>NC_000018.10:1260000-2510000 GCF_000001405.40 Homo sapiens
ATAGTACCAAAAGCCCTAGCCAGAGCAATAAGGCAAGAGAAAGAAAAAAAAAAGGCATCCAAATAGAAAAAGAAGAAGTCAAATTATGACTCTTCACTGATGATATTATCCCATACTTAGGACAGCCTAAAGACTCTGCCAAAAGGCTCCTGGAACTGATAAATGAATTCGGTAAAGTTTCAGGATACAAAATCAATGTACAAAAATCAGCAGCATTTTTATATACCAGTGACATTCTAGCTGAGAACCAAATCAAGAACACAATTCCATTTATGCTAGCCACAATGAAAATGAAAAGTATAGGAATTCATTTAACCAAGGAGGTGAAAGATCTCAACAACAACAACAACAACACCACCTAAAAACACTGCTGAAAGAAAGAAATCAAAGATGACACAAAAAAATTGAAAATATCGCATGCTCATGGATTGGAGAAATCAATATAGTTAAAATGGCCATACTACCCAAAGCAATTACAGATTCAATGCTATCCTTATCAAAATACCAACGTCATTTTTCGCAGAATTAGAAAACTCTATTCTAAAATTCATTTGGAACCAAGAAAGAGCCTGAATGGCCAAAGCAATCCTAAGCAAAAAGAACAAAGTCAGAGGCATCATATCGCTTGACTTCAAACTATACTTTAAGGCTACAGGAATCAAAACAACATGATACCAGTACAAAAATAGACACAGAGAGCAGTGGAACAGAATAGAGAACCCAGGAGTAAACTGGCACACCTACAACCATCTTCAACAAAATTAACAAACATAAGCTATAGGAAAAGGACTCCCTAGTCAACAAACGATGCTGGCATAACTGGCTAGCCATATGCAGAAGCATAAAACTGGACCCTTACATCTCACTAAATGCAAAAATTAACTCAAGATGGATTAAAGGTTTAAATGGGATACCTCAAACTATTAAAATCCTAAAAAAAAATCTGGGAAATACCATTCTCACCATAGGCTTTGGCAAATAATTTATTGTTAAGTCCCAAAGGCAATTTCAACAAAATAAAAATTGATAAGTAGGACTTAAGTAAACTAAAGATCTTCTGCACAGCAAAAGAAATTACCAATGGAGTAAACAGAGAGCCTATAGAATGGGAGAAAATATTTGCAAACTACGCATCTGACAAATCTCCAATATCCAGAATAGAAAGGGAACTGAAGCAAATCAACAAGCAAAAAAGAAAAAAATTCTATTAGAAAATGGGCAAAGGGCATGAACAGACACTTCTCAAAATAAGACATACAACTGTCCAACAAACATTAAAAAATGGTCAACATCACTAATCATTAGGGAAATACAAATCAAAACCACAACGAGATATCATCTCACATCGGTAAGAATGGCAATAATTAAAAAGTCAAAAAACAAAAAACAAAAAGAAACAAACAAAAAAAAGGCAGATGCTGGTGGGGCTGAGGAGTAAAGGAAATGGATATACACTGTTGGTGGAAATGCAAACTAGTTCAGCCACTGTGGAAAGCAGTTTGATTTCTCAAATAACTTGAAATGGGATTGCCGTTTACCCAGCAATCCCACTTCTTGGGTATATACCTAAAGAAAAATAATTCATTCTATCAAAAAGACAGATGCACCTATATGTTCACTGCAGCACTATTCACTATAACAAAGAAATGGAATCAACTCAGGTACTCATCAAAGGTAGATTGGATAAAGAAAATGTGGTACGTATACACGATGGAATACTATACAGCCATAAAAAGAATGAAATCATGTCCTTCACAGTAACATGGATGGAGTTGGAGGCCATAATCCTAAGTGAACTAACATAAGAACAGCAAACCATACACTGCATGTTCTCACTTATAGGTAGGAGCTAAACATTGAATACACATGAATGTAAAGATGGCAACAATAGACATTGGGGACCACTAGACGGTGGAGGGAGGGACAGGAGTGTAGGCTGAAGAACCACCTGTTGGGTACTATGCTTACTTTCTGGGTGATGAAATCACTGGGACCCCAAGCTTCAGCGTAATGCAATTTGCCTATGTAATAAACCTGCATGTGTATCCTTTAATTTATAATGAAAATTGAAATTATTAAAAAATTTTTATTTTTTACTTAATTTTTTTTGTTGTTGTTGAAACTAAGACCAAACATACACATTAGCCTGTTAGCCTAGGCTTGCATGGGTCAGGATCATCAACATCATTGTCTTCCACCTCCACACTTTGTCTCACTGGAAGGTGTTCAGGGGTAGTAAGATGCATGGAGCTGTCATCTCCTAGGATAACAATACCTTCTTTTGGAATCCCTCCCGAAAGACCTGCCTGAGGTTCTTTTACATTTAAGATTGTTTTTTATAAGTAGAAGGAGTACACTAAAAAATAACAATAAAAAGTGTGGTGCATACATAAACCAGAAACATAGTAGTTTATTATGATTATCAAGTATCATGTACTGTATATAGTTGTGTGTGTTGGCCTTTTATACAGTTGGCAGCACAGTAGGTTTTTTTACACGAACATCACTGCAAACATGTCATTAATGTGTTGCACTACAAAGTTATGATGGCTGAGATGTCATCAGACTATAGGAATTTTTCGGCTCCATTATAGTCTTATGGGACTGCCATTGTATATGTGGTCTGTCACTGACTGAAGCATCATTATACAGTGTGTGAGTGTGCATCTATGGCAAGAATAGCACAGAAGTGATGTTTTCCTCTCCTTGCATTCTATCAGGTTGCACTTGATTTTGACATATCCTATTACTTATGATGTTCACTTTGATCATTTGATTAAAATAGTATCTCTCCAGCTTTTCCATTGTAAAAGTAAGCCTTTTCCACTTTACACTGAATAGGCATATTTTGTGGGGTAGTGCTTTGAAACTATGTAAGATTCCTCTTCTTCATCAAACTGTTAATGAATTCACTTGTACTAGTAGGGGGTTCATGGTTTTCTATTTAATTTAATGGGTTACGATCCATTGCTGCATTTTTTAAATCAACTTTGTCAACTAAGACATAATTACATATTATGAAATATAGCTGTTTTAGATATACGGGTTGATGAGTTTTTAAGAATATGTGCACCTATGTAACCACCACACCAATCAACATATAGAAATTTTTCTTTATTTTTCCTTTTTTAAATTTTATTTATTTATGTATTTATTTTTGAGACGGAGTCTTGCTCTGTCGCCCAGGTTGGATGGAATGCAGTGGCATGCTCTAGGCTCACTGCAAGCTCCGCCTCCCAGGTTCACGCCAATCTCCTGCCTCAGCCTCCCTAGTAGCTGGGACTACAGGCGCCCACCACCATACCCGGCTAATTTTTTGTATTTTTAGTAGAGATGGGGTTTCACCGTGTTAGCCAGGATGGTCTTGATCTCCTGACTTCGTGATCCGCCCGCCTCGGCCTCCCAAAGTGCTGGGATGACAGGCATGAGCCACCATGCCCAGCCCTTTTCATTTATTTTTGAGACAGGGTCTCACCCTGTTGCCTAGGCTGGAGTGCAGTGGCACAATCACAGCTGACTGCATCCTTGACCTCCTGGGCCCAAGTGATCCTCCCACCTCAGCCTCCCAAGTAGCTGAGACCACAGGTGTGCACCACCATGCCTGGCTAAACTTTTTATTTTTTGTATAGAGACAGGGACTTTCTATGTTGCCTAGCCTGGACTTGAATTCCTGGGCTCAAACAATCCTTTCACCTTGGCCTCCCAAAGTGCTGGGATTATAGGTGTAAGCCACTGTGCCTGGTCCAAAAATTTTCATCACCTTAAAAAGTTTCCTGGTAACTATTTGTGGTTAACCTACTTAACCACTTAACTGTTTTCTGTCAAAATACCTGGATTTTTCCTCTTCTAGAATTTTATATAAAGGGAATCATACACTATGTGCTCTTAAAACATAATGTGTTTGAGATTCACCCTTGTTATTGCATGTATCCATTGCTCACTCCTTTTCATTGCTGAGTAGAATTTCAATATATGGATATACCACTATTTATATATTCTCCAGTTGATGGACATTTTGGGTTTTCCTATTTAGAAGCAATTTTGAACAAAATTGCTGTGAACATTTGTAAACAAGTCTTTGCATGAACATATGTTTTATTTGATATGTATTTATTGAACTTTATAACACATTGCCAAACTGTTTTCCAAAGTAACTGTAACATTTCGTAATCCCACCATCAATATATGAGCTCCAGTTGCTCTACATCCTCATGGACATTTAGAATTGTCCTTTTTATAATTAGCCGTTCTTGGTGAGTGTGTAGTGTATCTCATTGTGGTTTTAATTTGCATTTCCCTGATAACATCTTTTCATGGGCTTTTGGCCATTTGTATACTTTTGGAAGAGTCTTTTTATACATTTTCCCCATATTTATTGGGTTGTATGCCTTCTGAATAATGTGTTTCAAGAGTTGTTCATAGCTATATATCCCTTGGTGAATTCATCTGGGTATAAACATAGGATAAATTCTTACAGATGTAGTTGCCAAGTCAAAGAATGTACTTTTTAAACTTTTGAGAGATCTGATTAATTACCCTCTATAGAAACTGTACCAATGTATAATCCCCTAAACAATGTAGGAGACAGAACAAAAATATCAATATTATAAAGTTCAAATTAATTTTCAAATTTTATAGATATCAAAAAACGTGGACACAATGCACCTGGGGTAGAATTTCTTCCACATTACTTCATATAATATAGAGAAAATCATTGAAATAATGGAATGTAGCCAAGGATTGTTAAGTTTTTAGGAGAAAATTTCTTTGCAGAAATTTTGGTTCTTTGCAGAACCAAAAAATTTTATTGTTATGGCAAGATTCTGGTATCAAATAAATGCTCAAAAATAAAATTACAAATTAGCTTATAACAAAAATTTATTATAACAGGTCCTAATATATGAGTATATAAATTCAATTTGCCTAATTAATTAAATATATTTGGAAAAAGCCTCTCTTTATTTAAAATATTGCTACAATAGAAGACACTGCTGTAAATATATTTAAATACCAAAGATAAATTTTATGGTAGTGTAAATAGATCAAGGTGACAAAATTATTCAAAATATAACTCTTTAATGAGTGCAGAGTTTTAGTTGGGGAGGATGAAAATGTGCTAGAGATGGAGAATAGTGATGCTTACATACCAGTGTAAATGTACTTAATGACACTGAACTATACACTTAAAATGGTTAAAATTGTAAACTTTATGTTACATATATTTTACCACCATAAAAAAATAGACAAAATCTAACTATTGTATTAGTTCAATATTTTTCTGTATATCTATGTATATTTAAATGATTTCACACCATATAAAAGCTTTTTATCTTACTAAAGTGAAAACCAACAAAAAGCCACTTCCTGCCCCTAAGTTTTTTCTGTAACCCTTTGTTTTAATTCTACATTATATCAATGTACTTATTTCATATTTCATCAGATAATATATCTGTTTCTAAAACCTATTTGAAAGCTTTTAAGAGGCAATGAATAATTATGTAAAGTCATTATCCCATTACCTTTTTCCCCAACTAATCTATTTTGCAAATATGGGTTTTCATACGTGGAGTTTCTTAAACACCTATATTATTGTTAAAACACTTTGTTTGAGTTTTCTTAATAATGATGATTCCATTGTCTGTTTGTAAACTCCTCAAGTTTTTATTGACAAAGAAGACTCATCATTTTCAAAAGAAAAGGTCACTATATGAAATAGTCATGGTTCTGACTAAATAAAGATTTATAAAGACATTACAGATTTTATTTACTGCAATTATACTGAAAGCTGTTTATCATAGAAAACAAACAGAAAGGATTATCTCCTTCACCAGTACAGCATTAAGCTTTTATGAGGAAATAATTGTATTTTACATAATGGCATTTGTCAATGCTAAAGGTTAGCATGTCCAAATATAAGATAAATGATAACAATTTCCATTTGTGGGTTTTAGGTTTCCAAAGAGTTTCCATTGCTTCTTTTGATGGAGCAGTCTGGAGGCACAGTATCAAGGGGTTTTATTCAAATATTTTACAGATGAGATAACTGAGGTTTAAAAAAATTCAGTGAGTTACCCAAAATCACACACTGAAAGACCTCCATCTTGAACCAGGATTCTTTGTGTCATTCCCAGATTGTCTCCCATGACTATAGTAACAGACTACCTTAATCCTTGGTTCATCACTAGTTACAATTTTGTATCACAAGCAACAAAGAGGCTGGCAGAGTATGTGGAATTGTGTAATGCCACTGTTACCAACGTAGGAACAGCTCAAAGAACATATCTTCATGGTGTCACTGGCCTACTTTTTATGAAATAATAAAAGCTCACAAAATTCTGTAAAGTTGACCTACCATTTCTGCATTTATTATTCTATTTGATATTCAGGTATACTTAAAACACATCTGTGAGGTAGCAGATAAGGCAGATGGCTGACAAACTCTTCATTTGGTAAATGGATAAACCAAAGCTTAGGGAAGCCAACAGATTCCTGAAGCTCATACGGTCAAGTGTGTTGCATAGTTGAGTTGAGATACAGTGCTAATTGTGCCCAGGTCTTCTTAGTCCAAATATTAAGCGAGTTTCATTAATGTGGAAGATAAATAAAAATATGGTGGATTTCATTACCAACATTATCTAAACTTTCTAGCACCTAATAACGGCATCTTATGTTAAATGAATATTTTCCAGTCTAAAGTTTTAAATTTTCACCTCTAGAAGATACATTTTTGATTAAAAAATTATACCCAAATAGCTCTGCTTAAGATATTTGAGCTGAATTCAAGAAATCCTTCGGTTTCACAGCAGAGATGTGTAATGCCTAAGCTCTCAAGCCAGTTACTGAGAAAAGCAACTTGATATTTTTTTTCTTTCCTCTCTAAAAGATGAAAATGAAGAGTTTTCTCCTGAGAAAAGTGAGGCATTGAAATATTTTCTGCCAAAAGAAATGTTATTAAAAAGGTGAGGTGTGTGCAACAAAATTCTGAGGTACCCTTCTATAAAATTAGAGATTGAATTCCCTCCTCAGTAATTACATAAATCATATTTATGGAATGCTGCTTTTCACCAAATGAATAAATCATAGCTGCTAAATGCTGAGTATACCCATGTTCCACGTACAGGTCCTGTGGTCCCTGTTGGAATCTTGTTCCCTTGAACCATGCATTCCAGCCTCTGGCTGCCAAGTATTTTTATGTCTTCAATAAACTAAACTGAACCAAGCTATTATTACTGAATTGCAGACTATTAGAAGCCGAATGTAGCTGTTGGTGTATCACCATGGGAAATAAAAACTTATTATGTTCATTTTGTATGTAACCTAGACAGTTGCATTTGCAAGCAATCAGCATTTGCAGGGGCTGTTTCAGATCTGGAGAGGTTTGCACAGGAGACCTCATCATGGTTTCTATGCCTGCTTGGGATTCCTAAGCTACCTGCCACAGAATTAATTGTGGAGAAATTGAAGGATCAAAGTTGTTTCCCAGGTTGCAGTGATACCTTGTTCAGTTGCTTAAAATAGTCTTGTTCTTCATGCACACATAAGTGGGCTCTGTGTAAAAACAATAATAATAACAAAATAAAGTAATGGAGGATGAGCAAGAGCCATGTACATGGATTGCATGAGGTTAAAATCAACAATAAATTTAATGTTATAGACATTCCTCTCCAAGGAGACTGTAAATTTCCAGAGAAACATTGATTTTTAAAACATTTCTTAAAAAGAAATAAAAAGTTGTTTTTCCTAACACAATATCTATAGCATAAGTAGTTTGACTGCTAGCTAGTATCTCTACCTCCATTAAGTGGAAGCCAGAAGTAGATATAAAAACAAAGCCCAGATTAAAGCAATTATCAGTTTAATTATTGAAGTCTCTCCTAGCCAAAAAGCTATCAAAGCCATAGCTAAGTAATCCATATAGCACAAGGTTCCAAAGCCATGTAAAGTGTTTTAGGCAATAACTACACAAAATCTGGAGACTTTCTCAAAATTTATCTTATGCTCTAGTGAGTTAATAAAATTAATCATTTTGTTAACTACTTAACAGAGAAAAAAGCATTTCTCTTGCCCTAATTTGAAAATAAATTGTCCTACTAAATTTTTCTATTGCTATGTAACCAAATTCTCCTGCTTCAAAAAGGATATAAACCTCATGCAACAGAGTTCTGTGTCTTCTAAATACAAAAAGGATTGTATTCAAGCCTACTAACTCTGTTATTAGAACAATCTAAATCTATCACTTTTACAATATTAGGTCCTCTCCAAAGGTCTTCTTCAAAATGACTAACCAAAAGCCAACAAATGTAAAGAAATGGGAAATTTCACTTTCTTTTTATTAGGAGGATAAATAATACTCTAAAAAGGAAGCAGACAACCATGAAGTGGAAATTCGAGTCCATATCAAAAGAATGACAGCATTTTCTTGTCTCGCTCTTGCATTTACACAGAGATCCTTCCAAATGATTTAAGAATAACACTTCCTTTTTCACCTGTGGTGGGCAAAATAATGGCCTCCAAGTATGCCCACATCTTAATCCTTGAAACCGACAAATATGTTACCTTACATAAAAAAGTGGATTTAAGGTAAAATTTACCCAAGCTAAACATCATAGAGAAATAAGATTTGAAAAGTGAACAGTAAACCCACTTGTAATCTCCCATAAAAAATAATTACAGAAGCAAAACATCTCTAGATTTGTTTCTGCAACTCAGCGATGGCAATATTTCTGCCTGTTGCTCAGCGTGTAGGACTTTTCCTCAGGCTTGTTGCTTTGTGGTCACAAAATGGTTACTAGAGGTCTGAGCCTCACATCCAATGGCAGGAAGGAGAATTTTTCTTTGTTTGGTTTGTTTTTTGAGTGAAGTGTTGTTTTTGTGGGATAAAAGCTCTCCCAGACACCCATGTTATGACTTCTTCTTGACCGTTTAAACATATGCACATGCTCTGGGTGTAAGGAAGACTGTAAAAGCAAGCATCTGGCATTTTCAGCTTGTAAAATGAGAGACAATCTCTGCCAGTAGTGAAAGAGGGGAGTGAGGAAGGCTGGGGAATGGCTTTTGGGTCAGAACCAGCATGGCTTAACAAATTCATTTTTAAATTGCCAATAAGTTCCTAAGGAAAAATTTCACAGATTATTACTTCCTCTTTCTTTTCTTTCTTTCTTTTTTTTTTTTTTTGAGATGGAGTCTCGCTCTGTCGCCCAGGCTGGAGTGCAGTGGCGCGATCTCAGCTCACTGCAAGCTCCGTCTCCCGGATTCACCTTCCTCTTTCATTTCTAATGCCACAGAATTGTCTCAAACCCTATTGTTTTACCAGCCTCGCCTCCATTAGTTTCAATTTCCTTCCATCCATAGGATAAGCTAGATTGTCAACAGTATCCTTGATTACCTCATTGCTTCTTTCCAAACTCCACAGTAGTTCACAATTGCCTTTTGAACCCAATGAGGTAATGGATTGTGTCTTTTTAAGGATTTCCATCACAAAAGTGTCTTTTGTGGTATTCCCAAAAATTATTCCCCAACCTCATCTCCTTTCAAGCATTTTATTGATAATCATAAAGAAAAGACAAAAAACACACCAAATATAAGCTCGGTGAAAATACAAAAACTATGAAGTTCTTATGGTTACAATCTTTTGTCTACAGCTCCTCGTCACCTTACGTCAATACTAACCTAAGGGTGAATCTTACCACTCGACCCAGGGCTCCCTCCACCACCATATCTCAGGTTCTAAAGTACAGTAGAGGCTGTGTCTTCCCCAGACTGCAAATCTGAAGAAGAGATCCCTCTTGTCTTCAGCAGGTAATTTCTTGAAATTCAGACTGGCCGATGTCAATTTCAGTGATTTATTCTGAACTGCAGAAATGTGATATCTCAGATCAGAACTTCATAAAATAACTCAATAAATCATAAACTTTTCCGTGATTTATTCCCATTTTCTAAAAATAAAAATAAATATCTCCTCATTTTTCTTCTCTACTGCAACTTCCATTAATACATATGTTATATCAAATACCAGATATAAGTAAAAAGTTGATGCCATAAATATCAAGAAGAAAAAAGAAGGAACTTATCACAATTATTTGTTTTACCACAAGAATATTCCACACCTCATTTTTTTTAAGGTCTCATGCAAATCGGCCAATATGTTCATTTATTCATCCAACAAATACTTATTAAATGTCTACTATGGATTGGCATGTGAACTTGCTCCCAGTAAATGAGTCATCTGGGAATGGAAATGTTAATACAGTTGTGTCAATATTGCATGTCAATATTTGACTGAATAAAGGTGACTCTAGTACAACCACTGTCGTCACAAGGCATCTGAATGGACATTAAGAAGGAGACATGGGGTGAGGGTAGGGACATGTGTCCACCTTTTTCCTCAGTAATTATAAAACCTCAGAACTGGAACACTGCATTCCCTTGTGTAACTCCATAAAGCTTTGAAGGTTGTTTTGAATGCATCATTCACAAAACAAATGATTTGAATTGAACTTCTGACAATAATTTTTAAAAATAAGACTTCTTACTATTCACAAGAATATTACAGATAATATGTAGATAACATAATCATCTGTAATATTAGATTTAGGAATTACTTTAGTAGTAAAGAAAACTAAAAATTAAAATTCAGACAGGTTATCTGATATTTATGTATTTGAACATCACAGACAAAATAGCCTTTAAGAATATGTAAAATGTTGTCCACCAAATTATTGACCAAATATCATATAAGGGAAGGAATGTACCAGATTACATTTACAGTGCCCATGGCATGGTTTTTAAAGAAAATACTAAGAACATTGCCAGTGTGAAGCAGCCTCAACTTGGTGCCCAGAACAGAGTTAACAATATGAGAATAATGAGTCTTTATGATTTTTCCCCTCAGAAATATAGAAGATAGTGTCTTTGTAGGAATGAATTATCATCTAACTGGAATAAAATCCTAAAGATCACAAATCCTTGTGTAAAACTGTATCTTTATTTTCTATATCTCACCTTGCTCTGGCGCTTCCATGCCCATGACAGCATCAGAGGAGGATAGGATGGGGAGAGGGATTTCTAAAAATTGCCAATTAAAAGTAATCCAGCGTCTTCCAAGTTAAAAGGGTCCTTTCAGGTAAATATTCATTCAATTCCCAGTTCAAATCCCTCTAAGAGGAAAGTTTAAATCATCTTTTTACTTCCTCCCCTCTTCCCTGTCACTCTCTGTATGTTGGGATCTGGGTGCAAGGGAAGTTACGGCAGCCAAGAAAGACCTGTGGTCTTTATTCTGCCCTTTAGGACATTACTGCATCCAGAAAGATGGCACGCTGAGCTCTCTGGCTTTTGCAGCATTGCCTCCCACAGCAAGGTGCATTCACTCCACCATTTTCCCACCAGATCCCAGGTTTCCCAATTTCTCACCACATCCTCATTCCCCCACAAGGACAAAGGGGCTGCTTAGGATGTCCTATAAGCTGCTCCTGAGTGGTGACAAGTGAGAGTAAAGTCTCTCTGAAGAATCTCAAACCAAACACCAAGCTACTCGGAAGTGGGAAATGGTGTCACTGGCTCCCTAGGAATAGTCCTCAAACTTATGAGGATATTTTAACTCTCCCCACTCACCTCCTATGAGTTTCAAACGAAGGAGGTTAGAAGTTGGAATTCTCTCTTTCTCTCTCTCTCTCTCCTTGAATATTCCCACTTCCAAGTCAACACTAGATGTTCTCCTCCTTTATCTTTCTAGAAGAAACTACCCCTAAGTCACATCCTTCTCCTTCTTTAGGTGGTCTTCAGCCAGAGTTAGAAGGCCAGAAAGGCTTCAGGAAAAGGAACTGGAATGTGGGGAAGGTAATGCACAAGTGATACATTTTGAATCTGTTATACCTAAATTAGAGCATGCTCAGTGAGCTTTGAAAGTCTCAAAAATGCACTCAATAAATAGAACTGTAAGTGTCCCTCTATTTTCATGGCTTGGTGTTTCAAAACTGGGGTGTGGCCATCATCATTAGGGAGGATTCCTCTAGATCTATTGAGAGCAGAGGTCCCTCCCTGGGTCTTGGACATTTAAAGGTTGTAAATTTTTCATTTCCTTGGAAGTTAATCATATTTACCCTATCAAAGGATACACCTTTACCAAGAGAGAGCCAGTCTTCAGGAAACTGTCCAATGTGATATGGGAATTTAGTCTCCTAGACTTACCTTGCTATTGATGACTGTACCATAAACTTGGTAAAAATTAATTAGGAGGCTACATATAAAATTTCAGATATTACCATTTCTCATTATTTTTAGTTTAAAAATATGGAAAATAATATAACAAGCTAAGGCACCCTAGATTTAAAAGCAATTCACCAACTAGGAGAAGATTGCAACATAAATAAAAAACACAAATAACTTTAAATCAATATGAAAACCACAAACAATATAATAGAAAAACGAGAAAAGGACACTTACATTAGAGGAGGAATTTCAAATAGCCAATAGCATGAAATGACAATTTCACCAATAATTGGACAATTGCATCCTGTAACAATAATGAGAAACTATTTTTATCTATTTACCTCAGATTAGCAAAACTCGAAAATTTGTCAGTACCAAAGTTGTACAGACCAGAAATGAAAACACTCGTATACTGTCGGATAATGTGAAAATTACCATCACACTTTAGAAAGTATATGGATGTACAAAAGAAAAGATTGTTAGATATAGAATTAATTTTTAAGTTTAAAATGTTGAAAACTAATACAAATCTCTATCAGGAGAGGAGTAGATAATTGTGGTATTGTTATATAATGGAATACAGTAGTCTGCTAATTTGAATAAATAAGCTCTATAGACATGTTTATATGTTTTTATTACAAATGTATTTTAAAATAACACATAGCTACTCATACTTTTACTGATTATAATTTTTATAAAAATTACATAAATTATTTACAAAACATTCTCTGGAGTTGGAGAGATTGGACTTTGGAGAGGAACAACGGAGATCTTTCCCTGCACTTTAAAGTAAAAATAATGAACTATTAATAGCTAACAATATAGTAAACTATTATAATCGAGGTTTATAATAAACTGCTTTGTTAGGTTTCTTTAGTCCCTAAAATTTGAACTTTCTCCTGCTTTTTAAAACTACTTTTACTTTTGGAAGAATCTAGATCACTGTGATTATTTTCTCATGTTATCATTTAACTATTTTCTCTAGCTCTTGTATTTTCTCTAGACTGGAAGTTTGGCTTAGAAGTGTGTAAATTGAAGTTAATATTTAGAGAAAAAATATTTTATAGGTAATGGAGTGTGTACACCATATTGTATCATATCAGGGGACATAACATAATATAATCTAATTATTAGTGATAGTAAATTCACTCACTTTTTGAAAGAGGTAGAAGTCAAGTCTTGCCACTGTGAAGGTTCATTTTTCTCATTTGTAATTATCAAGTAATGTGTGATGAGATACTTTGACACTACGCACATCTCCTGACGCTATGTACAAATCCAGTCACTTTTCATGCAATGGTTTTTGTATGCATTTTTGAGTTTCTCCTGAGTTTGGAGGAATGACAAAATGAATATTTTCTGATTCTATCATTCTTTCTATAAAAATGAGCTTTTCTTAGTCAATATCCCTGTAGCCATCTTTCTCCTTTTATTTAATCATTTAGAGTATTACAGCTGACTCATGGATTTGTTTAATTCAACCAATTATTGTCCTGAATGCTCAATCGTTCCCAGATCTAAACAGTGGAACTGCTTCAAGCTGGTTCCATGGCTTTAAAATAATCTCATTTGTCTTTGGACATTCCTTTGCTAATACATGCAACAACATGTCCCAAGCTCACTCTGTACTTTCCTGCCTTAGATTTGGAATTAGTTTTCTCCAAGGGGCCCTAATTCCTTTTGGTTGAAAATTATTATTTAGAAAACAGAATTTGAGCACTATGTATGCTCATTGCCACTGGAGGATCATTGCTTTCAGGCCACTTTAGTGGAAAAAGCTGAGGTGTGTATGAGTGTGTGTGTGTGTGTGCATGTGTGTGCACATGTGTATATGCATGTGAGAGAGAAAGCGAGCTCATATTGTTAGTTACATACATATTTGTACCCCTTTTAATTAAAAATCTTTTATTATAATATCGATTTATTTACTTTATGTTACAATATAATGAACTAGTTTCAACTGTACAATATATATACTCAATAAGGTTTAATATTTAGTGCAATATATGCACTAACAATAAATGCACCGAATAAGGTTTAATGTTATTAAACATTAAACATACTAACATACTAAGGATATGCAATCAGATTATTTTGCCCGTAATTAGTTGAACTTATTCTGTTCTCTATGATTATATTATCAAGTTGATATATTGTTGAGTTCATACATATGCCTGTATTCAATTTTAGAGTTTTCATTTTGATTCCTTTTAATTTTAAATGTATTTTGAATATATAAAGCATTAACATTATCCAAAACTGAAAACTACATTGAGAAGAATTGCTCCCATTTCCATCCTCTCTACCTTATTCCTACCTATCCCCTAAAAGTAACAATTTTAATTAGGAGATCTGAGACACAGGAGTCAAAACTAAAAGGTTTGAAAGGAGTAATGAATTTGTTTTGATGATCTCCAACTGCTTCTTTCCTCAAGAAATTTCCTAATGGGTGCAGATAGAGACTGAGAACAAGGCTTGGCCACAGAGATCTAATGCTAGGGCACAGAGAAACCAGCACATACTCTAGTGGTTACACAGGTTTGTAGTGGCAATACTGGAGACACAAGAGAAAGGGGGAAAATGGTAGACTTAATTAAATTAATCTTCAAACAAACTTCCAACCACATCAACCTAGCAGAAAAAAGGGTGAACCATTGCTGTTGGAAGACAACATCATTTCGATTCTCTCCTGATATTGTTTGGCTGTGTGTCCCCACCCAAATCTAATCTTGAATTGTAGCTGTCATAATTCCCATGTGTCATGAAAGGGACCTGGTGGGAGGTAATTGAATTATGGGGGCAGGTCTTTCCCATGCTGTTCTTGTGATAGTAAGTCTCACAGATCTAATGGTTTTATAAAGGGGAATTCCCTTACACAAGCTCTCTCTTTTCCTGCCACCATGTAAGACGTGACTTTACTCCTCATTTGCCTTCTGCCATGATTGTGAGGCCTCCCCAGCCATGGGAAACTGTAAGCTATTTAAACCTCTTTCCTTTATAAATTATCCAGTCCGGGGTATGTCTTTATTAGCAGTGTGAGAACAGATGAATACATCTCCTGTTTTTAATATACAATGTCCAACATTCATTCAATCCAAAGTCACCAGGGATGTGAAAGAGTCATGTCCATATGACCCATAATCAAGAGAAAAAAATAGGAAATGAAATTAGAGCCACAGTATTATTGCAGTTAACAGGTAAGGACTTTAAAATAACTATGATTAATATGTTCAATAGAATAGAGCAAACATTGGACCAAGTGGATGCAAAGAAGGAGAATTTTAAGAGTCAACTGGAATTTACTTTTCTAGGAATCAAATGAATATTCTAAAACTAAAAAGTTACTCGCTGAAAAAAGCATTCAATAGATTGGAGACAAGTAAAGTTAGGAGTAGGAAACTGGAAGACAGGTGCAATTGAAAATATACAACCTAAACCAAAGAAAAAGAAAATAAAAATAAAACTAAAAGAGTGTCAGACATAAATACAATGCAGTTGAAAGATCTAACATGATATAAATATGGTTTAAGAAAGAGAAAATTGGAAGAAGTAATACATTAGGAGATAAAGACCAAACATTTTTCAAATATGAGGAAAGACATAAATCATAGATTCAATAAGCTCAGCAAACCCAAGATGAAATCTATAAAACAAAATATATAAAAATAAACCACATCAGAGTAAGATAGCCAAAACCCAAAGATGTAGAGAAAATTTAAAAATAGCTACAGGAAAGATATATTTTTCTGGGTACTCACCCTCATCCCTAGAGGTAGCAGCTGCTCCTACTTTGCTGTTTTGAAAGTCCTTAGAATTGTCTCTTGCGTCATTAGTGGTTAGGTTAGCTAATAAATTTGTTTCTTGTTGTTGCTGTAAGAAACTACCACAAATTTAGTGGCTTAAAAGTAACACAAATCTACTACTTTATAGTTCTGTAGGACAGAAATCCAAAATGCATTTCACTGGGCTAAAATCAATGTGTTAGCAGGCCTACATTCCATTTGGAGAATCAAGAGGAGAGCATTCCTTTGCCTTTTCCAGCTTTTAAAGGTTGCCTGCACTCCATGGCTCATGACCTCATCTTCCATCTTCAAAGCCAGAACCATAGCATCTTCAAATGTCTGACTATGACCCTGATTTTTTTATTGCATCTCCTTCTCTGACACTGACTCTCCTGCCTCCATCTTCTCCTTATAATGACTCTTGTGATTATACTGAGCCCATCTAGATAATCAAGATAATTTTCTCAAGATCTTTAACTTAATCATCTCTGCAACATCCTTATTGTCATAGAGAGTAACACATTAACAGGTTCCAGATATGAATATTTTTGTGGGGGGTGTCTATAAGCCTTCCCCAGCTATCTTTTACTAGTTAATAATTTTTATATTAAATTCTTCTTGTTAAAATTATTTATGTGGTTTCTGACTTGTCCCTGATACATAGAGAAAACGAAGGATAAGATTGTAGATACTAACCTAAACATGTAAGTAACTAAATGCAAACTGACTAAATACTCCAAGTAAAGTACTAAGATTCTTAGACAAGTTAGCAACAACAAATAAACAAATAACAAATAAAGGTATATGCTGCTTATAAGAGGTACAAGATTTATATAAAGATAAAAAAGTTGAAATTAAAAGAATATAAAACAATAAATGTCAAAAATGTTCTACTTTAAAAAGTTGGCACAGAAATACTTTAAAAAAATAAAAAGCAAAATATATTGCTAGAAATTTCGTAATGATACAGGGGTCATTCCACTGATTAATAATAAAAGTCACATTTTTTTAAAAAAGCACAATGAAACATTTAACAAAGAATACCATGTAAAATAAGCCTTGATAAATTTCAAAACATTAAAATAATTTCCTTACCATAGTGGGATTAAACTAGAAATAAATAATAAAAACTACTAAGTGTTTAGAATTAAACAATACATTTATAACTAAATCCACAGATGTAAGGCAAAGTAGAAATTATAAAATATTTCACACTGAATGCTAATGAAGGTATTGCATACTAAAACTTGTAGGGTGCAGCTCATAATATGCTGATTAGAGAGAGGCTAACCTTAAATAAGTATATCAGAAAAGAAGAAACATTAAAAATTAGTGACCAAATCTTCCACCTCAAAACACTAGAAAAGAAAGAGCAAATCAAAACTGAAGAAGTAGAATCAAGGAAATAGTAAAAAATAGGACCAGAAATCAATAAAATAGAAAATAGATATAAAATAGAAACAAATAATTGATTCTTAAAGATATTTACAAAATTGATAAATTCCCACAAAATTAATGAAGGAAAAAGTATAGAAACCACAAATTACCAATAACAAAATAGAAACAAAGACACTACTACAGATCTTAGAGACATTTAGCAGATTATAAGAGGACATTATGAATAAATACATGCCAATAAACATGCTAATTTGAATGAAATGAATAGTTTAATAAAACACATTATACCAAAATTTATGAAAGAAGAAATAAATGATATTTAAAGTGCAATACCAATTAAATAAGTTGAACATTATTTAAAAATCTTCTTACACCCACAAAAGTCTATACATAGTGGGCTTTAAAAGTGAATTTTTCAAAATATGTAGGAAATAATGAGATATGCAAAATCTTCCAGAGAGTAGAAAAAGAACAAACACTTTCCAACACTTTCTTTAAAAACAGCAGGTTCTTCTGAAATCTACTAATTTAGATGCAAAATAATAAAGAATTATTTAGCAAATAGAATGCAGTGGTATGTAAGAAGAAAATACATTACTACCAAATGGGTTTATTCCAGGAATTCAAGGATGATTTAACACTCAAGATAAATGTAATTATGAATTAACTTATGTGATTAATTCAGTAGGTACTAGAAAAGTATTTAATAATATTAACATCCTTTTTGATTGAAAAAACAGTCTCAGAGGGAGACAAGATGGCTGACTAGATGCAGCCAGGAAGAACATCTCCCACTGAGAGAGCAGACCATAAAGGCCAGAACGCTCCAGGCAGATCTTCAGAAGGAAGTCTTGAGAGGGGATGCAAGGAGGAAACAGACTCTAGGCTAAAGAGACAGGAAGCTGGGAACCCTGTATGGGGCTGCCAAGCACCAGGACTCATTCCTGGCCCCAGCAGGTCCTGGGTAAAAAGTGAGTTAATAGGCAAGGAGGAGCCACCTCTCACCATGGACTTTTGGAATCCTAGCTGCAGAAGACCTCACGACCCCCACAGTCATTTCAGCTTGCAGAGAGAGCTGCTTGGACAGCTAGCATGAACAGGACTCCCCTCTTTGCAGAGCACAGAGGGTTTGGTAGTTGCAGTAGAGCATGGCCAGAAATGCCCATCCCCCAAGGCTTACCATGCTCCTCCAGATGGCTTTGGCTTCTGTTGACAGTTGGGTCTGGACAGAGTAGGGGTGTCTTACCTGTGGGATAAAGCCAGTCTAATCTGAGTGCTCCCCTGTCTGCCCACCTTTCCTGGGGTCCCTTCCTGGTGGCACCTGCTCATAGTGCAGCCTCAAATGCCCAATGCGGGTGCTTCCCGGTGGCCACTACCATACCTCTTCTGCTGGCAGACCCTGTCTAACCATCAAGGAGCTTCAGCAGATGGGCCCTCACCAATGTACACACATTCACAGTCTCCCCCACTCCTTCGATGGCACACACTTGCCCATAGCCTTTTCCCACCACTTTGATGGCATGTGTGCACACGTGGACCTCACCAACCCAATGAAGTGCTTTTGCTGGCACCCCCATCAGGGTGTTGTTGCAGGCACACTGGAAATACCTTGGCTCCTCCAGTGCAGCAAGTGCTTAACCTAGAGGGGCCAGAGAACAAAGCTGTAAGCCTGGTTCCAGCTCCTCAGAGTTAGAGCATGCAGGCCAGGAGTGCTGAGTTGAGCCCAGATCTTCTGAAATCATCCAGAAATAAAGCCTGTTGACTGAACCCAACTTATACTGCAATCAAACCCTCAAGGGCCTCAAAGAGTATAATAGTAAAAATCCCCATCCAAAGGACACCAACATCAAAGACTAAAGAAACAGCCCACAAAGATGAGAAAGAACTAATGCAAAAATTTTGGCAACTCAAAAAGCCAGAGCAACTTCTTACCTCCAAACTTGCTCCCCAGCAATCATTCTTAACCAGGCTGAAATGGCTGAAATGATGGACTTAGAATTCAGAACCTAGATGGCAACGATGGTCATTGAAATTCAGAAGAAAGTTGAAACCCAATCCAAGGAATTCAGTAAAATGATACAAGAGCCATTTTAAGAAAGAATCGAGTTGGTCTGATAGAGCTTTAAAACTCACTACAAGAATTTCATAATACAAACAGAAGTATTAACAGCAGAATAGATGAGGCTGAGGAAAAAATCTCAGAGCCCAAAGACTAGTTATTCAAATCAACTCAGACAAAAATTGAGAAGAAAGAATCAAAAAAATGAATAAAACATCCAAAAAACTTGGGATTATGTAAAAAGACAAAAACCTATGACTCTTTGGCATCCCTGAAAGACAAGAAGAGAAAGCAAGCAATTTGGAAAACATATTTGAGGATACTATCCATGAAATTTCTCCAAACTCACTAGTGAGGTCAACATTCAAATTCAGGAAATTCAAATAACGCTTTTGAGATACTATATCAGACGACCATCCCAAGACACATAGTCATCAGATTCTCCAAGATCAATATGAACGAAAAAACATTAAAGGCAGCTAGAGAAAAGGGGTAGGTCATCTAACAAAAGAACCCCATCAGACTAACTGCGGACCTTTCAGCAGAAACTCAACAAGCCAGAAGACATTGAGAGTTTATGTTCTGTTCAGCATCTTTAAAGCAAAGAAATTCCAACTAGGAATTTCATACTCATCCAAACTAAGCTTCATAAACAAAGGAAAAATAAAGTCCTGTTCAGACAAGCAAATGCTAAGGTAATTCACGACCAAAAGACATGCCTTACAAGAGGGCCTTAAGGGGCTGCTAAATGTGGAAATGAAAGGCCATTACCAGCCATCACAAAAACACACTAAAGTACATAGACCATTGACAGAAGAAAGCAACTACACAATCAAGTCCACATAACAACCAGCTAACAACACAATAACAGGATCAAGTCCACACATATCAATAATAACCCTGAACATAAACAGGCTAAATGTCCCATTTAAATGGCACAGGGTACAGTGGTAAGTTGGAAAAAGAAGTAAGACCCAACTACATGCTATCTTCAAGAGACCCATCTCACATGCAGTGATACTCATAGGTACAGATTAAAGGGATGGAGAAAATTCTACCCAGCAAATTAAAAACAGGAAAGAACAGGGGTTGCTACTTTAATTTCAGACAAAGTAGACTTTAAACCAATGAAAAAAGGACATTGTATAATGTAAAGGGATCAATCCAACAAGAAGACTTTACTATCCTAAAAATATATGCATCCAAAATCAGAGAACCCAGATTCATAACACAAGTTCTTAGAGATGTATGGAGAGACTCAGATAACCACAAAATAATAGAGAGAGATTTCCAACACCCCACTGACAGCATTAGACAGATAATTGTGGCAGAAAACTAACAAGGATATTTGGGACCTAAACATGACACTTGACCCAGTGGACCTAACAAACATCTACAGAGGAATTCACCCAACAATAGCAGAATATACGTTGTTCTAATCTGAACATGGCACATACTCTAAAATTGACCAAATGCTCAGCCATAAAGCAATTCTTAACAAACAAAACAAAACAAAACAAAAACAAAATCACACCACCCATACTCTTGGACCACAGCACAATAAAAATAGAAATCAATGCTAAGAAGATTTCTCAAAACCATACCATTACATGAAAATTAAACAAACTGCTAATAAATTAGTTTTGGCTAAACAATAGAAGTAAGGCAGAAATCAGGAAATTCTTTGAAACTAATGAAAATAAAGATATAAAATACCAGAATCTCTGGGACACAGCTAAAGCAGTGTTAAGAGGAAAGTTTATAGCACTAATGTCCACATCAAAACGTTAAAAGGATCCCATGTCAATATCCTAACATCACAGCTAGAGGAACCAGAGCAAACCAACCCCAAAGCTAATAAAAGAAAAGAAATAACCAAAATTAGAGCAGAACTGAATGAAATTTAGATGTAAAAAACCACACAGAAGATCAATGAAACAAAATATTAGTTCTTTGAAAGAATAAATAAGATTGATAGACTGCTAGCTAGACTAATGAAAAATAAGATTGTATCCAAATAAACACAATCAGAAATGACAAAGGGGACATTACCACTGACACCATATAAATACAAAAAACCTTCAGAGATTATTATGAACACCTCTATACACACAACATAGAAAACCTAGAAGAAATGGATAAATTTCTAGAAACACAACCTTCCAAGATTGAGCCAGGAAGAAATTGAAACCCTGAATAGACTGATAATCAGTTTCAAAATTGAATCAGTAATAAAAAGACTACCGACCAGAAAAACCCTAGACCAGAGGGATTCACAGCTGAATTCTACCAGACATATAAAGAAGAGCTGATAACAAACCTGAACCACACTAAAACTATTCCAAAAAATTGAGGAGAAGGGACTCCTCTTTAGCACATTCTATGAGGCCAGAATCATTCTGATACCCAAACCTGGCAGTGACACAGTGAAAAAAAATCTTTAGACCAATATCCTTGATGAACATAGATGCAAAAATCCTCAACAAAATGGAAGAAAACAAAATCCAGCAGCACATCAAAAAGTTAATTCACCATGATCATTTGGGCTTTATTCTTGGGATGCAAGGTTGATTCAACATACACATATCAATAAATGTGATTCATCACAAAAACAGAACTAAAAACAAAAACCACATGATCATTTCAATAGATGCAGAAAAAGCTTTTGATAAAACTCAACATCCCTTTATGTTAAAAACTCTCAACAAAATAGTTATCAAAGGAACATACCTTAGAATAATAAGAGCCATCTGTGTCAAACCCACAGCCAATATCATACTGAATGGGCAAAAGCATTCCCCTTGAGAACTGGAACAAGACAAGGATGCCCACTTTCACCACACTTATTCAACATAGCGCTGGAATTTCTAGTCAGAGCAACCAGGCAAGAGAAAGAAATAAAAAGCATTCAACCAGGCAAGAGAAAGAAATAAAAAGCATTCAACCAGGAAGAGAGGAAGTCAAACTATCTCTCTCTTTGCAGATGATATAATTTTATACCTAGAAAATCTCACAGTGTCTGTCCAAAGGTTCCTAGACTTGATAAACAACTTCAGCAAAGTTTCAGATACAAAATCAAAGTAAAAAAATCAGTAGCATATCTGTATACTCACAACATCCAAAATGAGCATCAAATCAAGAACACAATCCCAGTCTCAATAACCACAGAAAAAAATAAAATACCTAGGTATACAGCTAATCAGGGATGTGAAAGTTCTTTGCAATGTGAATTACAAAATACTCTTGAAAGAAATCAGAGACAACACAAACAAATGGAAAGACATTTCATGCTCATGGATAGGAAGAATCAATATTGTTAAATGAAATGGTCCTACTACCCAAAGCAATTTACAGATTTAATGCCATTCGTATCAAACTACCAATGACATTCTTTACAGAATTAGAAAAAAAAACTATTGTACAATTCATATGGAACCAAAAAAGAGCCCAAATAGCCAAAGCACTCCAAAGCAAAATGAACAGAGTCAGAGACATCACATTACCCAATTTCACACGATACTACAAGGCTACAGTAACGAAAACTGCATTGTCCTAGCACAAAAACAGACACATACAGCAAATGAACTGAATAGAGAATTTGGAAATAAAGATGTATATCTACAACCATTTGATCTTCAACAAAGGCAACAATAACAAGCAATAAAAACTTCCTATTTAATAAATGGTTCTGGCAGAACTGGCTAGCCATGTGCAGAAGAATTAAACTGGACCCCTTCCTACTATCATATACAAAATCACCTCAAGATTGATTAAAGACTTAGATGTAAAACCTAAAACTACAAAATCTCTAGAAGAAAACCTAGGAAATATCATTTCTGTTATTTCCAGAATGGTATAAATACCATTCTGGATATAGGCCTTGCCAAATATTTCATGATGAAGACTCCAGAAGCAACTGTGACAAAACTAAAATTGACGAATGGGACCTAATTAAACTAAAGATCTTCTGCACAGCAAAAGAAACTATCAATAGAGTAAACAGACAGTCTACACAATGGGAGAAAATATTTGCAAGTTATGCTTCCAACAAAGGTTCTAATATCCTGAATTGATAAAGAACATAAACAAATTAACAAGCAAAAAACAAACAACCCTATTTAAAATAGACAAGGACATGAAGAGACACTTCTCAAAAGAAGAAATACAGATGGTCAATAGGCATACGAAAAAAATGCTCAACATCACTAATAATTACAGAAATGCAAATCAAAACCACAGTGAGATACCATTTCATACTGGTCAGAATGGCTATTACTAAAAAGTCAGAAAAACTACAGATGCTGGTGAGGCTGCAGAGAAAAAAGGAATGCTGAAACACTGTTGGTGGGAATGTAAACAGTTCAGCCACTGTGGAAAGCAGTTTGGAGATTTCTCAAAAAATCTAAAACAGAACTACCATTCAACCCAGCTATCCTGTTACTGGGTATATACCAAAAGGAATATAAATCATTCTACCATAAAGACACATGAATGTGTATGTTCATCACAACACTATTCACAATAGCAAAACATGGAATCTACCTAGATGCCCTTCAATGGTGGACTGGATAAAGAATATGTGACACACACACACACACACACACACACACACACACACACACACAGTGGAATACTATGCAGCCATAAAAAAGAATGAAATCATGTTCTTTGCAGCAACATGGATGAAGCTGGAGACCCTTATCCTAAGGGAAATAATGCAGGAACAGAAAACCAAATACTGCATGTTCTCACTTACAAGTGGCAGCTAAACTCTGAATACAAATGAATGCAAAGAACACCAGAGACTACTAGAGGTTGTAGTGTGGGATGAGAGTGAGTATTGAAAAACTACCTGTCGGGTATTATGCTCATTACCTGGGTGACAAAATAATGGCAAGCCCCTGTGACACACTATTCACCCATATAACGAATTTGCATGTCTACCCTGTGAATATAAAATAAAAATTGGAAAGAAAAAAGCAAATTAGGAATAGAAGAGAACTTCCTAAACTGAAAAACAGTATTTAGTAATATCCTACATAAAAATTATCATAATGGCAAAACATTAAGTGCTTTTTCCCTGAGATTCACAATGAGACAAGAATTTCTGCTATTTCCACTTTTTTTTTTTCTGCAACATCATACTAGTCACAAAATTCTGCAATGAGGAAAAAATGAAAACAAAATTCATGAGGTTTGGATAGGAAGAAGTAAAACTCTCAGGGTTTGCCGAAAAGATAATTGTGTGCATTTAAAATTCAAAATAATCTGTAGACAATTTAAAATTAATAAATGATTTAGCAATATCACTGGACATAAGGTCATTATAGAAAAATTATTTAAATTTATATCTCAACTGATATGGTTTGGATCTCTGTCCCCACTGAGGCTGGAGGTGGGCCTGGTGGGAGGTGATTGGATCATGGGGGTAGAGTTCTCATGAATGGTTTACTGCCAGCCCCTCGGTGCTAGTCTTATGGAAGTGAGTGAATTATCGTGAGATCTGGTTGTTTTAAAAGTGTGTAGCATCTCTCCCACCTCCTATCTTGGTCCTGCTCCTGCCGTGTAAGACGTCTGCTCCCACTTTACCTTGTGTTATGAGTGAAAGCTCCCTAAGGCCACCCCAGAAGCAGATGCTGCCACGTGCTCTGTACAGGCTGCAGAACCATGAGCCAATTAAACCTCTTTTCTTTGTAAATTACCCAGTCTCAAGTATTTCTTTATAGCAGTGTGAGAATGACTAATACACCAACAAAAATTAGAAAATAATTACTTTGAGACTACTATTTACAACATGAAAAAAGATGAAATACCATGGGAAATATAACAAAAGGCCTTCATTGACAAAATATTTTTGTCTTCTTTCACTCATTTCTTTATTGAGTTTAATCAGGTCTTGTTTCAAATCCTTTCTGTTACTCAATTTCTGAGATGGTTAATTTCAGATTCATGTATTCTCTCATGTGAAATTTATTTTTTAATGATATTTAATTAAACGTGAAGGGC
This sequence comes from Homo sapiens, assembly GCF_000001405.40. Lineage (NCBI taxonomy): Eukaryota > Metazoa > Chordata > Mammalia > Primates > Hominidae > Homo > Homo sapiens. Next base: position 1,285,453 of record NC_000018.10, read on the forward strand.
TGTGTAATGATATTCCTCTGCTACATGTTTTTTGTTTGTTTGTTTGTTTGTTTGTTTGTTTTTTGAGACAGGGTCTCGCTCTGTCACCCAGGCTGGAGTGCAAGTAGTGTGATCTCGGCTCACTGCAACCTCCGCCTCCCGGGTTCAAGCAATTCTGCTGCCTCAACCTCCTGAGTAGCTAGGATTACAGGCGCTGACCCCCATGCCCGGCTGATTTTTTTAATATTTCTAGTAGAGACGGAGTTTCACCAAGTTGGTGGTCAGGCTGCTCTTGAACTCCTGACCTCAGGTAATATGCCCGCCTCGGCCTCCCAAAGTGCTGAGATTATAGGCGTGAGCCACAGTGCCCGGCCCATGGTTGTTTTATATAGCCTATGTTCATCAGCTAGAAAGCTTTTATGCTTACTTTCTATTTTCTTCTAACAGTAACTTTATTTAAAACTTTTAAAAATAGCTTTATTGAGATAAAATTCTTCTACCATACTATTCACTCATTTAAGGTGTATGACTCACATTCATTTAAAGTGTGTTTTCTAAGGTCATGCAACCATTATCACAATCTAATTTTAGAACATTTTAATCTCCCTTAAAGAGAATAATCACACCCATCAGCTGCCACACCCCACCCCAACCCCACCCTTTTCACTCACTCCCCCATACCACTGAGAAATCACTAATATACTTTCTATCTCCATAAATTTGCCTTTTCTGGCCATTCCATATAAATGAAATTATACAATATATATATTCTTCTGTGACTTGCTTCTTTCACTTATAATGTTTCTACATTATATTGCATTTATAATGTTACTACAAGGTTCACCCATGTAGTAGCTGTATTTCATTCCTTTTTATTCCTGAATAATATTTCATTGTATAAATATACCACATCGTATTTCTCTTTTCATCAGTTGATAAACAATTGATTTGTTTTACTTGTTGATTGTTATGAATAATGCTGTTAATATTTGTGTACAAGTTTTGAGTGGACATGCGTTTTTTATTTTTGTGGGCATATACCAGGGAGTGGAATTGCTGGGCACGTGATAATTCCATGTTTAACTCTTTGAAGATTTGCCACTCTGTTTTTTAAAATGGCTGTACTCTTTTACATCCACATGGCAGTGTACAAGGATTCTTCCTCATCTTCACTAACACTTATTATTGGTCTTTTAAAAATTATTGTATTCTACCAGTGTGAAGTGGTATCTTGTGGTTTTGGTTTACGTTTTCCTAATGATAAATAATGTTGAGAATCTCTTCATGTGCTTATTGGCCGTTTGTATATCTTTATTTTTTTAATGAAATGTCTCTCCATATCCTTTGGCCACTTTTAGTTTTTTGTTTTTTTTTTCTGTCTTACTACTGAGTTGTAAGAATTCTTTACATATTCTAACAGTTCCTTCTCAAATATATGATTTGCAAATATTTTCTCCACTTCTATGGGTTGTCTTTTAACTTTCTTGATAATATCATTTGTAGCACAAAATCTTATACTTTTCATGAAATCCAATTAAAAAATTTCTCTTTTGCTACTCCTTCTTTTGTGTTGCTGCTAAGAAAACACTGCTTAACTCCAGGTCATGAAGATTTACCCCAGTATTTTTCCCTAAGAGTTTTATAGTTTTGGCTCTACATTTAGGTCTTTGGTTCATTTAGAGTTAATTTTTTTGTATGGTGTGAGATAGGGGTTTAACTTCATTTTTTTGCACGTGCTTGTGCCAGCACTATTTGTTGAAAAGACTTCTTTCCAGTTAAGTTGTTTTGACATTTTTTGGAAAATCTGCGAATCATAAATGTTTATGGACTTACGGGTTTATTTATGAACTTACGGGTTTATTTCTGGACTTTCAATTCTGTTCTATTGTTCAATTCTGTCCTTACACTAGTGTGACACTGTCTTGATTACAATAGCTTTGAGGCAAGATTCAAAATTGGGAAATGTGAGCTCCCCAACTTTGTAATTATTTTTCATAGTTATTTTGACTATTTTGGATCTTTTACATTTGCATATGAATTCTAGGATCGCCTTGCCAAATTCTGCAACAAAGCCAGGTAGGATTTTGAAAGGGATTTTTGTTGAGACTGTAGATACATTTGTTGAGTATTATCATTTTAACAATATTTAGTCTTCTGATCCAGAAACATGGAATGTCTTTTGATTCGTTTAAATATTTTCTAATTTTTGTCAACAATTTTTGCAGTTTTTAATTTACAAATCTTGCACTTCTTTTATTAACACCTCAGAGGAGTGCTATTATAAGTGAAATTGTTTTATTCACTTTATTTTCAGGTTGTTTGTTGCACCTGTATAGAAATACAATGGCTTTTTTACATTGTTACTAGATTTTGAAGCCTTGTTGAACTTGTTTGTTAGTTCTAATAGTTCTTAGTGGATTCTTCAGAATTTTATATACAAAATTATGTCGTCCATGACTAGAGATAGTTCACATTTTAAAAAAAATCCAGATGTCCTTTATTTCTTTTCCTTGACTAATTGCCCTTGGCAGAACCTTCATAACAATTCAAATAGAAGTGGCTAGAACAAGTATCTTTGTCTTGGTCTTTATCTCAGGGAGAAAACATAATACATGCTGGTCTCTCACCTTTGTCTGGTTTGGGTATCAGAATAATGATACTGGCCTCATTAAATGAGTTGGAAGTGTTCCCTCCTGCTCTATTTTTGGATGAGTTTCTGAAGGATTAGTGTATATATATATATTTTTTGAATGTTTGGTAGAATTCATCAGTAAAGCCATCTGGTGCTGGGCTTTTCTTTGTGTGAAAATGTTAAATTACTAGTTTGATCACTTTATCTGTTGTAAATTTACTCCAATTTTTAATTTATTTTTGAGTAAGTCTCAGCAGTGTATGTCTTTGTAGAAATCTGTCCAATTTATTTATGTGAATTTTGGCATAGAGTTGTTCATAGTACTTATTTATAATCCTATTTCTATAAAGTTGGTGGTGATATCCCCTTTCATTCATAACTTTCATAATTTGAGTCATCTCTCTTTTTTCCTGGTCAACCTAGCTAACATTTGTCATTTGTTTTTTTCCCCACAAAGATCAGGTTTTGTTTATTTTTATTTTCCCTATTATATTCTATTCTCTATTTTATTAGTTTCTGCTCTAGTATTTATGATATCCTTCCTTCTACTTGCTTTTAGTTAAATTTGGTCTTCTTTTTTTAAAAAAATTTTAAAGGGCATACTTAGGTTATTAATTTGAAACATTTCTTCATCTATAATATGGCCATTATAGGTATAAATTTTTCTCCAAGCACTGTGTTAGTTGCGTCTCATAAGTTTTGTAAGACATGTTTTCATTTCCAATCATCTCAAAATATCTTCTAGTTTCCTTTTTGATTTCTTATTTGACCCATTAGTTACTTAGGGTATGTGCTGTTTAATTTCCATATATTTTGAATTTCCCAAATTTTCTTCTGTTTTTGATTTCTAATTTACTTCAGGAGGTCAGAGAACATACATTGTATAACTTCACTAATTTTAGAAATATTGAAGCTTGGCTGGGTGTGATGGCTCATGCCTGTAATCCCAAGACATTGGGAGGCTGAGGTGGGTGGATAGCTTGAACTCAGAAGTTCAAGACCAGCTTGAGAAATATGGCAAAACCCTGTCTCTACCAAAAAAATACAAAAATTAGATGGGTTTGGTGGTGTGTGCCTATAGTCTCAGATACTGGGAAGGTTGAGGTGGGAGGATGGCTTGAGTCCAGGTGGTGGAGGTTGTAGTGAGTGGAGTGTCACTGCACTCCAGCCTGGGCGACAAAGCCAGAACCTTAATCCCCCTTCCCCACCCTTGCAAAAAAAAATTATTGACGCTTGTATCGCCTAACATGAGTTACCCTATAGAATGTTCCATGAGAGCTATATAATATGTATTCTGCTGCTGTCGTACAGTATGTACTTTAGATATCTGCTATGTCCCATTGGTTTATAATGTTCAAGTTTCTTATTTTCCTGTTGATTTTCTCCCTAGCTGGTCAATTCTTTACTGAAAGTGGGATATTGGGTTCTTCAACTATTACTGAATTATCTGTTTCTCCCTTCAAGTTTTTTAGCTTTTGCTTCGTCTTTGGGCACTGTGTTGTATATACATTCCAAAGTTTTATCTTTCTGGTGGGTTGGCCCTTTAATAATGATGAAATGTCCTTCTTTATCTCTAGTAACATTTTTAAGTTTATTTGTCTGATATTAGTATAGCCACTCCAAGTCTTTTATAGTTGTGGTTTACGTGGCACATCTTTTTCCTTCCTTTTACCTTCAACTTATTTGTATCAATATATTTGTATTGGTACCTAGCATATTTTTCCTTTGTTTTACTCAACTTATTTGTATCAATGTATTTGTATTGGTAGATGGCATATAGTTGGATCTTGTTCTTTTATCTCATATGACAATCTCTGCCTTTTGATTGGATTGTTTAGTTTACTTAAGATTTATATTAACTTAACTCCAAGGAAACAGAAAAACTTTACTCCTATAGAGTCCCATTTACCCTCCTATAGAGTCCCATTCACCTGATCCCCTTTTTGTGCTATTACTGTTATACATATTACAACTTTATATGTCACAAACCCAATGACATATTTGATGATTATCAGTTTGTATAATCTTAAATCTTTAAAGAAGCTGACAGAAGAAATAGAATATATTTAAATTTTTATGTTAACCTTCATATCCAGTTCTCTTCATTTCTTTAAGCAGATTTAACGTACCATTTGATGACATTTTTTTACTTCAATAGAACTTTGTTCCCACCCACCTCCCTTGTGCTATTATTATCAAACATATCACATTTCTATAAGGTACAGCCACAACAATGCAATCATATGCATATTTTAATAAAATTTTTAAATTAGCCAAGAGAAAAAAGGAAAAGAAATATGCAACTATAATTTCTTTTACAATTATCTACATAATTGTACCTTGTTTTGCAATGTGAGCTAGAAATACTTTCTGGTGTTCAGTATTTCTTGTAAAGCAGACCTGCTACCAACAAATTCTCAAGGTTTTTTTTATTTGTTTGCTTGTTTTTAACTGGGAATGTATTTCACTTCCTTTTTAAAACATAATTTTAACTTATTTTAGATTCATGGGGTATATGTGCAAGTTCGTTACATGGGTATATCTTGTAATGCTGAGGTTTGGGGTATAAATGATCCTATCACACAGGTAGTGAACATAGTACCCGATAAGTAGTTTTTCAGATTTTACCCCCTTCTTTTGTCCTCTCTCTGGTTGTCCCCAGTGTCTATTGTTTTCATCTTTATGTCCAATGTGTACTCAATGCTTAGCTTCCATTTATAAGCAAGAACATGTGGTATTTAGTTTTCTGTTCCTGTGTTAATTTGCTTAGGATAGTGGCCTCCAACTGCATCCACGTTGCTGCAAAGAACAAGATTTCATTGTTTTGTATGGCTGTGTAGTATTCGATGCTGTATATGTCCCGCATTTTCTTTATCTAATCCACTGTTAAGGGGCATTTAAGTTAATTCCATGCCTTTGCTACTGTGAATTCACTCCCTTTTTTGAAAGATAGATTTCTAGAATGTTAAATTCTTGGCTAATACATTTTTATTTTCAGCTCTTTGAATATGTTGTTCTGCTCCCCTTTTTTTCTGTTGAAAAGTCAGCTGTTAATCTTATTGAGATTCATTTGTATGTGATAAATTATTTTTCTCTTTCCAGTTTCAAGGTTTTCTCTTTGTTCTTAGCTTTCAACATTTTGGTTATAATATGTCTGGATGTAGATCTTTTTGCTTTTATTTTACTTAGAACTCATTGAGCTTGTTGGATGAGTACATTAATGTGTTTCATCAAATTTGGAAAGTTTTGAGTCATTATATCTTTGATTTCCTTTTTCCATCCCTTTCTCTCTCTCCTCTCCTTCTCATAAATATTTTAATGTACATTTAGTGATGTTCCACATTTCTCTGAGGCTCTTTATTTTTATTCATTCTTTTTTTTCTCTGTTTTCTTTAGATTGAATAATCTTTACTGCTCTATCTTCAAGTTCCATGATGCTCTCTTCTACTAGCTCAAACCTATTTCAGATTCTACTAACCTAATTCCAGAGAAATATAGAAACTTTATCCTACTAGTGAATTATTTTTATTTCATGTATTATAATTTTTCAACTCCAGAGTTTCTGTTTGGTTATTTTTAGTACTTTCTATCTATATTCTTTATTTTATAGACATTTTATTGTAACTTTCTTTAATTTGTAAAACCTTGTTTCCTTAGTTCTTTAAACACATTTGAAATAGGTTTTTTGAAGACTTTGTCTGCTCATTATACCATCTAGAATCCCTCAAAAGCAGTTTCAACTGCCTGGGTTTTTTCTTCTTTTTTTCTTTTTCTTTTTTCCCCTCTTGTTGTTTGTTTTCTTGCATATGTGTTACACTTTCCTCTGTTTTCAAGTTTTAGCTCACATTTTTCTTGAAAACTATACATTTTAGATAATATAATGATATATTATAAAAACTCTGAAGGCTGGGCATTGTGGCTCACGCCTGTAATCCCAGCACTTTGGAAGGCCAAGGTGGGTGGATCACCTGAGGTCAGGAGTTCGAGACCAGCCTGGCAACATGGTGAAACCCTGTCTCTACTAAAAATACAAAAATTAGCTGGGTATGGTGGAGGGTGCCTGTAATCCCAGCTACTTGAGAGGCTGAGGCAGGATAATCGCTTGAACCTGGGAGGTGGAGGTTGTAGTGAGCCAAGGCTGTGCCATTGCACTCCAGCCTGGGTGACAAGAGTGAAACTCTGTCTCAAAAAAACAAAATAAAACAAAACAAAAAACTCTGGGTACTAAACTCCCTCTCTGGAGGTGGTGGTTGTTTGCTTGGTCATTTGATTATTTGTTTAATGACTTGGCTGAGCTAATTCTGCAGAGCCTATTTCTCCTGCAGTGTGCTCAAATTGTTTTTTGTTGTTTTTGTGTTAGCCTGGCAACCAATGGTTACTACAAGTCAGTATAAGTTATTTATTGGATGAATGTTGTGCTTAAGCCTCCTTAGCCTTTTACTTCTAGATCTTTACCCTTCACCATTGGATGTGTGTATAGCTTGGAGGCTATGATCACAGTGAAAACCGTTTTGGTTTTTGCCCCATGTTCAGGCAGGGACTAGTAGCTTGGAAGTTCCCTCTCTGATTATTTCTGAGAGGGCACAGTTCTCAGCATACACACAGCCTTCCAGACGGCCAGAAGTGACTGTCATGTTATTTTTAAGTCTAGCTTCCCAGGAGTCATACCTGTGCCAGCCTAGCATATTGCTCAGTAAATGTTTGGTCATCAGAGATTGTGTTTAAGAAGTTTGTGCCAGTGAGGCTTCTACCGTGTGTTGATGTGCCTGTGTATGGCTTGGAAAATGCTTTCAAGTTTGTTCTGTCTTCTGTTCTGATTTCTCCAGAGCTGGGACAACCACTTAGTTGCACGGTTTTTCCAACCCTCAGAGTTGACTGTGATCCCAAGAGTGTTCTTAATTGCTGTTTCCTTGTTTCTCTCTATAAGGCATCTGGCTGCTCATCCACTCTGCTGCATTATAGAACTACCAACTCCTCTTAACTGCTTTCCTTCAAAGTTTGTTTTGTTTTCAGCAAAGTCCTTAAACATATACTTGTCCTCATTCTGATCCCAAAAGTTCAGTCTCTTCAGCCATAACTATAGAACTCTTAACCTTTATGTTCTTCCCTTCCCCCCAGGAATAACCCTCAAAACACTGCAGCAGATTTGGAAGTGGGGGCCTGCTTTTCCCAGAGTGACATCACTACTCTACAAGTAGGCACAGGAAGAGGTGGTAGCCCCAGCCTTCTTGGGCTACCTTTTGCAAGGTGGAACCGCCAACTGCCAAGCCAGTTGTTGTGGTGATTTACAGCCCAGTATTCTTGGGTAGAGCTTCTGTCCTATGAGTGGCAACTGAGTTGGGGAAGGGTAGATCTGGTCTGTTCAGTCACATATGCCTAGATAGAGCTTGTGCAATACAGATTTGACAGAGATGAAAAATGCCAGAAATCAGCCTCTCCTGATATCAACTATAGTTCCATACTGGGAGCAACAAGGTAAGAGAGCCCTTGTCTTCTGACTGCACATACAGAGTTTTCATAATACAGAACTTGGGTTGGAGGTGGAACAGATTGTGGCTGAAATGTCAAAAACTTTTGCTATTACCGAGATTTGGTAGGCATACTTGAATAAATGTTTATCTATTGGCTATATGCCTCTAGAACAATTTCCAGATACTTTATATAATTGGTTTTTTGGATACATAAGCATGTAATAAAATTTCTCATGTATCTCATAAATTTGTACAAATAAAGAAACTGGTATTCAGATTATATAAATAACTTTCTCAACTCAATAATAAGAAAATAATTCCCCCACCCCCCAAATGGCAAAAGATTTAAATATATAACACCAAAGATGATATATGAATATACAAATGGTAAGTAAATAAGCAAAAAGATGCTTAACATCATTAGTCATTAGGGAAATACAAATTAAAACCACAATGTGCTACGGCTATTAAGGAAAAAAATAGACAATACCAAGTCCCGAGAATGGGAATGAAAAATACAGCTATTTTGGAAAACAGTTTCGTAGTTTTTTTAAATGTTAAATACTGACGGTATTGATCAGGGTTCCCAGAGAAGCAGAAGCAATATGATGTGTGTGTGTGTGTGTGTGTGTGTGTGTGTGTGTGTATATGTGTGTGTGTGTGTTTGTTTATGTGTGTGTATGTGTGGAGAGAGAGAGAGAGAGACATTTATTATAAGGAATTTGCTCATGCAATTACAGAGACTGACAGGTCCCAAGATCTACAAGCTGAATCAGCAAGCTCAGGACCCATGAAAAACTACGAGTTAGTTCTAGCTGGTGTCTGAGGATCTAGAATGAGGAGAGCCAATAGTATACTTCCTGTCCAAAAGCTGGTAGAATTGAGACCCAGGAAGCACCGAAGTTTCAGTCCAAAGGTCGGGAAAAGCTAATCTCCCTTGCCCAAGGTAGTCTGGCAGGAGGAATCGCTTTTACTCAAGGGAAGCTGATCTTATTGTTACAGTCAAGCTTTCAACTGATTGGAGGAAGTACACCCACATTAGGGAGGGCAATTTGCTGTACTCAATCTGCTTATATAAATATTAATCTCATCCAAATACACCCACACAGAAACACTCAGAATAACATTTGACCAAATAGCTGGGCACTGTGCATGTGGCCAACTCGACATATAAAACTTGCCTTTTTATTTACCAAGAAAAATAAAGATGTCCATACCAAAAAATATATGTAATTATTTATAGTAACTTATTCATAATCATGCAAACAACCCAAATGTCCATCAGCTGATGAACAGGTAAACAAATTGTGGTGTAAGCATACAATGAATTACTATTTAGCAATTAAAATAAGACAAATCTCAAAAGCATTATGCTAAGTGAAAAAGGCCACATTCAAAAGACTACGTATTATGATCTATTTATATGATGTTCTGAAAGAGGCAAAACAATAGAAACAAGAAAGAGGTCAGTGGTTGCCAGGAGCTGGGGAAAGGACCACAAAGGGCACAGGGAACTTTCAGGATGAGGGAAATATTCTTTATCTTAATTGTGATGTGGGGAGTCACATGACTGTAAGCCTGTCAGATTTCACCAAACATTAACATGTAATCAGAATGAATTTTTCTTCATGTAAATTACACCTCAATAAAACCTGGCTTAAATAAATGGCACAAGTTTTGAAGGAGACAGGTCCAATTGTGTGATGTCATCTGCTTTCTTAGGAATCATCCACCATTTGATGGCATCTTTACCTTTGGAGTAAGCCTCCAAAGGACATTCCCCCTTCTAAGCTGCATTCTCTCCCGAGAAGTGATGCCTTGTCAATAATTCATCTCTGTTCCACATGCCTACCAACTCCCTTCATTTTGATTTCCAGGTAGCCCTGCTCTATCTGACTCGTCCTGAATATTTCCCCTTTCTGAGAGGGAGTCTCTCCTTCAGGTAGTGTGTTCTGCCAATGCTGGGACCCATTGCTCTTTTCATTCTTCTGTGCAATCTCCACCTAACCCCACTCTGGGAGTCTCCAGTGATCTTCTGGTATTCATTCATTTTCAAATTTACAGGAAAATGGACATTTATAGAATTTGCTATCTTTTACTCTGCAGGTTATATGTGATTTTGTTTGTCCTCCTTGGTTTTATTGGTTTGAGAAATGTAGAGAGATTTAGATTATTCTAACTGGCTTCTAATCTTATTGCAATAGTCTCAGACATGTTGTTCTGCATGTTAACCGTCCTTAGAAAATTCTTGAAATATTCTTCCCTATTCTGTAGTAAAATTTGGTAAATTGTTTATATATTCTGAAAAGAGTATACATTACCTCATTATTGAGCATGGGAACTTGTTAGCTATATTGATAAATTATTCTAAAACTTACTTAATTTTTGTCTGCTGAAAGAAAAATTTCTGATAGAAGGATGTTTTAAAAATCAATTTGATATAGATTTTTCAAATATAATACATGCATATTTCCAAAATAAAATAATGTATTTGAAGTAACTTTTAAACTATGAGTGCTACAGACAGTTATTGCATTAGCCATGGAAACAAGAGAAAATATATGATAACACTTGGCATAAAAGTACCAATTAAAAGTGTCCTGAAAAGAATTCATTCTGGATATTACAGTTTGTCTGACTGAGAGCATTAATCTTATTAGCCAAAGAGGCTGCCTTAAAACCTTTGCATAATAACAGTCAAAAATGGCGTAACCTTGATGTCTATGAGTTGCCAGAAGACTTTATTATCTCTATGTTGATTCAACTAGAATGATTACTGCTCTCAGGACATATCAGAGTGAAACAGGAGAGTTCCCTGATTCCCCTGGCAGGATATGCGACAGGGGTGGCTGGCATGCTTAGTCACCCCGCAGCTCAAACCTCAAGGGAGAGCATAGAGATGGGCAGTGCAGAGGCTGGAGCCAGCACTTCTGGGCTCTGGCCTCAAAGTAGCATCTAGGGGTGGGTGTCTAACTCCCGAAGCCCAAGTGGGCGTGGTTACAAAGCTCTTTCAGATTTGCCATCTGCAGGTGACTTTTATGTTAATCAGTTCAATACACCCTTGTCTTTTCGCAGGGGCTGGGGGCCAGTGTGACAGCCTTCTGTATCCTGAGCTCTTGCCCAGTGTCCTGAAAGAATGAATCACACATGGGTTTGAAGCATGAGTGAAAGGTTTTATTGAGTGGTGGAGGTGGCTTCAGTGAGATGGATGGGGAGCTTGAAGAGGGGGATGAAGTGGGAAGGTGGTCTTCCCCTAGAGTCGGGCCACCCAGTGGCCGGACTCTTCCCCAACAAGCCCCCAGCTGAACTCTTCTGGACATACAGACGTCCCTCTTCTTCTCTCTTGCTCTGCTGCATTGTTCTGCCCTTGCTGGTCTGCTGGTCTCGACTTCCAGCTACTTGTGTGTGTGCTCGCTATAAAGGTCTTGGGTTTATATGGGCACAGGATGGGGGGTGTAGTGGGCCAGAATGGTCTTGGAAAATGTAACATTTGGGTGGAAAATAGAAGTGCCTGTTCTCACTTATGTCTTTGGGCACAGACCAGAGGATGGAGCCTTCACCCGGGACCCTGCCCTTCTCTATCCAGCGCTTCCCTGTCCCCCTTTCGTATCAATAGATATGTAATTTTACCTCTGTCTCTTCCAATAAAAGCCTATTTGATTTCAGTAAATCTCACACAATATTTTGGTACAAGATATAAACCTCTAAGACTTAAGAATGTCAAAGCACATTTTGCTAGTCATTTGGTAGAGTCCCAGGGGAACTGAACTTTGAGATAGTTTTCAATCATGGGTTTTACTCAAACAAACAGTGTAGCTGCAAAGAGACACTGTCAGCACACAATTAGAAAGATATACATTTTAAAGGTCATTGTTTTCATTGTCTTTTCTGTGTTAATGAGCATGGCATTAAGACATGAGGATTTCAAGCAGAGGTCTCTGCAGGGTTACTGTGAAATATAATCGGATGTCATGAGAGTAGGGGAAAGAACCCCTGATGTTTCTCCTCACTATTCTACTCTACCAGCTCATGAACCGTGTTAAGGGTGGGAACCAAATACAGTAAAGCGATATTTTGTCTCTTTGCTAGTGATTCTGTATTTTTCTGTGTGCAAGTGGGAAACCAAACATTTCTTGCATAATGAAAGACTAATTCGCTTTTCTCTAATGAGTAAAGATACTTCAATAAATGCCAATGGCTACAGTCTCACATAGTCTATATAATGAAGGAGGGGCAATTTTTTTTGAATGTGCACACATTTGCATTATAGAGTCCTTTCTAACTAATTATCAGGAACATTCAGTGATGTTTTTAAACTCACTCACTTTTAGACAGTGTATAGACCTGGAAAGTGAATAATGGGATTAGGAATGATAGGTCAATTATTCCTGTCTAGACAAGGACATTAATGTTCATAAATGATGATTATGGGACTGCTATCTTAGCCTACTAGAATGGAATCAGCATGGGGATCCAGTGCTCAGGTGACCTGGAAACCACTTTGACACTTCTCAAAGAGGCACCAGTAGCAGAGCTGAAGGTTTAGAGAAGAAGTTAAGTGCATTTTTGTCAGGAAAGTGCTAGGTAAATTCAATGAGAAGATAAACAAAATGAGAATAGATGAGTGAATGTAGTTCTATGGCCATCCTTAATTTCAGGAAGAGGATGTTTTCCTATTAGGAAAGCATATTTTACCAATGATATTTGTACAGTTTATTTATTTATTTTTTATTTATTTATTTATTTATTTTTGACGGAGTCTCACTCTTTTGCCCAGCTGGAGTGCAGTGGCGCTATCTCGGCTCACTGCAAGCTCCGCCTCCCAGGTTCACGCCATTCTCCTGCCTCAGCCTCCCGAGTAGCTGGGACTACAGGCACCCACCACCATGCCCGGCTAATTTTTTATGTTTTTAGTAGAGATGGGGTTTCACCATGTTAGGTAGGGTGGTCTCGATCTCCTGACCTTGTGATCCACCCGCCTTGGCCTCCTAAAGTGCTGGGATTACAGGCATGAGCCACCGCGCCCGGCCAATATTTGTACAGTTTTACAGATGTTGGAGGTGAGTTATCAGGAGGAAAATGTTAACTAGAACCAGCTTGCTTTTCTGTGACAAAAAAGCAATATCAGATATAAAGCTTTTTCTCCATTATTTGAATTATGTATTTTTCTCCCTTATCCACCAGTTGTTCTCATGGGATAAGAGAGAGGGTGGTTGGACATAAAGAGCTCCCTTTGGCACTGCTGATCCTAAGCTTCTTGTCTGCCTCTTATGGATGGACTGTAGCCTGCCATATCCCTTTCAGCTTCACTTGGATACAACATTTCCCTCCTTCATGCTTTGGTGGGTGGAGAGTGTGGTGAGGAGGAATAAAAGCAAAAGTATGGTCATTTTCACGATATTGATTCTTCCTATCCATGATCATGGAATGCTTTTCCATTTGTTTGTGTCCTCTCTGATTTCCTTGAGCAGTGGTTTGTAGTTCTCCTAGAAGAGTTCCTTCACTTCCCTTGTTAGCTGTATCCCTAGGTATTTTATTCTCATTGTGGCAATTGTGAATGGGAATTCATTTATGATTTGGCTTTCTGCTTGTCTACTGTAGCTGTATGGAATGCTTGTGATTTTTGCACGTGGCTTTTGTATCCTGAGACTTCGCTGAAGTTGCTTATCATCTTAAGAAACTTTTGGGCTGAGACAATGGGGTTCTCTAGATATAGGATCATGTCATCTGCAAACAGAGATGGTTTGACTTCCTCTCTTCCTATTTGAATACACTTTATTTCTTTCTCTTGCCTGATTGTCCTGGCCAGAAATTCCAATATTATGTTGAATAGGAGTGGTGAGAGAGGGCATCCTTGTCTTGTGCCTGTTTTCAAGGGGAATGCTTCCAGCTTTTGCTCAAAGTAATTTATAGACCCAATGCTATTTCCATTAAACTACCATTGACATTCTCTACAGAATTAGAAAAAACTACTTTAAAATTCATATGAAACAAAATAAGAGCCCATGCAGCCAAGACAATCCTAAGCAAAAAGAACAAAGCTGAAGGCATCACGCTACCCAACTTCAAACTATACTACAAGACTCAGTAACCAAAACATCATGGTACTGACATAAAAACAGTCACATAGACCAATGGAACAGAGTAGAGATCTCAGAAATAAGACTGCACATCTATAACCATCTGATCTTCAACAAACCTGACAAAAACAAGCAATGGGGAAAGGATTTCATATTAAATAAATGGTGCTGGGGGAACTGGCTAGCCATACGCAGAAAATTAAAACTGGACCCCTTCCTTACACCTTATATATAAATTAACTCATGATGAAATAAGACTTAAACGTAAAACCCAAAACTATAAGAACCCTAGAAGAAAATTTAGGCACTACCATTCAAGACAGGCACAGGCAAAGATTTCATGATGAAGACATCAAAAGCAATTGCAAGAAAAGCAAAAATTGACAAATGGGATTTAATGAAGCTAAAGAGCTTCTGCACAGCAAAAGAAACTATCACCAGAGTGAACAGACAACCTACAGAATGGGAGAAAATTTTTGCAGTTTATCCATCTGACAAAGGTCTAATATCCAGAATCTACCAAGAACTTAAACAAATTTACAAGAAAAACCCAAACAACCCCATTAAAAAGTGGGCAAAGGACATGAACAGGCATTTCTCAAACGAAGACATTTATGTTGCCAACATATATATGAAAAAAAGCTCCACATCATTGTTCATTAGAGAAATGAAAATCAAAACCACATGAGATATTGTCTCATGCCAGTCAGAATGGCGATTATTAAAAAGTCAAGAAACAACAGATGCTGGCAAGACTATGGAGAAATAGGAACGTTTTTACACTGTTGGTAGAAATATAAATTAGTTCAACCATTGTGGAAGACAGTGTGGTGATTCCTCAAAGACTGAGAACCAGAAATACCATTTGACCCAGCAATCCCATTACTGAGTGTATACCCAAAATAATATAAATCATCCTATTATATAGATACATGCTCACATATGTTCATTTGCAGCACTATTCACAATAGCAAAGACATGGAATCAACCCAAATGCCCAACAATCATAGACTAGATAAAGAAAATGTGGTACATATACACCATAGAATACTACACAGCCATAAAAAGGAACGAGCTAATGTCCTTTGCAGGGACATGGATGTAGCTGAAAGCCATTATTCTCAGCAAACTAAAACAGGAACAGAAAATGAAACACCGCATGTTCTCACTTATAAGTGGGAGCTGACCAATGAGAATACATGGACACAAGGAGGAGAACAACACACACTGGAACCTGTTGAGGGGGCATGGTGGAGAGGGAGAGCATCAGGATAAATAGCTAATGCATGCGGGGCTTAATACCTACGTGATGGGTTGATAGATATGGCAAACCACCATGGCACATGTTTACCTGTGTAACAAACCTGCGTGCCCTGCACATGTATCCCATAACTTAAAATTAAATTAAATTTTTTTGAAAAGTAAAAGTAATCTCCATCATTATCATATTTGCTACTGTTATCACCGTTAAAAAAAAAAAAGAAAAGAAAAATCCTTGCCCTTGTTCAAGTTTCTCAAAAATGCAACTTTTATTTAGCCCAAATTCTAAAACATTAAATAGTGGGATTATAAAACTTAACAAAAGCAAAGGTGAGGGAAGTTATTCTTTGTGAAGGGATATCAGATCTTAAAGGTGAAATTGAAAATCATTAGGTGAATAGCACATTTTTCTTTTTCAAAATGAAATGCTATTTCTCACTTCTTGAGAATTATAAAATGCTACTTCGATCTTGCCATTTCTCGTTCTCCTGTCTTTATTTACATTGTCAGATGAACTTGTTTTTCATTAATGAATCAGGCAAGATGAGGATGCCCATTATTTGGGCAGATGCCTGCAAACATCCATGCGAGGTGGGAGGAGAGTACCAGTATATCATACGGAATCAAGAGTTATTTATTTGTTCTAGAGAAACCATTATTCTCAAGTATAAAATATTTTTGATATCACAAAATCTGCTGAATTACAAGAGGATTCTGGAGCACCATATTCAGACGTTTTAGCTGTGCAGAAAAGAAAAGCTTCATGGGGTAATGGTGATTATTTTGTTTTGTATTTTTTTTTCTAAAATAATGGAAGATTCAATCATTCCTGCCAATTCAAGTTCAACCTGATTCAAACAAGGAAAGTAGGAAAGAGGCCAAAGTTTGGCTGTAGATTCAACTACCTTATCAGGGAATAAATTATCTGTGGTTGGAAGAACAAAAATGGAGCTTGGAGGCAGTGAGTGATCTTGGAGTTCTACTACTTACATAATCATATATAGGTATACATATAGATATATAGATGTATATTTTCTCACCTACATTATTTGAGAACGAGGATTGTGGATTAATCTTTTTATTTTTCACCTTACCTAATTCCTCACCCCAGGTGATTTCATCCATACCCATGACTTTAAATGCCAGTTGAGCATTTAAAAGTATAACTTCCAAATTTGTATCTCAAGAAACTCACTTCATTGAACTCCGTGCTAGTGAAGGTAACTGTCTGACATTTGGATATTTAACAAGAATCTCAAAACTAACATGTCCAAAAGGGAATTATTGATTTTCCTCTGAAAACCTGCTTCACACAACATTTTCCAATTCTGTGCTTGGAACCACTACCCAATTACTGAAGCCCCAGATGCAGATGTCATCCTCAATTCTGTCTTTTCTCTTGTATCACCACCCTCTCATTTAGTTCAGCAGCAACTTCTATTGGCTGTATCTCCAAATTATTACCTGCATCCATCCACTGTTTTCCGTGTTCACCACTGCCGCCTTTATCCAGGTACCGTGGTTTTTTGCCTCTTCTACTGAAGCAGCATAACTGGTCTCCCTAATTTCATTCTTAACCTGCTACGACTTATTCCAAACATTTACTTAAAATGTAAAGCAAACAATGTCATTGTGCTTCTTTTTGATGGCACAGAGGAAAGAAAATCCAAACTCATTGCTATCACCTACAACCCCCCACATAATCTAACCTTGACCATCTCTCCGGGGCCTAACATCAGCAAGTCAGACCACAGAGGTAGGCTTGCAAGACAGGTTGGTGGGGGAGTCAACAGAGTTTTTAAAAACAGTTGAATGGCATTTAAAAGGATTATTCTGAATTCCTTGTTGGACATATCACAGATCTTTAATTCCAAGTCCATTATTGGAGCTTTGTTGGTTTCTTTAGGCAGTGTCATATTTCCCTGAGTTTTCATAATTTTTGTGTCTTTACATTGATACCTGTGCATTTAAGGAGACAGCCACCCCTTCCAGCTTTTGCAGGTGTTCTTTGGTGGTTTTAGATATCTACTACTTAAAATCAGAACTTAATTATTGGTCTGCTGTGGCTTCCTTTTCTGGGGAGGGCTTATGGTGAGCACCAGGACTAAAACACTGCACAGGAACTAATTGCCCTGTCTGGGGAAGACTTAAACAAACAGTGGAACTTAATTACTGACCTTTCAGTTGTTTCCCAGTCAGGGGAAGGCTGCACTCAAGCAGCTGGGTTTTGTGAAAATCCAGCCAGGGGTCTGGCCTTCCTGTTTATTGTGCCCTCTGCAACCCTGTGGCACCAGCCAGTCTCCTCAGCATGGTATCTCTGCTGATCAGACTGTAGAGCAGCTGCCAAGGTATCCATGCCAGTTACTGCAATCACCACCCCTGCTTTTAATCCCCCAATTTACCCCAGGTGCTTCAGCACTTCTGGTGCTTCCAATGATTCCCATGGGACGGGACCAGAGTGGGCTTCCCAGGAAGATTCCCTGACTGGTGGAGAGATCAAATGTCTACCTCCAATTCCCTCCTTCCACCTCAGAAATCTTGGGTCTAGGAGATTCTCTGGGAGTGTAGTTCTGACGGCTTGAGGGAGGTGTGGTGCAGTCTCAAATGGCGGCTTCTCTTACTGCTGGCAACTTCGCTCAATTGTGTGCCCAGTGGGTGTCTCCACTTCTCCAGGTTCTGGTGAATTCAGGATGGTATTTTTGTCTTTGAATAGTTTCTGGTTGCATTTCTATAGTGGGGGTGAAGCTAGGGGAACTTCTGTGATCTTCCTGAGGTCACTTCAAAGTGCCTTCAGTGAGGGAGAATGTGCTTAGGCAGAGCAACTCTCTCTCCTTACTCATTCTCAGCTGTATTTCTAAGACTCGGTGATTTTCACCTACAACACAACTTTGAAAGAAAAAGAATTCTAAGAGGGTATGAATGAAAAAAGCCAGCCGCCCAAATTGTAGTTCTTCTCTAGCAGAGAGCTTAGGATCAGGAGACAAACTATCCTGGAACTAAGCAACCATCTTGGGACCCTACAGGATGCACCCCATCACTCCTTCAACTCAGATTGTTATACCCAACCGGTGACCATTCCACACTAAAACTCACCTCAGGCAAGGACTGTCTGAAAATAACCTGACTCAGTATTTCATTTCTCTGCAGGGTCACTCTTACCTTTATGAATCAATGTGTATTACACTGAAAGTTCACTATAGCAGCACCTTGGGAGCTCTTGCTAATATTAGCTATAAATCCTATAGCTCTTAATCACATTCTTCAGATAATTTATTACCTGAACCATTCTGAATATGATTTAAAACAAATATGTTTCCATCAAACCCAGACCATTTGTGGAAAGCTTTTGGATGTGCCTTCAGTGTGCATTTATTCATAGTTGTTGGTGTGTTGCTTCTCAGGTGTTCCAATGATAGTTTTAATTTTTCAGGGGCTCCTCTGTGACTTTTCCCTGTATAGTCCTCTGCAGCATCACTGATTATCATTCTCAAAGGCACAAAAAATATCAAACATCCTTCTTAAAATAAAGAATGTGTTAATCTTGAAGACTGCCATAACAAAAATACTACAGACTGAGGGGCTTAAATAACTGAAATTTACCTTTCAGTCATGGAGACTAGAAGTCCAAGATCATGCCAGTAGGGCTGATTTCCAGTGAGGTTTTGCTTCCTGATGTGCAGACGGCTGCCTTATCACTGTGTTATTACATGGTCTCTTCTCTGTGTACACACAGAGAGAGAGAGCTCTCTGGCATTTCTTCCTCTTCTTATAAGGACACTAGTGACTTCACTTAACACTAATCACCTCCTCAGAGGCCCTGTCTCCAAATATAGTCACCCCTATAGGGGTTAGAGTTCCAACATATGATTTTGGCAGACACAGTTTTGTCCATAACTCAGAGATTTCGCAATATCAAGAAAAGTGTCCAAACAGAAATGTCCAGTTAACACCAAATAATCCAATACGGTTGAGCTAGAACTAACAATGGTGTTACCAATTGATACTAGTGGGCATGAAAATCGAGCAGTTTTGTAAATCTAGTTAATGCCAGTCAGAGCACAAGTCACAAGTCAGCTTTAAATAAAATAATATGTTTTTAAAACCAAAATCAACTCTGATCATAATTAGGTATAAATTAAGTTCACAAGAAGACGAAGTTTTGGTTTTGTTTTCCCAGAGAAAAGGAGGTCATTTAATTCACTGTAGGAGTAATTTACTAAATAGTACTCCAGCATCTTACTAATTAAAGAGTAACTCTGGTGACATATTTAAGTGCACAGAGCCCAAAATGTCTCATAAGTCAACAATACTACATAAACAACACTGCTTTGTGCTGAATTAGGAATGCTTAACATTGAAAAAGTTCAAACTCTCTAGAATACATGCTGTGTAACCTGCACTCCATTCCAAGTATCTTGAGCAAGGGAAGCTAGCTGGATTACATTTTTTCTTTGTTAATTCTGTACTATCAAGTTTACTTGACAATATCTAAAACAATGTCACTGAATTTGTGAAAGCACTAGAGATTTACCAAGCCATATCTCTTTAATTGGAGTCAAATGGCTGTTTCTTTCACACTAAGAATTGCCCACCTAAATTCTGTCACCTCATTTCCTTAGCTAATGAGAACAGTGTGTCACAGTAGATGGACTTTATCTGAAAATTAAAGCAGCAAATGTAACTGAGCCTTCTTTCCTAGAAAGGGTTGCTTTGAAAGCCCAAAGGACTGAAGTCCACTGATTAAAAATGAGGTCATTTATGTTTCACTAGGATTTCCAGCATATATATTCTTGCATATACAAATGGTGAGATCAATACATAAAGTTAGTCATAATTGAGGAGGCTGTTCACTTGTTATGTAACTCTACTTTCATTCTCAAGTTAATGTTATAGCTGAAAACTGGAATGTCTAAAAATGGTTACTAAAATAACCCAAGCATCAGACAAGGATTTGGAGCTGAAGCGGGTATAGGGTATTTGCTTTTAAAACAGAATATTGAGATGTTCTAAAAACTATATGAAGACAGACATTTTTCAGTCGGGAGTTTGTGGAGGTTCCCTGGAATATTTTGAAAGTAAAATTAGGCCTTAAGTGTCTGTGAAATTATGAACTTTTCCACACATTAATTTACATGAGGCTAAATACATTTCTGAATCTAAATCACGCTCTGTTGCCCTCTGGATTATATTGCCGACTTTGCCTTACAGCAAAGCATTTCAACAGCCACCATCACAAATATGGAGGCCTCTTATGTGCCAAGCAGTGCTCTAGGTGTTGGAGTTGACAATCTAATGAAGAAAACAGACAGTAACTAAGTAAAAAGTAGACTAAACCATTTCAGAGAGTGATTCATGCAATGGAAAAATATAAGAGAGAAGTGAGTTAACAAGTGATGGAGTAGGAGGACAATGCTATGAATCTGGTGAGCGGGAAAGCCCTCCCTGAGCATAGGGCATTGAAGCTGAGAAAATATGAGGCAAGAGAACTCCAGGCTGCTGAAAAGTCCTGAAGTGAATACGACATGGCATTTTTCAGAAACAGCAAGAAGGCTAGTGTGGTGGCTGGAGCTCAGAGTACCAGGGAAGAATGGTGGGGAAAGGTGGAAGTTAGGGAGCAATTTCAATGACTATGAATGACCCAGTCCTAATGTTTACAAGTAAGAAGGACACTAGTGAATGATATAATTTCTGATTCCCTATCTAGAAATAGGAAGGAGCAAAAATGGAGCTTCAAAGGCACTAGAATAGACCACCCTCGTGTGCTGCTCTAATATTATTTTTCTTTCTAGAGCAGGGGTCAACAAACTTTTTATTTTTAAAGCACGGGCCATTAAAAGCCCAAGCAAAAAATATTTTAGGCTTTGCAGACCATAAAGTCTCTGTTGCAACTATTTAACCCTGCTGTTTTAACACAAAGACAGCCAGTGATGATACATGAATGAATGAGGGTGATTGTGTTTGTGTTCCAATAAAACTTTACTTACGAAAAACAGGCAGCAGGCTGGATTTTCCCTCCTGGCCACAGTTTGCTGACTTCCTACTCTTGAGTCCCTAAAGAATTATGTATCTGTGTAGTTTTCCTCTGTATCAAAAATAGTATAATTCTAATGTAGTGTCTCTTTAAGAACACTTGACTAGGTTACCCTTGTCCTACCCAAGTGCTATGCTAACTGGAAAAGAAAAAAAACTCTTTGAAAGATTTGAGTTCCAAGCATTTAACACTTAAATTAATTTGCACATCCTCAGCTGATATACATTGTGTCAAGGAGGGTCCCACACTATGTTCTCATTATCTCACTTTCCCCATCATTCATACTTATTGCGCCTTGGTAATTTTACCCTTCATTTTAAAAGTCGTGTTACATTTTAATAGTCGATAGACCATTAATACAGCACATACATCTTCCTGAAGCCTAGACAAGGAGCTTAATGAAGCTACAGGATACAAAATAATTACCAGTAGAATATATTTTTCCTAAGTCTATTATGGCATTATCAACAATTTAATGGAAGCATATTTCCATATGAGCTACATGTTGGGGAGGTATTAATAAAGTTATAGTGTTTAAATAATTCATCACATCAGGGAAGGATTTTATATTTGCCACAGTCAAAATACACAGAAAGGGATGAAATCTCATTTTAGAAAATAATGATTGAGTCTTAAGCTATGAATATAGAAAACTGAATCACTCCATGTACAAGTGTTAGGTCAGAATACATTTACCAAGTGCTGATGTTTCTGGCTCCAAAATGCCATTTCTATTTACCCTCTTGTTCTAATTTACACAGCCCCTAACTTAGATCAGGCCCTCATCTCTATATGCTTGGTTTACAAATGCCTCTTGGTTTATCTCTGGGTCTCTTCTAATTTAGCCCATATAACCCATAATCCCCCGTGTTAAACTGTTCTTGCATTGCTATAAAGGAATACCCAAGAGTGGGTAAATGATTAAAAAAAGAGGTTTAATTGGCATATGGTTCTGCAGGCTGTACAAGCTTGGAGCTGTCATGTATTCAGCTTCTGGAGAGGCCTCTGGGAGTGTTTACTGATGGCAGAAGGTGAAGAAGGAGCAGGCAGTACATGGCAAGAGCAGGAGCAAGATAGAGAGTGGGTGGAAGTGCCACTCACTTTAAACAACCAGGTCTCTCTCATGAGAACTCACTCTCTATCATGAGGACAGCACCAGAGGATGGTGCTAAACCATTCATGGAAATCTGCTTGCTGCCATGATCCAGTCACCTCCCACTAGCCCCTACCTCCAATATGGTGATATGGTTTGCTTGTGTCACCACCCAGATCTCATCTTGAATTGTAGTTCCCATAATCCCCAGGTGTCATAAGAGGGACCCAGTGGGGGGTAACTGAATCATGGGCCAGGTTTTTCCCCTGTGCTGATCTTGTGAAAGTGAGTGAGTTTTCACGAGATCTGATGGTTTTGTAAGGGGCTTTTCCCCCTTTTGCTCAGCACTTCTCCTTGCCTGCCACCATGTAAGACATGCCTTTGCTTCTCCTTCACCTTCTACCATGATTATGAGGCCTCCCTAGCCATGTGGACATGTGAGTCCATTAAACCTTTTTTTTTGTCTTTTTAAATAAATTACCCAGTCTCAGGTATGTCCTTTTAGCATCATGAAAACAGGCTAATATAATTAGGGATGACATTTCAACATGAGATTTAGAGACGATAGATATCTAAATTATAACATCCCTAGAACAATCTTTAACTAATATTTTCATCATAATACAACTTTGCTTAAAAATGTAAGGGTAGCTTGGAAATCTTCCCAAGAAGGTAACCATTTCTTATCGATTCTTTACCCTTTACGCTGGATCTGGCTTTGTACTATCTCAATGAAGCAAAATTCACCCAGCACAGCTAAATTGCTTCCCTATGCTAATCTGCTCAGTGAGACCCTTCCACAGTCTCTAATGAGCAAATCCGTCCTTGATCTTCCAGTGGTGAAGCCTTTCCAACCCTCCCTGCAAGCAATAAGTCACTTCCTCTTTTATCCTGCATAATGTAAGTAATACTTCCTGGTTCACAATTATCACACTGTATTATAATTGCATGCTTATTCATCTGTCTGTCCCCAAATCAACTGTTCGTTCTTGAGTGGTGTGATTACAAATAAAACTTCAGTTGTGCCAAGTTTTGGTGTTTAATTTCACTACCTTGAAGATACGAACTGCTTCTTCTAATCCAATGAGTGCTATTTCCAGAATTAAACTTCATTAGATATACCCTCTAGATATTCTAACTCAATAGGTCTGAAGACAGGGCCAAGAATCCATCCTTTGGATTTTGGGCAGGTGGTCCACAGACAACTGTCTGAGAAACCCTTTACTAAAGCACTTGGTATTGCCACATGATAAGCCTAGAACTTTAGTACATTGTTATAGAGTTAGAGGCATGTTGACCCTTTAATATGTTAACTTCAGGCATGAGTATATGAAATGACATAAAATTTTGACTTTGATTTTACTACTGAGCTGTCTTTTTAAATAGCATTTATTATTACTGAAATCATATTGGTTGAGGTACATTCTGTGAAATAATACATAGGAAACGAGAAGTAGAAGAGGGCAATATTTGAAGAAATGCAATACCTCAGTGGATGACATTTGACTAATTCTAATGGGTTGACTCTGATTTTTTAGGAAACACTTTTGATTATATTTTCTGTTTGATTCAAAGACCTCCTAAGCTATGAGTGCTCCAAATGGGCCCAAGGTTTTATATAGTTTTTAGTTAGAGTCCCTACAAAGGAGTTTTGATCTGGCTATTTGCTCCTCATGATAATGCAACATTATTTTTTCTACCATAGTTTGTTGACATGCACTACGGCCAACTCAATACAGCAACTTCTAGAAAGAAACTTGATTCCACCACTGGGAACTGTGGTCTCAAACCTTCATGCCCTGTGAACAGCTCAACTTCTTCGAACTGCCAACATATTCACCAACAGAAACCAGGATCTTCCAAAGGGAGTCCATGTCTTTCTATCTAGATCTAACTAAAGGACCAATTCACCGAAAAAGTAATAATCTACTTTACACATGGTGACTATAGTTAATATCAATACATTGTGTACTTGAAACTTGCTGCAAGAGTAACCTGACAGGTTCTCACTACAAAAAAATGATAGGTATGTGAGATGATAAATATGTTAATTAGCTTGACTTAACCATTTCACAATGTATACATATCAAAACATCACTTTATAGTCTATACATATGTACTATTTTCATTTGTAAATTGTACTGAATAAAACAAAAAATGTACTTTAGGAGGCCGAGGCGAGCGGATCACGAGGTCAGGAGATGCAGACCATCTGGCTAAAGATGGAGACCATCTGGCTAACACGGTGAAACCCCGTCTTTACTAAAAATACAAGAGAAAATTAGCCGGGCGTGGTGGCAGGTGCCTGTAGTCCCAGCTACTCGGGAGACTGAGGCAGGAGAATGGCGTGAACCCAGGAGGCGGAGCTTGCAGTGAGCCGTGATCGCGCCACTGCACTCCAGCCTGGGCGACAGAGCGAGACAAGACTCCGTCTCAAGAAAAAAAAAAAGGTAAATTTCATCAACAAATAATCATTATGAAATTTGTAAAAATAATATACCTTTTGTTTTAAGGGGAAAAATCAAGATTTTAAACTATAAAATAGTTTCTGAAACTTATACCTAGTAGATGACACTGATGCTTCACAACTATCAAACTTAATATATTTACTGGTTCAGAGGAAAATTAGAAAAATAAAGCCCCCAAGAGAGGCATCAGTTGCTTCCTAGTCACAATATCACATCTAGAACAGATCACAACCCAAATCAAAAATGAAGTCCCTGCTATCCCTGTAAGAGCCAAGTCACATTACCACTTCTATAATTCCGCCTCTACTACTTATCTTAAGCACTGTTGGAATTGTTCTGAGAACAATCGGCCTTAATTAGATCACTAGTACTCAGTGTTGAAGTCTCTGGTCAGCACTAATTGTTACAAATTTAATTATAAGACAGAGAGTACAAGTTGTAATTCAGACCCCTGGAGCTCTCTGTCCCTGGAATCTCGGAAGATGTCTTCTTCCCTGAGTTTAACTTTAGGTGTGAGTAACCCTCAATGATTCCCCTTTCGGGCAGACTGTTCCAGGATCACAGATTAAATCATGTCTTAGGCTGAATGTAACAAAGATGTCCAAAAAGAAAATTGCCTATGGCATAGAAAATATTCAGAAACCAATGGTGGTCTATTTATAAAAGATTAGTGTATAGGGAAATTGCACAATTCTATGGTAGAATAAAAATAACTAGAAGATATCATTATTCTTAGTATTTCATTATATCCCCATCTTATTCCAAGCCTGATTTAAAATAACCAGGCACTGACACCTGGTGAGTGCTTGCACTGGGTCTTGGTACCTTTCATGTTATCTCACTTATCCTAACAACCTGTTATGTCGTGTAATAACAATAACATCAAGGCTGCCTGAGATTACATTGAATATTACACAGCAGCAATGTCAGTATTGAAACTCACAGCTGTTGGAATGTGATCCATTACCCCACAATGCATTCAGTTTACTGGGAAACTCATTGCATGAGAAACTTGGGTACGTCTATTTCTGCTGGTCTGAAGCTGATTTAGGTAGCAGAAACACAAGATAAGGGACCAAAATGACTTGTTATGAATCTACTCTGGCAATGATGCAAGTGGAATCTACTCTAACAATGATGCAATCACTCAAAACATTTTGAATTTGTGTGTGTGTGTGTATGTATGCGTGCATACAAGTGCTTTTACAGGCAATGAACAAGCCACAAACTGAAAAGCCAATCTTACTACTTTACTGTCAAAACTTAAACTTTTTCCTTGTTTTAGTGCCAAGCAAGACAATTCAACTGGAACATATATTTTCTCCCCTAGAAGTTGTCTCTAAATTATTTCTAACTATTTCCACATATTCAAAAGAAAGTACCACAGGCTAGGATGGTAATTGCAAGAAGAAACTCAGAAAATAATTCAAACAATAACAATATCAGTTGAATAAGTAATTAGCATTCTAGTATGACTAATTTGAAGGATGATACTTTTTAAAATATAAAAGTTCTGTTGTATTGGAGGTTTTTGAAAATATATTATGTTTAATAATACTGTTCTATTGATTCTATGAGTTTAATAAAATTTTAATTCAAATGCAAAGAATACTATGTCTAAAGTCTGATAAAATAATAGTACAATTGTAAAGATGACTAGAGAGAGGTTTTTTACTATAACAAGCGTTATCCTGGGTTTTGCCTTTGAAATATTTGCTTTTATGACTAATAAATCTTGACTATCATTTAATGAAAAGCAAGTATCTGCTACTGGTAGACCATAAATAACTAAGTATGTATTTATGCCATATTTGCAATTTTTGATTCTAATCATAAAATAATTTAGGTAAAATTGTTGTAAGGAACATGGAGAAAAGGAGGAAACTGAGATGCATATTCTGGTGCAGAATTTGCTCCCATAAATACACACCCTCTTCTGATTCCCTAAGAAAGTCAGTCATAATGAATCATAGATTTTTTTTTCACCTAGTCCAGGTAGCCTCACAATTATTTTCAACATAGCACCCCCAGCTTGCACTGTTAATAGATTAAAGTTGGTGCTAAAGAAGAAGCTCACTTTCTATCTCAAGAAATGGCACAAGGTTGTCATTTGCCATAGGGAAGAAATGGACATCCCGAGGTAATTCAGGTTATCAGTTTGCACTCCCTCCACCAACACTACATGTGAACCAATTTAGAGAGACATTGCATCCTATTCTTAGAGGAAGGGCTAGAGAAGAGCACCAGCATTTATTGAATAATTATTACCTTTAGTCATTAGAAAAACTCTTGGAGCTAGAGATTTCTTTTCTGTATTTCAGATGTGAGGAAAATGAGGTGCCAAGATTTTAAGTAACTTCTCTTAGGTCACAGAGCTGGTGACTAGTATGAATATATACAGTGATTTTTCCTCAACTAAATGGTATGTCATTGTAATCTGCAAATATAAAAGCTATTGATGTATGTCTATTAATTTTATACTCATCCATCTTACTGGATTTTATTACAGTTTTATATTTTTTCTTGATTAGTTTTAGGTTTTCTATGTCTACAATAATAGCAGTTCACATAATGATAATTTTGCCTTACTCTTTCCAAATTTTATGTCTCTAATTTCTGTCTTTTGTCTAATTGCCATTGGCTTGTTTCTCTGAACAGTGTTAAATAACAGCACTGACAGTACATATCCTTGCCTTGTCCCAAGAGATTATAAAGAAACATTGTTGCTTCCCTCATCAAAGTTGATGTCGGCTTGGAGGTTGAGACAGATTTTAAAAATCAATTTAAGAATATTTTATTTAAAGTAAATAATATTTTAATCCAGAATGTACACTGACTTTTTAACAGTCTTATTGAGGTATAATTCATGTACCATGCAATCAACCCATTTGAAGAATACGATTTTAGAATATCCAGAGTCATGCAACCATCACCACAATCTAAATTCAGAATGTTTTTATCACCCCAAAAGGAAACTCCAGACCCATTACTTTCCTCACTCCTCATCCTACCCTCCTACCCTAGGCAACCATTGATCTACTTTTGTTTCACTAGATCTACCTGTTCTGGATATTTCATATGGACACAATCAGACAATATGTGGTCTATGGCAACTGGCTTACCTTTAACTTTTTCATTGCTTTTCTAAAACTTTTGGAGATGTTTATGCGATTCACCTTAGATCTATAACAAAGATGAAGTATGTCAATATATTTTCTAATATAGAACGACCCTCACGTTCTTGAAATGACTTCTTTTAATTGCCTACTAAGTTGTCTTTGCTAATAATTTATTTCTGATTTTTACACCAATATTGTGCTGTAGATTGTCTTCTGTGCTTTTTGTGTACTACTTCATAGAATAAATTTAGAAGCTTTCTTTCTTCACTTAGCCTCTGGAACAATTTAAATGGCATCAAATTTATCCTCTATGAAATTGCCTGGACAGAGTCCTTTTTAGAAAATTAGGTCTTTGACAACTTTATTTCTTCTATGTTAATTAGTCTTTCATATTTTTCTCCCCTTTCCGGAATCTGTTTTAATACATTTTATTCTCCTAGAAAACAATCCACTTTCAAATATTTCGGATATATTTGCATAGAGTTTTGGAAACCAGGCTCCTATGCTTCATTTAATTTCATCTGCCACCGTGGTTATTTTCTTTCTTGTTTTTAAATTTATACATTTGTGTCTTCTCCCATTTTCTTGCATAGTTAGCTGGCATTTATCTCCTGTAATATTTATTTTGTAAGACCCATCTTTTGGATATACATATAGCGTTACCATTTTTCAGTTTTCTAATTCATTGACTTCTACCTTTACCTTTACTAATTCCTTATTTCTGTTTTCCTTTCGGTCCTTTTCTATCTCCTTTAGTTACATGTTTAATTCATTTATAGTCATGCTTTCTTATTCATTAATATAAGTTTACAGGCTATGATTTATCCTCCTATTCATTAACATAAGCTTGTAGACTATAATTTATCCTCTGACTGTAAATCCTATGTGCTGTTATGTAGTATTTTCCTTATTCTTATGTTCTGTTATTTATGTTTATAAGTTGTTTAAGAAAAGGTTTCTAAATATCTAGTAGTGGGGCTTTTTGACTATCCGATTTTATTAAATTTGAGTTTATTGCATTTATATTACACAGTTTTGTCTATATCATTATATGATAGTTATTCATGTTTTCTTTGTGGCATATGATATGGTCATTCCTTTTACTATCCTACTGATAGTTAAAAAGTAGGCATATTCTTTATTTTTAAGATACAAAGTTCAGTATGTAGCAATTAAATCTACCTTATAAATCTACCTCGTACTTATATTTTTTAATACTAAGTTATTATCGTCTGCTCTTTTTTGTCCCCTTGCTTTGTTACAAACCAAAAAAGGTATTCACCTGTTATAACTAACATTTTTCTATTTCCCTAGCATTATACAGCATAATATATCTATTAGTCTAGCATCATATATCTCTAGCATTTTCTGTATAAATGTTGATTCTTTATTATTTAGTGCCTATTATTTACAACTATTGTATATTTATTGGAAATTGTACATATTAGTATTATTGGTACCTTTCTTTAGGTGTGTTTATCTTTTGCTGTAATTTATATTTAAATAAACCCAATTCTCATTGTCAGTCTTTTGCCATAATTTTCCAGTCAGTATTTGGAAAACTAAAGTTCATCTTCTCATAATGTCTTTCAGAAAGATTCATAAAAACAATGTACTTTAAGATATACAATATATTCCCTAAAATATATTTATCTGTCGTCTTTATACTTGAATGACAGTTTGTCTAAATTTAAAATTCTTGGGTCACAGTTCATTCCCTGAGGATTAGTAAGAATTGTTCCATTATGTCAAATGTTGCTATGCATTAATCTGAGGATAGCTTCATTTTTTCTATTTTTAAGTGACTTGATTTTATTGCCTGACTTTTCAAATAATATTTTTCTTTGTCTTTGATGTCTCGTAGCACTACTAAGATGCCTCAGCATGGCCTGTGTTACTAGTTGGCATGGGATAAACTACTACAGGGTAGACTCAATAAGTAATGGCTCAAAAAGAATAGAAATCGATTTCTTGCTCATAGGATATATATTTCAGGTTAGGCTTTGGGGGGGCTTCTAACCCACATAGTCATTCAGCTCTGCCTTCTTTGACCATTGTGGTCATAATAAGAGGGAATGAGCATGGAGGAGTTCCCATGGATATTTTATGGGCCATGTCTAAAACTGGGACACATCACTTCTGCTCACATAATATTGACTAGAATGCAGTCACATGACACAAAGGAGGCTGGAAAATGTGCGTAAGGGTTGAAGAAGAAAATCTTTTGGTGGACATGAGACACTTCTGCCACAATCTGCTCCTCTGGCAACAAAATAGTCATGCAGATTCCACTGACCACATGTGAAAAACAGTCACCTCTCCACAAGGGAGAAAACTCAATATTATTCAGTTATTGCATCCAACTCAAAATTCAGGATTTCTATGTGATTTCTATCCTTGCCATCAGGCCCAGTTCTGCTTCCCGGAGGATTGACAATCTATAGATTAAAAATACAATCCAACATCTGCCCTTTTCAAACACACATATATACAAATATCCAATAATGTCAGTGGCGTACAGAAAAGCTAGCCATGGCGAAAATCCCCATTCAGAAAAGGAAAGAATGAGAAACACACAGAAGTCACAGCTTACCCAGTGTGGCAAGCAGTGTGAAGTCTTGACAAAGGTGGCAATTTCTCAATTATACCTTGGAACTGCTCTCTATGAGGAATTTACTGTTTTCTGTAGCCTCTCATTTCACCCTCAGAAAATTCTTGCTTGCCCAATTTCCACGGCCTTATCTGAAGGGAGCATTGGGAAATATGACCTCCTTGGAAGCTGTACAGTGGAACACCTTTGCGTTACTTCCAGGCCCGGCAATAATGCTTTCTTGATGTACTCCTCCATGTTCCTCATCCCCTTTCCATAAGCTAGGACCAGAGGAAAGGGTTAATGATAGCATTTATTGAGCATTTAGGTCAGTAGGCTTTGATGGAACAACAAGCCTGGGTCCGTGAATGACTGTGGGGAAGAGAGGTCCTCCTTCACCAACCTGGAACATTCAATCTTGATTATTACAGTAGCAATAAATAAACTCTTTTGTGTTTTGCACTATTTCATTTGAGTGTATTTATTATAGTAATCTAGCCTTCACTAATTATTATGGAAATAAGCAACAGAAATGGAATGATAAGATAACTCTGACTTAAAATATGTGGCATTGTTTTCATGATTTGATATTGGATGATAAGGAAATAAACATTACTAGGGAGGAAGCTGGAGACTTAAATCATGCTATGGCAAATCATTAAGTATGCTTAATTCCACTGGAGAGAACCATCACATAGCCACTCCCTAAGTAAGCAAGGAAGTGTCATCTAGCTCCATGCTCAGGAGCAGGTAGAACAGATTTTGGGATACAGCCAGCAGTTCCTACCATGGCCATTCTGTATCAACTTTCTTTGAAATTTGGTACGCCCTTTTAGTCTGTAGATTGAATGTTTTTGTTTATAAATTGTCTTCAGAAATTCTTAATGTGTGTTCTGTTCCAATACTTCAGCTTCCTTCTTTAGGAACTCCCTTTACACTTATGTGTAAGCTCCATTTACACTTACATTTCATTTACTTTGAGTATGTTCCATATCTACACTAACATTCAACCCTATTTATGCATCAGTATCCTCTGCGTTCCTTATTGTACTTTTTCTAATTTATTTGTCTAATGGAGTTTTGAGGCTTTTTTTTTTTTTTACTTTTTTACTATGACCTGTACACTCACATTTCATTTCCTCTCGTTCTCTCTACTTTGTGCTTTACTTTATTATTAAGAAATTTTCTTCATTAAATTTCTTTTGTATGTCTCAGAGGTGGAGCAAGATGTCCAAATACAAGCTTCCAGTGATCATCTCCCTACAGGAACACCAAATCAAACAACTATCCACACAAAAGAGCACATTCATAAGAACCAAAAACCAAGTGAGTGATCACAGTATCTGCTTTGAACAAGTTAAGGAAAGAGGCACCAAAGAGGGTAGGAAAGGCAGTCTTGAGCTGCCTATACCATCCTTCCCAATCCTCCAGCAGCAGCTGTGTGGTATGGAGAGAGAATCTGTGAGATAGGGTAAGGAAGAGTGAAGTGATCATGGGACTTAGCATTGGAATTCAGCGCTGCCTGATTGATTCAATGTTGCCACAGTGGAAAACAACACAGGACAGAATTCAGCGGGCACCCACAAAGAGAGCATTTAGACCAGTCCTAGACAGAGGCAAATAATCTATCCCAGTGGTCAGAATCCGATTTCCAGCAAGCCCTTCCAATGCATGCTAAAGTGCTCTGGTGTCCTAAATAAATTTGAAAGGCAGTCTAGGTCACAAAGGCTGCAATTCCTGGGCACGTCTTAGTGCTGTGCAGGGTTCAAAGCCAGTGGACTTGGTGTGCTTGGAACCTAGTTAGACATCAGCCAGGATAAGCAAAGGACTGCTTAAGTCAAGCCTTTCCCAACCCTAGGCAGCACAGCTCTGGGGGCAATTCTTTCCCTCTACTTGAGGAAAGTAGAGGGGAGA
This sequence comes from Homo sapiens, assembly GCF_000001405.40. Classification (NCBI taxonomy): domain Eukaryota; kingdom Metazoa; phylum Chordata; class Mammalia; order Primates; family Hominidae; genus Homo; species Homo sapiens. The sequence goes on from NC_000018.10 coordinate 1,318,090, forward strand.
GTAAAAAGGACTTTGTCTTGCAACTTGGATACAAGCTTAGCCACAGTGGAATGGGGTTCCAGGCAGGGTGCTGAGGCTCCCCCATTCTAGGGCCTAACTCTTGGACATTTCTAGACACCTGGGGCCAGAAAGGAACCCATTCTCTTGAAAGAAAGGAACAAATACTGACATGATTCATCACCTGCTGCTTAAAGAGCCCTTGGGCACTGAATAATCAGCAAATGGTAGTGAGGCAGTACTCATCATGGGCCTTGGGTGAGACTCAGAGCTGTGCTAGCCCCAGGTGTAACCCAGCACATTCCCAGCTAGGTGGCTATGGGGAGAGACTCTTATTGCTTGAGGAAAGGACAGGGAAGAGTAAAGGAGACTTTACCTTGGAGTTTGGGTACCAGCTCAGCCACAGTGGGGTAGAGAACCAAGCTGTCTCCTGCAGTCCCTGATTCTAGGCCTTTGCACTCTCGACCTGCCCAGGGACAGAGGAGAGCCTGCTGTCCTGAAGTGAGAGACACAGGCTTGGCAGCATTTAACATAAACTGATTGCAGAGCCCTTGAGCCTTTATTGAATATTGGCAGTAGCCAGGCAGTATTTGCTGTGGTCCTGGGGCTGTGGTGGCCACAGAGAGAGACTCCTCTGCCGTCAAGAGGGAGGGAAAAGTGGGAAGAACCTTGTCTTGTAGCTTGGGTGCTAGCTCAGCTGAGGTAGAATACAGCATCAGGTAGATTCCTAAGGTTCCTGACTTCAGGCCCTGGGTCCTGGACAGCATCTCTGCATTCACCTGGGGCTTGAGGGAAGTCACTGCCCTGAAGGGAAAGACACAGGCTGGCTACATTCACCAACCTTGGGCCTTGAGTGAACATAAGCGGTAGCCAGGTAGTAGTCCCTGGGAGCCTTGGGCAAGAGCCAGTGCTGTGCTGGCTTTGATTATGACCCAGTGCAGTCCCAGTGGTGGTGGCCACAGGGTTGCTTGTGTCACTCCACCCCAAGGTCTAGGCAGCTCAGTGCAGACAGAGAGGCTGTGTTTGTGTGGGGGAAAGTAAGGGAAGAGAACAAGAGTCTCTGTCTGGTAATTCAGGGAATTCTCATGGATCTTACCCAAGATCACTTTGAGTGAACAGGGTGCCCACTTTTACCACTGTTATTCAACATAGTACTGGAAGTCTTAGCTAAAGCAATCAGACAAGAGAAAGAAATAAAGGGCACCCAAATGGGAAAGAAAGAAGTCAGATTATCCTTGTTTGCAGACAATAAAATCTTAATTTTGGAAAAAGCTAAAGTCTTCACCAAAATCTATGAGAACGGATGAAAAATTTGGTAAGGTTGCAAAATACAAAATACAAAATCAACATACAGTAGCATTTCTATATGTCAACAGTAGGCAATTTGAAGAAGAAACCAAGAAAGTACTCCCATTTACAATAGCTACAAATAAAATTATCTAGGAATTAACTAAGGAAGTAAAAGATCTCTACAATGAGAACTATAAGACATTGATGCAGGAAATTAAAGAGAACACCCAAAAATGGAAAGATATTTCATGTTCATGGATTAGAATAATCAATATCGTTAAATTGTCCATACACCCAAAACAATCTACAGGTTCAATGCAATCCCTGTCAAAATATCTGTGACATTCTTCACATAAATAGAAAAAATAATCCTGAAATTTATATGGAACCACAAAAGACCCAAATGGTGGCCAAAGCTATCCTGAGCAAAAAGAACAAAAACTGGAGGAATTATATTACCTGACTTCAAATTATACTACATAGCTATAGTAACCAAAAGAGCATGGTACTGGCATAAAAACAGACACATAGACTAATGGCACACAGTAGAGAACCCAGAGATAAATCCATACATCTACAATAAACTCATTTTTGACAGAGTTGCCAAGAATATACATTGGGGAAAAGAGAGTTTCTTCAATATGATGCTAGGAAAACTGGATATCCATATGCAAAAGAATGAAACTAGACTCCTATCTCTTGCCATGTACAAAAATCAAATCAAAATGGCTTAAAGACTTAAAAGACCTCAGACTATAAAACAACTACAAGAAAACATCAGGGAAACTATCCAGGACATTGGACTGGGCAAAGATTTCTTCAGTAATACCCCACAAGCACAGGCAACCAAAGCAAAAGTGGAAAATGGGATCACGTCAAGTTAAAAAGCTTCTGCACAGCAAAGGAAACAATCAACAAAGTGAATAGACAACCCACAGAATGAAAGAAATTACTTGCACAATATCCATCTGACAAGGGATTAATAAACAGAATATCTAAGGAGTTCAAACAACTCAATAGGAGTAAAATCTAATAATCTGATGAAAGAGTGGGCAAAATATCTGAATAGACATTTTTCAAAAGAAGACATGCAAATGGCAAACAAACAGCAACCAAGTATATGAAAAGGTGCTTAACATCATCGATCATCAGAGAAATGCAAATCAAAAGTACCATGCGACACCATCTCACCCCACTTGGAATAGCTTTTATCCAAAAATCAGGCAATAACAAATGCTGGCAAGGATGTGGAGAAAAGGGAATCCTGATACACTGTTGGTGGGAATGTAAATTAGTGCAACCACTATGGAGAACAGTTTGGAGGTTCCTCAAAAAACTGAAAATAGAGCTACCATATGATCCAGCAAGCTCACTGCTGAGTACATACCCAAAGAAAGGAAATCAGTATATCGAAATGGTATCTGCACTCCCATGTTTGTTGCAGCACTATTCACAACAGCCAAGATTTGGAAGCAACCTAAGTGTCCATCAACAGACCAATGGATAAAGAAAATGTGGTACATCTACACAAATGGAGCACTATTCAGCTGAGTACATACCCAAAGAAAGGAAATCAGTATATCGAAATGGTATCTGCACTCCCATGTTTGTTGCAGCACTATTCACAACAGCCAAGATTTGGAAGCAACCTAAGTGTCCATCAACAGACCAATGGATAAAGAAAATGTGGTACATCTACACAAATGGAGCACTATTCAGCTGAGTACATACCCAAAGAAAGGAAATCAGTATATCGAAATGGTATCTGCACTCCCATGTTTGCTGCAGCACTATTCACAACAGCCAAGATTTGGAAGCAACCTAAGTGTCCATCAACAGACCAATGGATAAAGAAAATGTGGTACATCTACACAAATGGAGCACTATTCAGCCATCAGAAAGAATAAGATCCTGTCATTTGCAACAACATGGATGGAACTGGAGATCATTAAGTTAAGTGAAGTAAGCCAGGCACAGAAAGACAAGTATCACATTTTCTCACTGATTTGTGGGAGGTAAAAATTAAAACAAACTCATGGAGGTAGAGAGTATAAAGATGGTTATCAGAGGCTGGAAAGGGTAGTGAGGGGGACGGGGAGTGGATATGGTTAGTGAGTACAAAAATATAGTTAGAATAAATAAGACCTAGTATTTGATATACCACAGGGTAACTATAGTCTACAATAATTTATTGTACATTTAAACATAACTAAAAGAATATAATTGGATTGTTTGTAACACAAAGGATAAACGCCTGAGATGATAGATACTCTCCCTCAAAATTTCTTTTGTAATTCATTTGAGAACATTTAGCAGCATTTTTTCAGTTGGGTTCTCTATTTTTCTGATAATTTTCTCCTTTTTTTGGTTATATCCTTGCTTTGTTTATTTTTTGATCTTCCGTTTGTTTAATGAGGTGTATTTTTACCCAACCTACTACTGTAATGAGGTTCTTAGAGGGGAAAGGGCTATGGCTGCTATTTTGGCCTTTATCTCCTATACATAGGACTTATCTCTGTGAATCCTCATTAGTCTCTCCTTTGCTGCTCCCCAGAACCAACATAAGTCACAGGAAGCTACCACCTCTAACTTGTGAATCCACTACCCAATGCTGTGAACACAGGATTTTCTTATGCAACTTAGGGTAACCACATAGTCTTCGAGAAATATACTTCATAGGCCCTTTTTTAGATCTGGGGCCATGTGTGTACTTTTCCAGTTTCTACTGCAAATCTGCTTTATTTTCATTGATTCTGGAATTTCACCTATTTTGTAGTTCAAAGTTTTAGCTGACTCCTAGTTTTGTGGGAGGTAGAGTTCATTTCTTTTCTTACCTCCTTGTGACTTTCACATATTTTCCTCAAGGGTACAGGGAAATGTTGACTTTACCCCATCATTGTCAAAGAGGCATTCTAATTACAATTTTTTACTGTCAAATGCCATTCTGCTGTGAGTTTTAACAAGTAGACATAAAAGAGAAAAACCACAGAAATACTTCATATTTCTTAATTCTGAATTGAATATTTCTGAAATACTACTTAAAAGAGTCTGGGGAAGATTGTTATTACAGCCATGCTGTAGAACTGTTTTATAAAATTTTTTGTAATTGTCTGACTTGCAACTAATATTATTCCCAGGATGTGTACATTCCTATAGCAACTCTGCTCGGTATGGAGTAGTAAATCCCTGGCTGACTGAGTCCTATGTGATAAATATCTTTGCTAACAGATTTTTTCATTTCCTTGTAACACATATATATGCATGTATCAATATGTGCATATATAGTTATTACCACAACGTATTCAATCTTCTCATTTTAAAAACCTGCTTAGATCTTGTCAACTGCCCTTCTTTAAATCAAAGAGAAAGCACTGGAGGTAACTTTTGAGAAAATGACTGTTTTTGATTTTTTTCAAACTCATGTATAGAATGATAGGATATTATCTATCCTATCAGAGTTAACCTCATTTAACACCCTCATTTTATAAAATAAGGAAACCGAGAATCAAAAGAACTAAAATTGCCTCCAAGGGCCCAAGCTAATTAGCAGCAGAGACAAAACTTGAACTCAGACTTCCTGATATAAGCTATTCTCTATCACACCAAATTCCATCACCAATAACAGATATTCTAATTTGGCAAAATGGGTTTTAGAAACTTTTCTACATAGTTCTTTTTTACAACTGAAGTTTAGCTTGTATGTACAGTAGAATTTCCTAGAACAAAACGCTAACCATTGCAAGATATAGGAGCATAAAGTCCTAGATACATTCAGGCAGGCATATCTGTACGGAAGTCCTTTTCAATTACTCAGCTTCAGAAGGGCTGCTCTTCTCAAATCTCACTACCCTCATAGCCGTACCATAGTAACTGCAATGGCAACACAATGTCTCTACATTTTTAAATGTAATAATCAAAACACATAGTTGAAATTGGTCTCTGGTAAATTTAGGTGAGTAGATTAAATTTTGACTCTAATTAAAATGTCCCTTCTGTCAGTTAGAGAATAAGCTCACACTTGCCTTTTTATGCTGAAAGTTTCTAATCACCTCAGTGCATCCCTTTGTTTACCCATTCCCCCAATTACTTTCTATCATTCATTCAATGATTTTAAGTTTTCATTCATTCACTTATCTGCTCATTTGTTCAATTAATAATTATTGGGAACCTGATTTTATTATGGCGTTATGCTTGGTGCTGTGGGCAGGGGGAAAGAAAGATACATAAAATATACTCTCTGCCCTCAGATCTCCTACTCTTGTATAGAAGATGAGAACTGTTCAGAAGTCATGATGATACGCCGAAAGTGATTGGTACAGAAGATTGTTCATGAGGTAGATGATATAACTTCCAAGAGGAGTGGTGGGGGTGGGGGTGGGATTGCAGAAATCCAGGAAGGCTTCAAGAAATCTGCTGCTGAAACTTGAGGACCAGGATCATGATGGATGGATATGCAGAGAGGCCCTTTTCTTGAGAGCTTGTTTAGAGGTTCCAGCAGGGGAGTGCAGCTACTCCTATACCCTTGATCAAAGACCGGTCCTCCTCTATCAGGGATGGTCTTCCTCTTCGACTGAGCATGCAGCTTCAAGAGGGACACACTTGGAGAGGTGAGGGAGGAAGGGGACACCCACCTAGCCAACCAGATCAGCCGGATCAACCCTGGCGATCAATGGGGTGACAGATGTTGCAGGCAGATCGCCCTCACATCCAAGATGCCTTTTTTTTTTAACACATACACCTGTACTTTATACATGCATACACACACACATACATATGCATACATACACCTTGGCCTTTTCTCTCCAAAAGATCCACTCTACCCTGAACCCTATAATTTGCCCTCATATGTGCCTACTTAACCAAATGCACTATCTACTTTCTACATCCAGAGCCAGGGAGAAACATGGTAATCTAAGAAAATGGCATGGGGCTAGCACAAACAATCTTGTATCTAAGCATTTCCCCAAATGCTGATGATTACATGCCACGTGAAATGTAGTCCAATCAATGGAATCTGATATGGGTGGTTGGGTTGACCTTTTGGTTGTAATTGTTTCTTTTGTCTAAATCTCTCTGAAGTCCAGTCGATAGTTGCCTTCACCCTCCTTTCTGGTTCTTAGTGACTAGAAGAACTCCTCACACCCTCTCGGAATACCCCACGAATAAGAGCTCCCCACACAAGTAAATAAAGGCTCTGTTTTGTAGGTCTACAAAACCAGAATTTTTTCTTATTTTTTTTTTTGGATAAACTCTTTAAGAAATCATCTGTAGGGTGGTTCGAGGTTCACATTTTGCTCAGCTAGAAATCTTGATCCCTTATCCGCATTAACAACTGTGTGGTGGGTACAATGGACAGTAAGTATGGTGGTACACAAAGAGGTTGGTTCATTCTATCGGGGCAAGAACTCAGTTATCAAGAAAGAGTCATAGAACAGAGAAAGGAGTAACACTCCAGGAAAACGTAAAAATTGACCAAACAATTTGGCTATGTTCAGAAAACTGGTTAAATTTTGTTATGGCTTTGGGCTTGGGTAACACAGGGAAGGGAGGAGGCTATACACAGTGAGAGACCAAGTATGTGTGAGCCTTGTTTCGAGGGCCCTGTATGCCATACTAAATATTTTAGATTTTATTCAGTAGACATTTAGGAGCAAGTAAAGGAGTTTAATCAAGAGTTGGGTGATCAAATTTACACTTTAGCAATATTGTCCATCAACAAAGAAGAATGTGTATTGAAGGTGTAATAGAATGACAACAGGAAGATAAGTTTGAAGATTTTAAAAATATTCATGTTTCAAATTTCTCTTCCTCTGAGAGAATGTCAATGGGCTTATCTAGGGCTGTAGCAGTGGCAAATGGAGAAGAACAGCCAGAGACTAGAAATATTAGGACTTCCAGGGAAAGATCAGCCTCTTCAATAAACAGTGCTGAGAAAATTGGATATCTATAGGCAGAAGAATGAAACTAGACCCCTATCCCTCACCACATACAAAAATTAAATAAAAATGGTTTGAAGTCTTAAATCTAAGCCCTCAAACTATCAAACTACTAAAATAACACATTAGAGAAACTCTACAGGACACTGATCTGGGCAAGGAGTTTTTCAGTAATACTCCACAAGCACAGGCAACCAAAGCAAAAATGGACCAATGGGATTATATAAAGCTAAAAATCTTCTGCACAGCAAATGAAACAATCAACAAAGTGAAGAGACAACCCACCGAATGAAAAAAAATATTTGCAAGCTACCCATTTGACAAGGGATTAATAACCAGAATATATAAGGAGCTCAGAAAACTCTATTTATTGCGGCACTATTCACAATAGCAAAGACTTGGAACCAATCCAAATGTCCAACAATGATAGACTGGATTAAGAAAATGTGGCACACGTACACCATGGAATACTATGCAGCCATATAAAATGATGAGTTCATGTCCTTTGTAGGGACATAGATGAAGCTGGAAACCATCATTCTCAGCAAACTATCACAAGAACAAAAAACCAAACACTGCATGTTCTCACTCATAGGAGGGAATTGAACAATGAGAACACATGGACACAGGAAGGGGAACATCACACACTGGGGACTGTTGTGGGGTGGGGGGAGGGGGGAGGGAGGGATAGCATTAGGAAATATACCTAATGTTAAATGACGAGTTAATGGGTGCAGCACACCAACATGGCACGTTTACATATGTAACAAACCTGCACGTTGTGCACATGTACCCTAAAACTTAAAGTATAATAAAAAGAAAAACATCTGATAATTGAATTAAAAGATGAGCAAAAGACCTGAATGCATATTTCTTAAAAGAAGACATACAAATGGAGAAAAGGGAACCCTTGTACACAGTTGGTGGGAATGTAAATTGGTACAACTACTATGGAGAACAGTTTAGAGGTTCCTCAAAAAACTAAAAACAGAACTAACATATAATTCAGCAATTCCACTCCCAAAAGAAAGGAAATCAGCATATCAAAGATATTTCTGCACTCACATGTTTATTGCAGCACTATTCACAATAGCCAAGATTTGGAAACAACCTAAGTATCCATCAATGGAAGAATGGATAAAGAAAATGTAGTACATATATATAATGGAGTATTTTTCAGCCATAAAAAAGAAAAGAGTCCTGTCATTTGCAACAACATGGATGGAACTAAAGGTCATTGTATTAAGTGAAATAAGGCAGGCATAGACAGACAAACTTCACATGTTCTCACTTATTTGTGGGAGCCAAACATTGAAACAACGGAACTCATGAAGATAGAGATTAGAAGGATGGCTTCCAGGGACTAGAAAGGGTACTGGGCAGGGGGTGGTTCGTGGTGGGAAGGGTAGGGATGGTTAACAGGTACAAAAAACAGAAATAATAAATAAGGCCTAGTATTTGCCAGCACAGCAAGGCGACTATGGTAAAAAATAATTTAATTGTGCACTTTAGAATAACTAAAAGAGTATAACTGGATTGTTTGTAACACAAAGGATACATTCTTGAGGGGGTGGATACCACATTTTACATGATGTGATTACTATGCATTGCATGCCTGTATCAAAACATCTCATTTACCACATAAATATACATACCTACTGTATACCTACAAAAATTAAAAGTTAAAAAAATTGTAATAGACATGAAATCATGTAAATCATTATGTATCCTTTTAAAGGATTTATAACAAAGTTGGGAACTATTGCATACTATATTTTATTCATCAAGGAAACATTAAAATTGAACAACACAAAAGGGTCATAGTGGGATAAGAAATTAACAGTGGAAGGAGAGCATAGGCACAGATGTTATCAGTTCAGAGAATAAAGGAAATCACTGTAGGTTTTGTGGACGAAGAGAATGAGATTTGAACCTGACCTTGAAGACTAGGTGGACTTCAGATAGGCAAAGAGAAAAGGAAGGAAGGATGCCATGGCATTATTGAAGCTCCAGTCAGTTTCTCTGTGACTGAACAGTCTAGAGGAACCACATGCGGCAAATGAGGCGCACACTTTCTAGGATATTCACAGGCAACAAGCAAAAAGGTGCAATTGAAGGAAAATGGAATGTGGGCCTGCAATTTCCCCCTGGGGATGAGAGGCAGCATATCAAGAACCAAGGAAACTTTTACACAGCAGTGTTCTTTGAAGTAAATTTCTTTACCAAAAAGAAATGTGAATTTTTTTAAAAAAAAGACACAAAAGGGAAAAAATTTACTAGCTGAGAGCTTTAATCATCAAAACTTTTTTCTCTTGTATTGCTATTTATTACTATCACCTGCCAAAGTCCCAGAGGCTGCGTAGGTGATAAGCAGGTTTTGTTGTCCTCACATCTTTTCAAAGAGCACTAACTCTGTGCCCAACTAGTGCACCTGTGTGCTGGATGAGAAATCACACAAGTGAAACACAGTCCCTATCCTGTGTGAGCTGATCTACCATGACATGTCACTATGCTCTTTGTGTGATCCTTCATTCAGAGGAACAGAAACAGGGTTCAGTGACTAAGAAAAAGTTTTGAAATACAAGAGCACATCTGCAAATTTGAAAATCATTTTTGAAGTCAGAAATTCTGTAGTGAACTTTAATTGACATTCACTTGGCCCCTACAACATGTTCTCTAAGATGCACTTTCACTAACTTCAAGTCTTTTTCTAGAGCAAACACATTCAGAGTTCCCAGTGTTTGATTCCAGCCCCACATACAAAAAAAAAAAAAAGTTACCTGGTGATAGAAAGAAATCAATCATAAAGATTTGCCAGCTTCAAGGAGTAAAAGAACAGAAAGATCTTTAGATAAATAACAAGGAAAACATAGCACCCAACAGACCTCAAGTTTACCTTCTGAACAGCAAGGGGAAGGGAAAGAGGGACACCTTCAGGGAAACGAATGGATAGTGTAAGTCCCCACCCATCCTTTTCAACAAATCAATTAAAGTTAATTACATTGTTTTGCTTGTTTTAACATAGGTAAAGAGACCAATGACAGCACACTTTATAAATCCACAGAAGCAGACATCAGAAATCATTTACAGATAAAGCCGCAGAAGACTGGCCAAGAGATTGACAATCAGTGGATACAGGTCTGGGTAATCCTAATTCATGAAATAGCACTCAATTCCAGGTTTTGCATGTGAGTATAACGAATGAGTTTTTAATTCTGCTGAATATTTATTCTAAATGCAGTCCCCAAACTTAACATTGGATATATGTTCTAAAGTATTTTTTGTCAACTAAATGTCAACTAAATTTTTTGACAACTAAATTTTTTAACATTGGATATATGCTCTAAAGTATTTTTTGTCAACTAAATGTCTTAACATAAATCTGGATTTTCTATTTTTCCCAGGCATTGATAAAGAAGCTATGGTATTGAGGAACATTCCATGAAATAGTTATTTTGGAGAATTCATGAAAATGTTCACAGAAAAAGTTGCCACAAAAATGAATAAAGAATGGAGTGGCAATAGATTATATTATGTATTTTATAGACTCGTCCATTGATTCTCATTCTTTCTGGCCTAATTTTTTATTTATTACCTTATATGTACTTTCTCAAAAATGTGATACACACTTAGAAAAATTAACTTTCTGAAGCAACATTGTATAGGGGATAAACCACTATCCTGATTTGTCCGCTCTGAGCACAAGAATCATGGCTACAAAAGGTAGATAGGATAAACCTACTATGACACCAACACTGTATGAAGTCAATAAAAGAGGCAGTTAAGAACAATTTTATGACTTCCATGAAACAAGAAAAAAATGCAGGCTAAATTACCAAATAAGCAAATGTGTATAAAAATAGTACTATAGAATTGAGATGTTTATTTTTTCAAAAACAATTTACTTTTTTTCTCAATGAATCAATCAGAGCTAGAAAAACAGAATCTATTCTGGGTGTGATGGTTAATAGAATGTCAACTTGATTGGATTGAGGGATACAAAATATTAACCCTGGGTGTGTCTGTGTGGGTGTTGCCAAAAGAGATTAACAGGGCTGGGGAAGGCAGATCCACCCTTAATCTGGTAGGCACAATCTAATAAGCTTCCAGTGAATATAAAGCAGGTAGAAAAAAACTGGATGCTTCCTGCCCTCAAACATCAGACCCCAAGTTCTTCAGTTTTGAGACTCAGACCAGCTCTCCTTGTTCCTCAGCTTGCAAAGCCTATTGTGGGACCTTGTTATCATGTAAGTTAATACTTAAGGAACTCCCCTTTATATATATGTATATATGTATCCTATTAGTTCTGTCCCTCTAAAAGAACCCTGACTAATACAGATATTGGTACCAGGAGTTGTTCTAGAGGAACAGAATATTAAGGATGGAGTTCTTTAGTTAGTTTTGGGGTTTCTGGAGTTGGCTGCTTAATATGATTAGACCCCAAAATCTAAGGACTCTACTTTTAGTAGTATGGAGAACACTGATAGTCCTTGGTGTGAACTGTTTAGAGAGTTCTGCAAATTAATGCATTTGACACTCCTGATTCACCACTCGTGAGAGGCAAGGAGTTTGGGTGGGTTACTGTGGCCTATTTATCAAGTAACCTGAAAGGCTGCCAGTGTCGAGCGGGGTCCAGAACAGGAGAAGGCTCTGCAACAGGTCCAGGCTGCTGTGCAAGCTGCTCTGCCACTTGGGCCATATGACCCAGAAGATCCAATGGTGCTTGAGGTCAGTGGCAGATAGGGATGTTGTTTGGAGCCTTTGGCAGGCTTCTATAGGTAAATCACAGCGGAGGCCTCTAGGATTTTGGAGCAAGGCCCTGCCATCTTCTGCAGTTAACTACTCCCCTTTCGAGAGACAGCTCTTGGCCTGTTACTGGGCTTTGGTGGAAACTGAACGTTTGACTATGGGTCATCAAGTCACATGCAACCTGAACTGCCTATCATGAACTGGGTGCTTTCTGACCCATCTAGCCATAAAGTGGGTCATGCACAGCAGCATTCCATCATCAAATGGAAGTGGTATGTACATGATTGGGCTCGAGCAGGTCCTGAAGGCACAAGTAAGTTACATGAGGAAGTGGCTCAAATGCCCATGGTCTCCACTCCTGCCACCCTGTCTTCTCTCCCCCAGCCTGCACTGATGGCCTCATGGGGAGGTCCCTATGATCAGTTGACAGAGGAAGAGAAGACTAGGGCCTGGTTCACAGATGGTTCCACACGATAGGCAGGCATCACCCAAAAGTGGACAGCTGCAGCACTACAGTCCCTTTCTAGGACATCCCTGAAGGACAGCGGTGAAGGAAAATCTTTCCAGTGGGCAGAAATTTTATCACTGCACCTGGTTGTGCACTTTGTATGCAAGGAGAAATAGCCAGATGTGCGATTATATACTGATACGTGGGCTGTAGCCAATGGTTTGGCTGGATGGTCAGGGACTTGGAAGAAGCATGATTGGAAAATTGGTGACAAAGGAATTTGGGGAAAAGGTATGTGGATGGACCTCTCTGAGTGGTCAAAAACTGTAAAGATATTTGTATTCCATGTAAGTGCTCACCAGTGGGTGACCTGATCAGAGGAAGAGTTTAATAATCAAGCAGATAGGATGACCTGTTCTGTGGACACCACTCAGCCTCTTTCCCCAGCCATCCCTGTCATTGCCCAAATGAGCCCATGAACAAAGTGTCCGTGGTGGCAGGGATGGAGGTTACACATGGGCTCAGCAACATGGACTTCTACTCACCAAAGCTGACCCAGCTACAGGCACTGCTGAGTGCCCAATTTGCCAACAGCAGAGACTAACACTGGGCCCTCGATATGGCACCATTCCTCGGGGTGATCAACCAGCTACCTGGTGGCAGGGTGATTATATCAGACCTCCTCCATCATGGAAAGGACAGAGGTTTGTCCTCACTGGAATAGACACCTACTCCAGATATGGGTTTGCCTATCCCGCACACAATGCTTCTGCCAAGACTACCATCTGAGGACTTACGGAATGCCTTATCCACCGTCATGGTATTCCACACAGCATGGCCTCTGACCAATGCCCTCACTTTGTGGCTAAAGAAGTGCGGCAGTGGGCTCATGCTCATGGAATTCACTGATCTTACCATGTTCCCCATCATCCTGAAGCAGCTGGATTGATAGAATGGTGGAATGGCCTTTCAAAGTCACAATTACAGTGCCAACTACGTGACAATACTTTGTAGGGCTGGGGCAAAGTTCTCCAGAAGGGCATGTATGCTCTGAATCAGCATCCGATATATGGTACTGTTTCTCCCATAGCCAAGATTCATGGGTCCAGGAATCAAGGGGTGGAAGTGGAAGTGTTATCACTCACCATCACCCCTAGGGATCCACTAGCAAAATTTTTGCTTCCTGTTTTCGCGACATTACGTTCTGCTGGCCTAGAGGTCTTAGTTCCAGAGGAAGGAACGCTGCCACCAGGAGACACAACGATTCCATTAAACTGGAAGTTAAGATTGCCACCTGGACACTTTGGGCTCCTCCTACTAAGTCAACAGGTTAAGAAGGGAGTTACAGTGTTGTCTGGGGTGACTGACCCAGACTATCAAGATGAAATCTGTCTACTACTCCACAATGGAGGTAAGGAAGAATGCTCATGGAATATAGGAGATCCATTAGGGCATCACTTAGTATTACCATGCCCTGTGATTAAGGCCAATGGGAAACTACAACAGCCCAATCCAGGCAGGACTACAAATGACCCAGACCCTTCAGGAATGAAGGTTTTTCACTTCACCAGGAAAAATCCACGACCTGCTGAGGTGCTTGCTGAAGGCAAAGGGAATACAGAATGGGTAGTAGAAGGTGATAGTCATCAATATGAGCTATGACCACATGACCAGCTACAGAAACAAGGACTATAACTGTCATGAGTATTTCCTCCTTCTTTTATTAAAAACATGTTCGTGCATGCATACCCTTGTACTAAGAAAATGCCTTCATTTTATTTCCTGACATAAAATTTATTGACTTCAGACCAGCATTTAAATATTGTTAACTTTATGTAATAGTATTTGGGTTGGGGATTGGTGCGTTTCTGGTTGTACAAAGGATAGTTGTTTTATGTTAGGTGTAATTATGACCTAATTTTTTTTTTTTTTTTTTTAGACAGAGTCTCATTCTGTCACCCAGGCTGGAGTGCAGTGGTGCGATCTCGGCTCACTGGAACCTCTGCCTCCCAAGTTCAAACAATTCTCCTGCCTCAGCCTCCTGAGTAGCTGGGACTACAGGCGTGCGCCACCATGCCCTGCTAATTTTTAGTAGAGACGGGGTTTCACCATGTTGGTCAGGATGGTCTTGATCTCTTGACCTCATGATCCACCCGCCTCAGCCTCCCAAAGTGCTGGGATTACAGGCGTGAACCACTGTGTCCCGCCTAATTATGACCTCATTATTATCTTTATTTGAAGATTATGTATAATCTCAGGAGATGTGTATGGGTTCAAGTTGACAAGGGGTGGACTTGTGATGGTAAATATTGAGTGTCAACTTGATTGGATTAAAGGATGCAAAGTATTTATCCTGGGTGTGTCTGTGAGGCTGTTGCCAAGAGATTGACCTTTGAGTCAGTGGGCTGGAGAAGGTAGATCCACCCTTAATCTGGTGGGCACAATCTAATCAGTTTCCAGGGAATATAAAGCAGGCAGAAAAAGATGTGAAAAAGAGAGATAGGCCTAGCCTCCCTGCCTACATCTTTCTTCTGTGCTGGATGCTTCCTGCCTTTGAACATCAGACTCCAAGTTCTTCAGTTTTGGGACTTGGACTGGCTCTCCTTGCTCCTCAGCTTGCACACAGCCTGTTGTGGAGCCTTGTGATCATGTCAGTTAATATTTAATAAGCTCCCATTTATCTATCTATCATCTATCTCTATCTATCTATCTATCTATCTATCTATCTATCTATCTATCTATCATCTATCTACTATCTATCTATCTATCTATCCATCCTATTAGTTCTGTCCCTCTAAAAGAACCCTGACTAACACACTAGGTCTCTGAATTTTTCCTTTTTGTTCACTGTCTACTTTTTCCTATTCCTTTTCTGCATATCCATCAAAATATTCTAAGCAGATGCAGAACTTTCTTATGCCAGATTCTTATTATTACTTTGAAAAATTTTCCATCTCTAAATCTGTAATTACTCACTAAATACCTAGGATTTATTAGTTATACATCTACGGAAATTGGTTTCACCAAAAATGTTCCTTTAAAACACGTGTTGCTTATTATATTCCTAAGAATGAATAGTCTATATCTATTCATATCTATATCTGTATCTCTATATCTCCAGTTGCACTCAAGGACAGAGTGAACAATCAGGGGCTGTGGGAGGCAGGTTTTGGAGTATCAAGAAGGTGAGGGCCCCCTGGTTCCCAAAGAAGAATGTGATTGGCTTGTTTAAATACTGTGGGCTGCCAGGGAAATGAAGCCCACTACTCAAGCATAAGCAGGAACTGCATTTGGTCTTTTTGATATGGTGAGTTGTTTGGTTAGAAGACTTTATGCACAGGATCACAGTGGTGGGGGGAAACTTGTGATTAGGCAATTTGAGGCTCTCCCAATTTCATCAGTGGTCAAGGCAGTATAAAATATTAATTTTGAGTCTTATACCACATTTACCTGTGGAAATGTACAGTAGTAGATAAAGATAAATGCCACACAATTGGCAGGTATAATTTTACTCATGATGGTTTATGAAATTTCTTAGATATTATCCATCTTGAAGGAAAACTACTTCTCACCCATTGAACATCCAGTGATAAGGAAATTACTGGTCCTTTATAACTTTGGCAATGAGTTAGTGCCTTAACACTCTACTATGGTACCTAAGAAAGCAAGCTACTACTTTGTTATCTCAGCATGACATCCTACTCTTGTTTCTAAAGATGACCAGTCCTCCTTAGGTACTTTAGTATACTGTGTTCATTAGACATACACACGGCTTCAATAAAGCTCTGGAGATATTCTACATGAACATCACCAGTTATCCTTTTATTCTTATTGCAACATGTAGAAGCGCTTAAACCTCACACTTCTCAAAAAAGTGTTCCCTAAAATAGCTTCCTCTGATACAACAGCAATAAGCACCAACACTATCTCGGGGCTGACTGAATTGGAAAAATGCTTGAACTCCCATTAGGCACACTTAATAGATAGTACTAATTTATTCTTAACCACTAAGTGCTTTGAATGTGACTGAAGGGTGTAGTTTCTTTATCAAGGTTAAACATATCTCAACAATATTGATTCTATATTCTTTTTTTCAAGATATGAAGGTTTTCAGAAAACTACTTGCCACACAACAGTTCGGATCTCAGTCCGCTTAATCTATGTCAGTCAGCTTGGGCTGCTCTAACAAAATACCATACACTGGGTGGCTTACACAGCAGAAACTTATTTCTATTAAAGGGTGGAAGTTCAACATCAGGATGCCAGCATTGTTGGGCTCTAGCAAAGTCTGTCTTCCTGGCTTGCCAGTGGCCATCTTCTCACTGTGTCATCACATGACACTGAGAGAGAGAGCAAGCAATCTCTCTGGTGTCCCTTCTTGTAAGGGCACTCTAATCACATCATGAGGGCCCTACCCTCATGACCTCATCCAAATCTAATTGCCTTCTCAAATCCCCAAATCCAAATACATCACATTGGAGGTTAGGGCTTCAACATAGGAATTTGTGGGGAAGGACATAATTCAGTCCCTGATAGAAGTGTCATATTTCCAAGGACAGCATTTTTCTCTCTGGTATTAACTCCCAATCACCTTGACTGACCTTGATGTCCTCAAAATTTCCTCAGGTATACATTTGCAAATGATCTCATCCACTACATTCTTTAAAAATAGTATTGATTATTTTTTCTGATTATAAAATAACACACTTTCAAAGATGGCTGAATAGGAACAGCTACAGTCTACAGCTCCCAGCGTGAGCAATGCAGAAGATGGGTGATTTCTGCATTTCCAACTGAGGTTCATCTCACTGGGACTTGTTGGACAGTGGGTGCAGCCCATGCGAGCATGAGCTGAAGCAGGGCAGGGTATCGCCTCACTCAGGAAGCACAAGGGGTCGGGGAACTCCCTGTCCTAGCCAAGGGAAGCCGTGACACATGGTACCTGGAAAATCGGGACACTCCCACCCTAATACTGCACTTTTCCAACAGTCTTAGCAAACGGCACACCAGGAGATTATACCCCACACCTGGCTTGGAGGGTTCCATGCCCACAGAGCCTGGCTCACTGCTAGCACAGCAGTCCGAGATCGAACTGCAAGGCGGCAGCGAGGCTGGGGGAGGGGCGCCTGCCATTGCTGAGGCTTGAGTAGGTAAACAAAACAGCCAGGAATCTTGAACTGGGTGGAGCCCACTGCAGCTCAAGGAGGCCTGCCTGCTTCTGTAGATTCCACCTCTGGTGGCAGGGCATAGCTGAACAAAAGGCAGCAGAAACCTCTGCAGATTAAATGTCCCTATCTGACAGCTTTGAAGAGAGTAGAGGTTCTCCCAGCACGGAGTTTGAGATCTGAGAATGGACAGACTGCTTTCTCAAGTGAGTCCCTCACCCCCGAGTAGCCTAACTGGGAGATACCTCCCAGTAGGGGCCGACTAACACCTCATACAGCCAGGTGCTCTTCTGAGATGAAGCTTCCAGAGGAAGGATCAGGCGGCAACATTTGCTGTTCTGCAATATTTGCTGCAGCCTCCGCTGGTGATACCCAGGCAAACAGGGTCTGCAGTGGACCTCCAGCGAACTCCAACAGACCTGCAGCTGAGGGTCCTGACTGTTAGAAGGAAAACTAACAAACAGAAAGGAATAGGATCAACATCAACAAAAAAGACATCCACATCAAAACCCCATCTGTAGGTCACCAGCATCAAAGACCAAAGGTAGATAAAACCACAAAGATGGGGAGAAACCAGAGCAGAAAAGCTGAAAATTCTAAAAATCAGAGTGCTTCTTCTCCTCCAAGGGAATGCAGCTCCTCACCAGCAACGGAACGAAGCTGGATGGAGAATGACTTTGATGAGTTGACAGAAGTAGGCTTCAAAAGATCAGTAATAACAAACTTCTCCAAGCTAAAGGAGGATGTTTGAACCCATCACAAAGGTGCTAAAAACCTTGAAAAAAGATTACATGAATGGCTAGAATAAACAGCATAGAGAAGACCTTAAATGACCTGATGGAGCTGAAAACCATGGCATGAGAACTACGTGATGCATGCACAATGTTCAGCAGCCGATTCAATCAAGTGGAAGATAGGGCATCAGTGATTGAAGATCAAATGAATGAAATGAAGTGAGAATAGAAGTTTAGAGAAAAAAGAATTAAAAGAAACGAGCAAAGCCTCCAAGAAATATGGGACTATGTGAAAACACCAAATCTATGTCTGATGGGTGTACCTAAAAGTGATGAGGAGAATGGAACCAAGTTGGAAACACTCTACAGGATGTTATCCAGGAGAACTTCCCCAATCTAGCAAGGCAGGCCAACGTTCAAATCCAGGAAATACAGAGAATGCCACAAAGATACTCCTCGAGAAGAGCAATCCCAAGACACGTAATTGTCAGATTCACCAAGGTTGAAATGAAGGAAAAAATGTTCAGGGCAGCCAGAGAGAAAGGTTGGGTTACCCACAAAGGGAAGCCCATCAGACTAACAGCTGATCTCTCGGCAGAAACTCTACAAGTCAGAAGAGAGTGGGGGCCAATATTCAACATTCTTAAAGAAAAGAATTTTCAACCCAGAATTTCATATCCAGCCAAACTAAGCTTCATAAGTGAAGGAGAAATAAAATACTTTACAGACAAGCAAATGCTGAGAGATTTTGTCACCACCAGGCCTGCCCTAAAAGAGCTCCTGAAGGAAGCACTAAACATGGAAAGGAAGAACTGGTACCAGCCACTGCAAAAACATGCCAAAATGTAAAGATTATCAAGACTAGGAAGAAACTGCATCAACTAACGAGCAAAATAACCAGCTAACATAATAATGACAGGATCAAATTCACACATAACAATATTAACCTTAAATGTAAATGGGCTAAATACTCCAATTAAAAACAAAGACTGGCAAATTGGATAAAGAGTCAAGACCCATCAATGTGCTGTATTCAGGAGATCCATCTCACGTGCAGAGACACACATAGGCTCAAAATAAAGAGATGGAGGAAGATCTACCAAGCAAATGGAAAACAAAAAAAAAGGGTAGGTTGCAATCCTAGTCTCTGATAAAACAGACTTTAAACCAACAAAGATCAAAAGAGACAAAGAAGGCCATTACATAATGGTAAAGGGATCAATTCAACAAGAAGAGCTAACTATCCTAAATATATATGCACCCAATACAGGAGCACCCAGATTCATAAAGCAAGTCCTTAGAGACCTACAAAGAGACTTAGACTCCCACACAATAATAATGGGAGACTTTAACACCCCATTGTCAACATTAGACAGATCCACGAGACAGAAAGTTAACAAGGATATCCAGGAATTGAACTCAGCTCTTCACAAAGCAGACCTAATAGACTTCTACAGAACTCTCCACCCCAAGTCAACAGAATATACATTCTTCTCAGCACCACATTGCACTTATTCCAAAATTGACCACATAATTGAAAGTAAAGCACTCCTCAGCAAATGTAAAGAGCAGAGATTATAACAAACTGTCTCCCAGACCACAGTGCAATCAAATTAGAACTCAGGATTAAGAAACTCACTCAAAACTGCTCAACTACATGGAAACTGAACAACCTACTCCTGAATGACTACTGGGTACATAACGAAATGAAGGCAGAAATAAAGATGTTCTTTGAAACCAATGAGAACAAAGACACAACGTACCACAATCTCTGGGACACATTTAAAGCAGTGTGTAGAGGGAAATTTATAGCACTAAATGCCCACAAGAGAAAGCAGGAAAGATCTAAAATTGACACCCTAACATCACAATTAAAAGAACTAGAGAAGCAAGAGTGAACACATTCAAAAGCTAGCAGAAGGAAAGAAATAACTAAGATCAGAGCAGAACTGAAGGAGATAGAGACACAAAAAACCCTCCAAAAAATCAATGAATCCAGGAGATGGTTTTTTGAAAAGATCAATGAAATTGATAGACTGCTAGCAAGACTAATAAAGAAGAAAAGAGAGAAGAATCAAATAGATGCAATAAAAAATGATAAAGAGGTTATCACCACCGATCCCACAGAAATACAAACTACCATCAGAAAATTCTATAAACACCTCTATGCAAATAAACTAGAAAATCTAGAAGAAATGGATAAATTCCTCGACACATACACCCTCCCAAGACTAAACCAGGAAGAAGTTGAATCTCTGAATAGACCAATAACAGGCTCTGAAATTGAGGCAATAATTAATAGTCCACCAACCAAAAAAAGACCGGGACCAGACAGATTCACAGCCGAATTCTATCAGAGGTACAAAGAGGAGCTGGTACCATTCCTTCTGAAACTATTCCAATCAGTAGAAAAAGAGGGAATCCTCCCTAACTCATTTTATGAGGCCAGCATCATCCTGATACCAAAGCCTGGCAGAGACACAACAAAAAAAGAGAATTTTAGACCAATATCCCTGATGAACATCAATGCAAAAAGCCTCAATAAAATACTGGCAAACCAAACCCAGCAGCACATCAAAAAGCTTATCCGCCATGATCAAGTTGGCTTCATCCCTGGGATGCAAGGCTGGTTCAACGTATGCGAATCAATAAACGTAATCCATCATATAAACAGAACTAAAGACAAAAAACACATGATTATCTCAATAGAGGCAGAAAAGGCCTTTGACAAAATTCAACAGTCCTTCATGCTAAAAACCCTTAATAAACTAGGTATTGATGGGATATATCTCAAAATAATAAGAGCTATTTATGATAAACCCACAGCCAATGTCATACTGAATGGGCAAAAACTGGAAGCATTCCCTTTGAAAACTGGCACAAGACAGGGATGCCCTCCCTCACCACTCCTATTCAACATAGTGTTGGAAGTTCTGGCCAGGGCAATCAGGCAGAAGAAAGAAATAAAGGGTATTCAATTAGGAAAAGAGGAAATCAAATTGTCAGGTTTGCAGATGACATGATTGTATATTTAGAAAACCCCATGGTCTCAGCCCAAAATCTCCTTAAGCTGATAAGCAACTTCAGCAAAGTCTCAGGATACAAAATCAATGTGCAAAAATCACAAGCATTCCTATACACCAA
Organism: Homo sapiens; assembly: GCF_000001405.40. Taxonomy (NCBI): domain Eukaryota; kingdom Metazoa; phylum Chordata; class Mammalia; order Primates; family Hominidae; genus Homo; species Homo sapiens. The sequence continues at coordinate 1,339,553 of NC_000018.10, forward strand.
TCATAGACAAACAGAGAGCCAAATCATGAGTGAACTCCCATTCATAATTGCTTCAAAGAGAATAAAATACCTAGGAATCCAACTTACAAGGGATGTGAAGGGCCTCTTCAAGGAGAACTGCAAACCACTGCTTAATGAAATAAAAGAGGACACAAACAAATGGAAGAACATTCCATGCTCAAGGATAGGAAGAATCAATATCTTGAAAATGGCCATACTGCCCAAGGTAATTTACAGATTCAATGCCATCCCCATCAAGCTACCAATGACTTCCTTCACAGAATTGGAAAAAACTACTTTAAAGTTCATATGGAACCAAAAAAGAGCCCACATTGCCAAGACAATCTTAAGCAAAAAGAACAAAGCTGGAGGCATCATGCTACCTGACTTCAAACTATACTACAAGGCTACAGTAACCAAAACAGCATGGTACTGGTACGAAAACAGAGATATAGACCAATGGAACAGAACAGAGCCCTCAGAAATAATACCACACATCTACAACTATCTGATCTTTGACAAACCTGACAAAAACAAGAAATGGGGAAAAGATTCCCTATTTAATAAATGGTGCTGGGAAAACTTGGGTAGCCATATGTAGAAAGCTGAAACTCGATCCCTTCCTTACACCTTATACAAAAATTAATTCAAGATGGATTAAAGACTTAAATGTTAGACCCAAAACCTAAAAATTCTAGAAGAAAGCCTAGGCAATACCATTCAGGACATAGGCATGGGCAAGGACTTCATGACTAAAACACCAAAAGCAATGGCAACAGAAGCCAAAATAAACAAATGGGATGTAATTAAACTAAAGAGCTTCTGCACAGCAGAAGAAACTACCATCAGAGTGAATAGGCAACCTACAGAATGGGAGAAAATTTTTGCAATCTACTCATCTGACAAAGGGCTAATATCCGTCGTCTACAAAGAAATAAATTTACAAGAAAAAAAATCAAACAACCCCATCAAAAAGTGGGCAAAGGATATGAACAGACACTTCTCAAAAAGAAGACATTTATGCAGCCAACAGACACATGAAAAAATGCTCATCATCACTGGCCATCAGAGAAATGCAAATCAAAATCGCAATGAGATACCATCTCACACCAGTTAGAATGGTGATCACTAAAAAGTCAGGAAACAACAGGTGCTGGAGAGGATGTGGAGAAATAGGAACACTTTGACACTGTTGGTGGGACTGTAAACTAGTTCAACCATTGTGGAAGACAGTGTGGCGATTCCTCAGGGATCTAGAACTAGAGATACCATTTGACCCAGCCATCCCATTACTGGGTATATACCCAAAGGATTATAAATCATGCTGCTATAAAGACACATGCACACGTATGTTTATTGCAGCACTATTCACAATAGCAAAGACTTGGAACCAATTCAAATGTCCAACAATGATAGACTGGATTAAGAAAATGTGGCACATATACACCATGGAATACTATGCAGCCATAAAAAAGGATGAGTTCATGTCCTTTGTAGGGACATGGATGAAGCTGGAAACCATCATTCTGAGCAAACTGTCTTAAGGACAGAAAACCAAGCACTGCATGTTCTCACTCATAGGTGGGAATTGAACAATGAGAACATTTGGACACAGGTTGGGGAACATCACACACCAGGGCCTGATGTGGGGTGGAGGGATGGGGGAGGGATAACATTAGGAGAAATACCTAATGTAAATGACAAGTTAATGGGTGCAGCACACCAACATGGCACATGCATACATATGTAACAAACCTGCACATTGTGTACATGTACCCTAGAACTTAAAGTATAATAAATAAAATAAAATAAAATAACACATTTTCCTTCCAGAAAATTTAGAACATAGAAAAATACAAAGAAGAAAACTGCAACTAACATAAACATCTATTTCATTTTGTTTCTTTTAAACTGTACTGCAGTTTTCGGGGATGTATTATTATCAGAAAGATATATTATCTACTGAATTTGTTGGGTGAAAGGCAACATAAATACTTCATATTTGACCTTTATGATGCCATGTGGGTTGAAGAATTTTGTTGTATATAATGAATGCTAAGACTTCAAAAATTGTATGTTTATATTCAGATATTCATTTTGCAATGAATAAAATAGACAAAACCCTGCCTTCAAAACAAATGTTAGCCCCTTCTAAATAATCACAAATTCTTAATTTTAAAAATTCTGAATAGAAGAGGGTTTATTCTAGTTTGGAATATAAAAATATCCTGTACAGAGAGCCTGGCTAATAAATATCCCATAACATAAGGGCATCATGCAGAAAATAGAATTATTCTTAAGTTTTTAATAACAGAAAAGCTATATTTCTTTACCTAAAATAAGTTTTACTGGGGGGAATATTAGGGGAACGCAAGAGTTTAGAGGATTACTGTGATGCGAACACCATCCATTCTATGTTTAAGGAGCAAAATGGCAAAATAATTCAACTCTAAGAATGTTGTCAAAAGGCTGTGAGAATCTTCAGTAAACAAGCTAGACACCTGTTAGGGAGCCCTGGGGAAGGAAGTGGACACAATAGGAAATATAATCAGCAGACATTAGCTATGAAAATCTAACATCAACTTTCAGAGTCAGAACTGCAAAGACTGTTGAGGATAAGGTGTTCCTGCTCCAAAAGAAAGTCTTGAAAAGTTTCCTAAACTTCCCATGTTGGTGTCACACTGAAATACAAAGAGATTTTAGCCTCACATTCCCCAATAAATTAATTTCTGTGCACTTGTGCTTCATCTGTGCTTCTCCACTTTCTTCTCTCCTGAAACTCATGGTTAACAAATGGTTCAAGTCTAAAAGTTAATTTAATGGTGTGTAACTTTTGATTTATGATTTCCCCCTCTTTTCTTGACACATGGTACTGGTACTTCTCATTTATTTCTACCTCAAAATAAATCATCCACAATTCCAAGTCCATCTATAGTTGGTCATTTTTAGAGTCTCTGGTGTGCTGCTACTGGAAAGTAATACAAAACATCTCATCACCATCAAGTTTCATAGGGATGAGAAGCAGTTGAGTATCAAACCTACTGGCAATAATCACTTGATTTCATATGATTTCTCTATGTAGACAAAGCTTATACAGAAAAGCTGGTTTCAGGCAGCCCTTCCTCCTTCCTTATTTTCCCTCTTTACAGAACTTCTGTGTCTTTATCACCTCTGTTCCTGGACTCAACTGCCATCCTCTTGTATTAAATGGAGTAAGATTTTTGCTTTTACTATCATTCTTAATTGACACATAATAATTGTACATATTTATGTGGTATAGTGTGATTCAGTATGATATTTTGAAACGTACATACAATGTGTAATGATTAAATCAGGGTGATTAGCATATCCATCACTTCAAACATTCATCATCTCTTTGTGTTGGGAACATTCAACACAAGGTTTGTTGCTTCAAAGGTAAAATAACTTTCCAGAAGAAAATATAGGGAAGCAAAGATTTCTTAGGACACAAAAATCACAAACCGTAAGAGAAAAAAATATTGAGTTGGATGTCATCGAAATTTAAAATATCTGCTCATTGTAATCATTACTAAGAAAATAAAAAGGCAGGGGACTGAGAGAAAATATTTGTAATGCTTATATCTGACAGAGAACTTGAATACAGAATATATGTCTTAAATAATAACAAAAGCCAGTTTAAAAAAATGGGCAAAAGGATAACTAAACACATGATAAAATGCTCAACATTATTAGTAATCAGGGACGTGCATATTAAACCACAATGAAATGCCACCAATCGATTAAAATTGCTAAATTTTTAAAAATGAAAATAAGTGCTAGGTGAGAACATGAAGGAGCTAGAAATCTGGTATATTGCTGGTGTGAACATAAAAGGATACTCTCCTTTGAAGAGAAATATGACATTTCCTTGTAAAGAGGACATACGACACATTAATTTTTCTCCTAGGTGTTTATCCCCGCAAATAAAAAATATATATCCACACAAAGACTTGTACATGAATGTTTATGATAGCTTTATTTATAATAGTCCAAACCTTAAAACAACCAAAGTGTACATCAGCAGGAAAATGAGTAAACAAATTGTAATTTATCTATACAACTGAAGACTACTTGGCAATAAAAATGATTTACTGATTAATGCTACAATATGGATAAAACTCTAAAATATTATGCTGAGCAAAAGAAGTAAACACCAATGAGGACCTATTATATGATTCCATTGAGATGAAACTCTAGAACACAAATCTAACCTGTAGTTACAGAAAGCAGATTAGATTTTACCTGGGGATAGGAATGGGAACTTGACAGAGGAAAGACGCAGGAAACTTTTTGGGGGTTAATGGACATGTGTTTTTTTCTTAATTGTAGTGGTGGTTAGACAGGCATGTACATTTGCCAAAATTCATCAAATTATATGATCAAAATGGGTGCATCTGATTATGTATAAATCATATCTAATAAAACTGATTTAAAAACTTTTTAAATAAGACATTACACAAAATATTAACACTTCTTAATTTTGAATTTTGAGTGTTGTATCATTTAGAATCCTAGCAAGAAATGTATGGCAACCTCACCTGGAAATTGAAGAAATTTTAGTGAAGAAACTATTAAAGAGGTATGGACAGAATGAAGAAAACCAACCAGTGTTTTGAGGTACTGGCGGACTTGCAACAACAGGATGCTCTTTCTAGCCCTGGACTGGACAGGGCAAGAAGGATTGGGGTTTTCTGGACACAGAAACAAAGGCAGAGGTAAGAGAGAACACAGACGCTTGGCTTTCTACATGCTGTAGGAGAAAAGGTGCTAGGAAACAGTGACTACAAATGAGATTTAATAGGATTTTTTATTTTTTAACAGATATAATGTTTAGGGCCTCATAAACCAAAATAAGGAGTTTGGTCTTTATCCTGAAACCATTTAAGAGTTTCATGTAGAGGACTGCATAAAAATAGTTTTATTTTCAAATAATTACTCTAATTATTTTTCTTGCATAGATTCTAATAGTGTAATCACTATTAGGAATGGTCGTTTTTACTACTCTTGATTTGGAAATGGCATATATTATAGCATTCTGGATAACAGCAGTAGAATTGTTATTAAATATAAGCTTCTGATGAAATCTTTTCTAGTCATTTGTTTTGACTTTTTCCCCACTTTTATTTGTTGTCTTTTAATTTGGCTCAAGGTAATTATTTTCAAGTATAGTAATTTAGTTTGGTCAACTATTGAGTATTCATTTTCATGACTGAACGTGCTTCCTATTTGGAGTTATTTCCAGCAATATTTTCTTCTTCATTAACTTAAAAAAATTTTACGCTTTAATTCATCTGAAGTTAGTTTTAGTCAATAATAGAAAATATATGCTATAAAATGATTATGAGTAGAGTAGCAAAGAAGCATTTAGCAGCTTCTATAGTGCCTTGCACGTAAGAGGCCTTAATGATGATTTGTGGAATAAGTATTTGATTGTCAGGACCAAAGATAATACCATTTGCCCATGTACTTCAGTGTTACAAATAGCACTTGCTTCATTAATCACACTGGTGTATTCATAACACAGTGTGGCAATAACAAGATGCAGTCATTTTTTCATTAACTTAAAAAATTTACTTATCTGTTAATCATGATCAACCAGCTAAACTTAAGTTAAAAAGGAGTTGACTATTTAAAAATGTTAAATGAGCCAGAAGTCATCAGGGAATTTTTAAATGCAATGAGTGGGATTTTTTGCAGTAAGAACAGAGAAGAAGCATGCTGCTATGGTTTTTACTGTGTCCCCTAGAATTTATGTGTTGAAAATTTGGTCCCTGATGTGGTAATGCTGTGAGATGGGGCCTATAAGAAGTGATTAAGTCATTAAAATGGATTAATGCTGCTCTCACAGAACTTGTTTAATTCTTATGGAAGTGAGTGAGTTTTAGTTCTCTCCAGACTAGATTAGTTACCAGGAGAGGGAATTGTTACAAAGCAAGGCCACCCCTTGTATTTTGCCCCTTTTGCACATATAGACTTCCCAGTCCACTTCTCCATCAGGTTATGATGGTTCATCCATCATTATGAACATTATACATTATACATATTACAATATGGAGATGCAGCCACCAATCTTGAACTTCTCAGCCTCCAGAACCATGAGCCAAAATCAATTTCTTTTTAAAAATAAACTAGCCAGTCTCTGAGTATTCCATTATAGCAACAGCAAACGGACTAAGACAAATGCTACTTGGAATATAGCATGCTACTTCGAATGTGTCCTAATTTATGTGAAAACATGTTATATCTGCACAAATGACATACCAATGCCAATGTCAAATCTCATGTTTTTATAGCCCAAAATCTTGTCATCTTTTTCTCAAAAACATAGCTTCCACTTCATTACAAATACTAAAAGAACTACAATTGAGACATTTATAGCAAGATCACAGAGGAAAACTATTTCTCCAGAACACCTCTGCTATTCTTTATTGCTCAAAGGTAACAAATACGAACATAAATCAAAAAAGTCCCTACCAACTGAAATTAGACTGAATAAGAAAATAAACCTTTATTTGCAACATTGGCTATATTTTAATTTCTTATTCAGTTCATCATATCTCTATGCCACAAAATACTTTTAAAAGTTCCATATAGAATGATTGGGAGCTCCTCTATGTTCCATCTAGCAGAGCAAAGTCATCCAGAAAGGAGCCAGGACAGAAGCATCTGCAGAGTAGCTGGGTAGACAGACAAGAAGCCACAAGCACTGGGCAACAAAGAAGGTTTGAGAAGGAAAGTCCCTTCCCAACTCTGGGCCTTAATGTCTTTCCCTTTGGAATAAACGGTTTGATTTAGGTAATCTCTAAGCATTCTGATGTTCTATGCTTGGGGACTATAGTTTTGAGGAAAGAGATAACAAAGATTCTGGGCTATTAAAACAAAACCAGTGAATGACAAAGTGCAGAATGGAGCATAAGAATGGTGTTTGGAGAATGTGGGTCCAGGAGACCCAGGCATAACAGTTTAGACAAATAGATGGTTCAAGCTCTGGTGTTTATAAGGGCAGTGGAGACAGATGAGAAGAGGGAAGGCAATCCTAACAGCACTTAAATATCTCTTCTAAGAATGTGGAAAATGTTTCTGTGAGCAGAAAGAAATCCAGCTCAACGATGCCCACCTTGGATCTGCCTCAACACCATTTGCAGATACAACACATTCCCTTCAAACCTGGTGTCATTAGAGATAGCTATTGCCAAACAAGGGCACATAGATACCTGCCTGTAGAGAAAGGGTTTCAGAATATTGGTGAAGCCACTTCCAAAAACAAAATTATATAAAAAATTTAATAAATGCATTTCATTTTTGAATGGACAATACATTCGTATGGTATAAAATATAAAGAAATCTTAAAGAATATACAATATATCTTAAAGAATATACAATGAATAAAGTAAGTTTTTCCCCCATTCCCACCCTTAATTTTCCTCTCCAAGGCAGCTATTAGGTTGGTGCCACAGTAATTGCGGTTTTTGCCATTACTTTTAATGTACTGTTGCACCAACCTATGGCTATTACCAATTTCTTGTGTATCATTTTCAGAGATATGTTAATATAACGTGAGCACACACACATACACACACACACACACACACACACATACCACATAAATAATGGGTATACAATGATACTTTTTTGGTACACAAATGATAATATACTTACAGATGAAGAAACTGAAAACTTTCATTTGGTTTCACCTGCTTAGGATGCATTGTATGGCTGTACCACAGTATAGATAATCAGTTCTTGGTAATGAACTTTGATTTCCAATCTACTGCTATTGCAGAAAGGGTTGCAATAAATGTATATTCATCATTTTGTAAATGTCTGAGTAAATCTATAAGATAAAACTCTGAATGTGGAATTTCAGTATTAAAGGGACTGTATTTGTACTTTTTATTATAGAACAACCACAGCTGAATATAAGCTGCTCTTATATCTTTTAGCTGATCTCCTGTGTTCACTTTCTACTCCTGCCAACTACTTTCTGTGTAACTGAACAAGTTACTTATCTTTCCAGACCTCAATTTTGCCATCTGAAAATAGGAATAATAATTGTTCTTGCTTGATAGGATTGTTGTGATGAATTAGTTAATAAATACATGTAAAGTTCTTAGAACAGTACCTGACAAAAAGTAAACACTCAAAACATGTCAAATATCATTATTAGTTCTATTATTGACCCATGTAACACACAAATACGAGTTTCCATTATCTAACATTTTATCTTTGCCAATCTAATAGCGTTTTTACCTAATTGTGGTTTTAATTTATATTTATCTTCCATTTTGAATGTACCAAGTTATTTATTCTTCAGTTTGAAAGTCAGTTGTAATTTCTTTCTCTAAACTATTTATGACCTTTGCTTTTATTTCTATTGGATCATTTATTATTTTCTCATGGATGAATAGAAAGTGTTTATTAAAGAAATTAGCCTTCGCCTATGATATGTATTATAAACATTTTTCTAAATTCCTTGTATTTTATTTATGGTTATTTCTGCCATGCAAATGTTCTATTTTTAGTCAAGTTTATGAATCTTTTTTTATGGCTTCTGGGCTTTGTATGACATTTAGAAATGTTTTATTCCAAAATTACTTTTTAAATGTTTGCTATGTTTTATTTTCATACTTTTATGGATAATTCTTTTACACTAAAATCTTTGCTTCATATGAAATTATAGTAGGAACCAGTATTTCTTTTTTCAGATGGCTATGCAGTTTTTCTAGCATCATTTACTGAATAATTCATGTTTTTTCACTAATTTTTCAATGTCACCTTTAACACATACCAAATTCACAAACTTACCGAGCTATTTTCTGAACATTTTACTCTGTTTTATTAAATCATACGTTACTTATGTAAGTGCTGGCATCAACTTTGAAATTACTATATTATAACAATACATTTAATATCTTGTAGGACTAAATACTCATCCCCTTGGAGGGTACATTCAAAAAGCAATAACTTCACTGTTTTTCAGAATTTTTGTAATGATCAATATTAGAATCAGTGTAGTTCATTTAAAAGTCATCTTGCTGTAATTATTGAGGAGCATATTAAACATATAGATTTATTGGGAGAGAATAAACATTAAAATGATATTAAGTTTTCATGTCCAAAAAGGGGGAATGCATTTAAATTTAATTCTTCTTGAGTACCTCCATAGTATTCTCAATTTTAATTTATTTATGTGTTCTACATTTCTTATTAAGTTTATTTCTGTGTATTTCACCTTTTTGTGGCTATGGTCAGTAAGTGCTTCCCTTTAATTATGTTTTTCTATCTTGTTTTTATTTTGTATATGAGAAAGCTATTCCTTTTTTTCTTAATGTACTCTGCTGCCTCATGGAATTTTCTTATTATTTTATGAGAGTTTCAGATCATCCACTTGAGTTTGTAATTGATATAACTATATTAAACTGCAAATATTTATTTTCCCTTCTCTTTTGTAACTTTATACCCTTTATTTCCTTCTCTAATTTATTACTTTAGACTTCATTAAAAAACAATGTCATAATGAACATATTCCTCTTGCTCCGAAATGAAAAGGAACGGTTCTAGAAGTTCTAGATGCAGTTCTTTTAAAAATATGAAATAATAATTATATTTTTATTTTCAGGATATTTTATGTAAATACATTGCAGTGCATTAAGAGTTCTTAACAAGAATAGAGAATGAATTTCATCAAATTTCTTCTAGCTATAAAGAGATAATTATACGCATTTTCTCTTTTTATCTATTAGCTTGCTAAGTTACAGTATTTTAATTTTAATATTTTAATATTGAGCTATGTACAGATGCTGTAACTCAGCAGAAATCCTTACTGGTTCCAGGATTCCATTTCCCTTCTCTTGTTCTGTTGTTGAAGCATTTTGGCAGGATATTGTCTTGGACAAAATTCTCAAATGCTAGAAGATAGAATTTAGAATACCAGTGCATGCTTTTACAGTATTTCTAATGACTATAAACAACATGGCAGCACAAGTTAGTCCGGAAGGGCAAGGACCATCCACAGCCTATTTTCAGAGATCAAGTTAGCACAGCTGACCTAGGATACAGAAGATGGGAGGCATAGAATTAAATAGTTGGTTAGGAGCAAAGGAAGACTGAAGCAGAACAGAAAACTCTTATCAGTAAAATAACAAGTAGTGGATCCACCTTTTTGCAGGCATCAATTACCTTGAAAATGCAGTCAGGAAACAAAAACATAAATAGGTTGGGACTCTTGGGTTTGATGGAAAAAACAAAAATATATGTTTTTTGTGGGTTAGTGAGCTCTAGTAAGTTGTTTTTACTATTCTCTGTGTTTCATTCAGCAGACTGCAATTCCCACAATCACCAGGAAAATCCTATCTGATGACACTAACACTGCTAGCAGTAATCTACATCACTATTCGTCCCCGTGGAGTGGCACCTTAGGTTTAGTAAGTGTTTCGGTTTTCTCTCCAACCAACTCCCCATAGTTATCAAAACAGACTCACTCCATGCTTGTCTTCTCCACTTCACAAAAGCCTCAGCATGCCAAGGGAAGCATATTTTTTCCTATTCAAAAGTATGGCTATGAAGAATAAACTGCAATGGTCTGAAGTGTCAGTTTTCAAAAGCAAGTATCCTGTTCTAAAGAACAGACCAAAAAGAGCAGACAGAGCAAAATAAGCCTTGCTTCAGTTTTCAAGATCTAGGCTGATGGAAGTGAATGAGGAGGAAAAAAATGAAGTGACAGAAAGAAATAATATGTGTGATAGAGATGAGCTGGTATATTACACAAGTTCACTTAATTATTCAACTTACACTTAATATATGACATATTTATACTGCATGTTATGTGCAATAGGGCACATAAAAGAAATACACACACACACATACATATATATATAATTGTACAGATTAGAAAATTCAAGGAATGTAAAATAAAATGCCATCACTGGTAAGCCTCTGGCCTCATTGAATATCCAGTAAAACATCCTTAGATATCAGGGTATATACAGAATGAAACGAAAACAATCAATGTCCTTGTTGCGAGTTCAAGAGCTAAAATCTGAAAAATCTCATCAACAAAGACATGCTGCTGAAAATCAAGTACTTACCTGTGAATCAGACCTAGAAAATTACTTCTGTCAGAGATACCTCTGGTTTAGGTATTTAAGCTAAAACTATAATTCAACTTCACAGCTTAAATATCTTTGACACAAATTCTAGTTTATTTGTATCAGTTAATCCATATAGCACAGCTACATTATGTATGAGAAGAGCCCTGTGGGCTGATCTACCTGCAATTTAAATGAACACATCCTTTGAAAAATATGTTCTCAATCCCTCAGTTCTCAAAAAACTAAATTTAAAGAAAGTCTTTGGAATAAAGACCCACCATAAATCAGAGGTCCTGAATTTACAAACCTTCATGCTCCTGAAAGCCCACCCACTGAGCAAACTTAGGCCATGTGTGGAAATCTTCTGTAAAGAATGTGAAATGTGCATTGAGTTCCAGATGAGTTACAGAGGGTTGACATTCTGCTCAGTGTCATCTAGCCAATTTTTAAATCAATTTTACGGGGTAAGAAACAATGTTTAAGTTATGTATGACACATCACAAAATAATTTTCTAATGAAAAAGCGCAGATGGTAAAAAAATTATTTGAGAGCGTATTACATGAGTTAGTACAAAGATAACACACTGTAAACTTTACACTTGTGCTTTGCCTTTGTCAAATCTATGAGACAAGAAGAGGTTGTATTCTCATGCTGATTCCACCATGTAAGTATGTTCAGAGAAGTTATGAGAGATTCCCAAGCAGTCATAGCGATTTGGTTATGCTGTGATGCACATTTCAATGTTATGAATCAAAGTCCAGTGTTCTTAGGTATCTATTGAAGCAACAATGGGGATGAGGAGAAGAGATCATGAAGAGCTGAGATAATTACAGACAACCCCAGATAATTTTGGCAGTGAAAATGAAATCGGATAGCATTAGGAGATATACCTAATGCTAAATGATGAGTTAGTGGGAGCAGCACACCAGCATGGCACATGTATACATATGTAACTAACCTGCATATTGTGCACATGTACCCTAAAACTTAAAGTATAATAATAATTTTTAAAAAAGAAAAAAAAGAAAATGAAATCGAATGAGTAGACAAAAGCAGTCTAAAGAAGTACAAGTGAGGCTTTTGATAAATGGAAAATAGGTATGATGATCTGATTCTCTAAAAGAAATGTTAAGGGGAATGATGGAGACTCTAGCAAAATTCAAACCTAGGAAGCAAATGATGGGAGCTATCATTAGAGCATCATATGTAACTGGCTACCCATGTTAAATCAGTGCTTAACTCCAGCTCAACCAGACTTTGGGCTTTACTTCCATTACTTTTCCACATGACATAAAAAAGAAACAAACATTCTAAGACATCAAAATTAAAAGATAACTGTCAGGACTTTCAGTATAAGTTATGATAAACTAGACTAATCACTCCACCTTAAATAAATAGAAAAGTGGGGAAAATGAATGAAACAATTTTTTCAGCATTGAGAAATAGGAACTATAATTCATAAGAGTAGGGGAAAAATCAGGTAAGCAACATAATCACTGCAGTTTACTGTCTTGGAGCACTATCTAGACTGTAGCCCATAAGAAACAAATGGAAAAAGAGTTTTTTCAACAGAAACAGACTCCAAATGACTGAGATAATTAAATTATTATGCAAGGATTACAGAGAGAACGATCAATAACCTTGAAGAAAAGTCAAATCAAAGTTTCCAAATTGAAGCACAGGAAGGAAAAGGGCTGGAAAAAAAAAAAACAGTCACAGTAATCTCTTGGATGAAAATGAGAAATTTATTATAAGTATGAAAAGAGTACCAGGAATAGAGGAATTCGGCAGAGAAAAAATTTGAATAAATAATTGATAAGATTTTTTCCAGATATGATGGAAAATATTAACCTATAGATTCAGGAACCTCAATGAACCTCAAGCAAGATAAACACAAAGAAAACCACCCAAATCACATCATAAACAAATTGTGTAAAACTAGTAATAAAGAAGAATAATCTTAAAGCCAGCCAAAAAAATATTTATGCTACACACCCAGAGGAACAAATATAGGAATTATTATTGACTTTCATCAGAAACAATGCAGATCATAAAAGGATGGAAACATATGTTTACAGTACTAGGGTGGAGAGTGGGTTTATCAACTGAGAATTCTATATCCTCTAAAGTATTCTCCCAATGAAAAGGATCAGTGCAAAACATGCTAAAGGGAGTCCTTCAGGTCCCCAAAGAAGAAAGTAATGTAGGAAATGTTAGACAAAAATGCTATAAGACATATAGAAAACAAATAGCAAAATGACAGAAGCAAGTCCTTCCTTACCAGTAAGCCTTAACAAAGAAAGAAAATTCTGACATATGCTACAACATAGATGAACCTAGAAGACACTATGCTAAGTGAAATAAGCCAGCTACAAAAAGGCAAATACTATATGATTACATTTATATAAGCTACTCAGAGTAGTCAAAATGACAGAGACAGAAAGTAGATGGTTATTGCCAAAGGTTGGGGGTAGAAGGGAATGAGAAGTAATTGTTTAATGGGTATGAAGTTTCAGTTTTGCAAGATGAAAAGAGTTCTGGAGATGGATGGGTAGTGATGGTTGCACAATAATATGAATGTACTTAGTACCACCCAAATGATTCACTTAAAAATAGTTAAGATGGTAAATATTCTGTTATGTGTATTTCCCAACAATGAAAAATTGTAAAAAATGAAGGTAAGATAAACACATTTTTATAGAACAATTTTTAAAAAATTAATCACTAGAAGACTTTAATTACCAAGGAAAGCAAGTTCTTCAGACGGAAAGGAAATGATACCAGATGAAAGCTCAGATCTGCACAAAGAAAAGAATGCCAAAAATAACAGATAATAAATGAGTACATATAAAAGACTTTAAATTTCCTTTAAAAAACATAAAAATGTTTTACAGGTTTGTGATATACGTGTAAGTAAAACGTATAACAACAATAACAAAGATTTAAGGCAAGAATTCTAAGTATACTCTTGAAAGGCTCTGAAATCCTATGAGTAATAAAAGGTTAATTTAATATTTGAAAAATCAAGTAATGTGACATCACATTTATGAAGGATAAAAATAATCATAATTCTTTTAATATAGCATAAAAGGCATTTAACTAAATTCAACACTCATTTATTGGATTTTTTTAATTAAACAAATTAGAAACCCAGTAAATCTTTCTTGGCCTAGTGAAGGGCAACTATAAAAAATTTTCAGGTAAGGTCATGCTTAATGGTGAAAGAGTGAATGCTTTCCTCTAAAGATCAAAACAAAGCAAGGGTGTCCACTCTTACCATTTCCATTCAGTATGGGAGATTTTTGTGTGTTCAATAAAGGAGAAAAAAAGAGAATAAAAATTTTTAAAATAAAAGACATATAAATTAGAAAAGAAATAAAATTGTATTATTCACAGGAAACATGATTGTATATGTAGAAAATCCTAAATAATCTACCAAAACTGTATTAGAACTGATAAATTAAATTAGAAAAGTCACAAGATTCAGGATCAATATTTAAATATCAACTGTATTTTTATTTACTAACAATAAATAATAGAAAAATGTAAGTTTTTAAAATTTTATTTACAATATCATCAAAACATATAAACTAACTAGGAATGAATTTAACATATGTATAAGACTCATATCTTGAAGTTTTATAACATTGCTGATAAAAATTCAAGAACAAAAGAAACTACTGTCAGAGTGAACAGGCAACATACAAAATGGGAGAAAATTTTCGCAACCTACTCATCTGACAAAGGGCTAATATCCAGAATCTACAATGAACTCAAACAAATTTACAAGAAAAAAACAAACAACCCCATCAAAAAGTGGGCGAAGGACATGAACAGACACTTCTCAAAAGAAGACATTTATGCAGCCAAAAAACACATGAAAAAATGCTCATCATCACTAGCCATCAGAGAAATGCAAATCAAAACCACTATGAGATACCATCTCACACCAGTTAGAATGGCAATCATTAAAAAGTCAGGAAACAACAGGTGCTGGAGAGGATGTGGAGAAATAGGAACACTTTTACACTGTTGGTGGGACTGTAAACTAGTTCAACCATTGTGGAAGTCAGTGTGGCGATTCCTCAGGGATCTAGAACCAGAAATACCATTTGACCCAGCCATCCCATTACTGGGTATATACCCAAAGGACTATAAATCATGCTGCTATAAAGACACATGCACACGTATGTTTATTGCGGCATTATTCACGATAGCAAAGACTTGGAACCAACCCAAATGTCCAACAATGATAGACTGGATTAAGAAAATATGGCACATATACACCATGGAATACTATGCAGCCATAAAAAATGATGAGTTCATGTCCTTTGTAGGGACATGGATGAAGCTGGAAACCATCATTCTCAGTAAACTATCACAAGAACAAAAAACCAAATGCCGCATATTCTCACTCATAGGTGGGAATTGAACAATGAGATCACATGGACACAGGAAGGGGAATATCACACTCTGGGGACTGTTGTGGGGTGGGGGGAGCGGGGAGGGATAGCACTGGGAGATATACCTGATGCTAGATGATGAGTTAGTGGGTGCAGCACACCAGCATGGCACATGTATACATATGTAACTAACCTGCACAATGTGCACATGTACCCTAAATCTTAAAGTATAATAATAAAAAAAAAGAACAGCTAAATAAATGGAAAGATATAACAATTTAAAGACTAGAAGAATCAATATTTTCATGTCAGTTCTCCCAAGGGGGCTACAAATTTAATGCAATACAAACGCCAGCAGTCTTTATTGAGAAACCTGGCAGACAAGATGATTCTAAAATTCATATATAAATTTGAAGGACCCTGCACGGCCAAAACAATTTTGAAATGTAAGAATAAAATTGCACTTTTATCTTATTTGAATTTGAAGTTTAATACAACACCTATGTAGTAATCAAGAAAACATGGTATTAGCATGAAGATAGATAACAAATCTTGAATTGGTAGTGGTTGCACTGGTGCGGGGGGGAGGGGGTCTGTCAAAGTGGTTCAAACTGAATACTTTAAATGGGTGCATTTATTGTATGTAACTACATTTAGTAAAATTGATTTTAAAAAAGATAATTGTCATTAATAGGCAGGCTAAGAAAGGAGGTCTCTGAGGTATATGGGCAAAGGAATATGATGTAGCATTTAAAAATATTTGATGAAAAGTCAATAAACAGAACTTTGCTAAAGTAGACAAACCTGCACAACTGATAATCAGCCAGAATTTTGTTAAAACAATACAACTGGAAGTAGTTTGCTCTATGACATTTTTATTCCCTGTTGCCTCGCTGTGGATTACTGACAACATAAATGTGTAAAAATAAAGACATTTGTTTTACCTTTCAAGACTTCATGAATTTCAGCTATTACAAAATTTCAGTGATGTCTTGTTTTTATGTAAGTCTGAGATTGTAGATATAAATTTGTCTTTTGAGTGGGGAAAGAGGGTAAAAAATAGATAAATACATTTTTTAAGATAAGCATATTTTATGTAAATGAGTTTTAGAATAAAACTTAGGAGCACAGAAATAAATATAGAAATATCTCTAAAAAGCAAATATTTACCATTAAAAATAACCCTGATTCTGTCATAACTATCATTAAGACTAGAAACAGCTGGGTGCGGTGGTGCACACCTGTAATCCCAGCACTTTGGGAGGCCAAGGCGGGTGGATCACGAGGTCAGGAGATTGAAACCATCCTGGCTAAAATGGTGAAACCCTGTCTCTGCTGAAAATACAAAAAATTAGCCAGGTGTGGTGGTGGTGCGCTCCTATAGTCTCAGCTACTCGGGAGGCTGAGGCAGGAGAATGGTGTGAACCTGGGCGGCGGAGCTTGTAGTGAGCCTAGATCACGCCTCTGCACTCCAGCCTGGGTGACAGAGCGAGACTCCATCTCAAAAGAGAACAACAACAAAAAAAGACTAGAAACAATGCATCTTACTTAAACAACACTTTAGAAGATTCCATCTAAGGCTAAAATTGTCCTCAAAATGAGAGGGGAAATCCATCACATTTTCATTGTTTTGAAATGTTTTCAAAATAATATCTATATTTTCCACTTAAATTCTTTTATTTCTTTAGGTACCAAGCATTATTTAGTGACATGACCAATGTAATTTTAACAAAGATATATAGCTTGGGGAAAGACACTGAAAGTTGCTCCGAAATGAGGGGAGAACTTTTTGCAATAAGTAACCGGAGGTGTTTTAACGTGGAATTCATGCTCCTAGTATTATTTCTAATAGGTTCGGATACATACAAAATAAATTAAAGCCTTAAATCATCAAGTTTATTTGTGACATGATATTAAATATAAGAGAAAGTTTCTTTAAAAGCAGAAAGTACCAAGGCATGAATCTACAAGGAGAGGCAGCATGAGAACTTTAATATATAGCAGCTATTATCAAGCTGTGTCCAATTCAAGAAAACAATTTCCACAACTCAATGTACTTAGAATGCTTATTGTATGAATTGTCTGCTTAAGATATAAAGAGGATGATTATAGAGCTGCAGCCATGTTTTTAAATCTCTCAAGTCTCATGAAAAATTATTATGAGAAAAGAAAGAACAAATAGTAAATCATATCTCCTAAAGACAATGAAATTATACCAGAAAGATGTATTAACATAACAGATAAAAATTGGAACTGTCTACTTCAAAACAGTCATTAAGAAAATAACATAAGGCATAAAGGAAAACATATATCAAAACTAGAAAATCTTATAAATGAATTGAATAACTCGAGAGAAGTAGAAATAAAAGAAAAACCATTTTATAACCAAAGGTTAACCTAGAAGTAACATAAGAATAACAGATACCATTTTAAAAGAAATAGAATATAAACACTCAAGTCAAAAATAAATATCACAGTTTCCTCCCCAGGCCTTTGCAGGTACTGAGGGTGAACTATCAGGGCTGGGTCTCCCCATCCCCAAAGCAGCCAAACCTACTCTCCCATCCCAACCCCATTCCTGAATGCATAGGGTGTAAGACCTTCATTAGTGATGTGGACGCCTGCACTGTGGAAGAGCACTCCAAGCTATACTGTAGGCAATGTTACAACCAGACTATGGTGATGTCATCACCAAGCAGATCCTCACCAACATCCCTCACTCCCATCTGCCTTTCCACAGTCACCCTAGTATCCACCTTAACCTCAGCACATGGCAAATATGACCTTTCAGTTTTCATCAGTCCATCTCAAGACCTCCTGGGCAGGGACACAGAGTGCTCCCACACGGTCTACTCCAGGGAGAAGTGGCCAGCTTGCCAAGGGTGCAGGTGCCATGGCTGTGGCCATACATGCTCCAGGTGGAGCTAAGGGCCCACAGAGCATTTGGGTACAATCCTCTGGCAAACTGGTAGTTACCTTTTTATACGAATCTGAAAACCATTAGAAATACTGGATAACATAGTTTTAATCTGAAAAAAAGAACTTCTTTATCCCATAAATAATCCAACAAGTAAGAATAATAATCAATTCAGGAGTGAATGAAGGGAAAAAACACAGGGTTGTTAGCAGAACTCTTTATCTGGGTGACAAAATAAGGGGTACACCAAACTTCTGCAACATGCAATTTATATAACCAACCTGCACATGTACCCCTGAACCTAAAATACAAGTTAAAAAAAAAACCTATGTACTTAATGTAATATTTAACTTCCTTTGATGATAAATTTAAGTATTGGATTTTTTTCTAGGTTAAATTATTTCTATAATCAGAAAAGGAAAGAAGCCAAACATACCAGAGTACATATATAACTAATTCAATTTCTAAAAGTTCAGAGACAGGTAAAATTGCTCTTTAGTGAGAGAAGCTGGGATCCTGATTGCCCTTGGTGGAGGTAAGGACTTGGAGAGAACACATGAGGAAGATCCTTGGGGCTGGTAAAATGTTCTGGTCCTTGATCTGGGTGCTGGCTATAGTATTATATTGAGTTTTGGAAGATTCACTGATTTATGTACTTTTCTGTGTGTACATTATATTTTAATAAAAGATTTCAAATAAAATAGAATAAATATATGAATAAGTAAATAAATAAAGACTTACCATAAAGCTATGGTGATCAGGAGGGTGTGGTGTTGCTGGAAAAATTGACAAGTAGATTAGTGGAACAGAGGCTGAGGTAGGAGGATGGCTTGAGACTGGGAAGTTGAGTGAGGCTGCAGTGAGCCCTGATTGCACCACTGCACTCTAGCCTAGGCAGCAGTGCAAGACCCTGTCTCAAACAAACAAACAAACAAATCTATTAATTAAAAAAAAAAGACATATAGCTGAAGAGGGAACTAATAGAAAACAAAATAGAGATTAAGGCATAGGAAGGACAGAGTGGGATCTAACAATCATCTATTTGAACTTTCAGAAAGAGAAGAGAGAGAAAATGGAGAAGAATCAATGTCTGACAATACAATGGCTAAGAACATCCCAGGACTGTTGAAAGACACTAATTCACAAATTCAAGCCCAGTAAATCTCAAATAGCAAAATAAAAAAGAGATCTACCCATGCACACATCTAGTGAAACCACAGTCCACCAAAAGCAAAAAAAAAAAGTTCATAAAAGTACCCATTAAAAACTACAGACTACCTTCAAAGAAAAAACAAAAAAACAATTAAACTGCTGTTTCTTAACAGAAACAATGGAAGTCTAAACCTGTAAAATAATACCTTCAATGCACTAGGAAAATAACCATCAACCTAAAATAGCATACCTGATGAAAATATCCTTTAAGAATGAGGATGAAATAAAGACATTGCATACATTAGTCAGGATTCTCCAGAGAAACTAAGGAATTGGCCCATGTGACTGTGGAGATTGGCATGTCCAAAATTTGTAGGTTAGAGCAGCAGACTTAAGACCTAGAGAACAGCTGATGTTCCAGTTCAAATTGTAAGCAATCTAGAGGCAGAATTCTCTCTTCTTCAGGGGAGATCAGTCCTTTCTTTAAGGCATTTATGCCTAGTGCTCCACTATTGGAACGCTAAGCTTGTGGGATTTATTTATATCCTACTGCTCAAGGTCATTGCCAAGGTCTGATTTTTCACACAAAAAATTTGCAACCTCTGGCATAAACGGGTTAAGGCCTTCGACTGACTGGATAAGGCCACCCATATTATGGAGAGTAATCTGCTTTACTCAAAGTCCACTGATTTAAATGTTAATCTCATCTAAAAAAATCACTTCTCAGCAATATCCAGATGTGTTTGGCCAAATATCTGGGTGTCATGACCTAGCCAAGTTGACACAGAAAATTAAACATTTAATTTATAAACACATTTATAAAATAATAGACATATTTAGGCAGACAAAACCAAGAAGCCGATCACATGAGACCACCACTAAATGATGTTTGAAAGGATGTACTTCAGAACAAAGGAAAATTCTCTCCCACTCAGAAAAAAAAAAAAAAGATTTGGGATATAAGAAGCAGTGAAAATTAGTGAGCTAAACCATTGTTTTTTTGTCTAAATAATTAGAAAGTTAGACATCTTGAAATGTACCAAACCCTGAAGGGATATTACTTATTTTTAAGTGGAATGGTGAAGAGTTTCCATAAATAAAAAATCAAATATACTTTTTAATTTTGGTCTTTGCTTTACTTACTGATACATGTGGTTGATTCAAATCTTTTAAAAACTTGAAATACTTCATCTTTTGCTTTGCATTCTTCACTACCCCAAACCAAGTAAATAATACTTTTGTAACATTTATGAGTATGATAATTTCCACCTGCTCTCTGACTTTTTGTTAAAAGAGGGGGAGGAGCTGGTTTTACTCCTGGGAAATTAACAGGAAATGTTCATGAACAAAATTGCTAAAGCAATTATTGCTGGTTTGCCTGGCCGACTAATGGTAGCAATCAATAGCTGGCTTTGTGGAATATATCTCCATGGGCTAAGGAGAAGGAGTGAGTAGTGGCCTAGCTTGTTTCCTTCTTTGCTGATTTCCATCTTTAGCAGCTCACAGCATTAAAACACCTGGTTCAAAGGGAAAATATTACTATTTCATTCACCAAACAAATAGTTGTACTTATTGAAAATTTTGGTGGGTAGTAGGTGACAGATGAGGAATTCTTTTATTTATTTATTTATTAAGGAGCTATTTTTTAATTTTTGTGGGTACAAAGTCAGTGTATGTATTATGGGTTACGTGAGATATTTCTTTTTTTTAAAGAGGGACCCCTTTGTTACACATTTATAAAATAATAGTGTAATATAGTTATTAAAAATGGGACAATTTTTTTCATTTTTTTCTTGTATTCAATTATTCCATCCTCTTCACAGTCTTCCACAACTTGCTTTTGTTATCCACAGTGTTCACCTGAAACTTCCACCCCACCATTCAAAGCACAACTGAAGAATAAATGATCTAATAGATTCTTGTGAGACATTATCAAATAAATTAATCCAGTAACACATGAATAAAGATTGAGAGTTTTTAAAGAAATACAGTAAAACAAAACATACGAAGCATAATTTAATCTGATGATTCAGAAGGCACCTCAAGATTGTTGTTCCATTTTCCTCATGCTGCGTGTTTAAGTGCCTGTAACAGAATTCTGGTTAGTAAAATTTTGAACAAGAAAAATTTCACATATAATTCACATCAAATGATAGACACAATATGGGCATTTTGATGTGTACGTTTGTACTTGACCAGGGAACAATTTATAATATACTAAGAAAACTTTAAAAATTAATTACAAAATGAGTATTTTTAGCACACTTAGTAACAGCTACTTGTTTTAAACTATTATTTCATTTTTGGTGACCAAATTATGTTGGAGCATAATTAAAGAACATATAACCTTAAAATAATATTTAAGAAACGTAGTTACAACAGACATATGTTACATTAAATGAAGAAAGGAAAGAAATGTACGTGTATTAAAGCGGACTGAGGTTTTTCAAACCCATTCTTTTGAAAGGCCTTTTAATCCACTTTCACGTAAATCAATTTAAACTGAAAAAAAGTTTTTACTCAGTATGCTTACAGAAAGAGGTGAAATCAGTGTTGACTGACATGACTGTCTAACAACCATTCAATGCTGATCACTGACCTGGTATTTTTATTTGATTATCCTGACAAATCTAATAATTGAGCCCGTGTATATATATGCAAGATGTATATATGCAAGGTGGAGGATCCAATTAATCAACTGCAGAAAGAAAAACACTCAACTTAAAAAAGGTTGAAACAAATGACAAATGGAAATGGTTGAATCACTGTACCTTTTTGACACAATCTTAAATCTTAGTTTTACTGTATATTATTCGGTACTTCTGGATTCAGTAGTTAGGATAAAAAAAATTTCTGTATTCAAACATATCTACAGAATGTCCATATAAAATGTGTGGATATATACATTTAATATACACACATATGTGCACACACACAAACACATACTCACATGTCAAGGAAACAGTGCCTAACCACATCCCTATTTCTCACTAATGACCCAATGAATCATTCATGACTGTAAGAGCAGCTTAGATTCTATAAGGCTGTACGACATATGGCTAAAGAGCTCAAACACAAGCACCCACGTTCATGCTGGATTAAATTGTTCCTCCTCATGATTTCTGACAAACAGTAATGCCACTTATATAACAACTGTATCTCAACAACTTAGAATTCAGAGTACAAAACCATAAACACTGAACTCCCTCATTGTTTAAAGAGCACTCTTTCCATTCTACTTCCACTAACGGATAAGAGGACACACCAAACTAGATCAGTGAACTGTGCAAATGATCTTCACTCTTAATCTAAACAAACCTGTGTTAAAACATTCTGAAATGCTGCATCCTTTGATTTCTTAATTTTTTCAATGCTGCATCCTTCGATTTCTTAATCTTTTCAATTGCCCGATGCAGGTCCTGCTGTTGAACAGGCCGAATTTCATCTTCATCATGGCTTTCTTCTGATGTAGAATTAACATTCTCTAACACAGAGGAGGGCAGCATCTCAACACATCGCATTTAGGTCCCTTCCTGAAAACGCATCAGTTTCCTGGGCAACTTCTAGCAGGTCTACATGCCTATCCACATTTTCATTTTTCAAGATGAGTTTCAGGATTGCTTCTTTCTGTTTTAAAGCAGGCTGGTTGATGTGAAATCTTGTAGGAATTCTTCTCGTTATAGCCGTGTCAATGTCCTGAGGATGAATGGTAGCTCCCATTACTATGACCTGGCAGCGGTGATCAGTGTCCAGTCCATCCCAGAGACTCATAAACTGAGCTTTCATTATGGCTGTAGCTTCATGGTCAGAACTCTGAACGGTTTCGTACAAAGGAGTCTATTTCGTCTATAATGATGATGGACAGTTGTAGCTTTATGGCAAGGGAGAAGACAGCAGCAGCCAGTGTTTGAGATTCTCCATACCACTTATTGGTCAGTGTCGAAGGCTCAAGGTTAATAAATCGACAGCCTGCTTCTTTGGCTGTGGCCTTGGCAATCAACGTTTTACCACAGCCTGGGGAGGCTCATAGAGAAGAACACCTTTTGGAGGCTGCAGAAGCCTGGAATTCTCAAACAAATGTTTCTTTTTGATAGGTAAGATGACTGTCTTTCAGATCCGTAATGACCTCATCTAAACCTGCTATATCACTTCCAAGTAACATGCATATTAAGAGGGTCTACTAGGCTGGGCGCGGTGGCTCTATGCCTGTAATCCCAGCACTTTGGGAGGCTGAGGCGGGTGGATCAC
This sequence comes from Homo sapiens, assembly GCF_000001405.40. Taxonomy (NCBI): domain Eukaryota; kingdom Metazoa; phylum Chordata; class Mammalia; order Primates; family Hominidae; genus Homo; species Homo sapiens. The sequence goes on from NC_000018.10 coordinate 1,363,385, forward strand.
GAGGTCAAGAGATCAAGACCATCCTGCCCAACATGGTGAAACCCCATCTCTACAAAAATACAAAAATTAGCTGGGCGTAGTGGCGCACATCTGTAATCCCAGCTACTCAGGAGGCTGAGGCAGGAGAATCGCTTGAACCCGGGAGGCAGAGGTTGCAGTGAGCCGAGATCATGCCATTGCACTCCAGCCTGGTGACAGAGCAAGACTCTGTCTCAAAAAAAAAAAGAAAAGAAAAGAAAAGATGGTCTACTGGTGGGCAGCAACACTCATTTCATATTCTGAGAGCTTCACGTTTTTCACACCAATTAGCTTCATTAGTTTTTCTGCCTGTTTCTGAGCTTCTGCTTTTTGCTTTCTGATTGGATCAATTGCATCTACCATCCATTTGATACTAAAGTATGTTACTGAACCAAATATTGTCAAATGGAAAATTAAACCAACAACTTCATTGTGACTCAAAGGATGAGAAAAGGCATCAGCATGTACCATCTTGATTGTTAACCCAGGAGCAGAAACAACGGGAGCAAGTGCCCTCAGCTGGCCTCGCACAGGAAGGAAATACAGGAGATATTTCAAAACAGGCATGCAATGCATAATAGTCACATCGGAGTAATTGGGGTACCTATCACCTCAGGTATTGATCTTTTGTGTTACAAATGATCCAATTGTGCTATTTTAGTTATTTTAAAATGTACAATCAAATTATTTTTGACTATAGTCACACGGTTGTGCTAGCAAATACTAGGTCTTATTCATTCTTTCTAACAATGTTTTTGTGCTGATTAACCATCGCTACTTCCCCCACACTCCCTGACTACCCTTCCCAATCTCTGTTAACCATCCTTCTACTCTTATCTCCATGAGTTCAACTACTTTCCTTTTTACCTTCCACAAATCAGTGAGAACATTTAAGGTTTGTCCTTCTCTGTCTAGCTTAGTTCACTTAACAAAATGACCTCCAGTTCCATCCATTTTGTTGCAAAAAACAGAATCTCATTCTTCTTTATGGCTGATTAGTGCTCCATTGTGTATATGAACCACATTTTCTTTATTCATTCATCTGTTGATGAACACTTACATTGCTTCCAAATTTTGGCTATTGTGAACAGTGCTACAACTATTCTTTGATATGTCGATTTCTTTTATTTGGGGTATATACCCAGCAGCAGGATTGCTGGATAGTACAGTGGCTCTATTTTTAGTTTTTTGGGAACCTCCAAACTGTTCTCCACAGTGGTTGTACTAATTTATATTCCCACTAACAATGTACGAGGCTTTCCTTTTCTCTCCATCCTCGTCAGCATTTGTTATTGCCAGACATTAGATAAAAGCCATTCTACCTGGGGTGAGATAATATCTTATTGCAGTTTTGATTTGCATTTCTCTGATGAGCAATGATGTTGAGCACCTTTTCATATACCTGTCTTCTTTCGAGAAATGTCTATTCAGATTTTTTGCCCATTTTTTTTAAAAAAGGATTACTAGATGTTTTTCCTACACTGTTGTTTGAGCTCCTTATGTATTCTGGTTATTAACCTTTTGTCAGATGGGTAGTTTGCAAGATGGGAATATAAATTAGTATTTTCTCCTGTTCTGTGGCTTTTATCTTTGTTAATTATTATTATTATTTTTTTTTTGCTGTGCAGAAGCTTTGGAACTTGGTATGATCCCATTTGTCAATTTTTGTTTTGGGTTGCCTGTGCTTGTGAAGTGTTTATTACTTAAGAAACCTTTGCCCAGGCCAATGTTCTGGGGAGATTCCCTAATGTTTTCATGTAGTAGTTACATCATTTGAGATCTTATATTTCAATCTTTAATCCATTTTGATTTGATTTTTGTATCTGTTCAGAGATAGGAATCTAGTTTTGTTCTTTTGCATATAGATGTCCAGCTTGCCCGGCATCATTTATTGGAGAGATTGTCCTTTCCACAATGTATGTTCATGGCTACTTCGTCAAAAATGAGTTCACTGTAGATGTATGTATGGATTTACCTCTGGATCCTCTATTCAGTTTCAGTGATCTATGTGTCTGTTTTTATTTATGTGGGTACCATGCCTTTTTGGTTACCTTAGCTGTGTAGTGTAATTTATAGTCAGGTAAGTGATTCCTACAGTTTTTTTTTGTTGTTTTTTTTTTTTGCTTAGTATAGCTTTGGCTATTCTGGGTGTTTTGTGGTTCCACATACGTTTTAGAGTGTTTTTCTATTTCTGTGAATAATGTCATTGGCATTTTGATAGGGATTGCATTAAATCTGTAGATTGCTTTGGGTAGTATGGACATTTTAGCAATATTGATTTTTCCAATTCATGAATAGATTGGTCCAATTTTGTTTTCTGTTATAATAAGGCAGCACTGAGTTCAATGCCTCACAAATACTGTGATCTCCTTCTCCCCAGCACACAAAAATGTTCTCTGCACCATGCCACTGCTGCTGCGGGAGAGAGGAGGTGTGATGTCAGCAATTCAAGACGGTTTTTCCTGCCTCTTCAGTGCCTCTTTTAGTAATACGAAGTTAAAGCCAGGTACTCACCTGATTTTTGGTTCTTATAAAGGTGCTATTTTATGTAGTTAGTTGTTAAATTGGTGTCCTTGAAGCAGGGACAATTGGCGGAGCCTTCTATTCTGCCATCTTGTTCTGCCCCAAGTCCTCATATATCATCTTTTATGAAGCACCCATTCAAATATTTTGTGCAGAACTCAAAACATGTAACCTGAAGTCTGTGGCTTGTCTTTATAAGGTTTGGCTTGATTTGCCTTTTAAGTGGAGTCCTTTGTATTCTTCCAAGGTGGAGGTAAATGTCTATCAGGAGTGGCATGGAACAAAGATAAATCTGTATTTCTGTCAGTCAAATAGAAATTTATCAAATTTTACTGATGCTGATAATAATATGTAAGAACTTTACCTTATAATGACATCTGGGGAAGATTAGACACTCCTTTTGTAATGCCATGTTTGACTAATATAACCAATGCAAAAAATATACTTATTGATATTCCTTCATCATTATATTCTGTTCTTAAACACTTGTGCATTTTCTATATGAGATCCATGTGAAACAGAAGTAACATAATTAGCTGTAGGAGATATCAACATAAAATAGAACTAAGATTGCAAGGACAAAGGCATACATGGTTTAAATCCTGTCTCTTCCTCCATCTCTCCTGTAGCTCTTTCTCCTTTTTTTCCCTTTCCCTCCATCCCTCTTCCTCCTTCTCTCCCTCCACACTTGTCTGTGTGCGGTTGAGAAAACTTTAATGGAGCAATTGCAGCTTAACTATTGACCTCCACACTTTTCTCATTTGTGAATAGCATGAATTGTTTTTTGGATAGTTTTACATCCAAAGAGTATTTTTCAGTGGTAAGGCCATTTCCTATGTGTGATAAAACTGAAAAATGAACCTGTACAAAGCACTATATTGGCCATCCTATTTCCGAGAAGGCACGGAAGCAAGTTTATGTACTTTCCTGGGAATGTTAAAATGTCAGCTAGGAGTGCTTTCTACACTATTTATGCTTACCCAGGTGTATATATGCCACACATAGCTGAAAAGGGATACATGTATTGTTTTCAGTTTGAACATTATAACTTTTTTTTTTTTTTTGTCTAAGGGGAAATATATTCTTTAAGAAGAAACTATCACATACTTCTCATCCAGGCTGTTCTTTGGGTCGTGGGGGCTCAGTTGTGATAAAAGGTGAAGTTAGAACTAGTTAATGGAGAACTAGCTCCCATTATGCCACTTCCTGGCCAAATCAGGGACTGACCATGGGACTGCCCCATATGTGAACCTATGTTGCCTTCACTGAGACTGGGGACTTTGAGAAGCACTGGCATATTTGGAAACTTTATGCAGCAGTTGACTGGTCTAAAAACTACACAGATGAAATCTCTCTCAGAAGAAATATATTCTTAACTATCCTACTCTCTTTCTCCTCTATAATAAATGTTATAAAGGTTTGCCCCTGTGTTTGTTTTACTTTACATGTGAAACAAAAATTTTCATGGGTAAATGAGTTAAAGTATTTGGCTTTTAGCTCAAACAAATGAGATGTTAGTTTAAGAATAGACCTCCACTTATAGGCTGATTTATAACATTTGCATTGGAGGATATGGAAAGGATATAATGAAAACACAAAAATTTCCGTGGCATTTTAAATTTTCATTTTTTTATCAAGAAAAATTGAGTTCTTGTTGAAATAACCTGTACAAAACCTGCTTTAAAAAATAGTTTTTGATGTTGCTTACATGCAAATGATTATATTATAAATAAGAAAAATTTGAATTTAAATATCTCATGAAAATAGAACCATAAAATATTTTAGGTTGAGTATGACAAAAGGAAGTGTTTAGAAGATTTTTTTATTGACAAATTTATTTTGAATTTTCTTCTAAGAACCCAAGATATATTTTCCTTTAGAGAAAATGATCTGAGGCATGCTAGAGGGTATGTATTGACAGCTGTCCTAAACTATTTTCCTATTAAATCTCTATGGGTTAAAATAAATCAACACTCTATCAGGTGTTATAATGTTGAAGTATGAGCTCATTTCCTTGTAAAGTGCAACTCTTAGATTGTCAGACTGGCTTTTTATATAGGAAGAGGAACCCATTTTCTCCATCTTACTCAGTATGTCCTCATGTATCTGAGTTTGTGGATTCTTTCACCTTTGGCTCTTGGTTCCTGGCTTTGATCAATGTGTTTTGATCTCAGTTGGAAATCAAAATGTGGAAAGAACAATGGATGGCTCCTCTCTCTCTCATACCAAGAATTGGAGTTAGAGAACACAGATCGCATCTTAAGAAATAATCATTTCAAATGTTAGCCATTCCTAGATTTCTGCCAGATATTAGCCATGTAGAAAACTGACGCTATTTGTTGTTTTATCTAAATTTTCGTTTTTTAAAATGCATCTTAAGATGTAAAGTACTACTATTTATGGGCAAAAAATATCGGGTTTATTTGAGAATTCTTTAATGCGCCACTCAAATGCTTGTTTGACCCAAATCCATTTTCTTACAGTCTTAGTCTATTTGTGCTACTATTACAAGACACTACAGAATGGGTAATTTATAGAATATAGAAATTTATTTCTCACAGTTCTGGAGGCCGAGAAGTCCAAGATCATGGCACCAGCTGGTTGGTTGTCTGGTAAGGGTCTGCTCTCTGCTTCTAGGATGGCACCTTGCTGCTGTGTCCTCTGATGGTAAACTGTGGGGCAGAAAGTCAAAAGGGGTGAAGAGTGTCTGAGGCCTCTTTTGTAAGAGACTTAATCCCATTCATAAGGGAGGAATCTTCATGGCCCTATCACCTCTTAAAGGCCTTGCCTCTTAATATTAGCATATTGGCAACACCTGAATTTTAGATGGGAGACATGCAAACCATAGCACCTGCCTTTTCCTGCTTTGCTCTCTAAATTAGGGAAACTCATTTCTCTGGCTGTCTTGCACTCTAGCTTCCAGATAGGTTTGCTTAATGGGAGTTACTGGTGGTAGACTGGAAGACGAGAATGATGGGAGAAGCCAGGATATTCTACCCCTAGTCAGATGCCTCTTATAGCATCTCTGGTTGTGAATTGTCTTCTCGGTAGCTCCAAGCCTAACTGAGTTCCTCCCACCTTGGTCCCACCAGTGCGTATTCCAGTGTTCTAGCTCCTGCCAGAGAGCCTGACATCTGGCCTCTAATAACAAAATCTTCCATTGTCCCTCTAGCATGAGGGTTGGTGGCAGCTTCCAGCTGTTGTCAATCTCTGTGTTGATTTGCTGTCTCTTTTTAGCCTCTCAGACCTTCCATCACCTGAAAACCCAATTTGCTTATAATGATATCCTTGCGTTTGAAAAAACTGAAGTGGTTCTTTTATTTCCTGGCTGAGCCTTCCTGATATCTTAGCAAACAAATAAGGAGGGAGGAGCATCCTGCTACTGCTGTGGTGGTGTAAGCCCACCCCAGCTGTCTCACCTGCCATTGACAACTAGAAACTGAAAACAAAATAAACAGCAACGTGAGGACTCCAAAAACTAAATGAAAGCACAGGATTTTGGAGGGGAATCACAGCTTGGAGAAGTGAAATGTTTGGAAGTGGGGTTTCCTGTTTATCTTTTCTCTCACAGTCTTACCCTGAGGGCAGGCCTCAGCCATTGAGTTGCACGTGGCACATGTAGCTGAAACTGATATAAATTTAACTTTTTGTTTGTTTGTTTGTTTTTGGCCAGAGAAACCAGAGAAGGGAGCTTCAGTGGGTCAGAGAATTTGGGGAGAAATTCTACAGGGAAGAAAGACAGGAAAGGGTTCTCCTACTTCTGTGTATTAACCAGAACTAATTTTAGACTAAACCTTGAGATATGCATGCATGAGGCACAATCAAAGATGTATAGCCAAGGCTTCGGGAACTTAAATGAAATCTGAACCACCTGCACAAGTCTCCTGAATAGCACGTGCATGGAACAGACCCAAACCAATGTTGCAGAGACCGAAGGAAGTCAATGGAAATTAAAACTACCCTTACAGAAGGAAAATACTATAATGTGTAAACCTAAACAGGTTGAATGCCTTCTAAAATACAGGCTGGGCACAGTGGCTCACACCTGTAATCCCAGCACTTTGGGAGGCTGAGGCGGGCAAATCACCTGAGGTCAGGAGTTCGAGACCAACCTGGCCAACATGGTAAAACCCCAGCTCTACTAAAAATACAAAAATTAGCCGAGCATGGTTGTGGGCACCTGTAATCCCAGCTACTCGGGAGGCTGAGACAGGAGAATCGCTTGAACCTGGGAGGTGGAGGTTGCAGTGAGCTGAGATTGTGCCACTGTACTCCAGCCTGGTTGACAGAGCGAGACTCCATTTCCAAAAAACAAACAAACAAACAAAAATACAAACTTCAGCATTCTCTATAAGTTTATAACAGGACTCAGCCTTTGCAGCATAATGCTCACAATGTTTTAAAAAGCAACTCAAAATTACTTAAAATTCAAAGAATCAGAAAACTGTGACCAATTCCCAAGGGAAAGCAAGACACACACACACACACACACACACACACACACACACACACACACCCATGAAATGACCCAATGTGTCAACTATCAGATGATGATTTGAAAGCAGCTATTATAACTAGGCTCCATGAGGTACAGGAAATCACACTTGGTATTACATGGCTGTTGTGCTTTTAATGATACTTATAAGGATAATAATTTTGGATTGGATTGCTTTTTTATTGCGGTAAGTACGCATGTAAAATTTATCATTTTCACTTTTTTAAAGTATAAGTTCTGTGGCATTAAGTACATTCACACTGTGTGCAACCACCACCAGCACTCAGCTCCAGAACTCTTTTCATCATCCGAAACTGAAACACTGTACCCATTAAACAATAACTCACCATTCTATCCCCCAGCTTACAAACTTGCAGAAGCCAGGCAGAGGCACTGAACTGTCAGAGGAAAGGTGAACATAACAACCATGGTAGTCAGCAAGACTGGAATGATGAAAATGGTGCCCGGAGTTACAGAGAGCTATGATGAGAGCTAACGGATCGTGGGACTCTGAGCAGTGAGATAGATGGGAAGCTCAACTAGGATGTTACCCTATTTTGTTATTTTAAAAAAAACACAGCTGGGAAGTAGAAGTTTAGTGTCTGTTCTTGCAGTGAAAAATCGTGGTCTTTCATTCAGTTTTCAAATCTAAATTAGTTAACAAACCCAGAGCCCTGTGATTGGAGGTGAGCCTGGTATTCTTCTTTTTGAAGAAGGATACTGTGATGCCATTAGAAGTATATGAGATGACTACTCCATTGATCCTTCCTTAAACAGACCTGATGTCATTTTCCAGGATAACTTTGTAGTGAGGAATCAGGATTGTTCATTGTGAGGTCTGAATTAACATTAATACTAGGGAACCCAAAACATTATCATGGTCTCCCGAAGACTGAGCCCTTGTCTCAAGTTTACTTCACGCCATACCCATTTAGTCACAGGGCCCATTTTGCAGTTATTTCTGGAGTTTCTGCAAGTGTAATTGGGACAGATAAAATTAGCAGCTGGCAGAATTTCTGACTTGTGTATGTCTATCTATGGAGTAACAGCCATTATGATAGAAGGAATTAGTTGAAGTTCTTGAAAATGTCCTCCCACATCCTGGCCAAGATGATTAATCAGAAGCAATACTGGGAAGGACTGTACTGGCACTAACGCAAAAGACCTGCAGGATGCAGAAATGGTGGTTCCCATCAAAGCCCCACTCCATTCACCATGCTTGAAGCACTGCCTAACAAGAAAGCTCAATTGTGTCTGCCTATGGCAGCAGCTGTCTTGAGAAACCAAGAAACACAACCTGCAAGGCTGGAGGATTTAACTCCTTGTGGGGCATGGGAAATGGATGAAGAGGGTGCTGGCAGAAAAATACTCCTTTTTTCCTCCTCATGGTGGTCTATCCCAAGATGGAGTCATTCAAATAGCCTATTGCAGAGGCCTTGTGAGACTGAGCAATCAGCTGCATTTATTATGAGGCTGTGGTCAGCTTTGTAAAACACCATGTTGAGTTCTCTCTCATTCTTCTCTAGCTCACTGCCCTCTCTCACTTCTGCTTCTCTGAGGCTGCACACCCCCAATAAAATATCAGCACAGAAGCTTTCCTCTTAGGCTCTGTTTTCAATGGGACTGGAGGAAAGACAGAAAGGATCCAATTTCTGATGATGTTTGTTTATTGGTTTGGCTTTACTAAACAATTCCGAGTCCTCCAAAGTCAATATATTTTCATAACATTTTACAAATAGCCTATTTCCATCCCATTTTTGAACCCAAGGGAGATTATCATAGTTAGAAATGGAACTATAAGTCCTAGATGTTCAAATCTTTTCCTCCATTGCTATAGATAGGTAAAGAAAAGCAGGCCAGGCCTGGTGGCTCATGCCTGTAATCCCAGCACTTTGGGAGGCTGAGGTGGGCACATCATCTGAGTTCAGGAGTTCAAGACCAGGCTGGACAACATGGCGAAACCCTGCCTCTACTAAAAATAAAAAAATTAGCCGGGCGTGGTGGTGGGTGCCTGTAATCCCAGCTACTCGGGAGGCTGAGGTAGGATAATTGCTTTAACCTGGGAGGTGGAGGTTGCAGTGAGCCAAGATCTCACCACTGCACTCCAGCCTGGGTGACAGAGCAAGACTCCATCTAAAAAAAAAAAATAATAAAGGCAAGAAAACAAGAGCCTCTTGTCTATCTAGCTGTATTGAGTCCTTTTTAGGATTTTAGGAAATATTTCTGGAAAGGATGACTCTTATGGAATGGTAGAGGCAGCTCAGTGAACTAGGAACAACAGAAGTAAAAGCTCAGGTACAAGAAATAATCGGGTGCTTTAGAAGAACATCTGCATCTCAGCAAAACTTGAACAAAAAGCTCAGGTGGGACATGGCAGGAAATGGACCCAGGGCCAGGTAAATACCTGGTGATAGAAGTCCTTGTAGGCCAGTGTAAGTAATGTGAATTTTATTCTGCATGTTTCATAAACCACCTGCCTCAGAATCACCTAGAATGCTTGTTAAAAATACATTTAATGCATTTTCTTAGACACTAAGCCAGATGTACCAAATCACAATCTCTTAAGAGAGGGCCTGGGAATCTATATTTTGAATACTTCAAGGTGTTTCTTAGCACACTAAAGTTTGGGAACACCTGGTAGTGCCTTGAAAAGTTTTTGTTAGCATTGTTTCATAGTTAGATTCTGTCTAGACCATTCTGGCATCAGTGAGAAGGATAGGTCCAAAAAGGGGGACCCAGATTAGAAACAGAGAGACCATTCATTCATTTATTCAACACATATTTTAAGCACTTCCTATATGCTTGGCAAAAAGGACGTAGGAATGAAGGAATGGATGAAATCTATCTTAATCTGCTTGCTATCTCATGAGGGAGATGAACAACAAACAAGTAAACAACACGCAAACAAGATAATTCCAGATGTGATAAATGCGATAAAGAAAATAAGTGTAATAGTGTGAGAGAGAATAGCTGTGTATCTGTGTGTGCTACAGGGGGATTTATATAGGGTGATCGGGGAAAGCCTTTTGAGGAGCTGACATTTACTCAGATTTGAAGAGGGAGAAACCAGCCATGTGAGAAGCCTGGGGAAAGGATTAGTTCTCCATGCAGAGTGAACAGCTGGTATAAAGGCTCTGAAACAGAAATCAGATCAATATCTCCAAGAAACAGAAAGGGATGGCATAGTGCCTAGAGGGTAAGGAGGGTAGAAGATAGTAGAGAAAGGTATGGTTGTAAAAGTAGAAGAGTAAGGTCATGCAGGGGGACATTAGGCCATAATAGAACATTTGTATTTTATTCTAAGTGTTATTTATTAGTACAAGAAAGAAGTGCAAGTCAGAGGTAGTTCATATATAAAGAGGAGAAGGATATACTTAAGAAATATTTAGAGAATGGGGTAAAATGAAAAAGCCCTAGGTATTTGTTGAATTGGAGCATAAAGGTAGAGAAGGATTCTAGGATGATTCTCAGGTTTGTGATCTGGATTCCTATGGGTAGATCACAGTAACATTATTTGAAAAAGAAAGAATAAGAGTAAGGGTGCATTCGAGGGGATGGAGTATTGGGCACTATTTGAACATGCTGTATTTGAGGAGTTTGTGGAATATACTAGTGATGTATGTGTATATTACAATATTTGACTATACATGATAGGAAACTGAAAATAACAGCCTTTCCTTTTTTTTTTTTTTTTGAGTCAAGTTCTCACAGGCTGAAGTACAGTGGCATGATCATGGCTCACTGCAGCCTCGAACTCCTAGACTGACGTGATCCTCCTAGCTTGGCTCCCAAACTGCTGGGATTACAGGCATAAGCCCTCATGCCTGGCCAAAAGTAACAGTAATTTCAATAAGATGAACATTTATGTCTTTCTCATATCAATAAGTTTCAGAGATAGGAGTACAAGATTTGTACCCAGGTCTTGGTTCATAAAAGTGACTGGGTGACTACATGGAGAAGTCAATGTCAGTGAAAGGAAAGTTTACTGCTACAGTTCCTCTAGAAATGAGAGACACAGCCATGCAAGACTACATAGGAAGCACCAGAATAGGTCAGGAGAGAGGCCAAAGCAGGAGTGAGGGGAAGGCATAGTCCACAGCCTTTAGAGGGGTTTCTGTGGGAAGTTGAGGGTAAACAGTTTAGGGTTGGTGAGTTTGAATAATTCCAGTGAGTCTTCAGGCGTAGGGTCTGTCCCTAGTTGTCTGGAACCTGGCCCTGGGTTGATTTACTATAGTGGGAATATTGGCTTGCTGTGTGAATTAGATAAAGGAGGTGGTTGGAGGTATAAACTCAGGATTAGTTGGTTTGCATGTGAAAGGCGTGCTAGCAGGTGAATTGTTTAGTATTTCTAGGAATTTGTTAGACCTGAAAGGAGCAGTCTTTCCCAGGCCAGCAAGGTCCCCAAGATGGCAAAACATAACAAAAAACATAATCAATTCAAGGCTGGTAGAGCAGCTACATTATTATCAATGATGTTTTTATCTTGTTAATTCTCCATTCTCAACACATGGATCAACCTCAGGGGCCAAGATGGCTCCTCGACCTTCAGATATCACATCTACATCCTATCTAGTGGGAAGAGATGAGGACAAACATGATGTCCCCTTCCTCCAAGGATATCCCTGGCAGTATCATAAACCAGTTTTCTTATATCCCATTGGCAGACATCTGAGGAAGAGTTTGTGAAAGAAAGCGAGGGATTGGTCTGGAATAAGTGGGCGCACCAGAGCAGGCTGCGAAAGCCAAGGGAGTGGAGACTTTAGGAGAGAGGGATCAAAATTATAATGTGGCCAAGACAGGCAGCAGATCAGAACTGCCGAGTGTCCTTTGGGATAGTTCAAATGAAGGGTCACTACTGTCGTAGCAAATTTAAGGGAAAAGTAAAGAAGAAATAAAAGAGAAGTGGGGAAATAGACAAGGCAGCAAGCATGAACTGCTCTGCTGAGGCTTAGCTGCTGAGGAAAAGTAGGAAATTAGAGGTCACATAGAATTAAGAGATTTTTATTGCAGATATTAGATTCACAATCTTTAATGTGATATATCCACAAAGGGTAAAATATTTAGAAAAAATAGAGACTGGCTGGTAAGTAAAAGCAGAAATATTGAAATAATTGTTGAATGCGGTTCTTATTGAGGTCTTTTGAAATGTATAGTAACTTATAGGGCACTAGAACAAGCTAAAAAAGTGTATGAATCACTAAGTCCTCATTCTGAAAATGGTTAAGATGAAAGTGATTGACAACTCACATTTCTTTCCGTGCGAGAAGCTGACTGCAGGGTTGGTGTATGCAGCAATGGAAGGCAAGTTTAGCCTATGTGCATTTGTCTTTAATTTGACCATATAAACAACTACTTATTTTTTTCTAATGACACCGTTTCATAAATATCAATTTAATTGGATTTTGTTTTCTTCTAGCTTGAATATTCTCCTAGAGGAAATGTTTAACATGAGATTTTATTTAGACAGGTAGTGAAAAATCAGTATGATACTTATGGAAGAGAGTATGAGTGCCATATCTAAATGAAAAGTTTTTAAGGAAGACTTCCTTGGGAGTGGTTTATTACATAATCTGTCAGATGGTCTCAGTGCCAAATGGGCAGAATTTAGAGATCATTAAAAGACTTAAATATTAATGTGACTTGTACTTTCATGAGCAACCAAATTATTGGTATTCAACTAGCATTTCTTACTCTTTAACAGGAAAAAAAATACCCTCTCATTTTCTTCCTAATACTCAACAGTGCCCAATTATGTCACTGATCTTGCTACAACTGCTGCACTTGACATCTAATAAATCTGATTCTAAATTGGTTTGTAGTCGAATTTTGAAAAAGATCAATAGATTCATTTATGTGGACTCTTGCCCTGCTGCTGAAAACGTGCCTGTACATACAAAGAATGAGATTACCAGATTTGATTCACAACCTCTTGGCTGTCTCAGTACACCTGGAATACTGTATAACTAATGAAGAATTAAATTAGTAGTACTACTGGTCAGACCTGACACTCTTATCTGTGCCTACTCTATAGCAGCAGTGAGATAAGATGTTGATTTCTCCCTCCATGAGCAAACACTCTTGCTTGGATTTTGTAGACTCAAAAATAAACCCTTAACCACCATTATGATCAATAACAGTAATAATAATGATCATGATAGGATTGAATGCCATGCTATTTACATGATTGTATTTTCAAGTAAAAAAAAAAGTATCAGTAAATTATCTTTTAAATTAGTTTGCAGAACTTAAGAAAAACTGATTAAGATTTCATGTAGATGAAACTCATTGAGGAATTTTTTTATTTGAGTGCACTACTAAATTTATTTAAGCAGTTATTGAAGTAATATACTATGCCATTATGTTACTTGATGGTGAATAAAAATGCACTTAGAACTCTCTCTCCTTTTTTTTTTGGAGATAGAGTCTCACCTGTCACCCATGCTGGAGTACAGTGGCGCAATCTTGGCTCACTGTAACCTCCACTTCCTGGGTTCAAGAGATTCTGCTGCCTCAGCCTCCTGAGTAGCTGGGACTACAGGTGCCTGCCACCATGCCTGGCTAATTTTTGTACTTTTAGTAGAGATGGGGTTTCACCATGTTGGCCAGGCTGGTCTCAAACTCCTGACCTCAAGTGGTCTTCCCACCTTGGCCTCCTAAAGTGCTGGGTTTACAGGCATGAGCCAATGTGCCTGGCCAGACAGACTCTATTTTCTTGAGTAACTTATAATTCAGTATAGAGCACAAAATATAGTACAAGACAGAATAAAAGTGTTGTTCTAATAAAAATCTCAACACCCATAACGGTTGCACCAAGAAGGTAGCAATTAATTCCAAATTGGGATTTTGGAGATGGCTTATGTGGAGGTAGGAGAGTTTAAGCTGTCTTCAAGGGAGAGCCAATTGTCTAATAAGCAAGAAGAAGGTAGGATGGTATTTTAGGATAAAAGTATAATCACGACAAGGGAAACATAATATAAAAGGACTTCTTATGCTCTCAAAATACTCCTGCGTAACTGTGGTAGAATGTAGAAGATGAGATGATGAAGGTTGTAGTCATATCATGGGGCTTTTATTTTATTTATTTTTATTTTTTTACAGGCGCCCACCACCTTGCCCAGCTAATTTTTGTATTTTTAGTAGAGACAGGATTTCACTATGTTGGCCAGGCTGGTCTTGAACCCCTGACCTCAGGTGATCCACCCGCCTCGGCCTCCCAAAGTGCTGGGATTACAGGCATGAGTCACAGTGCCCGGCCTCCAATGGGACTTTTTTTTTTTTTTTTTTTTTTGAGGTTAAGAGCGGAAGTTTAATAGGCAAAAGAAAGAGAAAAGCTCTGTTGCTACAGAGAGGTGTCTATCATGGGGCTTTTAAATACCTAGGTAGAAGCTTGGATTTAAATTTCAGGTCAACATCATGTGATGGCCAGTATTTTATGCCTGAAAATAAGAGTCAATATGATTAATTAATGACATAAATTAATGTCAAGTTGCTTTGAAAATTCTCAAAGTGACTGAATACATTTTACACCCTTTGTGAATCTAGTGTCTTTACACAGAGGTGTAAAATATCACTGTACTTTCCAGTCCAAATCTCTGAAATCAGCAGAGCCAAGTTGTATTCCTGGATCTCTTAGTGACTAGCCTTATGACTTGAGTAAGTCATTTCACTTCTGATTCCAGCTTCCACGTCTATAGACTGGAGACAGGAGATTTTGAGGATCAAATGAAATTACAAAAGCAGCACTTGTTTATATCAAAAAGCACTGCATGGGTATAAATTCATCTCAGAAACTCAAGTGTACAAGAAATATAATTTGTTTAGTTTGTTCTTTATTTTTATTAGGATAGAACTTATATATGCCAAAACGTATATACTATGTTTATGTGCAGTTTAAAGAATAATAATAAAATTACCAACTATGTCCTCACAACCAGGCTTAAGAGGCAGTAACTTGAGGTCTCCAAATGGGTTCTCCTTGTTCACTTCTAGATGAAAAGCATTTCTTCTAAAAATATTTTATTGCAAATGTTTCTATAAATGTTTTGTATTTTAATGTCTCTAATCTTTATAGAAATTAAATCACATTGTAAGTATTCTTTTGACTTGTTTTTTGAGTGCAATATCAAGTTTTCAAAATTCATGTATATTTTTATTTTCAATCAATCAGTCAAAAATATTTATTAAGTTTCTTACCTGCCAAGCCCATTTGTAGATGGTGCGGATCTACAGTAAATAAAACAGACAAAAATCCCTGCTCTCATCGAACTAATATTCAAGTGGGAGGGGGTATGTAGTAAATAAACATGATACATGATAGATAGATAGATAGACAGACAGACAGAGACGTAGATAATTCAGCAAAACAAGAATTGAAATGGTACATATATAGCAGGATAGGGGACAATGGAATTAGAGGAGAGTGCTATAATTTTAAACAGAATTGTCAGAGTAGGAAACTCTGGGAAGGAGCTTGTGTTCAAAGTTCTTTACAGAAAAAGAAAAAAATGGGATGTATATATGTACATATGTAAATGTATGTGTGTGTATATGTATTTATGAGAGAGAGAAGGATGCATTTTAAGGAATTGGCTTGAGATTATAAAGGCTGGCAAAACTCTTATCTGCAGAGTGCGCCAGTGGGCTGGAGACCCAGGAAGGGTTGATGCTTCAGAATTCCCTCTTACTAGGGAGAAGTCAGTCTTTTATTCTGTTCAAGCCTTCAGCTGATTGAATGAGGCACACTCAGATTAAGGAAAGCAATCTGCTTTACTCAAAGTCCACCAATTTAAATTTTAGTCTCATCCAAAAATACCCTCTTAGAAACATCCAGACTAATATTTGATCATATTTAGCCCACCCAAATTGACACAGAAAATTAACCATTACAGAACTTTGTAAGCAAATAACCAGTAAGTTGGAGGATTTAGTCATGTGGTGACTTGGGAGAGAACATTTGGGAAAGAGAGCAGAACTAATGCAAAAATCCCAAGGTTCTCTCAAGAATGGTGTAATTGAGGAACATCAAGGAGGCCAGTGTAATGAAAGAGAAGTGAGTGAAGGGCAAAGATGGTAGAAGATGAAGTCAGAGAGGTAATGGGGTCAGATATGTAAATTTTATGGATGATTCTAAGGTTGTGGCTTTTATTTTCAAAGGGCAATGGAGAGCCACTCTAGGGTGTTGCACAATGAGTAATTTGACTAAACATTTAAAAACAAATTTTGCAGCTGCGGTGCCACAGAAAGACAAATGTAGAAGAAAACAAACAAAAAAAGAACCTCTAAAAAACCCCAAAACCTACTGTGCTAAGTATTGCAGTAAAATTTCCTCAAAATAGTGGTTGTCAATCTAGGGTGGTAACTGGAGATTTTGAGAAGGGATGGATGTGTGTATATACTTTAATGACAGATTGAATATTGGGTGAGAGGGAAGAAAAGTCAAAGATGAATTCAATGATTTGGCCTGAACAACCTTGGAGGATGAAGTTGTCATCAGCTGAGCCGGGAAAGACTGAGAAAGATATAGATTTTTGCAGATTATCAGAAATTCAATTTTGGAGATTTAAATTTAACATGTCTCTTAGACATCTGAGTGGAAATATCAAATAAGAAGCTGAAAGTTATATAAGAGTCTGGAGTTTAGGAAGAGGTCTTAGCCAAAGATACGTTAGAATAGGTCAATGGTGTTTAAACTTATGAGACTGGGTGACATTACTAATGAAGAGAAGAAATAATAGACAAATAGTGAGCTCTGGAATATCAACATTAAGAGTTCAGAAGGAAGAAGAGAAACTACAAAGGAACCTAAGGACAAACCAATGAGGTAGAAAAACAAACAAACAAACCAAGAGTGATGTCCTTGAGGCCAAACAAAGAGTAGCAATTGGGAGAAAATGTCAACTGTGTCAGATGCAACTGATTGGTCCAGTAAGATAAAAACAGAAATGATAGGATTTAGTAATGCAGACATCATAGATTACTTTGAAAGTTATGGTGTCAGAGTAGTGATGGTGGGTAAGTAAAGACCTAATTAGAATGAATTTAAGAGTGACTGGGAAAAGTTTCAGAGGAAGCCTGTATAGGAAATCCTCTGGGAGACTTTGAGACAAAAGGAAGTTGAGAAATGGAATGGTAGATGATGGAGGAATTAGAGTCAAGAGAGAGTTTTTAAGGGATGAGGATTTGTCGTTGTTGTTAAGTTGTTTGAGTTCTTTGTAGTTTCTGGATATTAGTCCCTTGTTGGATGCATAGTTTGAAAATATTTTCTCCCATTCTGCAGATTGTTCACTGTTGATTATTTCTTTTGCAGTGCAGAAGCTTTTAAGTTTAATTAAATGCCATTTGTCTCTTTTTGTTTTTGTTGCTTGTGCTTTTGACGTCTTAGTCGTGAATGTGTTGCCTAGGCCAATGTCCAGAAGAGTTTTCCCTAGGTTTTCTTCTAGTATTTATAGGAGAGAATGGGAAGGAGATGAGAGATGAGAAATTACTTAATGGGAAAATGTGCATTATTTGGGTGATGGATACACTAAAACCCCAGACTTCATCCCTATACCATATACCCATGTAATAAAATTGCATTTGTACCCCCTAAATTTATACAAACAAAGATGGGAGAGTTAACAGCATATTTATATGCTGATGAAAATGTTCTAGCAGAGAGTGTAAAAAATGAGGGTATAAGTGAAGTAGAATCGCTTAAGTGAGGCCCATAAGCAGATGACAGGAAATGAAATCTTACATCCAAGTGAATAATTAGTTTTAGGAAGGTATGTGAGCAGGAAAAAAAAAAGTGGACAGAGTACAGGTGCTAGTAGGTGGGTAGACTGAGGGAAAATCTGTGGAAATTCTCTTCTGATGGCTTCAGTTTCCTTGGTAAAATAGAAAGGTCATCAACAGAGTGGGTATGAGGCAGGAGTACTGGAGATTTGAGAACAGAGGAGAAAGTTATGTAAAAGAGTGGGAGAGAGAATGGATCAGGGAAATATGTAATTGGGTAGCAGCACGAGGCCCACTTGAATTTGGGGCTTATGGTCATGAGTTGAAAATGGCAACTCTAGTATGGCTTTGTGTTTCTCCCTAGCTCTGTTGAGTTTTAAGAGTACAAAGAGATATATTTTTAAAGCATAATTCTGATCATTCAACTTCCTTTTAAGATCCTTCAATGATTTATTTCCATACCTAAAATGAAACCCAAATTACTTACCAGGGTCCATAACTCTGATATCACTCTCCCCTTATTCACAACACTCTAGCCATACCGACCTTTTTATCGATAACTACATTCCCATATCTTTACCTCATCAATTGGCCCTTTGGTGAAATATCAGTTCCCAGACCAAAGTCTTCATTGATCTCTTCACACTAATCAGTTTCTCTATCTGCGTATTGTTTTATTTTCTTCATAGTATGATCACTATTATAAATGAACTTACTTATTCATGTGATTTTTAAAAAATTCTGGCCAGGCACGGTGGCTAGTGCCTGTAATCCCAGCACTTTGGGAGGCCGAGGTGTACAGATCACCTGGGGTCGGGAGTTCGAGACCAGCCTGACCAACATGGAGAAACCCCATCTCTACGGAAAATACAAAAAATTAGCCAGGCCTGGTAGCGCATGCCTGTAATCCCAGCTACTCAGGAGGCTGAGGCAAGAGAATCACTTGAACCCAGGAGGCGGAGGTTGCGATGAGCCGAGATTGTGCCATTGCACTCCAGCCTGGGCAACAAGAGTGAAACTCCATCTCAAAAAAAAAAGAAAAATTCTTTTCCCAGCTCAATTATAATAAGAGTACAGGCTGAATTGACATAGCTTTCTGCCAAATTCCTAGTAACACTCACATAGAGTATGTAATGTATGCCCTCAATAAGTAGTGGTTGAATGAATGATTGTATCTGGACATAACCTAGTAAAATATTAGAACAATAAAGATAAAGAAAGTTCCTTAAAGTTTCTTAATATTTTCAGGAACAAGAATTTGATTGGCTTCAGACTACTCATTTACAAAGCTAGCTGCTAGAAGACATGGAACAATACTTTTAAGGTTATGTGGTAGAAAAAGATTTCAAACCAGCATTCTAGAAAGTGTTAAATAAATAAAATATTAATGGGAGGGGGAAGACAGGATGGTTGACTAGACACAGTCAGATGGAACAGCTGCCACCAAGGGACCAAGATGGCTTGTGTACTCCTAGCAGATCTTCAGAAGGAAGGCACTGAGAGTGGATAGAGGAAAGACACAGAAGCTAGGCTGAAGAGGGAGGAAGCTGGGAACCATACAAGGGCCTACTGCATACCTGAACTTTTTCCTGGCCCTCAGTGACTCTGGGGGACCTGGTGAGTTGAACTAGCAAGGAGCAGCCCACTCTCACCATGGGCCTCTGTAACCCCAGCAAGAGGAGATCCCACAATTATCATGGACACTTGGGTTGGCAGGGAGAGCTGCTTAGAATAGTGGTAGGGGCAGAAAGCCAGCTGATGTGGAGCCCAGAGAGTTTGGTGCAGGAGTGTCTGTAGTGGGGCACGACCAGAAATGGCTACCCACTAGGCTCAACTTACTCCCAAAGGAGACTCTAATCCTAGTGGAACTGTTGGTTCTGAACTCTATAGGTCAGTCTTGCCCATCTCATGGGGCTGATCTGACCTGAGCACCTCTTGGTCTGCTGGCCTCTCCCAGGGCCGCAGTCTGGCCATGCCTGCTTGTAGGACAGCCTCAGGTGCCCTGTGGCCCACATCATAGCTTCTGCACTGTTGTACCATGCCTGATGAGTGGAGAGCTCCAGTAGGGTGGCCCCCATGGTCATGCACCAACCTGCATGCTCTTTACCAACACTGCAGCTTCCCCTTGGCCCACAACAACTCCCCACATTGCTTTGCTGGTATGTGTCTGTGTGGGCAGGTTTTTATTTCCTTGCCCCATCAGGGTGCAAGTGTGCATGTACCCCACCCAGTCACTGCTGTGGTGGGAGTGCAGTCTACCCACCTCCTCCACTGACTGCCTTTGCAGACAGAGCCTTGATGGGCACAGAGCCAGCCAGCCCCAACTCCATCAGCACCCTGCCCTTGCACTAAGACTACCACAAGAGTAAAACTAGACATAGAGAATGGCAGATCTTCCCCTGCCCTGAGTGATCACTCCTGCTTACAGTGCATAGGAAAGGCATATAGACCTGCACCTGCCAGTGCCCCACTGCTGGAGCCAACACGACCATCAGTGCAACCATGCACACAGTCACCAGCAGGGGCCCCTGCTCCCCTCCAGCTGCATTGCCTCCGCCAGTGTGGTGAATGCCCACAGGGAGGCAGGCACCCCAGCACCCACTAACACCCTGCCGCAGATGACAAGCATGCACCCCACCAATAAGCACTGCCACTACCACTGCTGCTGGCATATGCAAACAAAAATGGATCTTGCTCTCACCACACTTGGAAATGCTTTGGCTGACATTGGAGTGTAGTGACCAGTGGTATGGGAGCTGTTTGGCCTCCTCAGTGCAGTGGATTCCTAACCTTGAGGAGCCAGAGAACAAAGTCAGGGCCCAACACAAGTTCCCTAGAGTTAGAGCATGTAGTCCAGGAGTTGGGAGCTGAGTGTTGGTCCCCTAAAATTTTCCAGAAACCAAGCCAGTTGGCTGAATCCACCTTATACCACAGTCAAACCCTTGGGTCACCAAATAGGATAAAATACAAAAAAAAATCCAAAAGTCAGCAACCTCAAAAATTGAAGGAACATAAACACACAAAGATGAGAAAGAGCCAGCACAAGAACCCAGACAACTAAAAAAGCCAAAGTGCCTTCTTTCCTCCAAAAGACTGTTTTATCTCCCCAGCAGGGGTTGTGAACCAGGCTGAGATGGCTGAAATGACAGAAATAGAATTCAGAACATGGATATGAACAAAGATGACTGAGCTACAGGAGTACATTAATACCCAATCTAAGGGTGCTAAGATTCATGATAAAACAATACAGGAGCTGACAGACAAAATAGCCATATAGAAAAGAACACAAGTGACTTGATAGAGCTGGAAAACACATTACAAGATTTTTGTAATGCAATCGTAAGTATTAATAGCAGAATAGAACAAGCAGACAAAAAGATCTCAGCTTGAAGACTGGCTTTCTAATATAAGTCAGTGAGACAAAAATAGAGAAAAAAGAATGAAAAGGAATAAACAAAACCTTCAAGAAATACGGGATTATGTAAAGAGACCACACCTATGACTCACTGTGTCCCTGAAAGAGATGGGGAGAATGGAAGCATCCTGGAAAACATATTTCAGGATATCATCCATGAGAACTTCCCCAACCTATCTAGAGAAGCCAACATTCAAATTTAGGAAATGCAGAGGACCCCAACTGGATACTTCACAAAGAGATCATCCCCAAGACACACAATTATCAGATTCTTCAAAGTAGAAATGAAAGAAAAAATGTTAAAGGCAGCTAGAGAGAAAGAACAAGTCACCTACAAAGGGAAGCCCATCAGACTAGCAATCGATTTCTCAGTAGAAACCTTATAAGCCAGAAGGGGTTGGGGGCTCATATTCAACAGTCTTAAAGAAAAGAAACTCCAACTCAGAGTTTGATATCAAGCAAAACTAGGCTTCATAAGTGAAAAAGAAATAAGAACCTTTTGAGATAAGCAAACGCTGAGGGCATTTGTTACCACCAGGCCTGCCTTACAAGAGCTTCTGAAGGAAGCACTAAATACTAAATATGAAAGGAAAGACCTTTACCAGCCACTACAAAAGCACACTGAAGTACACAGACCAATAACACTATAAAGCAACCACATAAACAAGTCTGAAAAATAACCAGCTAACATCATGATGACAGGATCAAATTTACACATATCTTTACCAACCTTGAATATAAATGGGCTAATGCCCTGATTAAAAGGCACAGAGTGGCAAACTGGATAAAGAACGAAGACCCAATCACACACTGGGGCCTGTCATGGGGTGGGAGGAGGGGGGAGGGATAGCATTAGGAGATATACCTAATGTAAATGGCGAGTTAATGGGTGCAGCACACCAACATGGGGCATGTATACATATGTAACAAACCTGCACGTTGTGCACATGTACCCTAGAACTTAAAGTATAAAATAAATAAATAAATAAAGAACAAAGACCCATTGGTATGCTGCCTTCAAGAGTCCCATCTCACATGCAATGACACACATAGGCTCAAAATAAAGGGATGAAGAAAAATCTACTAAGCAAATGGAAAACAGGAATAAACAGGGATTGCAATCCCAGTTTCTGACAAAATAGACTTCAAACTAACAAAGATAAAAAAGACAAAGGGCATTATGTAATAGTAAAGGGTTCAATTCAACAAGAAGACCTAACTATTCTAAATATATATTCACCCAACACAGGAGCACTCAGATTCATAAAGCAAGTTCTTAGAGACCTTGAAAGAGACTTTGACTCCCATACACTAATAGCAGGATATTTTAACACACCACTGACAATATTAGACAGATTATTAAGAGACAAAATTAACAAAGATATTCAGGACCTGTACTCAGCACTGGGTCAAATGAACCTGATAGACATTTACAGAACTCTTCACCCCAAAACAACAGAATGTAGCCACGTGGCACATACTCTAAAATTGATCACATAATTGAAAATAAAACACTCCTCAGTGAATGAAAAATAACCAAAATCACAACAAACAATCTCTTAGACAACACTGCAAGCAAATTAGAAATCAAGACTAAAAAATTCACGAAAATCATACAATTACATGGGAATTAAATAACCTGCTCTTGTGCAAATTTTAGTAAATAATGAAATTAAGGCAGACATCTAGAAGTTCTTTGAAACTAATGAGAACAAAGATACAACATACCAGAATCTCTGGAACACATCTAAGACAGTGGTAAAATGGAAATTTATAATACTAAATGCCCACATAAAAAAGTTAGAAAGATCTCAAGTTAACAACATAACATCACAACTAAAAGAACTAGAGAACTAAGAGAAAACCAACCCCAAAGTTAACAGAAGACAAGAAATAACCAGAATCATAGCTGAATTAAAGGAAATTGATACATAAAAAACCATTGAAATGAATTTAGAGCTGGTTTTTTGAAAAAATGATAGACCACTAGCTAGAGTAATAAAGAAGAAAAGAGAGATCCAAATAGACACAATCAAAAATGACAAAGGGAATATTACCACTGATCCCACAGAAATACAAATGACCATTAGAGAACATTGTGAACACTTCTATGCACAAAAACTAGAGAATCTAGAAGAAATAGGTAAATTCCTGGACACATACACCCTCTCAAGACTGAAACAGGAAAAAATTGAATCCCTGAACAGACCAATAATGAGCTCTGAAATTGAGGCAGTAATAAATAGCCTACCAACCAAGAAAAGCCCCAGATGGATTCACAGCTGAAATCTACCAGATGTACAAAGAAGTGCTGGTACCATTCCTGCCAAACTGTTCCAAAAATTTGAGGAGGAGAGACTGCTCCCTAACTCATTCTATGAGGCCAGCATCATCTTGACACTAAAACCTGACAGGGACATAACAAGAAAAGGAAACTTTGGGCCAATATCATTGATGACCATTGATGCAAACATCCTCAACAAAATACTGTCAAACTGAATCCAGCATCACATCAAAAAGTGTATCCACACAATGAAGTAGGCTTTATCCCTGGTATGCAATGTTGGTTCAACATACACAAATCAATAAAATGTGATTCATCATATAAACAGAACTAAAGTAAAAAACCACATGATTATCTCAATAGATGCAGAAAAGGCTTTCAATAAAATTAAACATCCCTTCATGTTAAAAACTCTCAATAAGCTAGGTATTGAAGGAAACTACTTCAAAATAATAAGACCCCTATATGACAAACCCACAGCCAACATTAGAATAAATGGGCAAAATGTGGAAACATTCACCTTGAAAATCAGCACAAGACCAGGACACCCTCTCTCACCACTCCTATTCAACATAGTGTTGGGTTCTGGCCAAAGCAATCAGGCAAGAAGGAAGTAAATGGCATCCAAACAGGAAGAAAGTCAAATTATCTCTTTGTAGATGATATAATCCTATATTAGGAAACCCCATCTCAAACCAAAAGTTCCTTCAGCAGATAAACAATTTCAGCAAAGCCTCAGGATACAAAATCAATGTGGAAAAATCACTAACACTCTTATACACCAACAACAGTCAAACCAAGAGCCAAATCAGGAATGCAATCCCATTCACAATTGCTACACACACACACATACATGCACACACAAACAATATAGGAATAAAGCTAACCAGGGAAGTGAGAGATCTACAAGGAGAACTACAAAACACTGTTCAAAGAAATTAGAGATGACACAAATGAATGGAAAAGCATTCCATGCTCATGGATGGAAAAAATCAATATTGTTGAAATGGCCATACTGATGAAAGCAATTTATAGATTCAATGCTATTCCTATTAAACTGACATTGACATTCTTCACAAAACTAGAAAAAACTATTTTAAAATTCATATGAAAACAAAACAAAAATACCCCACAAATATGCAAGGCTATCCTAAGCAAAATGAACAAAGGTGGTGGCATCACACTACCTGACTTTAATTCAAACTATACTACAGGACTACAGTAACCAAAGCAGCATGGTACTGGTACAAGAACAGACACATAGACCAATGGAACAGAATAGAGAACCAGGACATAAGACCACACACCTTCAACTATCTGATCTTTGACAAACCTGACAAAAACAAGCAATGGGGAAAGGATTCCTTATTGGGAATCCATTTAGGATTAACCAAAGGGTGCTGGGATAACTGGCTAGCCATGTGCAGAAGATTGAAACTGGACCCTTTCCTTACACAATGTACAAAAAATAACTCAAAATGGATTGAAGACAAATATAAACCCTAAAAGTATAAAAACCACAGAAGACAACCTAGGCAATACCATTCTGGACATAGGCATGGGCAAAGATTTTATGATGAAGATGCCAAAAGCAATTGCAACAAAAGGAAAAATAGACAAATGGGATCTAATAAAACTAAAGAGCTTCTGCACAGCAAAAGAAACTATCAGCAGAGTAAACAGACAACCTACAGAATGGGAGAAAAGTTTTGCAAACTGTGCATCTGACAAAGATCTAATATCTCACATCTATAAGGAACTTAAACAAATTTGCAAGAAAAAAACAACCCCATTAAAAAGTGGGCAAAAGCCATGAACAGACATTTTTTTAAAAGAGGACATACATGAGGCCAACAATTGTATGAAAAAGGCTCAACATCATTATTAGAGAAATGGAAGTCAAAACCCCAATGAGAACCATCTCACACCAGTCAGAATGGCTATTTTTAAAAAGCCAAAAAATAACAGATGCTGGTTGTGGAGAAAAAGGAACACTTATACACTGCTGGTGGGAGTGTAAATTAGTTCAACCATTGTGGAAGACAATATGGCAATCCCTTAAAGAGCTGAAAACAGAACTACCATTTGACTCAGCAATCCCATTATTGGGTATATACCCAAAGGAATATAAAGCATTCTATCATAAAGACACATGCATGAGTATATCCATTGCAGCGCTAGTCACAACAGCAATGACGTGGAATCAATCTACATGCCTGTCAATGACAGACTAGATACAAAAAATGTGGTACATATACACTATGAAATACTACGCAGCCATAAAAAGAACAAGATCATGTCCTTTGCAGGAACATGGGTGGATCTGGGGACCATTATCCTTAGCAAACTAATGCAGGAACAGAAAACCAAATACTGCATGTTCTCATTTACAAATGGGCACTAAATGATGAGAATACATGGACACATAGAGGGTAACAACACACGCTTGGGCTTTTCAGAGGGTGGAGGTTGGGAGGAGGAAGAGGATCAGGAAAAATAACTAATGGGTACTAGGCTTAATACCTGGGTGACAAAATAATCTGCACAAAAAACTCCCATGACACAAGTTTATAAAACAAACCTGCACATATACCCCTTAATGTAAAATAAAAGTTAAATTTAAAAAATGTTAATCAATTGTGAGAGTAATTTCCATATATTATTAGATACTATAGGACTCTGAAAGTTTATCTCTACTCCACCTTCCTCAGGAAGATTATTGAATATATATATTGTGGCAAAATAAGGAATATGGAAAGAAAAAAGAACAAAATGCAAAAAACAGTGGACATAACCCAAGAATGAAATGATAAGAAAACTAAATAAGATAGCTTAGTAATGGATTGGTATAAACCCAAATAGAAGGTCAGAGTGATTGGAGAAAAATGTTTTAAAGAAAAACAGTATTACAGATGCAATGGACTAGTTGATCCAAATGCACCCCCCAGATACCTCTTCTTCCTCCCCAACTCCCTACCTCCAGGCAATTCTAGGGGTGACCCTAAAATACAACTCTAGCCAGTGAGAAAAAGGCTAAATTACCTTTATTCAACTTTTTTCCCCTAATAAAACAGCAATGCCTTGCTAGAAGACAATTTATTTAATTTTTAATGTGTTCTCTTCCTACCAGGAAGTGAAGCTACCATCTTGTGAATAAGAGGACCAAGAAGATGTTGAGGCTTGGATGGTGCTAAGAATAGCAGAGAAGAAGGGTGAAAAGTTCTGGGTAAATTATGGCATCATTATGCTGCTGCACTAAGCTGCAGCCAGCTCACCCCAGAAGTCTTAATATGTGATGCGAATAGACCCCTATCTATTGCTGGTGGTTGATACTAGTGGTTGGTTTTCAGTTTCATTGGTCAGAACCTCTTTCTACCTGATTCAAATGTGGATTCACTTTTAAAAATATGATTTCATCAGCTGATCATCTTAGCAATAAGTTGAAGGCATTATTCTTTCAAAAACAAGGGTAACCAGAGGTTCCTTCAAAAGCAAAAATATCTATAAA
This sequence comes from Homo sapiens, assembly GCF_000001405.40. Taxonomy (NCBI): domain Eukaryota; kingdom Metazoa; phylum Chordata; class Mammalia; order Primates; family Hominidae; genus Homo; species Homo sapiens. The sequence goes on from NC_000018.10 coordinate 1,390,341, forward strand.
AAGTTTAGTATGAAGTTGTGGTTTAATAATGAATTGATTGAACTTTGGTGATAGAGTTTAAAATAATCCATTTGCGGCCGGGCGCGGTGGCTCACGACTGTAATCCCAGTACTTTGGGAGGCCAAGGCGGGTGGATCACGAGGTCAGGAGATCGAGACCATCCTGGCTAACATGGTGAAACCCCGTCTCTACTAAAAATACAAAAAATTAGCCGGGCGTGGTGGCGGGCGCCTGTAGTCCCAGCTACTCGGGAGGCTGAGGCAGGAGAATGGCGTGAACCCGGGAGGCGGAGCTTACAGTGAGCCGAGATTGCACCACTGCACTCCAGCCTGGGCGACAGAGCAAGACTCCGTCTCAAAAATAAATAAATAAATAAATAAATAAATAAATAAATAATAATAATCCATTTGCTAATTTTCTTTGTACATACTCTCCGTAACAAAACAAATTTGATGAGTTTGGATTTCGTTTCCTTTTTTGTGGATCCATTCACACTACTTATTTCCTCAATAAATGTTATTACACAATCATAATATTGTATTATATATATATTTTTTCACATAAATACTGAGAGAACTCATGAAGAGCATTATTATAGTTATCTGACAATTTTAAACAATGTCAAATGAAGAGATATTGCTCAAGTAGAAGGACCAAGAAATAAATCTTTAGTTTTACCATATAAATGAATAATTGTAATCAGTAAACAAAAAATATAAGTGACAAATTTAGGGAGAGGAGTGTTAGAGTAATAATGTAAGTGAGCTAATTTCCTAAACTTTTATTAAGGGAGGCAGTAGATACTTTTTGGGATTGACAGAGGAACAAATAGAGATGTAAGCATAGTATTTGGAGGTATGAAAGAGACTATTAGAAGCACTAAAAAATGAAACAATAAAGAGGATTACTTCTCAGAACCACATCTATAGATACATGAACAACTTTTGCTTATGAACTCATACCCCTTTTGTTTGATTTTTAAAATAATGCTCATGTATTACTTTTATAATAAAATAATGCAATCAAACTTTATTACAAATATAATTTAATGTGTTATGCCAGATTCAAAGGAGCTAAGCATTATTTTCTCTCTGTTAAACATTTTTTTTTTTGCATGCATGCAGAGACTAGCTGCCTGGGATGTAATATTTCCAAGAATTATTGCCACAGAGTTGGATATTAGGTTTGATCAAGAGAGGAATTCATGCAAGAATTTGAAAATGGGAGAGAAGTAGAAGCCAGTAGTACTCTGTGCCAGTGGGAGGCTGTAGCAAGTATGAGGTTTTGCCAGCAGCTTCAGGGCATCCACTGCAAATAATTTATTTCCGTGCTGCAGGCAGTTAAGATCATCAATAGTGCTTGTCTGCAATTTCTGCACTTCCTAATTTCCTGAATTCTAGAGGTAACTTTTCCTTACCTTCATTCCCTTAGCCCCTCCCATGTTTTTGTAATGTTCTAATCTCCAATATTAAATCCTTTCCTGTTCAAAATATCTAGAACGGGTTCTGTCTTCCTGAACAAAATAATAACTGAAAGATGTTTCAGTAGTTTCAAAGTATTTTAAATTTGAGTAGAATTTTAGGTGTGTGAAATTTTCAAGTTGAAACAGACCTCAGAGATCATCTAATGCTCCTTAATTTTACAGTAAAAGCACCAAAAACAGTCTACTACCCAGGTTCCTGAGAAGAAACAGGTGGTGCACTCAAATTGGATAATTTGAGTTGAGTTACGATGATAATACTTACCTAGGTGTGGGCAGGTTATTACCATCCATAGGTCTGAAGGGGCAAGGGTCAAGAGCATGGAGAAGACGTTACTTGATAAGAAGAGTAGCCTTCAGTAGAGGCATGCAGCCAACCTGTACAACTTCCAAAGGGAAGGAGCTATGCTAAAAATACCCTAGCCTGACAGTCCTCCTGCCCTTTGATCTCCTGCCAGTGCCTCCCATTGGCCGAATGAAACTGAAATCAGGGATAAAGGAAGACTGTGATGTAGTCCCTCCAGCTCCTGGAGCACAGAACAGGGTGGAAAAGTGAAGAGAAAGGCTCTGGAGGAGCAAAGAGTCTCCAGCACAACTTCTTTGAGCCAGATTGACTCTCATGCCCACTTTTTTATAACATTACATTCACACTGGGTTTTACTTAAAAAATCACACTAGGGATTTTACCCTCATAATAGGCTGTGAGAAAAAAGAAAAGATGATAAGGAAAGATAACATCTTCTTCATTTTTGTATATCTAGTGCCCAGGACAGTGCTGAAATTTAGTAAGAACTCAATAAATGTGCAATGAGCCACTTTCTCAAAGCTTATAAAAACCTAAAAATCAAAGTTATTTCAGTTATGAATATAATTATTAGTTTAGTTTTGTTAAGAAAAAAGAATTTTTTAATATTGACTTAGGGCGTTGAGGTGATAATTAATGCCTTACTGTCTCAAGATTAGTATATATTGAGTTTCACATGAGGACTTATTTCTCTTTATTCACTTAAAAAACAAGTGTTTAATAATGACATACTATGTGCCTGTCATTATGCTAGGTATAGATGCAACAGTGACAGTCTGTTGTCCCTGCCATCGAGAGTTTAGAGGCAGTCCTAAATATTTAATTCAAATTGTCTTCTTCCTGCTATCCAGCATGATTTACTGTGTTGTTAATCATTGTGTGTCTGGGGAAAGCTAATATTTGCCAAAGCAAAACATAATTTGGAAAGTAAATCTTTCTTCCCAAACCTGAAAGTCAATTCCAAAGAGTAAAGGGCACTTTTGTTTTTTTTCTAGGCTTATCTAGATTTTCTTCATTATCATTAAAAAAGGTTGACTCTGTGTGTGCACGTGTGTGTACGCGCACCTGCATATGCTCATCCCATCTGTGTGCGTTTTTATGTACATTTCATATATAAAATTTTAATATAAGCGCAACCGTTCTGGGATGAGTCAGTAAATAAGCTTAACCAAATTGAGCACTTTCCCATCTTGGCTTCTCTCTTGAGCTGTGGGATACATCACAATCTGCTTTCAGCATTGCAGTGACAAAGAAAATGCTTTTCCCAACATTCTCTCCATTGAACCTAGCAGAGAAGTGATTCACTCACTGGAAGCTGATGACCTCTGGAATGGGTAAATGATGCACACTCCCCATAAAGCTCCTTATGGCTATTCTACAAAAGCCTTGATTTTGGAATACACCTGGATGAGAGGATTGCATAATAGTTTCCAGATGTGACCATTTAAAAAATTATCCATAGAGATATTGGGATTTGGCCAGCTTTTCTTGGGCATCAAGTGTCAGGTACTATAGTATAAATATGCCACAGAATAGGTACATTTTCACATTTAGAATCCACAAAACTTCTATGAGGTGCATACTATTATTGCCTGCAGTCAGACAGGAGGGAGCTGAGGTTCAGAGATGTTAAGTAATTTGGCTAAACTGGTGCAACCAGTAAGTAGAAGAACCAGGACTAGAACACAAAACTGACTAGTCTCCAGACTTTGTGACTTTGATGAATAACTCTATTATCTGTTCTTCCCAATTGTTCTTAACTTCTTACCTCTCCTTATTCTCCCTGTTTTCTTTATTGAGGTCACTAACTTGCAAATACTTGAATTAAGATGAGAACTGCTTGGTCAGAGACCTGATTTAAGTGACAGCTCTAAAAGTGACCCAGAAGATTGTTTTAAGCTACTAGCTAACAAGAATTACAAGAATTTGTTAAAACTTACTAAGGGTTTTATTTGACATTGAGTCAAATAAAATCAACAGTCATTAATGATTCATATTCTAAATGGTTTGCCTTCCACATAGTCTTAAAAAGGCCATGTGGCACAGTGGAAAGAATACTGGAATGAGAATCCGAAGTCTTGGATTTGAATCCACTTCAGTTACCAAAGAGCCTGACAAGTAAGTTTTCTTTTGAAACCTGATTTTCAAAACTTGTGAGGTCATTTTCATCTCCAACCTAATATTATCTGGCTTGTGAACACTATTAGTTTATTTAGTGCTTCTCATAGAAGCCAGTGTGATTTCATATACAGCCTCTGATGATATTAAAAAATCAAATTAAATTATTGTTAGAGAAAATGTTCTTCAATGATACTTGATGAAACATGGTAAGGAAGACATTATTCAGGACCATCACAATGGAATTTCTGAAATGAAGGAGAAAGATTGGGCTCAACTCTGAGTACAGCATGGGCAAGTGGGAATTTATAGCCAAAAGCAGGGCAGGGGTCAGTGCATGGAAAGTTACTCAGAGGTAACATTAGGAGTAGGAGGGATTCAGGCTAAACTGACCTAACAAGATTCTTGCTGAAGACAGGCCAGGATGACCAGACATCACATGGGGGATGGTGGAGGATGAGGAAGTTGGTCATATATTGAGGGTGGAGGGGTTCTTGCTAAACTGATTTAGCAAGATTCTTTATAAAACTGGATTTTACAAGGAAGAGCACGGATGGGACTAGGAGAAGTTTCAGGAGCCTGACTAAAGTTTGGACAAGTAAAGAATCTTTGTCACCATGCACGGCATTTATTTAGGTTTTTAAAAGGCAGACTGCAGGGGATTGATTGAAATTGTAAGATTTCACGTTGTTACTGACTAACGTCATCTATAGGCTTATATGTTTAGAAGTTTTCAAGTTAGGTAATGGTGGAAAAATTAGTAGTGGGGAGGCAATGCTGCTTGTTAATTTCAAAGATAATTCAGTTTCTGGGATCTGAAACAGAGCAATTGCTCATCTACCATATTGCAGTGAATGAATGGAGAGGACTGGGCCAGACGGCTGTCAGGGCATCTGCGTCTCTTTCTGGAGCTGGTAGTAGAGGAGCATACTGATGTAAGGACGTCATTTGGTTTTCATGTGATCTCCCTTTCAATCAAGTGGAACATGAGGGGTAGAGGATGTGTGTGGGATATGGAAACGCGTTAGAGAGGAAATAATTCAGATGCCAGCACCTAGAATAGGAAATATATTCAAATCCTACACTTTAGGAAAGACAAAAATATATTAATACATAAATGTTACTTCTATTCTTGATACTATCATTTCGATTCCTCTTTACACAAATAGAAGAGGAAACTTTGTTTCTGTAATGTTGGCTCAGAATGGTCTTTCTGCCTGGTTTAAGAAAAGTTGCCTTGAATCATATGATTTAGTCTGATGAATATATTCTAAGATAAAGATGAGTTATTAAATGAAGTCTGAATAGGACTCACTGTGCTCAAATTTTATCATCTCACCAGTGGTGTAAATATTATGAATGAAAGCCAGGAACATATGGCTTAAAACTCAATAACACAGGCAATGAGGCAAAATATCCCTGTATCTATGTGCTATCCAAAATTAGAAGTTAGATTCCTATCCCTCCCTGAAGAGAACATATTTCTGATGTTTGTTATGAAATTTATGAAGAAATGGGGCTTATTTTTCGTGATTTTTATTTACAGCCTATTTTGCTCACATATACCTCTTTTGTAAAGCAAGCACACCTAGAGCATACAGAGGCCACAGGGGTGTACCTTTCTTCATAGCTGTTCACAGTAAAATATATTTGCTGGGGCAAAAAATAGTCTTTTACCAGAAATCTAACAGAACAAAAATGCTCATTTTCTTATGCGTTACTTTAATATCTTCTCTCCTATGTCAGAAACACACAATCTTCTCTTCTATCACTAGGTAAAATATGCAAAAGATTTGAATGGCAATTCACAGGAAAACATTTTTCATTTCGTTTGCATGAGTGCAGTTGTGAGGCTAAACAAAACTCAGGTACTATTGAAAATTTAAAGTCTCCCTAATGAAAAAATAGATTTTAAGGTCAAGTAAAAACAACAGAAATTACTAATTATCTGCTGTAATTAAAAAAATTACTTCATGAGTACTGTCTTGTAACATTTCTTCTTCAAAGACACTGCCTATAAGTGCTCTATTAACTTAACCACTTCTGTGTTTGCATTTATCTGTGAGCAAAGGTAAAATCCATGGACTAGGGAGAATTACACACATGAGTTATCAATCTGTGTCAGTATTTGCAACACTATTTGCTACACATCCTTTCTCTTTTCCTTTTTTCAGTTTTCTGTTCCTCTTACCTTCACTTAATTTGTCTTTGCCATTTATATTTCTTCCAATTCTTTTTTCTTTTTCTCTGATTCTTTTTGTCTTTTTCTTTCTTTTCTCTTTGATCTTTATACTTCTCAGCTCTCCCATTAACTTCTCTTTTCTTACTTCCCACATATCTTCTGTTTTTATTTTTTCTTGTTTCAAAAGATCCCCTCTCACGTGTGTTTTATATTTTATTTCATTACCTGTTTAGTCTAGTCATTTCTTCCTCAATTTACTTTTTCCCCTTTCCATTTCCTCTGCCGCCTCTCTCTCTCACCTCTGGTCTCACTAGAAGGAGGAAACACTTTTCCTTGCACACATCAATTGGTTAAAACCCTTTGCTGCTCTAGTGTAACTGAATTTTACAACTGTCCACATATTTTCTCCTAAACAATAACTTTTGACTAGCTGCACATAAGTTGACCAATACCCAATGACTGTCCCCCAACCCCCAGCCAAAAGAAAAGAGAAACAAAAACCCACAAATATGTCTGAGTGTATTAATCAGTTTGAATGTACCCATAGACTTATTAAACTAAAGATGAGAACATTTAACTGGTCAGACCTACTACCTCTTTAAAATCACTACTTCTGTCAAAATGAAATATGACGTGGCAAAGTCGCTGCCTATGCCAGAGCAAGTAACACTCAGGGTTTAAAAGAAATTTAAAGGAAATGCTAAAACAAATCATTTTGGAAATACCACCTTCTAATCAAAAGCTAGAAACCAAGAGGTGTGTTTTCTCATATATCACTGCTTAGTTGATATACAGCCGTTCTTTGGCATCTGTGGGGAATCCATTCTAGGATCTCTCAAGGATACCAAAATTGAAGATGCTAAGTCTCTGATATAAAATTGTGTAGTATTTGCATATAACTCATACAGATCCTCTCATATCCTTTAAATAAACTCTAGATTACTTATAATACCTAATACAATGTAAATGCTGTGCAAATAGTTTTTATGCTGTATTTTTAAAAATTGCATTATTTTTATTGTTATTTTGTGGTTTTTTTTTTCCTAAATATTTTCTTTTCCTGTTTGGTTGAATTCACTGATGTGAAACCCACAGATAGGAAGGGCCTACTGCACTTTAAAAAGTGATAAGTTTTTAATTTATTATTTTGTTCCCCTTTGTTATTTTTGCCCGGGTTTTTCTGTGGTCTTGATTGAACTTAGCTGTCATTTAAGAAACAAAATAGCAATTAATTAGGTGATTAATAAAATAAGATGCTATATCAAATTTTATGAATGGGCATATTAAAAAGGAAGGCTTTCCAACATGGATCTCAAATTAGACCCAAAATAATACGTTCCTCACAGAGTTGCTAGGAGAAATAGGACCCTCTGTAACTTCTTGTATGGTATGATAGCCAATACCACAAGAGATGCAATTCATTTGATTTGAAATTCAGTAATTTGTATCAAATGAAACTGTTCATTCTGATATCTGACTGACTTAAATATCTAATTTGCCATTATATAGAATATTTTGGGCTGCTACCCAAGAAAGAAGCAGTCTCAAAAATTTAAATGTATAAAAATGAAATCATAAGAAAATAGAGGAAGAAAATGTGGGTGAGTTTGTAAATAAACCTGGAATAGGATTTCTGAACACGGCATTAAAAATAAAAAAGAAGCCCTAGAGTAAATGACTGACAAATTTGGCTGCAGAGAAATTTAGTAAAAAAACCCTTAAATCTAAATTTAAAAAGAAACCCAAACGATAAAAATAGAGACAATATTTGCAATAAGTCAAATTTATGGGGGTGAAGGGAATGTTCATTGTCTTGAATGTGGTAATGATTTCAGGGTTGTATACATATGTGAAAATTTATTAAATTGTATACAATAAATATGGGACATATATCATATGTCATTTTTATCTCAATAAAAAGTTAAACAACATGGAACAGTCAAAACCTAATTTCTTCCTATACGAAACCATAGAAAAAGTCACCCCAATAAGTGGGCAAAGATTTGAATAGGCAATTTACAGTAAAAGAAAAGTTTCTCATAAACCTATGAAAAGGTGGTCAACTTTCTTATAATTAAAGAAATGCAAAATGTACTCCAGGTACATTTTTCCCCAACAGATTAAGAGTATAAGCTTGATGCTGACTAAAGCAGACACATTCCATTGGAAGATCATTAATTAGGAACAACCACTTGGAAAACAAATTATTATCATCTCCTCAAATTTAAAATCGACATGCATACATCTATCAATATGGCGTATTAGGTATGCTGAAAGCTGTCCCACTGCAAAGCATCTATAAATGCCAAATAAACTATAATTAATGTCCTTTAAAATGAACAGTTGGAATAAGAAAAATGAAATGGAAATGCTCAGTAATCAGATACAAAGGGGGAGCAGAAAGCTAACGTGGTGATTCTGAAGGTTGTCCTGAAGGAGTCTGCCAATCTCAATACTCTAGAGTTTTAGGTTCCATGGCTATGCGAGGGACTGTGGCTGGGGCTTTGTGTCAATATAGGAGGGGAATGGGGCTTGAGATTTCTGCATAAACTGGGGCCTTTCAATGTTGGGGAAAGAATGGACTAGAAAACTTCCAAAAAAAAAAAAAAGAAACAAAAAAAAAATGAAGAAGACAAGGGAACTTGACAGTCTTGTCCTGTGCCCTCAGTGCAAACAAAACAACAACAAAAAGTAACACTATCAACAAAAAATTTCTTTTAAGAATTTGTATTGACAAGCCTGCCATCACATAGGTTTGGGATCCAAATTTGTACTACTTGGGCAATCTAGAAAATCCCAATCTGAGAATTTACTTTAAAGTAGCTTCAGTTTGGTAATACTTTTGGGTGCATGACTCTAGCAAAGAAAAATCTCTCTGAAATAAGGCCGCAAAAAAACCTCCCACATGTAAAGCCCACTTGAGCTTGGTTTTATAATCTAAAATGACCAAGATACAAGCTACTATATGGTAAGCAGAAAGAAAAAAGGGCAGAATTAGACCCTGAAGGGCACCGGATATAAAAATTACAAATAAAGACAAAATAAATTTGTTTAGTAAGTTTAAAGGAGGAAAAAATAATAATTAAAAACATGAACACAAAAGATATGGTTGTATTTAACAAAAACGCTTGATAAAGAACTAAATATAGCTTCTAGGTAAAAAAATATATAAACACTGCCATAAATGCTCAAGAATGTTAAGCAGCAGATTAGAAAAAAAATAGATTTGTAAACCGAAGCGCAGATTTAAGAACAATTACACAAAATATGATACAGAGACAAAAGAAAAGATAACATAAGAGGTTAGGCAACATGGAGGTTAGGATGAGAAGATGCAAAATTCTTTCGGTGTTTCAGAGGAAGATAATTGAAAGAATAAGGGAGAAGGAATGTTTGAAGAAGTAACAACAGAGAATGTTCTAGTATCGATGAAAGACTCAAATCTTCACGTTCAGTAAATTCAATAAAACCCAAGCAGAAAAATAAAAATAAATTCGCCTTTAAATATACTGTTAGTAAAACTCTGAAACATTAAAGCAGAAGAGTTCTCTTCTTAAGAAGTTCTTAAGATGAGTTCTCTTCTTAAAATGGGCCACAGAACTGAGACAACTAGAAAGAATACAGACTTCCAAACAATGAACAGAGGAATCTGAAGAGCTGAATCTCTTCAAAGTCTTGAGAGAAAATCACCATTAACTTAGAATTATATACCCAGCTAAGTATAGTTCAGACAGAAGTTAGATACTTTGTAAAGTAAAATATGCATGTTAAAATTTTAAAGGTGATGATCAATCTGGGTAATTGGGACACCCATCACCTCTTTGATCATTACACATTGTATGCTTGTATTAAAATATCACATCTACCCTATCAATATGTAGAACTATTATATATCATTAAAAATTAAAAATAAATTAGCAAAAAGATGCTATGCTTTTCAAATTTGTCTGACTTTGGAGGACAATGTGATACTGACTATAAAAGATGAACATATATGTACATTAAGAGTATTCATAAAAGGGTTTAGTGCCACAGGGAAAAAATGAAACCACTGATATTTCCATCAATAGGATAGTTAAATCAATTGTGACATTTTAACACAATGGAATAGTACAAGGTGTTAAAAGTAAAAAATAAAAAAAAGAAACTGGAGCTATAGGTCAACATAATTGAATATCACAAACAGAATTTTCTACAAAATAGAAGTTGATGATGAACCAATGCCATTACACCATTTGTATGAAATATAAAATAATTAAAAATACTGTTTATTTTTAGGGATATTTAGTGAAAATATAAAGAAGTTCATTGAAATGGCAAATGTTATTTAAAAAATTGGTTTTCTGTCTTGGGTAGAGAGGGGATACATTCAGAAAGAGGTACTCAAGGAGTTTTTGAAGTAGGGATAGGTGTAGGGTTTCATTTTGTTATAGTTAATATCCTCTTATATTAATAAATATTTCATAGTTGATATAAAAATGGTAAAGCACATATAAGTTGCTCTAACAATTTCATTGATATCAATCTCTGCTGCAGACCTTCTGAGAATACATTTTAAATTGTATGTTTTTATGCACCTACTAGGATTTACCATCATCTTCCCATGGCATCTTTTCCCATCACATTTACCTCTGATCCACTAGGTCTGTAGGATTACGTGACCTAAGTAGCAAGTGGCCTATAGCATATCTGGGACCTGTGTAGAGATCTATTTTTCCTTTAAGTTCCACTCAGACCTAGCGGCCTTCCTTGACACTCTTGAATGGGTCAGAAGAGCATTCCCAAGTGTAGAATATGTCCCTACTGGTCATTATGCTCCCATTTTAGTGATAAGCAAGACTCAATAATTTGTCCTTATGTTAGAGGGGAAGTCCCAGCATGTTTGAGGCTACTAGACGACTAAGAACATCACTGTTTAACTTACTTGCCTCCTTTTATTCAGTTCATCGAATTAACATGATGTCATCGATAGAACGAATCAATGAGATGTCCTACAGAATGTCCAGACCACTCAGGTCCCCATCAGGCCTATTGTCTTGGAGTAGCAGACTTGTAGGGGTTGAGAATTCAATCTTCTCTTTCACCCTTGTAATTAAGTATTTCACCTTTTTCTGCCCTTTGACTACAGGATATGAGAGCCTTCAGATGCTGCCTAGGAGGTCCTCTAGCTTCCACATTTTGCCTAAATTTGTGATTAATTCAATGTGTCAATACCTGCCAGCAGTATTTCATAGATCTTATAATTACTACTCCCCTTCCCCATCCAGCACCTTGAATGTTCCCGAGATATATTTCCTTTTATCAGAAACTCACTCAGTTTACCATTGGTTTAGAGGACATAATATCTGTCATCTCAGTTTAGTGATCCGCTACAGGAAGCCAGGTGCTATCAGGACTTCACTGTTCACCAGTGACAGTGTCCTCATTGCCAGCCAGTGAATGACCCAGTTTCAAAATTCCATTTCAGAGTCTGTTCTTGTGTACTACTTCTGGTATTAACCTTCATAGCTTTGTTTCCCTAGAGAACAGATTATAAAATGAAAATTTGCATGCCAGTGATTTGTTGGGGGTGTGCCCTCAGAAGTAACACCGATAAAGGAGTGAGTGAAGTAGGTGAAGGCAAAAGGCAGAGCTGAGTTGTGATGCAGCTGCAAAAGAGACTTCAGTCAACCTTCTGGAAATCTCTGTTGTTGAGATGACCATTCAGAAATACTGAAATGAAGCAAAAGGTCTGGGACTTCATACTCTCCCATCCACCCTGAGCAATCATTGCACGTGAACTGCCCTTTGGAAGGAGTTAACATTTGGCAGTTCTCTTTGTCCAACGGCGTTTCTTGGGGAGAGCCTAGGTCGTGAGTCCTCAGCACTCAACACTATCAGCAACGGGGGGAATGAGTGCCTCAGTCCTGAAAAAGGTTTGATTGACACACTACAGTCTCCACTAGAAGTAGAGAAGCAAAGAGGAGTAGAGTTTTAATTCTCTCTTTTCTCTGTCATGTATCTAGATGGTAAAGACAAAGTTTAAATTTTTTGCAATGTGCATATTTTCATTTATTTTAAAAATTATTTTGCAAAATAAAGAAGGAAAAAAAGGATGAGGAGAGGTCAAGCAAGGAGAAGAAGAGGAGAGGTCAAGAAGGAGGAGAGGGAGATAGTCTTGATTTAGCTTAAATGATAATCTCAAGTATAAATTAAATGTGTCCTTGGCAAAGAGGCCTGACCATGCTAAATGAAGTGGCAGTAGGTACTGCTGAAACCTTACATTTAATTATATTTATATATCTGCATGTTTTACTGTTAGTTCATTTCATAATGAAGGAAACACTGCAAAAATCAAAACCCTTTGAAAATACATAAAAACCTGTGTTTTGTAAAGGCCAATGGAATGAACATAGGACATCAAACATAAGCCAGCAGGAAAGAATGTAGAAGTAGAACTGGCTACATTTAACATTTATAATTGTTACAAGATACTTTGCCTCTTCATGAAGAAACCACACATTGAAATGGTAAATAGAAATGTTTCTGATGTTGTTTTTTGATAGATGCGATATTTTGTGTGTGCTAGTTACTGCAGATAACTTTAAAAGCTGTAGAATAATTGGGGGATGTAAACCAAAATGTATACTGTCATCATGCAGGTTCTAAACCATATGAATGATATGAATAAAATAATACAGTATTATTGTTTTCATTTGAGAAATAATTTTTCATGATTAATTTGATTGTGGAGCAATAGAGAGTTACAAAATCATAAAAGAGATATTCTTAAAAACTGAATATGCTTAAAATAAAAAAGAGAAACTTAAACTATTATAGAATTGTCAATACCTTAGTATGCTATCCAATACGAAAATGGGCATTATCAGAAAAGGTTTTTGCAAAATATGCCAAAAATCAACAGTGTAAGACAAATTCCTTCATCTCCTTCTTTTTTTCAACTTTTCTTGTAATGTTTTCTCTCCTTTCAACCTCTTCTTTCTCCTTATTTTATTTCTCATTAACTTATTCGTTCAGTAATTCTTCATACATTAGTGGAATACCATAACAAAATTAAGTCAGTAAAAGATAGCATTGTAGATCTTTTGATAAAAGACATATTTAATATAAATTATCAGGGTGGAAATTTGTAATTACTAGAGGAACAAATGGGAGGAAGATGGTATTACTGAAAGATTAGGAACTGAAATGAGGCTATTTTTGTGTCCACAGGAGCCTGTTTTAATATGCCTCTTGTTGCCACACAGCTGCAAAGAGGCACACATTGTTTTCTGGCTATATTCGGATCATAATTCTCTTTTCCTTCAATGCCATTTATTCAATAAGAGTGCACACTAGATTACTGCTGGAATCTGAAGAAGAATATTAAATTATAGTTTCTTTTTCTCTTCTAATTTTATGCAAATGCCTAATTGTCAGAACTTACAGTGGGACTTTGCTGACAAGAGAGTCTTCTAGCATGTGAAAAGAGGAAAAGCTTAGAAGGGAAGGAGTAGTGCTAAGTACTAACAGGCAATGTCTGGCAAAATTCACCCCTGGTTGTTTAGTGTCTGTGCATGCTCTTCTTTGCGTGTCAGTTGCTCTTAACCTTTGTATGTTCATTGCCACCATCCTTCTTATAAAAAAGAACGGTCACAATGGCCACAAAGTGAGGTGGCCACAAACCCCACCCATCACTGTGTTACTATGTGACTTTTGTCAGGTTCTCACCTTTTTAGTCACAATCTTACTTGTGACTAAATGTTATAATCTAAAGTGCAAATTATATAGTTCTGCTTCCAGCAAAGATGAAGTAACAGGGACTAGCTTTACCTACTGCCTGAATCAACTGAAAAAGAAACCAAAATGTGGAACAATGGCTCTCATGACATTGAACATCCCCCAAAAAAGTTAGGTGATACTTAATATAAAGGAAACAGTGTCCAAAGCTCACATAACACCAGGAGTAGCACTTGTTTCAAATAGCTAGAGTAGAAAACTTCAGAATTTACTGAGCATTAAGTAGAGTATAAAGTGTCTTGCTTTAATACTGGGAAAAACTAATTCTTGACTAAATGCTGCTATGCTCCACCTAACAAGGCTTACAAGCAAGACCCCCAGGTGTCAATCCATTTTCAAATAACTTTTTTGCATCCCAGAACGAAGCTCAATAATATTTATAGGCATACAAGAATATCTAGCAACTAATAAGGTAACATTCACATTTAGCATTCATTTAAAAGTTACTAGCCATGCAAAGAAGTGAGAAAATACAATCCATGATTAGAAGAAAAATCATTCACTTGAAACTGATGTAGCAATTACATGGATGATAGAATTAGTAGACAAGCAAATTACAAAAATTACTATAATTGTGTTTCATACACTCAAGAAGCTAGAGGAAAGAATAAATGTTACATAGACACATATAAAATAAAAAGGAGACCCAAAATGGATATCTACATATGTAAGTTACAATTTCTAAGATGAAAAAATGCACTGCATGTGATTATCAGCAGATTAGATAATGAAGAAGAAAAGATAGGTGAACTTGAAGACACAGAGGACATGGAGGGGTGAGGCAAAAAAAATCTGTAAAAAGAATAGCTGAAGTTGTTCAAATTTGAGAAACATTTTAAATACACAAAGAGTCCAGAAGCTTATTAAACCCCAACACAAGAAAACATAAATAAAACTATTCTAAGGCATGTAAAAACACAACTAGAGATGATGGAAAAATCTTAAACACAGGGGGAAAAAAAGACACACTATATATAAAGGAAAAAAGATAAGTATGAAAGAAGAGTTCTTGTTGAAAAAAAAATGTAAGCAGTGCAAATCAAAAGACAGTGAAACAATATCTTTAAGATACTAAAAGAAAAAAAATCAATTTTGAATTATATATCCAGGGAAAGTCTTTCAAAAAAGGAGGCAAAATAAAGCCAATGTAAAATATACAAAAGCTATAAGTATTCATTGCCAGTAGACCTGAATAAAAGAAATGGTAAAGTCAATCCTTCCAACAAAAGGAAGATGATACCAGATAGAACTGTAGATCAATATAAAGGAATGAAGGGCACAGAAATAATTACCTAAGTACATTTAAAGATTTTTTTGTTTTTATTATAAATCTTTCTAACAGATAATTGACAGATGTGCACTTTTAACCAAGAGGGAGGAACAGGATTTATTCTTCTATCTGAAACAACCAATAAATGAACAAAATATATGAAACATTGGCTTTGAAGGCAATGGAAATTAAGCAACAAAAGATAGCAGTCGATATACTAAGGACTTTAAACAAAAGGTTATGTTTGCCATACCACATACAAAAAACTGCTTTTAACAGAAAGGCTGAAAGTAAAAAAAAAGAAAAAAAGAATGCTATGCAAATAATAGTAATATAATAATAGAAAAAGAAAAAAGCACCTCTACTAAGCCCATTCTAATTCAAGAAAAAGTATAATTTAAATCAAAACAGGTAACTAGAGATAAAGAAGGATATTTAAAAATTATAAAGGGATACATTTGCTGAGAAGATACTACAATTCTAAATTTTTATGCATTTGGTATTATAACTTCAAAATATATAATACATACACTGACCAAACTAAAAAAAAAAATAATTATAACATCATAGTAGAAAGCTTTAACATTGCTCTCTTAATAGCCAATAGAAAATGTAGACAAAAATTCTATGACAGAAGAAATCTGTAAAACAAAGTCAACAAAACTGACCTAAGTAACAAGTATAGTGCACATGAAACATTGACCAAAACCGACCGTGTACCGGGATAGAAAGTCTTCGCAAATATTAGTTTGATATAGTATATTATACTACCACAGAGAAATTTAGTTGGATATCAGTAATAAAAAAGATAAGTGGGCCAGGAGCAGTGGCTCACGCCTGTAATCCCAGCACTTTGGGAGGCCGAGGTGGGCGGATCACGAGGTCAGGAAATCGAGACCATCCTGGCTAACACAATGAAACCCCGTCTCCACTAAAAATACAAAAAATTAGCCGGGTGTGGTGGCGGGCGCCTGTAGTCCCAGCTACTCGGGAGACTGAGGCAGGAGAATGACGTGAACCCGGGAGGTGGAGTTTGCAGTGAGCGGAAATCGCGCCACCGCACTCCAGCCTGGGCGACAGAGCGAGACTCCGTCTCAAAAAAAAAAAAAAAAAAGATAAGTGAAAAATTCATAAGTAGTTATGTTTCCATGCACTAGAAAAGAAAAAAAGATGAAAAATCAATGATTTTATATTCAACCTAAAGAATTTAGAAAAAGAAAAGCAAAACAATATAAAAAATAAAGACAAAAGTAGAAATTAATAAGTGAAAAAAATTCTAACCATAAATTAACAATCAAAACGGCACTGTAAAATGAATAACAAAATTTATAAACTCGGAATAACTTTGTCAAGAAAAAAGAAAAAATACAAGTTAACAACTTATTAATATCAACAGTTAAAAAGTGGACATCACTGTATATTCTACAGAAATTAAAAACAAGAAGATATTCTAAACAAGTACACACTGATGTTAGAAATTTAAATGAAATAGACATTAACAAATACAACTTACAGAAACTGACAGAAGAGATCACTTAAATAGTCCAGTGGCTATTAAAAATTGTCCTTTATTAGGCCGGGCGCGGTGGCTCACGCCTGTAATCCCAGCACTTTGGGAGGCCTAGGCGGGCGGATCACGAGGTCAGGAGATGAGACCATCCTGGCTAACAGGGTGAAACCCCGTCTCTGCTAAAAATACAAAAAATTAGCCGGGCATCATGGCGGGCGCCTGTAGTCCCAGCTACTCGGGAGTCTGACGCAGGAGAATGACGTGAACCCGGGAGGCGGAGCTTGCAGTGAGCCGAGATCGCGCCACCGCACTCCAGCCTGGGCGACAGCGAGACTTCGTCTCAAAAAAAAAAAAAAATTGTACTTTATTTATATATATTTTGAAGAAAACATGAGGCTCAATGACTTCAACAGTAAATTTAGCTAAATTAAAAAAAAAAAACCACAACACACCAATATTATAAAAACTCTTGCAGAGAATGGAAAGGGAGAGACCAGTGTAACTCTGAAGTCAAGTCCTGACAAGGACAGGAACTAACTTGCAGATTAGTCTCCTTCCTGAACAAAGATACAAAAACTGTAAATACAATATTAGCAAAGAGAATTCAAGAATATTAAAAGGGTAAATATATCACATAAAAGTGGAATACATTTCAAGCATGCCAGAGTGGTTTATTATTTGCAAAACAGAAAATCTAATTCATCATGTTAACACAAAAAGGAAGAAAAATTGAATGATTATATCGATAAATTTAGTAACAGCACTTGATAAATTCAGAAAGCATTCATAATAAAAACCACAACTCTTGGCAAAGTACATATGGAAGAAAAGCTTCTTGATATAACAAAGAATTATCAGAGGCATCATATTTTATAGTAAATTGTTGAGACTTTACCCTGAATTGTGCTGGGTATTCAGCACAGTGCAAAATGGCAATTAAAAGAAGGCAAAGGAATAAGGATTAGAAATAAAGGATCCAAGCTGTCATTATTCTCAAAATAGAATTGTGAAATAAAAAATTTTAAAGACTCTATAAATTATTAAAATTAATAAAATGGTTTTAGCGTAGTAATAGGATACACATTAAATATGTAAAAATCAATTTTATAATTTAAACCAAATAACTAGAAAAATAAATTTTAAAAACCATGTAATTTTCAGTTGTATTAAAAATTATCGAGAAATAGAAATTAAAATGATCTCTACACTGAACAATACAAAATTGACAAAAATTAAAAAGACAAAATAAATTAAGTTACATACCGTTCATGGATTGAAAGACACTATATTGTGAATACATTGTGTCAGTTAGAAATCACTGTATAGCAAACTGCCTCCACATTTAGAGACAAAATAACAACCATTTATCATTGATCATGAGTCTGGTCATGTGGGAAGTTCCGCTGATCTAGGTCATGCTCAGCTTATTTTTACTTGCCAGAATGACTAAGATGAAAAAGAGAGTAACAGGTGTTGACTAACATGCATCTATGGTCATCTGGTAGATCAACTGAAATCTGATTGGAGAATTACTTCACTTACATATTGGACAGATGTCTGGCTTTAATTTGGGCAAGAGATGATAGTAACATAGGGGCATTTGTCTCCCATAATCAACAGACTATCCCAAGCTTGTTCATATGGTGCCTTGGCCGAGTTCCAAAAGAGAGAAAGTAAACACAATGCTTCTTGAAGCCTAACCTTGTAAAATTTCATTGCAAAAGCATGATTATAAGAAAGGATGGAATTTGTGGACCTTTTTTACTTTCTATAAAAGATGTTAGTTCTCTCCAATTTTGTTTATAGTTTCAATGAGTACCAATAAATATCCTGCTTTTTTCTGTGTTGACCTTGACAAGCTAATTCTAAGACTTCTTTTGAAATACAAAGGACCAAAAATAGCCAAGGTGATTTTCAGAAGAGGAATCAAACTGAAGGCCTACACTAACAAATAAGAGGATCTATTCAAAAGTTGTGGTAATTAAGATAGTATGTTATTGGTACAAAGATAGGCATCATCTTATTTCTAACAAAGTCATTTTGTGCAAGGAACCATGGAAACAATAGTCTTTTCAATACATTGTATTGAGTCAATTGAATATTGATATTAAAAAAAGAACATTGAGATTCTTACACCATACACACCCACACAGACACACGCACGCACACACGTACACATACACACACAACCAAACAAGAGACTTCAGATTTAGGTGGAAAAAGTAGACAATACGGCCCTTTGGAAAATACATTGGAAAACATCTTTAATGTTTTAGGAGTAGACAATTAATTATTTATCAGGACATTAAATGTGCTAACCATAATTGAAAAATGAGAATTTTGACTAGTTTAAGATTAAAAATTTTTGTTCAGCAAATGACACTATTAAGAATGTGAAAATGTAAGCCAGAAACAGGACACAAAAAACACACACACACAAAACTGCTGCAACTCAACAGTAGCAAACTACCAAAGAAGAATATACAAAAGATTTGAAAAGGGACTTTACAGAAAGTAGACTTCCAAATGATTGATACGCATATAAAAGGTACACAAAACATTATTAGATAAAAGGGAAATGTAGACTAAAACCGCAACAAGTTACATAAACACCAGAATGACTAAGACGAAAAAGAGAGTAACAAGTGTTAAAGAAGACAAGGAACATCCAAAACGCTTCTATAATACCAAATAGTAGCATACATTGTACAATCATTTAGAATCAGTCAGTCATTGTTGATACATACAATCAATCATTTGTTGATACATACTAAAAAATTCCACTCCCAGGTATCTACCCAGCGGAAATATCTACATATAATCACCAAAACACATGTATAGCAATGCACATAACAGCTTTATTCTTAACAGTCCCAAATTGACAACAATATGTGTCCAAAAATAACAAAATGGATATATAGTATGTGGGATATTCACATAATGAAGTACTTTGCAGATACAAGAAAGGACAACTTATATTCAACATCGTGAATAAAACTCACAAACTCAATGCTGAGTGAAAGATGCCAGATACAGAAAAGTATATACTTTGTGATTCCATTTACTACAGTTTAATGAAAGGGAAAATTAAATTAGAATGTTAACAGGTAGAAAGTTGTTATCTTTGGGAGTGCTGCGACCTGAGAGGACCTTCTGTGTGGATAATGCTCTGTTTACTGACCTGTGCTAGAGTTCTGGGGGAAAAAAACAGAAAATAAAAGCCAAAAATTATAATAATACATAGGCTGTTTTAAAATAGGTAATAGAATTTTAAAATATATCTGACAGTTTCTTTCTCAGATATGGTTTTAATAACTGATAAAACTTGATATTATAATTGCATGCTTTATGTTCTCTGCTCATCTTAGCTTTTGTTGCATTCACCAGTCATTCAATAATACCGTATACTTGTCTGATCTTTAATTTGAGTTTAATATCCAAACTGTATCTCTGCTGGATTCAACATCACCTCTTTGTATAATTATTTTTAAATCAACTTCATTAGACAACATTAAGCCATAATTCCCAATACGAGAAAGTGCATATTTTATTAATTCATTTCACAATTTAATGGGAAAGTTCCAAATGTTTTTCCTAGGAAAATAGATGGATTTATGTCAAGAATCATTCTTGTGCCAAAATACAAAGGCATAAGTCCTTAAAATAAGAAACCTTACAGCACTTGGCCCAAGGAGACAGTCTTTCCCAGCTCACCAAGCAAGCAATACATTTATAGGGACCGAGATGGAAGCCATAGAAGTGATGGCTTTGTCTTTCATGTCTTCTTGGGTAAAATTGTGACTCTGTAATTTGAAGGCTAGTTAGTTGAATCAAACAAAAAGAAAGTATTGTTTTATTTGTCTCGTGCATTTGTCAATAAGATTAAAGTGCTACTTGAATTTGAGTGGGGCAGATTCTAAAGTGATTTGGCAGAAGCATTGAACGATCTGATGAACATTTGTTACTGTTAACCATTTTCTTCTTAAAACTATCTCCTTTGATTTTCTTTATCTAATTTTTAATTTTTCTCCTCTTTTACTATCATTAGATATTCATTCTAGATTTCTTTCAAGAACTGTTCTTTATCTACCTGCTCAATTTTTAAGAGTCAAAGTCATAATTCCAGAGTGATCCATTTTCATCTCTCTGAGCTTTTTGTTCTCAACATAATACCTAAAATATCTTTAAAAAAACCCTTTCCTAACATTTCCTTTACATTTTGATGATTCTCAAATCTAATCAAGAACTCTTCTGATTTCTGGACCTATATTTCCTATGACCTAATAAATGTTTCAATTTGGAAGGCCCAAAGGCACTTCAAATTAATCATCTTGAAAACTTAATCATTACTTTCCATCAGACTCATTCTGTATCATCTATCTTGGTGAATGGTACCACTCTTGGTCTTGTAATCTGCTTCTCACATACACGTTCCTCAGTGCATATCATCAATTCAGTTATTACATTCTACAATTGCTAGCTTTTAATATTGTTTGTATCCATTATCTATCTTCCTTGCTTGAGTTCAGGCTGTTACCAGGTTTTTTTTTGTTTTGTTTTGTTTTTTTTTGCCTGTATTTTAAATCTTTGCTTACTCATTACTCTCCCAGATACTTCAGCTTATTTCTGCAGTGAGAATCAGAGGGAAGCAGGAGAGAGTTTTCAAGGCTGAGCAGGTAGAAAAAACCAAGTTGGGACACACAATCAACAGTGTGGGTTGGAATACTCTGGAGAGAAGACTAAGGGCTGGGAGCCCCTCTGTGCCAGCAAAGGATACTCTGGAGGATTGGTACGGCAGAACAGTGCCTAGGAAAAGGAAACGGGCAGTAGAGCCAACTGGTAAATCTCTGCTTATTCTCTGAACAAAGGCGATGATCCAATCAGCTGAACCTGTAGTTGAGCAAAGCGGAATTAAGAGTATAGCCAAGATCAGGAATACTAGGACCAAATGGATACTGACCAGAATTACAAACAAATCTGAATGATTCAAAGTGCAAGAATTGGAGTGGACTGGAGTATAAAGTATGAAGCAAATTTCTTAGATAAGCTCTCACCCAGCTCTGTGAAGTGGCCACAATGAGAATTCTAGTGTATGGGAGCTTCTGAGAGGCATATTTCTGTGCACTGTTAGAATCTCTTTTAGTCAGCAGAATTGGTTAGCAAAGAAATGGGCTGCCCCATGAGCAAGTGGGTTCCTAGTGATTTAAATGATTCAAAGGCTGCATGAGTGCTCTGAAGCTATCCTGTAGACTATTTCTGCATTACATAGGTGAGGGGAGTAGATAATTTCTAATATCCTGTACAATTCACAAATATACATTTTTACCTTACCTCTCAATTTGAAAGTTATGATTTGGTTTCAACTGGGCATATGTGACAGTCATTCTCCTTGCATATAGCAGATACTAATTTTCAGACATCCTGTTTGTGTAGCATTCCATATACTCAGAGAAGTGGTTTTCATTTAGTCTCTTTTGTATTCAACAAATGCATTTTTTTAGTTTGCTCTCCCCTTCCCCTCCTTCTTGAACTGGGCTGCCAGTTAACTCAACCAGTTAATTCAATCAGACCTTTGGTTTGATTGGGTCTGTTAGTGGAACACGAAAGATGAAGGCAACCTGAAGTGCAGAGTCTAAGTCATGGGATTGAGCTTTGGCAAGCAGAGATGCATAAAACTAACTGGTCCTTCATGGAGACACCAAAGCCAAGCAGCAGTGACAGAAGATCCAACTCAGGAAGCTTCTAGCTGAGAAAGCTGCACTTCTTAGATTTGTTGTCAAATGTAACATTTGGAAGTGGTAAATCATTGCAGGAGCCAGTGTGCTTGGCAACCACATTCCTGCCTGGGTGGCTGGCAATACAAGCTGTGGCTTCATAGTCTCATACAGTTCTGATGGGGACATGTGAGCCATCAGTGACTGATCATTTTGGGAAAACCTGACAGAAAACAGAAATTTTCCTTACTTTTTGTTTCTATAATGAAGTGAGCAGAAGCTGAATGAAATAAAGTTGTCTCATTTATTATACAGATGACTCACATGCTTTCTGATTCATGCCAGTAAAATCACTCTGCCACTGGCAGAAATATGCCAGGACCTAAGAAAAATTGTGCTCTATGCAACCCCAACTCCCATCAAGGCCTGGGATATCATGATGCTGTTCAGATTTGCCCTTCTGCCTTGTAGCTAGAGCAGTTAGTCACCTAGTTGCAAGACGACTTTTATGGCTATAGTTATACCCTTTGGGACAGAATGCTGTTAATCAACGCTGTCCATGACATCATGAAACTAACAGCTCCTGCATATAAGTAACATGTTATATATAGCTTTGTCATTCACATGATTTAAGATGCTTCTGTTCTTTCATCCATCAGGTAAAACAAAAATGCAGTGGAAACCTGTACTTTCAGAACAGATGCCTTTATAATTGTGTTGATAGAAAGAACGTGCTGTCATGCTCTGCGTTACGTCTCTTTTCCATCTGGTTTCTGTCTGGTTATATTTGCGCTGCAGCCATCTTTCCCCCTTGACTTAGTTTTAAAACTCAATGTGATGGGGGTATTGCCAATCGTTTGAATAAAAACAGAATGTACTTGTATGATGTCACTGTGATACTTTCCCCAGTTAGACATGCTGAGCATTTATCACATTAGCCATGAATAAAGTGCATTGGATTGTCTTTTCAGAACATGTGTAGGTGAACTATTTCTAAGTTCATGCTAAAATCCCAAACTAATTGTGATTAGTGTTTAATGATAAAAGTTGACGTTTTAGATAAATACATTTGGTTTATATCTATTGAGATTTTCCATTTATCAAGAGCAGTTTTCATTTTTTCCCATTGGTTTAGGTGAATTTTTCTTCAGAAATTATAAAAGAAAACCTAGATATTCAAGTGCTTTTACTTTTTCTCATTCATCCGACTTCTATGTGAATGCAAAGGTCTAGCCACAGGGAAATGAAGTGACCTACGTAAGATTATAGGGAAAAACCTGACACTGTGGTACCTGGGCCTCAGGACCTTTTCCTGATATTCTAACAAGGAATGAATTCTGCACATCATTTTATTTTCACATATGATATTTATATGATATTATTATGAAATGATTATTCATTGAGAAAAATATTCTAGTTCTTTCTTAATGGGTTTTGCATTATCCTCTTGAAAAATTGAAATTATCTCTGCATAACAGCTTACAGTTTTCAAAACATTCCTCTTTCCCTGTTCACTGATCTTTCTCTGTATAGCTCATTTTTATCTTCAGTAGTGGGAGTCTGGCACATGGATTCTTAAAGGAAAAAGAGAGCTGGAAGGCATCTATTTAAGTTGATATTGGTTCTCTTGCAGACTCAAATTATATGTAAAGAGTCATTTTTTTATGTAAGCTAAGAGTTTTTAGGGAAAATTCGAAGATACTTTAATAATTGTAGATTGGTCAATAGGGTAAATTAGACATGATTACATGTTGACCCATCTCTGACCCAATTAAATTGTACCTTATCTGGAGTTTCATAAATATGTTCTATTGGACTTGATTTCTTTGTGTTTTCCCCATGAAATGCGGTTTTCCTGTAAAATAAACTCAGTGAATGCCAGATAATATATTTTCCTGTTAAGAAATTTATTTTATGTTATTTTTATTTTTATTTTATTTTTTGAGACAGAGTTTCACTTTTGTTGCCCAGGCTGGAGTGCAATGGCGTGATCTCGGCTCACTGCAACCTCTGTCTCCCAGGTTCAAGCAATTCTCCTGCCTCAGCTTCCCGAGTAGCTGGGATTACCGGCATGCGCCACCACACCAGGCTAATTTTGTGTTGTTAGTAGAGACAGAGTTTCTCCCTGTTGGTCAGGCTGGTCTCGAACTCCCGGCCTCGGGTGATCCGCCCGCCTCGGCCTCCCAAAGTGCTGGGATTACAGGCTTGAGCCACTGTGCCTGGCCAAGAAATTTATAATGCATGTTTGCATGGTAGAACCTCTGGGATGTTATAAAATCAAGAAACTCTTTTGACTATGTTTCACTTTTTTAAATACATAATTTTCCCCCTTTGCCATGAAGATTGACATGCTGAAGAGTTAGTGCTTTGTAAGACATTTATTAGGAATTTCTGAGCTAAAATTTTCTTCTGGTAGATAATATAGACTTATTTCTAAAAATCACTACTAAAATGCAAAGTATGGAGATTTTAGTGAAACAAATTATATTTTTACGTTATGAGATTAGTTACTTAAATAAATAATTGCTGCCTCTGAAAATAATGAAAGAAACTGAACTGTGGGCTTCTTAAGGTAGCAACTGAATATTTATTTTTGTATTCTTATCACCCAGCTCAATGCCAGAGTCAAAGCTCAATGTTTGTTAAGTTAATAGCAGTAAAGAAAAAGATATCTGAGGATTTTAGACTACCTTGTGCACAAGAATGCTCACTCAAATGTTATAAAGAAAATTAAAATCTGTTCTGGTCCATGCAAAATAGTATATTTTACCTAAATGGCTCATGTTTTCTTTCATGAAATAACTGTAGTCACTAGCAGAGTCTCATTGAGAATGAATACATTCTATTTATATTTTTCTAAGCAAAAAGGAAAACAATGCAGAACTGTAGAGGAGCTGTTATAGCTGTCCCATAAGGGACTGACAAGTTTTTTCTTTTTCTTTTTCTTTTTCTTTTTTAAATGACTGTTTTCTAAGAGATAATAGGAAACAATATTAATTAAACCTGTATCTTTTTTTTCTGATACGTTCAATGCAAGTTATAAATGTATTTAAATTTTCCACTGGAAAGTTATATATAATTTATAAATACCGCAGGAAAATATACCACTGGTATATTCCACTGGAATGACAAACATTTTTTCAGTTGGAATTTTTGAAGTTGTTGTTTTATTTTTATTTTGGTTTTGAAACTATTGGAAAAACCATGGAATTATGTCATAGTATTGCATATGTAGACTGGTAAAACAGGAACATGAAGTGACAACAGCCAATGTAGTGGTAATTTGGGGTTAATAATAATTTAGTGTTGATAGTAATCCATGACTAATTACCCCAATTCTCTCTCTATTTTCCTTTTGATACCTTAAGGCTTTTGCCTATTTTGTTATTTAACTTTGGGGGAATAAAATCAGATCACAACAAGCATGGAGAGGGGCTCTGAGTAGGCTAGCGATACTGAAGCTGTGTAGAATTATGGACAGTGATATTAAGGTAGGACAGTGATATTGAAGCTGTGTAGAATTATGGTCTGCCAACATACTCATTAGATTTGTAGGCCCTGCGTATACATATTTCTGGCATTAATCTGGTGGACTGGAGCTATGGTCTTGACGTAGAAAATATCACTGTGTCTCGATACCGGAGAGAGGGCCCCAGGCTGATGGAAACGTCTTTCAAACTATTAACTATGTAATAGATTATTGTGCCACATAGGTCAGAGAAAAATTTTGACCCTCTGAGTCCATGTCTTCATTCTCATTGAATTATTTGCTCTTCAGTATTGCCCTCCTTGTTATTTTTCTTGTGGTAGTTATTTAACTGCAGCATCTATTCATTTCTCTTCTCAAGCCTTCTGGATGATTGGATTTTATTCCCACAATGTCTTATTCTTTTCAGTAAGGCTTTTCTCTTTCATTAGTTATCCAGCATCTGAAATTCTATACCTTGCTTAAAAACAGAATTAGAGGAGAATGAACACTTCCCCTCATAGTCTACTCATTCACTACTTCATTAATACATATATTAAATAACTTCAATTCCATAATATGAGAAGGAAAAAGAATAATGGGACAAGTGCATTCAGCTTAGTATAGAATTTCAATACTCTAATGATTATGCTAACTGAATTAAATTATTAAAGAATTAAGTGAATATTTATTGAATGGTTATGCTGTGCCAGACACTAGTACCTACTATATAGGTGATGACCATACTGTGAGAACAAGATAGACATTATTACTTCCTTTATGGGACTTACTGTCTATTTGCAATGCATAAACAGATACATGGTAAAATTACTATGCACTGTTATACTTCTTATAAAATGGTGGTGGATACAACATTCCAGGCAAAGTTTATATCAGGTGCACAGTATTTAGAAAAAGTCTTGGGGGCATATTACAGAAAGCACAGAAGGAGGCCAATATGGCTAGCATGTAGCAACAGAAAAAGTCTTGGGGCATATTCTAGAAAGCACAGAAGGAGGCCAATATGGCTAGCAGGTAGTAAGAGAGTGACAACAGATGAGATAGAGGTTCAACCAGGCAGCATCTTGATCCATCATGAGGAGCTGGGATTTTATTCTAGGTGCAATGGAGAGCAACACAGATTTCAAACAAAGGAAGGGCCTGACTAGATTTGTGATTTTAGGATTTCGTATTTCTGGTTGGAAAAAATGAATCAGTGGAAGTAAAAAGTAGAAGCAAAGATAAGTCTTTAGCTTTTTCTTCTCCTTTTCTTTTTTTTTTAAGTGATCAGAAGTGTTGATGGCTTGGTTAGGGTGGTAGTAATGGGAAAAGAGAGAAGTACCTAAAAAGGAGAAATATTTTTGGAGGTGACATGATAGGATTCATTGTTTGTGCGACATGGGAAGCAAAGGGAAGTAAGTAAGTACAAATGAAGGTTTTCCTGGGTTGAATTTTATTGACAGGGCTATTTACTGAGGGAGAAACAGATCTTGAGGTTTAGATGGTACGAGCAAGTTTTGTTTTAAACTTCCACTTTGGACTTCCTATATTCGAGATGCCTATTAGACAACTAAGTGGAGGTGTGAGCCTATTTATCTATCTATTATAATTCTCTATCTATCTATCTACCTGCCTATTTATGTACAAGTCTGGGACTCAGACAACCTAGATTGAAAGTGTAAGTCCAGAAGTCAGTGTACAGATGGTGCTGGAAGCAACCTGAATTAGGGAAAAGTGAGCAGTCTCAGGAATGAGTGCTAAGACATCCCTCTCTGTGGAATTTTGGTAAAGGAGGAGAAGCCAACAAAGAAAACTGAGAAGGAGAGGCCAGAGGGTAGGAGGAGAGCCAAGGAATTCAGTGACACTGAATCTTAGAGCAGAGAATGTTTCAAGAAACCAATACTGTTTGTTCCAAATGCCTCTAAATAGTTGAACAATATGCCGACAAATGTGTCCCTGATTTAGCAACCTGGAGCTATTGATTATCTAGACAAGAATCATTTCAGTGGAGATGGGGAGATGCAACCCAGGTAAGCGTGGATTGAATGCAAGAAATGGAATGCAAAACAGAGAGGAAGCAGAGTGTATAAAATATTCTTTCATTTTTTTTTGTAAAGGTGAACAGAGAAATGAGAAGGGAGCTGGTGTGGAATGTGGGGGCCAAGAAGGTTAATTTGTGCTTAATGAAAACTCTTCTGATATTTTTAAAATATGAGTGATATGGTTTAGGTGTGTCCCCACCCAAATCTCATCTTGAATTGTAACTCCCACAATTCTCACATGTCATGGGAGGAACCTGTGGGAGGTGATTGAATCATTGGGGCAGGTCTTTCCTGTGCTGTTCTCGTGATAGTGAATAAGTCTCAGGAGATCTGATGGTTATATAAAAATGGGAGTTTCCCCACACAAGCTCTCTTCTCTTGTCTGCCACCATGTGAGACGTGCCTTTCACCTTCCACCATGATCATGAGGCCTCCCCAGCCATATGGAACTATAAGTCCAATAAACCTCTTTCTTTTGTAAATTGCCCACTTTCAGGTACATCTTTATCAGCAGTGTGAAAAACAGACTAACACAACGAGGAATTACATATTTCATAGGAACAAAGAAATTTCAAGAAATAGCTGGAATTCAGCTGTTAGTTGAGTAGTATTTTTATTAACACAGTCTATCACCTACCTTTCCTTATCACTTCTATCTATACTTGATTACAAATCTATGTTATTGATGATAATGATCGAGTGAACAACTAGTGTGAAATAAGTGCTCCTGTTTTATATAGATATGAGTATCTGGAGCAGTCATGGGAAGCAGTAATATATTCTTTGTCTGAAGGTGCCCTGGTGAATGGCAATTTTTTAAAAAAGATTGTAGTGTCAGCTCCATGATTCTAGCTGCAATGGAAATGGAATATTTTTGCCACATTAATTCCAGCTTGTCCTTCTAGTCTACTGGTGTTTATAGTGATGCTTCTGAAACCCTGATGCCACGGTGGTCTTTGCCTTTTCGAGTCATTCTAGAGTTACCTTATTAAAACGGAGGGAAATTTGAATAGAAACTCAGCTTCTACCTTGTTAACAGAACTCTGCAGTTCTCAAACATTTCAACATCAGGGCGAAAGTGGCAAAAGAGAAAGTCTGTGTTTGCGGTCAGCCTGAGCTGCCCACTATCCCAAGGCCCACCTTTCTGTGAGGTCATCATCAAGACCACTGCCAACACCACCACACATGCCTTCTGCAGTGGTCTCTGAGTGGAGGTGCTTTAAAAGCTTTAAAAACATCTATCAGTGTTTTAAAATCTTTTATGTGGACTAGAAGAGTTAAAGTAAGGTGAAAACTTGCATATCAGTGTGCATAGCTCCAAGGACTGCCAAATGCAGAGGGTCCTTTGTGGACAGATTCTTATCTTACACTCAATATGTTTGGCTGGCCAGGCACGATGGCTCACACCTGTAATCCCAGCATTTTGGGAGGCCAAGGCGGGTGGATCACTTAAGGTCAGGATTTCGAGACCAGCCTGACCAACGTAGTGAAATCCCATCTCTACTAAAAATACAAAAATTAGCCGGGCATGGTGGTGAGTACCTATAATCCCAGCTACTTGGGAGGCTGAGACAGGAGAATCACTTGAACCCGGGAGGCAGAGGCTGCAGTGGGCCAAGATCTCCCACTGCACTCCAGCCTGGGCGACAGAGTGAGACTCCACCTCAAAAAAAAAAAAAAAAAAAAAAAAATATATATATATATATATATATATATATATATTTGACTGGAAGTGTTTTCAGATGACAGATAGTTGTTTTGATAGTTGAGGATATTGTTCCTCATCTTGGCAAGGAGATCAATTCAGGGACCAACTCAGCCATATGCCCAAAAGACAGAAAGGAGTGTTTCCCTATTGAGGATCTGAAGCAGTCTCCTCAATCAGAAGTAACCCTGGGTTGCAGTAGGTAGAGTTTGCTACCTGACCTTACCTGGGAAGTGTCTATCCATTCCCATGTGGCCTCTTCAAAATCTGTTTGTTTATTAATAATTTCATCTATGTGGCAGTCCTAGAGAAGAGACAAAACTCGCTACCTTAGGTAAATTGCTTCCTCTAGGTGGCTACAGTAAAATCTCTAATGTAACATTGTGGTGTATGCCTTATTATTTGTCTCTGAACTCCAGGAAACTGTCAAATGGGGCATTTGGAAATGACAGACATCGAATCAACAGGTTTGCTGCTGTTTTAGGATTTGCCAATTGTTAACATAGTGGCGCATCTGCTGTTTCATAAAGGTCATGCTGTCACATAATTCTTGTCTGCAGAGCTTCATTCACTACAAGGTGAGTGCTTGAGAAAGAACAGCGTAGTATGACGGTTTCAGACAGATGCATTTATTTGCGTGCATTTGATGCAGAGTTGGGAATGAAACTCGGAAAGCATCAATACCATTCCTTTCATTGTTCTTTTGTACTGCCCGGTTTCAAAAGCTAAACCTATAAAAATAGAAAATGAGTGTAATTAAGTGGTCTAATTTAGAATGATGGACTTTTTAAGTCGACTATTGAATTTACTTTGATGCAAAAATTTCAAACTTTTAGAATGTTAGCCATCATTCATTCTGTGTGTGTTTGTTTGTGTGTGTGTGTCTGGATTGAAAGGAAGACACAATTTAAAAATCTTTTAAAAATGAAAGCTCTTTTAATTCTGTAATATACATAATTTAGAAGTGAAAATAATGTTGTTTGATGTTATTTTTAACTGTTATAAGTGGTAAGGTGATTTGGTCAAAGTAGGAAATACTCATTTTATCAGGGTTTTTATTTTTTATTTTTCTTTTTTTTTTTTGAGATGGAGTCTTGCTCTGTCGCCCAGGCTGGAGTGCAGTGGCGTGATCTCAGCTCACTGCAACCTCCGCCTCGTGGGTTCAAGCGATTCTCCTGCTTCAGCCTCCCGAGTAGTTGGGACTACAGGTGCATGCCACCATGCCTGGCTAATTTTTTGTATTTTTAGTAGAGACGGGGTTTCACTGTGTTAGCCAGGATGATCTCTATCTCCTGACCTTGTGATATGTCCACCTCAGCCTCCCAAAGTGCTGGGATTACAGGCGTGAGACCCCGCACCTGGCCTTTTATTTGTTTTGTAATAGGAGGATGACAACATAGCATCCATATAAGCCAACATTCACTTTCAACATTATGGAACCAACTAGTCTTAATCTGTTTGTGCTACTGTAACAGAATCCTTGGCACTGGATAATTTATTGAAAAACCCAGACATTAATTCTCACAGTCCTAGAGGCTGAGAAGTCCAAGATCAGGGCACTGGTATTTGGTCTGGTGAAAGTCTTCTTGCAGCATCCTCACATGGCAGAAGAGAGAAGGGCAAGCTAACCAAAAGCTGCAGGAAGCCTCTTTTATAAGGGCTTTAATGTCATTAAGGAGGAAGGAGCCCTTATGGCCTGACCAACTCTTAAAGGCCTTACCTCTTAATAACATCACACTGGTAACACCTGAATTTGCACTCAAGCCATAGCACAATCTTATCCTTTAAGCCAGTCTCTCACACCCACGCACAGATGTGTTGACTGATAAAAGTCATTGAATAATGCACTACAGTTATTCACTGCCAACACCTCAGATCTTCCTCACTTCATCCAGACTTGCCTTCTCTGACCATATTTCTAAATAATTCTAACTTTTGCTTTCTGCCCTCGACCTAATGCTGCCTCTAAGCCCTCCTTTAGGCTATGAATTGTATTATTTACTGTTTTTTGTGGTATCATTCTCATTTCTTTCTTTTCATTTGTATGAATTTATGGGAGTACATGTGAAATTTTGTTACATGCATAGATTGTGTAATGGATAAAAAATATAGTATATATCCACATGAAATACTATTCAGCCAAAAAAGAATGAAATTATATCCTCTGTATTGTTACTGTTTTTAACACTAATCCTAGGACTGTAAATTGGGGTGAAAATCAATGTTCTGAATTTAACTTTATGTTTAATGTTTTAATTTAATGTTTAAAATTTAGTGTTAACTTTCTCCCTCTATAGCATCTGGATCTCAGCTTCATTTGGTCAGAGGTGATTTGACTGCCAGCTTTTGTCTTCCTTGACTCCTTCGGGTAGGACTGGGTGGCAACACCCCATTTTGGGTCATCTGAATTCAACTCCTGACTCAATTACAGCCATGGTGTCTGCAGAGGTCATACTCAGATAGATCATTATTTATTGTATGTCATCTTAGCACTTTAATATGATAGGTTGACTCTTTGTAAATAGTCACTAAGTATGGCTTCAGGGGTCTGTGTAGTCTCTAAAGTTTGGTGGTAAACTAATAAATATCATCCAGGACCAGCTGCTGCAGTCAGACATTTGTGGCTTAAAAGAATGACCAGAAGGTAATTGGAACATCAACTTCAATCCCATTACTAACATAAAAATAGTCTTGTAGAATCTCTCACTTTTTTTGATCAGTAACTTAAAATCATTTATTGAGGAGAATTGTCAGGGTAAGAACCACCACTTTTTAATCAGCGTTTCTCAAAATGTTGCACTTTCAGGGGATCAGTGAGATCAAAACTATTTTTACAATAATCCTAAAATGTTATTTGCCCACTTCACTGTTTCTGTCATATGTATACAGTGTAATTTTCCAGAGCTACATAATATGTGATGATGTCATCATCCTTACAGTGAATGGAATTTGTGCATCTGTATTCTTGTGTCTTAAACTTTTCCATTGTTTTAATATGCAATATATAGATAGAGAATGATAAATAGATGATAGATAGATAGATAGATAGATAGATAGATAGATAGATAGATAGAACCCGCATAAATAAAAGCATCTGGGGATCCTCAGTGACTTTCAAGAATATAAAGGAATCCCGAGACCAAAAAGTTTGAGAATGTCTGATATAGTTATTGCAAAGCATGTTTTGCTACTTGTATTGTTAGACTCTATAAGGTAAATTATTTTTCAATGTCTCCTCAATTCGTAATCATTATATAAACTGATGAAAGGCTGCCTTATTGCTTATCTTTCAGAAAGACAGTAAGAATTGTCATATGCACACTTACTATGTACTCACACGAATAAACAATAAAAATTTTTTAAAAAGGAAAGAAATACTGGACTTTTACTTAACCTCTCGTGTCTCAGTTTCCTTCTCTGTAAAATGGAGATGGCAATTCCAGTTATGTCACATGATGGTTAAATGTAAATGAGGTAGCACACTTGAGGCACTTGGAATACTACTTAGCACATGGTAGCACTCAACAAGTGTTAACAAGTAACTATCACCATTATCTCTACCCATTGACTACAGTGTAATGAGAGCTTAAATGTAAAACTGGGGTCCAAATTTTTCTTCTGAGATTCATCCTCGTTGTTGCAAATGATAGGATTTACTTCTTTTTTAAGGCTGAATAGTAGCCATTGTATGGATAATACTCATTGTGTGTATACTATTTATACCATTCATTACATGGACACTATCCACTGTGTCCATATATATATATATGTATATCACATTTTCTTTTTATCCATTCATTAGTTGATGGACATTTAGTTTGATTCATTATTTTGGAAATAACAAGAAAGCCTAAGAGAGAGTTTAATTTTATATCTGCATGTATTTTTGCACAGCAATTTGGGGAATATTTTTCATTCTTTAAGTCATTAAATACAACTTTGGGCTTTGTAATTGTTCTCTAGCTATTTAGTTGGATTAGTTGGGGATGGCAGAACACAGAGTGGGAACAATATTTCAAAGAGAAAAGGTAGGAATAGTGAAGATTTGGTAGTCTTATTGGAATATGGACAGAAGAATTTGACCTATAACTTTAGGTTATTCCTTGGTTGGACTGTTTATTCTAACTCTAGAAAAAGGAGTAGAGGCTGAAGTGCTTACCATATGTCATGGTCAATTATTTGGAATTTTAAGGCCAAAATGTGCTTCCAAATTCTGAACATTCACTTTCACTCCAATTTATGGTCCTAGGATTAGTGTAACAAACAGTAACAATATAGACAAATGACTTTCTGTTTTTAAGTCAGGTCCAGTTTGCTGAAGATAATGATTTGTGACATGAACCTGAAGAAGCTGCAGTAATTGACATAGTCCAAACTACCAATCTGATTATAGTGCTCTCAATTGCAGCTTTCTCTTAAACTAATTCTATCTTGAACTTGAGGAATGATGTCATAGTGTCTCACTGTATACATTTTCCATGTATACAAAGAAGAAACAATATCCACTGACATTTTACATGTAAAGATCTGAATGGAGAATGTGGATGATTTTCATGTTCAGATAATCCACAATTATATTAAGTTGGAATTGGGTCATAGCCCTGAGAATATCTGAATTCTTCCTTCAACTAGTTTCCAAAGAGGAAAATGCAAGTAAAGTACATGTTGCTATTTACTGGGCATTGCCCTAACCAAGAGAGAGTTTGGTGGCACCCAGGGAATCCTTTTCTTAAATTATGCAGGCAGAGTACCAGAATGACAGGCAGTCCACATACCTATTTTGCCTAGTTCCAGTTTGAGACCTGGTGCCATGTTAGGTATTGAAAATAAAAAGATGCATAAGCCAAATTCTTTCCCTGAAGGAGCTTACTTTTTAATAGGTGATTACTGATGGTGCCAATGCAGTTATTTTTATGAGATACACTGATGACTAACATAAATAGTTTTCTTGAGTTGTGCTAACATTTGGGTTCACCTAATTTCTTTCAAATTTTTATTAAACTGTGGTTTCCTCAGGGTTATGTATGTGGCAGAGTAATGATTGGCCAACACAAAAGAGGAGGTGGTGACTGCATTGTGGCAGTATACGGTTCACAACTTCTATCATTTGTGAATTCATAACAATTTTGAAAGACTTGAAGTTTTGAAAAATGAAATTAAAGATATTTTTCCATTAAATATAAAATATTTGCATCTTCATTTAAGGAAGATATCTGTTATCATACTGTCCTAATCTAAAACAAATTATTTAAATAAATAATCCATAAAAATCAATAATGTCTTCACTCTGTCTATAGTAGTCCTCTACTATAATTTTCCAAAAGCATGAGCAAGGTGTCATTGCTAGCTTCAAGGCATTAGATTTTAAAGACTATTTCCATGAGTCAAGAAAACAGAATTAATTTTTGGTGTTAAATAAAAGCTATGGTGAGAAAAATAATATTAAGAATTGTTAAGAAATCCCTGTAATTTTTCACATAAAGTCTAGCTCTAAAGGAAAGAATAGTATTTTTTTAATATAAGAAAATGACCAGTACTTGGGAATGTAATTTAAGGCTCTGTATATCCATGCCTCTACTTGAACACTTACTATTTTAAATTGCATTTAGTCATCAGCACTGCTGATTTTAGGCAAGAGGTTTGACTCTTAGGGGCTCAAAATGTGTTGGTCAAATGCTGGTTTAGTACTGAAATTCAATCTATGTTTCTAAATCCCTTTTAAACAGAAGAGCACATTTCTGGAATGTTAGCTTCTTTATAAAGTATGGATCTCAAATTTGTTCTTGTTCATTCTTTTTGTTGTTGTTGCTGTTCATTTGTCTAGCCCCTTCCTTTACAGACATACCCAGAATAAAAAGGTTGTAACTTACATTCTCGATGATAAAGCTGACAGTGATGCCAATTAACATGAATTAGGCTAACTTGTGAAAGTCCCAAATTGCTGGCAGTATTGGAGCCTTTACAATGAAAATCAATGAGTTAAATTGGCTAGAACAAATAAGGTGACAAAGGGTAATGATGAGTGGCAGAGAGAAAGAGAACCTGCAATTTAGGAACCAATAAACCCATTGCATTTAGCTTAGCATAAAAACTTGATGAGATATATTAGATAGTTAATCATATGTATTAAAAGTGGTAGCCAAGGATTTTATTTTCTCTAGTGAAGTTAAAAAGAGGGCTTCTTATTGAGTATTTTACTTCGATGAAAAATTGAGTTCTTGTTCAAATTAGAATTAAGGAAAAGCCATTTGCCAAGGACATGTAGGAGATTAAGCTGGATAATCAGAGCACTTCCAGGAAAATGTTTCATTCTCACCAGAATGAAATGGAATCAATTGTTTATTAGCAGCGTAACTGTGAACAGGGTGTTCTTGATGCTTATGTGAGAAGTGTTTTAAGGATCTGATTTGATAAATACAAAACTAACTATGATTCTTCACCATTGAGCCATTGCAGAAAAGAGTGTAAAATCTTTACTTCTGAGTCCTTATTTTAGTTGGAAGGTCATAAAACAGTGTGTGAATATGGGGGTTAAATTTGGGGAGATAGGATTTCTCAGGACTTCTACAAGTAGTCCTTCTTCTTTTGCCCCTGTGATATCAGAGACACTGAACTTGATGACGACTGGATGGGGCTGAAATCAATGATTGATGTTTTCTAAGCAAACCATCAGTTTTGCACATCCATTATTACCATCAACACATCCATGCCCATCCCCAACTCAGAGGTTCAACGCCAAATATTGAAAATCCTGTGACAAGCAACTGGTAAGTGGTAAGAAAGCCTCTTCATACTAATTCTGAAAGCTACTAAAAGTATTTTAGGCTGCAAGATACTTAAACAACCACACCAGGACACATAGTTATATGCCATCAGTTGACCATTGGATTAAGATCTAGCAAACTCCTATGATGCTTAGACACAAATCTGAGGATTTCCAGAGAGAATCTGGAAATTATGGGATGGAGAAGCCTGCCCCAGCACGTCGACTTTGTTCCCTCTCTCTTTTTCTTTCTGCCTCCCAAAAGAACAATGGATGGAGAATTAACTTACTGGGTGTCTCAGGTAGCAAAATGGAAACAATACTGGCCCCAAAGTAGGTAGTAAGGAAACCCCTTCTGTACCAGAAACACCTGTGTTCAGGGGATCTTGGCATATGGCAGTGACTCAGACCCACGCCCGGATGTGGATTTGCCATAAAGTTACTTGCTTTCTTAAATTTAATTTTATTATTTATTTATTTATTTATTTGAGACAGGGTCTCACTCTGTCACACAGGCTGGAGTGCAGGTGCTATCTTGACTCACTGAAGCCTCCAACTCCTAAGCTCAAGCAGTCTTCCCACTTTAGCCTCCTGAGTAGCTGAGACTACAGGTGTGCACCACCATGCCCAGCTAATTTTTGTATTTTTAGTCGAGATGGGATTTTGCCATGTCGCCTAGGCTGGTCTCGAACTCCTGGGCTCAAGCGACCCATCTGCCTCAGCCTCCCAAAGTGCCAGGATTACAAGCACGAGCCACCATGCCCAGCTGCTACACGCCTTTGCGTCAATGTTCTTCACTTGCAGAAACCCAATCTAAGCTTCTGGTAGAGGCTGTAGAAATGTTTATAGGATAATATGTCCTGGTACATTTGCAAATACAAAATAGTCAAACTGAAATTGGCTAAGATTCCATTTTCTTTCCAATTTTCCCTTCCTCACCCTTTCCTTCATTTCAGGGGGCATTGGAGTAGCAATGAATGTTTTAGGGATCTGTAGAAACATTGACTTGGGGAAATATTTAGTTGCCTTTTAGTGGAATACATGTGGCTAGGAGTTCCTTCTGTGAGGCGCTGAACAACAGTCAGGCAGGCATATAATGGTGTTGCTGTTATGAAGGAGAAGAGCCAGGGGCCCTGTGCAGGGCCAGCTTTGCAGTCATGTTACCTGTATGATTTACACAGTTCCCGGCACTTAGAAGGGTCCTGCGCTAGCTTAACTGTCTGCCATCACTTTATCAGAATTGTTAATGCTTTTTGGACAAAAGGCTGCACATGTTATGTAGGCAGTTCCGGCTGCAAGCACCCTTTAAAACAATAATCAAGGTACAGAAAGTGTGCCCCATTCAGCTCTTCCTTGGTGTCATTCAAGACAAAGGGTGACTCTGCAAGTGGCTGACTAATTCAGCATTTTCTTATAGATACATGTTTTCATTTCAAGTTGTTTATCACGTAGATGGAATCCTTTAAATACACATATTAATGTGGATTTTCTTTAAATTTCAAGTGTAATGAGATTGCACATTTTAAGACTGTTCAAAGTTTATATTATGAGTAAAACAGCCTTTCAAGCTCTCTAAAATAAAATTTCAGAGAAGAGACGAATATGAAAGAGGTGACAGAGTTACTCAAAAAGTTGTTAAGGGTCAAATAAACCATTGAACTGAAAATATAAAAGAATCTTTGGAAAGTTTCTATGAAAACAGTAGAAGAGAACACACTTCTGGTTTTGAGGTATATGATTGTAATTTTAAAATTGAATTACTAAATATATAAGAAAAATTCAGATAAATGATAAAATCAATAGAAATTATCCTAGAATCTAGAAATTAATGGTAAGAAAACAATTTTCAGATCATACTCAAAGCAGTGATTCATTAGAAAGAAAAGAAAAATTTCACATAAATTAATGAGTAAGCTCCTGATTTAGTAGTAATACAATTATTTAACAAGAATAAATTGTCTATATAACATATATAATTGTATACAATATAATTTTATACAATTTTATACTACTAATTATATGAATCTATATAATTAGTTACTGCACAAGCAAATTTGAAGTGTACTAAAATCTTAGTTTGTAAATGTAAGAAACTCAATAGGCATTCTCAAATTTAGCAACTTTGGAAAAAGTTTACATGAAGTGACCAATAATAAATAATAAAGCTGAAAAAAGCTCTCCTATATTATCAATTTTTAAAGCTTCAATGAGGCTTTCTAGGGGGAAGGTAATTATCTTTTTATTCTACATATAGCAATTATTACAATTATTACAAAATGTCATGTTGTCATATGAAGAGGCTCTCACACGGTATGTAGCTAAATATGTAGTAAAAATATTACCAAGATGTGTCAGTAAGCCAGTTAGTGAACCACACTGTGCTATTTTTCCCAGTTTTGGTGTTATCTGTGGTAGTGAGCTACTTAAAATTTGTAATTTTTTGTTACTTCCTTTCTCATTTTAAGTAAATATTTAAAACATTAATTTGATATTTTTAATTTTGTATTTTTCTTCAAGTGTTAGCAGCCCCTTCCCTAATATTATAATCTCTAGGTCTCACAAAACTTGGCACCACCCCTGTCCAGTTCAGCAAGTTAGTGAAAAAATGAGAATACTGGGTCTGGTTTTCTGGTGCTAGAGCCAGTGGTTTAAACTGATACCCTGACCAAAAACTTCATTAGGATCCTGTAGACACTGTTTAATTGTAAAATAAATGAGTATCCGGAAGAGAAGAATTGCCCCATTCCACTGCCTTGCGTTCTTAAACCTTGAGCTTTTCAAGAGACAGTTGACAGTGTACTCAATTTTGTAAATAAATGAGGTGGAAGAGACCCATGAATTACAAGGGATACGTTAACCATGAACATCATCTAATCCAAACTGTTTTCTTTGTAAATGAGGCAAATGAGGTCCAGAGATATCACATAAATGAAATAAATAGCTGGTACCAGAATGTAGGTTTAATTCCCTTCCCCGTTCTTTTCAAACCATTCACTTCACACATTCATTCAACTGAGGGCTTATTGAATGCCCAGCACTGTGTAAGGTATTAGAGATTGAGCAGCAAGCAAAACAGACAATTCCTGTCTGAGGAGCCCCTATTCTAGTATGGAAGGCAGCTAATCAAGAAGAGTAAAGTGTATTAAATACTACTGGCACAGGGATTTCAACCTTTCTACCCCCATACGCAGTGCTTGACACGTTTATGCTAGAGCCTTATAAATAAGACCAGCAACTGTGGCTATTTTGAATCATCTGGAAAACTCTGCACCATTCTCCTAAGAAAATAGAATACCAAGTACTCAAGGGTCATCAACAACTAGTGATCAAGTCAAGTCCTAATTCTTACTTAATTTGAAGATTTTATTTTATTAAAGTCATTTTACTGGAAATTTAAATATGAAAGTTTTGTAGTAACACTGAATTTCTGATGAAGTCTTGACAATTTAAAGTTGACAACAAATGCCAAAAAATATTTTTTAAAAAAACTCCTGAGTGTACATTTAAAGCAGTACAAATAAAGATTGACATCAATATTTGTATAGACAAATAATGGGCAAGGTTGGCATTCACTATAAGTCAAAAAATAAAATGTGCTATGCTCCCAAAATATGAAGACCCAAATAACTGACACTAAAAGACAGAATATTGTTTTTACTAGACTATGTGGAGAAATGCAATCCAAAAGGACTGGCAAAGTCATTGTAGAAGACTAATATGGGATTTAGCTAGAAGCTCTGGGACAAAAGTTTAGATAATTCTAAGGTAAAATATACTAATAATTTTTTTGCCGTAAGTGCTTAATGTCAATTACCTATCCCTCCTGGGACTGAAGTTCTGGGTGAGATAGTGTCACGTTCATTGGTAATTGGACCCTGTGAAGATATGTCTTTTAATCTGAATGAGTATTTAATTGACTGATTTTTCTTTGTTTTTAACAAAGGAACATGAAAGCAAAGGCAAGTAGCGAGCTTGAAAAGGGTAGAAAGCCCATTCAAATATATGTACAGCACAGAGTCTAAGAAAATGAAAAGACTCTAAAATAAAGCTGTTCACTGGGGGCATTAGAGTTGTGAAAGCCAAAAAGTTCTTTTTCAGTAGTTAACAAATGTTTTGTTACTGCAAACTATGTGCCAGATCCTGCCCACGTAGACTGACAATAACACGTAAATTATAGGGTACCTTAGAAGGTGTTAAATGCTAAGGAAATGAAGAAAGAGTAGAGTAGGATCAATGTGAGGGGAGTGCAATGGTGGGGGTTAGAGTTGTTCGAAATTTTAAATAAAATGATGAGGGTGGGTCTCATTGAGAAAGTGACCTTTAAACCAAAACCCAGAGGAGGTAGTCATGGAGACATGGGGATATGGGGGTGGATGGGAGAGCATTCCAGAAAGTCATGCAAAGCCCCTAAAATGAAAGCATGACCAATGTGTTTAAAAAACAGAAGGGCCAATGTGCCTGCAAAAGAACTTTTTTTTCTTAAAAAATAAATATTTGATCAAATGGAGGTGTGAAAAGGCAAAATCTTTGATTTCCAAAAATAAAACAGGTTCAACAGTTGGGCAAGACTGGAAATTGATTAGAATAAATGAAGCGCATTCTCAAAAGCATGGAGGCATGAAGCACATGGCGAGATCAGGTAAGGGTGAATGGCTAGCTAGAACTAGACTGCAGGTTTCATGATAGGGACATGTAGAAAAAATGGGGTGAAAACATGGAGCAAAAGTTCTCATATAATGCAGTTTGAATTTTTTCTTACAGGTGATGAGGAAGCCATTGAAGACTGAGTTTTTAAAAATAAATGAATATGTGGCAATTTTATAATCATGATGAATTATAAAATAGAGAAGTGAGATGTTGTCAGGTTTGTTTGTTTTTATTATTTTTAAAACGGTTCTAGTGGATATGTAGTGGTATCCCTTAAAGATGTTGAAATTATTTTTCTATGCATACTGGCTATTTGCAGAATTTCTTTTGTCAAATCTCTGTTTAAATCTTTTAGCCAATTTTTATTGGGTTGTTTTGGGAAAAGTTCTTTATATATAATGCACACAAGTCTTTTGTCAGATATATGGTGAATATCTTCTCCCCGTAACATGACTTTCCTTTTCATTTTCTTAAGGTATTTTTTGAAGAGCAGCCAAGTTTTAATTTTGAAGTCCTACTATCAACTGTTTTTTATGGTTCATGATTTTTTTTTTTGTTCTATCCACAAATCTTTGCTACCCCAAGGTTGCAAACATTTTCTCCTATGCTTTTTTTTAGGACTTTTATAGTCATGACCTTTACCTTTATGCCTATGATCTGTTTGGAGTTAAATTTTATGTATGGTGTGTAAGAGTAAGGATTTATAGCCATACATTGCTTAATGACATGAATATTTTTCAAAATGTGTTATTAGGCAATTTTCTTGTTGTGTGAACATCATAGAGTGTACTTACACAAACCTAGACGGTATAGCCTAGTACAAACCTAAGCTGTATGGTATAGCCTATTATTGCTCCTAGGCTACAAACCTATACAGCATGTTACTGTACTGTACACAGTTGTAACACAGTAATAAGTATTTCTGTATCTGAACACATCTAAACACAGAAAAGGTACAGTAAAAAACCGTATGAAAGATAAAAATAGTATACTTGTATAGAGTTCTTCAAGTAAATGGAGCTTACAGGACTGGAAATTGCTCTGAGTCAGTGAGTGTTGAGTGAATGTAAGGGTCCAGTATATTATCAAACAGCACTGTAGACTTTATAGACACTGTACACCAAATTATTTAACAATTCTTTCTTCAGTAATAAATTAACTTTAGCTTACTGTAATTTTTAACTTTATAAACTTATTTTTCTCTCTTTTTGACTCTTTTGTAATAACACTTAGTTTAAGACATAAATACACAGCTATACAAAAATATTTTCTTTCTTTACATCCTTATTTTATGTTTTTTCTATGTAAATTTAAAAAGTTTTCTGGCTGTGTGTGGTGGCTCACACCTGTAATCCCAGCACTTTGGGAGGCCGAGGCAGGTGAATCACGAGGTCAGGAGTTCAAGACCAGCCTGGCCAATATGGTGAAACCTCGTCTCAACTAAAAA
The DNA here is from genome assembly GCF_000001405.40 of Homo sapiens. Taxonomy (NCBI): domain Eukaryota; kingdom Metazoa; phylum Chordata; class Mammalia; order Primates; family Hominidae; genus Homo; species Homo sapiens. The sequence continues at coordinate 1,432,768 of NC_000018.10, forward strand.
CACAAGAATTAGCTGGGCGGGTGGCAGGCGCCTATAGTCCCAGCTGCTCGGGAGGCTGAGGCAGGAGAATCACTTGAACCCGGGAAGCAGAGATTGCAATGAGCTGAGATCATGCCACTGCACTCCAGCCTAGGTGACAGAGTGAGACTCTGTCTCAAAAAAAAAAAAAAGAAAAAAAATTCCTAAACAATTTTTTTTTCTGTTAAAAACTATGACACAAACATACAGATTAGCTTAAGCCCATACAGGGCCAGGATCATCAAGACAACACTAGGTGATTGGAATTTTTCAGCTCCATCGTAATTTTATGGGACCATTGTCATATATGCGGTTTGTCATTCAAACTGTTGTTACGTGGCACATGACTGGATTTATTTTTCTATTCCAGTAATATTTGTTGAAAATATTTTTTGTTCTCCATGTAATTACCATAGCATCTTTGTTAAAAAGTATTCAACCCTATGTTTGGGGTGTATTTCCAGATTCTGTATTCTGTTCCATTGATCTATTTTTCTATCATTAAGGCAAAATCACATTGTTTAGATTACTGTAAGTTTATAGTAACTGGACTGATTGGAATTCTCATATGTTGCTTGGGACTACATAAAATAGTACAGTCACTTTGGAAAAAAGTTGAATCGTTTCTTATAAAATTAAATGTACATTTAGCGTTTGGCCCAACAATTCAATTATAGGTATTTTCCAAAGAGCAATGATAACCTATGATCCCACAAAGATTTTTTCATGAATGTTAGTAGAAAATTTATTCATAATGGTCCAAAACTGGAAAAATACTTAAATTATCCAAAAACAGTGAAATAAATAAGTAACTTGAAGTGATTTCATACAACAGACTACTACTCAGCAGTTAAAAGGCATTTTCTAATATATGCAATGATATGGATGAGTCTCAAAAATATTATTTTGATCCAAAAAAGCCAGATAAGAATATCTATTGTATTGTTCTATTTTACATAAAAACTAGAAAAGAGAAATCTAATCTATAATGTAAGATAGCAGGTAAGTGGTTACTTAGGCCCAGTGAGTGGTACTATTGCGTGGGAAGGTCACAAGAACACTTGGCTGAGATGGAAGGAATTCTGTATGTTGATTGTGGTGGTGCTTTCACAGGTGAACGCATATGTCAAAACTCAAGGAATTGTATATTTAACATGGCTGCTTTTATTCTACACAGCTTCTACCTCAGGGTGGGTGGATCACCTGAGGTCAGAAGTTTGAGACCAGCCTGGCCAACATGGCGAAACCCCGTCTCTACTAAAGATACAAAAATTAGCCGGGCGTGGTGGTGCATGCCTGAAATCCCAACTACTCGGGAGGCTGAAGCAGGAGAATCACTTGAACCCGGGAGGCAGAGGTTGCAGTGAGCCAAGATCATGTCATTGCTCTCTAGCCTGGGCGACAAAAGTAAAACTCCATCTCAAAAATAAATAAATAAGATAAGATAAGTTAAAACAGTTAACTAAATGAAAGTATCTAAAATTCACTGTAACCTTTCAAATTGAACTTGTTATTTTCACTCCTACCTGAACACTCAGTATATCACACCCTATTTGTGTGCACGGCACCATTATGTTAGTCACTCAAGCATTTTGTGAAAGAGGTGGCCCTGGAGACAAAAGGGCACACAATATAAAATAATATTAACATCGAAGGAAATAATAGATACATGTTACCTGTGAATAAGAAGTTTAGCTTACTGTTACTAAAACATAATGGGCTAGAAAAAAATACAGATGTGTTCCTCAAATTTTAAGTTACTATTTTTATCACCACAAATTTCAGACACACTCAAAACTTGTATATATAGAACTAACAGAAGGGTCTAAGTCTTCAAAACATAGTTTGCTGAGATTTCATGAATACCAAAAAACATTATTTCATATAACATATTGTAGTTTTTATTATTTTACATTGCTATTTTAGCTGAAGGATTACAGTATATAAAATTACTCTGGGCCGGATGCGGTGGCTCGCGCCTGAAATCCCAGCACTTTGGGAGGCTGAAGCCAGTGGATCGCCTGAGGTCAGGAGTTCGAGACCAGCCTGGCCAACATAGTGAAACCCCGTCTCTACTAAAAATACAAAAAATTAGCTGGGTGTGGTAGCTGGCACCTGTAATCCCAACTACTAGGGAAGCTGAGGCAGGAGAATTGTTTGAACCTGGGAGGTGGAGGTTGCAGTGAGCCGAGATCACGTCATTGCACTCCAGTCCGGGCGACAAGAGCGAAACTTCTGTCTTGAAAAAAAAAAATTACCCTGATCCTTGATTATTTCAGTTCAAGGGGAGCTATATTTTTGTCAGAGATAAATTTTTAAGGAATTAGGTTGAATGCAAATAATGTCTTGAACCTTTTCTAAATCATCCACCACAATGTTGGAGTAGAAAATGGGACCCCCAGTAAAATCGCAGAACTTAACTAGGTATAAGCAGTAATGCTGTGCAGAGCTTAAGACTTTCTTCACGCCAGCAGCCAAAACCACTGTCAATTCTAAACAGAATAAAAGCATTTATTTGCTATTTGATATTCAATGTCAGATATTTCAAATAAATTATCTTAACATCTAGGGGGTAGAATTGGAATGTATGGCACTGATACCTAAGACAATCAGTTTGATTTCCAAAATATCTCACCTATCCACCTACTTCTTTCCAACTTCACTGCCACCAGCCAGTCTTGGCTACCATCAGGGAGAGCCCTGTGACTGGTGCAGTGTCTCTTAGTTGATCTTTCTGTTTCCATTCTTTCTCTCCTATAATCTATTCACCATGCATTACTCAGAATGACCTTTATAAATACAAATCACATTAGGTCATTTCTCTTCTTGAAATTCTGTAATGACTTCCCCTTGATCTTTTACTAAGATGTAAAGGCCTTATCTTATTTATAGCCTGCCCCTCTGGTTTCATCTCACGCTAATCTCCCTGTCATGTGTTAGTCTCTCTCTCTCATCCTTTCCCACTCACTCGGAGAAAATACTAAATTCTTCCCAGCCAGCACCTTTGCACCTGGCTGTTCCCTCTGCTTTTGCTTACAATGTCCTTCTCACCCCCACACCTGCCTTACCACACTTCTAATCATTAGCCTCTCATCTTTCTCTTATTGCCTTAAGTATCATCTTTAGAGCTGCGTCTTCTCTAAAATATGTAAGTATGCTTATATATTTTGCTTATGTTCTGTCATTCTATACATTCATAGATATGCTTACATTTTATCACAGTACTTTATTTCATAGCACTAATAAAAATATGTAATTTGAAATGTATTTATTTGTATTCTTCCTTTGCCCATTCAGTTAACAAATACATACTGAGCAGCTATTACATCCCTGGCGCTTCTCCAGGCATGGTTCTAAAAGGGAACAAATCACATAAAAATCTTCATGAAGCTTATATTCTGTTATGGGGGATAGGTGTTTAAAAATATCAAAATGAAAAAGTTATATAATATATTAGAATGTTATAAACTTTGATTTTAAAAAGGGGGGCGGGTGAAGGAGCAAGGTAAAATAATTGAGAGTTCCGAGTGATATTTGAAGAAAGATTTGAAGGATCTAAGAGGTTTGCTGTGTCAATATCTGGAGGAGTATTCCAGACAGAAGTAATGGCCAGTGAAAAAATTCTCATACAGCAGAGCACTTACTGGATTTGAGGAAGGGCACAGAGGTCAGGTTGCTGGGAGCAAAGTGAGCAGTAGGGAAAGTAGTGATGGGATCAGTGGTAACGAGGGGCTTTATATGAGACCATGGGCGGCTTTGCAGGTCTTGGTTGGATTTGGACTTTGACCCCGGGACACATGGGGAACCACTGCAGAGTGTTGAGCACAGAGACGACGTGATCTGACTGGCAGTGTAAAAGGATCACTCTGGCGACTCGTTAAGAAAAGACTGTAAGTGTCAGAGGAGAAATACAGAGCCCAGTTAGGAGGCTGTCTGAGTCCTAGACATGATGTTGATGGGTGAGACGGCATATAGAGGAAAGAAAAGGAAGGAAGAGCCAGCCCTGGGGACTTCTGAGATGAAGAGGATGGGGAGAAGAGTTGGAACCAGCAAAGGAAACTGAAAAAGAGCCACGACTGAGATAAAATAAAAACTTAAAGCTGATGACAAGGTGAAGAAAGAGTATCGAGGAGGGAGGAGTGGCCACACGTGTTGAAAGTGTCTGTTTTATCGTTCTTATCCCTCATTCGACTGTAAGTTATAGGAGGGCAAAAGTTCTGTCTTTCATATACATTATTGTATGTTACTGGGTCTCTAATTTCCAGCGTAGTGCTTGGCACATATCAAATGCTCAGTAAATAGTGAATAAAGTTAAAGATGATTATGCAAGACTCAACCATAGAAGGATAGGCTGTGACTGAAAGCGAATACTGCATTGAAAATAAAGCAGAATGTATACACACACAGGAAAACACAAAGATTTGGGAAGAAAGTAGAGAAGCTGTGGTAAAGCTAAGTAAATGATTATAGTGATAGTATTTCCTAACACGGGCAATCCCCCAAATATATCCCGAGTCCAGACCTCTCTCCTCCACTTGAGGCATGAGTATCCAGTTGCTCACTAGGAATCACCACTAGGATGTCTATATGATTTTTCCAACTGACCCCAACCACCCTCAGATTTCCCTCAGAGTAAATGCTAAAGCTCTCACAATGGCCTAAAAGGCCCTGAGTGTTTGGTATCTGTTGCCTCTCACCTGATTCCTACCACAGCCTTCTCCTCTCACTTCTCTGCAACCATACAGGGATCCTTACTTGAAAAGGATTTACTTATTTATACTTTGGCTTAAATTGTATCATTCTCGGTGAAGACTCCTCTGATTGGGCTCTATACAAATGCAGTTCACCCAGTGCCATCATGCCATCCAGCATCCTGGATGCTGTCCAACAGATCTGTCCTCTCTGTTGTTTTTGTTCCTAGCCCTTACCTTGTAACATTCTGGGAAATTTGCTAGGTTTTAAAAATGTTTATTGTTTATTCTCATTGTTTATTCCTTGTTATTCTCTGTTTATTCTCATTGTTTATTGTTTATTCTCTGTCTTCCCTCACTAGAAAGAAAGCTCCATAGAGGCAGAGAGATTTTCTCTTTATTATTTTCCTCTTACATTCAAGCACCTAGCATGGTGCCTGGCACATGTATTTGTTCAATGAATGAGTGCTTTTTACATTAGAATCAAGTCTATATCAGTTGTGGAAAGTCTTAGTTCATATTAAAGAGTGAAAACTTATAGAGAGACCATGGTGTTACACTTATATTTTTGAGAGAAGTCATGTAAGGGAAATGGTGCCATATGAACCCAACTCTGTATTAAAGCTTAGCTCATGTCCTAGAGAAAGATCAGAAGCAGAGGCCAGCCAAAAGCCTATGGAAATATGTTTTGGTGTAAAGAGGAGAAGTAGGATGATGTTAGCAGGAAAAAAGAAGCAACAGGTGTGACAGATTTTGAAGAAAAAAATCAGACTGATTATGTTAAAAATTGTCTGAATAATTTAGACTAATTAATTAACTAAGGCTAATTAATTAAGACTGAAGTCTGATTATTGTTAAATAATTAAGTCAATTTCCTGTGATTGGGAAACTATCGGGGAAGAAGGAAGACGTGAGGTTTTTTGATGGGAAGATGCAACATTTCATTTTAGGCAAGATGGGTTTGGGGTAATGCTGGAAATTCCAAGAAAATAACCGAGAGTTCAGTAGAGCTGTGGACAGTAGCTGAAGGCATGCATGACACCTCTGAGTCATCTGCACAGGGAAGAGCTGAATCCACGGAGGCGAGGTCTGCAAGGAAGAGACTGCGGAGCAAGAGGAGCCGTCAGTCAGAATGGAACATGCAGGTTGCTTAAAGTTACAGGAAAATGACATTGTTGCATCATACAGAAATGGAGAAGCCAGAAGAAGGATGGGAAGAGAATCAAAGTGACAGAATCTGGTTAAACAGAATAAGGACCAAAAGAAAGAAGCTGAATTTAAAAAGAAAGCAGTCGCAAGAGAGTCAGTACTCTCTGACTTCAGTATAGCCAATTGTAAGAAATTAACGGGGAAAAGTTAAAGAATTTAGGCGTTTATAAGAAAGATAATTACAAGGAGTCTCTTTTAAAAAATCCAACACAAACTCTGCACATTTGCAGGAGAGATCAAGAGCCCATGGAAGGTAAGAGACTGACGCTCATAAAGCTGAATTATCCTTGATAAAGCAAATAAAATATCCATAGCAGAAAGGAGAAAATTCCTACAGTGGCCACTTTTCCATTCCGTCCTGTCAGCCTCAGCTTGAGATTAGTGGGGACACAAGACCAGTGCCAATTTCAGTCCCTTCCTTCCCTTCAGAGGTGCACTGTGCATGCAAAGCTCTAAGCAGGCTGGGTCAGCAGAGAATGGGAAGCCGACACTGAGGGCTGATAAGCATTATTCATGCTGCAAATCAAGGAAATTAAAAGGCTCAGAAGTTGCTGTTAAAATAGGAGAACATCTGGAACTGTACTTCACTGAGACTGCCTGGAAACTAATGTCTGCTGGCACAAGTGGTTCTATTAGTGTGTGGAAAATGCTTTGTGCTAATAGCAATTTCATCGGAAGATCTCCAAGTATTTTATGAACAATTTTAAAAAGCTCTCTGTGGATATTTGATGCAGATTCAGAAACTTTAACTGTGAAGAACTTGGCTATGTTTTTTTTTCTCCTAGAATTATTTCCTAAATTTTAAGAAGTAAACATTAAATACTTGGTATGTTGGTTGAAGTATCTACTTGGCAAGGAAGCTGAACTGGGTTTTAATACCACTTCTGTCACATACTGGCAAGAGGTCCTGAGTAATTTACTTACCCAAATTATTTCCCCACTTACAAAAATATAGATAATAATAATGTATGTAAAACAACATGCCTAGTGCTGGGACATTATAAGTCCAATATTGATGCATGCTGATATCTTATCATCCTCTAGAGGAAGGATTTTATGACTTTAACATCTAAAGATCTGCAACTTCTTCTACGTTAATTCAATCTAAAAATCTATGGCCAGAGTGCCTCCATCAAATCATGGTTTGATGCTGTCATCTGCTCTAGGTACGTACCACAATTGGATAAATATAAAAACTGAAAAGATATGTACCCGGACTTGAAAGCTAGATAAGCACTCTGGAGATGAGAAATGTGATGTGGTCAGGCCTGAGGCTGTGGCTGTCCGGGCTCTGGTTCTGTAAGTCAAAAAGGGCAGCCAGAGTTGGATTATTTCTGTGGGTAAAAGAGAATGCAAATACTTCATACAGGTCCATAGCTAGGCTCACAACAGAAGCCAAGGTGAGGATGGGATGGGGTTCTCTGCAAAATGAAAGGAGAGTGAATATAAAAAGTATGAAGGAGAGTGAATATAAAAAGTATGAAGGAGAGTGAATATAAAAAGTATGCTGGGCCAGGTACAGTGGCTCACGCCTGTAATCCCAGCACTTTGGGAGGCTGAGGTGGGTGGATCACGAGGTCAAGATATGGAGACTATCCTGGCCAACATGGTGAAACCCCATCTCCACTGAAAATGCAAAAATTAGCTGGGCGTGGTGGTGGGCATCTGTAATCCCAGCTACTTGGGAGGCTGAGGCAGGAGAATCGATTGAACCTGGGAGGCGGAGGTTGCAGTGAGCTGAGATCACGCCACTACACTCCACGCTGGTGACAGAGCAAGACTCCGTCTCAAAAAGAAAAAAAAAAAAGAAAAAAAAAGTATACTGGCCTCTGTCTAAAATACACCTTTCATCAGGCTGTCAACTCAGGGAGACAAGAAGACACAGTGCAGCCCTGTAACCAGGACATGAATCAAACTCTCTGCTGGCTCTGTGATTTCCCAAAAATCACTGTGGAGAAGAAACTCAAAATTCCATTAAAAAGTCTTGTTCTGGAGTTAGAAGAAGATCTGAGTGGAAGGAAGCTCAAAACTGCTAGACCTGTGCACGTGGCAGTTTGTGGGGAGATAGGAAAAAAGGTATATAAAAAACATTAAAACCTACCACACGAAATGAGTCTACAAACGAGGATCCCAAAATATGTAAATAAATCTAAAGTTAAGAAAGACAGTTGATAAAACTAATAACTAGAGTAATTCCATATGAAATTATTATCAGTATTATAATTGTGTTAAATTCTGATGAAGACTTTAAGATAAGCCAGCCCAGGAGATGATAGAAGGTAGCATAATGGTAGCCCTATGGACTTTGATAGCCCCTCACCTTTTTCTAAAATCCAAACGGATAAAGAAGAAAGCAAATACACATATCTACAACCTATACTCACAGCATTCTTAGGAAGCAAGGAAGATTGCAAACACCTATTTTCCAGGATATGGGAAATAAAGACTGCAGTGAAGCAGAGCTGGGGAGGGTAGAAGGCACTAGTAGTGAAAAAAACAAAACAGGAAGAGAAAGTGCCACATGCATGGGCACTCCTGGGAACAGTTCTGAAACTTGGCTAGTCAGAGCACTGGCAAAGAAGAAGAAAGAAAGGGGCTTACCCAGCTATGGGACAAGGTGGAGTGGTCTTGGGAAGTCATTGCTCCTGGAAGAAAACAAGAAAGAGGCATTCCAAACACTACACGTGGAGTGGTAATGTCATCACTCTGAGAGCTAATAGAATGTATGCTTGTGTATTTTTATGTTTAAAATTTTTCGCAGCTTTAATTTTTTAATGTAGTAAATATCAATATATATATAACCCACATGAAACTAGTTCCTTGGAGTTATCATTAATTTTTTAGAGTGTAAAGAGATCATGATACCAAAATATTTGAGAATCCTTGTCCCAGGCTCTATGAATCTTCAGTTTGACAGAATCAGCTGATGGTGAAGGAAAGAAACACATTTTAGATGATAAAGGCTTTAATGAAACAAGATAGAATAAAAGATTCCACATGGGGCAGGGCAGATCACAGAACAGAAAACAGTAAACAAAACTTTCTAGCAGAAGAAACAACACCAAACAGTGGCTAAAAGCTGTAACACATGATATCAATATGAATTATATGTAATTTAAGAAGCATTTCTATAAAACTTAAAGTATAATAAAAAAGCATTTCTAGCTACAAAATAACACAAGGAACAGAAATGCAAAAGCTCAGAGAAGAGAAGGAAAAAGAGCAGGAACTGACAAAATTCATGAAGGAAACTAAAGAAAAAGAGGACATTACCTTAGAAATAAAGATTACGTCAGAAAATGCACAAGAGAGAATGGTTATGACCAAAAGTATGATAAGTGCTATTGAGGGCACAAATGAGAAAAGCCAGAAGAATGAAAGATAAGTAAAGAGATTATATACTCCTTAAGAAAGATATTCCCCAAGTCACATATACTAGACATATACACATCCACTGGATTAAAGGATAACAGATGAGCAACGAAAACATGCAATAAAAACAAAAGTGATGGTAGCAATATTAAGATCAGACAATTCAGAATCAAAGACAAAACCAGTTAAATAAAAAGGGATAACTCAATATTATAAAGAACAATCCACCAAAAAAATTCATGATCATGACCTTATATGAACCTAACAACATCATGTAGAGCTACAAGAAGAAAAAATGAGCATAAGTTGATTTTTAACTTATTTTTATTTAAAAATGAGAGATCTAATAGACCAAAAATAGAAAAAAATTAGCACATATTTATATATTAATATGGTAATACTAATATATTAATATGCAATATGTCAGTATATTTTGAACATATGCATATTGTATTAATTATATTATGTGTTAAGATATATTTTAATTATATATGTGTCTACAAAAAATTTGGAAGATATAATTCATGTGCTTGATTTAAAATATCCATTTTGAACCTTGTATCTATGAAGTAGAACTCTTACATGGCTTCTAAATAAAGACTGACCATACGGCCATACAAGAAATCTCTCAGGAAGTCTGCAACACATTTTTAAAAAATCAAGGTTACTTTAACTGAAACATCTAACCATAATGCAATTAAACAGAAAATCAATAGAAGGTTTAAAAACATGCCTAAAGACTTAAAAATGCTTAGATGGATATGGTGGTGTGTGCCTGTAGTCCCAGCTACTCAGAAGGCTAAGGCAGGAGAATCACTTGAGCCCAGGAGTTCGAGGTAGCAGTGAGCTATGATTGTACCACTTTCAGGGTGACAGAGCAAGACCCAGTCTCAAAATAAATAAATTAATAATAATTTAAAAATTAGTAAATTTTAAGGCTTAAATGCAGTAGCAAATTATTTATGGGTAAAGGACGAAAATTACAATAGGTAGTATTGATATTTAGAACTGAATAGCAGTTAACAATACTGTATCTGAAAAATCCTGATATACAGCTCACACAGTTTTTAGAATTAAATTTAAAACTTAAAGGCATGTATGGAAGGATGGTTGTGTTTGATATGGAACTCAGTTGAAGATGTAAATCTTCTACTATGCCTTCTGGATTCACAAAACCTAGAAAGATAATTACAAATCACAGGCTCCTTTTCAACTGGGATAATGAATGTGATCAGATTCAGCTAACCAGATCCCCTTACGCAAGATGTAGAAGTCAGATTGAGCAGAGGCCAATTTTTGCTACCCCATTATTTGTGAAGATCTATGTTATTACAGCTACTTTGGAGAAAATTTGACAACGTCTAGTAAAGCTGAAGATGCATTTTTCTTATATAGTTTAGTACAATGATTTTCAAATATTTTGATATCATGATCTCTTTACACTCTAAAACATTAATGAGGACTCTAAGAAACTATTTTCACGTGGGTTATAGATATTTACCACATTAAAAATTAAAGCTGTGAAAAATTTAAAACATAAGAATACACAAACATACATTCTATTAGCTGTGAGAGTGATGACATTACCACTCCACACGCAGTGTCTGGAAAACTCCCTCTACATTCAGGAGAGCATTAAAATACAAAAAAAGGCAAATAATGTCTTAATATTATTATAAAAGCAGTTTTGTTTTTGCAGAGCCCATAAAGGGTCTCAGAGCCCCACGTGCCCCCAGGCTACAATTTGATAACTATTGCAGTAGAGTTCCTCTTGCACGTTTGTATAATATCTTAAAAAATGTTTATTCCAGCATTTTTGTAATACAAAAACTTACAAGTTAATAGGAGACAAAAAAGTGGCTTGTGATATAGTCATACAATGAAATAATATATATTACTAAAAATGAGTAAACTAGTGATATATCTATTATTATGGACAAATATAAAAAACAATGTTGCGTGCAAAAAAAAATCAACCAACATATATAGTATGCTACAAAACACATAAATTAAAAAACAATTTATAAGTCAATTTTCTCCACATCCTTTCCAGCAACTGTTGTTTCCTGACTTTTTAATGATCGCCATTCTAAATGGTGTGAGATGGTATCTCATTGTGGTTTTGATTTGCATTTCTCTGATGGCCAGTGATAATGAGCATTTTTTCATGTGTCTGTTGGCTGCATAAATGTCTTCTTTTGAGAAGTGTCTGTTCACATCCTTCGCCCACTTTTTGATGGGGTTGTTTTTTTTTTCTTGTAAATTTGTTTGTGTTCATTGTGGATTCTGGATATTAGCCCTTTGTCAGATGAGTAGATTGCAAAAATTTTCTCCCATTCTGTAGGTTGCCTGTTCACTCTGATGGTAGTTTCTTTTGCTCCTAGGTGGGAATTGAATAATGAGAACACATGGACACAGGAAGGGGAACATCACACACTGGGGACTGTTGTGGGGTGGGGGGAGGGGGGAGGGATAGCATTAGGAGATATATCTAATGTTAAATGATGAGTTAATGGGTGCAGCACACCAACATGGCACAGGTATACATATGTAACAAACCTGCACGTTGTGCACATGTAACCTAAAACTTAAAGTATAATAATAAAAAAATTCCAATACTCTCAAAAAAAAACAAAAAACAAAAACCAAAAACAAAAAAAGTCAATTTTGTTCCACTTTTATGTATATATAAATTATCCATAGTCTAATTATACGATAAGCACCAAATTCAGAATAATGAAAGAGGGGCAAAAGGAAATAGAATCAGTGAGGTTTATGCAGGACCTTTAAACAAAGTCCCTTAGTGTTATCACTCAAAACAATTTGAGATTAGTATAGAACAATGATAAAATCAAGTGATGGATACACAGATTGTCATTAGGTTATCTTCTGTACTTTTTAACATTTTATAACACGAAATATTAAAAAACATGTCTAGATGCTACAACTCAAGCCACCTGTATAAGAAAAATATACTATTTTTCTTACATTCTCACAACACTCAATAATTGTAGAACACCTCACTCCCAACACCAAAATGTGTGTGTGTGTTTTTTCCCACACCAAGCAATTTTTCAACTCTCTGGAGACATGGACTTGATGTCCTACAATTCTTTTCAATTTTGGCACTATCTACCTGCAGGTAACATCAGAGCCCACAAGTTAAGGGATCAGTCACACAATAGTATCCCCATAAGCCAATTCAGATGTCAATTTTAAGTCCGGGTTGTCACCTGTGCTTCTGACCAAGCTATAAATCGGAGGCTCTCACAACTTCCTCCTCAGATTCAATAATTTGCTAGAATGACTCAAAACTCAGGGAAACATTGCTTACATTTACCAGTTTATTACAAGGGCTACAATTCAGAAATAGCCAAATGGAAGAGATGCATAGAGCAAGGAATGGGGCAGGGGGTGCAAAGCTTCCAGGCCCTCTCCGTGCTCACCACCTTGCCAGCACCTCCATCTGTTCACCAACATGGAGGCTCTCCAATCCTGAACTTCAGGGATTTTAATGGAGGCTCTATCACATAAGCATGATTGATTAACTCAATCTTCATCTTCTCTCTTCTTCCTGGTGGATGAGGGCTGGGGCTGAAGATTTCAAAATTCTAATCATGCCTTGGTTTTGCTGATGACTAGCCCCCATTCAGTAGCCCACCAAGGGTTGCCTCATTAGACAAAAGATGCTCCTATTACCAAGGAAATTCTAAGGATTTAGGGGTTCTGTGTCAGGAACCAGGGTCAAAAACCAAATATTAGAATAAAAAATGCTCCTAGTAACTTCCTGCTTAGGAAATTACAAGAGTTTTAGAAGCTCTGTGTCAAAAACTGGGGACAGATGCCGATATCTATTTTTTTTTATTGTTTCATAGCCCCTAAAGAGTGTGTAAGATTTTTAGCAAAAAAAAAAAAATTATGATTAACCTTAATCTTACCACAAGATTTTCTTTATCTATGCATAAAGAGGACATATATTATCATAATAAATTAAGAGAATTGTTTATGCATTTCCTATCCTGTCCTAAATTACTGCCAAAGACAGACAATATCTGTATAGAAAAACATACTTTAGGGCCAACAATAAACAAGCTAAAATAATGTACAATCAATATATTATATGCAGATGCAAAGCCTAGGGGTTTTGATTATTCTTTGATAGAGCATTTTGTATTTCCAATCCTCAAACTTATTCTTAATGCAACAGGATATTTTTAAAGGTCAACTTCATTAAATATAATTTTTATATAGTAGAATCCACAACACTTACGTGTACAAATTAATGGGTTTTAACAAATGTATTCACTGATGTAATCCTCACCCTGATAAGATGTAAAAGATTTTTTATCATCATAAGAATTTCTTCGTGATGCCTTTTGCAGTCCATCATACCTTAGGTTTGCCTTCTTTAGAGAGTCCTATAAATAGAATCATAATGTATGGATTCCATTTGTGTCTCGCTTAAATTTTTGTATTCTTTATTAGTATTCCTTCCTTTCTATTGCTGCATTCTATTGCAAACGATGTCCTGATTTTTATTTTATTTATTTTATTCATTTACCTGTTAGTGGACATTTGAGTTGTTTCCAGTTTTTAGCTATTATGAATAAAATGGTTAGGAGTAATTATGTACAACTATTCATGTGCATACATATTTCCATGTCCCTTGGGTAAGTATTCAACAGTTTATTTGATGGATGATAAGGTAAGTGTATTATATATCTAACTTCATAAAAATATGCTGAAAAGATTTTCCAGATTGGTTCTACCACTTTACATTGATACCAGCAATTTATGAGAATTCCAATCACTCCATATACTGGCCTACACTTGGTATTATCAGCTATTTAGTTTTATCCATTCTAGGGGTATGAAGTTGCAGGTCATTGAATTTTTTATTTTGCTGATGAAGCATGTTGTAGAGCTACTTTTCACATGCTAATTGCCGATTTTTACATCTTATTTTATGAAGTGTTCATTAAAGATATTTGCCTGATATTTTTTATTTGACTGCTATTTTTTAAAATTATTGAGTGTACATGAATTCTTTCTAAATTCTTGATATACTTTGTCATATATTTCTTGAGAATATTTTCTCCCAGTCTGTGACTTGCATTTACATATTCTTAACAGTATATTTTGTTACACAATTTTTTAAAACATTGATAGAATACAATTTATCAGATTTTCATTTATAATGAATGATTTTTGTCCCCTAAAAATTCTTTGACTACTGCAGGGTTGTGAAGATATTCTCTTGTTTTCTTATAGACATTGTATAATTTTAGGATTTACATTTAAGTTAAGGGTACATCTCTAATATATTTTTGTGTATTGTGTGAAATAAGGGTTGAGATACATTTTGTTCCCTGTAGATATTCTGTTTTACTAGCACTATTTGCTGCAACTTGACCCATTGAATTAACTTGGTATCTTTGTAAAAAAAAAAATCGGTTGACTGCATATCTGTGGATCTATTTCTGAACTCTTCATCCTTTTCTACAGATCTTTCTGTCTTTCCCTATACTGACACATTACTGTTTTGATTATGGTCATCTTATAATAAATCTTGAAATCAGATACTGTAACTCTTCCAAGTTTCTTAGTCTCTTTTAAGATTATTTTGGCCAATCTAAGGCCATACAAATTTTAGGTTTATCTTTTCAGTAAAAAAAAAAAATCCTATTGGGATTTTTATTATCATATTGAATCTCTAGATAAATTTAGAGAAAGTTGTCATCTTAAGAATATTGAGCATTTTAGTCCATGAATATGGTATATATCTCTATTTTCATCTTATAGAAATTGCTCTCAGCAATGTACATTAGTTTTCAGTGTAAAGATTTGTATCTTTTTGTTATATTTACTTCAAATATTTTATATTTTTGTGGTGTTTTTAATACTTCATTTACTGACTGTAGTTGGTTGAATAGTGGCTCAAAAAATAGGTTCAAACTCTAATTCCTGGACCCTGTAAAGATCATATTATTTGGATAAAGGGATTTTGTAGATGTAATTAAGGATCTCAAGATGAGGTCATCCTCAATTTAGAATAGATTCTAAATCCAATGACATATGTATTTATAAGAGATGGCAGTAGAGAAGACACAGAGGTAAGAATCCTTGTGAAGATGAAAGCAGAATGAATTTATGCTGCCATGAACCAAAGCAAGCCAGAAGCCACCAGAATGTGGAAGATACAAGGAAGGATTCTCTTCTAGTCTTTTGAGGGATTGTGTCTCTACTGACACCTTGATTTTGTACTTCTGGCTTCCAGACCTGTGAGAAACAATTTTTTGTTGTTTTAAGGTGCCAAGTCTGTGATAATTGCTGCAGCAGCCTCAAGAAATTAATATACAATAGTTTGTTCTTAGTATATAGAAATAAAAGTGATTTTATGTTAAGTTAGTATTTTGTAACCTTATTGGTTTTACTTAGAAATTCTAGTAGTTTTAAAGATACAATATTTAGGATTTTTATGTAAATCATTCTGTCAGATGTGCATAAAGACAGATTTTCCTTCTACTTCCCAGTCTTTATACCCTGCACATATTTTTCTTGCCTGTCCTGACAGGACCCCCAGTAGAATATTAATTGGAAATGGAGAGAGCAGACACTTTTGCTGACTTGGGGAAAACCCTTAGTTTTTCACTATTAAAATAATGTGAATTATAAGATTTTTAAATAGATACTATTTATTACATTATGGAAGTTCCTTCCCATTACTAGTTTATGATGAGTATTTAGCATGTACATGCATAGAAGTTTGTCAAATAATTTTTCTGCATCCACTAAGATAACTATCTGATTTTTCTCCTTTATTCTACTAACAAGGTAAACTATATTGTTGATTTTCAGATGTTGAACCAATCTTGGATTCCTGGAATAGACTCCAGTTAATCATGTTATATTGATTTTTAATGCATTGACAGATTAGGTCAGTTTGCTAACATGACATTTAAAAATTATGTTGAGGGATATTGGTTAATAATTTTATTTTCTTATAATATTTTCTCTTGTTTAGGTTTCATAGTAGTTTTGAAATAATATATTCCCTCCTCTTGTATGAAAGTTTATGTAAAATTGTTAATATATCTTTATTAAATGTTTCATAGAATTCATCACTGAAGCTATTTGAAGTAGAAATTTGCTTTGTGAAAGAGCCTTTGGTTACAAATTTAAATTCTGTAATAATTAGGCTAATTTAATTTTTGTTACTTTTTATGTCAATGTTTACAAATAATTTTTCAAGGAATATTTTATTTTATTGGAATAATGTTCACAATACAACTTTATTTTTCTTTTAATGTCTATAATATCTGTAACAATAATATCCCTTTAATTCTTGATATTGGTAACTTGGGTTTCATCTCTTTCTTTATTTTATTTAGCAAAGCTAGAGATTTATCATTTTTATCAGTCTTTCTAAAGAACTAATTAGCTTCTTAATGTTTTTAATTGTTTGCCTGTTTTCCACTTTATTGATTTATCGTCTCTGTTTTTTATTTATTTCTTTATTTTGGAGGCTTGATGTTCTTTACTTTCTAGTTCCTGAAGTTGGAAAATTGGTTCATTGTATTTCTTCCTTATTTAACGTGGAGCATTTAAAACTATAAATGTCCTTTTAAGACCTTCTTTAACTCCATCATACAAATTTTAATTTTTGAGTGCAAACATTTTAATTCTCATTATTACCTTTTTAACCCATAAGTGTGTTGCTTAATGTATGCACAATTGGGGATTTTTAAGACATTTTACTATTTATTTTTATCTTAATATTGTTATAGTAAGATAGCATTTTTTATATGACCTCAATCTTCTGAAAATTACTAATCCTTGTTTTATGGCTCAGCATATCCTCTATCTTGATCAAGGTTTTATAGGAACATGAAAAGAATGTATATTCTTTAGTTGTTGAGTGTAATGTACTATAAATATCAATTAGGTTAAGTTGGTTTACAGCGCTGTTGAAATATCTTTATCTTTTTTTAAACTTGTTCTATCAATTACAAAAAAAGATATTACAATCTCCTAATGTATTGAAAATTTCTATACCCTTCTTTCTAGTTCTGCCAATTTTTTTGCTTCTTTTTTACTTTTTTTTTTTTTTTTTTTTAAGATGATGTCTTGCTCTGTCATCCCCAAGCTGGAGTGCAGTGGAGCGTGGAGTGATCTCAGCTCACTGCAACCTCAGCCTCCCTGGTTCAAGTGATTCCCCTGCCTCAGCCTCCCGAGTAGCTGGGACTACAGACATGAGCCACCACACCTGGCTAATTTTTGTATTTTTAGTAGAGATGGGGTTTCACTATGTTGGTCAGGCTGGTCTCGAACTCCTGACCCCATGATCCGCCCGCCTTGAAGTCTGTTGTTAGGTCCATAAAAATTAAGATTGATATGTGTTCCTTATAAACATATACTTTCATCATTTTGAAATGTCTTTCCTTATCTCACTTAACTTCTTATCTTAAAGTTGATTTTTGACAATAATGTAGCCACACCAGCTTTCTTATATTTTTGGTATGCTATGTTTTCCCACTCTTTTACTGTGAACTTACTTGTATCTTTATAATTAAGGTTTAAGTCTGTTAAAGAACACGTAATTAAGTCTTGTGGAGAGGAGGTGGGGCAAGATGGTGGAATAGAAAGCACCACAGATCACCATGCCCTTGCATAAGGACACCAAGTTAACAACCGTCTACACAGAAAAAAATGCCTTCATAAGAACCAAAAATCAGGTGAGCACTCGCAGTACCTGGTTTTAACTTCCTATCACTGAAAAAGGTACTGAAGAGACAGAAAAAACAAAAAACAGAAAAAAACAGTCCTGAGTTGCTGATGCCACCCCTCCCACACCACAGGCAGCAGCATGGTGCCATGGTGCAGAGAGCATCTCTGAGCACTGGGGAAGGGAGAATTCAGCAACTGTGAGGAATTAAATTTAGTGCTGTCCTGTTAGAGCAGGAAGAAAAACCAGACCAAACTTAGCTAATGCCCACCCACAGGGAGAGCGTTTAAACCAGCCCTAGCCAGAGAGAAATTACTGGTCCCAGCAGTTTAAACTTGAGTGCCCTGCAAACCTTGCCACTGAGAGCCAAAGTGCTCTTGGTCTCTAAGTAAACTTGAAAAGCAGTCTAGGCCACAAGCACTGCAACCGTTAGACTAATCGTAGGGCTGAACTAGGTCCAGAGACAGTGGACTGGGGAGGAACACGAGATGCTGAGACACCAGCTGAGGCAGCCAAGGGAGTGCTGCACCTCTCCACTAACCTCAGGCTGCACAGACCACAGCTCCAAAAGAGAACCCTTTTCTCCACTTGAAAAGAGGATAGAGAAGAATGGGGAAGACTTTGTCTGCATCTTGGATATCAGCTCTTAGCCACAGCAGAATGCAGCGTCAGTCAGAGTCATGAGAACCCTGTTCCAGGCTCTAGCTCCTACACATTTCTAGATACACCCTGGACCAGAAAGGAACCAGTTGCCTTGAAGAGAAGGACTCAGACCTGCCAGCATGCATCACCTGTTAACTGAAGAGCCCTTGGGCCCTGAATAACCAGCAGCAATACCCAAGTACTACATTGAGGGCCTTGGTGAGCCTCTGGGACTTGCTGGCTTCAGGTGAGACTCAGCATATTACTAGCAGTGGTGGCTATAGAACAAAACTCCTTCCGCTAGAGAAAAGCAGAGGGAAAAGTAAAGGGGACTTAGTCTTACACCTTAGGTATCAACATCTCCACAGCGGGGTAGAGCACCAAGCAGGCTCTTGGGGTCCTGATTCCAAAATTTGACTCTTCAACAGCATTTCTGGACTTGCCTTGGGTAAAAAGGCAGCCCATTGCCCTGCCAAGGCCAGGCAACATTCATCACAAGCTGACGTAAGAGTACTTGGTTCTTAAGGAAATATCAGTGGTAGTCTAGCAGCACTCCTTATTACCAGGTGTGGTAGTAGCTACAGAGTAAGGCTCCTCTACCTTTGAAAAAGGGACAGAAGAGTGGGAAGGACTGCATCTTGGGGCTTGAGTGCTAGCTCAGCTGCAATGTAATAGAATACCAGGTAGACTTTTAAAGTTTTTGACTTTAGTCCTGACTCCCCGGTAGCACTTCTGGACCCACCTGGGGCTTGGGGAACCTCGCTGCCCTAAAAGGAAGGACACAGGCCTCACTGGCTTTGACAACTCCTGACTGTAGAGGCCCAGGGCCTGGAGTGAACATGGGCAGTAGCCAGGGAGTGGTTATAGCAGGCCTTGGGCAACACCCAGTGTTGCGCTGGCTTCAGGTTTGACCCAGTGCAGTCATAGTGGTGATGGCCACAGGGGTGTTTGTGTCACTCCACCTCCAGTTTTAGGTGGCTCACAACAGAGACAGAGATTCTGTATGTTTGGGAGAAAGTAAGAGAAGAGAACAAGAGTCTCTGCTTGGTAATCCAGAGAATTCTCTAGGATCCTATCTAAGATCATTAAGATGGCAACTCTACGAGTCTACAAGAACCACAGCATTACTGGGATTTGGGTGTCCCCTAAAGTGGAAACAGCTTAGATCACAACACTCAATTCCTTTCAAATAACTGGAAAGCCTTTCCAAGAAGGATGGCTAAAAATAAGCCCACACAGTGAACACTACAATAAATACTTAATTTTTCAATGCCCAGACACCAACGACCATCTACTAAAATAAGCACCATCCAGGAATACATTACATCACCAAATGAACTAAATAAGCCACCAGGAATTACTCCTAGAGAAACAGAGATATGCGACCTTTCAGACAGAGATTTTAAAATAGCTGTGCTGAGAAACTAAAAAAAAAAAAAAAATCAAGATAACACAGAGAAGAAATTCAGAATTCTATCAAATAAACTTAACAAAGAGATTGAAATAATTTAAAAGAATCAAGCAGAAAGTCTTGAGCTGAAAAATATAATAAGCATACTAGAGAATACATCAGAGTTCTTTAACAGTGGAACAGGTCATGCAGAAGAAAGAATTAGTGAGCTAAAAGACAGGCTATTTGAAAATACACAGTGAGAGGAGACAAAAGAAAAAAGAACCAAAAAACAATGATGCACACCTACAGGATCTAGAAAATAGTCTCGGAAGGGCAAATCTAAGAGTTATTGCCCTTAAAGAGGAGGGATAGAAACAGAAAGGAGTAGAAAGTTTATTCAAAGGAATACTAACAGAAATTCCCAAACCTAGAGAAAGATATCATAACCAAGTACAAGGTCTTAGAACACCAAATATATTTAACCCAAACAAGACTACCTCAAGGCATTTAGTAATCAGACTCGCAAATGTCAAGGATAAAGAAAGGATCCTAAAAGTAGCAAAAGAAAAGAAACAAATAACATACAATGGAACTCCAATATGTCTGGCAGCACACTTTTCAGTGGAAACCTTTAAGTCCAGGAGAGAGTGGCACAACATATTTAAGTGCTGAAGGAAAAAATCTTTTTACTCTAGAGTAGTAAATTTGGTGAAAATATCCTTCAAACATGAAGGAGAAATAAAGACCTCAGACAAACAAAAACTGAGGGATTTAACAAATATCAGAGCCATCCTACAAGAAATACTAAAGGAAGTATTTCAACCAGAAAGAAAAAGGATATTAATGAGAAATAAATAATCACCTGAATGTACAAAACTTACTGGTAATAGTAAGTATACATAAAAACACAGAATACTATAACACTGTAACTGTGGTGTGGAAACTACTCTTATCCTAAGTAGAAAGGCCAAACTATAAACCAATCAAAAATAATAATTATGGAAACTTTTCAAGGCACAGTCAGCACAATAACATATAAAAAGAAACAACAAAAAGTTAAAAAGAGAGGGAAGAAGTTATGGTGAATTTTTATTAGATTTCTTTGTGCTTGTTTATGAAAATAGTGTTAAGTTGTTATCAGGTTAAAACAAAGGGTTATAAGATAGTATTTGCAAGCCTCATGGCAACCTCAAACTAATAAACATACAATGGATACATAACAAAAAGCAAGAAACTAAATCATATCACAAGAGAAAATTATCTTCACTAGAGGAAGACAGAAATAAAAGAAGGCCACAAAACAACCAGAAATCAAATAACAAAATGGCAGATGTAAGTCCTTACTTATCAATAATAACATTGAATGTAAATGAACTAACCTTGCCAATCAAAAGACATAGGGTAGCTGAATAAATGAAAAGACAAGATATATTGATCTGCTGCCTGCAAGAAACATACTTAACCTATAAAGATACATGTAGACTGAACATAAAGGGAGAGAAAACGATATTTCATGTCAACAGAAACCAAAAAAGAGCACAGGTCACTATACTTACATCAGACAAAATACATTTTAAGACAAAAACTCTAAGGAGAGACGCAGAAGGATACTGCATAATCACAAAAGGGTCAATTCAGCAACAGAATATAACAATTTTAAATATATATGCACCCAACACTGAAACACCCAGATACATAAAGGAAATATTATTAGAGCTATATAGAGAGATAGGCCCCAGTATAATAATAGCTGGAGACTTTGACACCCCACTTTCATATGGGACAGGTCTTCCAGATAGAAAATCAGCAAAGAAACGTCAGACCTAATCTGTACTGTAAACCAAATAGAGCTAATAAATAGTTACAGAACTTTTCATCCAACAGCTACAGAATACACATTCTTTTCCTGTGCACATGGGTCATTTAGACCATATGTTAGGTCATGAAACAAGTCTTAGAATATGCAAAAAATTTGAAATAATATCAAGCATTTTCTCTGACCATAATAGATAAAGCTAGCAATTAATGGCAAGAGGAATTTTTGTAACTATACAAATATATGAAAATTAAGCAATATGCTCCAGAATGACCAGTGGATGAATGAAAAAATTAAGAAAGAAATTGACAATTTTTTTCAAACAAATGATAATGCAAACACAACATACCAAAACTTATGGGATACAGCAAAAGCAGTACTAAGAAGGAAGTTTATAGCTATCAGTGCCTACATCAAAAAGAGGAAAAACCTCAAATAAACAATCTAATAATTCAGCTAAAAGAACTAGAAAAGCAAGAGCAAGCCAAACGCCAAATTAGTAAGAAAAGAAATAATAATTATCAGAGCAGAAATAAATGAAATTGAAAAAAAAACAAAAGATTAATGAAAATAAGAAGTTGGTTGTTTGAAAAGATAAGCAAAATTGACAAACCTTTAGCCAGACTAAGAAAAAAAGAGAGAAGTTTCAAATAAATAAAATCAGAAATGAAAAAGAAGACATACAACTGATACTGAAGAAATTCAAAGGATTGTCAGTGGCTACTATGAGCAACTGTATGCCAATAAATTGGAAAAATCTAGAAGAAATTGACAAATTCCTATGTACATACAACCTATCAAGATTGAGTAAGGAAGAAATCCAAAACCCGAACACACCAATAGCAAGTAATGAGTCTTCCAGTAAAGAAAAGCCCAGGACCTGATGGCTTCACTGCTGAATATTACAAACCATCTAAAGAAGAACTAATACCAATCCTGCTCAAACTATTCTGAAAAATAGAGGAGAAGGGAATGCTTCCAAACTCATTCTATGAGGCCAGTATTACCCTGATACCAAAGCCAGAGAAAGACACATCAAAAACAGAAAACTACAGGCAGGCCAATATCTCTGATGAATATTGATGCAAAAATTCTCAACAAAATGCTGGCTAACAAATTTGAACAATACATTAGAAAAAGCATTTATTATGACCAAGTGGGATTTATCCCTGGGATGCAAGGATGGTTCAACATACACAAATCAATCAATGTGATATATCATGACAACAAAATGAAGGATAATAACTATATGATTATTTCAATTGATGCAAAAAAAAGCATTTCATAAAATTCAGCTTCTCTTTGTAATAAAACCCCTTATACTGGGTATAGAAGAAACATACCTCAACATAAGAAAAACCATTTACCACAGACCCACAGCAAGTATGATACTTAATGGGGAAAAACTGAAAGCTTTTTCTGTATGATCTGGAACAGGACAAAAATGCCCACTTTCACCATTGTTATTCAATATAAGACTGGAAGTCCTAGCTAGACCAATCAGACAAAAGAAAGAAATAAGGGGGGTTCAAATTGGAAAGGAAAAAGTCAAATGATGTTGGTTTGCAGATAATGCAATCTTATGTTTGGAAAATGCTAAAGACTCCACACACAAAAAAACTAGTAGAATTGATAAGCAAATTCAGTAAAATTGCAAGATGCAAAATCAACATAAAAAATTGATAGTATTTCTGTATGCCAAAAGTGAACAATCTGAAAAAGAAATTAAAAAAGTAGTCTCATTGAAATAGCCACAAATAAAATTAAATACCTAGGAATTAACTTAACCAAAGACGTGAAAGTTCTCTGTAATGAAAACTATAAAATGCTGGTGAAAGAAGTTTTTGAGGATGCGAAAATATGGAACGATATTCCATGCTCATGGATTGGAAAGATCAATATTGTTAAAATGTCCATACTACCCAAAGCAATCTACAAATTCAATACAATCTCTACCAAAATGCCAATGACATTTTTCAAAAAAAATAGAGAAAAAAATCCTAAAATTTATAAGGAACCACAGAAGACCTAGAATAGCCAAAGTTATCCTAAGCAAAATGAACAAAACGGGAGGAATTACATTATCTGACTTCAAATTATTCTACACCACTATCGTGACCAAAACAACACGGTACTGGCATAAAAACAGTCACATAGACCAATGAAACAAGACAGAGAACACAGAAATGAATTCACACACCTACAGTGAACTTATTTTCAATGAAGGTGTCAAGAACATACACTGGGGAAAAGACAATCTCTTCAAGAAATGGTGCTGGGAAAATGGAAAATCCATATGCAGAAGAATGAAACTAGACCCCTAACACTCACTGTACACAAAAATAAAATCAAATACTTAAATCTAGGACCTTAAACTCTGAAACCACTACAAGAAAACGCCAGGGAATCTCTCCAGGACATTGGTCTGGGCAAAAATTTCTTGAGTAATACTGCATAAGCACAGACAACCAAAGCAAAAATAGACAAATAGGATTATATCAAGTTAAAAAGCTTCTGTACAGCTAATCAAACAATCAACAAAGTGAAGAGACAACCCACAGAATGGGAGAAAATATTTGGAAACTATTCACCTGGCAAAAGATTCATAATTAAAATATATAAAGAGCTCAAACAACTCTATAGGAAAAAGAATCTAATAATCCAATAAAAGTGGGCAAAGGATTTGAATAGACATTTCTCAAAAGAAGACATACAAATGGCAAACAGGCATATGAAAAGGTGCTCAACATCGCTGATCATCAGAGAAATGCAAATCAAAACTGTAATGAGATATTATCTCACTCCAGTTAAAACAGCTTATATCCAAAAGAAAGCAATAACAAATGTTTGTGAGGATGTGGAGAAAAGGCAACCTTCACACACTGTTTGTTGGAATGTAAATTAGTACAACTGCTATGGGGAACAGTTTGGAAGTTCTTTAAAAAACTAAAAATAGAGCTGCTATAGGATCCAGCAATTCTACT
Source organism: Homo sapiens (assembly GCF_000001405.40). NCBI lineage: Eukaryota > Metazoa > Chordata > Mammalia > Primates > Hominidae > Homo > Homo sapiens. The sequence goes on from NC_000018.10 coordinate 1,457,618, forward strand.
GATGGGTATATACCCAAAATAAAGGAAATCAGCATATCAAAGAGATATCTGCACTCCCATGTTTGTTGTAGCACTGTTTGGAATAGCCAAAATTTGGAAGCAACCTAAGTGTGCATCAATAGATGAATGGATAAAGAAAATATGGCACATATACACAATGGAGTACTATTCATCTATAAAAAAGAATGAGATCCTGTCTCTTGCAACAACATAGATGGAACTGGAGGTCATTACATTAAGTGAAATAAGCCAGGCACAGAAAGATAAACATCATATGCTCTCACTTATTTGTGGGATCTAAAATTCAAAACAATTGAACTCATGGATATAGAGAGTAGAAAAATCATTACCAGAGGTTGGGAAGGGTAATGAGGGGCTGAGGTTGAGGGGAGGTGAAGTTGGTTAATGGGTACAAAAAATAGTGAGAAAGAATGAATAAGACCTAGTATTTGATAGCACAACAGGGTGACTACAGTCAACAATAATTTAATTGTACATTTAAAAATAACTAAAAGACTGTAATTGGATTATTTGTGACACAAAATATAAATTCTTTAGGGGATGGAGACCCTAGTTTACATGATGTGATTATTGCTCATTGCATGCCTGTACAAAAAAAAATGTGCCCCATAAATATATATATCTACTATGTAAACACAAGAATTAAAATTTAAAAATTTTAAAAATTGAAAGATATTTTAAAAAAGAAAAAAAATCAGGATATAGGCCTGAGCAAAGATTTCCTAAGACATGCCATAAAAATTATAATCCATAAAAGGGAAAATTGATAACTTGGCCTTATTAAAAATTTGGCCCTAGGAAAGGGAAAATAAGAGCTATAGAAAGAGCAATACTATTTGTAAACCACATATGCAACAAAACACTATAATTTATAAAGAGCTCTCAAAACTCAACAGTAAAAAATCAAATAATCCAAATAAAAATGTGCAAAACACATAAAGAGTACGTACAAATAACAAATAAGCACAGGAAAATATGTTCAATATCATTAGTTATTAGGGATGTGCAAATTAAAATCACAAGGAGATATCACGATATACGTAACTGAATGGCTAAAATAAAACACAGCTAGAACCAAATGCTGACAAGGATGCAGAGAAAGTGGATCCCACTCATACATTGCTGGTTGGACTGTAAAATGTTATAGCCAATCTCGATAACAGTTTGGCAGGTTAAAAACAACAACAACTAGACATGCAACTCTCATATGACTCAAGAATTGTACTACAGGGCATTTATCCCTGCAAAATGTGGGAAATCAACAGAAACTCTCAGATGCAAAGTTCCTTCACAAAAGCATGACAAAATTGCTATGTTCAGGCAACAAAGAAAGATAGACCAGGCTAAAGGAGCCGCACTCTAAGTCCTGTGAAAGCCATATTGCCCAGCTGAAACTTAATGTTCATTTTCTACACTGGTTTTGTTTAAGCATTGATCTTTTGACAGTGTAGTTTTTGTTTGTTTATTTGTTTCATCCTTAAAAGGCAGAAATCATTGATGCTGTGACTGGGAGATGGGAGGGTGAAGAGGGAAGTAGCATTGGAATCCCAAATTGGGTAATCCATACGACTTCCATTTAATCTTCAGTTGGGTTTTCAGGAAACCCTGCCTTCAATCTCAGTGGCAGTTGGAAAGGTCACAAAATCTATTGTCCACCACTGGAGTCCCAATATTACACTAGGCAGCTAGGAATATATTCCGAGTCTCAGGAGGGCGCAGGCATTCTTTATTCGTCTTTCAGATGACCTTCTCGTCAGTCTGAGATCTTTTCACTGTGAATTTTCTCCCTTCTTTATTTTTTGTCTTTCTTCCCTGCAGTTTGTCTGACCTTCCTGTTAACTTCTGTATACTATGAATTGTCACATTTTTCTGAATGGAGTATCTACTTTCTAAGATCAATTGCTTTTCACAGCAAGAGTTTGATAACTTTATTATGCCAACAAGTCTCCTCCCCATAAGTAATGAGGATGCCATGAGTAACAAGGAGCAAAGGGGCAAGAGATGCTATCCTGCCATATGTCATTTCATTTGAATATAAATGTCCAAGGCGTTTAGAATTTTAAAAAGCTCTCAGTTTTGTTACTGTGCTACCTGTTACATGTATGGGATTCATGATTGCAATGAACTCTAAACAAACATATTTCTTACCCCAAATTCATAAAATAACATGTTTCTAATTTTTGACTGTACTTCTATTATGTTTTTTTGGAAAAAGGTGACAATAAATTTGTATTGATTGCTTACTGTTGCCAAGCACTGCAGGTATTTCATCTTAATTCTAGAGGTAAGAATACTATTGGCTAAGAAATACTCATTAGCTTTTCAAAAACAACATAAGTGGAAAGGATATATTTTAGACTTGAAGTTAAAACCAACAGACCCATTACACTATAGGCCACAGCCTCCTAAATGTATTTCTTTGCCTGGAACATATTCCCTTTTCTGCCTATTTACGTACAGTGTAAGTCTTCAAGAGAATCCTTCGTTGACTATTAGAATTCTCGGAAATCTTTCCTTCTTCAAAATTCCTGTAGCACTTATGATATGCCCCACACATTCTCATTCTTGTTCTTTATTGGTTAATCATCATTATTTTGTCTCTGCCACTGGATTTCATATCCCTTGAGGTTGGTGACCTTATAAAGAATCTGCAGTACATACAAAAGTCAATAATGTGCTCTTTAAGTTTGTGGTCTGTCAGGCCTATTCCAAGGATCTGGAATGAAGATGGGATGTTTACAGACATTTGCCAAGGTATGTGAGTAACTGAATGAGGCAAGAGAATGCTTAAAAACAACTATATGAGGCTCTGAGACATAAAATTCTAGTTTAAAGAAAATATGGCACAGGCCGTATCTAGATAGATGGTACACAAGATATGTACATGTAAGAATGGAGTCAGTATTTGCAGAGAGAAGATGACTACTAGGACCCAATCTGGGATTTAAATAAAGGCCACTTCTTCTAAAACCTACACCTATTACTGTTTTTGTGGTGTTTCCTGATGGACATCTTCTTTGGAATTATTTCTGAAGGAGAGAATTACTGATACCCAGGCTATGTGACTTATCATGCATAAATATACCCTGGTCCTTTTGAAACTCTCTCTCCCTCTCTCTCTCTCTCACACACACACACACACACACACACACACAGACACACACGCAGTTTCCTAAATGGGGATTTGTAGAAAAAATAAATTCGAATGCCATATGTAGAATAAACTTGCAGGTACCTATATCCAATATCGTTCTAGCCCTATATCAAAGAAGTGATTACCAGACTCGATACCCACTTCCTATCACTCTCACTCCATACAGATTATTTATCTAAAGACTGGATGTAATGTTTTACAATGGACACAGAAATAATAACAAAAATAATCATAAGTAAATATGACAAAAGGAAAAATGAAAATCTGAAATCATGTTGTTTAGATAACCTGCTCGTCACTGGGCATGGCTTACTTCAATTATAAAATTACTTGTGGTACACATTCATGGGATGCAATTATTTGCATGGTGCGGTAAGTGTCGTTTGTACCCATATCTCTGCTCATGGTGAAATTGCTTTCACTATGTTTCCAATCTGCCCTTGTTAAAAGGAGAACACAGAGCAGAACACCAAGGAGCTTGTGGAGAGCATATAAAACTCAGAATATAAAACAGAGTTACAGCTCAGAAGCCACTACCAGAAGAGGAAGTAAAACAGTCAGCCACCACTTTGTAGAGTATATTGGAGGAAAAAACAATTTTCTAGCTAATACAGCAGGAAATTAGGAATTAAGCATCATTTTAAAGTAAGTGATCAAGTCTTTTCTTTAAATAGAAATAATTCCTTGGCCGGGCGCTCACGCCCGTAATCCCAGCACTTTGGGAGGCCGAGGCGGGCGGATCACGAGGTCAGGAGATCGAGACCATCCTGGCTAACACGGTGAAATCCTGTCTCTACTAAAAATACAAAAATTAGCCAGGCGTGGTGGCGGGCGCCTGTAGTCCCAGCTACTCGGGAGGCTGAGGCAGGAGAATGGCGTGAACCCGGGAGGCGGAGCTTGCAGTGAGCCGAGATCGCGCCACTGCACTCCAGCCCGGGCGACAGAGCAAGACTCCGTCTCAAAAAAAAAGAGAAATAATTCCTTGGCATAAAAAAATTACTTACCTGTGTAGGTCAGGATTACGACACTCAGGAAAGAATAGCAGAACTCTTAATATTCAAAAAGGAGATTAATGCAGAATATGGACAATGACTATAACATCCTATAACACGAATCCAAGGTAAGAATATTCACTGTCGCAAATTGATGTTTATGTTAAAATGCACAATATAGGCTCAATTTAGTTTTGATAATATTTTTCAAATTGCAGATTGCCCCTCATGGAGAGGGTCATTAAATTAATTTAATGGGCCACAAAAACATTTTAAAAAATGAAATTGACTAGACTAGAATAATATGCAATACAAAATATTAGCATGAACTGCATGTGGTAAGAGTAAATATTGCTTTGTAAATTTTTTATCTATCTATCTATCATCTATTTACTCATCCATTCATCCATCCATCCACCCACCCACCCACCCTGGGTTCATGTGTGGGTCATGGTTAAACACGTTTCAAAGATATTTGCCTTTTCCAGAGTGAATCATGGAAGACCTTATAGTGGTGGTGACACTTTGGCTGATTATTAATAAAGGAGAAGAAGTTTTTAAAACAGAAAAAAGGTAGGGAATATGCTTGCCATTCCAGGCAAAAGGAGTAACATTTTGCAAAGGCAAAAATAACTCTTGCCAATATTATTACTCTAGCAATGATAATATTATAAGTAAGAAGTCTGTGAAAATAATTTTTGGTAATATCTTTACTGAGATAAAATTTGCATATGAGACAATTCACCTGCTTAAAATATACAATTCAGTGGTTTTTAGTACATTCAAGGTTGTGTAACCATCACTACAACCAATTCTGGAATGTTTTTGTTGCCTCCAAAAGAAACTCCAGACTATGTAGCAGTCACCACCCCTCATTCCTGCCGTTCTCTGCATCCTGCCTCAGCCTTAGGCAACTACCAGTTTATATTCTGTCTCTACAGATTTGCCGGTTTTGAACATTTCGCGTAAATGGATTGTGTGATTACATTAATTGATTTTCAGATGTGAAATTTACCTTGCGTTTCTGAAATAAATTCCACTTCATCATGATGTATAATGCTTTTTATATGTTGCTGTATTCTTTCCCCCAAGTTTTATTAAGGTATAATTGACAAATTATGTTTACCACATGGTGTTTTGATAGATGCATCTATTATTGTAAAATAATTAAATGAAGCTAAGTAACATATCCATCATCTCACAAATTTATATGTGTGTGTGTGTGTGTGTGTAGAAAACATTTAAGATCCACTTTCTTAGCACTTTTCAAGTATACGATAAATTGTTAACTATAGTTACCATGCTGTATAATATATCTCCAGAAATTATTCATTCTAACTGAAACTTAGTACCTTTTGACCAAACTCCTCCCACAAGCCCTGGCAACCATCATTCTACTCTCTGTTTCTATGAGTTCAACTTTTTAAGATTCCACATATAAGTGAGATCACGTAGTATTTTTCAGTGTTGGTTTTATTTCACTTGGCAGAATGTCCTCCAGGTTCATCCACATCATTGCAAATGGCAGAATTTTCTTCTTTTTAAGGCTGAATAGAATTCCTTTGTATAAATAGCTAGAATTGTATTTTCTTTATCCATTCATTTGTTGATGGACACTTAGGTTAATTCCATTCCTTGTCTATTATGAATAGTGCTGTGATGAGCATGGGAGTACACATATCTCTTTGCCTTACTGATTTCATTTGTGTTGCTAAATTTTGTTGAGAATTTTTGCATCTATATTCATAAGAAATAATGGTCTGTAGCTGTCTGTTCTTGTGTTTTTTTTTGGTCTGGTGAAAACTTTTTGTTTTTTAAGTTGCAGGACTGCTCACAACTTTTAATATGCCTCATGATCATTGTGAATCTTTAGGTAGATTCAAGCATTCAAGTTGTTTTAAAATGAAATTCTATTGTCTTGAGTATTTTGAAACAAATGTTCCACAGAAAATGCTCTGTGAAACACTATTATTGAGTAATAAATGAACATAGTATGTTTTGTGTCCTAGAATAGTTTGATATTTATGGGTTTTTAAGAATTGCATGGTGAGGAGAGCATTGAAATTAAAATTATTAGAATTATATCAGATCCTCACTCTACAATTTCTGAAGTTTGTCATTGAACTTAAGGTATACAGAAAACTGAATATATAACTTTCACTCTAAAATTTGAGTTCAAGAATTTTCAGCTAATCCTTTGGTTGTCTTCATGGAATTTGGAAGCTTCTCTGTCTTTTACATGCTGCATGATGGATGGAGTTTCCATGATGTTTATCTAAACATTCTGAAGTCAGCATTGGGGAAATCGGATAAAAACTGCGACCATTTCATAATGTTATTTTAATAAGACGTATTTCTGTCTAAATATGAAGTGCAGTCTTCCAGTGGATGTCTCTGGCTCCCCAAATGACCAGCAATTGTAGGTTTCTAGTGTTCCCCTGACCTTTTCTAACCCTTTCCAACCCAGATCATAGTAGAAACATTTTGTCCTTCCTTTGCCAGATTTATTTTGCATGTTTGTTAACTTATTTTCTTTCTCTGCCTGCATTTTACCTGTGGCTTCATAGCCGAGTGTATATAGCCTGATATATTGTTAGCCACCCACATGTCCTCAAAGTATTAGTGGTGGTCATTAGGCTAACAAGCATATGTGATATGGTGTCGAGTGCTATAAAAATAATCAATGGAAAGCCACTCATCTTGTTATTTTTCTAACCAAGACATTAACTGCCTCAAGTTAAGGGTAGGCACAGTTTGTTCCTCCTGAGTTATGACAGAGCCAACAGTGTTTCTTTTGCAAACACACTGCAGGAGAGTGTGCATAAATGCAGCCGTTAGATTGGGTGACAGATCCTCTGTAATCTCATCAGATTAGCATGACTGTTCTTCCTGTTTGGGACTCCCAGAAGTTAGAGGTTTCACTTGAATTGCAGCAGTATTTTTTTAAGTCTATAATAGCTTCATCCATATCTTGACTCTGGTTTGTAAGCAGAAAGTGGCACTTTTAGACTTTTGTTATTTCAAACATTGTTTTCTTACATCCTGGCCATAGGACATTTTGTCCACCATCTTTCTAATGGAACTTTGCAGACTGTTCAGTAACAATGTTTTATGCTCTCTATCATTCTAATAATCCTCCCCACCTCTGTATTTGCCACCTCCCCAACTCTGTGAATTTTCCAGTAATAATTGTTGGCTTCATCTAGAGAGACAGGTGCCCAGCTTGGGCATCTATGTAATACCTTTGCTAACGCACGGAGTTCCACCACTTATTAGAAAACAAGCAATAAATCACAACTGTCTTCAAAAAGAAAGAAGGAAAGCAGTCACAAGAAAAACTTGTTGCTCCCATTTTCCTTTTGTGACTCACCTTCTCCTTCTCCTTTCTTCTTCTTCTCCTTTCTTCTTCTTCTTCTTCTTCTTCTTCTTCTTCTTCTTCTTCTTCTTCTTCTTCTTCTTCTTCTTCTTCTTCTTCTTCTCCTCCTCCTCCTCCTCCTCCTTCTTCTCCTCCTTCTTCTTCTCCTTCTCCTTCTCTTTCTCCTCCTTCTCCTTCTCCTCCTTCTTCTTGTTCTTTGAGACAGAGTCCCCCTGTGTCTCCCAGGCTGGAGTGCAGTGGCACAATCACAACTCACTGCAGCCTTGACCTCCTGGGCTCAAATGATCCTACCATCTTAGCCTCCTGAGTAGCTGAGACTACAGGGGCATGACACCATGCTTGGCTAATTTTTGTATTTTTGTACAGATGGGGTTTTGCCATGTTGCCCAGGCTGGTCTCAAACTCCTGGGCTCAAGTGATCCACTCACCTTGGCCTCCCAAAGTGCTGGGACTACAAGGACAAGTGTGAGCCACCGCGCCCCACTGTGATTCTTTTCTATGCTCATTAGAGGAGTCTTTATCTACCCTTACTTCACAGTTTGGCTTTAGACCAGAAAATTGAGGATCAATTTAAAGTGAATTTTATTTGTTTCAAATCTTTAGTAAACTATGGCATTATGGAAACTCAAGAAGTATGGGTGACTAAGAGCTGCATCTGCACTGCCTAATGAACCATTCAGCTTGAGGGCCTCACTGTGCTCCCTCTTGTATTGGATAATTCCTCTAGCTAAAGAATCTGCTTTTCAATTCTCTCATCTGCAAAAAGGAAGACAAATTTTAATTTGCTTTCTAGGATTTATGCCTTTATATATAATAAATCTATGACTTTAGGGTTCTGTATCAATCCAAGTAGATTTTTTTCCTCTTTCTGAAATATTTGAATTGGTATTAAAATTTTAAGGGGAAAAATATATTGACGAGGTAGAAACTACCAATGGAAACGCAGATTTTTTTAAATTTATTAATACTGAAAGCATGTTCACTTTGATGTAATAAGCTATCTTATATGTAAATCTGTTATCTGTTTATTGCAGTCTCCATGAGTCCAGGACCTGACTCACTGAGAAAAACATGAAGGATTATTTGGCATCTGTGAGCAGTTTGCGCAATTGGTGGAAAAGGGATAAATATATTTCTTATTTTTGCTTCTCAGAAAAAAAGTCATAAGAACACATAACATGTTTTCAAAATACTTGACTTCCTATAAGAATTTAGTAGTATTATTATTTCATCTTATAAAAATTACTAGTTAGGAAATATTAATGTTAAGTAGCCATTCATATGCAAGAGAAATATCTTAACACTCAGGATAACATGCTTCTTAAAACCTCTCCCATTTCTTCAATTCAGTAAATGTGAAGCTGTACAAACAACTAAAACGCTTTTTTGTCATGGGCATTCCTAAAAATAAAAAAGTAAACTGACACATTGACAACTACAGAGCACCAATAGCTTATTATAAGTCAGCTGAATCCGTCAGCCTATCCAACTTCCCTGGATAGAGTTTTGAAGATGGAGATCAAAACTTGCCAATCAGTTATTACTTGGATGTGGTCTAGTTTCAATTAAAGATATTCAAACTTCCTGATTTGTTTGTAAATCTGGGTCCAATTTCTCTCTCTGGATTGTGGTAAAATAATTGAGGAGTCAAGAATATTCTCTTTTTAAAATATTTATTATTTGCCATTGAATTGATTTGTTCAAAGACATTCAAAAGATTTGCTTCACTTGGTCTTATGAGAATGGGATCATATTTTTACTTGCTTTAGAATTCTGAAATGAATTGAACTCCTATTGCCTTCCCTGAGGAAATAGCTGAAATATTTGGTGACTACATCTTCCAAAAAGTTCCATTAAAATGCAAATACTAGCCATTAATTTAAATGAATTTTCTTTCCCTTTAATCAAACTGTTCAATGAAATTAGGATTGGGAGCAGATGTCTTGGCTTCACCAATATATTTCCTTTTATCCTGTTTACCGTGTACCCTTCTGGTTGACCAGTCACAAGTAGCACCTCATGTCTTCAAAATGTCTATCTTTATCTTTTTTATTTGGTGTCTTCTAAATTAACATTAAAAGATTAAAAGGAAAGAAAAAATGGTGCCCACTACCCATAAGATACAGATGATATTTTTCTCAGGCAGTGTTTGTCTTTTTATTGTATTTCCCTATGAGATAGTTTCAGTCTCAGCTATTATTTTAGGTACAGCACTACTTAACTTGCAGCTTTCTTCCTTTGCTCACCTAGTTTTATGACTCCCCTAGTTCCTTTATAGCACCTTGTTTGTTCAGATTTAACATTTATGAGAACTGCCCTTTTTATTACTTGAGTTTCCTAATAAAAATGCTACGGTGACTTACTGTGAAAGATTGAGGGATATGTTTCTTTGGAAAATAGTTGTAGTGACACTTATATACAGGGATAGAAATAGACAAGTCCCTTCTAAGTGCAAGGATCATGACATTTATGTCTTTTTTTTCTTATAGCATCTAGCATAATAAAAAGACACATAGCAGGAGACTAACAAATCTTTAGTGAATTGAATTGAACATTCCTAGCAGTTTTTCTAATGTGAACTGACAATGGATTTTCTGCCTCTCCGGGATGTGACAGGCAGCCTCGAGATAGGTTTTGGATGCACAGAACAATTACTGGATATTTCAATGGTTTATGACAAACAGTGGTGCAGTGTATTTCAAATAATTATATATGGTTGGCGCATTCAGCACAGTCATATTTGCTCTACAGACATTTACTAAGCATTGTGTCTCAGTTACAACGATAACTATGATGCTATCCTTGCCTCCAAGGAGCTCACAGTCTGATGCCCTTAGCTAGCTTCAGGAGTACTTTTAGAGATGAAGATGTTGTTGTCGAAAGAGGCCAGGCATTCTAGAAGTAGTGTGTTTGAGGCAGTTGAGTATATGTTCCTTTCACTACAAAATTTGTGGTAAACCTTAAGCAATGTTAAATTGATGCCCCTACCTTGTTTCTCAAAGTATTGTTGATGTGGACTTTTCTTCCCCTAATGTATTTATTTGCCCAGTAATTATTTGGTCAACTAATTTCCCTATTTCCTAGGCCAATATGTAGAAATAGAATCCTCAGGTAACTTGAATACCTGCATAGTCATCCTTATTGAATATTAAACTTTTTTGGGAATAGCTACCTATCTAATATTACATTATCTTTTCTTTGTGATTCTTCTCAATTTAGGTTATTGCTGAAATATGCTATGATGTTACGGTGTTTGGAATGATAGTTGCTATAGACTGAATATTTGTGTCCCCACTAAATTCTTATGTTGAAATCCTACCACCCAATGTCTTGGTACTAGGAGGTAGAGCATTTGGGAGGTGATTTCATCACGAGACTGGAGTCTTCATGAGTGGGATTATTTGCCTTATAAAAGAGATCCCTGAAAGCTCCCTTGTCCCTTCCACCATGTGAGGACACAGTGAGAAAACAACTGTCTGTGAACTAAGAAGCATGTCCTCACCAGACCCCAAATTTGCCAGTGCCAGTGCCTTGATCTTGTTCTTTCTGAAACCGCTATTTCAAAATTATAACTGAGACAGTGAAAGAGATCTGACTTAACCAACTCCATCTTGCTTCTAACCTCCAAGCTGTCCTTGTTCATTTCGGGGCATAGGCTGAACTAACTTTGGAGGAACTTAGTTTATAGTTTAAAACAAAGATGATAACAGCCCTTTCCCAAAGCAAACCTCCTTCTTGCTGGAGACTAGACTGCCCTTGTAGGACTAACAAATTAGGCACAAGATTAGAAATTATGGTTTAAGAGTCGTGCAGCTGGAGGTTACAAGATTCTCACCCTCCCTAAACTGCTCCTAAGATCAGTGCTTGAAATATTTTGCTGACCCTGCACTTGATGGATCAGCTGGCACCACCCAGGTAGATAAACTGGCTCATCTGATCTGTGGCCCCCACCCAGGAACTAAGCACAAAAAGACAGCTTTAATTCCCTATTATTTCATCTCTGACCCAACCAATCAGCCCTCTTGACACACTGTCATTCCCCCACCCACAAAATTGTCCTGAAAAACTCTGATCCCCGAATGCTCAGGGAGACTGATTTGAGTAGTAATAAAACTTGGGTCTTCCACACAGCCGGCTCTGTGTGAATTATGCTTTCTCTATTGCAATTCCCCTGTCTTGATAAATCCGCTCTGTCTAGGCAGCAGCCAACGTGAACCCATTGGGCGGTTACATTTCCAGCTTTCAGAACTATAAGAAATAAATTTCTGTGGTTTATAAGTCATCCCATTTATGGTACTCTGTTATAGCAACCAAACAGATTAAGACAAAAGTACAGAGATTCTACAGAATTCGCCTTTAGATTCTAGAAGTTGATGTTAGCATTCAGATAATAATAATATCATTATTTTAATGAAAGGAGTTGTGTCACCCTTATAACCTGCTGGTATTTTTAAAAATCTATTTTTATTGACCTTAACATTGCACAAGACAGAAAAGGGACATGTATTAGCATAGCAAATCCATTTTACATATGCAATTCTGGTGCTCTGAGTTTAAATGACTTGCAATTATAATCTAAATTTATTAACATTTGAAGTACAAATATTATGTTCAAGACACTTGGTAGATACTCCACACTCTATCATATTTGAAATTTTGAGTGGGAGAGTTAAAAGTGGGAATGAAAAAATTAACATACATTATCTATTCTATAATTTACAACTACAGATAGTATTGCATGATTTTTATCCAATTACAAGCTTAATGCTTTTAAGCTTAATATTTGAATATCTTACTCTCTCTCTCTATTTTTTTATTTATTCCTTTAAAAGATGGGGTTTCACTCTGTACTCTGTCATGCAGGCTGGAGTACAGTGGCATGATCATAGCTTACTGCAGCCTCAAACTCTTGGGCTCAAGTGATCCTCCTGCTTCTGCCTCCTGAGTATCTGGGACTACAGTTGTGCACAGCCATGCCTGGTTAAACTTTTTTTTTATTTCTGGTAGAAATGGGGTCTTGCTTTGTGTATTAGTCTGTTTTCGTGCTTCTGATAAAGACATACCTGAGACTGGGAAGAAAAAGAGGTTTAATTAGACTTACAGTTCCACATGGCTGGGGAGGCCTCAGAATTACGGTGGGAGGTGAAAGGCACTTCTTACATGGCAGTGGCAAGAGAAAATGAGGAAGAAGCAAAAGTGGAAACCTCTGATAAACCCATCAGATCTCATGAGGCTTATTCACTATCACAAGAATAGCACAGGAATGACCAGACTCCATGGTTCAATTACCTCCTCCTGGGTCCCTCCCACAACATGTGAGAATTATGAGAGATACAATTCAAGTTGAGATTTGGGTGGGGACACAGCCAAACCATATCACTTGTTTCCCAGGCTGGTTTCAAAGACCTGCCTTCAAGGAATCCTCCTTCCTCAGATTCCCAAAATGTTGGGATTACAAGTGTGAGCCACCATCCCCTGCCTATTACAATATTTTTTAAAGTACATCAAGCATAATTTTTAGATGCCTCACCATCTAAACTGGCTTGAGAACCTGTACTTTACATTTTTATTATTTCACTTAGCAAACAATTTTTGAGCACTTGCTGTCTGACAAGCACTGTTTTCAGCACCATTAGTACAGGTGTTTAGAAAACAAAGCCATTGCTGTTATAGAGCTTTCATCCTAATGGGTCAGGCAACTAGAAACTAGTATGCAAGCAAATGAAGAGTTTAAGTAGTGATATGTGTGAAAACCTACATGGAAATTTCATTCTTCATTAACTATCAAATATATTAAATAATAACATTAAATGTCTACTTAATCTCTTTTTCTGTTATTTATAAGTACTTATAATTAATATTGTTAAACACCACAGGAGTAGTTTTAATGAAGATAATCTTACAATTTACAACATTGTTCACTCATCGTGATGGTTAACATTGACTGTCAACTTGATTGGATTGGAGGATGCAAAGTACTGTTCCTGGGTGTGTCTGTGAGGGTGTTGCCAAAGGAGATTAACATTTCAGTCGGTGGACTGGGAGAGGCAGACCCACCCTCAATCTGGGTGGGTACCAGCTGCCAGTGTGGCTAGAATAAAGCAGGCAGAAGAACCTGGAAGGGCTTGACTGGCTGAGTCTTCTGGCCTTCATCTTTCTCCTGTGCTGGATGCTTCCTGCCCTCGAACATCAGACTCCAAGTTCTTCAGCTTTTGGACTAAACTTTCACCAGTAATTTGCTAGGAGCTCTCGGGGCCTTTGGCCACAGACTGAAGGCTGCACTGTCAGCTACCCTGCTTTTGAGGTTTTGGGACTCGGACTGGCTTCCCTGGCCAGCTTGCAGATGGCCTATTGTGGGAGTTCACCTTGTGATCGCGTGAGCCAATACTCCTTCATAAACTCCCCTTCATACATGCATCTGTACTGTTAGTTCTGTCTCTTTAGAGAGCCCTGGCCAACACATTCATTCTTTAGGGAAAAAAAAAAAATCTTACCCATCTTAGATTCATTTGCTGGGACCCTCTAAATTAGATTGATGAAAGACCTATGAACAAGAGAAAGACATACTAATTTACTTAATGTCAGTTGTAAAGAAACGAAGACCTGAAGAAATAATTAAACCTGAGTGTTTTTATACTGAGTTTGATGAAGAATGGAAGATCATGGAAAAATGTGATAGGACAAAGGTGTACGAGCTAAGGGTAGAAAGCTAGGGGAAACTCAACAAGGTCTGTTCATTCAGATTCCTTTTGACATCCCTCTGTCTTTGGACATAAGGATGTTTCTTTTGGCTATAAAAAAGGCATCTCTCACATGAGGGTCTTATGAAGGGGGAGGTCAGAGAGCGCTTCCTGAACCTGCTGTTACTCAAATTCCTTTAGCTTAAAGTATCCAATATGCCAAGGTATGATGTTTCAGGGTAGCATATTCTGATTCCTGTCAATTCATTCACTCATTCCATGTTTATTAAGTCTCTGCTGTGTGCCATTTATTTAGTGTCTGCTATGTTCTCAGCACAAGGAATACGAGAATGATGAAAACAAATACAAATTCTGGCTCACGTGGATTTTAATCAGATATAACCTTTTTATTCTGGATGATTTTCATAGCATTCTACAGACACATTAGAAAACATCTTCCTGGAATCTCAGCACAATACAAATTATATGAGAAAGACAATTTTATATATGTGTATAAAATGTAACTTTCAGAATATATTGTTTTATTTATTCCTTGAAGAAAACACTCACACAGATTTGTTCTAAGATTCTATTTGTAACATGGAATTGTTAGTTATGTACAGACACTTTTAAACAAGACTTTCCTAGTACATTACCTTAAGGATTCTTAGATTCAAGTATCAAGAGCGATTTGGGGCTTTTATTCTCGGCTACATAGCTTCATTATATCTAATAATCTTCATTATATGTCTCTGGTTTTTCATCTATGCACTTTTTTCTTTATTCTTACCAATAATTTCGGGCCAATGTTAGAATTGTATGTGAAAACAATATGTATTGAGTATGCATTTAACTTTTTTGATATGTTTATTAAGTTCTATATAACACTGTTTTTACATTTCCTGTTTTCAAAAATCAGGGCATGGTTTGCCATTACTATTTTTAAAATATATTTTAGATTTACTTGATTCAATAAAGCACAAAAGGAAGCATTCCACATTTCTCTGACATCTAGTAAGTTGCATTTCTAGGTCAGTTTTCTCATCTTTGCCTTTAAATAATGATTATAATTGAAATCTTATGATGTAATAGTCAAATTGACCTTTTCCTTTGTCTACGCCTACTACCAAATAATTTGGAACAGAAATTATTTGAAGTATGTATTAGTCTGCTTGGGCTCCTATTACAAAATGCCGTAGACTCAGTGACATAAAAAACAGAAATTTGTTTCTCACAATTATGGAGGTGGGGAGGTCCAAGATCAAGGTGCTGAGAGGGTTGGTTTCATTCTAAGGCCTCTTCTCCTGGCTCAGGCTGCTGCTACTTCACTGTCTCACTGTGTCCCTCACATGATCTCTTCTTGGTGGGTACTTGCAGAGAGTGGGGAGGGAGAGAGGAAGGGCAAAAGGGAGAAAGGAGGGGGAGAGAGAGAGAAGAAGAAAGAGAACACTCTTATGTCTCTTCTTTTTATAATGACACCAATCTCATCAGATTAAGGCCCCACTCTTAAGACCTCATCTCCAAAACTCCATCTGCAATTACCATCACACTGGGGGTTAGAGCTTCAACATGTGAATTTGGGGGAGGCACAAACCTTTAGTCCATAACAGTGTGCAATATCAACAAAAACTTTGAATGCTGTAGTGATTTTTGTAGAAATACAGATTTATGTATCAGTCTCTTTCACTTATTAAAATTGTCTAATTATGAAGTAATTGATCTGTTTACTTTTTTTACATTGAAAAACGGATTCTTAATTGTCAACGAGCTGTGAGTTAGAGGTGAGATCTGAGGAGAATCCAACGTGCAAAAATCAGGTCTATTTATTTGCTGTAAGTTTTCCTACAGCCGCCATTGCCAAATCACTAGCCAATTCTAGCTCATGGTTAACAAAGTAGAGATCTCAGAAACTCATAGGGATTTGGGAGGCATTTTCAGATGTTGTAACATAAATAAAACCTGCATTTTAGATTTAAAATATTTTTATATTAGGTAAACATTGAATTGGTTGTACTATCATTTTTTAAACATTTGGATACTGTCATTGAGATAAAATTAGTCTACTGGGAAGCAACTTTCTCTTATCCCCTATAAATTATCAATATGCAAATATACTGTAAGTATAATGCAGAGCAGGGTGCATAATACAAACCTGAAGGAAGAACTTAATATATTGATGCAGATTAAAGAATAATCTTATTCTTAATTACCCTGAGAAAAGCACTGATGGTTCCTTATTTCACGTCTCCTACTGTTACACAATTTCAATCTTTTTTTTAGAAATTTATCCTAGATCCTTCATTTTGAAATTTTGGTCCACCTTCCCCTACCTGCCTGCCCTGTCTTGCATACATATTTAGTGTAGGTCTTACCTGGCAGTTATTTAAGGGCCTATGACAGCTCTCTGCTATTGTTCTCCAGGTAGTGGAGGTACTGCATTGCAGAACAGCTTGGAGGAGTTAGCCATACCTAAGCATACAAACTGTTGGAGACTCACAGAGCCATCTGGGTTCACTTCCAACCAAACATAATCTCAGAGCACTTTTTGCTGGTTAGTTTTCAAGTTTTCAGTTACAATAACTCAATCCTTCTGTAAGAATCTGAATGAAGGAAGATGTAAAATAAAAAGAATTTGCATTATTTGGTATGTTGACAAATTCTGAACCCATTCACTTGAGGATAATATAGATATGTAAAATGTAGTCTGGGTTTATTAAGGTGAACATTCTATTTCTAACACATGCAACTCTTTTGAAAATACTATTTTTATGAAAGTCAAAAGATATATTTTGATAATCCATAATTTATTTGAATTATACTTAAATACACATATATTTTGAGAATTCATAATTTATTTGAATTATACTTAAATACACATATGAATCACCTGGGACTCTTATCTTCTTAAAATGCCAGTTTGGATTCAGTAGGTCTGGGGAGGGGCCTGGGAACCTGCATGTCTATTGCCTTTCTAGGGGATGCTAATGTTGCCGGTCTGTGGACCACTTTTTGAGTAGCAAGTTACAATGAAATACTTTATAATTCTTCCCAACTTCCCAGAAGGTAAAACCTTTTATTTTCTATTGTATTAAAAGTTATAAAGCTTTTAAAAGTGTATCAACTGATAGGAAATAAATCGTTGTCCTATTTGTTGAGTTATTGTTTAAAAATTGCAAATTGTCATTGAACATTATCAACAAATTTTAAATCGAAATTCAAAATAGAAAATAGCTACAAAATTATCAGTGAAGTAAGTGATGGCATTTGTATGCACAGTGATCAGGTTACCTTAAAAGTACCACATCTACCAGATGAATATCCTACCATATATCAATAACAGTTCTATACACATGCTGCATATGTTTTTTACTGTTTTTTAACAGTTTAATATTAAATCTGTGTTTTATTATAACTCATGTTAGTAACAGTAATAATTTAAAATTGTTACCAAAACAAATATTAAGATTATTTGCAAATATTTGTAAGATTTCACCAATTGAGTCAATTGATGATATCAATTGAGATTGTAGCATTGCACAACTGAATTTTCATCAGGGGCCAATCTATGAATACAAGATGATACATACAGGACAGCTTTAATTTAGGACTCTTCACTTTATGAAATTTATTAGATATGATGAAACATGTAACTAAAATTTAGATTTAAAGTACAAGAAGATGTAGTTAAATTGTGACATTTTAAATAGTCCTGTTTTATAGACTTATAAAAGTTGGATACAAGATTAGAAAGGAGGTAGAATTCTATTAGTAAGGTTACTGGTGGCATATCCCTAAGGGTCTGCAGCAAGCTCAATTCTCACCTCCTCAGAAGAAAGAATTTGACCTAGGGGCATAAGGCAGAGTAAGAGACTGAGACAAGTTTTTGAGCAGGAGTGAAAGTTTATTAAAAAGCTTTAAAGCAGGAATGAAAGGAAGTAAAGTATCCTTGGAAGACGGTCAAGCAGGCAACTTGAGAGATCAAGGGCATTGTTTAACTTTTGACTTAGGGTTTTATATGTTGGCATCCTTCCGGGGTCTTGCATTACTTCTCCCCTGATTCTTCCCTCGGGGTGGCCTGTCCATATGCACAGTGGCCTGTTAGTTCTTGGGGGGTGCAGCATGCCCAGTGTGTTTACTGGAGCTGTACGCATGCTCACTTGAGGCAGTCTTCCCTTACTAGCCCAGTGTTCCTAGATGGTCATATACTGGTTAAACTCTGCCATTTTGCCTCTTAGTGCGCATGCTTGAGCTCACTTGCCTAACTCCTGAGATCTTATTGGGAAGCTGCTGATCACCAGTTTGAGGTTTTCCTATCTACTGAGAGACTGCCGTTCTCTGGCGCCAGCTGTGACCTATCATTATTTTAGAGAGGCAGTTTAGCAACCGCCTGACCATCACCTGATGGTTGCTGACATTCCTGGTGGGCGTTGGGGTGGAGGGGGGCTTCTCCTTCCCTGCTCATTTCTGACTGCCTACCTATCTACTGTAACAGTGGTGCTAATTTTTCTGACAAGAAAAAAGTTACATGATAAATGAAAATTCTGTGGTTGAGAAGGTGCTTCTGGTGGTAGAAAATTAAGAAAATGTGATATGTATTGAAGTCATTCAAATTTTAGACAGAATGGTGAATTTGTGACAAAACTGAATTAAAAAAATTACAGCTCACTGAAACAGGTTGAAGGATAGGGAATACATGTGAAATTCATTATTAAATATATTTTTATAACTTAGAAAATGATATTCTCAGTGTAGAGAGCATGATAAATTTATTACATCTATAATTACACATCTATGAGTTTTCTGATGCTGTTAGAAATCAGAGATCGAGCTAAGTAAGTCTATTTTATAGTTCACAATTGAGTCCTACAAATGTATGAAAATTCAGAAGTCAATCAATGGAACAATAACGATCTCAATGTTACAAAATCTGGTGATTGTAACCACATTCTCAACTGAATAATAAGACAACTGCTCATGAAATTCATATCAGATGTTTCAGAGTATACCGAAGATTATTTTAATAAAAATGATTTTTTATTTCATTGATGTACCAGTGAAATTCAATCTTTTTAGAACCAATTTAAAAAGGATTAAAAAAGTCCACTGCCAAAAATTCGATTTAGTTTAAGTAAAATACTGGATTAAAGCAGCACTGCTGGAAGAAATAAAACCGAGTGGCGTGACAGCAACGTTTAAGGAGAATTAGCCAGAACTTTTCATATACATTGTCATGCATATTTTTTGGACATTGTAGTTGTGAGGATTAATGACGAAGGGTTTGAACTCCAAAACACTCCCAATACTATCAATTCTTTATAAGATATTAAACATGTAGATTTAAGATACTGGCAAACATCTAGATATTTTTAAATAAAAGGAAAGCTTGACAATCAGAAAGCCATGTGGTTTAGAAAAAGCACAATTGAAATATATTATCTGTATTATCAGTTGTGATTAAGGAACTTCTGGAGAAGCCTCAGAAAATGGAAGTTTCATCAAATTCATATTTAAATATGCATATGATAGTGATTCTTTAAATATGCATATGATAGTGAATAAAATGTTGATAATTTTCTAACTTGAATTTTTATTTTTTTATTTTATTTTTTACTGTTTTCTATTTGTTAGAGAAGTCTTTTTTTTTTTGGGAAAGAGTTTCGTGTAATGGTGCGATCTCCACTCACCACAACCTCCGCCTCCCGGGCTCAAGCGATTCTCCTGCCTCAGCCTCCTTAGTAGCTACCGCCTTAGTAAGTACCACTTAGTAAGTACCGCCTTAGTAAGTACCACTTAGTAGCTACCTCCTTAGTAAGTACCACTTAGTAAGTACCTCCTTAGTAAGTACCACTTAGTACTACCACCACGCCTGGCTAATTTCGTATTTTTTTTTTTTTAGTAGAGACGGGGTTTCTCCATATTGGTCAGACTGGTCTCGAAATCCCGACCTCAGGTGATCCGCCCACCTCAGCCTGCCAAAGGGCTAGGGATTACAGGAGTGAGCCACCGCGCCTGGCCGAGAAATCTTTCTAAAGATCTTCGCATCAAAATTATAGAAATGTGGTTTTACTCTTTCATCAGTCTTAACCTTTATGGGAATCAGCTAAAAGTTACAGACCTCTTCTTAAGAATACATACACTTAATTAAATACAAAAATATTTAGCGTATAATGAATTTTATTCTACTGAAAACTCATTTCAAAATATCTATTGAGGACAATATCTAGTGAAACTTTATTATTTTTAAAAATGATGAGTTCATGTCCTTTGTAGGGACATGGATGAAATTGGAAATCATCATTCTCAGTAAACTATCGCAAGAACAAAAAACCAAACACCGCATATTCTCACTCATAGGTGGGAATTGAACAATGAGAACACATGGACACAGGAAGGGGAACATCACACTCTGGGGACTGTTGTGGGGTGGGGTGAGGGGGGAGGGATTGCTTTGGGAGATATACCTAATGCTAGATGACGAGTTAGTGGGTGCAGCACACCAGCATGGCACATGTATACATATGTAACTAACCTGCACATTGTGCACATGTACCCTAAAACTTAAAGTATAATAATAATAAAATAAAATAAATTTTTTTTTATTTTTTTGAGCAAAATATTAATGGCAAAAATAAAAAAATACAAATTGTGCAGACAGAATAAAATAAAATATTTTATTAAGAGACCCTGTTCGGTGTTTCTAAGTTATATCCTTTATAATAAAGTGGTAATAGTAAGTAAAGTGCTCTTCTGAGTTCTGTGAGTCATTGTGCCAAATTGTTAAACCTGACACTAGTGTTAAGTTAAGAAATTGGATAAGAAAAATTAGAAAAGTTAGAAATGTTTAGCTTGCCCTGAATCATGCCTGCACTATGAGACTTGTATTCCATGAAAACAAACTATTCAATAATTGATGATGGGACAATCAGCTAGACATTACCACAGAGCTGTTTTTAAATAATCCTCATTTTTCTTTAATAATTTCTGCTAATGTGTCCATAATAAATGAAATAATTTCAAATAATTCATATTTCTTAGCTTCCTGATTCATGATTGATCTTTTGATTCTTGTGCCAATGTTATATCAATTTGATTCCTGAGATTAATGCTACTTACATTAATTATAAAAGTTGCTAACACTTACAAGCACTTACTATACACTGGGTCATATAAAAAGCTTTATATCTTTTATATGATTCAATTTACACATGGCACATTTGAGGTGTTTATTATTCTCCTTTGAAAGATGAAAATGAGAGAAAGACATGTTAAGAGACTTGCCAAATGATGAAAATCTCTTTGGTGAAGCCCAGATTCAACCCCAGGTTAACTTATTTTGCCAGGGTATGTCTATTTCCATGAAAGAAAGTGTCTGTCTTACTTCTCTTCTTTAAAATTTATAATTAAGTATGGCCATTTTTCCACTTTGGTTTCCCATATTAATCTTAGTGTCATATCCTTCTTCTAACAAACCCCTTTCCTCAAACCCCATTCTTTTGTTAGTATTCCAGTTTTGTACTTATAACAGGAGGTTGTTTTGCAGATTTAATTTTGTAATTTAATTTACATTTAATTTTATGGCCAAGATCAAGTGCTATGAGATCATCATCAAGATTTACTGTCTCAATTGTACAATCTCTGTAAAATGATTTGTGAAGCATTCTATCTTTTTATATGCTTTGAAAGAATTTAAACGCTATGGAAACTAGAAACTTCTTCAAAATTTGAAAGAACGTATCTGTAAGTCATTTGGCCCGTAAGCATATTTTAGAAAAAAGTG
Organism: Homo sapiens; assembly: GCF_000001405.40. NCBI lineage: Eukaryota > Metazoa > Chordata > Mammalia > Primates > Hominidae > Homo > Homo sapiens. Next base: position 1,479,618 of record NC_000018.10, read on the forward strand.
TTGGACACATGGAGAGGTTTTAAGTTTCTTTGTCCATTATTATTAAGCTATTCAGGTTTTCTACTCCCCGTTGAATCAATCACAGAAACATCCATTGGGAATTTTTAAGTTCTTTAGTATAGCATTATAAACAATATTTTATTCTAATTAAAAATTTGAAATCTGTTAAACTCTTCTCATTTGTAATTTTGCCCATTAAATGTTTCTGTTTTATTTATTAGACCTATACTTATTTTTTATTTTTCCTCAAAGAACTAGCTCCTGTATATTAGTTCTACTCTTCTTTTAAAAAAATGTTTTCTAATTCACTCATTAGAATTTGCACAATTTCCTTAGGCTTACAAAATTTATTTGCACTGATTTTTATTTTTCAAATAACTCAAGAATTTATGACAGGAAAAAATGACCATAAGTACAGTTTTGCTGTACATCACGTTGTTAGCATTTTTTAAATATCATATCATTGAAGTTTTGACTATGCACATCATCCAATAATTACTATATAAGTTTAACAATTAATTGATTGCAGTTTTATTGATTGAAATTTTGTCCTTTTTTATTTTCTGTTTTATTGCAGGTTCTTCATAGAAACTTTCTACTTGGGTGGATTTAATGAAAGTTTTTTGGGGGGATTACAAGTGTATTGGTTTGTTTTCACACTGCTATAAAGATACTACCCAAGACTGGGTAATTTATAAAGAAAAGAGATTTAATTGACTCATAGTTCCACATGTCTGGGAAGGCTTCAGGAAACTTACAATCATGGCAGAAGAGAAGCAGCCACATTTTACATGGCAGCAGGCAAGAGAGAGAGTGTGTAGGAGGAACTCTCAAACACCTATAAAACCATCAGATCTTGTGATAACTCACTCACAATCGTGAGAACGGCATGGGGGAACCACCCCAATGATGTAATCACCTCCCACCAGGTCCTGGCCTTGACACCTGGGGATTATGGGGATTACAATTTGAGATAAGATTTGGGTGGGAACACAGAGCCAAACCCTATCAACAAGATCAAAATTTTAAATCATTCCATGGACTTTGAATAAAATGTGTTTACTCTATTTGTGTATGGATAGTGTTTAGCAATTAAATCAACTTGAGTATACACTTACAACATAATATGAAATAATAAACATTATAATTGAATGTGCTACCAATGTTATTATGTACACTATATTCACATATTCAAGTGCATAATATTCACTAATTGTCATGGAAATGCAAATAAAAAACACAATGCAATATTATCTCACCCTAGTTAAAATGGCTATTATCCAAAAGACAGAAAATAACAAATGCTAGTGAGGATATAAAGAAAGGGGAACACTCGTACACTGTTGATGAGAATGTAAATTAATGCAGCCACTGTGGAAAACAATATAGAGCTTCCTCCAAAAACTAAAAATAGAATTACCATATGAACCTACAATCCTCCTGCTGGGTATATATCCAAAAGAATGAAAATCGGTATATCGAAGAGATGGCTGCACTCCCATGTTTATTGCTGCGCTACTCACAGTGGCCAAAATATGGAATCAACCTAATTGCCTATCAATGGATGAATAGATATAGAAAATGTGAAACCTAGACATGACCACAAGATGACTATCCATACTTAAGTTATAGTACAATAGTCCTTTAAAACAAAGACAAACATTGAAGACATAATTTTCTATTGTTTTTTACTACTTTGATAATCTCAACATGTTTCATTTTTATATATTTTACAAATGTGATGTAAATAATTTTTGTCAACTAGATGGTGACTTTGTTTTTCCATATTAAAAAAAGCAACAAATTTTATGTAAATTTGAAGCTCAAGCCAAAGTTCCTTTTGTAGTGAAAAAGCTAGTAGATGCCCTATATTGTGGTATTAAGCTATGTTAAGCTATCTGTGCTAATGTAGTTATTGTGGCAAAAAGATTTACAGAATCTGAGTCAGTGAGTCCAATTAGTTCTTTCCTGAATAATGGTTAGGATGGTACAAATTTACTATTTACCTCCACATTCAAGTCATGCAATCAACAGCAATGACTTTAAGTGCCTTGAAAGTGAATAAAAGCTGCATCACAAAGGATAATGCTTTGAATTGAAGATTCATGTGACAGCCACTGTACTACAAATAAAATGTAAATATTTCATTGAGACAGAGCCTAAAAGATGGAGGATATCAGACTCCAGGTCCCACTGATGCACACAGCTCTGGGAGGAGTGAACCATGACTATAAACCACAGTCCTACTAAATGGTAACAACTGGGCTGGAGAGGCCACTATAATTGACCCAAATGACTGTATTCTTTCCATTTTTCGTGGTCTCCTGGACTGATCATTATTTGTTTTTTCTATATTTCTATTAAGCCATCCTGCCCAAAGGCAGTGGCTTAGATTCAATTCCATTTTAATTATGGTCCAGTAACAACCTTTATCATTGTTGTTAATATTGATATATTTCAGTGTCCTTCTAATTTTGGGTTTTTCTTCTACCAGCTCTACCCAATTCAAACTATTCTTTTCCATGTCCAAGATTCAATAAGCTCTTTATGAAACTCTAAATACGTCATTCAAAAGCATTTGATGGCACCTAGAGAATATATTTTAAGCTCTCCAGCAGGATATTTAAGGTCCTCCGTGGTCTTCTTCCTAAAATTTTCTTACCTCCAACACACTCCTCCATATACCCAGTGTTCCAATGTTGTTTGCTTTCTCTGGCATATTTCTGAGAAAGAAGGCTGTTAGCTGCAGTGTACAAAACTGCCATTTATTGTGAAATATCTGATTGTGTCAAACTATTTAATTAAAAAAGACGTCCTTTTGAATGATAACCCAAGGAAAAGAAATTAATCCTTCTCCGTCTGTTCATCTAGTCATGCAGATTGCTTTATTTGCTTTAGAATAATGTTTTGTTATATGCTTTAGAATAATATGTGTTTTTTAGAATCAGTGACATTAAATAAGTTCGGTTATATATTTTTGTAAATCATGTTAATGCAACTGTCTGGCCAAAGAAAGTGGACACAAAAATGAATAAATACATAAAAATAAACACGTGAATAAAACTGTATTTTTGATAGTTTTACCTGCATGTGTATTTGTTGTTTTTTATGAAGTAAAAGAAAACAAAGACTTCTGGAGGAGAACTGGTTTCTAAAAAACACAATATTCCTGTTCATATTTTACAAACTTTGATCTCTAGATGATTTATAATCTTATTTCTACAATTAAAAAATAAAAACATTTCAATCGAAAGAATAAATGTTATTTCCAGGACATGGACCAGGACTGAAGAAGGATCATTTCAACCAGAGGAAACATTACAATGGTTCTGAGCAGTCAAAGGTCATGGTGCTTCTGGGAGCACGTGCAAAGTCTGGTTTGATCTGAGTATAATCTGGGTGATACAGAATAGGGGGCGATGAGGCTGCTAGAGTTGGGCAAAGGAGGACCTTGTATAGTATAACAAGATTTGGGGCTTAATCCTGTAGTCTATGAGGCTTATTGAAAGTTCAAAGCAGGATTTTGTATCATCCTTTCTGTAGTTTAGGTGAAGAAATCATTTGTCAGTGAAGGAGATGAATTGGAGAGACTTGGAGTGTAGACTGCCAATGAGTCCACAACATAAACTGTTTGGCATGAACAAAGGAAATGGCAGAGCAAACATAAGATGGGAGAGTTAGCTTAGCACTAATTAGGAGCTAAAACTGATGGCACCAGTTTACTGATTGAATGTGAAAAGATACGAGAGAGGAGTTTAGTTAATCGAAGTTTCTACAATGAGCAACTGAGTGGTTGGAGTTGCCATCAAATTAGACAACAATGTGTTAATCACATACTGTGTGGGGGGTACTATAGAACACTTGAGAGGTGGTGGAAATAAACAAGACATGCTTTCTGTCATGTTGAATAACTGTTTTTCTCTGTTATGTCCTCTTGGCATGAGACACACTTTTGAGACAATGACTCACTATTGGCAGAGACTTTGTCAGATGGTAGGCTTTATGTATAAGTTCTGGTAGTTCTCAATGGCTTTATTGCACAACTGGCTTGAAAGTTTCTTTATACTTTTTCTTTAGACAAAGAAAAAGCACCATAAAAGCTGCCCTAAATCTAAAGCAAACTTTTGATTTAACAGTAAAATCTGAATTACTGCAGTTTTTCCAGCCACTGAATGTCAATGGATCTTCTGAAGTTTCTTTCCCCTCTTTTTGTAACAATTACAAAAATGATTAAAGGCACTTCTATGTGTGTATGCATACACACACACACATACACACACATGCACACACACACACACCTGTGAGGGAGCAGAACATGATGCTCAATTAACAATTCTGAAAGATTAATACACAAACACACACACACACACACACACACCTGTGAGGGAGCAGAACATGAAAACATAATGTGCAATTAACAATGCTGAAAGTTTAACACACACACACACACACACACACACACGGGTTATATCTTTATTTGAATAAACTTTCCATCAAAGAGAGTGAAACTTACAGGCAATATGAATGAGAGAATGTGTCCAAAAGTTGTGAAAAACTACCCCAGGAAAATATCTCTTTTAAAATTAGGTTTTTATAAACAGTGCATTTAATGAAGCATATTAGTCCTTTTCCATATTAAATTGGATTATCACATTTTTTCTTGTTTGTTTTAATGCCTCAGGATTCAAGACTGAAATCAATCATTTACTGATCCAGATTAAAGTCTGTATATATAGATATATACATGTATGGGTTTACCAATAATATTGATAAAATATTCTCATGAATCTTTTGTGAAGCAATGGAAAAACACTGAAAAGGCTTATATTCACTGTCTGGAGAAATGAGATCCAACCACAAGCGTATAAGCAAAGTAGACACAAAAGTAGGGCAATAATAGCATTTTGATTGCTTTTGCTAATAAACTTTTCCATTTCCTTAAAACAAAAAGATTGTTAGTTCATTTTAATGTGGCATTTCTGATGCTTACAAAGTATTATGTGCTTTTTAGAAGAAAAATTTCCTTAAAATATAGATATGTGCAATGTACCACTTTCTTTCATGCTTGCTATTTCTAAAACCCAAAGAGAGAGTAGACTGACTGAAATGAAAGTTGCATTCCAATACGTTCTTATAGGAATTAGACATATAACAAATATATAGCGCTAACAATTAATAAATGTGCTGTATAGTATATAAAACTAACACTAATACAAGTATTGGTCTTATTTTATATAGTATTGCCTTTTGCTCAGTTTTCTTCTAAATGATTTCAATTGTACTTACTGTTTTAGGTCCCTGATTAGAAATACCCACAGTATAATAATGTAATAAGCATAAAAAGTAGTTGAATTTTGAAATAACTGAAATTAATGCTTATCGATGTGAAATTACGTTATTATTTTTCTTTCTTTTTACTATAAAAGTTGCATGCAGAATGTAGTGAAGAACTTATATTAACACCTAAATTTTTCCTCATCTTTAGAATTCTACCAGTATAGCTCTGAAATCTATTGCTATAATTGGACCTATTGATTGACCACCCAATCCCCAGGGTTCAAATGCAGCAGTTCTTAGCTGGGACTGAAATGTGTGTGTGTGTGTGTGCACGTGTGCATGCACGCGCACTTTAATAGTATTTGAAGTGGAATCTGGAAATTCCATTCCCTCGCTGAAGCTTTCCTCACTGACTCCACCTAAATGTGAGCTCTCACTCACCTGGACTCCTTTTACTCCTTGGTTCTTTCACTTTTATAGTATTAATAATGGAAGTAATTGTATCATATTTTTTTCTGAGCATATTGCATGTGAATTTCCAGATTACATAGTATCTGGAAACAGACTATCTGCTTCAAATACTATTTATCATAAGAGATAAATGAGGGCAGCCAGTTTAGGGAGCAACTGCATTAGTCCTTATCAATGTTTCTCAACTTGTATTCCCTTCATCACAGGGTGTATGAGAAAAGTATTTATTTAGTGTAGGCTTTCCCAAAAGTATCAGACCACAGGACCTCTTGGGTATGTAAAGCTCTCAGCTACTCAGAATTTACTTTCAACACCAAAACTCATTGTTAAATGTAGATCCAGTCCATGGTTCCTGAATGCTAAAAATGTTCCATACATCAAAAAAGTATTTCCACTTAGTATATAGTCTAGTTTTTAAGAGCATAGTATCTGGAAACAGACTGGTTCAAATACTAACTGGCTCTGTCATTTGCTAGCTGCTTGACCTCTAGCAAGGTACCTAATGTCTCTTTTTTTAGTTTTATCTTATTAAAATTAGGATAACAAATATAACACCTTCCTAGGATTTATATGAGGTTTGAATGAATTAATATATAAAATACATTATATATTAATGTTAATATATAACATTATATTTTAATATATTAATATTAATACATATTAATTGGGAACAGTGCCTTGCACATTGCCTGCACTGTATAAGCATTTGCTCTCACTGTAACTACTAGTAATACTAATAGTAGGGCATTACTGCTATCATTTAAGGACACTGAACACAATTATAATTTTGTTCTATTAATAGTAATATATTGTGAGTACGTTAATCTCTCCCCTCTGAAAATGTGTTTCAAAATAAATTAAAAATATTTTGTATTATTAATCCCTTGCAAATGTTTGTTGCACACCCACCAAGTAAATGACAATATCCTGACCATTGTACAGAAAAATGATAAACAAGATTTAATTCTCGGCCTTAAAGAACTTGTAACCTAAAGTCAATTTTCCATGTAGTCACACTGAAATCTGCCACTGACAACCTGCATACTCACATAGATCTGTCGATGAGTCTCTTAAATCTTTCATGTAGTCATGAAAAACTACCGCAGGTATTTCTATCCGTTATCTGGAGAAACCCACATACAATATGCTCAGAAAAAAAAGATACAATTTTGTCTATAATCAACACTATAAAAGTGAAAGAACCAAGGAGTAAAAGGAGTACAGAGGAGTGAGAGCTCACTTTTAGGTGGAGTGAGTGAGGAAAGCTTCAGAGAGAGAATGGAATTGCAGCCAGATTTTGAAAAATGTTTTCAATTGCAATAGTAAAGAGGTGAAAAATTGACAAGGTAAGGAAAAGTGGTGGTGGCTGTGCATTTTAGATTGCAAGAATGACACAAACATGCAGGTGGCGAAAGCTACATTTTGTGTAGGAAGAGCAGCTCAGGTGTGGAGAGTAGTGAAGGTATGAAATTTTACTCTAGTCAAAGTCTCAAGGTTCTAGATTTCAAAATTACTAAAAAGAATTGTGCCAACCTTTTTCCCCCAGTCTTGCTGATCTATGATTAATCTTTAAAAATTTTACAAAAAAAAATCGAACATTTTTGACAGTAAGACAAAAATAAAAAGGCCAATGCTGAAAAAGGAATTACTAATTTTATTTATACTCTGCATTTATAAATGACCTCTCCTAATGTTTAGTTAATATGAGGTGAACTTACCCATGATTACCCGAGATCATACGAATAAACATTGGAGAACTAAAATTACATTTACTAGCAATATACAGCTTTAAAGACTAAGCTGGATTGTGACAGTTTTTAAAAAGTCCAGAAAGGAAATGGGTAAGGTATTTTGACCAAGAATAGCCCCGTTCTTTGATTGAGCTTTATAGGAATTCTCACAGGATGGAAAAAATGAACTCTCTTGAAGATATCTTCCCAGAAAGAGTCTACCCTAAAATGCGGTGTGAAGAAATATTACTGTTACAGTCACAGTGACTACTTAGATGGTATCAGGAAAAAGCCAACCTAGAATGTAACCAGTGAAAACAAAATGCTCTACTGTGGGGAATTGATGTATTTTACAGCTTCTTGGTGAAATGAGAAAGACAGTAATTGAATGACAAGAGGAAAGAGAAGAGACATGGGCATCTCAAGGCTGAGCAAAGAGAAAGTTGGAGAATAAGAATGTGTCAGACTGTCATTCAACACTATTGAGCAGAGAAAGTTCCAGGGCTGGAGGGAACCTGTCGGCACTGCTTTCTCTGGGTGATGGCAGGACATAGAGCCCTAGGTGGAATGCTGGCCAGATTCCAGTCCCTCCGCTGAGCATGCTTATGCAGGGTACAACCTGCACAAATGCACATTGTGACAATGACAGGGTTACAGTAGTATTTAGTAACCTTCATAGGAATAATCTCAAGAAACAAGGTTATTTCATCACACTACCAAAACTCACTGATAATATGCCTCAAGACCTGTGTGTATTCTGACCATGGATTTTTGCTCAGCAAACCTCTAGTCTTAATATTTCCTAAGAAACAGGGTAACTGTGAGCTTCTCAGGCATATGCAACAGTAAATGTTACAAAATGGGCAATCTGGCCAAGAAAATAATAATAAAGTATGAGTATGTGGTAGGGAGAATAATGCCCCCCTAATATCCACACCCTAAGAAAATTACAGCCATATTTATTAAATGTAAGGTGCGGTGGGCAGGGGAGAGGGAGCAAAGCACGTTCACGAATGAGTTCTCAAATTGACTCTCAGAACTTATGTCCAGTGACATAGAAACCACCTTCCCAAATGGCAGAGCCTTTCTTTCCCTGGAGATAGTGGCAGAGGGAGTGGCGGCCACTGAAGCCACGGAGGATATGGGAATACAGTACCTTAAAAGGCAAAGGGACTTTACTACGTGTAATTAAGGTTAAGGACCTCAAAATAGAGAGAAGTCCTTGTTATTTGGTTGGGCCTAATCTAAACCCATGAGTCCTTAAACCACAGAACATTTTCTGGCTGGAGTCAGAGATAGTGTGGAAGACGAAGCAGAAGATAGATGTGGAAGAAAGGGAAGTCCTGAGATGCAGGGGCCATGTGTGAGAAATAGAAAGAGGCCTCTTAAAGCTGTGGAGGCCCCTAGCTGTCAGTCAGCAAGGGAACGGAGACCTGAGTCCTACAACAGTAAAGAATGGGATTCTATCAACAACCTGGATGAGCTTGGATGCGGTTCTTCCCAGAGCCCATAGGCGTCAGCCTATGAGACCTGAAGCAGAGAAACCTGTGGCCCAAACCAAACTTCTAACTGCAGTCTATGAGACAACAAACTTGTGCTATTTTATGCCACAAATTTGTGATAATTTGTTACAGCATCAATAGGAAACTAAGACAGGCACATGTTAGCAGTGAATATGGCTGCTTGAGGTAGACAAGTTACAGTCATAGGCAAAGTGTTTTTAAACTTCAAAATTACTGTGCTAAAGCCATGTGCTATTTAACTAACTTCACAGAGGAGCCTGTAAGTGCCCCTTTTGGTTTTACCCTTCCTGGAAAGTTCCTTAATCCAATGGGATCTGATTTCATTTCATGCTTGGCACTTGCATTGTATACCCACTCTTGACTTCAACCGTGCTGTTTACCTTGACTTGTCTCCATGACCCAGTATGCTTTGTTGCTTATTCATTCAACACTACTATTATGTGTTAGCTGAACCTGGCTTGATTTAGCCTTTTATTCCAGTCAGCTGGATCCCCACTGAGGTAATCATTTTGGCACCTTATCCAATAGCTGGCTCCCTGCCAATTTCATTTTGTGAATTGGGTAGACATCACTGAAATTTAACTATCCCTGGGTGAACTGATGCCACTGAGTTTCTGAACAAGCAATTGAGATCTCAGTGGTGAAGGTGAGTTTCCAGGTGCTGTTCACCTTGGCAGTCACTTGGCCTCTTCTTTTACTATTTCTTGTCTTTTTGTTTTTAAATTTTTAAAGTATTTTATGGGTTTTTTTTTTTTTTTAGGGACAGGGTCTTGCTCTGTCATCCAGCCTGGAGTGCAGTGCCATGATCATAGCTCACTGTAACCTTGGACCCCCGGGCTCAAGCAATCCTCCCACTTTAGCCTCCTGAATGGTTGAGACTACAAGTGCATGCCACAACACCTGGCTAATTCTTATTTATTTTTTATGTATTTATTGTAGAGACAGGGTCTCACCATGTTGGTCTCAAACTGCGGGCCTCAAGTATTCCCCCTACTTTAGCCTCTCAAAGTGCTTGGACCTTAATCTTTCATACATTACATAGTGTCATAGTTTCCAGCCTGCTTGGGACTCTTCGCACGCCCACTTTTCCTCTTACATTCCCCTATACATGAGTTATTCTACAAGAATTCATATGATTAAAGAAGGATTGCAGGTAAGATTTTAATAATGAGAAAAGGGTAGTGGCAGAAAATGAAAAGTTTAAGAAAAGTTTTGAGCAAGCAAGCTGCATAATGAAACTTAAGTCAAGAAAGTAATTTCAACCATGGAGGAAAGGACTCTAACCACAATATTTAGAAAAATTCAAAAGTGATGGAGTTTTAATTATAGCTGTAGATTGTATTGTGGAAGTAGTGCCCCTTCTTTTTTTATTTTCTTTAAAATATAGTATGAGTGAGAAGGTAGTTATTGTCTCTTTTTTTAATTTTTCTGTTATACAAGTTATTGAATGCAGAAAGCAATGTGTCTTTAGACTTTAAGAGTTCTTCTTTCCCTTTTTTTGACAAGATCATTTTTTAAATTTTTTTATTTTTTATTTTTATTTTTTTAATTATACTTTAAGTTTTAGGGTATATGTGCTCGCAAGGACAAAAAAACAAACACCACATGTTCTCACTCATAGGTGGGAATTGAACAATGAGAACACATGGACACAGGAAGGACAAGATCATTTTCTGGAATATATATGTAGTGCTTTAAAAGTTTTGCTAAGCAAATCTTTTTGCAGAACACAAATTATGTTAAAGTAATATATATAGTGTTCACAAAAGTAAATGGAAGTAAATATTATTACTTCTCAGAATGAGAGTGGCTTCACAAAACTGGACCTCTATTCATGGATATTATCAGAATTTATTATATAAAAAGTACTATAGGGGTCAGCTAGGTGACTCAAATCCTTTGCCCTCAAAGAATTTCAATGTATACTTCAAGAGCTATAATATCTTACAAAGCCCTAAAGACTCTTGCCCTCCAAGCTTAATCTATCACTTGCACTGTTATTAGGGGAGCTGGAGCTAGAACTCGAGGGTGGGAATGAGGGAGGCCAATGTCTGTTATTCCTATAGTCATAGTGCTGCCTTATGTCCTTTCCCCAGGCTCCTGGATAATTGATAACTGCCTATGGGGCTTATGCTTAAGATACCTGACGGCAGAGAATATTAATTCATTGTAACAGAGAAAAACTTAGGTGAAAAGATTTGTGTTTATAATTTCTTCTAGAGCAAGGACCTTTCCTGAGTATAGTATACCTTTTGTAAGCATTTGAACTGAGTTGTGCAATCAATGTATTTTTAATGTAGAAATTTTTTATTTTATAACTAATAAATGATTTATTTATTTTTATATTATTACAGGTTCAGGGGGTACATGTGTATGTTTGTTATATGGATATATTGTGTAATAATGGGGTTTGGACCTCTAGCAAACCCATACCCCAAGTAGTGAACATTGTACCCAATAGGTAGTTTTTCAACCCTTACCCCATTTCTCCTTCCCCTCTTTTGGAGTTCTCAATGTCTATTGTTTCCATCTTTATGTCCATGTGTACTGACTGTTTAGCTCCCACTTATAAGTGAGAACATGTAATATTTGATTTTCTGTTTCTGTGTTATTTCACTTAGTATAATGGCCTCCAGCTTTGTTCATGTTGCTGCTTAAAGGACATGATTTATTCTTTTTTATGGCTGCGTAGTATTTCACAGTGTATATTAACAACATTTTCTTTATCCAATCCACTGTTGATGGATATTTAGGTTGATTCCATGACTTTGCTATTGTGAATAGTGATTTAATAAACATATGAATACAAGTGGGTTTTTTTGTTTGTTTGTTTTGATAAAACTATCTCTTTCCATTTTGGTAGATACCCAGTAGTGAGATTGCTGAGTGGAATGGTAGTTCTATTTTTAGTACTCTAACAAATCTCCATACTGTTTTCCATAGGGGTTGAACTAATTTACAATCCTACCAACAGCGTATAAGTGCTTCCTTTTCTCCACATCCTCATCAGCATCTGTTGTTGTTGTTTTTTGGGTTTTTTTTTTTTTGACTTTTTAATAATAGCCTGGCTGACTGGTATGAGATGGTATCTCATTGTAGTTTTGATTTGCATTTCTGTGATGATTAGTGATGGTGAGCATTTTTTCACATTTGTTGGCTGTGTGTGTGTCTTCTTTTGAAAAGTGTCTGTTCATCTCCTTTGCCCATGGTTTAATGGTTTTTTTATTTGTTGAGTTAAATTCCTTATAAATTCTGGATATTAGTCCTCTGTTGAATGCATATTGCAAATATTCTCTCCCATTCTATATGTTATCTGTTTACTCTGTTGATTTTTAAAACATTTTTGCTGTGTAGAAGCTTTTTAGTTTAATTAAGTTCCATTTGTCTATTTTTGTTTTTGTTGCATTTGCTTTTAAGGTCTTAGTCATAAATTCTATGCCTAAGCCAAGGTCTAGAAGAGTTTTTTGTAGGTTTTCTTTTTAGGAATTTTATAGCTTCAGGTATTACATTGAAGCCTTTAATCCATCTTGAGTTAATTTTTGTATATGGCAAGAAGCAGCGGTCCAGTTTCATTCTTCTCCCTATGAATAGCCAGTTTTCCCAGCATCATTTATGGAATAAAGTATTCTTTTCCCATTGTTTACTTTTGTCAACTTTGTTTAAGTTAACTTCATTGTAGACGTGTGGCTTTATTTCTGGGTTCTCCATTCTGTTCCATTGATCTGTCTATTTTTGTATCAGTACTATGTTGTTTTGGTTACCAAAGCCTTGTAGTATTGTCTAAAGTGAGATAATGTGATGCCTAAAGCTTTGTTATTTTTGCTTAGGATTGCTTTGACTATTCAGGCTCTTTTTTGGTTCTAAATGAATTTTGGGATTGTTTGTCTAATCTTGTGAAAAATGAGACTGGGAATTTGATAGGAATTACATGGAATCTATAGATTGCTTTGGGCAGTATGGTCATTTTCATGATATTGATTCTTTCAATCCATGAGCATGAAGTGTTTTTCCATTTGTTTGTTGCACCTGTGATTTACCTTTTTGTGCCCGTCATAAATGAAATAAGGTTCTTGATTGGGTTATCAGTGTGAATATTACTAGTGTTTAGAAATGCTACTGATATTTGTACATTGATTTTATATACTGAAACTTTATTGAAGTGTTGTATCAGATCTAGGAGTCTTTTGGAGAAATTTTTAGGGTTTTCTAGGTATAGAATCATGTCATGAGCAAACAAATGATTTGACTTCCTTTTTTCCTATTTGGATGACTTTTATTTCTGTTGGCTAATTACTGTAGCTTTGACTTCCAGTACTATGATAAATGGAAGTGGTGAGTGGACATCCTTGTCTTGTTCTAATTCTCAGGGGAATGCTTTCAACTTTTGCCCATCATCGTGATGTTGGCTGTGGTTTTGCCATACATGACTCTTATTATTTTTAGGTATGTTCTTCCAATGACTAGTTTGTTGAAGGTTTTTATCATGAAGAGATGTTACATTTTATTGAGTGATTTTTCTGCATCTATTGAGATAAGCATATGGTTTTCTTTTTAGTTTGTTTATGTGGTGAATCACATTTATTGATTTGCATGTGTTGATCCTCACATCCCAGGAATAAAACCCAATTGTTCATGATGAATTATCTTTTAATATTTTTATATATTTTTTGCAACTATATTCATCAAGGATATTGGCCCGCAGTTTTCTTTCTTCTTCTTGTCTTTGCCATATTTTGGTATCAGGATGATACAGGTTTTGTTGAGTGAATTAGGGAGGAACATGTTTTCCTAGATTTTCTGAATAATTTCAGTAAGATTGGTAGAATCTCTTCTTTGTATGTCTTGTAGAATTTGGCTGTGAATCAGTCTGGCCCTGGGTTTTTTTGTTTGGTAGATTTTTTATTACGAATTCAATTTCATAACTCATTATCAGTCTGTTCAGGATTTTCATTTCTTTCTGGCTCACTCTGGGGAGGTTGTATGTTTCCAGGAATTTATCCATTTCCTCTAGTTTTCTAGTTTGTGTGCATAGAGATGTTCATAGTAGTTCGTGAGAATCTTTCATACTTCTGCAGTATCAGTTGTAATGCCACTTTTGTCATTTCTGATTGTGCTTATTTGAATTGCCTCTCTTTTTTCTTGGTTAATCTAGCTAGTGGTCTATCAGTTTTGTTTATTCTTTCAAAAAAGCAACTTAAAAAAAAATAGAGATGGGGTTTCACCATGTTGCCCAGGCTGGTGTTGAACTCCTGGGCTGAAGTGATCTTTCAACCTCGGCCTCCCAAAGTCCTGGGATTACAGGTATGAACTATTGCACCTGGACACAAAGAACCAACTTTTCATTTTGCTGATTATTTTTATAATAATTTGTTATTATCCAAATAAATTATATAAATTATTGATATAATAATCAATAATTTGATTGTATAATCAACAAAATGAAAAGTTGTATGGGTCTTTTTGGTCTCAGTGTCATTTAGTTCTGCTGTGATCTTTGTCATTTCTTCTGCTAGCTTTGGGTTTGGTTTGGGTTTTTCTAGTTCTTTTAGGTGAGACATTAGGCTGTTGATTTGGGAGCTTTCTATCTTTTTTTTCCAAATAACTTATTTGATTTCTACCTTAATTTCATTGTTTATCCAAAAGTCATTCAGGAGCAAGTTGTTTAGTTTCCATGTGCTTATGTGGTTTGGGGAGTTCCTTTTGGTATTGATTTCTAATTTCACTTCACTGTGGTCTGAGGCAATGCTTGATATGATTTTGGTTATTTTGATTATATTGAGACTTGTTTCATGACTAAGCATGTGATCAATTTTAGAGAATTTTCCACATATAGATGAGAAAAAGTGTATATTCTGTGGTTGTTGGGTGAAGTATTCTGTAAATGTATATTAGGTTCAATTGAAGTCCAGAAATTTTTTGTTAGTTTTCTCCCTCAATTATTTGTCTAGTTCTTTCAGTGGAGTGTTGAAGTCCCCCACTATCAAATGGCTGTCTATCCCTTTTGTTAGGTCTAGTGGTATTTATGAGTCTGGGTTCTCTAATTTTTATAATAGCCTTCTTTGTCTTTTTTTTTTTTTTGAGATGGAGTCTCACTCTGTTGTCCAGGCTGGAGTGCAATGGTGCGATCTCGGCTCACTGCAACCTCTGCCTCATGGGTTCAAGCTATTCTCCTGCATCAGCCTCCAAAGTAGCTGGGATTAGAAGCACCTGCCACCACGACGGGCTAATTTTTGTATTTTTAGTAGCAATGGGTTTTCACCACGTTGGCCAGGCTGGTCTCAAACTCCTGACCTTAGGTGATCTGCCCACCTCAGCCTCCCTCCCAAAGTGCTGGGATTACAGGTGCGAGCCAGTGGGCCTGGCTTCTTTGCCTTTTTTTTTTTTTTTTTAACTATTGGTAGTTTAAAGACTGTTTTATCTGATACAAAAATAGTTACCCCTGCTCTTTTGTGTTTTCTATTGCATAATAGATCTTTCTCCATCCCTCTCCTTTGAGCCTGTGGGTGTAATTAGGCATCAGATGAGTCTTTGAAGGCATCAGAAAGTTGGGTCTTACTTTTTTTTAGTCAATTTGCCACTCTATGTCTTTTAAGTGAGGTATTTAGAGTGTTTACTTTCAAGGTTAATATTAGTATGTGAGGTTTTGTTCCCGTCTTAGTGTCATTAGCGAGTTGCTTTCTAGTCTCAATTGTCTAATTACTTCATAGATTCTGTGAACTTTGTACTTATGTGTGCTTTTATGGTAGTAAGTATCATTCTTTTGTTTACATGTTCAGAAATTCTTTGAGCATTTCTTCTATGACTGCTCTGTTGAAGAATTACTTTGGTGTTTACTTGTCTGGGAAAGACTTTATTTTTCTTTTATGAAGCTTAGTGTGATAGGATATAACATTTTTGGCTGGCAGATTTTTTTTCTTCAGAATGGCTAAAAATAGGCCTCTATCGCCTGTTAATTGTAAGGTTTCCACTGAGAAGTCCGCTGTCAGTCTGATGGAATTTCCCTTCTAGGTAATTTGACCCTTTTTTCTAACTGCCTTTAAGATTTTTTTCTTTTGCATTGACTTTGGTTAATCTGATGACTATATTCCTTGGGGACAGTCATGTTGTATAGTATTTTGCATGTGTTCTCAATTTTTTTGTATCAGAATGTTGACTTCTCTAGCATGATTAGGGAGATTTTCCTGAATTGTTTCTCTTAATATGTTTTACAAGTTGCTTACTTTTTCTTCTTCTCTCTCAGGAATGCCAATAAGCTGGAGATTTTGTTGTTCTTATATAATCCCATATTCTTAAAGGCCTTGTTCGGTTTAAAAATCCTTTTCCCTTTATTTTTGTCTGATTGGGTTAATTCAAATGTCTGGTCTTAAGGTTATGAAATTTTTCTTCTGCTTGGCCTAGGCTACTGTTAAAGCTTCCAACTTATTTTAAAATCTCTTTAGCAACTTTTTCAGTTCCAGAAGTTCTATATGGTTTTTTCTTAAAATAGCTATCTTGTGTTTCATGTCCTGAACCGTTTTTATGGTTTATTTGTATTGGATTCCAACTTTCTCTTTGATCTCATTTAGTTTCCTTGAAACCTGTATTTTGAATTCTTCATCTGTCATTTCAGAATTTTCAGCTTGGTTAGTATCCAATGCTGGAGAGCTGTGCCATCCTTTAGAGGTGTCAAGACACTCTGGCTTTTTGTACTGCCAGATTTCTGGTAGTGATTCCTTCTCATCTTAGAGAGGTGCCACTTGTAATTTTTTGAATTCGCTATCATTTGGATAGGACTTTTTCGTGTTTTTATATTTCCCTTGAGTGTATGACTGTGATATATGTGTATGATCATTTTGTTTTGTTTCTGTGTGCGTTCAGGGAGCCAAGGCTCTTTATGGGTTCCATGGTTGTGGATAGCATCTGCAGCTTTCTTAGTCGCTGCTTGTTGCAGCGATGTATTAAGTCTTCGAGCTGACACACTATCCCCTGCAAGGCTGAGGGTGTGGAGATCTCATGAAGCTTGTCTCCGGGACCAGCGCTAAGCCCTTCTGGCAGCAATTTTTGTTTTGTTCTGTTTGATGGTGCACTTCAGGCTGCAATTAAGTAGTAGCCCTTAAAAGTAAGAGCAGGCTTGCCCTCAGGCGGGCTGATGAGCTGTGAAAGAACTTGTTCTGAGAGAGGGTAGAGGGAAGAGATCATGTTAGGATGCACCAAGGTCTTGAAGGAAGGAGTGAGAGGTGATGCACAGCTCCTCATCCTGAGCTGGCAGGAACTGATCTGCTCCCCTATCGTGCCCTTGTCACAGGGCTCATGACCTTCAGCAGTTCATAAACACTTTGTCCTTTGGTTCTTGGTTTCAGTGTGGCTGTGGGCCAGAGATACAGTCTTCTCATGGCTACCACCAAAATGGGCACTTAGGGCATAGCCTCTTTCCCAGTTCGGAGCAGGCAATTCTGCAGCTTGTCTATTCTCTGTTGCTGGGATGCTGCCACTCTGTTTAGGGAGAGGTATTTGCCATCCAGCTTTTGTGTACAGTCAAGTGGCTGGGCTCACTTTCAGTATAGGTGGGGCCATTGCAAAAATTGCAAATATGCTTCCTCCAAAGAAACACTGCTGTGTTCACAATAGTGGATGAGTGAGCAGAAGATGACCCCCTCTACATGTTTCTTCCCAGGCATTAGTGCTGCCTCCTTCAGTGATTGCCGCGGCACCCATATTTCCTTTGTCCCAAGGAGTTTTTGGCTGGCTGTGCTCCCCCCTCCCTTAGAGATGACCCATGCCAAGAGTTATACTTACTGGGGTCCCAACACCTCCTCAGGGACCCATTTCCTTTACTTGTTAAAGTCGGAGTAGGTCTGTGGGGTATGTTTATGGGGAACCTGGTGGTGTGCTGACACATGGGAAGAGAATTTCAGGGCAAAGCAGTGGCCCACAACCAGTATGGTGGCTGCTGTCTCAGTTTGGGTCTGAGGGAAGTGCGGGCACACCTGCATGAGGTGGCCACCCAGTTCTCTGTTCTTGGGTAGTCTCCAAATCACCACTGATAGAATTGCCCTGGGTCACAAGGGCAGAGGGTTTCCAGATTTTGGTAGTCAGCAGATCGTCACAGGGGTGAGGGGAGCAGAGATGCACTTCCACCTACTTTTCCCAGAGGGCTCTGAGTTCCTTGGGGGCTGATCTTTGCCAGACTCTTGCTGCTTTCCTTTTCTGTACCCTGGCTTCTTACCATGGACACTCTGACAGGTCCTGGCTCTCTTTTCTCAGTTTTCCATTTGGAACTTGTGTATTTGCTGGTAATTCTGATCTTCTTTCTGAGGAGACCTGGCATCCAATGTCCATAGCCAGCCATTTTGAAATAAAAAAACATAGAATTTTAATTCACAATATTTTCATTCAGAGCAGTTGGAAATTAGGTGTGTTCTGTTTCCAAGGATGGGTCTAGTCTGTGTGGAGGAGAAAAGGTTGTATTACGCTTTGCTAGTTTACTTCAAAAAGTCACTGTTGAATTCTTTACACTTTGTGTAACTTTTGGCTTTGTAGGTTAGAAATGTTTCAATATGATTTATTAAATTTTTATTGTATTGGATAGTAAGTTAAGAGCAAAAGCTTCAAATCAATACTTTCTTCATTGATTTTGTTTGGCTTAAATGATTTATTAAGCTGCAGGCTTAAAGAAACAAATTGAAGAGAAACAAAGGTATGTGTATTAGCCAGAGTTCTCCAGATAGAGAGAGAGAAATTTAGTTACTTAAGGAATTGACTCACTTAATAATTATGGTTCCTGGCAAGTCTGAAAGCTATAAGGCAGACAGGCAGGGTGAAAATTCAGATAACAGTTGATGTTGCAATCTTGAGTTCAAAATTGTTAGGGCCAACAAGCAGAGTTTCTACATTGCAGTCTCGAGGAAGAATTCCTTTTTCTTTGGGGAACCTCAGTCTTTACTCAAGACTTGCAACTGATTAGATGATGCCTGCCCATATTATGGAGAGTAATCTGCTTGCTTAGAGTCAACAAATTTAAATGTCAATTATATATATAAAATACCTTCACAACCACATCTAGACTAGTATTTTACCAGGTAACTGGGGACTACAACCTTGCCAAGTTGAACAATAAATTAATCATCAGAGTCCACTGCTTGTCAACTTGATACCTATACACATTTTTATAAGCCATACTTAATATCCAAATAAAGACAAAAACAAAGTATCATTTCTGCCAAACATGATACTACTATCCTATATACAACTGGAAATGCACTTACCCTTTCCCCAGAAGAGGATGCAAAATCCTTCAGTAATGTTTACTTTTCTCCTTGATATTCTGTTACTTATATACTATGATGAAAAGTTCACAATGCTTAAAATACTGTGGTATAAAGTTAATTTATCTCATGTTACATGACAAAGAAATAAGAGAGAAGAAAACAAGAACACTTTCTATGTACAAATACGTATATGCAGACATATTCATAATAAGGATATGTTATAATAATTACAGTCTATTTCTGCGATGGGTCATGTGGTCATAGCTGTATTTATAACTACCTTCTTTCACTATCTATTCCATATTTCCTTTACCCTCAGCAAGGACCTCAGCAGGTCTTGGTTTTGTACCTGGTAGAGTGACTCAAACCTTCAGTACTGAAGACTCTGGGCCATTAGCAGTCCTTCCAGAATTGGGTTGTTACTGTTTGCCATGAACTTTCACCACAGGGCATACTAGTACTGGGAGATTGTGGGGCTGTTAGGGTTGTGAACCTCCTTAAAAATGTGTCAGCTACAGGAAGTGCTGAGATAATGGTAGCCCAGGCAGGAATTGGCTCTCAAACCTTCAGAGCATTGTAGGAAACTTTTGATTTCAATAATTGTTAGATGCCACCTAGAGGTCATATTTGTTCCTCAACTTATGTTTAAATTGTGATAGGGTAAAACAATTCAAACACATCATAAAGAATATTGTTACTTCAATAAATATTTTTGCTAACTGTATTTATGATCATGTTTTAAAAATATACAAGGACATATTATATTCTCTGATTTAAAATATTCAGTTGTTATATAGAATTCAAAATAAGAAATGCAACATGGCTATAAAAATATAAAATATAATGTAAATGTAGTTGAGGTGGTATTTTGCATATACTGGAAACTAACAATAATCGAGAGAGCTGGATTGAATACCTATGAAAAAATGGGTGCAGATCGGAAGAAAATCTGATAGACCAACTAGATGTTTACTGCATTTTGCAATCTCTATCCTATCCATTCACTTTTATGAGGTGTTTTGCATGTGTGACTTTTTAATAGGGCACAGTCTTATAAAATAGTCTCAATATATTTACCATAGGAAGGTTTTTGAGCTGTTATACCCCAGGGATCTTGATTTTGCAGAAATTATACCTGCCTTTCTGAGGTTAAATGCTGCTAGAACTTCCCCGATCCAACTAGGTTAATGAGATACTTCAGACAGAAGTTCACATACTGGAAAAAGCTTTGAGGTCCCTGAGGAGGAGAATTTCTCCCAAGGGATGCGAGACCCTTTGCTGATAAACCTGAGTAAGAGAAGGGCACCGGAGTTCACATGGAGGGCTGCATCAGGTGGCTGAACATTATTTGGCTGAGGATGCAAGTTTCTCCTGCTTCTGCCATCTTGGTGGGGTGGCCAACCTATGGAAGCATGGGCTAAATACATTCAGAATTATAAACTTGAAACAAAAATGTGAGGCATCACTGCAGCTCTGCAGTGATCTTGACTAGCCACAGGATCATGACAAAAAATGGACCGTCTCCTTCGAACCATAAAAGATGATTTACAGGCCAGGCACAGTAGCTCATGCCTATAATCCTAGCATTTTGGGAGGCTGAAGTGGGTGGATCACTTGAGACTAGGAGTTCAAGACCAGCATGGCCAATATGGCGAAATTCTGTCTCTACTAAAAATACAAAAATTAGCCAGGCATGGTCACAAGCACTTGTAATCCCAGCTACTTGGGAGGCTGAGGCAGGAGAATTGATTGAACTCTGTAGGTGGAGATTGCAGTAAGCTGAGATCATACAACTACAGTCCAGTCTGGGTGACAGAGTGAGAATTTTTTTTTCTAAAAAAGAGATAATTTACAGTAATAACCCTGTATCACTATTACATAACACTAGCTTTCTCTCCCTTTGGCTAGCATTTGGAAGCAGAACTAACACTTTGGGAATGTTTAGATGTTGAAGGATCTTAGTTCAGAACACGCTGGTTCTCATGAGGGAGATGCTCAATTATGTCTCCGTGTCTCTTTTGACCACTTATTGTTAAATACTTTTGCCTTGTTGCTGGCTGTGTTTCAATTATTGGTAAACCCTATTTCCTGGGTTTACCTTTTGTAAGGAATCCAATGCTTACTTCTGGGCACAGAAGGTAGGGTCAGAGTGAGGCATTCCAAAATCCTAGGTGGAGCCTAGGATGTGATACTTTCTTCTCAGGAGCTATGCCATGGGAATACTATTTTGGGCAGCATCTTATAAATACATTGAATTTGGAGGCCAGGAAACTTGGGACTAGTCTGATGACAGAAGCTGAAAAGACAAGTTTCAATAAGGAGGGTAATGGAGAGGAGTGGGGACAGGGAAGGTGTGCTAATATTTTACTGGGTACCTACAGCCTTGGGAATGAGTGAGGAGACCAGCAGAAGAGTTAGGGCCTCAGGGCCACTGACCAGTTGGGATTGTAAAGACCAGCAATTGCTGAGCTGTGTCTGGATATGCCTAATGAGGGTTCAGGTCCCCGTTCAGCATTTCTGGGACTCCAGACCTATTAAGAATCCTGCTAGAAGACTAGGGCTCTAAATTATTCTCAAAGCAAAGAAATAACAGAGGCTAACTGTTCTCTAAGATCCAGAGCATCTGTTTCTCTCAAATAGATATATAAACTAAATCCATTAGCAATTTTTGTCATATGTACACTGATATTGCAACCATAAAACCATCAGTCATTAGCTCATTTGTGGTTAGCTACTTAAAAGAAAAATCTACACAGCTTATTGGCTAGATCTTTGAATTAGACAATAAAACTTCCAGATTACAGATTTCCTGGTACATTCAATATCCTTAAATTTATGTCAAGTGTAATTACATAATTACATGTAGTTTATCTCTGAATATGGTCAATTTTCCTTTTGCTGGTAGTGCCACAAACAATCATGAATAATCATCCCACGTGCAATAAAAAATAACTAAGGTATATTCAGAGAACTTACTATTAAGGATTAATTGAATTGTGTTCATTGTCTGGTTGAAACACTATAGCAAAATCTAAATTGATTTCTGGCAGTTTATGGGTCATTTAAAACAATTTTCCAAAGCAAAAAGTATATAAATTGGCTAACACAAGAAATACTATCTCCCTAAGGGACATCAAAGTTCCAATATCAATCCAAAAATTAAATTTAAATTTAAGCCAGACTGGGCAACCTGCAAATGACCTTGTTAATTATCAACTAAGGCTATCCTAATCCATACCTAATCAATAAGGGACTTTCTAAGGGAAACTTTGGTAAAGGTGAGTGGAGACTGTCAATTTTACAGGCAAATGTTATTTTTGAAAATGTTTTGGGATGTCATAAAATGCTCAATAACCACTTTATATGAGTGTAACTGCCTTGCCCACTGTGAAACTGTATTAGTCTTTGGGGCCAACATCACATATGGAGTAGAAAAGAGAGAATGGCCTGTCTAGTTTTCAGTGCATATCCTTGAGGAGTAGAGGCTGTCGTGTGACAAAATTATCTATTTTAAACCTTGTATCATTCATTCATTCATTCATTCTCTTTACCTTGTTTCTTTATCTGCCCCTTTAATCACTACTTACACTATGCTTGACGGGTGCTACATATTCCTGCAAAATATATCCATGAACTTTGATTGGCAGTGGGCATGGAAATTAACAAATAGTTTCATGGTCTTAAAAGCTACAATGCTCAAAACAAAATAAAATGAAAAACCATAGGGCATACTGTGAAAATGAAATGCATCATTGCTTCTAAGTTCTGTTAACTTCTCTACTGATTTCACTTCTATTACGTTTTCTGTTTCTTCCATCAGGTTATGCTGTCTAGCAACTTCCGTGGAGTAATTTAACACCATATATATGATTATGTGCAGATATTCTTATGACTTATGAAGGATACAGAGAAAGAAAGGAAAATGTGCTCTATATCTGAGTAAATACTAGTCATTTACACTGAACTGGATATTACCCATTTTATTATTTTCTGAATAATTTTAATATACATTATTGTTCAAATAATTATAATAATAATATACATTAATACATTATTATTCAAAGTACTGAGCCAGTCTTCTGGAGTCCCTTAAGACTTTGCCATGACCTCTCAACCAATTTCACCTCCCTCCACATGTAAGCAAAAATTATGGCAGAACTGGGCTCTTTTTATTTAATATTTCCCAACGGTTCCCTTGCTCTTTCCTGATTAATGTGGAATCATCACAAGTAAATATGACACAAAGCTTCCTATGTTCTCTGAAGTTCTTTATATATTTATCCCAGTTTGAGAAATTTATTATTAATGACTCTCTAGTGAGAAGGGAGGAGGTAATTGAGACAGCACAGTGAGTAAGAGTTGAGATATGGGAATTAGGCAGCTCAAATTTAAGCATGTTTCTCCTGCTTTTTAATTTTACAACCTCAAATAAGTTTCTTAATCTTTGCGCAACTATTTTACACATCTTTACATTTTGAAAAATAAAATTGTTTGAGTTATCTCTCTGTATATTTAATATCACCCATTTTCACTCTCGAAATGTTCTGCTTTGAGCAATACATTATATGGCCACACAATTGATTAAGATTGCAAGTTGTACAGATAATACTCGTTACTGTTATTTGTTAATACCTTTTGCCATAGCAACTGTAAGATGTAAAATATCCTAGTTTGGGTTTTTCATCTTGTATTAAGGAATAGTAATTACCAGAGGGGGAAAGATAAGCAAGGAAGAGATAAAAAAATACAAATTAGACAGTCATTTTCTGAATAAGTCAGAAATGATTGTGGTTTTTTTTTTTTTTTTTTTTTTTTGCTGTCATACAAACAGGCATGCCAGAAATCTGATTTATTCCATAATTACTGTGCCTGGATATTATTATAAATTTTTTCTTTTTCCTGTCATTTTGTTCATATTTACAGTCGCTTCCTTCTTTTTAATTTGAATGGTATATTACATAATTTTTGTAGAGATAGCAATATCCCCCAAAGATTTCATTTACTTCTCTACATTTTTCTAGTACTTTTACAAAAGTTGGGTGGGGTCCTGGAGACCAGTTCTGGTCAATACATTGGCCAGAGCAAAGCCATGGGTCATTTCCAGGATGAGGTTTTGTAAAGCCTTGCCGCCAGGCCAACTAGTACAGATGCCAGATAGTGGGCCCTCCACCGGGCTGTCTAGAGCAGAGGCTGTGACCATCTCCCGGGAACATGTACTGAGACTGACCAATACATCTTTGGTATGCGAAGCCACAGGGATCTGGAAATTATTGATTGCCCCAGTGTAACCTAACCTTTCCTTACTGATACAGAAACTGGTACCAGGAGAGATATGCTCCTGGAACAGACAAACCAAAACACTAAAGTATATGGCAATGGTTTAGTGGCCACTGAGGAAGTGGTTATCCAACTAAAAAGATAACAACCTAGTTTTTAAGTAAACTTTTAAATTTTAGAAGTGTTTTTAGATTTACATTAGCAATCTCTTTTTGCAGGGCTGAAATATTTTGTGAAACTGGAGCCTGTGATAATTTGCAAAGTAGATCATGTAGCGTATCTATGGGAAGAGGTTGAAAAATGGAGCAGTTATAGTATTTTTATTTCTACTTAGTTGTATTTACAAGGCGTTGCAAGAAACAGATAATTTCAGTAAAGAAATTGTCAATTTGCAGCTTAATAAAAGGGAATGAGGACAGTTAGTCCTTTGAGTTAGAAGAGTCAACTGCTTTGATACCTGGCAGTAACAGGCTTAAGAAAGCCTTTTTGAGAAAAATACTCAGTACAACCTCAAGTAATTTAAATGCTTAAGGGCAAAACTAAACTAAGGATAGGAGCAACATATATATATATATATATATATAATATATATTATTATGTTATATATAATGTATTTTATTATATATAAATATATAATATATATATTAAGTTTAGAGAGAGTGAGAGTTGTAAGAGTAAGAAAGCAAACCCACATTTCATAGATGAGAATCATGCCTCAAAGAGAATGTTAGATACATTTATTAGCACATCAGACTAACTTGCATAGACTATTTAAGAAGCTCTATAAAGTTTCTGAAACAGTTATATTGCCAAAAAAGCCACTAGACTAAAAGAGATGTGGCCTTTGAATGGACTTATTAGTTCATGCTGCAGCAACAACAACTGTGAAATGTCAGTAGCTTACAGCAGGCAAAGCTCATTTCTTCTTTGCACCACAGGGCCATGGCCATCACAGGTTGGCTGTGGCTCTGCTCCACGTTTCCTTTTCTCTAGGTCCTATCTGACATTGCAAATTAGCATGGCAGAGGGCAAAGACATCATGGAGAACACGTGCTACCCTAGACATAATACATTCCATTGCTTATATGATTTTGCTTTTTGGAAAAAATTATATAACACTCAGAGGTTAACATAGAGTGGGACATACAATCCTCTTGCAAGGAGGGGAAGTGAATATTGATAATAATGAGGCTTATGACAGGGTACTAATGTTCTATTGGAAGGGATTGAGCTCAGAAAGTTGCATAGCCTGGAAGAAGGTTATACTCTTCAATGCCTGAATCAGTGTGGCCAAGGAGAGTCAGAATTAAGGAATCAAGATCCGTTTCCACCAAAGAGAGTGTCCTTAATAACATGTGTTCAGTGGAATTTGGGAATTGATACAAATAAGTCACTACTGTCAGTCCCTATTTTTCTCTTTTGTTTTTTCATTAGAGAGGGCAGTATCAGGTCCTTTTAGTCTACAGGTTTCTGGACCTAGAGCTGCTGGAGTCACATTTGGGTTTAACATAGAGATGACTGCACATCACCCAGGGACCCTGGACTTGAAGTTGAGTTTGTGACTGGATGGAATTTTTTTGGGTCCTCCTTTGGGAAGCTATTAAATGTGAGCCATATATTGGGAGAAAATAACAAAAGGATATTTGGTGACTAGAAGGATAGACAGGGCCATAGACAGTAATGCTCCCCCAAATTTCTATATTTCCCCGAATTCCCACTCATGTGACTGGTCATGGCCAGTGAACTCTGAGTGGGAGCAATGTATCACCTCCATGACTCAATTTATCATTGAATGTCTCACTCTGAGATCATGAAAAGCCCAGGTGTGGTCTGCAGCCTCTCTCTCCCTGGTGTGCAGACCAAACATGCCTTTTATTCCAGACCAACAAGTAATAGGAGGAGAGCCCTCTGCCAGGCTTGATTTCTGAAAGGGAGTGTGAAACAGTGCCTTCTGCCAAACTGCATGGGGTGTGAACCCACAGTAAAAAGTAAACCTTTGTTATGTTAAGCGTCTGAGGTCTGGGCTGGGAGGAGTGTTTTTTTTCCCTAAAACAAGGATCTAGCTTATCAAGATGAAATCAGTTATGTTTGGTAAAGCTGAAAATTCTGTATAAAGCATATCTTTTTAAATGTTATTTCATTTTCCTACATATTGCTGAGGACACTTCATGTAGCTTATCTATCCTATTCACCCATCTCTTTGCTCTTGAGGAAAAATAAGTATTAAAAGAACAATGGTGAAGAAGCAGGCACAAAGCTCTACCTACCCACAAACGCGCTGTTTCAAATGCAACAAACTGTGGGTAGAAGACTTTGATTTTCCCTTTTCACATAATGGTGCATCAGAGGTTAGAAACACTCAGGAGAAGGTTACTGAGAATATCCTTTGGGAATTCCATAATGGGTGCTTGCTATTTGTGCATTTCTTCTAATCAATGCAAAATAGCAGATTGTGGGTTCCATAAGCTAAAGTACAGGCATTTAATCACATGAATGCACACAGATCCAAAAGAAGAATTAATTATTAATGATACTGTGGTTAGGCTCCACTCCAATTAATAAATAATTTAGAATATGGTATACAGGAAAACCACATTATAATAAAAAATAAGGTAGAGTCTTAGCAGAGACCTCCAAACCAAAATTTAAGAGGTCATTTCTCAACATTGATAATTCCTAATAGGGTAGCATTCCAGTCAGTCCACTTCTGTTTATTCATAGCAACACCCATAGGCTAGCCTGAGGGGAAAGGCTTTATTAATATTTACGAAGTTATTTTCATAAGTATGTGGTAGTTCATTGTTAAAAGGACATAATTCAGCCTGTAATATGGCCTGATAAAATGAAAATTTGTACCACCCTGAGCAATTTTCAGTAATACACAGAAAGGCAACAAATTTATTTCTGCTCCCCAAACTGTGCCAAAGATTTTCAAGTCCCAAAGCTACTTTAAAGAAATTAACAACCATCTTAGAAGATAAAGCTACATCAAGTACTGCTCTAGTCTAATGGTCCATAGCTCACAGGACTAATGTATGTGACAGGTTGCTTACTCCACAATTCACCAGCAGTTAAATATTGAAAGACAAAGAGATCATCATGGGATACTATTTTCTTTTGCTATGGACTTGGTAAACATGTATTTCTTGTGGCCCTCTAGCTTCAGAATTAAAAGTATTACACTTCAACAAGACATAAACAATAAGAAGAAATTAACCTGAGAAGTCAAATATGAGAATTATTTTCAAGAACCTTCAGTCACCCCTTCTCACCCCTCCTTATCCCTCCCTCCCATGACAGTAATAGGAAAACAAAAAATGAATTCCAATTTATATTTCAAGCTACTTCTTGCAGCAATTACATTTCTGAAAACCAAAATAATTTTGGATGGCTTCACATCCAGTAAACTGTATTTGGTGTTTCCTGTTACTCCCTGTGCAGTTAATTTTTGGAGTTTGTGATGTTATGGACAAAACTGTCTCTAGGCATAATTCAATTTTCATAATTTATCATCTTTCAAAACCTGGAATTTATGCCAGGTCAGACAAAATATTAATCAACAGGACTCTCTGGAGCTTTCATTTAAGATTATAGAATTAGAACCTAAAGAGGTAAGTATTCAGATGTTGGTATAATGCTCAGATGTTGGTATAATGCTCAAACCTGTATATGATGGTTAATACTGAGCGTCAACTTGATTGGATTGAAGGATGCAAAGTATTGTTCCTGGGTGTGTCTGTGAGGGTATTACCAAAGGAGATTAACATTTGAGTCAGTGGACTGGGAGAGGAAAAACTGCCCTCAATCTGGGTGGGCACCATCTAATCACCTGCTGGGATAAAAGCAGGCAGAGGAACATGGAAGGACTAGACTGGCTGAGTCCTCCAGCCTCCATCTTTCTCCCGTGCTGGATGCTTCCTGCCCTTGAGCGTTGAACTCGAAGTTCTTTGGCTTTTGGACCCTTGGACCTACACCAGTGGTTTGCCAGGGCCTCTTGGGCTTTTGGCCACAGACTGAAAACTGCACTGTCGGCTTCGCTACTTTATTTATTTATTTTTTTTTTGAGACGGAGTCTTACTCTGTTGCCCAGGCTGGAGTACAATGGCACCATCTCCGCTCACTGCAACCTCCACCGCCCGGGTTCAAGCGAT
This sequence comes from Homo sapiens, assembly GCF_000001405.40. Classification (NCBI taxonomy): domain Eukaryota; kingdom Metazoa; phylum Chordata; class Mammalia; order Primates; family Hominidae; genus Homo; species Homo sapiens. The sequence continues at coordinate 1,508,294 of NC_000018.10, forward strand.
TCTCCTTCCTCAGCCTCCCGAGTAGATGGGATTACAGGTGTGCACCACCCCACCCGGCTAATTTTCGTAGTTTTTAGTAGAGACGGGGTTTCACCATCTTGGCCAGACTGGTCTTGAACTCCTGACCTCGTGATCCACCTGCCTTGGCCTCCCAAAGTGCTGGGATTACAGGCATGAGCCACCGTGCCCGGCCAGCTTCCCTACTTTGGAGGTTTTGGGACTCGGACTGGCTGCCTTGCTCCTCGGCTTGCAGATGGCCTATTGTGGGAGTTCACGTTGTGATCGTGTGAGTCAACACTCCTTCATAAACTCCCCTTTATATATACATCAATCCTATTAGTCCTGTCCCTCGAGAGAACCCTGACTACGAATATATATACACGTGCAAATTTCTTACATCCTCGTGCTAAATTGATCTCTTTATCATTATGTAATAATCTTCCTTGTCTCTTTTTATGTCTTTTGACTTAATGTTTATTTTATCTCAGTTTAACTACTCCTGCACACTTTTGGTTTCTGTTAATGTGGAATATCTTTTCCTATCTCTTCACTTTCAGTCATGTGGAATATCTTTTCCTATCTCTTCACTTTCAGTCTGTGTGCGTCTTTACAGGCAAATGAAGTTTCTTTTTTTTTTTTTTTTTTTTTTGAGACGGAGTCTCGCTCTTCCGCCCAGGCTGGACTGCGGTGGCGCGCGGCTCATTGCAAGCTCCGCCCCCCGGGTTCACGTCATTCTCCTGCGTCAGCCTCCCGAGTAGCTGGGACTGCAGGCGCCCGCCACCATGCCTGGCTAATTTTTTGTATGTTTAGTAGAGACGGGGTTTCACCGTGTTAGCCAGGATGGTCTCTATCTCCTGACCTTGTGATCTGCCTGCCTCGGCCTCCCGAAGTGCCGGGATTACAAGCGTGAGCCACCATTCCCGGCCCAAAGTAAGTTTCTTTTAGGCAGCAAATATTTGTCTTTAAAAAAAAAATCCATTCAGGCAGTCTGCATCTTTTAATTGGGAAATTTCAGCTATTTACATTCAAGATTGTTACTGATAGGTGAGGAGTTACTCCCAGCATTTTGTTTATGTTTTCTGGTTTTTCATATCCTTTGTTCCTTTCTTCCCCTTTTATTGTTTACCACTATGATTTGGTGATCTGGTATAGTGTTAACATTTGATTTCAGTCTCTTTCTCATTTTTGTATTTGGTCTACCAAGTGAGCTTTATATTTTGTGTATTTTCATGAGGGTAAATATCTTCCTTTTACTTCCAGATGTAGAACTCCCCTAAGAATTTTTATAGGGCTTGTCTCGTGGTGATGAATTTCCTGTTTTTGCTTATTTGGAGAAGACTTTATTTCTCCTTCATTTTTGGAAGATAGCTTTGTTGGGTAAGGTATATTGGCTGGCTGTTTTTTTTCTTTCTACATTTTAAATGTATCATTCTATTTTCTTGTGGCTTATAAGGTTTCTGCTGAGAAATACCCGTTATTCTGATAGGGATTCCTTGTATGTGATTTGATACTTTTGATGTTTTTAGAATTTGCTCTTTGTCTTTGGCTTTTGATAGTTTGAGTGCAATATGCCTTGGAGAAGACCTCTTTAGATTGAATCTCTCTGGGGTCTTTAAGCTTATTGTATCTGTGTTTCTACATCTCTTGCATGACTTGAGAAGTTTTCAGTTATTATTTCATTAAATGGGTTTTCTATGCCTTTGTCCATTTCTTCTGCATCTGAAACTCCCAAATTAAAAAATATATATATAGTTGTTTTATGGTGTTCTGTATGTCACATAAGCTTTCTTCCTTTATTTAGTTTTCTTTCTCTAAATGGGTTATTTGAAAAGACCTGTCTTCAAGTTCAGAAATTCTTTCTTCTGCTTGATCTAGTCTCTTGTTGAAGCTCATGATTGTGTTCTTTAAATTTATTTTTTGAATTCTTAAGTTCTGGGATTCCTGTTTGGTTCTTTTAAAATTATATTTACCTCTTTGTTAAATTTCTCATTCAAATCACTTTTATTTCTGATTTCTTTCCATTGTTTTTCTGTGTTCTCTTGTATCACAGAGTTTTAAAAATTTCCTTATTTAATAGATGTATTTATAGTGTTGGTTGGGTAGGGTGCTTTGCCTTTGATTTTTGGTGGGTGTGGGAGTGTAGTCTTTATATAATTTCTCTGGCTGTAATCAATGTCAGTAGTGTCTGTTCATTCCTTACAGCCTTAACTTCAGTTGTTAGTAGAGACTGTAGCAAGGCTTTGTTGGGGATGGAAATGCAAGGTGGGCTGGTCCTCAGGCACCAGTAGTGGCAGCAGCAGTCAGGGCATGCTGGTCCTTGGGCTCTTGTGCAGTGGACACGGGCACCAGCAGTGGTGGATCTGAGTGAGTCAGTCCTCAGGCCTCCTGGCAGCATGCTCAGGTGCTGTGGTATCAGCAGAGGGCTAGGCAGGCAGGTCTTTCGGATCCTTGCAGCATGCATGGCATTGGTGGTGGCAGCAGTGGTGGCAGCTCAACCCTCAGGCCCTTGAGTAGCATATGCAGACACCAGCAGTGGTGATAGCAGGCTGTTCCCCAGGCTCCCGAGTGGTGTGTAGGGGTGGGCACCAGCAAAGTGGTGGCAGTCTGGGGCAGGCCAGTCTTTGGGCTGCTGGGAAGCACATGTAGGCACCAGCAGTGGGCAAGGTAGGCTTGTCACTATGCCCCTGGATGGTATGTGCATGCACTGCTGATGGTAGGCAGGGTGGGTTGGTCCCCATGTTCCTGAATAGTGTGCAGCACAGGCAGACAGCAGTGACAGGCAGACCATGCCCAACTACAGGCTGTCAAAAAGTGTGCAAGGGCTCTGGCAGTGGCGGTCAGGGAGGGTTTCTCCTCAGGCCCCTGGACTATAGGTACCACTAGTTGTGGGTGGAGCACGTCAATCTCTGGGCCCCCAGACAGTGAGCTCAGGCACCATGAATGATGGTTGTAAGCAGGTCAGGAATATCCTCAGGCCCTTAAAGGCATGGGCTGATAGTGGCAATGGGTAGGACAGGCCTATTCTCAGACCCCAGGATGGTGCACTGGCAGGCTGATCCTCAGTCCCGCTGAAGGCACGTATGAGTATGTGGCATCCCTGCTGCTGCTGGGCGGGGAGGAATTGCTGTTAAAGGCAGCAGTCCTGTCAGGCAGCTCTCAGGCTCTGAGGAGCACAAACTTTGGCTGCCTTTCTTTTGAAGAAAGCTTCCCTGGTATGCCACACTGCCTATTCCCCAGGGATGCAGCATACTGTGTGGCACACTAGAGTGCTAGGCACCTAGGCTCACTGCTGGGTCCAGCTGGCATCACAATGCTGCAGCCTTCTAGGTGGACATGGGGGGGGGTGTCAGCTGGGCTTCAAGGATGTTGGGATTCAGGAGCTGCTGGGCCCTGGGATAGCATGTTGTCTGGTAGGAGTTGGGCTCCCATAATGGTGTGGTGATGCAGCTGCTTGTGTCCTGTGGAATACATGGGACCCAGCACCAACTTGATGGTAACTTGCAACAGTGCCATCACGTGGACTCCAGGCAGCTCCCAATGTTAGTCTCAGGGCCCAGGAGTGCTGAGGGGCTCTCCCGTGACTAGGATTCCAGGAGTCTGTGGGGGAATGTGGATTGCTGAGGATCTCTCACTTTTTGCCCGAAATAGGGAGTTCCTCCTGGCTCTGAGCCAATCTTGGCTGAGCTGGCTGTTTTGTGGTGGAGGCGAGTGCTGGCCTCTGGTCAGTCATGTTCCTCCCTTCCCTTACTCTAACAGTCACCTCTCAAAACCCAAATTTGTTCTGGAATCATTTGAAAAGAGCAGTTGAAATTATGGAAGCTTTTTGGGGCATGCAGTTATGCCAAGACAGAAAGACTGAGTTGTCACTGCCTGTCCTGGTATTAAAGATAGAATGACAGACTTCCTGTAAGTAAGAGGGCAAATGACGCATATCACTTTCACTACGCTATGCTGCCAACGAAGATGGGTGCTTTCTCTTTTCTTAAAAAAAAAAAGGCAAATATTTACTATCCTGGTTATTGTGAAAATATTTCACTTTCTGCTGTCCCAGTAGAGCTTTATTTGATTGCAAAGCCTTACATCCTCCACTCTAAGGAAGGAAATAATGAACAGATCTTTCTTTTCTTAATTATGTGTGTAACTAACTCTGTTAGAAGTGTGTTTCTTATAATGAGGCACCAATACCTATTTTGCCAAATATGCAGCCCCAAAATTCCACTGGGGGTAAGACTATTCTGAAGTGTGGACTATAAAATAAAAATGAAAAATCTATTTAATATATCTATACCAACAATCTAATATATGTACTATTTTTAAAGACCGTAAAATATGAGCACTCAAAACTGGTGTAAAATGGTTTAAAAAGTTTCAATGGCTTTGCTTTTTCCAGTGAGATTGAAAATTTGCTGCAGTATACACTGTGGGAAGATACAACATTTACAATGAGAGTGAGTGCAACCAGGGACCTTACATTTGTCAGTTTCTCCTATTTCTTTCCAGTCTGCTTTTAGATTCCTCAATAATGTTGCATGCTAACATAATTTCCCACTGCTTGGAAACAACACATACTCAGAAATCCCTCATTTTAATTAAAAGACTCTTACTGAACTAAGAGGTCTTGTCAGGACGATCTTTTTCACTTTATGTCAACTGCCTGTTCTCACTACAGATTAATTACAGATAAAATGATTTGGGGGATTTGTGAGAGGGCTATTTTTCATCTTTGTTAATATTGTTCTTTCTTTTTTACTGTTTATAAACAGCAAATACACTGTCTATGAAAGAACATTAGGTACCATCCATTAGGTATGATCTATTATTGAGTATTTTTACAGAATTCCTACCACTTGTGAGATTAAGATGACATTTTTCGGTAAGGTGATCATTCTTTATGCAAAGGAACACTATCAAGAAAATGAAAACCAAATGAGAGCAACAAGAGAAAGACTCTTCCTTTTGGATTAGTTACTTCAGACATACACAAACAAAACACATCCAGACAACCAAATAAGTATTAAAAACACCAATGGTGTTTTATCCAAATTAGATTAGAAGCCACTTAGGAAAGGTGTTATAGGAAAGTACAAATGAATCCAAGGAAGGTTGGTGAGTTTTCAGTGATAATGAAAGTTGATGTTGATCCTTGATCCCTGGAATATATGGTACCTCATGACCCTCACATATAAAGAAATGGCTCTACCCCATGGATGTTGTCAGTTATCAGAGGTCACTCTATGGAATGCCTGCCCTGACTGTCAGGGGTCCAGCCAGATTCTTACAATCCCCATGTAATGTGTAGAGAACGTCACTCTAAATGATGGGGCTAGTGAGAACAGAACATCTCTGCTGTCATCTCTGGAAACTGTCACTCTGGCAAGCCTTTTCTTATCTTTCCTGTATCACTCTGTATTTTCCCTTTCATGACTCATTCCTTCCAATTTTCTGTTTCATCTCTTTCCACTATGCCCTCTAGAGTCCAACTATGCCAAAAGCAGGAACAAAGAAAAAAAAATTCTCTTTAATTATGAAATTCCACACAAAATGCTGTATCTTGGCTGTATTAGTCTGTTTTTATATTGCTATAAAGAAATACATGAGACTGGGTAATTTATAAAGAGAAGAGGTTTAATTGGCTCACGCTTCCACAGGCTGTAAAGGAAGCATGAAGCTGGCACCTGCTCGGCTTCTGAGGAGGTCTCAGGAAATTTTCAATCGTAGTGGAAGGTGAAGGGGAAGCAGGCACATCTTCCATGGCTGGAGAAGGAGGAAGAAAGAGAGGGGAACGTTGTTACATACTTGTAAACAACCAGAACTTGCGAAAACTCTATCACAAGACCAGCACTAGGGGAATGGTGCTAAAGCATTGGAAACCACCCCCATGATCCAATCACTTCCCACCAGCCCCCACCTCCAGCATTGGGGATTACATTTCGACATGAGATTTGGGTGGGGACACAGATTCAAACCCTATCATTGGCCTTACCTTATTTCTGGGTTTTTCTCAAGTTAATAACTTCCCTTGAAACTATCCAGTAATGTCTTCTAATTTTGAGTGAGAAGGTTGCAGGCGGTGATCTATATTCTAAGTCTTTATTTCAAGCTCAGATTATTCTTCCTTCACTTTAAGGGAAGAAAATAATTCAAAATTAAAGACAAGACCTTCTTTGAGTTCCATAATTTCTGGCTCTGCTTCCATCTCATCTCTTTATTGTGATGATAAACTTCTGTGTCGACATTTACCCTAGACTCTGGACTTTCCTTCTCTGACTCCTGGATCCTGGCTACATTTCGTCTTTGAATATTCCCACCTGCAGAGCCTGAGCTCCAGCCACACTGAACCACTTGCTTTCTCCAAATGTTCCACGCTTTCTTCAGCTTCCCTGCTTTTATGCCTCTTGCTCCTTCTTCTTTTGACTCTACGGGTCTCCTCCCCACTCACACCTTCTCTTGCTTAGTAACTTCTACTTTTCCCTCTTCTTCAAACCTTTCCTTGGAATGGTTGTCCCTCTTCTGCCAGAGTGTTCTTACTGCTTGTTGATGCTCTTCACTAAACTGTATTGCTCTTTGAGGGTATAGTCTGTGCTGTGTCTCTTTCTACTGTATGTCAGAGCTACCATACAGTAGAGGTAAAATGCCTGTTTGCTCAGAGAATGAATGAGTGAACAAAGGAGGCCTTTGATAATTTAGGCAACTCATGATCCAGGTGTGGAAGGTGTGGAAGTTACTGCTCCCTCCCCAGCCATTAAACAGCAGTAGATGTCAATGACTCCCAAAATCTGCTTAATGAAGATTCACATGTTTTTCCTAACTCACTCAAATTTGTCTTTAATTTAACAGTTATTCCTCTTGACTTCTGGCTTGGCATTTAGGGTTCCTTTCAATTGTAAATCCAAACAAGTACAATAAGGCCACTAGGCAAAGAAAGAGGCAATTGTGCTAGTAATAACATGCCCAAGACTACATCTCAGCTTGAGCTTTGGCAAACTAAGCCTTAGGCCATGGTTTGGTTGGTTTCTACTTCTCTGCTTCTGAACTTCCTTCTTCAAATCATTAATTTTATCGGAACTTTTTGGCACATGGATCAGAAGAAATAAGTCTCCAAAAGGACTGAGTGAAAAGGCCAAATGGTAATCCTATATCTTGGGATTTCTTGTTATATTATATTGTATCCTGAATTTGGGTCATGGCTAAACAAATATTTTCATACACAAACACACACACACACATACACACACACACTCACACACATGACTAATATATTCATTGATCGGTGTATAGATGCTAAATACATGTCTTGAAGTTGAGATCACAGAAATTCAGTTTCATGGAATTAGTTATGGCACTGATTGATATTGGGACAGGAAAAAAGAAAATCTTCAGTATCACTTAGAAATATATATATATATCTCAAGGTTTTATATATGTATATATATGTGTGTATATATATATATATATGTATATATATATATATATATATATATATGTATATATATATGTATATATATATATATATATATATATATATATATCTCAAGATTGTGAGCAAAACTATTTAAATATCTTGTCTAATTTTTCTGTAATTTTCCTGATGAACTTTTCAGTAAGATGGAACTTTAAATTGATGGGTCATACCTCCTTAGTGTTTTCTAGCTGTCTCAGAAAAATGTTTTGGTTTCATCTCTTGACCTTTGAGAGATTCCAAGAATAGCCATTATTTTTAATGCTGGATGACTAAGGGCAAATCCTAGTGGATATGAAACATCCTAGTTCTCATGAGCCTCTGAGATTTTTACATTCCTATGTTTATTCTAATCATTTTGCAAGTGATTTTAGTTTGTCTAATTTTGAGGATGACTTGAAAATCATAACTGGAATTTTTTATTATATTCTATTCTCTTTTTTTTTGTTTAAGTTTTAGGGTACATGTGCACATTGTGCAGGTTAGTTACATATGTATACATGTGCCATGCTGGTGCACTGCACCCACTAACTCATCATCTAGCATTAGGTATATCTCCCAATGCTATCCCTCCCCCCTCCCCCCACCCCACAACAGTCCCCAGAGTGTGATATTCCCCTTCCTGCGTCCATGTGATCTCATTGTTCAATTCCCACCTATGAGTAAGAATATGCGGTATTTGGTTTTTTGTTCTTGCGATAGTTTACTGAGAATGATGTTTTCCAATTTCATCCATGTCCCTACAAAGGACATGAACTCATCATTTTTTATGGCTGCATAATATTCCATGGTGTATATGTGCCACATTTTCTTAATCCAGTCTATCATTGTTGGACATTTGGGTTGGTTCCAAGTCTTTGCTATTGTGAATAATGCCGCAATAAACATACGTGTGCATGTGTCTTTATAGCAGCATGATTTCTAGTCTTTTGGGTATATACCCAGTAATGGGATGGCTGGGTCAAATGGTATTTCCAGTTCTAGATCCCTGAGGAATCGCCACACTGACTTCCACAATGGTTGAACTAGTTTACAGTCCCACCAACAGTGTCAAAGTGTTCCTATTTCTCCACATCCTCTCCAGCACCTGTTGTTTCCTGACTTTTTAATGATTGCCATTCTAACTGGTGTGAGATGGTATCTCATTGTGGTTTTGATTTGCATTTCTCTGATGGCCAGTGATGCCAGTGATGATGAGCATTTTTTCATGTGTTTTTTGGCTGCATAAATGTCTTCTTTTGAGAAGTGTCTGTTCATGTCCGCCCACTTTTTGATGGGGTTGTTTGTTTTTTTCTTGTAAATTTGTTTGAGTTCATTGTAGATTCTGGATATTAGCCCTTTGTCAGATGAGTAGGTTGTGAAAATTTTCTCCCATTTTGTAGGTTACCTGTTCACTCTGATGGTAGTTTCTTTTGCTGTGCAGAAGCTCTTTAGTTTAATTAGATCCCATTTGTCAATTTTGTCTTTTGTTGCCATTGCTTTTGGTGTTTTAGACATGAAGTCCTTGCCCATGCCTATGTCCTGAATGGTAATGCCTAGGTTTTCTTCTAGGGTTTTCATGGTTTTAGGTCTAACGTTTAAGTCTTTAATCCATCTTGAATTGATTTTTGTATAAGGTGTAAGGAAGGGATCCAGTTTCAGCTTTCTCCATATGGCTAGCCAGTTTTCCCAGCACCATTTATTAAATAGGGAATCCTTTCCCCATTGCTTGTTTTTCTCAGGTTTGTCAAAGATCAGATAGTTGTAGATATGCGGCGTTATTTCTGAGGGCTCTGTTCTGTTCCATTGATCTATATCTCTGTTTTGGTACCAGTACCATGCTGTTTTGGTTACTGTAGCCTTGTAGTATAGTTTGAAGTCAGGTAGTGTGATGCCTCCAGCTTTGTTCTTTTGGCTTAGGATTGACTTGGTGATGAGGGCTCTTTTTTGGTTCCATATGAACTTTAAAGTGGTTTTTTCCAATTCTGTGAAGAAAGTCATTGGTAGCTTGATGGGGATGGCATTGAATCTGTAAATTACCTTGGGCAGTATGGCCATTTTCACGGTATTGATTCTTCCTACCCATGAGCATGGAATGTTCTTCCATTTGTTTGTATCCTCTTTTATTTCCTTGAGCGGTGGTATGTAGTTCTCCTTGAAGAGGTCCTTCACATCCCTTGTAAGTTGGATTCCTAGGTATTTTATTCTCTTTGAAGCAATTGTGAATGGGAATTCACTCATGATTTGGCTCTCTGTTTGTCTGTTGCTGGTGTATAAGAATGCTTGTGATTTTTGTACATTGATTTTGTATCCTGAGACTTTGCTGAAGTTGCTTATCAGCTTAAGGAGATTTTGGGCTGAGACAATGGGGTTTTCTAGATATACAATCATGTCATCTGCCAACAGGGACAATTTGACTTCCTCTTGTCCTAATTGAATACCCTTTATTTCCTTCTCCTGCCTGATTGCCCTGGCCAGAACTTCCAACACTATGTTGAATAGGAGTGGTGAGAGAGGGCATCCCTGTCTTGTGCCAGTTTTCAAAGAGAATGCTTCCAGTTTTTGCCCATTCAGTATGATATTGGCTGTGGGTTTGTCATAGATAGCTCTTATTATTTTGAAATACATCCCATCAATACCTAATTTATTGAGAGTTTTTAGCATGAAGAGTTGTTGAATTTTGTCAAAGGCTTTTTCTGCATCTATTGAGATAATAATGTGGTTTTTGTCTTTGGCTCTGTTTATATGCTGGATTACATTTATTGATTTGCATATATTGAACCAGCCTTGCATCCCAGGGATGAAGCCCACTTGATCATGGTGGATAAGCTTTTTGATGTGCTGCTGGATTCGTTTTGCCAGTATTTTATTGAGGATTTTTGCATCAATGTTCATCAAGGATATTGGTCTAAAATTCTCTTTTTTTGTTGTGTCTCTGCCTGGCTTTGGTATCAGAATGATGCTGGCCTCATAAAATGAGTTAGGGAGGATTCCCTCTTTTTCTATTGATTGGAATAGTTTCAGAAGGAATGGTACCAGTTCCTCCTTGTACCTCTGGTAGAATTCAGCTGTGAATCCATCTGGTCCGACTCTTTTTGGTTGGTAAGCTATTGATTATTGCCACAATTTCAGATCCTGTTATTGGTCTATTCAGAGATTCAACTTCTTCCTGGTTTAGTCTTGGGAGAGTGTATATGTCAAGGAATTTATCCATTTCTTCTAGATTTTCTAGTTGATTTGCGTCGAGGTGTTTGTAGTATTCTCTGATGGTAGTTTGTATTTCTGTGGGATCGGTGGTGATATCCCCTTTATCATTTTTTATTGCGTCTATTTGATTCTTCTCCCTTTTTTTCTTTATTAGTCTTGCTAGCGGTCTATAAATTTTGTTGATCCTTTCAAAAAACCAGCTCCTGGATTCATTAATTTTTTGAAGGGTTTTTTGTGTCTCTATTTCCTTCAGTTCTGCTCTGATTTTAGTTATTTCTTCCCTTCTGCTAGCTTTTGAATGTGTTTGCTCTTGCTTTTCTAGTTCTTTTAATTGTGATGTTAGGGTGTCAATTTTGGATCTTTCCTGCTTTCTCTTGTGGGCATTTAGTGCTATAAATTTCCCTCTACACACTGCTTTGAATGTGTCCCAGAGATTCTGGTATGTTGTGTCTTTGTTCTCGTTGGTTTCAAAGAACATCTTTATTTCTGCCTTCATTTCGTTATGTACCCAGTAGTCATTCAGGAGCAGGTTGTTCAGTTTCCATGTAGTTGAGCGGTTTTGAGTGAGATTCTTAATCCTGAGTTCTAGTTTGATTGCACTGTGGTCTGAGAGATAGTTTGTTATAATTTCTGTTCTTTTACATTTGCTGAGGAGAGCTTTACTTCCAAGTATGTGGTCGGTTTTGGAATAGGTGTGGTGTGGTGCTGAAAAAAATGTATATTCTGTTGATTTGGGGTGGAGAGTTCTGTAGATGTCTATTAGGTCCGCTTGGTGCAGAGCTGAGTTCAATTCCTGGGTATCCTTGTTGACTTTCTATCTCGTTGATCTGTCTAATGTTGACAGTGGGGTGTTAAAGTCTCCCATTATTAATGTGTGGGAGTCTAAGTCTCTTTGTAGGTCACTCAGGACTTGCTTTATGAATCTTGGTGCTCCTGTATTGGGTGCATATATATTTAGGATAGTTAGCTCTTCTTGTTGAATTGATCCCTTTACCATTATGTAATGGCCTTCTTTGTCTCTTTTGATCTTTGTTGGTTTAAAGTCTGTTTTATCAGAGACTAGTATTGCAACCCCTGCCTTTTTTTGTTTTCCATTTGCTTGGTAGATCTTCCTCCATCCTTTTATTTTGAGCCTATGTGTGTCTCTGCACGTGAGATGGGTTTCCTGAATACAGCACACTGATGGGTCTTGACTCTTTATCCAATTTGCCAGTCTGTGTCTTTTAATTGGAGCATGTAGTCTATTTACGTTTAAAGTTAATATTGTTATGTGTGAATTTGATCCTGTCATTATGATGTTAGCTGGTTATTTTGCTCGTTAGTTGATGCAGTTTCTTCCTAGTCTTGATAATCTTTACATTTTGGCATGATTTTGCAGCGGCTGGTACCGGTTGTTCCTTTCCATGTTTAGTGCTTCCTTCAGGAGCTCTTTTAGGGCAGGCCTGGTGGTGACAAAATCTCTCAGCATTTGCTTGTCTGTAAAGTATTTTATTTCTCCTTCACTTATGAAGCTTAGTTTGGCTGGATATGAAATTCTGGGTTGAAAATTCTTTTCTTTAAGAATGTTGAATATTGGCCCCCACTCTCTTCTGGCTTGTAGGGTTTGTGCCGAGAGATCCGCTGTTAGTCTGATGGGCTTCCCTTTGAGGGTAACCCGACCTTTCTCTCTGGCTGCCCTTAACATTTTTTCCTTCATTTCAACTTTGGTGAATCGGACAATTATGTGTCTTGGAGTTGCTCTTCTCGAGGAGTATCTTTGTGGCGTTCTCTGTATTTCCTGAATCTGAACGTTGGCCTGCCTTGCTAGATTGGGGAAGTTCTCCTGGATAATATCCTGCAGAGTGTTTTCCAACTTGGTTCCATTCTCCCCATCACTTTCAGGTTCACCAATCAGACGTAGATTTGGTCTTTTCACATAGTCCCATATTTCTTGGAGGCTTTGCTCATTTCTTTTTATTCTTTTTTCTCTAAACTTCCCTTCTCACTTCATTTCATTCATTTCATCTTCCATTGCTGATACCCTTTCTTCCAGTTGATCGCATCGGCTCCTGAGGCTTCTGCATTCTTCACGTAGTTCTCGAGCCTTGGTTTTCAGCTCCATCAGCTCCTTTAAGCACTTCTCTGTATTGGTTATTCTAGTTATACATTCTTCTAAATTTTTTTCAAAGTTTTCAACTTCTTTGCCTTTGGTTTGAATGTCCTCCTGTAGCTCAGAGTAATTTGATCGTCTGAAGCCTTCTTCTCTCAGCTTGTCAAAGTCATTCTCCATCCAGCTTTTTTCCGTTGCTGGTGAGGAACTGTGTTCCTTTGGAGGAGGAGAGGCGCTCTGCTTTTTAGAGTTTCCAGTTTTTCTGTTCTGTTTTTTCCCCATCTTTGTGGTTTTATCTACTTTTGGTCTTTGATGATGGTGATGTACAGATGGGTTTTTGGTGTGGATGTCCTTTCTGTTTGTTAGTTTTCCTTCTAACAAACAGAGAGGACCCTCAGCTGCAGGTCTGTTTGAATACCCTGCCTGTTATTCACACTGACCTTTGTGAGGTGTCAGTGTGCCCCTGCTGGGGGGGGGTGCCTCCCAGTTAGGCTGCTCAGGGGTCAGTGGTCAGGGACCCACTTGAGGAGGCAGTCTGCCGGTTCTCAGATCTCCAGCTGCGTGCTGGGAGAACCACTGCTCTCTTCAAAGCTGTCAGACAGGGACATTTAAGTCTGCAGAGGTTACTGCTGTCTTTTTGTTTGTCTGTGCCCTGCCCCCAGAGGTGGAGCCTACCGAGGCAGGCAGGCCTCCTTGAGCTGTGGTGGGCTCCGCCCAGTTGGAGCTTCCCGGCTGCTTTGTTTACCTAATCAAGCCTGGGCAATGGCGGGCGCCCCTCCCCAAGCCTGGCTGCCGCCTTGCAGTTTGATCTCAGACTGCTGTGCTAGCAATCAGCGAGACTCCGTGGGCGTAGGACCCTCTAAGCCAGGTGCGGGATATAATCTCGTGGTGGGCTGTTTTTTAAGCCTGTCGGAAAAGCGCAGTATTCGGGTGGGAGTGACCCGATTTTCCAGGTGCCGTCCATCACCCCTTTCTTTGACTTGGAAACGGAACTCCCTGATCCCTTGCGCTTCCCAAGTGGGGCAATGCCTTGCCCTGCTTTGGCTCGCGCACGGTGCGCGCACCCACTGACCTGCCCCCACTGTCTGGCACTCCCTAGTGAGATGAACCCCGTACCTCAGATGGAAATGCAGAAATCACCGTCTTCTGCGTCGCTCAGGCTGGGAGCTGTAGACCGGAGCTGTTCCTATTCGGCCATCTTGGCTCCTCCCTCTATCCTATTCTCTTTTAATCATACCTGGTTTCCTTAGTTAAAGTCAACTTTACAAAAGGCAGGGGTGCACAGAAACTTGCAGAAAGTTCCATGTTAATGAGAAGCAACGTGAAAACCTCTCCACACTACATTTAACAATCTAAATTGATTTTTTTTCAAATACTCTGTATGCACATGGATGTCTTTTATGGTTGTGTATGAGCTTATATAAAACAGAAGTATAAATACACTGTGAGCCTCACCCATGTGTTATGTCTACTATCTGATCTCAAATTTTCAAGAGGTGATAAGAAATTTGCTCAGGGAACAAGACATTTTGTGTTATTGTGCATTGATCTTCCTGCCTAAAATTTAGTTTCCATTTAGATAAAGTCATAATATGATTTTAAGGTTACATCAGTTAGTTTGAAAGCAGCAGAGAATGTCTCTGGCCAATTGTAACCAACAGACATGTGTTGAAATTGAAATGACATGTAGGGATCACAGCACTGGTGGGAACCTAGAGGACCAGGCTGAGTAGGCATCAAGCAGCAAACTGTAAAAAATTCCAGTGATAATTTTGAATACATTAAAATTAGAAATGTCTACAAAAATATTACTTTTAACACGTAGAAAAAATGTTGAGATTCAGAAGCAAATATATCAAGTTATCATAATTGAAAATAAATTATTCAGAATATATTAAGAATTTTTAAAATCAGTAAGAAAAGTACAAAATACTCAATAGATAAGCATAGAAAGGAAATGAGCAGGTAGTTGGCAGAAGAAGAAAACCAAATATCTAATAAAAATAAGATGTTCAACTCCATTGGAAAGAAAGAAAATGAAAATGAGATTTTATTTCAGGCCCATCAACTTGAACAAGATGACAAGGCCTGAAAATGCTGTATGGTTGAGGGTCTGGAATAAGGGTACCACTTGTACGCTGCTGGTGGTACTTTAAACTTGTGAATAATCTTGTAGAGTGTCCTGGTGATAGCTGGTAAGGCTGCAGAAACTTTCACCACATGGTACTCTGTTTCTACCGCTAGATGTGTACTTTAAAGCATCTCTTGCACATGTTTGTGTGGCGATATGCATAAGAATGGAATAGATAGAGATAGCTCATGTGGAGATATGCATAAGAATGGCAGCTTTTTATGTGAAGGCGATATTATTGAAAAAACATAAATGTCTGTACACAGGAGAGTAAATTATTTGTGATATGTGCATATAATGGGAGAACATCAAAAGGATAAAATTAAACTAAAATTATCTATATCAATATGCATGCATTTTCACAAAATATTATTTTGATTGAAAGAAGTTGCAGAACAACATGTAACATTTATTTGGCCAACGGACAAAAGCCACAGTGGAATTTTTTCTGTTAGGGAAACCTCAGCTTTTCAAGACTTCCAACTGATTAAGTTAGGCCCATCCAGAGGAGATCCAGATAATCTCCCTTGCTTAGAGTCAACTGACTAGGGACTCCTACATCTGCAACATCCCTTCACAGCACGCCCACTCAGGCAAATATTCCATTGACTAACTGGGAACTCTATCCTAGCCAAACTGACATTTCAAAAACATCATGAGATTTTTACAACAAGATTAATAACATATTCAAACCTTCTATCAGTCAGATTGGGAAGTCAGAGTTTTCTACATCATCACTGGGCACTTTAAGGACACAGCCATATGTTGGGTTGGGGGTAGGCACCTGATACCGACCAGCAGCACCTAGCAAGCATTTAGAAAATAATTATTGAATGAACTAATTAATAGATTTGAGTGAAACAGAATCTTGGGGGACAGCTGTATCAGGCACAAGTACTTTTGTGAAGTTGTTGCTGGGGAGAACATAATAAAAAGAACTGTCAGTTTTAAGCATTTTTTCCCTTAGCCTTTAGTCACGCTGTGACAAGAGCAAGGCTTTCTCATTGTCTCCAAAATAATTCTGTTTTCATCTTTCGATAATATTGTATGGGGGAAGAGTTTCTCCAGCCGTCTTCTGTGTTAAACTAGTATCTCATTAGATATTAATAGGTGTTCTGTGAAAGACAGGGTCTAGGGTAAAAAAAATATATGGTAAAAAATTAACCAGGATAAGCTAGGTAATAATCAATACATCTTAGTAGCTTAAAACAAATAAAACTTATTTCCCACCCATTGTGGGTTAGCTGCAGCCTCGGCTCTGTGTCACTGCTCTTGACCTGACTCTGGGAGCCAGTTGGACAGAGAAGCCACATGTGGCGTCGTGTATGTTGCTGTTGCAAAGGTTGAATTGAGCATGCACCATGCACAGCACCCACAGACTCTTAAAGCCTCTGTCTAGAAGTGACACGTATCACTTCTGCTCATCTTTCATTCATCACATCTTTTCATGGCCCAGCCTTGAGACAGGTAGGGTAGAGTAGGGCAGATAGATGGTCCCACAGAGAGGTGGACTTCATATAGTCCACCAAGAAATTAAACCATAGGGCTTCACAGAACATAGAAATTACTAAAATGCATTCTAAATACCAGTGAACACTGTTAATCTACTGCCAGGGCTATCGTGTGCAGTACTAACCAATTTATAAGTCACAGAATCTTTCCTTCTACCTATGAGAAGGAATATAGTATAGGTACTTAAATTCATAGGCTCTGATGTCACACTGCTTGTGTTCAAATTGCACCTCTGATTTGCTAGTGACTTTGGGCAAGGTACTTAGCTTTCTTAACCTTCAGTTACATCAATATTGTCTCTTATCTTAAAAGTTTCTGATGAGGATTAAATGACTATACACCCCTAACTCATTTCCTGGCAAGTTATAAGCTCTCAGTAAAACTGAGGTAAAGTCTTATAGGATCAAGAGGTTCTGAAGGACACTAAAAAAAATGTTCTGGAATTTTGTTATTAGTTCATAAAATAAAATATTTTATTCCATGTGCTTTTAACATCAATAATTCATTATGTGATAGTGGGTAAAGGACTTCACTCCATGGCATAAAGGAACTTAGGATTCCTATAGGTTCTAATCAGTGCTACTGAAGAGATCAGTATGAGCACGATAAGAAGATGGGTCAGGCACTGGAAGCCAGGGAAGGAGAGTGGCCAGAAAGGCTGACCAGGGAGCATTATATTTCCATTACTGAGAACCAGCAACAGTGAGTCTTTTGAAACTTCCCTTAAAATGTTTAGCAAACACCATATAGTATAGATAGAGTTATAATAGCATAATGGTTGATTATTCTTTACCAATAGAATGCTGGACATTTAAAGGGACAACATTATGGTTGCCTGATGACTGGTTCTCTTGTATTGATTTAATGCTCAGAAAGAGCATTTAAGAGCTGGCTAAAATGTGTCAAGTACCACTAAGTACATTATTGTCAGAATATTTGTTTTCTGCTGAGTTGTGTTATCTTTTCTTACTTGTTATGAAACAATTGCTAAGTGTTTAGATACAGAGCATATAGACAGAAAAATAACTATATTCAAAAAATATGTTTGGAAGTACTGTTATTTAATTGATAACTTTAAGATTTGTAAATATTTATAAAGATTAAAATGTACATTTTACTGATTATAGATTGTTCTCAAGAATGTTGCTATACAGAATTACTGATCCCTAGAATTGTTTTGAGGTGAAGACATTTTTATGCTGGAATAAGTGAATACTTTCTACTTATTTAGAATTTAATGTTTTGCTGTTTTTATGTTACAGTTGATTAAAATTTTATTATGTGGTTGCACACTTTCCAAATAAAAATGTTTGTTCTATTCCCCCCAAATAGGAGATCTAAAAAACTACAATAACTTATCAGAAAAATAAGATGTACTTTTATTCAATATTCATCAGTAGACTTCTCATGGAATTTAAATTTCTGAACCAAGAGATTAACCTTTATGGAATTGAAGAAGACTGAGTAATTTGCATAATAATGGATTTCCCAGAGCTCCTGACTCACAATGCTCATTTGAAACTTTCTTCTTTTTTCCTGGAACTATTTCTTTATGAGTGGACACTGAACCATTTGAGCCGATCTATGTCAAATTATTGGCCTTCGTCCCTCATTCATTTCTCAGCATTCATTTCTCAGTTGTGCAGAGGGCTGGTGTTTCAACTCTATGAGTGGATTAATTGACTGAATCATTACTGAAAACCTTTAGCGTCTATTTGCTATGGTATACATAATGCATTCTGAAAGTATATTTTGAATTTACCCATATTTTTGAAATGATTCTGATCAATACTGAATGATAAAATTGAATATGGAACTCTATGATTATAATAGGCTAACATTTGTCTTTCATGTAAATAACTGGTGGCACATTTCTTTAACACACCCCAACAGAGTACTGTCTCAGCTGAACTCCCGTGTGACTTACTATCTATAATGTATGTACACCCTTTAGTGCTTTGCTCTGTAGCTATAGGTGTGTGCATCTCATCAGTCTTTTAAGATTATAAGCCTATGGAGTGCCAGACTGAGATTATATACATCTTCACATTTTTTAATATTTCTAAATAACCCACACTGTATCTTGAACAATATAGGAGCTTAAAAAACATTTCCCAATAAATGAAACAAAAAAGAAAAATGATAATTTGTTATTGGATTTATTCTAAATGTTCAAATATAAAAATGTATTTGACTTTAAATTAAAACAAGAGGAAAATGAAGTCAATTGCAAATTCCTGTTCAAATGAAAATATTTTAATTCTAATATAAATCCCAGAATACTTTAAATCTTATGTCCTAACAATAAACGAATATGAAGTAAAATACTCAAATTTCCTTTAAGAATTGAAGTGTGGATGTATATATTTAAGTTAGATTTTGATTTTGAAAAATTATGTCTCGTGTTTTCTCATTACTGAATTAAGTTTAAAAGACCATTTCTAGGATAGATGCTGTTTGAAGATTTGATGATAGATTCTGGGATCCAAACCAAAGCATTGCTCAATATGGGCATAGCTCAATCCCTGTTCAAAGACATTGGGATTCTCTGGTTGTTCATACCTTAGGAGTAAGTCACAGAAAGAACAAGTTAAAATGTATGCATTGCAGGACATGGTGGCTCAAGTCTATAGTCCCAGATACTTTGGAAGCTGAAGTAGGAGAAGCCCTTGAGCCTAGGAATTCTAAGCCAGTCTGGATAACATAGAGAGACCCTCCTCCTAAAAAATGTTTAAAAGCCTGCATGTTTTCTTAGAGTAGTGATGGATGTTAACAATGATCAGAATTAGAATTAAATATATTCGGTACCACACTATTGCAAGGCAAATGTAAACAGATAATTTACTTATGTGTTTATACAAAGAGAATTTTCTATGAGGACATTAATTCTAATGAAACCTTGAATCCTAAGGGAAGAGGCTTTTAATCTCCTTTGATGCTCAGAAACTTTTGAGAATTTAAGGAGAGTTTAGTACTTTATTTCTATAAAAATATTGAATACCACAAATGCATTTTGCAAATAATTTTAGGGAATTCTTGGACCCTCTAAAGCTCTTCCATTGGTGTGAGCTAAAGACCTCTTTTCCTATATGGCACCACCAGAACAGGTAAGCTAGATCAGACCACAAGTATGCTTCTGGTCTAAAACTAAGTTAATCTTTGGTTCCTTTCACCCAGGACAAGCTCCTAATCATATTATCATGTCTCACCAGGATAGTAGTGAGATGAAGCGAGGAGTATCAATGCCAAGCAAAGAGAAGGCTTATTCCCAATGTCTAGAGCAGAGCTAGCCTAAAAATCCCCTTGTAGGTTTTCCTCGGTGATTATGACAATAGGGAGGGATAGAGGAGGTCAGATAACTCTTATCTGTTCCATGAGACAGAGTTACTCCAAACAAGTAGGACAGAAAACAAGAGAAATGCAAACAAATTACTTTAAAAGGCCATGTGACACGGTGGCTGCATTTTTAACCTCTGTCATGAAACAAAATATTTCAACTTTAACATCTTGACACTGACTCATATCAGTGCTTTTTCTTTTCCAGAGTGGCCTACAGAAGGTGAGAACACATTCCCCTGTTTCAATTACTGGCGCTTTAGGGGATGTTTGTTTTCACAGATTTTTTTTCTTTTTTCAAGGAAAACTACAGCTCAGACGGAGGAAAGAAAAAGGGGAAAAAAGAAAAGACTAGCCAATTTTCTTCAATTCTAGTCTGCAAAGGGATCCTACTAATATGACCCAGCCCCAGAAATTCTAACTTTGCATTTCTAGGAGAGAGCTCGGGATCTATGCTATTAATCAACAATCCTTTGTAAATTTCATTCTCATGATACATGGACAATATTTTGAGAAACACTGAGCCATAGTGTACTGGCCAGGAAGAGTAGATCTGTTAAAAGCAATCAAACATGTGCATGTGGATGTGTGTGTGCATTTGTGTGTGAGTGTGCATGTGTGTATGTGTATGCATATGTGTATGTGTATATGCATGTGTGTGTGTGCATGTGCATTTGTATGTATATGTGCATGTGTATGTGCATGTATATGTGTACATGTGGTGTGTTTAGGGAGGAAGTGGTCAAGGTTTTGTTCTAAAGTGAGATGGCAGGCAGAAGGCAGGATTCATTTAGACAACACATATTTATGTGATAGGCACTTGTCTATGCTGTTTGCACTTGTTAGGCAAAAATTCCTTAACCTCATGGAACCTAAATTTTAATGGCAGGGGGAGCAAGAATGTAATGGACTCAATTAATAAACAAATTATACAGAGTATTAGAAGAAAAAAGATATGATGGAAAGAAAGATTAATAGATCAGGGTAAGAAGATCTGAAGTACTGGGAGATAATTTCTAATGTTAAATTGGGAGGTCGGGGATAAGCCTCATTGAGGGGTGACATTTTAGCAAAGACTTGAAGAAGGTAAGGAAATTGACCATGATACTGTTTGGGGAAAGTGTATCCCAGGAGTGCCTCATGTGAGCTCTCAGGGTAAGTTCAATTGGTGTGGGACTGTAGTGGAGAACATGAGAGGGAGAGCAAATAATTATCTGGAGTCAGGACATGTAGTCTTGTGGACTGTTATAAAGACTTTGCTGTTTACTCTGAGGCAAATGGAAAGTCATCAGAGGATTTTGAGAGAAGAGTTACATCATCTTATATTATCAAGGAGTCATTCTGGCTGCCGTGTTGATAATTGACTGTGGTTGAGGGTATAGGGTAGTAGAAATGTGAGAGTTATTCAGGAGAAAGATGACCAGTGTTGGTAGTAAGAATTAGTACAAATCTGAATATATTGTGAAGAAAACCCCCCCAAAATTATTGATTGAGATAATGTGAGATAAGGTAGTATGATAGAGAAGAATGAAAACTCCAAAAGTTTTGACTTTGGCTACATGAAAGGACAGAGTTGCCATCAACTAACATGAGGACAATTTTAGGGGAGAAGACCATAAAACCCTTAGCTTTCTCCTATTCCCAGCAACATAATACAGTAAGCTCAATGCCATACATATAGATTTACTTCCTTGATCCACTATATACCAGCTATTTGAACAACTCATTGAATCCTCGTTTCCTTATTCTTAAAATGAAATAACAACATCACACTGAACAGGCAAAAGCTGGGAACATTCCTCTTGAGAACTAGAACAAGACAAGGATGCTCACTTTCACCACTCCTATTCAACATAATACTGGAAATCCATGCAGAGCAATCAGGCAAGAGAAAGAAATATAAGGCATCCAAATAGGAAAAGAGGAAGTCACACTGTCTCTCTTCACTGATGATATGATGATAAATACTCTACCAAAACATTCCTGGAGCTGATAAATGACTTCAGTAAAGTTTCAGGATACAAAGTCAAGATGTAAAAATCCACAGCATTTTTATACACCAATAATGTTCAAGCTGAGAGCGAAATCAAGAGTGTATTCCCATTTATAAGAGCAACACAAGAAATCATAAATTATACAAACAAAAGGAAAAACATTCTATGCTTATGGATTGGAAGAATCAATATCATTAAAATGGCCATACTACCCAAAGCAATCTACAGATTCAATGGTATTCCTATCAGACTACCAGCATCATTTTTCACAGAATTAGAAAAAACTATTCTAACATTCATATGGAACCAAAAAAGAGCCAAATAGGTCTAATATGCAGAATTTATAAAGACTTAAACAATTAAATAAGTAAACAACAAACAACCCAATAACAAGTAGGCAAAGGACACAGACACTTCTCAAAAGAAGACAAACATGCAACCAACAAACATGAACAAATGCTCAACATTATTAGTCATCAGAGAAATGCAAATCAAAACCATAATGCAGTACCATCTCACACCAGCCAGAATGGCAATTATTAAAAAGTCAACAAAAGGACAGATGCTGGGGAGGCTGCAGAGAAAAGGGATGGGAATGTAAATTGGTTTGGCCACTATGGAAAGCAGTTTAGAGATTTCTCAGAGAAGTTAAAATAGAGTTATAAGTCAACCCAGCAATCCCATTACTAGGTTATATCCAAAAGAAAATAAATAATTTTATCAAAATGACATGCACTTATGTGTTCATCACATCACTATTCACAATAGCAAAGACATGGAATTAACCTAGGTATCCATCAACAATGAATTGGATAAATAAAATGTGGTATATATACACTGTGGAATACTATGCAGCCATTAAAAAGAATTAAATCATGTACTTTGCAGCAACATGAATGCAGCTGGAGGCCATTCTTCTAAGCAAAATAACTCAGAAACAGAAAACCAAATACTGCATGTTCACACTTATAAGTGGGAGCTAAACTTTGGGTACTTTTGGACATAAAGATGGTGACAGTAGACACTGGGGACTACTAGATGGGGAAGGGAGGAAGGGAAGCGAGGGTTGAGACGCTAACTGTTGGGTACTGTGTTCATTCTATGTGTGATGGTATCATGCATATCCGGTACCTCCGTATCATGAAATATACCCATGTAACAAAGCTGCACATATGCCCTCTAAATCTAAAATAAAAGTTGAAATTTTTAACAACAATTCTAAACATAAATAAGTTAATTAAATAACACCCATCTTGTCTGCCTTGTAGGTTGTTTTGTGAGAAGCAATAGTGATAATGAATGTGAAAATATTTTAGTGTGCTCTATTAGAAAGTTTGAAGATTTCATAATTTTAATTAGACGTAATAGTTCCAAACTGTGAGTTTTTAACTTAATTGTAGAAATACAATAAAATATAATGAAACCATTTATTTTATACCTAAAATGCACCAGGCATTGCATAAGACAATTTGAACATACTGTTTCTAATTCTTACAGCAACTCTCAGATGTGGAAATGAAGTTCAGAGAATTTAAGTAAATTCCCAAGTTCATGCAGGTAATAAATAGTCTAACCATAATTTAAATTCACTCTTTCTGCTACAACATACAGCCTTACTAGTAGATAGAAATTATCGACTAAATCTTATAAATTGTGGTCCTGTTTTCTTTCTACAAATTTTACAAGCATTATTACTGCGGCAAGAGAACAGCAGCAGCTAAGCTGGGAGCAAATAACCCAGTAGAAGCAGAGCCAAAACTTGATTGTAAAACAAGGCACATTTAAATATTTTTGGTCTAGGAACAATGAGAAAGGGCCAGCTGAGATTAGTAAGGCGATTTCATGCATAGACCCTGAGATTAGTTTTCCAGTTAACTGAGGGAATCCCACGTGTTTAAGGGCTTTTCCTAAAGTGTAAAGACTTTATAATCCTACTTAATTCATGCAGTGAAATGCCATTATGTACTGCTTTAGAATTTTCTTCTGCTAAAATGAGGCATATTTTTATTCATTTGATGGACTGTCAAAGAAATGTAGGCTATATAATTTTATAAAACCAGTGGTGGAGGGTGGGGAGTTAGGTCATTTTAAATATTTTTTTTGGTTGGTTTAAATTTTATTTAATAACTGAGTAGAACTTGTTTTGTTTTTGTTTTACAATTTGTCTTGTTATAGCATTTTCTACAACTCTTTCTCTCTTCTCTTTGAAAACTGTCCTTGTTTTTGAGTAGGAAAGCAAAGAGAAAATATTGTGCCTTTTAAATAATCCATGCAGTTCATAACTCTTCCTCTGGCCTATAAATTATTATCAGTGCTTGAAGTGAAGTTGGATTTGAAACGACTACTTTGATGTGATGTTTTGATATTTTTCTTATTAAACCAAACAAAATGAAGTAAATTATTAATCTCTCTTTTTTTCTTCTTACACAAAACTAGTCATTATTTACTCTTGTGTTTTTTACATTGCTCATCTTAAAGATCTGTATTCCCTCTTTCATCATGCCACAAACCTACTTCA
Source organism: Homo sapiens (assembly GCF_000001405.40). NCBI lineage: Eukaryota > Metazoa > Chordata > Mammalia > Primates > Hominidae > Homo > Homo sapiens. The sequence goes on from NC_000018.10 coordinate 1,532,519, forward strand.
GAGTCATTAGTCTACTCTTCATTAGAAAGAAACAAAATCCTTTAACATATTTTTTCAAGGGCTATAGATTGTTTGTGAAGATAAAATATCATATTCCTACTTCTAAATACCCTTGCTCATGAGAATACACCCTAAGAGACAGTGATTCCTAAAATAATCTTGAGATAAGTACAAAATCATGGGTATTCAATGCATAAAGAATAATTCATAGCTTTACACAGAATCTCTTCCTTGCTTTCTAGCTTAATTACTCTTCTTTGTTAGGCAGTCCCATTTATTCTTATTCTTCCTATTATCAATTTCATAAAAAATATTAAAAATTTCAAATTCATTGGGTTATTTCATCTTTATGACAACCATTTGTTTTTGGCACAGAAAATATTAATATAATTATCCCAGCTTGTTGACCAATAAACTGAAGCCAAAGCAACTCATCTACTTAATTTTAAATGGCTACTGTGTAGCCTTTGGTGTTGCCTCAGGTCTTCTGCGTTATCTGTTGCACTCTTTGGGAAGTGATCAACGGCAGTACCTTATCTTTTCTAATTCTGCATACCTTGCTGGGCATCAATAGGCTTCCTCCCTGAGCTCATCGTTAATGCTGGTTGTGTCTCATTGGGCTGGTTCCACCCTTACCTTGATGGTCTGGAGTGGCTCCTAGAGCCATCTATTGAGCCCCAGTGCAGCCAGGAGTCCTTGAGTTCAGTTTAGGGTCTTGTCTCTGATTTTTGATAACCTCTTCCTGCGTATTCTGTTAAGTCCCATGTTCCATTTTAGGTACATATAATTAAAATAATACAGTAAAAATCTGATCCTACACAAGAGCTGAAACTCAGGGATAAACTGTGGAATTAGAATTTCTGCAAATCCATTTTCATTATTGACATATTTAATTTTGGACCAAAACAAATCTGATGGCATCACTATATTATATATTTGATGGCATAACTATATTATATATTATATATTTGTGTTATATGTATATAACATTAAATTATATTAATAAAAACATATGTCCAGAAAAAGAATAAGCATCTTAGTATGATCAACTACTTCTAGATTAATATTAACATTAATTTGCTACTCATTAATTCATATTTTATCTGCTAGTTCTTGTGATAAAATATTCACTGATAGTTAATTTTTAAAAGATTAGATTTATGGGGCCAGGCGCGGTGGCTCACGCCTGTAATCCCAGCACTTTGGGAGGCCGAGACGGGCGGATTAGGAGGTCAGGAGATCGAGACCATCCTGACTAACACAGTCAAACCCCGTCTCTACTAAAAATACAAAAACTCATGGGTAGGAAGAATCAATATTGTGAAAATGGCCATACTGCCCAAGGTAATTTACAGATTCAATGCCATCCCCATCAAGCTACCAATGACTTTCTTCACAGAATTGGAAAAAACCACTTTAAAGTTCATATGGAACCAAAAAAGAGCCCTCATCACCAAGTCAATCCTAAGCCAAAAGAACAAAGCTGGAGGCATCACACTACCTGACTTCAAACTATACTACAAGGCTATAGTAACCAAAACAGCATGGTACTGGTACCAAAACAGAGATATAGATCAATGGAACAGAACAGAGCCCTCAGAAATAACGCCGCATATCTACAACTATCTGATCTTTGACAAACCTGAGAAAAACAAGCAATGGGGAAAGGATTCCCTATTTAATAAATGGTGCTGGGAAAACTGGCTAGCCATATGGAGAAAGCTGAAACTGGATCCCTTCCTTACACCTTATACAAAAATCAATTCAAGATGGATTAAAGACTTAAACGTTAGACCTAAAACCATGAAAACCCTAGAAGAAAACCTAGGCATTACCATTCAGGACATAGGCATGGGCAAGGACTTCATGTCTAAAACACCAAAAGCAATGGCAACAAAAGACAAAATTGACAAATGGGATCTAATTAAACTAAAGAGCTTCTGCACAGCAAAAGAAACTACCATCAGAGTGAACAGGCAACCTACAAAATGGGAGAAAATTTTCGCAACCTACTCATCTGACAAAGGGCTAATATCCAGAACCTACAATGAACTCAAACAAATTTACAAGAAAAAAACAAACAACCCCATCAAAAAGTGGGCAAAGGATATGAACAGACACTTCTCAAAAGAAGACATTTATGCAGCCAAAAAATGCATGATAAAATGCTCATCATCACTGGCCATCAGAGAAATGCAAATCAAAACCACAGTGAGATACCATCTCACACCAGTTAGAATGGCAGTCATTAAAAAGTCAGGAAACAACAGGTGCTGGAGAGGATGTGGAGAAATAGGAACACTTTGACACTGTTGGTGGGACTGTAAACTAGTTCAACCATTGTGGAAGTCAGTGTGGCGATTCCTCAGGGATCTAGAACTAGAAATGTCATTTGACCCAGCCATCCCATTACTGGGTATATACCCAAAGGACTATAAATCATGCTGCTATAAAGACACATGCACACGTATGTTTATTGCGGCACTATTCACAATAGCAAAGACTTGGAACCAACCCAAATGTCCAACAATGATAGACTGGATTAAGAAAATGTGGCACTTATACACCGTGGAATACTATGCAGCCATAAAAAATGATGAGTTCATGTCCTTTGTAGGGACATGGATGAAATTGGAAATCATCATTCTCAGTAAACTATCGCAAGGACAAAAAACCAAAAACCGCATGTTCTCACTCATAGATGGGAATTGAACAATGAGAACACATGGACACAGGAAGGGGAACATCACACTCTGGGGACTGTTGTGGGGTTGGGGGAGCGGGGAGGGATAGCATTAGGAGATATACCTAATGCTAAATGACGAGTTAATGGGTGCAGCACACCAGCATGGCACATGTATACATATGTAACTAACCTGCACGTTGTGCACATGTACCCTAAGACTTTAATAAAAAAAAAAAAAATCCCAAAATTAGCCAGGTGTGGTGGCAGGCGCCTGTAGTCCCAGCTACTGGGAAGGCTAAGGGCAGGAGAATGGTGTCAACCCGGGAGGCGGAGCTTGCAGTGAGCCAAGATCGAGCCACTGCACTCCAGCCTGGGTGACAGAGAGAGACTCTGTCTCAAAAAAAAAAAAAAAAAAAGATTAGATTTATGGGATAAAATGTCAGTGGAATAAATTGAGAGACTTCTATTCCTTACATTTATTTTTCAATTAATAAAAAACTAACAAAAACCCAAACGTTTCTGTGCAAGTCTTTTTGAGGACATGTGTTTTCATTTCTCTTAGACAAATACCTAGGTGTGGAACTGCTGGATTTTAGGGTAGTTTTTTATTTATTTGTTTGCTGTTAAACAAGAAACTGCCAAGCCTTTGTCCAAAATGGCTGTGCTATTTTCCTTACACTCCCACTAATTATATAAGAGAATTTGGTTGCATTTTCCTGATATTTAATGATGTTGAGCACCTGGTCATGTGTTTACTGGGCAACCTTCTTTTGTGAGACGTCTCCTCAAGTCTTTTGTTCATGTTTCAGTTAGACTGTTCTTTATATTTTCGAGTTTTATGAGTTCACTGTACATCTTGGATATGTCCTTTGTCAAATGTATGTTTTGCAAATATGTTCTCCTCCTCTGTAGCTTGCCAGTTGACGTTCCTAATAGTGTTTTGGATAAGTACAATTAAGTCTAAGTTTTCTCTTTTTTCATAGAGCTGTCTGTTTCTGCATCCTATTAAGAAATCTTTGCCAACCCCAGATGGCAAAGATTTTGTCCTGTGTTTTCTTCTAGAGACTTTATAGTTTTAGCTTTTATGTTTATAACCCACCTTAAAGTAATTCCCCTAGTTACCCTAGTTTGTGAATATAGTTACAGGTGTTTCTGAGTCATAGCCCAGATTTGAAACTCACTGGTTTTAAATACAAATTTAGGAACAAGTATCTTTAACCTTCCTCACTTTCTTTCTCCTACCACTTCCTCTCAGAAAGTTGTTATATTATGGAATTGGTTCATATAACCTTTGGGATCCCTCACAATATTAACAAAACCGACACCTGCTTCCTATCCCCTCAGCTTAGAGGGCAAGCCAGTATGTTTGCCAAGCATCACAAAGACCTCTGGGGTCAAGGTTAACTTTCAAGCTGACTGCATGGGCATCTATAAGTTATGATCTGAATGGGCAAGGAGCCCTTGGATCTGACATGTGTAGTGGCCTTGGTCAGTCACTGACTTATTGCGTGGATCTGATCAAGCCTCTTCCTCTCTCTGGATCTTAATTTTTCTAATGCATCAAAAGAGGGTCGTGAAACAGACCAGCTTTGAAATTCCATATTCCCTTCATACCTATGATTTTTAATATCCCACCATCAAAAATGAACATCTTTGGGTCCTGAAGGGGTCTCCATGAACTTTAAGAGTTTCATATTATGTTGGGATGGTAACATCTTAAATCTTTTTTTTTTCTTTTTTTTTTTTTTTACAACGGAGTCTTGCTCTGTCGCCCAGGCTGGAGTGCGGTGGTGCGATCTCTGCTCACTGCAAGCTCCGCCTCCCGGGTTCACGCCATTCTCCTGCCTCAGCCTCCCGAGTAGCTGGGACTGCAGGCACCCACCACCACGCCCGGCTAATTTTTTGTATTTTTAGTAGAGACGGGGTTTCACCATGTTAGCCAGGATGGTCTCGATCTCCTGACCTCGTGATCTGCCTGCCTCGGCCTCCCAAAGTGCTGGGATTACAGGCGTGAGCCACCACACCCTGCCCCTAACATCTTAAATCTTATCAGCAAACAGATAAATTGGGATTTGCTGACAAATGGCTAGGAATGAGGTCCTGTAAATAATAGAGGGTGTAAGAACTGGGATGGAAAGGGAGGCTGTGTTGTAAGGCTGAATATTCCATTGTGGGTATATAACAAATTTTCTTTATCTGTTTATTCATTGATGGACACTTAAGTGGATTCAATATCTTGGATATTGTGAATAGTGCTGCAATAAACATCAGGGCGCAAGGATCCCTTTGATATACTGATTTCTTTTACTTTGAATAGATACCAAGTAGTGGTATTGTGAGATCATGTGGTGGTTCTATTTTTAATCTTTTGAGGAATCTCTGTATTGTTTTTCACAATGGCTATACTAATTTACATTTCCACCAACAGTGTACAAGGTGTCCCTTTTCTTCACATCCTCATCAACACTTGTTATCTTTTGTCTTTTTGATAATTTGATAATAGCCATTCCAACATGTGTGAGGTGACATCTCATTGTGGTTTTAATTTGCATTTCCCTGATAGTTAGTGATGTTGAGCAGTTTGTTATATACCTGTTGGCCATTTCTAAGTCTTCTTCTTTTTTTTTTTTTTATTATACTTTAAGTCCTGGAATACACGTGCAGAACGTGCAGGTTTGTTACATAGGTATACATGTGCCATGGTGGCTTGCTGCACCCATCAACCCGTCATCTAGGTTTTAAGTTCTGCATGCATTAGGTATTTGTCCTAATGTTATCCCTCCCCTTGCCCCTACCCCCCAACAGGCCCGGGTGTGTGATGTTCCCTAAGTCTTCTTTGGAGAAATAGCTATCCAGGTTCTGGCCTGGCATTGTAGGGGCCTGGTCACTCAGTCTACAAGTGCTAACCAGGAACCTGGGCCATGAGGGCCTGACTGGCTCTGGATTTCACTGGTGTGAGCCTAGTGTTATGGTCTGAGCAAAATTGGGTGCTCACTTCCCTCCTCTTTCCTGCAAAGTAGGTATTTCTCTCTGTACTATGCTGCAAAGGTTGGAGAAGGGTTGACGTGTGTAATGTGCAACTGTCCTTCCTACCCTCTTCAGTGTGCCTTTTCTTATTTCTGTGCTATACCCAGGTGCTGTAATCTCTTACCTGGTTTCTTAGCTCTGTGAAGGTATTGTTGTACATGAATAGCTGTTCAAATTGATGTTTCTGCACGGAGAGGAGTGCTGAAAAGTCCTATTATGCCATCTTGCTGATGTCACTACTTCACCTATTTTTTGGTGGTGCAAAGAGTGGAGAGAACAGTTTTATTTTCATGAAATAATTGATAAGAGTTAAAGATGAACTAGAATATCTACATGCCACAGGTATGCAGGGGAAGAGAGGGTTTGATGTTTTAGGGTGTTATTAGGCAAGAAGGTACAGCCCAAGAGTGCACAATGGTGAGACAGAATAGTGTTGTAAACAGAATGGGATGCTTCCACAGACTGTGGGGATATTAGGTAATCAAAAAGTTAGACCATTTTTAATATGTGTGGCTGTGAAACATCTGCTGGTGAAATGTGAATTAAAGGGTAGAATTGTATTTGGGGAGGTATAATTCTTTAAATTTGATACTGATTTCAGACTGGTCATGGCTTCAGAAGTATTATATTATTCTGTTCTATTCTATTTATTATATATTTCAAGGTAATAGTGAAAGGAATAGAAATGATTCACTGCTCTGGAAATGGAACTTGGCTGGGGCATTGTGAGACTATATTCAGCTTTCTTGTGAGCAACATAGACTAGCCACTATGACAAATGAGAGTGTAAGAACATGGAGTATTATCTTTTGACTCAAGGACTGAGCACTGTGTCCATTAGTCTATAAGCAAAAAGTAGTTTGCATTAGACATAGAAAATAGAAAACACCATTTGTTATTTCTAATTGTGTTAGAACAAGAAGGTAGGAAGGTAACTTCCATGGATGCTATCAAAGTATTTCTAGAGATGTAGTTTCATGGAAGGAAATAAACTAGTCCCTAAACATAAATCAATGAAACTAATGATACTGCTTGAAAATGTCTAGGATATTGATTTAGACTTTTTATTTTTCTACTCTATATCTTATAACAAGGAAAATAAACACAAAAACAATAATCAGAGGTAATGAAGAGCTTACTAAAATAGCAGCATATCTTTTAAAAAAATAGGTGAGGGAATATTTGAAAAACTGGATTGCATGGAAAACAGCAGGCCCATATGGCATGCACAATAGGATATTAAAGAGAACCAGCTTGTGAACTTACCAATCTAAGCTGCTTCAGTCAGTAATAAATCATGGACATCTGAGTGAGAGGATCCCAGTCCATTTCATGGAGAAATAAAAATCATATAACCTACCCAAAATGAACGAAAAATCACAACGAACTTTCTCAGGGAACTATATACATAATTAAGTGTTTTCTACAAACTCATGGAAAGCTAATATATTGTAAATCTATAGGCAGAAGCACTTAAAAATAAAATCGTATAAATTTTATCATTTGCTTTCCCAAAATGAAATAGTCTGTCTGAAACTATACTTGTAGTCAGATTTGTAGCTATACAATTATAATAAAGCACTAAGATTAAGATAAGGACCTCAATGAACATAACTGGGAGAATTTAATTCAATAGATTTTTGTCAGACATCTTCAAAGTAGTTGAATATTATCTTGAAAACATTTCTTCAGTAGGTAAAGAATGGGTCAAGGATCTTGACTAATACCAATGGCAATATACTTAGTGTACTTTACTGATACGTTTACTTTATATAAAAATGTTTGTTTCACAAGATTTGATGCATATGTCATGGGAAAAATAATATAGCTAGATCTTCCTGACAACATGGTGTAGTAAATATGTTTTTTTTAATAGATGAAATTTTATTGCTCAGGGGAGATGGATTGAAACCCTCATTTCTTCCCTTTCTCCCTACAGACTTTACTCTTCTATTTATTTTGGAGTGTGAACTGTGGTTCTTGATAAATGAGTGTGTTCACTTTGCTCTGAATACTAATTTTTAACAAGAGACACGTATGGGGTGCAGGCTGGTGGTAGAGTAGGGTGGAAGGACATGTCATGTACAGACACACGCATACAAAATTATTGAGTAGAAGAAACAAAGAGATACAAATAAGATTATCTTTCTTTCATTTCCCTGATAACATTGTAGTTAACTAATAGAAGAGAAATAATGCCAACCACAAAAATCTATCAAATGCTCACCATGTTACATGGTTCTCTGTATTCCAGATACATTATTATATTTATAATCAACCCTGCAGTCTATTCCATTTGACATATAAGGACAGTGAGTTCAGAGGAATTTAGTGCTTTAGGGCAGGCCAACTCTAGCTATAAAGAACTCCAAAGTAAGCTGTGGTTTTTCCACCTTAAAATAAAGCAGATAATAGAGAGGTTCACAGGTCACTAAATAAATGCTGCACTCTCCTCTGGCTGATCAAATAGTGTGCATTTTCTTCAATAGCAGGGCAGAGGGTCAGTTTCCCCCTCTTTGGTATTTCATAGGCTTTGAGAGACTAAATTATATGCCATTAGAGATACATTTTCAACTTGAAGCTACCATATTTAACAGAGAGTGAATTACATTAATTCATAACACCAAGAGGTGCCACAGAAGATGTCTTCTCCATGAAAGGAAACCGTAAGACATAATTGAATGAGATTATGAGGAACATAGGCTTGGTTTTTTTGTTTTTTTTTTTGAGACGGAGTCTCGCTCTGTCGCCCAGGCTGGAGTGCGGTGGCGCGATCTCGGCTCACTGCAAGCTCCGCCCCCCGGGTTCACGCCATTCTCCTGCCTCAGCCTCCCGAGTAGCTGGGACTACAGGCGCCCGCCACTACGCCCGGCTAATGTCTTGTATTTTCAGTAGAGACAGGGTTTCACCGTATTAGCCAGGATGGTCAAGATCTCCTGACCTCGTGATCCGCCCGCCTCGGCCTCCCAAAGTGCTGGGATTACAGGCGTGAGCCACCGCGCCCGGCCGCTTATTATTTTTTAATTGAAACCTACATGATAACTTTCCATGAAACAAAAATCTCTACTCATCTCTCAGTGTACATTGCAAGTCTTCCACCTGTGGGTCTGTGGGGCTGTGTTAAGCTCTGTGGGGATCAAGGAAAATAGAGAGAATTTGAAATTTAAGTCCAATATATGGGGGAAAAAAAGAAGGAAGAAAAAAATAGGAAAAGCTTGTTTCTATTATGTTTTGGTTTTTCTAGGAGGAGAGGGCTTGCTTTTTATTTTATTATTTTTATTTTTTTAGTCAAAGCCTCACCCTGTTCCCTGTTGCCCAGGCTCTGGAGTGCATCACACACTCACGGCTCACTGCAGCCTTCACCTCCTGGGCTCAAGCGATCCTCCTGCCTCAGCCTCCCACAGTGCTGGAATTCCAGGCGTGAGCCACCACGCCGGACTGGAATAGAAGTTTTTGATTCAAGGTGACTAACCTGCTCTTTGCTCAGGTCTCTTTGGCCACCTCATCTTCCTCAAATGCAAGGAATTCCTCACGTATCATTCTCCCTTTCGTGCTTGCTCTCCTCTCTCCCGCTGGAGCCTCTGAGATAAACACAGACTTAAGCAAACAACAACAACACAAACATCTCCTGGGAAAGAAGCTCTTTCACTTGTTTTGTCTCACTGAAGCTAATGCTCCTGCATGCCTAGTCCAGGACATCATATGATTTTTACAAAAATAAATAACGTTAAATTCAAAGCCTGTGTGCCATCTAGTATACCACAAAAGACTGGCTAATTCATTGTTCTTACGCATTGTTTTGCATGAGTATACATTTATTTTCTCATCACTTAATTTCTCCTTTGTGATCTTCTTATTTACCATCTCCTGGATGCAGAATGACTCTTGCTTCTCTTTCCAAGTCATCTGAGTTGCAATTAGATTAGCTCCTCTTTAGCAATAAATGAGTTAAAGAAGAATTTGGCAGAATCTAGGTAGCCACAGATGACTTCATAGTCTGTGTGATTTTGGGGGGTGAAAGGGAGAATACACAGCAACAATATAGAGATTTCTACTGCTTTCTAAATTACCTTCCTTTCCTATTGAGTTAACCCAGTGTGGCAGATGCTAAAGGCTCCACTGAGGCCAATGATATATTAAGCTACAAGAGCACTGTGTCTATACTCATATCTGTATAGACACCATCACTAATAATCCTTCATAAAGACTTAGGGGTAGGTCCCTATTCTCACTTGAGTCATTACTTTTTGTTGTAGTCTTTATTATGGCTGCTTTTAGTCGTACCAAGACCACTGCAGTGATGGCTGCCCACAAGTATCACATCTGTGGGAGTTACTTGTATTGGAGCTTACAGGTTTCATATGGTGGAATTTCTCTTCTCCTCTCCTCCCCTCCCCTCCCCTCCCCTCCCCTCCCCTCCCCTCCCCTCCTCTCCTCTCCTCCTCCTTTTCTCTTCCTCTCTCTCTTTCTCTCTCTCATAACCGGGCACTGTGGCTCATGCCTGTAATCTCAGCACTTTGGGAGGCTGAGGTGGGTGGATCACCTAAGGTCAGGAGTTCGAGACCAGCCTGGCCAACAGGGGGAAACCCCATCTCTACTAAAAATACAAAAATTTCCCAGCTACTCGGGAGGTTGAGGCAAGAGAACCGCTTGAACCCAGGAGGCGGAGCCTGCAGTGAGCGGAGATAGCGCCATTGCACTCCAGGCTGGGCGACAGAGGAAACACTCTGTTTAAAAAAAAAAAAAAAGACAGGGTCTCGTTCTGTCACAGGAGCTGTAGTGCAGTGGTGCCATCATAGCTCACTGCAGCCTCAAAATCCTGGGCTTAAGCTATCCTTCCTTACACCTCAGCCTTTCCAGTCCCTGGGACTACAGACACACACCACTGTGCTTTATTTTTATATCAGTTTGAATGTTGGATCTTTAAAAAGATGAGGTAGGTACATGAGAATTAGCTTATTTTGGCCAAGGGCTATACGTAATAAACATGATAATCAACTAAATGGCTGTTAGCCAAAAATATATTTCCCTTACTTCCAGAGGATTCTAGGTCATGCTTGGCAGTGTGTCCTTCTCAAATTGGAGTTTGTATGAGTGTTTCACAGGCAGACTGAAGGAAATGAAAGAGACTCAAATTTGCCCTACCAGAGTTGTTTCCTAAACCATCCTGAAGGTTCCATTTCCTCACCTTTGGAATAGTTTATCTGATGCCCTAAGAACAGAACAGGTATTAGTCACCATCTTTGTTCAATGGCTTAAATTCTCTGTTCTTTTCTTTTAGAAATTGAAAGCCTATATTTATCAGAAAGCTGGCTCCAATGAGTGTTCTGAGGATTAGCTGGAAATATGATTTATCTTAGTGTTAGAAATGCCATTTTATTACAAAATATTAATATCACCAAATAGATAAAATACAGAGTGAAGTTAAGAATCATGCTGTATGAATTTCCCATCAAAATGTTACTGTCCTCTGAAGTGAATCAGGAGGTGCTTTAGTATTAATAAATAGAATAGAATACAAATGTCAGTCTAAAATTATACACTTCTATTTTGGATTAAATTTCTTAGGGTCCCTCAGATAAGCCATAATGATAAAGACAACAAAAAAGTGAGTTGATAGCTATTAGAAACATTTTTAGCTCCCATGTCACATTTAGCTAACAATTAAATAATATTTTTATGTTAAGAATATACAATTCAAACACTATACATGTATTATATTTTAGTCATATTTTTATTATTACACTTTGTTTTTACATGTCTATTCTTACCATAATTAAATTGAAAAATTCTAAAAGTTTACTGCTTCTGAGGAAATTAGTGGTTACTGTAAACCAGTATTGTGTGCTGGTTACCAAGTTGTTTGAGTTTGTTAAGACAGAACACCTACACACATAACAAGCTGCATGAAGCAGTTTCCTTACAGGTAGGTAACAAGGGACACAGGAGCCTAGGATTCATTGCCAGCCAGTCCAAGGCTCAGGAAACCTGCCCACGGCAGATGGAGTCTCCTCTGGGCACGTGACACTTGCACTGCAACTGAAGGACCCAGAAAAGCAACCTGCCCCGGGTTTTATATCCTGGGGCATTAAGACACTCTGGACTAAAGCACTGAAAGAAATCCTGTATCTGGGAGTGGGGCATGGGGAGAGGGTACTAGAACAGAGCCTGAGCTCTTCTAGCCAGTTTTTCCTTATCTCAGGATGTGGGATTTTTAGAATATTCTACAGTTATTTTTGAGAGCTACAAGTGAGAAATTGGGGAGAGCTGGGCCAGTCTAAGGCTACCTGGAGAACTATCCTGAAGTTACCACATTTGTGTTGAAATAATCAATGATAAAGAGTAAAAAGATAATGGTTTTGTCTGTGTCCTGTGTAATTTGTATTCAAAAGAGTTTGAGTCACATGAATACTAACATTAAATCTAATTTAGTTAAGCTTAAGAACTCATTGTTTTTATTCAAATATGAAGTTAAACTATGAACTTATAATGGAATTATTGATATGGCAATGCTGGTTATAAACATCTATTTACAATTCAATGAACTTGTATATTGAAATCAATAAGCTTCTAACTATCAAAAAATGAAATTGTCAGAGGCAATTCTACATTGTTAAGAGAGTCTTATTACTTCCCCAAATGCTGACACATGCAGTGATTTCAATTTAAGTATGTAGTTAATAGGTGAAAATATTTACCTATCTCACAAAAGATTTCAAATTTTTGTTCCATTTTAACCAATCAGCATGACATAGTGACTAAATCATTAAAACTCTAAGTCAGACTCTCATTTCAAACACAGGCTCTGCTCCTTATCAGGTCTGTGATGGTGGACAAGTTCCTTCTTCTGTCTAAGCTGTAGTTTCTCCATCTGTGACATGAGTATGCTAATTCTTACCTCATAAGATGGTGGTAATGAATAAATTGTATAATTCCTACAAAGCATATTTTACCGTGTCTGGCAAATATTAATTACTCCTTGGATCTCAGTTATTATTGCTGATTGTGGAAATCATCTCCTGTGCCCTGACCTTGAATAGTTTCTATATCCATCTAATCTGTGTGCATTCTCTTATGGTAGATTAGAGATGGCTGCAAATTCTTTGATGCTCCTTCCATTGAGAGGTGGGGATTTGTTTCTTCCATTTGAACTAGAAGTGGCCTCTGTGACTGTTTAACTGATAGAATATGACAGAAATAATGCCACATAAATTTCTGGGTTAACCTTAAGACACCTAACTACTTCAGATACTTGCTCTTGAATGACTGAGTCACCATGTGACATAACTGACTATTCTGAAGCCAACATACTCTGGGGAAGATGAAGAAACCAAGTATGGAGGTCCATGAGGAAGGGAACAAGACTACTGTCCAATATCCCATCTGTGTCCCCAGCTGACAGTGCACAGCCACTTGACCGCCATGTGATTAAGCTATTTTGGAGGTTGATTTTCCAGGCCCAGTGGACTCTCCCCAGCTGAAGATAAACCAGCTTTATTGAGCCATGCCCAGATTGCAGAATCATGAGTACAAGAAATGATTGATATTGTTCTGGAGTGGCTTGTTATGCAACAATAGGTAACTGGAACGTTTGCTAACCTCTTGAAGTTCACTCTTAAATCCCATCTCTTTGATAAGGCGTTGGCCAAATATTTTAGCACACTCTGATGCTCCCTTTTACTATATTCTCATAGTCTTTGTGATCTATACTATTCTTTTTGTTATTCACTCACAAATATACATATCATTTTTAAGATTTCCTTTATGTAAGCTATTTCCTTTAAGTATTGTGTAAGTTGTTTCCTTTGTGTAAGTATATTTAAGTATCTGTATATGTGTATATCCACATATATGTTAATATAAACACACATACACACACATGTATGTGTAAATACATTCCTTCTTTTATAACTCTGGTAACACCTAGCACATGACTTGGCCTTGGTACATATTCAAATATATCTTGAATAATTAAATTGCATATGTAATTTGCTTTGCTTTTTCTAGTAGTTCTAGTAGTTCACTCTCAATCCCTTCCTGTTTTCTACATTACATTTTTACATTAAATGGTATTTTCAGAACACAAATATGAATAAGGCACCAGCCTTCCTTAAAACCCAGGGGGTGTCTTCTCATTGATTTGAAGCTACATGGAGGCTGTTTTCCACCATTCTGAGAGGCCAGGCATGGTGTGATGCCTGCCTATCCCAGCATCCTCATCATGGACTGAGTTCTGTGTTTGTATTCTGGTTCAAGGGGCCTCTGTCAGACCCTCATGGCTGGCTGTGCCTCCTCTCACTTCAGGGCTTTTGTGTGTGTCCTCTCTTGGCTGAAGTGTTCTCTGTGCTCTGAACACCTTCTTTCTGTCTTTCATTGCCCTGAAGCTATTCAATCTTAAAGACACAAGTTATGCCTCATGGAGACTTTTCTGATTCCTCTACTGGGAAAGAATCCCTTTTTCCTGTGTCCTACCAATGATTTTTAGCTATACAGTAAATCTCATATACCATTTATGATCATACATTTTTTCCACAAGTATATTAGAATTGTAGCAAAGCTATAACAAAAGCCTCCTAATGAGTTAGGCATGGTGGACTTTCAGCCAGGAGAAAGGTTAAGGGTCACCAATTAGGAATATAACCCAGATGAGAAAATTTTAAAATAAACAAATCAATCAATTAAAAATTTTTATAAAAATAAGTCAGCAACATTTGGGAGACATGCTTGTGAGAGACTAGTTCTTAAAAGTGTCACTCAAATAAAGCTTTTGTTCAACCTTACCCATTAAATTTTAGTTGTTGATTGCAGGATCCATGGCTGAGTAACCTTTGTATAATTCACCAGCTCAGTGATATTAACTCACTGCCTTCCACATAGAAATCATATAAATATGTGAGAAGAGAAGGCTTTTAGCTATTCCATATAAGCAACAAGTCAGGTTTATATATTTGTTCTGAATTAGATAATAATCAGCCATCTTCACTTAAAAAAGATGTTTTGTGCCTTTCCCAACCTGTCTCCCCAGTTACCCTCTGCTGTAAACTTAATTCCTTATGTGACCATATTTTCTTCCTCTTTCTTTGCTTGTCATTATTCTCCCTTTGGTTCTTAAGAATCATATTCACTTAATATATCTGAACCTTTACATCTCCACCTTTCACACTTGCTTTTCAGATTGTGCCTGCCCACCTCTAATTATGCATGTATACTTTGGCTTCTGTAATCTTTTATTCTTTAAGACAATAGAAGGTTTTATTCTGTGGTCCTTCTTAAATGAATTCTAACATCACTCTCACTTTCTCTACCACTCAAGATTGGCTGGGCAGGTTTATTCTCTTTGCCAGGCTTCAATTTCATCTAATATCTTGTTTGTCTTTTGAAGCCAAGCATTGTTTTTATTCAAGTTTTCAGTAATAACAGGAACTATTTTTTTTCTTTATATCATGTACAACTCATGATACTGTGCTTTAATGCTTGAAAGCTGGTTATAAGTCTACCAAATCTAGCCTCTCTCAAATTAACCTCTGTATGTGATGTTAAAACTTAAGTAATTCTTTGCAATTGATATAATAATTTTAATCACCCACTTATGATGAGTCCATAGAAAAACAAGAGAAGGTGGAACAATCATGCCCAAGAGTATGCTACATTTTTTGAGGATCCTATATTTGAGGGATACTGTTATTGAGTGATACTTCTTTGTGGTCTGAAGATCACAGAATCCTGCATATACCACAGCCTTATAGTCTTTGGGCATGGAGTTTGCTTTATTTGCCCATCTTCTTATTAACTGTGTGTATCCATCACAGCAAGGTAATACCACATCAGTTCCCTAAAGCATTAATTTAAAATAATTCTCAGAGCCTCTTTCCAGAACCAGGATGTTTGCTTTTTCCTTTCTCACACACATTAGCCAGTGTGAGCTCTGTGAGCATTAGGTTTTAGTTTATATCTTTGAGATGAGTGAAATATCGTCATTACCAGACATGAAGGGAAAATCAGACATGAATTTTCCAAACTTCAGTGTAAACAAAGTCCTACCTGATAGGAGCCACATTTCAATTCTATGAAACTATGTCTACAACACTTCTATGAGAAAAAAGGAGAAAAAAAGGAACCGCTTTCAGAATTGAAAATAGTTACATAATTATAAATCTTACAGATGTTTATAACACAATACTATTAACTTTAGGTCAATATATTTGTCAGTTGGAATAACAATGGACAACTTTCTAGGGAAAAAAAACAACTTACCACAGCTAGCACAGTAAGAAACAGAACTAGAAATATTCCTTTGCTGACAAAGGTAATTTGAACTTGAAATTAAAACCATTCTCACAAAAGCATAGGTGGCTTCATTGGTGAGTTCTTACAAAAATTTTAGGAAGAAATAGTGTCAATCTTACACAAACTCTTACAGAGAATAGAAAAAGAGGGAACAGTTTCTGATTTGCTACAATTAATGTAGTTCAAGGTAAATCAATGGAGTTCACCTCATTAAGTGATAAAGGAGAGAAATCATTTGGTCAATCAATTGTTGCAGAAAAAAATAGTAAAATTCAACTCCCATTAATTCTTAGTTAACTGGTGTATGGTTTGGCTCTGTGTCCCCAGCCAAATCTCATGTCAAATTGTAATTCCCAGTGTTGAAGGAGGGACCTGGTGGATGGTGATTGGATCGTTGGGGCAGATTTCCCCTTGCTGTTCTCTTGATAGTGAGTGAGATCTCATGGGATCTGGTTGTTTGAAAGTGTGTAGCACTTCCTCCTTCTCCAGGAAGAAGGTACTTGCTTCCTCTTCGCCCTTCCACCATGACTGTAAGTTTCCTGAAGCCTTCCCAACTGTGCTTCCTGTACAGCCTGTGGAATTGTGAGTCAGTTAAACCTCTTTTCTTCATAAATTACCCAGCCTCGTTCTTTATAGGTCTTTCTTTATAGCAAAGCAAGAACAGACTAATACAGAAAATTGGTACTGAGCAGCAGGGCATTGCTGTGAAGATATCTGAAAATGTGGAAGTGACTTTGGAACTAAGTAACTGGCAGAGGTTGAACAGTTTGGAGGGCTCAGAAGAGGCTAGGAAGATGTGGAAAAATTTGAAACTTCCTAGAGACTTGTTGAATGGTCATGACCAAAATGGTGATAGAGATGTGAACAGTGAAGTCTAGGCTGAGGAGGTCTCAGATGGAGATGACGAACTTATTGGGAACTGGCATATGGAGATGACAAACTTATTGGGAACTGGCGTAAAGGTCACTCTTGCTATGCTTTAGCAAAGAGACTGGCAGCATTTTGCCCCTGCTCTAGAGATCTGTAGAACTTTGAACCTGAGACAAATGTTATAGGGTATCTGTCTGAAGAAATTTGTAAGCAGCAAAGCATTCAGGATGTAGCTTGGCTGCTTCTAAAAGCCAGTGCTCATTTGCATAAACAAATAAATGGCCTGAAACTCAAACTTATACTTAAAAGGGAAGCAGAACATAAAAGTTTGGGAAATTTGCAGCCTGGTCATGTGGTAGAAAAGAAAAACCCATTTGCTCAGGAGAAATTCAAACCAGGTGCAGAAATTTGCATAAGTAAGGAGGAGCTGAATGTTAATAGCCAAGACAATGGAGAAAATGTCTCCAGGGCATTCCAGAGACCTTTGTAGTAGCTCCTATCATCTCAGGCCTAGAGGCCTGGGGTAAAAATGGTTTCATGGGCCAGACCCGGGGCTCCGTTGCTCTGTGCAGTCTCAGGACATGGCATCCTGCATTACAGCATCCCCAGCTCCAGCTGTGGCCAAAAGGAGCCACAGGTCAGGCCATTGTTTCAGATAGTGAAAGCCCCAAGGCTTTGGTGGCTTACATATGGTGTTAGGCCTGTGATTGCACAGAGGGAAAGAGTTAAGGCTTGGGAGCCTTCACCTAGGTTTCAGAGGCTGTAGAGAAATGCCTTGATGTCCAGGCAGAAGTCTGTTTCAGGGGCAGAGCCCTCATGGAGAACCTCTCCTAGGGCAGTGTGGAAGGGAAATATGGGGTTGCAGCCCCCACACAGAATTCCCACTGGGGCATTGCCTAGTAGAGCTGTAAGAAGAGGGCCATGATCTTCCAGACCCCAGAATAGTAGATCCACCAATAGCTTGCACCATGCACCTGGAAAAGCTGCAGGCACTAAACACCAGCCCTTGACAGCAGCCGTGGGAGCTGAGTCCCACAGAGCTAAAGGGGCTGAGCTGCCCAACGCTCTGGGAGCCCAACCCTTGCATCAGTGTGGCCTGGATATGAGACATGGAGTCAAAGGAGATTATTTTGGAGACATAAGATTTAATGACTGCCCTGCTGGGTTTCGGACTTGGATGGGGACTTTAGCACCTTTGTTTTGGCCAATTTCTCTTTTTTGGAAGGGAATATTTACCCAATGCTTGTACCCCCTTTGTGTCTTGGAAGTAACTAACTTGTTTTTGATTTTACAGGCTTATAGGTGGAAGGGACTTACCTTGTCTCAGATAAGACTTTGGACTTGGACTTGTGAGTTAATGCTAGAATGAGTTAAGACTTGAGGGATGGTTGAGAAAGCATGATTGTATTTTACAATGTGAGAAGGACATGAGATTTGGGAGAAGCCAGGAATGGAATGATATGGTTTGGCTGTGTGTCTCCACCCAAATCTCATGTTGACTTGTAATTCCAAATGTTGGAGAAGGGGCCTGGTGGGAGGTTATTGGATCATGGGGGCAGATTTTTTCCCTTGCTGTTCTTGTGATAGTGAGGGAGTTCTCATGAGATCTGGTTGTTTGAAAGTGTGTGGCAGTTCCCCCTTTGTTCTCTCTTCCTCCTGCTCCATCATATGAAGAAGATGCTTGCTTCCCTTTTGCCCTTCTGCCATGATTGTAAGTTTTCTATGGCCTCCCCAACCATGCTTCCTGTACAGACTACAGAACTGTAAGTCAATTAAACCTCTTTTTTTTTTCATAAATTACCCAGTCATAAGTAGTTCTTTATAGCAGTGTGAGAATGGACTAACACAACTGGTAATGGATTAGGAATACCTTTTTAATTTGGTAATTTGGCATCAACAAAAATTTACAGCAAACATTGTATTTTATAAAGAAATATTGATAGTTTTGTCTCTGACTCTGTTAACAAGACAAAAAGGCCCACTAGTCCCACATATAGTCAATATTGTATTGGAGATCCTAGCCAAAATAATAAGGGAGAGACACATGCAGGAAATATAAGAATGACAAATATTTTCTGACAACATGATTTTGAATGTAGCAAACCCAAGAATTTACAAACTAGCTGAACATAGGAAAATATCACTGGATATGTCAACATATACAGATTAACTGTATTCCTGTAAATATCAATTAACAAGAAGGTGAAACTTTGAAATGATACAATTTACAATAATATAACACATAGCAAGTACCCAGGACTTAATCAAATTAAAGGCACGAAAGACACCTGTGCAGAAAACTATAAAACATTATTGAAAGAAATTAATAAAGAACTAAATAAATGATGACTCTACCATGTTTCTCATTTCAAGGACCCAATATTCTAAGGCTGGCAAATGAGTCTCTTTTATTATTATTTTATTTATTTATTTATTTGAGACGGAATCACGCTGTGTCCCCTAGGCTGCAGTGCAGTGGCACGATCTCAGCTCACTGCAACTTCTGCATCCCTGGTTTAAGTGATTATCTGCCTCAGTCTCCTGAGTAGCTGGGATTACAGGTGCCCACCACCATGCCTGGCTAATTTTTGTATTTTTAGTAGAGATGAGGTTTCACCATCTTCACCAGGCTGGTCTGGAACTCCTGACCTTGTGATCTACTCTCCTCTGCCTCCCAAAGTTCTGGGATTACAGGCGTGAGCCACCGCGCCCAGCCATGAGTCTCTTTTATTTGATCTATAGTTTACCCAGAACCACAATTAAAATCCCAGAGGGACATTTTGGTGGAAAATTTCAAGCTAATTCTAAAATATATAGGGAAAATGCAAAGAGATAACTCTAGATCACCTTGAAGAACAACAAAATTGGACTTACACTAATATCAATATATATTGTAAAGTTATAATAATTAAGGCAGTGTGCTATTGATCCAAGGATGTTCAGAGGGAAAGAGCAATTAGACAGAATATAAAATCAAGAAATAGACTCAAACATACATGATTTATAGAAACACCTGATTTATCAAAAAGCTCTGTGGAGCAGTGGCAAAGGAGAGGGAGAACTGGATAACTATACAGAGAAATGAAAAGATTCTTGACTACGTCAAGATGCCAGGAAAACATGCAGGGAAAAAAGCAGATCATAGCTCAAAATATGTAAGGTAAAATAATTTTTCTGGGATACTCCACAGGTAAATATCTTCATGATCTTGGGATAGGCATAGATTTATTAAATAGGCTAAGATTATTAAAGAGCATTAGCCATAAATGAAAAGATTGATGCATTGGAATATATAAAAATTAGGAACTTCTTTTAATTAAAAAATATAAGACAGTGAAAAGGCAGCCTTCAGACTGGATAATTTATTTTCAATAAATTTACTCAACAAATATATAAATAATATAAAAAGAATTCCCTCAAATGATAAGAAAAAGGCAGACAACCAAATAGAAACAGGTGAAAAGGACTTAAATAGGCACTTTATGAAAAGGATATCCATTTGACCAGTAGTCCTATGAAAATGTGCTCAAACTCGATATTGCAAATTAAAATCATAGTCAGGTAACACTGTTTACTCAGGTAGTTAAAAATTAAGAAGTCTGACAAACCCTGTTGTGGACAAGAATGTAGAATAACTAAAATTCTTACACTGTGTAGGTAGGAATCAAAGTTGATACAATTACTTTGGAAAGTTCTTGGTAGCTATTATTAAAGCTGAGCATTCATATACTCTTGAACCAGCAATTCTACTCCTAGGTATATGCTCCCCCATAATTAAGTGATTATATATATATGAATTAAAGAATGTGTGCATGGTGTTTGTATGTATGTGTGTTTATAACTTTTCATAGTAGCATTATTTCACAGTAGCCAAATCTGAAACCAAACCACCTACAAGTATTTTTGATGTATTCATGTAATAGGATATTACGCAGCAATGAAAATGAACCTACCACTGTTACATGTTACATCATAGATGTACGTAGATTACCAAAAACATGATGTTGAGTGAAAAGGATGGGTAGAAGTGAATATTTGAGATAGTTATTCCCCTTAAGATAAGTTGTAACTATGGAAGTGTCAGGTGGACATCTGGCTTGCTGGTAACGTTCTCTTTCATCATCTGGTTCAGCAGATGCTAAGTTTGTTCACTTTGTGAAGATTCACTGACTAATGTTTTTGATTTGTGTACATTTGTGTGCTCTACATTTAAGATAGGTTTGTAAAGGCATTTTAAAAAGAAACGCCTCCCATTTTCATATTATCTAAAATTATTTATTTAATTTATTTCTAACATTTTTAGACATGAATTCCTCAGTCCTGGATTTGATCTGATGTTATTATTTGTCTTTTAATAAATTATTTAAAACTTTCTTAATCTACGAACAGAACCTATTTGACATTAAATATAATTGGGACCTTAAAAATATGTTTATTAGGAAAGTGTAGCTTGAGCAATATACTATTTCTTGAGTGTTATTGAAATACACTTTGTGATCCATTACATTATCAATTTTAATAAATATTCTCAGGACATTTAAAAAATATCCAAAATTCATTAAAACCCTACCAATTCTACACCATTCACTTATGTTTTCAAATTTCCACATTCATGTTAACATAGCTGTTCTTGTTCTACTAAGGTTTCCTTTGCTTCAATTCAATGCCCTGGTCTTAATGTTGCCAATTTAGGCTTAATTTTTGTGTTTCTTTTTCTATAATTCTATTGTACCCTATTTTGCTTGTTATGCCAATTTGATTATTATTCTGAATTCAAGCTAAAACTCTTTAAATTTAAGAACTATTGTGTTGATTTATTTTTCAAAATATTGTGTTAATTATGACATCTGACAGTGCGTTTTGTTGTAGTTCTCTTTTTTCCTTTTGTAGTCATTTTGGATGCCTTTCTACTTTTTTTTGGTAGTATAAATTGTGTTTTGCATACTTTTATCATCTACATGATTTGAAGGAAATGTAGATTGTTTTTATCTTTTATCTCACCATTAAATATTTAAAAATTTTTCTTAGTCACTCTTACAATTTTCCAAAATTAATTCCACATATCTAATAACTTCCTAATTTCAGTGGAAATTTTTATTTCAAATCAATACTCATGTAATAATTTACATAAAAATTAAAATATTAACTTTTAATGCTAACTCGTGTGAAGAATAATTGAATTATTTCTACTTCAAGCTTTCGTTCCTCTCATTTTCTAGGTTTCCATAAACTTATTATGGTTTCAAAGGCCAATGATTCAAATAATAATGTTAAACCTAAGGTGCTTTTTTCATTTAATTATACATAAAATTTTGAAATATTTAAAATAATTATTTTGGCACATTGACATCACATTTTCTTTTTACTTGGGAATCTATAATTGTATTTACTTCTGTAATATTTATTTTACTTTATTATTATTATTGTTTTTAGATTCAGTTACACAATAGGTAGTATTTCGACCTTCACCCACCTCCCAACCTCCTCACAGTCCCCTTTGTCTATTATCTCCATCTTTATGTTTATGTGAACCCATTGTTTGGCTCCTACTTGTGAGAACATGCAGTATTTGACTTTCTGTTTGTGCATTATTTCACTGAGGATAATGGCCTCCAGTTCCATTTATGTTGCTGTAAAGAATATGTATTCATTCTTCTTTACGGCTGGACAGTATTCCATGGTGTATATATACTACATTTTTTTTTTAACCAATCCACCACTGATGAACACTTAAGTTGATTCCATGTCTTTGCTATTATAAATAGTGCTATAGTAAACATACGAGTGTAGGTGTCTTTTCAATAAGACAATCTTTTTTTCTTGTGTAGATACCCAGTGGTGGGATTGCTGGGCCTAATGACAGTTCTATTTTTAGTTCTTTGAGAAATATCCACACTGTTTTCCACAGGGATTGAACTAATATACATCCCCACCTATAGTGTATAAGCATTCCCTTTTCTTCATCTCCTCATCAGCATCTCTTATTTTTTTAACTTTTAAAAATCAGCCATGCTGACTGGTGTGAGATAGTATCTCATGGTGGTTTTGATTTGCATTTGTCTGATGATTAGTGATGTAGATAATTTTTTCATATGTTTGTTGCTTGCTTGTATGTCTTCTTTAGAGAAGTGTGTGCTCATGTCCTTTGCTGACATTTTAAGAGGGTTATTTGTTTTTTTATTTTCTTGATGATTTAAGTTCCTTATAGATTCTGGATATTAGTCCTTAGTTGGATGCACAGTTTGCAAATATTTTCTCCCACTTTGTAGATTTTCTGTTTATTGACAGTTTATTTTGCTGTGCAGAAGCGCTTTAGGTTAATTGAACCCCAGTTGTCTATTTTTGTTTTTGTTGCTTTTACTTTTGAAGTTTTAGTCATATGAGGTCTTAGTCAGAAATTATTTGCCTAGGCCAATGTCCAGAACAGGTTTTCTTCTAGGATTTTTATAATTTGAGGCCTTACATTTAAATCTTTATTCCATCTTGAGTTAAGTTTTGTATATGATGAGAAATAGGGCTCCATTTTTATGCTTGTGAGTAGCCAGTTTTCCCAGCACCATTTATTGAATTTGGTGTCCTCTCTCCAATATTTTACATTTTTTTTTGGTTGGGGGTGGGGTTTGCTTGAAGATGAGTTTGTTGTAGGTATGTGGCTTTATTTCTGGATTTTTTATTCTGTTCCATCAGTCTATGCATCTATATTTGTACTAGTACCATGCTGTTTTATTTATTATACCCTTGTAGTATAATTTGAAGTCAGACAATGTGATGCCTCCAGATTTGTTCTTTGTGCTTACAGTTGCTTTGGCTTTTCAGGCTGTTTTTTGGGTCCATATGAATTTAGAATAGTTTTCTTTTTCTAAATCTGTAAAAACTGATGTTGGTAATTTGATAGAAATTACATTGAATCTGTACATTGCTTTGCACATTGTGATTGTTTTAATAATATTAATTCTTCCTATCCATGAGCATTGGATGTTTTTCCATTTGTTTGTGTCATGTATGATTGGTTTCATTAGTGTTGTAAAGTTCTCCCTGTAGAGATCTTACATCCCCTTGGTTAAATGTATTGCTAGGTATTTTATTTTTTATAGTTATTGTAAATGGGATTGAGTTCTTGGTTTTGCATTGTTGGTGGAAATGCAACTGATTTTCATGCATCAATTGTATATCATTATATGCTAGTGAGGTTATTAATCAGGGCTAGCAGTCTTTTGGAGGAATCTTTAGGGTTTTCTAGGTATAGAATCATATCATCAGCATTCAGAGATAATTTTACTTCCCGTTTTCCAATTTGAATGCTTTTTATTTCTTTCTCTTGCCTGATTGCTCCGGCCATGACTTCTAGTCTTATGTTGAATAGAAGCGGTGACGCTGGACATCCTCATATTGTTCCAGTTATTAGGGGGAATGCTTTCAACTGTTCCCCATTCACATGATGTTGGCAGTAGGTTTGTCACAGATGGCTCCTATTATTTTTAGGTATATTCCTTCAATATCTCATTTGTTGATGGTTTTTATCATGAAGGAGTGTTGGATTTTATCAAATGCTTTTTCTGCATCTATTGAGATGATCATATGCTTTTTATTTTTAATTGTTTATCTGGTGAATCACATTTATTGATTTTCATATGTTGAGCCAACCTTGCATCTCAGGAATAAAGCATACTTGATTGTAGTGAATTAACTTTTTGATGTGCTGCTGGATTCAATTTGCTAGCATTTTGTTGAGGAATTTTGCATCTATTTTCTTCAGGGATATTAATCTGTATTTTTCTGTTTTTGTTGTGTTCTTGCTAGATTTTTGTGTAAGGATGACACCAATTTTGTAGAATAAGTTAGAGAGGTTTTCCTTGTCCTCTATTTTTGGAATATTTTCAGTAAGAGTGGTATTAGCTCTTCTATGTTCAGTAGAGTTTAGCTGTGAATCCATCTTGTCTGAAGCTTTTTTTGGTTGGGAGACTTTTTTATTACTGATTAAATATTACAGCTGATTATTGGTCTAACCAGGATTTAAATTCCTTCTTGGTTCAATCTTGGGAGTTGTATGTTTCCAGGAATTTATTCATTTCCTCTAGATTTTCTCGTTTCTGTGCACAGAGATGTTCATAGTAGCCTATAATGATGTTTTGTATTTTGTGGTATTATTTCTAATTGGACTTATTTGAATCTTCTCTCTTTTCTTGGTTAATCTAGCTAGTGGTCTATCAATTTTGATTATCCTTTCAACAAGCCAACTTTTCATTTTGTTGACCTTTTGTATAATTTAGTTGGTCTCAATTTCATTTAATCATGCTGGGATCTTTGTCATTTCTTTTCTTCTGCTAGAATTAGCTTCTTATTTTTCTAGTTCCATGAGGTGTGAAATTAGATTATTCATTTGAGATCTTTCTTTATTCATGTATTTTTTTTTTTTCCGAGATAGGGTCTCACTCTGTCACCCAGGCTGGAGGGCAGTGGTGTGATCATGACTCACTGCAACCTCAACCTCCTGGGCTCAAGCAATTCTCCCACCTCAGCCTTCCAACCAGCTGAGACTACAGGCACATGGCACCATGCCCAGCTAATCCTTGGGGATTTATTTGGAGAGATGGGGTTTTGCCATGTTGCCCAGGCTGGTCTCAAACTCCTGGGCTCAAGTGATCTGCTTGCCTCAGTCTCCCAAAGTGCTAGGATTACAGGCATGGACCACTGCAACCAGCCTTTTATATTCTTGATGTATATATTTAGCCCTATACATTTTCCTCTTATGTCCCAAAGGTTTTGGTATGTTGTTCTCTATTTTTATTTGTTTCAAATAATTTTTTTGATTTCTTTCTTATTTTTTTTGTTAACCCAAAAGTCATTCAGAAGAAAATTGTTTCAATTTCATGTACTTATGTAGTTTTGAGAGTTCCTCTTAGTATTATTGAAATTATTTCCAATCTTATTCCACTCTGTGGTCTGAGAAAATACTAGATATTATTTTGAATTTTTAAAATTTATTGAGACTTGTTTTGTCACCAAAATATGGTCAGTTTCAGAGAATGTTCCATGTGCAGATGAGAACAATATATATTGTTTAGTTGTTGGGTACGATATTCTGTAGATGCCTAATGGGTCCATTTACTCAAGAATCCAATTAATGTCCAGAATATCTTTGTTAGTTTTCTGCCTCAATAATTTATCTAGTGTTGCCAGTGGGATGCTGAAGTCACCCAACTATTATTGTATAGCCATCTATCTCTTTTCTTATATCTGTTAGTTTTTATTTTATAAATCTTGGTGCTCTGGTGTTGGGTGTGAATATATTTAGGATAGTTAAATATTCTTGTTGAATTGAGCTGTATCGTTATACAATGGTCTTTGTCTTTTTTTCTTTTACAGTTCTTGTTTTAAAGTCTACTTTACCTGAAACAAGAATGGCGGCCCTTACTCTTTTTGTTTTCCATTTGTATGATATACCTTTCTCTAATTTGAGCTTGCAGATATCATTACTCATTAGCTGAGTTTTTTGAAGGCAGCAGATGGTTGGGTCTTGCTTTTTTTCAGAATTTTCATTTTTTAGGATACATTGCTACAGAACAAGTGTGTTCTTGGAAGTGTCAAAACATTTTCTTTTTTTTTTCTTTTTTTTCCGGAGTCTTGCTCTGTCGCCAGGCTGGAGTGCAGTGGCGCGCTCTGGGCTCACTGCTACCTCCGCCTCCCGGGCTCAAGTAATTCTCCTGCCTCTGTCTCCCGAGTAGCTGGGACTACAGGCTCCCGCCACCACGACCAGCTATTTTTTGTATTTTTAGTAGAGATAGGTTTCACCATGTTGGCCAGGACGGTCTCCATCTCTTGACCTCGTGATCTGCCCACCTCTGCCTCCCAAACTGCTGGGATTACAGGCGTGAGCCTCCGCGCCTGGCCTCTTTCTTTCTTTTCTGTACTGCTGGAGTCCTTGTACTGATTCCTTCTCACCTGAGGGAGCCATCACTTTTTATTTCTTAATCTGCTATCATTTGGAAGGGACTTTTTAATTTTTTATTCTTTCTTCCCCTGAGGGTATGACTATGGTCTATTTTTTGTATTATCATTTGGCCTTTTTTCTGGGTGCTTATTGGGGTCAAAGCTCTGTATGTGTTCCTTAGTTGCGGATGGATTTTGTGTGGTGGTTTTCTCAAATACTGCTTGTTGTAGCAATATATTGGATGTATAAGCCAACACACTAATTCCTCTGGGGCGAAGAGTGCAGAGGTCTCAGGAACCTTATCTTGTGTGCACTGGCACTATGCCCTTCTGACAGTAGATCTTTTATTTGGTGCTCCAGTTTAGTCTCCCTTCCAGTAGGTGGCACTTAAGATTAAAAGCCAGCTCACCCTCAGGAAGCCTGATGGTGACTGGAGACACCTGGCCTCATGTGGGAGGTGGGAGGAGATCATGTGAGGGTGTGCTGAGGTCTCGGGGTAGGGGGTGGGTAGTGTACCAGTTTCTTCTCCTGGGAAAGCAGTAACATGATCCACTTCCTATTACACCCCGTCACAGGGCTCATGACTTTCAGTTCATTTAGACATTATCCTTTGGCTCCTGGCTGTGGCTGGGGACACTGGAAATGCCCCTCTGGAGGCCACCACCAAAATGGGCTCAGGACAGAACTTCTTTTCCCAGCTCAGAGCAGACAGCTCTATGGCTTGTCTTCCCTCCATTGCTGGGACACTACCACTCTGTGTAAGTAGGGAGGGATGGGCTTCACCCTTCATGGTAACTAATCTGTGAGGTACAGGCTCACTTTCAACAGGGGTGTAGCCACCACCAAAAGCTCTGGAAAGCCTTTATCCAAGTGCATACATGTCGGCCCCCACTGGGGAGAGCTTCTGCTGTGTTGGCAACAGTAGATGAGGGGAGAGAGGGATGACCCCATCTCCACATCCATTCCCAGCTGCTGGTGCCACCCATTCAGCAATCGGTTCTGCACCTGCATTACTTTTGTCCCAAGATGTGGTTTGCAGGGCTGTGTTCCCCCGACCTGGGGTGAGGGAGCCTGCACCAAGGGCTTGACCTCTGGGAATCCCACAGCTCCCTGGGGACTTGCTGGTTCCCTGCGGTTGCCAAAGTCAAAACTGGTTGTAGGCTATGTTTGCAGGGGATCTAGTGATGTGACTCAAGGGCTGAGGTTCCTTGAAGGATAGTGGCCCACAATAGGTCCACAACCGGAATAATGCCCACTATCTCGGTTTGGGCCTGAGGGAAGTGGGACATCTGCACAAATTGGCCACCCAGCTCTCTGTCTCCACAGACAGAGATTGTCTCCCAAATCTCCACTGACAGCATTGCCCAGGGTCGCAAGGGCAAAGGGGCTCCCCAACACTTTGGAGATGAGCAGATTGTTGCAGAAGTGAGGGGAACAGATAAGCACCCCCACATACCCTTTTTGCAGGGTTCTGAGTTCCTAGGGAATCAATCTCTGCCAGACTCTTGCTGTGTTCCTTTTCTGCACTTCAGCTTCTTCCTGTGCATCTGCTGACAGGTCCTGGCTCTCTTTCCTCAGCTTTCCATTAGGATCATGACCATTCATGTGTAACTTTGATGTTCTTTTGAGGAGAATTGGCATCCAATGTTCCTAGCTAGTCATCTTAAGAAAAACTTTAATATTTTTCAAAATAGTTTATGATGCTTATCTTCAGTCATTTCTTCTCTAACATCACATGCTTGAATTTAATTTTTGATTTGGATTTTTCTCTTTGTGCTTGAATTCACATGTGAGAGGCCATGTTGTGGATAGTGAGGGAGGTACTATCAATCTACGGCCCTCAAGTAATGTAGGTCTCACATGAAAGCCCCAAATATTGTTAGCCACATTTTATTTCCAGGGTCACCATGTACACACCTGGGGTTGCACTTTTTGTGTGGAAGCCTTTCATTAACCTTGTCATTCTCCTGAAAATATAGTAACTTTCACTTTAGCAATGGCCACATGAGATCTTCATGTATTTAAGGAAACAACAGCTGTAGGTCATGTAGCTTCAGATGAGTGCGTAGATCTCCACAAATGAGGTAATACCTTATTATGTGGGGGTGTTTTCTGAAGTGATAATGAACTGATTATTCCTGCACATCCTTTGATCTGTTTAACTTACAATGGGAGTCATTCGATTAGAAAAGATGGTGCTTCAGACGGAATGTTTGTTTCCCCCTAAAAATTTGTATATTGAAATCCAATTTCCAATGTGATGTTACTCAGAAGTGGGTCTTTTGGGAATTGATTAAGTCATAAAGGTGAGCCCTCATGCAAAGGTATTAAGTACAAGGGCAATAACAAGGGTATTTTAGTGCGCTTTATAAAGGAGACCTCAGAGAGCTCTCTCACCCATTCAGCCATGTGAGGGCACAGTGCAAAGATGACCATCTATGAACCAGAAAGTAGACCTTCCCCAGTCACTGAATATGCTGACACCTTCATCTTGGACTTCCCAGCATCCAGAACTGTGAGAAATAAATTTCTGTTGTTTATAAGCCATGCTGTTTATGGTATTTTATGATAGTAGCCTGAGTGGACTAAGAAAGGTGGTATGAAATTTGCCTCTGAATTTAACTGAAGCGATCAGTGACAGCACCTTGACCCTGGTAGGCATTCAGATCAGCCTCAACACATTAGCAAGTGCTGTTATTGAAGACTGAATTGCCCCAAACTTCGTCTTTGAGGATTAATGCAGACTTTGTACAATTGGTAACGCATCCTGCTATAAATGGATCAATGCCACTGGCCCAGTGGAAGGTTCTTTAGAGAAATTTAAGGAGAAAGCCACCCTTATTGTTTTTCCAGTTTCTTTAGCTGTCTAGAACTGGGTCCCTGCAGGGCCTGACTGGAGTCAGTACTATAGGTTGGCCACATTCTGCAGTCTGGAATTCTGTTTATAGACGCTTTAATTAAATGATGCATGAAACAACTTGAATGAATATAATCCCAGCCTTTGTCAGTCAGATTACTCAGAGTGGCCAATAGTGTAGCATAAACATGGGAAGATTTTCTAGAATCTAAGCCTATAGGAATGAAGAGTGGAATTGTTGGAAAACAATTCTCAGTGAGTCTCTCACATCTCTGCAAATTTAGGCATTAATAACCAACTTGTTCCAGGCTATCTTCACTAAAATGTTAATGTAATCAGGCAGAATTGGAAAGACAGAGATGCCTCATATTCCAGGGAATAGAGCTATAGATGCCTACATCTTTCTCCCCAGAGTAGATTTGTTTATGTTCCAGAATAGTAATGATAGGGATGTCTCCTTCCTCTCCACATTCCATATTTACTTACATTACATGGAAATAAAGATAATGTCACTCAGGAAACAGTGATAAGAATGGGCATAAGAGATTAGCGATGCCCAACCTCAGGGTTCCTCTCCTGTTATTCATCTCACTGCAGGGACAACACTTAGCTCTCATCACATCACCTTGTGGAATCCGGGCTTAGCAAAATGGCATGGGATGTCACTCTGTCTACTGTTACTACTGTGAGTAATACATTTCCATTTGTCTGAACCAAAAGCCTTGGGTTTCTGCTGTTATCTATCAGACTGTGACGGGCTAGCCTACTACCTTTCCAGTAGGGCAAAATCTTACACTTTCACTGTTCCTTTCTTGAAAATACATTTATGATTTTTGTGTCTTTCTGATAAATTGACATTTTTCCTTATGAAATATGCTTATTTGTCTCTGTTAATACTCTTTGTTTTGGAGTTTATTTTATATGATTTTAATATAGACAATCCCTGCTTTTAACTTTGTTATTTGCATGGTATATGATTTTTCATCCATTAACTTTCAAGCTCTCTGTTTCTTTATGTTTAAAGTGATCTCATAGATAGATTTAGGTCTACCATTTTATTTTTTTTGTTTTTTCCTCTTTGCTTTTTGTTTCTCTCAATCTTTTTTTTTTTTTTTTTAGCATCTATTGGATAACTTGAAATTTTAGAAGACTTACTTTTTGTCTATTGGATTTTAAACTATATTCCTGGGCATTAATTTTAGTGGTTTTACTAGGGATATAAAATATATCTCACACCTTTGTATACTCTGCTTATATTTATATTGAATCTCATCTCATATAATGAGGAAACCTTGCAAAATATTAATCCATTTACTGCCCCATACATTCTACTGTTCTTGTCATGTGTATGATATTTATACATATTTCAAGCCCCACAAAGCAAGTTTAAAACCGTTTATTTTTAAGAAATTTATTATTTTCCATGCATTTTATAAGAAATTTTCCTTTAACTAGAAGAACTTATAATGGTATTCCCTTTTATCCAGATCTGCTGGTCACAAATTTTCTTAACATTCCTTTATTTAAAATGATTTTACTTTTGTTTTATTTTTAAATAATGTTTTCACTGTGAATAGAACTTGGAGTTTACTCTTTTTTGTTTTATTCTTTCTGTGCTTTAAGGGTACTTTCCTGCTGTTATATCTGGCCTCTGTAGTTTCTGATTGGAAGTTACTGCTCATTTGAATTATTGTTTCCACACATACATGTTTTTCTTTGGCTACTTTCAAAAAGTCTCTTTGTTTTCCAGCAGTTTACTACTGTGGGCCTATGCATAATTTTTAAAAATATTTATTTCCCTTTTAATTCACTGAGTTTCTTGAATCTGAAAAATTTACGTATTTGCTCAAACTTGGGGAAAAATTTTGGTCTCTCTATTTTAAAAAAACTTTTTTCTACCCGATGCTTTCTCTTGTATGTTTCCAGGACTTAAATTTCACATACATTAGAAAACTGAATATTGTCACACAGGTTGCCCGATCTCTGTTCATTTCTTTAAAAAAACGTTTGCTCTGTGTTCTTCAGATTGAATAATTTCTCCTATGCTATCTTCAAGTTCATGGCATCTTTCTTCTGTCCTATATTCTACTCTTAAGCTCATCTATCAAAGTGTGGTTTTATCATATGTGCAGATATGTTTGTTTGAAAAAAACTGCTTTGTATTGTTCCTCCTTTTTTCAAAAATGTATCAATAGGAAGGGGAGCAAGAAGGCGGGCATTAAAAGCCAGGCTGAGAAACAAAATGAGCCCCAAAGGGATGAAAATGACACTATGGGGCAGAGGAATGACGTGGAGCAGTCGAAGCAATGGAACCTGAGTACTTCAGGGGAATAAAATGAACGGCTTTCTTTTGTAATGTGGTTTCTAGGGTTGAGGTACAAGGCTGGGCAGTCAGCAGAAAGTAAATCTCTGGAGGTTCTTGGACCAAAAGGATTTTTCTGCCAGCTCCTGGATGACATGTGTTTTGCTAGAGCGAGGGTAGCATTTCTGAGACAGGGGTTTGTAATAGACCCTGATTAATAAGCGTCCTTTTTGGGTTTGTAGACGGAAGAAGACACAACTGCAGCTGATGAAATTTCCCACTAGTTGGAAATCTATAAATGCCCTACTTATAAGAAGTAGCACATCCTTGTGTTTAACATATGAAATTACTGTGGTTAGGTGACATAGTTTGGATATTTATACCCTTCAAATCTCACGTTAAAATTTCCTCCCCAATATTGTAGGCCTAAAGAGGAGTGTTTAGGTCATGGGGACAGATCTCTCATGAATGTCTTGATGCCATCCTTATGGTAATGAGTGAGTTCTCACGCTATTAGTTCCCATGGGAGCTGATTGTTAAAAAGAGCCTGGCATGTCTTTCTCTCTATCTTGCTCCCTCTCTCGCTCTGTGATGCCCCCTCCCTTTCACCTTCCACCAAAGTTGGAATTCTCCTGAGGCCCTTATCAGAAGCAGATATTGGCATCATGCTTCTGGTTCAGTCTGTAGGACTGTGGGCCAAATCTTTACCCTTTTTTTTTATAAATTACTCAGCCTCAGATATTACTTTATAGCAGCATAAACAGTTTAAGACAACAGAATATTAGCTAATATTGTGATAAGGTAACTGATTCAATGTAACATGACCCAGAAATGATCATTTTCTATAATAGAGCTAACTTGTAATCTGTATGTATGTCTTATATATTGATTTATGTCAACTATACATATTTACTGTGATGGGGGAGTCATATAATGTAGAAATTCCTAGGAGTGTTAGGAAAGGAGCTCTCATCCATTTGGCAAAATACCATTAGACTGATTACTTGTAGGCAATTCACAGAAAATACTCTTAGGAAGAGGCAGTGCATAGAAAACTATTATTTAAAGCATTATTACATGTTTATTCATCTCTTCCATTTTTATTGTGTGAGTAGTAGAGAAAATAGAAAAGGCTTGACTTTCTCAATAGAATTGAACCCTATCTGCAGCACTGTTTTTAAAAACTGAATAAGTTATTTCTGTATCACTGCTTTCCTAATTGTAAAAATAAGGATAATAATATTTCTCACATAATTGTTTTGATGGCTAAGCACCATACCTGACCTATAGTAGCCAATTTTTTGGTCACAATTTTTCGGTCACAAATTTAGCAGACAGCATGATGTCATGAGTGTACTTGAACTTGATCCAATAGCATTAATTAGGGGAGAATATGGCCAGTTTTCACAGCTTCAGTATATAATGTCTATTTCCTTTGCTCAGCTTGTTAGATTGTAGTTGGGTTTTGCTTTTCTCTCACAAGTATTTTATACTTAGTTTGATGAAACTGCTGTTATATCAAGTTAATCCTCTGTATGGGGTTTTCATTCTCCTCACGAAGAAACTCTGTCAAATTTCTAATCTTTCCTCAGCAGGAGTGAATAAACTGGTGCTTATTCAGGTCCAAGGCTCTCTCTGAGAATCGTTTTCCCTCACATTTCAACCCCTTTCGGACCTAGAAGATGATAATGCTGAGCAAAGAGAATTAATAAATTACTTAATTTGTTAGAGCAAAAATCCATGCATGTGGCTCTTAAAAAATAAAAGATTTCCCCCTCCACATGTTAAGAGTCTAAGAAATATTCTTCCTTTAAGTGTGTTTTAGTAAATAAAAGTATACGATATTTTATTTTTTGGAAAGTAGTTTAATGCTGACCAGGTTTTCCCCAAAAAACATGGTTTATAAGGTGAACTTGTTAATTTATGTTTCACTATTATTAACTTAATCTCTTTTGAATTGATTTTATGTTCAGGAGGAGAAGAAGTATGAAGTGCTTGCTTGGACCTTTCTACTGTGCTTATTATTCTGTCTTCTCCTCATGGCAAGTAAGTCAAAATATTTCTTACTTTCTTTAGACCAGAATAGTGAATTCAATTCTTTGACTCCTTTCCAGCTAACATGAGTGTAAAATTTTGCTGGTTTAGTCATATTTATAAGCTTAAATCTCTCCTGTCTGGAGTTTCATGGGAAATCTAAAAAAAATGTGAGCAATATTTTCCCAGGATGAAGAACATAAAATTAGATTCAATAGATACATTTATCTTTAATGAAATTGACCTGCCTAACCCTTAATCATATTTCTGATATTAGCTTGGACAATATTTCTCCTGGAATTTTTCTTACTTCTTAAGGCTAATTTTGGTGCTCTTTCTATAAGTCCCTGAGATCTCTGGACTTCCCCTTGCAGATTGCTTTTCCCATTGCATTGCAATGATTTATTGATACCGTCATCACTAGAGGGTTGACTATGAGAGTAGAAATTGTATCTGTCTTTTTCACAATGCTGTTAACATCAGCCACTGTACCAAGCATATAGCAGATGTTCAATAAATATTTGTTGAATGAATCCGTAAATCTATTTACAATGCAAGAGATTATGTTTTTCAAGCAAAGACCCAAGGAAATTCTAGAGACATTGGTTCTGAGTTCATGGTTTTCCTGCATTTCTTTCTGTAATTCTCAGTTGAGCCACCCAGTGTCCTTTGTGATTATGTGGGTCAAAAATTACCATTTTTGCTTGAGCTCTTCTGAACTGGATTTCTATCTTTTATAACCATAATAAGCATGCCTAATAATTTGGGTATTGGTCAAACAAATCTGTTAAGAGTGGAGCATTAATGTGGTCAGAGGAAGTGGATTTCTATATTTATTGGTGATCTATTTGTGCCCATTACTCTTCCGTGTCCTGTTCGAACACATGGGGTTTTCTGGGACAGAAGGCTGACTGCAAGGAGCTTGCAGGCGAGTAGAGAAGATAGTGTGTTTATATCAGTCCTACCACAACAAGTGCTGGTGTACAACGTCAAGTTGCTTAGACAGAAAAAAGAAGCTATTGGGGGAAGGGGTTGGATATGAGCTCTGCTTTGAGGAAATTTTTACTATATATAGTATACTAAATGTGAATATTCACAGAAACAGTGGTGATCTGGAGCCACCTCAAACTGGCTTTCAAGAACTCATTGTTATTTTTTAGGAATTTGAGACCCAGTCACTAAATATAGTCATTATTAAAAATTACTCTTAAATAAACAGTTAGAGATAAATAAAATAATTTCTTGTAATTCATCACTAATTATTTGACTACATTTCACTACTCTATATGTTCTTGAAATTATTTACATTTACTGTACCCATGTGGTGGGAATTCTGCATAATGGTGTGGCAACTGCTCATCTCTTCCCAACTTCACATTTAGTATGTCACAGCAGTAGCTTGAACTTGACTATGATGAAATGGTTTATTTTTATTTACTTATTCTTCGAGATGGGCTCTTGCTCTGTTGCCCAGTTTGGAGTGCAGTGGCACAATCATGGCTCACTGCAGCCTCAACCTCCCAGGCTCAAGCGATCCTCCCACCTGAGCCTCTTGAGTAGAGGGACTACAGGTATGTGCCACCATGCCCACCTAATTTTTGTACTTTTGATAGAAACAGGATTTTGGCACATTGCCCAGACTGGTCTTGAACTCCTGGGCTCCAGCGATCTGCCTGCCTCAGCCTCCCAAAATGCTGAGATTCCAGGCGTGAGCCACCACTCCTGGCCTGGTGAGAAAATTTAAACTTTGAAAATGCAAGCACTACAGAAGAGTGCTTGATTTTTTAATTTATGCTCTTTTTGTTGTCTATATTTTATTATTACATGATATGGTATTGTCTAAACAATAAAGTGATAAAGAAGTGCTAATAAAGCAGGTTAAAGTTAAAATGTCTGCTGTGTCTATAGCTGTTGTACTGAGATAGCACAAAAATTGAGGAAACACTTTTTCAATATTTGGAGTTATGACATGTGTCTTTGTTGTTTCACTTTCATCTTATTCATGAAAACAAACTTCTCAATTGTATTCATGGTAGAACAGCATTAATTCACCATGTGCAGCCACAGGTTAGCCATGGGTATAAGAGTTCAACGATCAATGAAAGAACTTATATTGAAGTATTGATTTATAAATGTCAAGTGCATTGTGGAAGAATAAAAAATAAGATTTAAAAAGTCAGTGAAAACATTGGGTAAAATCAAGTGGTTATATAGAATTTGCTATAAATAAAATTGCACATTTTATTATTATTTGTAAGTTGTGTGCTACCCAGAATTTATCAATCAAACTTACAATAAACTTGTGAGTGTGTGAGTGTGTATATAACCATTGTTAACCACTTACCAGCACACCACTGGGTAGAAGGGCACAAGAGGTTTTTACAAAAAAAAAGTAAGTAATATTGATTTTTTTTCTGCCTCCAGTAATGTCTCACTGTTTTCCTGTTGGTTAGGGCATTTACAAGATGAGTCATTATGCACTATATATATATATATGTGTGTGTGTGTGTGTGTGTGTGTGTGTGTGTGCGCGCGTGCGCGCATGAGTGTATATATGTATATGTTGTACGTATGTGTGCCATTGAATTATAATTAACAAAGAGCAAAATACACCAATTACAAGTGCACACTGTCTATAACTTTTTACGATTCTATACAATAACAAACATTTGTGTGATCATCCCTCATATAAGATACAGAGCATTCTAGCTCCCTAGAAAGTTTATCACTGTCCCGTCTTTGTGGTCAACAGCGTTAGCTATTTTCACACCTATCACCATAGATTAGTTTGGCCTATTCTTTAAATACACATAAATAGAGAATTAAACTATGTAATGTTATTTTTCACTTATTTTGCTCAATATTATGTTTTTTATATTTGTTCGTGTTGTAGCTTATGTCAGTAGTTCATTTTTCATGACTGCTGTGTAGCATTCCATTGTATAAACATGCCCCAATTTGTTTAGACTTTCTTTTATCAATGAGCATTTTTGTTGTTTTCACTTTGGAACTATTAAGAAGAAAGCATACTAGGAAAAGTTTGAGAATGTACATTTATTCCTTGATTCTTTTTTTCTCTTAAATGCTTTATTCAACTCCATCTGTGGAATTGGGAATTGTAGCATTTTCTGGAAAGACAAATGCCAATTTCTTTTCCTTCCAATAAGGTATATTGTCCCAGATGTCAAACTCTGTGGGTCAGTGTGTGTAGATAACTCCTATGCCTACAAAATCCCCCTCTATTCATATGTCAGTGCTTGTATTCTGAGGATCTAGATAGGCTCTGTCTTGCTTTTGAAGCCTTAAGGACCAGCAAGTGGAACAGGACTATCTAAGAGCGAGAACAAAGCAAGAACTTCACTGATGGGTTCCTACTGAGTTATTATTCTGGAATTTAATTTTTAAAGATGACCTTCAAATGCCATTGTTTCCTGATTTTATTTTGTTAAATTTATCAAAGTGCATTTAGAAAGAACAATTCCAGTCTCGCATGAAATTATGTTTTAAAATACGTGAATGATATTTTTATAAGAAAAAAAATTTTTCAGGACATTATTGCAGAATACTGAACACCGAATCCGTTTTTCTTAAGTTTATTTAGCTAAATCTATATAAGCCTCTTTTTATTATTTACTAACCTCCGCACATTTCTTTTACCTTGTGCTATAAGTAAAGCACTCAACAGTTTTTCTATTTACTGTCTAGATGTTATGAAACAATTGAAGAGGCAGGCCAGGGTTTTCTTCAGCCAAATTCTAATGAGAAATACAGAGAAGAATCATAAGAACCAAGTTGCTCTCAATATCTGACAAATTTTTGATACGAGAGCCACAACAACACTTCTTTGGCTAAGCATGAAGGCCAGTCATGATCAGAATTTATTTAAAATGTAATTTTTATGGGGCAGCTAATGTGCTATTCACTATAACTTCCCAGGAACTAGAAGGAAATAGGACCAAAAATAGAGGTTTATATTAATGTGTTCTATTTAAAATAAAAACAGTGGTCATATGAGAACACACACATGCACACATACATACTAATGAGAATATGGGTCATGGTAATAGTTATGGCCAATGCACTGTGCGTGCTAAACCATGTTTCCTTGAAATGTCAATACTGTTAATATTTTCTTTATACTTAGCCCCCATCCCCCCAGAACATAAGTGTAGAAAAGTGGGGTGTTGAAGGGAAGATGTGTTTGAGGGAATTGGGAAGTATTACATTTGGGACGTGTAACAGTTTTATAGAAAACATCCCTCTTTCCCTCTTTCTTTCTTT
Organism: Homo sapiens; assembly: GCF_000001405.40. Taxonomy (NCBI): domain Eukaryota; kingdom Metazoa; phylum Chordata; class Mammalia; order Primates; family Hominidae; genus Homo; species Homo sapiens. Next base: position 1,570,794 of record NC_000018.10, read on the forward strand.
CTCTTTCTTCTCCAGAGACTTTATCTCTTAATATTCTGCTGGCTAAATTGTATTGACTTTCTACATTATCAATTTATATGACTTCTTTCTCTGACACTACCACCTCTTCCTAAGAAAATTTACGTTAATATCAGTGGCAACACAATACTGACTTACAATCATCTAGGCTTAGTTTGTTTGAATGATTTTTATTAATTCTCTCTCTTACAACCCCTATAGTGATCCAATAAGGTCCCCAATGTAGGCAATACTTTATACTTATCTTCATTCACTCTTTATACTTGTTCCAGAAAATCTACTTTAAAATATTTTTTTTGCTTGGACTTAAGAATCTATTTTCATTTGAAAGAATGAGTTAAAGCAACATATTGAACCATCATACTCACTTATTCAACAAATATTTGAGGGCTTTACACAGGCAAGCACTCTAGGCATTGGGAAGTAAATGTGAAAAAAGACAAAACTTTCTTTTCATGAAGCTTCTATTCTAATTGGGAACTATACAAACAAATTAAGTTGGAGGCAAGAAGTAGCTAAATGCTGTGGAGGAGAATAAAATAGGGAAGGAAGATTTGAAGAATGAGTTTATGAGTCATGAGAATGTCAGGAGTTGTATTTTGGGCCAGTCACATTGAAGGAAATGTATTACCAGCATTCAAAAAGAGAAGGCTTCGGTTCAGGGAATAAGTCTAGAATGGAGATACAAATTTAAGATCTGACAGTGTACAGTTCATAAAAGTATGACACGAGATCACCAAGAAAATGTGAACAGAGAGAGAAGAATTCTTACACTGAAATTTCTCATTCTTTAGCCTGAAGATTTATGACAACAGTAATCTGGAGAAATAAGTGGCCATATATAGCTTATAGAATGACAGTTTATAGAGTGTTTTTTATTTCTGAAAGTTGTTTTCCAGTTGAACCTAAAAATTAAGATGATTAGACACCTGAAGAAATTATAAAACATGCATATTCCTAATAGTAGGATACTATCTCCACATCTCCCCAGGAGTCAGTAACTCACAGGGAAATTACTAGTTCAGAAAGTCTAGTTAGGCATAAAATGAGTTGGTTTGCTTTGTTAATTTAAAAAAAATTTGGCTTGAAAAAAATGTAATTAGATAAAAAGTTTCGAGAAAAGTACACAGAACTCCCACATTCTTTTCACCCAGATTTATCAATTGTTAATATTTTGTAAACTTTGTTCTTATCCTTAATCTATCTTTATATCTGTCTATTATGTATTTGTGTGTCTATTCTATCTATCTATCTATCTATCTATCTGTCTATCTGCCTACCTATCTATCATCTGTCTTTCTGTGCCAATGTATAGTAGGAGCTTGGAATGCTAGAATACCTTATTCTGAAGAAACTGAGGCAGGGCTAACAATATAAAACAAAGGAATTAGGTCCAAAGGACACAGGAGCCATATTGGAAGGGTTCCCATCATCCAAATGAAGGACAGTCGACAAAATTAAACTGAATTAGATAATAAATTATAATTCATTGAATTTTATAACAGTTTATGAGTTCATATTGACAAGAATGACTAAATTAATGGATACATAGGAGATAAGAGAAATGTCTTCTCTATAGTTGGATAACATTTAATAAAAGTAATAAGAATCAGAAAATTATGGTTTTGTAACCATCACAATAATAATTGATTCAGGGAAAAATCATCAATAGATGCAACAGTTAACAACCACTGATGAAGACCAGAATATTTATATAGTTTCAAATATAACAAATTACTTAATCACAAAATGAAAAGTAAAAACTTAAGGTTGCAGGAATATGGATGGTATACACCAATTTAACGAGAGTTAACCTCACAAATAATGGGATAAACAGACATTACCTGTCTCCTGATGTGATGAACTAGGAAAATATACAACTCATGTAGTTTTCTATCTAAAAATGCATAAACTGAGTCAAATCTAGAGAAATATCAAGCAAATTCTAATTAAGGGACATTCTCTAAGTAAACAGCCCATGTTCTTTAAAAATTTCAATATCATAAAGATAAAAGCTGAGAAATGATCCCAGAATAAAGGAGATCCAAAAGACAGGAAAGCAAAATTTATCGTATAATCCTGGATTGAATTATTTGCTAGAGGGACAAATATTGCTATAAAAATATTGTCGGTACGATTGATACAATTTAGTTTCCAAGCAATGGTTGCATTCTTAATGTAACTTGTCAGAGCTTTTATAAAACAGCATCCTGGCTGAAATTCCTGAAAAAGCTATGAAAGAGCCCACACACTCGCTTTCCTAAGTACCAGTGTTTGCTATCACCCTGTAATTGAGCCCTGTCTTGATGTAATCTATGATCTGTCTTCTCTTCTTCCCATACTTGATGTTCCCATTTTGAAGAAACATTCTTTTTCTTTGACGATTTGTAGATGACTCTGAGGCTGATTTTAACTCTGCTTTTTAATCATCACCATTCTTTGAGGTCTTCAATTATAAATTTACTAAATTAAAATAATAATCACTATATCTTCTAAGTGTTATAAATAATAGGAGAATAAAAGATAAAAAGAAACACATTTATAAAGAGTTATGTGGATGCATAAACATTCATTCATTTTATCTTACTTGATCCTCCCCATTTGCCAGTGAGAGAATTAAGAATAATTGCTCCCAATTTTTATGAGGAAATTGAGATTCAGAAAGATTAAACAACTTGCCCTAAGCCACACAACTAGTAATTTAGGAAGGTATGGTGTGAGTCCAGGTCTTCTCAATGTAAGTCCTAGACTTGTTCATTATACAAGGCAATTCCCAGTTTCAGATCTGGATGACTGAGTGGATAATGATGAGAATAGCAACTGATAAGACAGGATAGCAAGAACATTTTTTAGGGAGGATATTCTGCCAAATCTTGATTTTTGGTTACTTTCTAGATTAATGAGGCAGAGTAGGGACCCCTCTTAAAGGCCTTGTGGACCCCATCAATCATAAAAATAAAGGAAACTTATTGAGTTCCTTCGAGGGAAATTCCAGTCACCCAGTACGCCCTGAGAAGAAAATGAGCAACCTGATAAGGAAGAAGGTAGAAATAGCTTAAAACAATAGCCAAGGAAGTTTGAGTCACAAAATGTTTGGTTCCCGTAGAAACTAAAGATAATATATTAACATATGTCCCTGAGTTGTTTTTCAAACACCTGGACCCCCACCAAATGAAAAACGCTGTCCACTGGCACGGAGACTTCAGATAAGGGGGAACTGTGGTCAGAACTCTGGCCACTGTTCTTTTTTCTAAATTTCTTCCTGAGGGGCCTGGACTAAGTCATGTACACAGGCCAGAGCTCAACATTCCTTTCTGCTGACCCCAAGTTTTCGATAAAGCTTTGCTCTCTTAACCAATCACAAATCAGAGAATCTTTGTATATCCACCTGTGGCCTGTAAGTCCCTGCTTCAAGATGGCCTGCCTTTTAGGCAAACTAATGTATAGCCTTCATGCATTGCCTATAACCAACCTCCCTGCCTTTAAAAACTCTTAACATGTACGCCATTGGAGAGTTCAGAGTCTTAAGTGTTAACTTCCTAATTCCCCATGCTTCACTTTATCTTGCTGCAAATCCTGATATTATTGTTCAGTTTTGCTGCACTGAGCAGGCAGACCCAAGTTCGGTTTTGCAACATTAATAATTGATGTAATTAGTTACTCTTCATTCTTTTATACTCCTGTAGAATTTCTTCAAAGCTCAGTTACAGTCCTTGTCATTCATACTTCATTGTATAGTTCTTTCTAACCACAAGTTCGTTCCTTACAGCTCATCTCATTGTATCTGTCATTGTTCTTACTAAAATCCTCTGCACATAGTGGGTAATTGGTAAATGCTTGATGAAGGAATTGGATTTATAGCTCTAGATAACAGATTTACAATAACACATTAAATAAGTAAATGTAAGACTAATAGGTTTACATTAAATTTAATAATGCAAGGTCTTTATAAACTTGGTTACAGAAAAACTGACTTAAATTTTGTAAGAAAGCTATCAATAAAGGGGGGAAAGGGGGGCTTTTAAATGTCATAACATGTCCATTAAGTAAAGTTTACAGGTGCTTCAGTAGCATGGGTCTGTTTTTGAGCCACAGCCAATGTAATTAGCAGGTGAGATTCCAGACCTCCAATTGTCAAGGGATTTAGTATAAGCTCAATAAGCAGGTGTGAAGAAGGCAATAATCAAAGGTGAGAAAATGAGAAAGTATATGCAAAGATTCAGTTCCACATATCCTTTTATCATTGATAATAGTAATGAGGTATGAAGCCATTGCAGATAGAATTGTCTTAATATGATCAGAGTGAGCTCACATCACTCAGCACCCTATGGACAGGGTAGTAGAGAGGTGAAAAGAGGTTCTTCCCTGATCACAGGCTGTCTTTTTACTGTCAGTAGCCTCTGACCCGACAGAATAATTAGCTTCTATTGTGTTAACCTGTGTTAGCCAGCAAGTAGAAGCGCAGACTATTGCAGCTATAGAGAGTTTTTTTTCTAACCCAATAACATACTCTTTGGACTGAGACCTTCCTTCAGCAGCTGTTGTAAAGATAATCAAGGCATCTCGCAGCAATACCTTCTTAAAAAAATTGTCTGTCAAGGCTAAATTTTATGTTCTTTCATACTGTAACTGGAAGAGAATTTACTATTTTTCAGACTACTATATCATTCCCAAAGCAGCAGAGGATTGTATAAATGTGTGGTATAAATTATAAAAGTGGAAAGAAAAACATTAATAACAGATATGGTAGATATGAAGTCTTTTCATAAATAAATATTTTGACCGTTGGGTGTTTACTGGCTAAAGAAAATATGGATTAGACCATTGACAAGCACTCTGTTTATTAGCTCTTGAGCATCAAAAATTACAAATGATGTTGCTTTATTAGTTTATTATAATTACTGTGTTCTCTTATCCAAGGAAGGCTAGTAGCACATAAGGATTTCTCAGCTAAAACACATAGTTTTGAGAATGAATTGATTTCCCTGAGCCTTACTTAGGGCCTTGACATTTCCAGCTTTTCATTGTCCATTGTTTAAGTTTTGTGGATACTCAATCTGTTTTCCATTACAAAGATCTGTTTTGTCTTTACTGTGTAATCATATCTATGACTATTTCTCTATTAAAAACATTCCATTAGTTTCTATATAAGTTTATTTATGGATCCCAGTTCCTATCCTGAAGCAATAGAAGGCGTTTTTTGCTTATCCAGTAAAAATGATAGGTATTGACTATTTTAGGGGCTAAAAATAAGAGTGTTGCAGGATTAAGAAAATGCCTTCAAGTACCACATATATACTATCAAAGTCGATCTGATATTTAAATCCTTACGAATGCAGAAAGAACTCTTTTGGACAAATCAGTTGTCTTCAGCATCCTATCTATATTTGTAAATAAAGTTTTATTGAAACACAATCATGTCCATTCCTATGGTCAGTGGCTGTTTTTGCTCTATAGTGGCAGAGCTGAGTAGTTGTGACAGACTTCTGTGGTGACCTTATAGCCCACAAAGCCTAAAATATATAAGATCTGCCCTTTTACACAAAATATTTGACAACTCCTAGGTATTGGAAGTTGTCTGGTAGTCCTTGCTGTCCTCAATTGTGAAAAGATGACCAACTACCACACACACACACACACACACACACACACACACACACACACACACACACACTTTCATTTAGGAAACACACTACATGGGAAGCAAGTATCAAACAAGAGCAGAGAGTAACTGCCTTCCTTTCTGTGTAGGCCTATATTTCTAGAGTAAGTATGGTACCAAATGTACCTAAAATATATGTTTGTGTTGTTTTATGTACTACTTTAGAGCTTAGTTCTTCCACATAATCATTTAATTTTATTATAATAGCCTCATAAAGTAGATAATGCAGACCTTATTGTACTGACTTTCCTTATAAAGAAAGTAAAGTTTTAATGTAGAACTTCATTAAGTACCCAGCAAATAAATTTAATGAAAATCTCATCCCTAAGCTTAAAACTTATGTATCTGTCAGTCCTCTTTTGGCATAGAAGCTGTTCTGTCTTTACTGTACTGTTTCCTCTTTCTGGGAAAATGGAAAGACTACTTTTCCTGGCTTTCATACCATTAGTTTGGGTCATGAGATAGAGTTTTGACTGATGGATTGTGGGTGAAAATGATGTAAGATATATCTAGACTTTGTCCTTAAAAACATCTGATGCTACCTGCCAGTTCATTTTTCCTCTGCTTATGGATAGCATAGTTGCAAGATAAGGGAGGTGGCTACTTTTCAAAATTGCATTGTATTTTTTGAGAGTAAGAAATAAGTCTTGTTTGGTACAAGCCACCAAGATTTGGAAGCTATTATTACAGGATAGTGTAATTTATCCTTATTAATACATAAATGGAATCTTCCTTAAAATGCATCAGTCATATTGAAAACATTGTATTCAAAATCAGGCTCATTCTCTTCGTCCTCTTCCTTCTACCTACTTCAAATATACCCGTTCCATAGGTGAACATCCTCTCTGAAATTAAAAAACAAAAAAGAAAAAAGAAACAACCACCACAACAAAAAATGGGTTCTTTCCATATTCTTTTCTTTCCCCTGACTCTCCGATCCATCTTTGCCAAAACTCTTAAATATATCACCTATCATGTTTGTGGCCATTTTACTGACTGACTTGCTTTAAGAGTTTTCTAAGATGACTATTACGTCACCTAATAGTAGCGTTTTGTTCTTCCATTAAAAGTCATGCTTTATTTTATTTTGTTATGTCCTCTAGAAAACTCTTACAGAGTATTGCAATAATAATCATCCTAATTTCTTGGGTTTCATAAAAAGGTGATGTTTGCTGTAGTTTTTGAATAGATATTCTTTATCAAAATAAGGAAGTTTCCCTCTAGTATAAGTTTACCATGACTTTTAAAATAATAATGACAATATTGTTTTTTAAATTCCCAGTAATCCTTCAAGAATCACTGTGGGTCACCTTCTTTCTTAAAACTTTTTTTTTTTTTTTATTGAGACAGGGTCTCACTCTCTTGCCCAGGCTGAGTGCAGTGGCACGTTCATGGCTCACTGCAGCCTCGACCTCCGGTGCTCAAGCCATCCTCCCACCTCAGCCTCCCAAGTAGCTGGGACTACAGGATGTGCTACCATGTCCAACTAACTTTCATATTTTCTGTAGAGACAAGGTTTTGCCATGTTGCCTAGGCTGGTCTCAAACTCCTGGGCTCAAGCAATCCACCCACCTTGGCCTCCCAAAGTGCTGGGATTACAGGCCTGAAACACCACACTTGGCCAGTTTTTAAAACTTTTATGTAAATATTATTCACCTCTGGATTCACATACCACCTTTTGCATGTGTTATCACATTGTACTGTAATTGCTTGTTTACTTTTCTATCTTCCTTACAAGACTGCCAGTTTTAATGCAGAAGCTTTGTTTTCCTTATCGCTGTGTCCGTACTACTCAAAAGAGTTCCAATTGTAGAACTATATATCCAATATTTGTGCAATAAATATATCCATTTCCTTTTCTGCATCTGCTGATTGTATGGAGTAATAAAAATTACCTTATAGATCAGGAGAATTGGGTTTGAATTTTGAACTTGCAGAGCCTGAGTTGATTAAAATGAAATATGATGCTTTATTAGGACATTGCCCATCACAACTCTTTGCTAAGTGAAGGGTTGATATAGTTTGGATGTCCCGCTCAAATCTCATATTGAATTGTAATCCCCAGTGTTGGAGGTGGGGCCTGGTGAGAGGCATTTGGATTATGGGGGCAGATCTCTCATGGCTTGGTTGCTCTCCTGTTGATAGTGAGTGAGTCTCAACAAGATCTGGTTGTTGTAAAGCGTGGCACCTCCCCCCACCCATTCTTCTCTTTCTTCTGCTTTTGTCATGTGACGTGAAAGTCCCGCTTTGCCCTCTGCTGTGAGTGCCGGCTTCCTGAGGCCTCCCCAGAAGCAGATGACATTGCTATGCTTCCTGTACAGCCTGCAGAACCATGAGCAGATTTAGCCTCTGTTTTTATAAATTACCAAGTCTCAGATATTTCCTTATAGCAGTGCAAGAATGCCCTAATACAAGCGTTACTCTGTTATCCTTTTCTTGGCTCTTGGTTTGCCCCATATTAGTTCCCTAGGCTCTTAGGAATGTAACTACAAAGCTGTAATCTTACCTGGGGTGTTCCAAGTCAATTTAACTGGGGTTCTACCCTGATTCTTTGTTTATATTCCAATTCTCTTCTGAGTCTCCATCTATGTTCTGGGGTTTGAGAATCCAGTTGAGGGCCAACTGAATCCCTACAACCTACCCAATTTTTTTCTCCTGGCAGCTGGACTATGATGATATACTCCGTGTTAAAAATGTGAGGTTTCTGCTGCTGCATTACCATTCATTAGTTGAGACCCAAGTTTTTGACTGATTGTCATAAATATGGTTGGACAGGAAGCAGGGGGTGGTACTGAATTGTGAACCAAATTCACAATTCGGTTAGTTAGTCCTAGCTTCAGTCTTGCCTAGTGTTGAAGTCTCAAAGAGGTCTACAATCTTTATAACTTATGTTTATGAAAAGGGGAAATGAAATTCTAACACTGAGGTTATAGAGAAGATATGATCGTTTTAGAACAAATGTTGAAAAGAAAGGCGACTCATGTGGGCACTTTATTCTCAGAGCAAATGAAGATGCATATCTGGAATTTCATCATGGAAGGCAGGTCAGGGAGCCATGTATGGGAACTAGGGTATTAGATGGGGGATTTGATGTTTGGAAACAGTGATGTTAATTGCAGAAGCACCATTATAACTACAAGGATAAGACCTCTATTTAGGACTTTGAACCCATCCTGTCAAAGTCATTCCTGAATGAAATTCTCGCTAAACCTGTGATAAAAAGAACTGCTGTAGATGTTTGAAACCTGAGTAGAGAGTGAAACCCTGGTGAAGGTCCCTTTTGCTTTGAGAAACTATTGGAGACTAATCATTGCTAGAGAAAATGCCCTGTAAGTAATGGTTGTTGATACACTGAAAAGAAGACAGAAAAGGATTAAACTGTCATCATCACTGAATTGCCATTAGAAAATGCCCTGTGTATAAATATAATGCTGTTTTATGCCAAAACCGTTGGTGAAAAGTCATGCAATGTAAAATATATACAGTAATTGTCTTGGGAATCATTAGCCAGGGGTCAAAGAACATCAATACTCATGAAAAGTGCTTAGCATGTTGACCCACCTATGCCTTTTTGCTGCTAAAAACCATCCCTACACATGGAATTGTATGGTTCCCAGTAATAATACCTCATTCATGCTTTTATTTATTTATTTAATGTTGCTTAAATATTCATTCTTTTCCAAGTAGGAATAGAACAGAAGGCAGGAAAAAAAAAATGAAGCACTTCTCTTGTACAGGTTGTGAAACATGCAACAACAGCCCCATGGTAATGAACATGAAAAATTATGCTTTATCAGAGTTTGGGTCAGAGCAATGCCCAAACAAGTGTGAGGATATGTAACTTAGGCTATATTCAAGTTACACCTAAGGGTATACTCAGGTACTAATGTAAGCAAGAATTTAGTATCTGTTAACCTTGGTTTGTTTGAAATCATTAAAGGTATGTTGAAAATGCAAACCATTTCTGTGATGGGCAGGAGAAAGGTAATTTAGAGCTCCAGGAAACCTCACCTCTTATGTAAACCTCCTGTGAAGGAAAAATTCTTTTGTAAATTAGAGATTAAAACAAAGTTTAATTTTAGCCCAAAATATAATTAGAGACCTCTTTAGTCTGCTACCCAGTGGGATCAAAGGAAGTACCCCCCAGAGAAGTGAGTCATAAACAGCCAATGTTCCAGGGCAAAGAACATTATGTACTCTGTGACAACCCTGCTGTGTTCTAATTAATGTTCATTGAATGAGCCCTCTGCCCAAAAGTGATCCCCCTCTTCTTTTTAATAAAAAGAAAGATAAAATTCCAGAGGTATGTAGGAGGATGAAAAAAAATGAAGATATTTATTAGTTTATAAGGGTGATTCCTTCATAGGCAGGCCATTTTGCCGCTTGCCAAAGACACACTGGGGATGGGGAAGGGAGGGAGATATGCAGTCCATCTTTGGGTCATGCAGCTTCCTAATCTCACTGCTAAGACCTCTTACCTGATTTGTTCAGTCCTGCTCCCCTCTTTCGGGGCTAAACAGGTCCTAAGCATGAGGATTCCTAAAAATCCCTATCCAAAGTTTGTCATTCAATTCAGTGCTTACTTTTCACTGAATTTGTGCTTCAGTCCTAGCAATCAGTCTTTTGTTGTATGACGAAGCTCGCAGTTTATATTGCAGTTCTGGTAAAAAGATCAGTGTCTTACTCCTCAATGTTTGATGCTGTCATTTGGCCGCTTGAATATATTCCAGTGCTTCCAAAAATAGGCCCTAAAATATTGGCACAAGTTCTTCCGGGGCTAATTCTATTCCGAATTTTAGCAGTTTTGGTGTGTAGATTCTATTGCTATTCCTTTCTGATGCTGAGTCCCCTTCTACTTGGTTTTACTGCTGCCTATGCTTCCATATCCATAATGGTATTCTCCCCTAAAATCTGTGTTTATTCTCCAGCTAATAGCTATGCTACCCAAACGCAAATTATTTACTCTCCCTGAGATTCAGTTTCTGCAATTATCAAATAAGTGAGTTGAAAAGCAAGATTCCTAGCACTGTTATGACCTTTCCTGACTCTGCATATGTAGAAAGTGCATTCTTGTAGCTGTTGCTAAAAGGACCTGTTTCAGAGTTCAATAATGCTATTTTGCTACTCTGTTCCAAACTGGCATTACTCAAAACTATAAATGCATTAGTTTTCTACTGCTACATAATAAATGATAAGCTTAGCTGCTTCAGACAACATACATTTTCTGTGAGTTAGAAGTCTAGGCACAGGTTCTGAGTCATTTGCTCAAGGTCTCACAGAATTGCAATCTAAGTGTGGGCTGGAAGTGCAGTATCATGAGTTTTGAGGTCTTCTTCCACAGTCACTGCTTGATCAAAAAAATTAGTCTCGTGGGTATAGGACTGAAGTCCTCACCCCCAAAAGATTGTGTACTCTTCCCTGCCATGTGACCTATCTTCAGCCAGCTATAGTTTGCTTTTTTCAAGGGCAAGAAACAAGCATCTTGGCTATTTCTTTCATTTCTGACCTATAGACCCTCTTTTAAAGGGCTCACCTGATTGGGTCAAGCCCAATCAAGATAATCTCTCTTTTGATTAACACAACATCAACTGATCTGGGAACTTGATTACATTTGCAAAATCCTTTCACTTTTGCCATATAATGTCACATGATCAACGGAGAGCTCACCCATAAAATTCAGAGTGAACACTCCAAGGTTGGCATATATTTTATGGAGAGAGAATTTTGGGCTATCTTATAATTCTGCCTACCAAAATAATCCTATTCACATTGGAAAAAAGATAATTTTTTTCAGTTTTTTACACAAAGAGTATCATCCACTGTTTATCATTTAACAAGTGAAATAAACTTCTGTCAAGTATCTAATGTCAATTAATATTTATACGTATTGTTGGAGCATTGTCTGTACTGTAGAATATCTTCCACAAGCACAGGAAAGTAAAATGTCACCATGGTTACAAATCTGTTTCAAAGAATTTGTTATGTAACATGTAGCTATAGGATTTTATGAGGCAGGTTTCTTCTAATGGTTAACCATAAGCTTAAAATAATAACTGCACACACTCCCAGATGATTAGCTTATGGCAATAACTCAACCAATAATACCGTTGTTACTGGTTAGAGGACATTTGTCTGCTACACACAGAGCATTCTGTAGGGTTCATGTTAGGTGAGAAGGGAGTGGTTTGCTCCTTCCCTGTGTCATTGGACCTCATCCCCTGATGCTTGATCTGTTGAGACTCATTCTTCCAACAGACATTCTCTGAGGTCCTCCTATGAGGGAGGCACTGCATTAGGCACTGATGGTATTAAAGTGAACGTGACCACATATATCTTTAAAGAGCAAAATCTACAGGGAAAAGATGTAAACCCAACGTTAGAATGCAATATGAAATTGATGTAAGAGAGATACATTCAAAGCTTATAGAAGCAGGGAGAAAATTCTGTAAGCTCTGAGCAGTGTTGAACCACAAGGAAAGACTTCACAGAAAAGGTCACATTTAAACTCATTCTTAAAGAATGAGCAAAAGCTCATATGTAATCTAAAGTCATGGGGACTTTAGGTTGAGGGAAGAATTTCAGTAGGACACAAGGACATTTGATGAATGTTCCAGATGACACGTAGTTTTGGCTGGGGTGAAATAATGAAGACCCCCCATCTCATTTGCCACTGGGGCATATACACCAAATAAGTGCGGTTTTTGCTTTGTTTTTGTTTATTTGATATGGTATTCCTGCTTTATATATGTATCATATCCATCTTCCCATAGTTCTGCTTGTGGAAACTCCTTGTTCTGTCCTCAGATGCTCATTGTTCACAAGTAAGTCCTCAACCTTTCAACTCGTCGTTTCAGGCTCACCATAATCCATTTCCAAAATTCTTTTTCAATTTTTATACTGTGATCAGTTTCCCCCTTTCTTAAAACTCTTCATTTCACGTAGAATAAAACCCATATACCTCAACATGGCCTTGAAGGTTCAACATGCTCTAGCTTCTGCCTCTTGGACCCAATCTCATGACACGTGTGCTTCAGCTCCAGCTTCAGGCTTCTGGAAAGCATCGACCTGCTTCAGGAATGGCCATCTATTGACCACCTTCCTCTGGTTGAAATACTCTTCCCCAGGGTTGTCGTGGGACTGGAGCCATCCACTGGGCAGGACTCAACATAACCACCAACTCCTTGGAGAGTGCTTCCTTGATTCTGCATTGCTATTAGTCCTCCCTGCACATCATGCTTGGCCATTTCACTCTACTTATTTTTTCCTTAGTGCTCCTCACATCATAAAGTTGTCCTTTCCATAATTTTCATTTTACATTTTTATCTGTTCTTGTCAAAATGTAAACTCCTTGGCTGTGCTCCCTACCATATCTCCGGAGCCCACAACAATGCCTACCTGGCAAGAAGTAGACAATACATTTGTGTTAAACAAGTGAATGAGAAAAGCATGACTCTTATCTCCCCTCATTGGTCATGTCTGTTGCTCTTTTGCAAATGTCCTCAGTTAATGCCTAGAAAAGTCACTATTTTCTCATTGGTTTCCTTATATTGTTCCCTTGCATTGCCTTCTATATTATTATATTTTCTCTCTGATCATTCAAGTTAACCGGAAATTATGATATATGCATATTACATGTTCTTAGCTCCCACAACAACTTTGTGCATTTTTATACATAATGGACACCTCCTAATATGTATCTTCTATTGAATTGTCCGTATTTGGGTAATCACTAATTTGATTATTGGCAAAAGAATGTTTTCTAGAGTATATGAAGGATTACTGTCTGCTCTCCTTTGCCTTGCAGCAGGCACTGTTGAAAAGGCTGCATATCATGCTGCTTGTTGGTGTTTCTCCTTCAGGAACAATTTTGCACTATATATCACAGAACATCTAAGAAGAATTAGTAAAGTTCAACTTAGATACAATTTATAGCACATCAAGTCTAAGAGTAGAATTGTAGAATTGGGAGCCACACTGTGACCTGAAAGCAATTTTTATTGATTCAACTAGGTTTTAATAACATCAATCAAGATGTACTCTGACAGCCACTTGATATTTTTTGGCTATGGTGAGAATTTCACTGACATATTTAGACTCTTTCCTCATCTGTCTCCTTGTCTACTGTCCTCTCTCTACTATCAAAATCCATTTATGGCCAGATCTATTGACTCAGGGGCACTGGCCTCTTCATAAATATGGTAGAAAAAGAGAAGGTTTTTCAGGCTGCCTTTGCCTCTTTATTTCATGGTGCTAGGCATGGTAATACAAAAGCAGTTGCCCTGTTCTTTGATAAAAAATGTATCTGATCTTAACCATATAAGATTTAAATATTCCTTTAAAAATGTAAAAGCGTGAGGCACAGTTTTATGGTGAAAACTTTTCAGGTAGTTTTTTACTGTTTTTTACTGTAAGAGAAGGACATTTTGGAACTGGAATCCACTCAGATTTAATTGCAATTCTGCTGAATTTTTAAGAAGTCATTAATTGTGCTTATGCAAATTCACTTTCTTCTTCCCTACTTTTGCCAAATGAACCATACAAATCGCTAATGAATACAAGGGGGAAAATGTCTAGCAAAGAAACAGAGTGCTTTCCTTTATTTTTTTACATTGTTATTTTGCCTCCTTCTGTATACTTTTTCTAAGCCCCTCAGATAAAAATTGTTTCTTTGTTTATAAATCTGATGTAATTTTCATATACTTCTCACTTGTATTCTTGTTAGTTGTATGGCTCTATCTTTTACTAATTTGGAATGGTTTTTTCATTCATCTTTTTAGTAATGACTATGTCAGTTACTGAATTATAACAGGAACTTAATGCCCATTGAACTAAGCATAGTATGTTGATAGTATGCTCAGATCTTACAAAAATATTTGTTGGACATCTATTATGTGCAGGCACTATATGTATTTGGTGTATAAAAATGAATATAAGACATTATCACAGCTGCTAACTTAGAAGAAAGTACATGTAGGGATTTAAGTCGAGACTGTATTTTGATTGGCTTATGGAACTATTAAATGGTAGAAATAAAATCCAAACTTAGAATTTTCATGTGTTTTTACATTTTGAAGCAACAACTGTAAATATCACTTCTTCCATGGTAAATCAGCTACTTTTTGTTTTTGCTGAAGGAGCAAGAATACCTTTAGCAGTATTTTGGAAAATTATAATTGAGTTTGGTCATGCAAGCACTTAGAAAAAAGTTTTGCCAAATAATTGTATGACTACTAAAAGGGTTTGTGATATGGCACGGGCTATGATCAGCAATATACCCTCATCGCGTTCATTTCTTAAATGAATTTGAATAAAGTAATTTAACCTTAAATAATTTATTATTTGAGGTAATTATATAATAATTTCCACTTTCCAGAATTGTAAACCAAGGCTTAGCTAAAGATATAGAATAACTTTCCCAAGGTCACGACATAAATGGAGCAGAGATTTGAACTACCATCTACTCTTCTGTTATTACCTTTAACCAGCTTGCTTTTCGGCCAGATAAATGAGTGCGTGGTAAGTTCCTGCCCAATGTTCCGTCAAGTTAAGTGCGGGATTGAGCCTTCAGCACTACATCAATACATTTGAATTTTCTTCAAATTATCACTAGGTGGCAGTGTATCAAACCTTAATTCAGAATGTTAAAGCTTACGCGTTAGTAGTGTATTGAAATTTGTCTCAGATGTAAACTGTAAAAAGTGATTGGTAGATGTTCAGATGAAAATTAAACTGAGGACAATATTTTTATAATGCCATTTGAAGTTTAAATTCTAGACAGTATGCTTTTGGATATATGCTTTTCTTCTGTAGCCCTTTTATTTGAAGAGACAGGCCATATATCAATTTTGATATTTTCTTATTTTCTATATGATACATAAATAAGTATGGTTTATATTAAAATGTAATTTTTTGATCTGAAATTTGCAGTATGGTTCATATATGAAGGTGCTTTGACAGGTTATGACAGTTTTGGCTTTTATGAGTCAGAATAGAATTCCTCTAATGACATAAGTAATGCAATACAATTATGAGCATTATTATAGGGTCTTTTAAAAATGAACACTGTTTAAATGCTCTACATAAATTTACATTTGAAATAAGGTGCATTATTATGTGTATCTATTAATATTACTTTCAGTTCCTAATTGTCTTTTTCAGTTAATAATACCCTTTTTTAACCAAAATAGTTGATTACTTCTGTTTAAGAGGCACAATACTGTAATTCTGATGTTTCAGATAGATTGACACAAAATAAACCAGAGATGGCATTTAGAATTTTATATGCCTTAAGTGCAATTTTTAATTAAGGTTTTCTCTTCTCATTGCTGGATTTTCTAATTATATTCAAATAATAATGAGGAAGACCTTTCTAAGGAAGCCAAAACAATATGCACATCTATACTCTTAAAGGTACTAATCAAAGACTATGGGGCATAATAATTTGGCTCGGCTCTGACATTCAGAATTAGTTCCCTTGTTCCTCAATTCCTCTGTGAGCTTGATTTTTCTCCCCCAAAACATATCAGAAGTCATTGTTCATCTTATTCATACTCCACTCTGCCTAGAGCTGACTATAAAGTAGGATTACAGAATTTTAAAGGTGATTCTGAATTTAGATTCCTTTCTTTATGCATGAATAAAATAAAATGTAAGTTCTTTTATGATGTCTCCCAAACGTTTTACTCTGTTTTTCTTGGTGTGACAAGATATCTTACATCTTCAAAAAGAAAAACCAAAGAACTCAATTTCCATTGATAGGTAACATAGAAACAAAAATATAGTAGAAATGAATATTTGAATTAATGGAGAAATAATATAATTATTTGGTTATTAAATGTGCATTTGTGAAACAAAAAATTGCCAGTGTTTCTGTGTTTGGGCTTTAAATTCAACCATTACCTCAAAATGTTCTTTTATTGCTTTCTGTAATGCTGCCAATTTGCTGGGAGCAAATTCATCAAATGAATTCAATTTGTTTCGCATTTTATTTTCCTCAATTTTTCTTGTGCATGGAATATTTCTCAAACTTAATTCTATTTGTATATTATGTCTTTGTTGTATTTCTTCTTCCTTTTAAAATTTATTTTTTTCTCCATGCTATCCTTTATAGCCTGATATATTTTGCCCAGAGAAGAGGAATGGGCAGAAAAGAACCAAGAACGCCACATTTCTGCTATCCTGGTGGGCATTACTTATTATTTCAAAATAAGCTAGTCTTTTACCTCAAATTTTCTGGGAGGCTTTTAAATATCCACCTTATCATGGGCAATAGATTCTTCTTTTTCTTTTTCAGTGCCATAGGAGATCAGAAGAAAATTCAATATAAAAAAAAAAAAGACACAAAAATCACCTCCTAGTAAAAAAATCTAATGAAATGAGATAATTTGCAAAAAAACTAAATTATAATTTCTACTTCCAGGTTAAATTTTAAGCTTTGTACATAATGAATTCCTGTACTATGTACCATTTTTCTCACAACCATTCACTTCTAAAACTTGGCTACTAAAGGTAAGAGAATCATAATGAGAAACAGTGGCTATTTCTCTGGTGGCTTTTATGAATAAAGGGTGATGATAATTTATTCTTCCAAGAGGCAACAGAGGCATACTGTTCCCTAAGTTTTTCCAAATACTTTTTATCTAAATGGAGAATGTATTTGCTACATCTTATATGTAAGATTACCCTTTTTTTGTTTGTTTGTTTTTTGCGATGGAGTCTCGCACTGTCACGGGGGCTGGAGTGCGGTGGCACCGTCTGGGATTGCTTCAACCTCCACTTCCCAGGTTCAAGCGATTCTCCTGCCTCAGCCTCCCGAGTAGCTGCGACTACAGGCACCCGCCACCACACCTGGCTAATTTTTTGTATTTTTAGTCAAGAGGGGGTTTCACTATGTTGGCCAGGCTGGTCTTGAACTCCAGACCTCGTGATCTGCCTGCCTTAGCCTCCCAAAGTGCTGGAATTACAGGTGTGAGCCACCACGCCCTGCCAAGATTGCCCATATTATTGGCACTTTATGCCATTTTAGATAATAAAGTAAACTGCCATAGACAGCCTTGGTTTTGTGAGTGAAAATACTGCCCAGATTCCTCAAGTTAGACAAGTTGGAGAAAAACATATACTCCTACCACTGAGCTGTGTCTGGACTTTCTACTTTGTTAGCTACTGTCTTTGTTCCTGTGGGGAAATTTGTTTTACTTTTGTGTCAATAATTTCGCTAAGATTATTTGTAGCTGTCTGAACACAAGTTTCATGATTTTCTACTCAGTTTAGTTTATCTTTCTTATAATTTGGATTAAAACTTTAAAATGATGTTATATAGTTTTATTTTCTCATTTATTTTAAAACTTTTATTTCTAAAAGTATTTAAACTTGTTTGAAATAAAGAAAATACTCTTAAAAATTAATTAGCAAGATTTCTGGACATAATAAAACAATAGTGATATTTGAGCCATCAAAAAAAAATCTGACATAAGAGTTACTCGGGAAATGTTTTCTACTTAATAAATTTCAAATCTCTCAGAATTTACTTACTGTACTTTACAACCGTTTTTTCTTTTGAAATTTTCAAATCTAAAGAAATGGTGAGGCTGGGCGCGGTGGCTCATGCCTGTAATCTCAGCACTATGGGAGGCCGTGGTGGGTGGATCATTTGAGGTCAGGAGTTCAAGACCTGCCTGGCCAACATGGTGAAACCTCATCTCTACCAAAAATACAAAAATTAGCTGGGGCGTGGTGACAGGCACCTGTAGTCCTAGCTACTTGGGAGGCTGAGACAGGAAAATCGCTTGAGCCTGGGAGTCAGAGGTTGCGGTGAGCCGAGGTCCCGCCATTGCACTTCAGCCCGGGTGACAGGGTGAGACCCTGTCTCAAAAAAAAAAAAAAAAAAAAGAAAAAAGAAAAGGTAAAATAATTGTATATGAAAACTCATATACACTTCCAGTGAGTTTGACTAATTAGTAACATTTTGCTGTGCTTGCTTTATCTCATTTTATTTATTTATGCATCTGTCATTTTTCATTCTCTCTTTATACAGAGGTATTTGAAATGTTGCTGAGCTATTTGAAAGTGACTTATAGATATCATGACACTTGCTGCGTGCATATTTCAACCATAAGGGATTTGACTACATAAGCACAATACTATCATCACACCTGTAATAATTTCTATTTACTTAATAATATTGAAAGTTCTTTTGTGCTGTCTTTGAGGCACAACATAAGGTACTGCTCTTCTGACTTCCATTACACTAGATTGGTTTTGCCTGTTCATATAAATGGAATCATGTGTGCATATATTATTTTGTCTTTAACTTCTTTCATTTAATATAATGTCTTTGAAGTTTATCTATATTGCTGTACATATGTATGTTTACTAAAAAAAAAGCCAGACAGTTTTATACAGCAGTTGTTCCATCAGCAAAGAGCTTCATTTGGTTCTTATCTTTACCAATATTTAGAGGGGACACTCACTTTTGTAGCCCAGGAAGACCATGAAGAAAGTTTGGCTGCCTTGAAGCCTCTATAGTATGAGAAATTTCAGGCTATGTGGAGAGGCCGTTTGTGGATGTTTTGTTCAGTGACTTCAATGAGCTGAGCCTATGGTCATCCTAAGCCTAGGGGCCAAAGATACCACCCAACAATTCTAGTCTCAGTCATTAGTTGCCCCAGTTGTTCCAGTCTTCCCAGCTGAAGACCAGACATTGTGGAAGAGACATGTCATCCCCATGTGTCTGAATTCTTGAACCGTAGAATCCATGAGTACAATAAAATGATTATTTTTATGCCACTTAGTTTTGAAGTGGTTTGTATGCAGTGGCAGTAACCAGATACCTATATATATTATACTTACATTATTACTCAGTTTGAAATATTTCCTAGTTTTCCATGTGATTTCTTCTTTGGGTCATGGGTTATTTAGAAATATGTTGATAAATGTCATGTATTTGAGGAATCTCTAGGTATCTCATTATTATGCATATCTAACTTAAATATGTTATGTTTGGAGAACAAATTCTGGAAAAGTGCAATGCTTTTAAAATTTATTGAGACTTATTTTGTGGCCTGCATATTTCTTGGTGAATGTTCTACATACACTTGAAAATAATACGTGTTCTGCAATTGCTTCCTACATTATTTTACAAATATCAATTTGTTCAAGTTAGTGGATAAGTGTTACTCATGTCTTTAATCTTCTTGCTGATATTTCAGTCCAGTTGTCGCATCAGCTTCTGAGAGAGAAGAGTTAAAATCACTAAAAATAATTGCAGATTTGTCTCTTTCCCCTTTCAGTTCTGTCAAATTTGCTTCATATTATATATTGAATCCTTATGATCAAGAGCATATGCACGTGTATGCAGAATTTATATGTAGTTTTTCACAAATTTACACTTTCATTATTATAAAATGACCATTATTATCTCAATTAACTATCTTATAGTCTGATTAATTTAGTATTAACAGATTTTTTTTGTAACTATGAAGCAACTTATAATCACCACTTGCATGGTGTATCTTTCCCAATTATTTTACTTTCGATCTGTTTGGGTATTTAATTTTTAAATGTATCTCTTATAAACAGCATCTAGTAGAATCTTTTGTGTTTTTTTAATTCAAACTCACAATCTCTGCCTTTTGTTTAGAATGGTTAGTCCATTTGTATTTAATATAATTACTAATGTGGTTTGGTTTAAATCTGCTATTTGCTATTTGTTTTTTATTGCTCCGCTCTGATCTTTATCCTCACTTTACTGCCCTTTGTGCAAGTTAATCAAGTATTATTCTGGAATTTATATTAAATTCTTGCTGGCTTTTTAGCTTAGCAGAAGACTAACAAAATTGAAGCTCTACCAACAAGTAGATGGAAAATACCTTTAATAAAGGAGACTAGTATTAGAGTCAAAGATTTTTTCCCCCAGAATTTTTGATGTAACGCTTTAAGGTAACTTTTGAAAAATAATAAAGTGAATCCACATATAAAAAATAAATTGAGAAACAGACTTTCTGCTTTCACAAAAATTGACTCAAAATGGATAAAAGACCTAAATGTAAAGCACACAAATTTAAAATTCTTAGAAAATAACATAGGAGAAAATCGAGGTGACAGTGTATTGGTAGTGACTTTTTAGATATAATATAAAAAGTAAAATCTAAAAAGAACAAATTGATGTTAGAGTTTACTAAAACTTCTGCTCTGCAAAATATACTGTTAAGAAATAAGTCACAGACTGAACAAATATGTTTGCAAAAAACATACCTGATAAAGAACTAGTATATAAAATATACAAAGAATTCTTAAAACTCAACTATAAGAAAGCAAACAACTGTATTTTTAAAAATGGGCAAAGGATCTGAACAGATACTTCATCAAAGAATATACATATATGGAAAATACACATATGAAAAGATGCCCAACATCACATATTAGGGAACTGCAAATTATAACAAGATACCACTACATACCTATTAGAATGGCTAAAACTCAGAACAACGACAACACCCAATGCTGGCAAGAATGTGCAGCGACAGGAACTCTGCTGCTAGAGGAACTCATTGCTAGAGGTATTGCAAAATGGTACAGCAACTTTGGAAAACACTTTGGGAGCTTGCTATAAGACCAAGTCTACTCTTACCGTAAGATCTTCAGCTGCATTTCTTGAAATTTTCCCAATTTTTTGGTTGGTAAACTATGTCTACAGAAAAGCCTGCATGTGAATATTTTAGGAGCTTTATTCATAATTGCCCAAACTTGGAAATGGCCAAGTTGTTCTTGAGTAGATGCAAAGAAGAACTGTAGAGATCAGCTGTGGACATGGATGTACACATTTCTCTTCAAGATCCTGTTTTTCATTTTTTTGAGTATACAACCAGAAGTAGAATTGCTATTAAAGTTAATTATATTTTTAACTTTTTTTGTGAAACTGTTACACTGTTTTCCACCATTCTAAATACCTATATGTCATTTTACATTTTCACTAATGGTGCATGATGGTTCCAATTTCTTCACATCCTTACCAACTACTCATTGTTTTGTTTTATTTTTTTAAATAGTCATCCTTGCAGCATCATTCACAATAGCTAAAATGTGGAAGCAACCCAAATGTTCATTGGCAGATGAACAGATAAGAAAAATATGGTATATACATTCAATAGAATAGGTATATATATAATGGGATATTATTCAGCCTTATGAAAGGAAATTCTGGCATATATTACAACATGGATAAGCCTTGAGGACATTATGCTAAATGAAATAAACAGGTCACAAACACATAAATACTGTATGATTCCACTTATATGAAATACTTAGAGCCGTCAACAGCATAGAGAGAGAGTAGGATGGTTGCTGCCAGGGGCTCGGGCTAGGGGAATATCAGGAGCTGTTGTTTAATGGGTACAGAGTTTCAGTTTGTAAGATGAAAAGAGTTATGGAGACGGATGGTGGTGAGGATTGCATAGCATTGCGAATGTATTTAAGATGACTGAACTGTGTATACTTAAAAATTGTTAATTTTTGTAAATTTTGTTACATGTATTTAACCACAATAAAAAATGGGGAAAAATCACTGTTATCAACCCATGAAAAGATTTAAAAGCATATTGCTAAGTGAAAAGTGATAAGGGACCTGAAAGCCAGTGCAGTGGGCAAAGTTTTGGCATTGTCTTTTTCTCTAGCTTTGTCAAGACGCTATTGTACTAAACTGTAGATATTTAAAGCATACAACTTGATGAATGTTGGCATATGAATATACCCGAGAAACTATTGCCAAATCAAGGTAATGAACATTTCCGCCAACCCCAGAGCTTTTCTGTTGCTTAATTGTGGTCCACCCCTTGTCCCCAGGCAACCACTCATCCACTGTTACTCACCATGGATTGGTTTGCACTTTGAGGAATTTTCTGTAAGCAGACATAAAATACATGCTCTTGCTTTGTCTGGTGTTTTGATTCAGCATAACTATGTTCAGATTTATCCATATTGTTGACTGTATCACACACAATAGTTTCTTTTAATTATTTAATCAATTATTTTTAATTACTAAGTAGGATTTCAATAAAAGGACATACCACTATTTGTGTATCTGTTTATCTGTGACGAGTATTTAGGTTGTTTCCAGGTTTGGACTGTTAAAAATAAAGCTTTTAGGGGCATTTCTGCACAAGTCTTAAGTGGACCTATCTTTACATTAATCTGGAATAATTGCCTCAGGGTTTAATGAATGGCTGAATCATATATTGAACTTTCGAGAAGCTGTGAAATTGTTTGCCAAATAGTTGTACACTTTACATACTTATCAGCAGTGTATGTGTGTTACAGTTGTTGCATATACTCACTGAGACTTGGTATGTATAAATTGTGTGTGTGTGTGTGTGTGTGTGTGTGTGTGTGTGTGTGTGTGTGTGTGTTACTGTAGTTATTCCAGTGGTTGTATAGTGGCATCTCAGTTTGATTTTAATTTTTATTTCTCTAATGAACAATGATGTTGAATATCTTTTATATGCTTATTTGACATTCATATATATTTTGAGGTTAGTGCCTGTTCAAATCTTTGCCCACTTAAAAAGTTTGGTTGTTGTCTTTTTCTTATTGAATTATAAGAGTTCTTTGTGTATTCTAGATATAGGTACTTTGAGGGATATATATGTATAAACATTGAGGGATATATATGTATATTATACATATATACATGTGTATTACACATATATACATATATACATGTATATTGTACATATTATACATATATGTCCCTCAAAGTACCTATATTTAGAATACATATGTTACATATGTTATAATATACAGATATACTGCAAGTGTTTTTTTCCAGTCATTGACATAGTTTTTCATTTTCATAACAATGTACTTGTAAAGAGAAGTGGGTGAAGTCCAATTTATCTTTTTCTTTTCATGTTGAGGGATCATGTCTTTAGTGGTATAACTAAGAGATGTTTGCCATTTGAAATTATGAGTGTATGCCATCTTATATACATTGCAAAGTATAATTTGAAGTTAATTTATTTGTATGTTGATATCCAATTTTTTAGCACATTTTGTTTAAAACACCTTTTCCCACTGAATTGCCTGCGTACCTTTGTCAAAAATCAATTGATCATATTTGCGTAGGTCAATGCCTGGACTGTCCATTCTATTATTGTGTTCCATTGATCTGTGTGTCTATTCTTGCATTTGACAGTGGTTTTTGAGGTTTAAGATAAAAATTGAAAGAAAAAAGAAATTAGTTTTATTATAAAACTGTTGAGAGCCATATATTTCATATTTCAATATTGAAGCTCAGAGTAGAAATTGTAAAAATTCTAAGCATGACTTCATAAACACATATATGCATTAAAATCTAATTATTTGTTTTCGTTGTCTCTTTATTTAGATAAAGTACAATGGAAAATAAGTCCAAATTATTCACTTTTGAAATAGTCATAACCACATGTATATCATCTTTTGAAAGGTACATTTTTGTGGATTAAACTTTTTATTTCTGGAAAGTAAAATGAACTTTGTGATGTCTTTTCTCTATATTTTTGGTTGGGAGGAGTAGCTAGAATTCCTCTCCTAAATTAGCATTGAATAGCATTCTGTAGAATATTAAAAAATAAAAATCAAAGAATGAGTTACTAAAACTCCTCATAAACCACTTGCAGATACAACTGAGAATTGCCCATTGCATTGGTGAGAAATCAAGATGTGATTTCTTGGAGGATACTTTTAGAAGCATGTTTGGTTTTCATGAGTGAGAGATTAGTGAAGATTTGGATTTCAAAAAGAGAAAATATTATTTCAAAGTGTTTGGTAGATAACAGAAAGCCAGAAGGAGCAGCCACCCAGGAAGCTGCAATATCACATTAAAAGTTTTGACTTTGCAGCAATAAAATCACATAGTCAGCATTTTAGAAGTGATTGAGAGTCCTAATTTCATAATGCCTCATCTTCCTGTTTCACTTTGTCACTGACATAAATGTAAGCTGATGATCTGTTCAATATCAGATTTGTCATCTTCACACTGGCCTTTGTATATTCTCGTCTGAGATAATCTTATACTGCACTACTCCCCCTAAAATCTTCCATTAGGTTATCTGAAACACCCTTCCATTTTTTTTTATAAACAGTTGTTCTGCTTCTATGTCTTAAAATAAAACTGGATTATTTTCTTAGAGCATTAACTCCTAATACATGACTGAATGACTGAGGGAAACTAGAAGGGTGAATATGTATTCTCTTTGATTTCCTTTGCTATTTTGCTTCATCTCATAAATTTTAGAATCGTATGAAGGATTTGGGGAGAATCCCAAAAGAAAAGAGTTCTTTCCAATTTGATCTTAGTTTTATTATGATTCATATGATACACTTAGCAAGGTAAATTATGTTGCCTAGATCTTCTACTGCCTTGCTATTAGTTTGCTTAGTATATCAGTTTCTGAGATGATTCTATTTAAATTCCCAGTATTATTGTATATTTATCAGTGTTTCTTTATGTTTCAATTATATTTTGTTTCATAATGTGAACATGACTACCTGTATCAGTTATAACATAGCTATTAGAACTAAGAACTGAGACTACATGTATCAGTAAAGCTTGGTTGTTTGTCCTTTGTATGAGAAAGATGAGAATTTAAACATCTGCTTGAGAATATTCCTGCTAATTAATTTATCTGGGACAATTGTCTGCTCACTGGGGCAAACAGCTTTCTTATGAAGCAGTTTTACTTATCAATATTTCCTTCAAGAACCTCATCTCACTATGCCCACCAATCCTAAACTATCACAGCACAAATTTTGTTCAATTCATTTCAGTTCTCCATCTTAACAGATACCTTAAATTACTTAAGCCTAGACTCTAAATCCTATAAATATTCTCCCTTTTCTTCCCCCTCTGACATATGATTAAGACTATTAAGGTAACATTATCTCTAACTGCGACAAATTTAATGAATACAACTTTGATTTATTTATAGGTTATCTGATGGTATCTTGGAGAATTAAACAATATATTTAGGGGGCTTAAAAATTAATGTTTGCAAATTCCAAAATATGTTCAGTTATACTTAACTTGAAGGAGCTTTGTATATATATGTTTTCATAGTTTTGATTCTTGTATGATTTCTTTAAACTTATCATCCAATTCACCAATGCTCTCTTCATCTACTGCTACTTTATTGTTCAACCTATCTCTCTCTCACATATATATGCAAGAGGTATCTATCTATGTATATATTCAAGAATATATCTAGATATATTTTTAATTTCTAGAATATATATTTGTATTTCCTTCAAATATAGCAGTTCTTTTTTCCCAGGTCATAAAATTTTGTTAATTTTGTTTTGTAGATTCTTTGTCTTTTAATGATAAAAATATTTGTATAATTTACCTTTAAAGTAATTAAATTAATAACACATTGACAATATTGCTCTGGGGTGATAGCTTTAGTCTTTTTTTTGGCATGACCTGTCTTTTGGGCCAATTATATATCAGAAGAGTCTTCAGTCACTGAGTAACAGCTCTGCCTCAGTATCTTAATCACAGTCAATCATTGACTAAGAGCAGCTAAGAGGTGTGGCCTTGGTGCAAACATGGTGATGGATTTCAGGATGCAGCTACTTGACCCTTGGGTCAATTAATCCCCATGTAGTTGGATATCAGCAAGACACATCCTCATGGCTGGCATAGAGTGTATAGCCTGCTCATGAACCTGGGGTCCTGACTCATATGCTAATATTAATCTAGGCTAGGGGATGCAGATTTTCCTTTTCCCCATTCCCAAAAACTGCTTGCTTCTTTGTAATCTGGTACTTAACTGGGAGATTAGTTTCCCATTTCTAGTGTGCGTAATATGTATGGCCACAGCCCTCTTTCCCATAGAAGCATTAAACATTAAGATATGTTTCTAATCCCAGGACTATCATCAGTCTTTTCTTTCTTTCTCACACCTGATAATTTCTAGTTGTGATTTTCAACCACTGTTACTTACTTTACACATGGTTTAAAATATTTTATCCTCTAATTTTATGTATTTGGAGTGAAATGAAAACTTGCCCATGCTTGCTCAACATAACATCTTGATTGGAACTCTATTTTGGGAATTTATATTTTCCTATAAAATTGATCTTTTATTATTTTCCAAGCATTCATGTGTATATTACCATTTAAAAATATCTCCTGTATCTGCACTTATTAGTAGGCTAGGGAGAGACAAACATTGATCTTTAATGGCCATGTGTCCTTCTTTCCAAGATGCTTGGCAGAGTAGACTGGCAGAGCTAAGACTATTCAAAGAAGTACAGTGAGATCTTTGGTGATACTGGCCAGTCTGGTATTCCAACTCTCTAGCTGAGCTCCTGAAACTTTTCTAGATTATGTACTGGGCCAGAAGTATCTCTATTACCCAGAAAACTAGGTACCTTTACATGCTCTTAGCCAGACTAGTAAATATCCATAGGGTGGAGGCAGAGTTCCTCCTACTGGAATGTTCTACATGGCAGTCAGCTAAAAGGATCAAAGCATGCCTCTCTACAAAACAATCACAGAGGCAGAGAATCCTGTGAGCTCTTTTTCATTTAAGTTGTTCTCAGTAAATCTTATCATATCTGACCATAGTGTTCATTAGGACCTGTACAACACTCACAACTAAGACACAGCTATTAAGACTCATTCTGGATCCCTACAACCCCCTCTTTCTCAGTGTTTCTCATTTCAGACTGTTGATATTTTGTTCTCATTCCAAATTGTGCATGATTAATTCTTCTTTTCAGTAATTATATTTATAACATTTGGATATTTTTATGGTTTCATTTTGGTTTCAATGAGCCAGACCTTGGGAGTCTTACTCTTGTATTTATATTTACATTTTCACAATTTCCTTTCTTCTCCTTTCCTTCCACATATTTGCCAGAAGTTACTTTCTAATTGCTTTTCTTATTGTGGTTCTGGGCCTTAGATATCAGTTGGTGAGTGTTTCATGTCATTATGCATCCTTTTAGATTAGACACAGATATTAAATAATTTTTAAAATGTCTAAAAGAATTTGATGTGAAACCATCCTTAGAAAATAGAGCGATTGGCTGGCTGCAGTGGCTAACACCTGTAATCCCAGCACTTTGGGAGGCCGAGGCGGGCAGATCATGAGGGTCAGGAGATCAAGACCATCCTGGCTAACATGGTGAAAACCCATCTCTACTAAAAAAATACAAAATATTAGCCGGGCATGGTGGCGGGCACCTATAGTCCCAGCTACTCAGGAGGCTGAGGCAAGAGAATGGCGTGAACCCAGGAGACAGAGCTTGCAGTGAGCCGAGATCGCACCACTGCACTCCAGCCTGGGTGACAGAGCAAGACTCCGTCTCTAAATAAATAAATAAATAAATAAAAATAAAAAAGAAAATAGAGCGATTACTGGGAAGACCACAGTGGGCCTAATTATAACATTTCTATACCTCTCAAATCAATTGACAATGAATATCACAGAAAGCTTCTGGTCCTTTTTAGCACTGTTCATTATTATTTTTTAAAGTTTATTAACTGCCTGCATACGTCAAGTATAATACAATGCCAACCAACAGTAATGAGAAAACTGTTTCCTCACAGTCAGGTTTGCTTTCTCTCTCAAACACCATCTTCACAGAGACGGTTCACACTCAAAACCAATTTTCCAGATAAACTCCAGAAAACATAGATATAGTGAGTTTGGGGTTGTGTAGAGACCCTTTGGCTGCAATACTGGTCATTCCCAAAGGTTGGGAATAGGCGTATTAGGAGCCTGCTACATTTGTAGTTTCCTCACCCCCTCTGGATTCTGTCCTATGTTAAATGGCATGAAATCCAAAAACAACCTGAAAAAGGGCATTGATATAGATGAAGGGAGGTCTTGCAGCTTTTTACTTATTTTTACATTCTTCTGCTAACGTCTCCTTTCTGTCCTGGAACAGGAAATTAGATTAAACTTCAAGATAAAGTTAGTGGTATACTTCATATAAGAAAATGACTCTTCGTAGAAATATTAGTTTTGCTTATTTGAATTTGTTGAAACACTTTCTGATGTAGAAAAGGTTATGAGGGCCATAAGCTTGCATTTACCATGAAATTATCACTATAAAAAAGTGGACAGAAAAAATGAAATGTAAGTTATAAAAAAGAATCAACAAAGTTAAATTTGTGACAAGATACTGAAAACCAGAGAAAATAAGTATCATTGAAATGGAAAGTAATAACACCATGTTCCTTGAAATAACTCAAGTTTTATTTCTAAAAAAGAAAAATATATGTATACTCAGAAATTCATTACTGGCAGGATCTATCCTAGCAAAATCAAAGGGAAGTAACAGAAATAAAACTATGCTACTCCCTGACCCCACAAACTTCTGGACTCAGCTGTTTCTTAAACCTTCCAGTAGAATAAAAGAGTGAAAAATCCTGAAGGCTTATTGGGAAAATCAGGGACCAGAACAATGAGTTAAAGAAACCTCTTAGAAATATCTTTTCATAGATCAAGGATTTAGAGAACATTAAAAAATAAATGGAAAAAGTCTATTCATTTCCCCTTTAGTGATCTGGCATTTGTAGGAGAATAGATGAGTTTAGGTAATAAACTGTATATATTTGTAAGCATTGGTAGTCACTTATTAAGTGCGCACCAAGCAATATTTCTACTGCAATAAACTCAAAGTACATTTCTAACATTTCGTAGCATTACATTGCATCTTGAACATTAAATTGAATTAGAACTAACAAAAAAGCTTTTATATGTCCTTCTCCCTTAATTCTTTATATCTAAAATAGCTCCAGAAAAAAATATGACTAATGATAATGTGTGTCAGGTAAAGTATTATTGATTTGACAAAATTTAATCCTTTGTTTAGGTTGACTTTAAGTAAGACTACTCTCAACATAATATACAAATATTTTAGCCAAGGTAGTTTGTCTTTTGTTTAGCAGTTTTAGAAGGATTGTTTCTTAATATAGATAAAGGTAATTTAAATAAGGTCATACATGTTGGTATAATTGAAGTAAAATATAGCTTAATGGGATAGTACATTTTGAAGTGATATTTCAGCAAAATTCTTTTCATATGCCTCACATAACATGATCCTCAGTAAATGGAATCATCCGCAATTCAGTCACAGTTTGTGTTTGTAATTCTGCTGTAGAAAAACTCTTGGTAAGTATACATTTATGCTTTAGTTACCACCCAACATTTTCTGAAGTCATGCATTTTACAGTACCAACAATAGCATAAACATTTTCCTAAGTACTAGACTGGTGCTCCCTTTAGTAAATTCTCAGACTTAAAGAATATATGACCTGGAAGGAACCATGCGAATCATCAAGTATAACATGTAGCACCTTTTATGTCACAGAGTATATAAGTTATAGAGATTTTTAAGTGATTTGCCTCCAGTTAATGATTTGCTGAAAGAGGCTGCTGGAAAGCAAGTGTGAGCAGAAGAGATAAAGCCTGGGATTTTGGGTGTAAGGGCTCAAGTCTTCTCTTCTTACCCGTTGTCCTTTTCTTCATGTATTTATACATTCAACCAATATTTCTTGAGCGTCTACTATATACTAGTAGGCTTAGATGATATGCTGGTGAACAAAACAAACAAAAAAGACAAACTTTAAATTCCTTAGGGAGCTTACAGTCTCCATTAATATCTAAAATAACAACTGCGATAACAGTGCAGCAGATATATATGTACCTGTGTGTGTGTGTGTGTGTGTGTGTGTGTGTGCGCGCGTGCATGCTAAACACAGCATAAGTAATTAGGAAGGATTTCCTGAAGGTTTGAACTGATACCTGATGGGATTATAATAGTTGCCTTGGTAAAAGAGATAGTGACATGGGGTTCTGAGGGTAATACAGGAGGGAGTATTGTAAACACAGTGGATAGCATGAGGGGAGGCCCTGTTTCAGGAGCTGCTATTGCAACTTTGGGAAATGAAACAAGACCAGTGTGTCTGGAAGACAGACAGTGAGGGGTAGGTCTTTGGCAGGTGAAGCTTGTGTGGGAGTTAAGGAAGAGGCTCTCCAGGATCTGTAGTCTATTTGACTATGCCCTCAGAGGAATGGGACATCAAGAAATAATCATAACATTCGGAAAAGAGGTGCAGACATGGTCATTTGTGTCTCAAAAAATAACTCTGGTAACAGAATTTAGAAGGGATAGGGGAGAGACCCACCAAAACATTAGTAGACCACTCAGGAAGCTGTTAGAGTAACCCTATATGTTAGTTTGGACTAGGGTGGTGGTGATAGGTGGAGAAATGGAAGAACTTAAAAGATTTATGAGACATAAGAGCAACACAATTTTGTGGCTGGATCAGCACACAGGTGGTGAAGAGGGAGTTAATTATCAAAGATGATTTCTTGGTTTCTAATTTGTACAATAAAATGCATAGCAGTATAATTGACTGATTTAGATAATACTGAAAGAGGTTTAGATGTAAAATTTGGTTATGATGCTTTTGAGACATTCAAGAGGAGATGTCAAATACATTTGCAAACACAGAGATTTGGAACTTAAATAAAGGTCAGATATGAAAATGAGTTTGTAGATCAGAGGTGCTCTTCATTGGACCATATTGCCTATGTTCATTTTACATACTCTTTCATCTAAAAGGGGTAGAAATATTATTTGTCTGATTAAGTTGGGGGAAAAATGTGCTCATAGTCTTTGAAAATATTATTTTTATGTATTAAAGAACCCAGAATATCAGATAAAACATGATTTTGAGCTTAAAGTACATTTATTTCTCTATATTAAATTTTTCTTCTTGTCTATTCAATTTATGTTGTCATAGAACAACTTCTTCAGTTCCATATACTGCTTTAGCTTCCAAAATTAAGAGCAGAATTCTTAATTCTTAGGCCCTTTTATGTGCTTGACTGTTAGATAGTTTATCACTGGTTGACTGTTGGCTGGTTGGCTTTTTATGGCACTTGGAACAAACTCTTGGCAATCTTATAGGGGAATACGATTCTGGTTATTTGTAAACTCATTCTACTATTTTTATCTTTGAGAATTATTGAGTTTGCCTCTTCATTTCTCAAACTCAACTTATTTGTTCATTAGTTGAGAGTTTAGCACTACATGGTATGAAAAACTTATTTCCCTTTCTTTAAATTTAAGTGGTGATAGTTTACAGCTTTTTAAATGTAACACATATTATCTTTTTCTCTCTTTTTTTTCATAATAAGTTCAGTACTCCGACATTAGGAATATTAGCTGGAATGTTAGAGTTTTAAGAAAGCTTTGTGGAATAAGAATTTGTTATCTCTAACTTCTTGCTTGAAGTATCTTAATACTGCTGTGCTCCAGATGACATTTTAGTGTTACTTTCATCTAATGCTACATTAGTTACCATATGTTCTAAAAGTTCATTTATAATTGATGTTTGTCATTGTTTCTTTAGCTTCCTCACCTCTTGCATCTCCTTTCTTACACTCCTGCCAAAATTCAACCATGAGCTCAGTTCTCCATGGGTACTTCTATAGTGAATCAGTAATTGTACTATATGAAAGCTTATAGTTTTTATACTCACACAATTTAGTTACAACAAATATATCTTTCTAAACATTCTTGTAATGAAACAAAATATGCACAGGACACTTGCTGAAAATTTTTGATGATAGTCTTTTTATAACTTCATGTAGTAGCCGATCCTCTTTCCTCAACAGGTAACTTAGAGATTGTTATTTATGTTGAAACTAAAGAAGCTTTTTAGAGTAACCTTTAAATTATTTGCTTAATCCTCTTCTTATTGTTTTAGCTTGCTTTTTATACTTTTAATTCATTCATAAGGTTTGTGTATTTTCTTGTTTAAATTAAATTATTTGAGTTGATTAAATGATGGTCCTGATAACCTGATATGTTCATGGTCATATGAACATGATATGTTCAGTTTGGCTTGTGCTTGTTATCTAGACTCAATTTCCAAACCTCAGACTGTACTTGTGATATCAGGCAGATTTCTTGGGTTTTCTTTTTGTGTGTGTGTGTTTTTTTTTGTTTGTTTGTTTGTTTTCTTTTTTTGAGATGGGAGTCTCGCTCTGTTGCCCAGGCTGGAGTGCAGTGGCGGGATCTTGGCTGACTGCAACCTCTGCCTCCCAGGTTCAGGCGATCCTCCTGTCTCAGCTTTCCGAATAGCTGGGATTATAGGTGCATGCCACCAAGCCTGGCTAATTTTTGTATTTTTAGTAGAGATGGCGTTTCGCCATGTTGGCCAGGCTGGTCTTGAACTCCTGACTTCAGGTGATCTGCCTGCCTCCGCCTCCCAAAGTTTTGGGATTACAGGCGTGAGTCACCGCGCCTGGCAGGGGTTTTCTACTGTTAGTCATAGTAGAGACTAGGCAAATAAGTAGCTAAATCAAATATTATACTTTATTGCCCTGTAGGACATTAATCAGTTCTGAATCCAATGCAGCAAACTTATTCTAACTTGCCTTTATTAAATTTCTTTTAAAAGTGTAGTCATATAAATCTGTGATATGTGTTCATTTTCTATTTTATAAGCGAGGTCTTAAAAACTTTTAAAAATTACATTTCAGCACTTTGGGAGGATATTCTCTTAGATGCTCAAGTGGACTAATAGGATGGAGAGACAATCAACTATGTCTCTTGTGAAGTGTCCCTCATAGGCTGCTGAACCTTGGTCCGGGTAACTCCTGAGCTGCAATGCAATTTCAACTTTGTGATTCTCTATTTCTCTATATTTTATTTTTTCCTCCCTCCTGATTTTGTGATTTTGTTTCTGTCATCAGTTCATGTATGACCAATAAATTGTTTTCTGTTGTCTGCAGTAGTGGTTAAGAACGTTGTTTTTCCTGATCATTTTGGTAATTTTTTGTTAGATGAATGATGAAGATCTATTCTCCTTTCAGTAAGAGATAATTGGGAATCTGATTAGGTGGTCTTTTTGTTTGTTTGTCTCTTGGTCTACTTATGACCCCAATCAATTAAGAATTTCATTCATAGCAGCTCCTTGAGATACTGACTGATGAGTTTCTGTTTTTGTGCTTACGTTTATCCTATGGCTGGATATGCAGAACTGAATCTACAAGCTCTCTGTGCATCTGTGTCTGTCTTTTTGTGTCTGTCTTTTTGTGTCTGTAATTAATGAAGTCCTGGCTTCCTCTCCCTGAGTATAAAATGTTTTTCTTCTGTGGTCCCCAGCCTCCAAGGTGACCGTGGTTATCCCTGCCTCCTAGTATTTATTTATTTTTTTTTTAGTAGTTGTCTCCATATTATACCAGAGTTGGTCTGGGTGGCTAACAATTTCTGAGGGATATTGTAGTCATGTGGTCTCTCAAATTAGGATATAAAAGAAGGTGGTTACTTCCATCATGGGTATGCTTTCTTACTCCCCCTTTCCCTCGCATCACGTGCTCTGGAGAAAGGCAGCTGCCATGTTGTGAGAAATGTTATGAACAGACTCATGTGATGAGAAACTGAAGCCCACACTCAGGGATCAGCTTAAGCCTCCCGTGAGTATGTTTGGAAGCAGCTGTTGAGCTTTGAGATTATTCCGGCTCTGGACAGCAGTCTGACTGCAACCTCATCAGAGATCCTAGCAAAGCCACCCAGCCATTTCTGCGTTTCTGACCCTCAGAAACTGTGTGATGTAGTAAAGGTTTGTTGTTTTAAGGCTACTAAATTTGGGGGTAATTCTTTAAGCTATAATAACTAACACCTCTCTCAGGAGAATATTAATAAACATCTCTCAAATTAAAAATGCTCTATTCTGATTGATTTGTAATGATAAATAGTTACTTATGTAAATCTAATATCCCTCAAACCCATAAAAAATAAAAAATTTGAACTTCTAATAATTTACATGTGAAATTTAAAAATTTATGAAAACTGCTGGCTCCAAAATGTCTTAATACAAGGGCACAACATCATAAAGTTACGATGATTCATTGCCCAAATTATGGTAGTATAATAATTTTGGTTAAATGAATGATGCCTATGTTTTTCCCTTGATTTTTAACAGTAAAAAATATTAAATTAGAATATATTTTATTACTGGTAAAATAAGATTTGGGCCTTTCTCATAAAACTATGAGTTAATTTGAATTTTTTCTACTATTTACAATGGTTCACTCATAAAATAGACTAATCTTGTGTAACCGTTAAAATTCTGAAAAATATACATTTGTGTCCAACTAAATTGAATGATACTTCTGACAAATTTTTATATTTACTGTGATTATGTTTTCTACATATGACTTTGAACATCGTGTCCAAAACCTTTAGGTATCTTAAAATCCTGGGATAATATTAAATTGAATTAATGGCTAATCATTTGCTACCTAGTGTCCAAGTAATGATTCTGACCACAGAGGCATTTTTTATGTACAGGTAGATCTATGGAACATAATAACAAATGTATTCATTTTCCCTATTTTAAGAAGGTGTAAAGGGGTGTGTAGCTCTAGAAAATTGTGAGCTTTTCTAGTTTAATAAAATGTTTATGTATGAAAATTTTCAATTACCTTCCTCATTTTTTCTGTGAAATATTAGTACTTAGGTAAAAAATAATAACTAATGTGGTTATTTGAGACTAAGCAAGTGTGTGTGTGTGTGTGTGTGTGTGTGTTTTGACGCGGGGTATCACTCTATTGGCCAGATTGTAGTGAAGTGGTATGATCAGGGCTCACCGCAGCCTCTGCCTCTGGGCTCTAGTGATCCTCTTACCTCAGCCTCCCTAGTAGCTGGGACTATAAGCCTGCACCACCAGGCCCAGCTAACTATTTTTTATTTTTGCAGAGATGGTGTCTCATTATGTTGCTCAGGCTGGTCTCAAACTCCTTGGCTCAAGCAGTCCATCCACCTTGGCCCCCTGAAGTTTTGGGATTACAAGCATGAGCCACTGCATCCAGCCAAGACTAAGCAATATTGACAGAACATTACAACCATCTTCTCAAGTTATCGAATGGGAGTTTGTTTTTCAGAAAATCAGAGAATAGGTTTGGCCTAAATAAAGTATGTTTGTTTTAGAACAGGAAAGATAATACTGAAGGGCAAAACTTCCATATTTGTTCTAAGTTTTAAAGGATATGGGGAAAGGGAATAAAATTTACTTCAGTTTATAATATCTAAATCAAAAGAGAAACTAAGAAATATGTTAAATTTTGATAATTTTAACAGAGGAATAATGACAATTATGTTTGCTGAGTTTGACAGGCTTAGTCTAAGATAATTTTTTTAAGAATGAGAGGAAAAGTCTAAAACTTATACTACCAAATATTGATGTAAAACTAGAATTTTGTTTTCCCTTTATTAAAATTATGAGTTAGCTTTCAAACTCTTAAAGATACTGAGTTACTATTCTTTACATTTTGTATAATCAGTATAGGTAACAAAGATTCTCTATCGCACTAAAATAATTTTCTCTGAGTAAACTTTGAAGTGTTTTAGTTATTAAAGAAAAAACTTTCTGCAGTTGTGAAAGAGCCAGTGTTCTTTACAAAGAGATAATTATGTTGTGTTTTATTTTTAAATATTTTATGATACCTTGATTAAATAAGTAACCAGTATTGATTCTATTTTAATCAAATAACCAAATCTTGTTTGGTTATTCTTTTGCATTCCCAAGATGAGGCCTTAAAATCAGAAAAAGATATTCATCATGTCTTTTACACCTAAAAACATTTTTGAAATTCCCAAAGGGTCCCTGGAAAATAGGCATATTTCACTTTCTAAAAGAGGGATGCTAGAAATAATTTGGTGCTCTCAGCATGCTCCATATGTCATAATTGGTTCAACTCCACTGGAATGCTCGTATGTAGAGTTACATACTAGAAAGGTCAAATCAGAAGAAATGTTCAGCTTTCCATAAGATAAATTATGTAGAAAAATAGTATACAGAATATATTATTTTCTTCAGTTTGAATATTTGAAAATACTCAACAGACTCACTTGACATACTCACAGGAGGCTTTTATTTAAAAGCAAAGATATGGTGCAGTGGTGCGTGAGAGGAAAAGAATATAGGCAAGTGTCGGGGGTCCCAGGGACTTTCTGCAGCTCCAGTTCTCCTGGGGCCCTTTCGTTGAGCACACAGGGCCCAGCTGAATATCTGCCTTATTTTGCCAACATCTGTGTGAAAAGTGTTGATTACAGGACAGCTCACTGAAAAAGTGTTTAGTTATTTTTTAAGTAATCAAATAAGACTTGTCAAATCATTTAGGTCAGTTCCAAATCTTCAGTGAAGAAACTAAACCTGAGGTGGCCAGGGGAGTTTGGAACCTTAAACTGCATATTATTAATTCCACTGTCTTTATCTTGGCCAAGAGTAAAAAAAAAAATCAATAACAACAAAAATTCCACAAATATTCAGGCATCCCCAGAGATAAAAATAGAATGGCTTTTGAGTACCAGCTTGAAAGCTGACGTTATTTGAATAATGTTCTGATTGTAAATAAAGTTCTTTGTAAATTCAGGGTTCCAGGGATCCTGTCATTCCTGAAGCTGACATGTTTAATGAAAGCAGACTTCTGACTCAAGATTGAGCAGAAGGAGAATGAATGAAACAACTGGATGAACTAATAATAGAAATTTGCTTGTTTTTGTCAGGTTTGTCAAAGATCAGATGGTTGTAGATGTGTAGTGTTATTTCTGCGGCCTCTTTTCTGTGCCAGTGGTCTATATATTTGTTTTGTTACCAGTTCTGTGCTGTTTTGGTTACCATAGCCTTATAGTATAGTTTGAAGTCACGTAGTGTGATGCCTCCAGCTTTGTTCTTCTTGCCCAGGATTGTCTTGGCTATGCAGGCTCTTTTTTGGTTCCACATGAAGTTTAAAGTAGTTTTTTTTCCAGTTCTGTGAAGAAAGTCAGTAGTAGCTTGATGGGGATGGCACTGAATCTATGAATTGCTTTGGGAAGTATGGCCATTTTCATGATATTGATTCTTCCTATCCAGGAGCATGGAATGTTTTTCCATTTGTTTGTGTCCTCTGTTATTTCCTTGAGCAGTGATTTGTAGTTCTCCTTGAAGAGATCCTTCACATCCCTTGTAAGTTATATTCCTAGGTATTTTATTCTCTTTGTAGCAATTTTGAATGGGAGTTCACCCATGATTTGGCTCTCTGTTTGTCTGTTATTCGTGTATAAGAATGCTTGTGATTTTTGCACATTGATTTTGTATCCTGAGACTTCGCTGAAGTTGCTTATCAGCTTAAGGAGATTTTGGGCTGAGACAATGGGTTTTTCTAAATAGATAATCATGTCTTCTGCAAACAGAGACAATTTGACTTCCTCTCTTTCTATTCGAATATCCTTTATTTCTTTCTCTTGCCTGATTGCCCTGGCCAGAACTTCCAACACTATGTTGAATAGGAGTGGTGAGAGAGGGCATCCTTGTCTTGTGCCGTTTTTCAAAGAGAATGCTTCCAGTTTTTGCCCATTCAGTATGATATTGGCTGTGGGTTTGTCATGTATAGCTCTTATTATTTTGAGATATATTTCATCAATACCTAGTTTATCGAGTGTTTTATTGGGGTTGTTTGTTCAAAATAGTGTCTTTCCTTCTTAAGATATTTTTCTTTTTTTATTATGCTTTAAATTCTGGGGTGCATGTGCAGAATATGCAGGTTTGTTACATAGGTATACATGTGCCATGGTGATTTGCTGCGCCCATCATCCCATCACCTACATTAGGTATTTCTCCTAGTGTTACCCCTCCCCTAACCCCCTGCCCTCTCGACAGGCCCCGGTGTGTGATGTTCCCCTCCCTATGTCCATGTGTTCTCATTGTTCAACTCCTACTTATGAGTGAGAACATGTGTTTTTAGCATGAAGGGGTGTTGAATATCATCGAAGGCCTTTTCTGTATCTATTGAGATAATCATGTTGTTTTTGTCAATGGTTCTGTTTATGCAATAGATTATGTTTATTGATTTGCACATGTTGAACCAGCCTTGCATCTCGGAGATGAAGCCGACTTTCTAAAATTTTAATTTATTTTTAATTTTTGTTCTTCTTAAGACATCTTTAACCTTTAAGTTACTAGATTTTTTTTTCATGAAATAAAACAAAACAATTTCAATGATATGTAACTTTCATTGCCCCCCCCTCCAGATTTTAGGAACAGATATGTTTGTTCATTTCCCTTCATTTTTATGTAACACATTATTTGCACAGGTTATGTGAAAATGTGTTCTCCTTTTAACCAGGATATAACTGGACAAACTAATTGCACAATTGAGGCCACATCTACTAGAGAATCGTACTTTAGAGTGATTATCATTTAATTAGATATGCCAAGCCCAGCCTGCTATTAAGAAAAAATGGTTGATTTTTATATGTGGAGCCAATTTCTGTAGAGCTCTTCTGAGAAAAGGGGCTTTGTAGCTGGCTAATGGGGTCCCAGTCTCAGAGATGGCAATGGGGCCACTTTCTAGCAACTTAGCAACCATAGCAAATTCATTGACTCTGAAGAAGGTTCATGAAAATATGCAGGTACTGCAGGTGAAGTCTTGTGGAAAGAGTGTTTTGGGCTTGGTTTTATAACCATGGGATAGAAGAGCAAATAATAGAGGCTGTTGGAAGGGCAATTCAAGATTATGAGGAAAATCTAGACAGGAGTTAGTTATTTGGCTTTAGGAGTTACAGAACAAACTCAAGGAAGCTATTAGTATTAACACTCTTGATGTACCTAAATAAATAATTAGGCCACACATGATGGGACCAGCCTTTTTAATGGAAACATTAAAAATTCTTGAAGGTTACTGTGATCACAAGGAAAGGGGGGACTATTAAGAGTCTTGATTAAAAGCCTCAAACTAAACAAAGTTACATGTTAAATGGTAGATTTTAGGGCAGTTGAGGTGTGAATAATTTCTGTATGGTAGAGTGCTCTGTGGAACATTCACCAGTTTTGTTTTGTTAAAGAAAAACTTCAGGCGAGTTATATTTAAAGGCGTTTAATTGAGTAATGAACAATTCGCGAATCAGGAAGTTCCCAGAATCACAGCAGATTCACGGAGACTCCAGGGGTGCCTTGTGCTAGAACAAATTTATAGACAAAAAAGGTAAAAGTGACATACAGGAATCAGAAGTGAGGTATAGAGAGAGCGAGATTGGTTACAGCTTGGCGTTTGCCTTATTTGAATGAAGTTTCAACATTCAGCAGTCTATGAGTGGTGGAAGTATGGCCACTGGGATTGGCCAACACTCAGCTATTGTTTAGGTGTATACTATTAAGTTGGGTTTTCAATTCTGTCTGACTATTAAGCTAGGTTACAGTTTATCCTCCAGAACTCAAATATAGAAGTACGGAGTCCTTCTCAGGCCATATGTAGTTTGCTTTAACAGTATGTAACCCAGTAATATTACTAGAAATTGTCTCAATATTACTAGACAATTGTCTTAATATGCTTGGCTCTCTGTGAATTGATTACTTCTTTGCTCATGCTATTTACTGATCTAGGAGTACATATTCTTCTCATATGTTTTCAGCAAACAAATATTCACAATACAATAATCTTTTCATCTTTGGAGCTTTTGATAAGTGAGTAAACTGAATATGATAAGTGAGTAAATTGAGATATATCTGCAGGAGAAAAAATTTTAAGAGATTATTAATATATCAGTTCTGTGGTGAAATGGGTTAGCCATCTGGGTTGTTTTCTTTAACAGAACAATTTTAAAAACTCTAGCTGTCATCTGCTCTAGTGCTTACTAATTTCTCCATTAAATTTCATTCATTGGATTTTGCCAAGTACCCAACAATAAAATCACGTTTGTTATGTAAAAGGCTGTTTTTGAAAGCACTGCTGAGTGTTTCCCATGAACACCAACTATTTTGATCAATTAATTAGCTATCACCTAGTGATAAATAAAAC
The DNA here is from genome assembly GCF_000001405.40 of Homo sapiens. Lineage (NCBI taxonomy): Eukaryota > Metazoa > Chordata > Mammalia > Primates > Hominidae > Homo > Homo sapiens. The sequence goes on from NC_000018.10 coordinate 1,611,315, forward strand.
ACGAGGCATTTTGAAGATTGGGGTCATGAAAGGAAAATAAATCTCGGGTCCCCAGAATCACTAAGCTAAAGGGAAAAGTCAAGCTGGGAACTGCTTAGGGCAAAACTTGCCTTCCATTCTTTTCAAAGTCATCCCTCTGCTCACTGAGATAAATGCATATCTGATTGTCTCATTTGGAGAGGCTAATCAGAAACTCAGAAGAATGCAACCATTTGTCTTTTATCTACCTATGACCTAGAAGCCCCTCCCTGCTTCGAGTTGTCCCACCTTCACCTCAAGTTATCCCACCTTTCCAAACTGAACCAGTGTACATCTTACACACATTGATTGATGTCTCATGTCTCCCTAAAATGTATAATACCAAGCTGTGCCCCTACTGCCTTGGGCACATGTTGTCAGGACCTCCTGAGGCTGTGTCATGGGTGCGTGTCCTCAAACCTTGGCAACATAAACTTTCTAAATTAATTGAAACCTGTCTCAGATTTTCATGGTTCACAGGGTTTAGGAAGTATCACAAGTTGTGGGCAGGCTTTCATGAGAACAAATCTAGAAGCTATTCTACCAGGGGATGCTAGGTGAGAGGGAATCAGATGGGGTATGAAAGAGGGGCAAGCAAGGAGTTTTCAGGGTTTCTGAGATATAAACAACTAGTGTTGGTTCTTGTTTAATAATCAAACTATGTATTTCGTGTTCTTTAATATTCAACTCAATGAGTAAATTAGTCTTCATTTAAATGAAAATAATAGTGTTAGAATAAGCTTTCCTTGATACATCAAAGTATTGAAAATTTTAAGTTTGCAGAGCCTACTTTGAGTACTTTGAGGCATGCTTGTGGAGGAGTCTTGGAAATCAAAAAAGAAAGCCGATTTAGTTGAAAAGAGCTACCCTCATTTCTCTTCTTGAAATCTATACCTTTTCCAATTAAGCCCTGCAGAAAATATCTCTTTTCTTGCCTTATCTGTTCTTTGTAGTGGGATGAAAGACACCTCACAAAATAGTTGGAAGAATACAGAGATCTGAAGGCTACTAGCTGTGCTGTTAATAGGGAAAAGAGAATAAGGACTTATAGTTCAGTAATACCATTTTCACCATGCACAACTTCAAACACATCGCAGAGAGCAGTTTCTATAAAAAATCACACTCTTAGTTATGATGCTTTCTGTACTAAAATAAGAAGTCCTGCTGAAGGATTTAACCTTAAGTTTCAATGTGTGTTTCTAGATGTCGTGTACAGTCTTCTAATTTGTTATGGCATATGGAAGCAACAATCTTATTTTTGTGAGATATTCTGAAACCGAAGTCTCCCATTCAGGTTTCCTAGAAATGGAAAAGAAAAAAAAAGTAAAGAAGTCAAACTTCTAACATTCCTCTGTAGAAAACTAACATGTAAATGCCCTGCAACCTGCCTTCTTACAAAAACCTATAAGGCTTTAAGCTATGAAGCTATAAAATATGAAGTTGAATAGACATCTACAGTATGAGTATATATGCAATGCATAGTTGCCTATTTCAGTGTGCATTTAATTCTGGCATTCTTGATGTATTTATTTTATAACCTTCATATTTCATTAATTAGAATTGAATTAATACATTCTGAAATAAGAAGTGTTTTTAAAAGAATTCATATTTTTTACCCTAGGAGCACAGTATAAGTCAAATATGCTTAACAATGTTTGCATGGAAATTTTGTCTTTGAAATTTTATGTGAATATATAAGGTGGAATGAGAATTTATATTTTATGTATAATGCTGAAGTGATTCAAAATATATAAAGATTGAACATTTAAAAACTTATAAACATTTTCTGTGAAATTAAATTATTTCTGAATAAATAGGCTTCCCATAGTTAAATTCGTCTCAAATTTCACATACATGCAACTTAGTGAAAGTTTTTCAGAATAAATATCTGTAAAAGATAAACATCATCCTATTTTTAAGATTAAAAAAATTTTTTTTAAAGTCTATAAAATGTGAGAAAGTACTCAAACTCTTATTACCAACTTTAGAATTCTTTTCAGATTGTAGGAGGCAACTGTGACATAAGAGTTACTAAACAGAACAAGGGAGAAAGAATTTCAGCAACTTTCTCATTTTTCTCTGCTTAAGAATTTGTTTCTGTTTTTTTGTTTTTTGTTTTTGTTTTTGTTGCTGTTGCTGTTTATAAATTTAACTTGATATGGTGGAGAGTGAACCAGTAGATCAGGACTAAAACATCAACTTAACTGGAAACATTGGTGTCTATATGCTATAACATGCGTTGGTAAATTACAGCAAGTATGCCACATTTAGTCTGCCACCTAATTTATATATAAAGCTTTATAGGAGCAAAGTCATGCTCATTAATTTATGCTTTTCTCTATGGCTGCTTTTGCACTACAATGGCAAAGTTGGAGAGTTGTAACAGAGATCGTGTAGTCCACAATGTCTAAAATATTTAATATCTGGGCCTTAATATAAAATTTTCCTAACGTTACTGTGCAGAAATTATTCAAAGATGAGACCAATGATTGAAAAAAAAATGCGGCTTCCAGAATGAAAAAACGAACAAGCAAAATAGCAATACACTTTTTTTTCCACTAACTTTATAACTTGAAGGGAAAGCTGTACAATAAGGAGTTTGATCAATTACTCAGTATTTTATGAAGAATCTCCCCCAAGGTCAATAGCATTCTAAGTCTTACAAAGAATACAGAAAGGTATTATTTTCAACTTCCAATTGTCATCATAAGAGAACTTCTGTGGTAGGAAAATTTAAAGCCAAATAACTTAAGATTGTCTGGTAGGATGTCAGAGAAAATTATCCCTCCACAAAAATACTGAAAAAAGCAAAACCTGTCAAAATCAACTTTGTCTGGAAAATAGTAAAAGGTTTACAGCAACCAAGCAAATGCTGACTCAAGAAAGGGGCAACTTTAAAATGATAAGAAAGCTTTGTTGCATTTTTACTTGCCTTTGCTCCATCTCCACTCTGGGATGGTGATGGTCTTGAAATCAGATGCCTTCATTCCCGATGTGAGACCCTGGTCCCTGCAGCAGAGTACACCTTGTTCTCAAACAACTGTGTTTATCATTTTTGACCTGCCTGGGGGCTGCCTGAGAAACTGACATAAGGTGATAGCCTTTGTTTCATCTAACTTGCAAAGTTTTCAGGGTACAAAAGTGGCTATGCAGAGGTCATTTCATGAAAATATTAAAAGACAAATTAATAACTATCTGCTACCTGGGGAAACAAACAACAAGCAAACAAAACAAACAGTTAAGGCAAAAATTAAAAACACGAAATTCTGGAGGAGATATTCTTTGAAGAATTAGAACACAGAAAAACTCTTGTGCATACAGGGGAATTTAGAAAGCCACACTCAGAGCAGGATGCATGCTCAGAAAAAAGCTGAGAAGGCTCTGCTCTTTGATCTCTGGCTATTTGGCTTAATGCAAGCAGGAAGTGAAGACTAATGTTGAGCTGTAAATGACATGGCTAAGTGTTGAAAGAGTACATCTAAACAGGGCCAATTTGCAAAAATTAGTTAAGCTCTCCCTCTTTCCCCCTTTTTAAGGGTTTCAAGGATTAAAAGAAATCTCTGTCCAAACACTAGTTTACCACAAGCTGAAGAAATAGTGACTTTGGAGACCATATGCAGCAAATCATACAGCGTCTACACACACACACACACACACACACACACACACACACACACACACACACACACTAGTTTAGAAAAGTCACCAAGTGAACAAACAACTATTACCCATGGCAAACAACAAAACCAAACCCTGAGATACAGGAGAATCTAATTTACAGAATTTCCATATTATAATATTAACTATGTCTAGTTTTCAACAAAAAATTACAAAGCATGCAAGGACACAAGAAAGCATGGTCCATTCAAAAGAGAAATAAAAATTAAAAACTATTCATAAGGAAGCACAGACACTGGACTTACTAGATAAAGAATTTAAGTCAACTTTTAAAAGTATACTGAAGGAACTAAAAGAAACTAATTATGGTCAAAGAGTAAAGAAAATCTGTAGAACAATGCATGAATATATAGAAATATCAACAGAGATAGAAATTATTTTTAAAAATAAAAATTCTAGATCTAGAAAGTACAATAACTGAAGTGACAAATCCACTAGGGGATCTCAATAGCAGATGAGAAGACTGTAAAAAAAGAATCAGTGGATTTAAAATAGATCAGTTGAAATTATCTGGTCTGATAACAGAAAGAACAAGAATGCAGAAAAATATACAGAGCCTAAGGAACCTGTGGGACAACATCAAGCAGATCTACATATGAATAATGAGAGTCCAAGAAAAAGATGAGAGAACAGGGAAGAAAGCATATTTGAATAAAGAATGGCTAAAAACATTATAACATTATCATTTTAATAAAGGCATTAATTTTTATGTCCAAGAAACTCAAAGAATTCCATAAAGGAAACCCAGAGAGACCCACAATGAGGTATTATAATCAAACTATTGAATGCCAAACACAATCTTAAAAGCAAAAAGAGAGAAGTAATTTGTCACTAGAAGGAGTCCTCAATAAGAATATCAGCCATTTTTTATTAGAAGTTATAGATACCTGAAGACAGTAGGATAATATATTTAAAATACAGAAAGGAAAAAAAAAACTCAACCAAGAATTCTATACTTGGCAAAAGTGTTCTTCAAAAATGAGGGAGAAATTAAAATATTATCAGACAAAAAAGCTGGAAGAGTTTATTGCTAATAGACCTGCCTTATAAGAATTGCTAATAAGAGTCTTTGGGGCAAAAATGACATGACACTAGACAATAACTTGAAGATATATGAAGAAATAAAGAACACTGATAAAGGTAATGAGAATGGTAAATTTAAAAGCCAGTATTGTATTTTTGGTTTTTAACTCCTGTTTTTAAAATATAAGGTTTTAAATAAAAATGCATAAAATAATAATTGTACTTCTGGGCTAACAGGCAGACATGTGTAAAGATATACTTTGTGACAACAATACATAAAGGAAACTAGTTATTGGGGCTGTATAGAAGCAGAGGATTTTTTTCACTATTGAGGCCAAGTTAATATTAATTAAAATTTAATTATAAGTTTAAAATGTTACTAGTAATCCCAAGAGGAACTACTGAGAGGATTACTAAAATATACACAGAAAGGAAATGAGAGAATAATCAAAATGATAAACTGCAAAAAATCAATTAAATACATAAGAATGCAGTAATGGAGGAATGAAGGAACCAAAAAAAATGACATGTTGCAAACAAATAGCAAAATGTCAGAAATGAGCTCTTTCTTGTTATTGATTACTTGAAGGGTGAATAAATTAAACTATCCAAAAGGCAGAGCTTGGTAAAAATCAATTTTTAAAAGTCATTTAACCATATGCTGTCTATAAGAGACTCAATATAGATCCAAAGACATAAATAAGTTGAAAGCAAAGAATATTCCGTACAAATAGTAACCAAAAGAATACTAGGATGGATATACTAAAATCAGAAAAAATGGACTTTAAGTCAAAACCATTGCAAGCGACATTAAATATTGATAAAAGGGACAATCCAGCAAGAATATATAATGATTATAAAAAAAATACACACCTAAGTATAAAGCCCTAAAATATTTAAAGCAAAAATTGACAGAATTGAGGAAGAAACACACTATTCTACATTAAAAGTTGGAGACTTTGATACCAAAATTTCAATAATGGATAGAACTAGATAGAATATTAATGAGGAAATAGGGAACTTTAGTAACGGTATAAACAAACTGCACCCCTCAGACAAATACAGAAAACTCCATCCTGTAACAACAGAATACACATTCTTCTCAAGTGTACATGGAACATTCTCTAAATTATATGTCAGGCCACAAAACAAGTCTCAATAAATGTGACATAATTGAAATAATAGAAAGTATCTTCTTCAATACAATAGAATAAAATCAGAAATCATTAACAGAAGGAAAACTGGAAAATTCACAATTATGTGGAAATTAAACAACATATTCTTAAACAAGCATTGGATCAAAGAAGACATCACAATGCATAAAATACTTTAGGATTCACACTTCCTGATTTCTAAACTTACTATAAAGCTACAGTATTCAAAACAATGTGGAACTGGTATAAAGATAGACACCCCTTAACCAATGAAATAGAACTGAGTCCAGAAAGAAACCCATTTGATTTTGAAAAGGGTATTATAAGACCATTCAATAAGCAAAAGAATAGTCTCTTCAACTAGTGGTGTTGAGACAACTCAATTTCCACATGCAAAAGAGTGAAGTTGGATCCCTACCTCACACTCTTCACAATATCCAAAGTATTCCAAAGGTGGAAACAAACTAAATATTCACCAACTGATGAATGTATAAACAAAATGTGGTATATACTCACAATGAAATATTATTCAGCCATAACAAGAGATGAAGTACTGAAACATGCTACAACATGGATGAACCTTGGAAACATTATGCTAAGTAAAAGCAGACAGACTCAAAAGGTTACATATTGTATCATTCTATTTTATTTAATACGAAATATCCAGAATAGGTAATCCCATAGAGACAGAAATGTGTTGGCAGTTGTTAGCGTTGAGGGGAAGAGAGAATGAGGAGTGACTTTAATGGCTACAGGGTTTTCCTCAGGGGTGATGACACTGTTTTGGAACTCGATACTCGATATAGATATTCGTTGTACAACACTGTGAATGTAATTAATACTACTGAATTGCCCACTTTAAAATGTTTTAGTTTTATGTTAACATTTTACCTTAATTTTAAAAACTAATCATTTGGGAAAATTATATTGATAGACCAAGATTACAAATTAACTTATAAAACTCTTACACATATGTTGCCATCTAGAAAATGAGACAATAAAGGTAGCATTCAATTATTTACTCATTTACTTATTTAACAAATATTTATTTAGCATCTTCTATATGCTAGACACTGTTTTAAGCGTTAGAGATATAGCCTACATGACCAAATAAAGTTATTACTTTTTGGCATGACATTTTAGTCAGGGTAGACAGACAAAAGTAAATAATTACATAGTAATCACAGGTCGTAATAAGGATTATGAGAAAAAGAAAAGTAAAGAAATACAGAGTGTGGGGTTGTGTGGTGCTATTTTAGATAGCATAGTCAAGGCAGGCTTCTATCAGGAGGTAACATTTCAGCAGAGACGTGCATGAAATCAGGAAGCAAACATTTCAGCAGAGACGTGCATGAAATCAGGAAGCACACCATGCATATATCTGAGGGAAGAACAATTTAGAAAGAGGCAATGGTAGATGCAATTAGTAACTGAGCAGCCAAATGTTTGGTGGGTTTGAGGAGCAGCAAAAAGGCCTGTGGCTAGAGCAGTTCTCTAGTTTGAGAGTGGTAGGAGAGATGTGGTAAGAAGCCAGAAGTTGCTCAGTTAGGATTTGTGTCTCACATTAACAACTTTGGATTTATTTTGAGTGTGATGGGGCAGCACATTAAATGGAATTAATATTAATAGCACTTAATGTAACTTGAAGTATTAATACTGAAATATTTTCTTTTGACAATTTTTGCGAAATATTCTAGGATCTCCTTTTACTGTAATTTCAAAGAAGTTGTGAATATGCTTTTTGTCATACCAACGCTTATATTATACCTATGAAAAGGCTTTTTCCTATACCTGTTCCTCTATACAGATTTGTTTGCTTTGAGTTTTGTTTTGTTTTTTTTTTGGCTATCAATTTTATGACTTGGAATTCATTATAATAATTCACATACCCTTCATTTGTTTTCCCGCCATTGTAGGAAAAGTTTACACAATTAAAAATGGCTTTAAGAGAATTCCATGTAAAAGACATTCTGGGTTTCAGAGGAAATGTTATCGAAAAAGGGTCTTGATCCAGACCCCAAAAGAAGGTTCTTGAACCTCGCACAAGAAAGAATCTGGGCGAGTCCACAGAGTAAAGTGAAAGCAAGTTTATTAAGAAAGTAAAGGGATGAAAGAATGGTTACTCCATTATTTCTTGATTATGTGCTAAACAACGGATGGATTATTCATGAGATTTCCGGGAAAGGGGCAGGGATTTCCCACAACTGGGGTTTTTTTCCTCCTTTAGACCCTGTAGGGTGACTTCAGGATATTGCCACGACATTTGTAAACTGTCATGGTGCTGGTGGGAGTGTCTTTTAGTATGCTAATGCATTAAAATTCACGTGTAATGAGCAATGAGGACGACCAGAGGTCATTTTCATGACCATATTCATTTTGGTGGGTCTTGGCCAGCTTCTTTACTGCAACTGTTTTATCAACAGGGTCTTTGTTCCCTGTAAATTGTGCCGTCCTATCTCATTCTGTGACTAAGAATGCCTACCCTCTGAGAATGCAGCCCAGTAGGTCTCAGCCTTATTTTACCTAGCCTGTTCAAAATGGAGTCACTCATGTTCGAATGTCTCTGACAGAAGTAATCTTATTACCTAAGATTAAAACAAACAAACAAATGAAACCTCATAGGAATAGATTCGTTCATTCATGTCAATTTATTTAATTATTTAATATTATTTGGTGGATGTTTACTAGAGGACATAGAACAGCACCAGCTCAGGGATGTTTGAGATAAACCACTCATCTATAAACAGCCAATGAATTTCTTTTCTGGTGCTTGAGGGCCTGTCCCCTATCACCACCATCACCGTACATTTCAGAGAGTAGGTATCCATCACCTACTCTTTGAGAAGGTGAACAGTGTAAAATGAAAGAAACAAAGGAGCCAAATCTCTAATTCAAATGTAAAAATAACCCAAAGACACATACTTCTAGAACAACCTTTCCCGATAAGGAAAAAGCAAACAAAAAACAGTCTGTATTCTGGAGATGATGGACCCTTGGAGACTGGGGGGAATTATGTAGAACTAATAAAATATTCAACAGGGAGATGCAACTGAACTTTACTGGAGTAAGTAAAATGCTTGGGTCTCAACTGCCAGGGAAGTGTGTAGGAACCACTCCCAAAGTTCAGACCATCCTGTCGGCAAGACTGCGGAACCCGAGTTCTCAGTGCACTTGAACAAATAGCTTTGTTACCTACATTCTGTCTAGTGAATCACAGGGTCACTAAATTGCAAGGACATAGGAAAGCAACAGCTGAAATCATATGTCCTGGTTACTTAACATGAAAATACTTAAAACTGTCCCAGGAATCCAATAAACAGCCCCCACTCTCTGAGAACAGATATATTCTTTGAATAATTTTATTAAGTGACTAGTGCTGTTATTGCTAACTAGTGCAGCCCTTTCCAATTTTTTGGAATTAAATTATGTTCATCATTGGTATCTCAAGTTTTCATCTTTTCTGTTTTCCAAATAAAGGGTCAAGAAACTTCATTTTTCAATCTGAATGCTTCTTACATTGTCTTATTAAAAAAGAACATGTTAGATGTCTGCAGACTGAAGTGAAATACAAGTAATTAATAAGGTTAAAAATGTAGTTCAATAATTCCTAGGGAAGTTTCTATTTTAACATGACGAGAATCTTAAAATACAAGAATGATTTTCTAATACTACATAGACCTATCAACATTAAATCAATTATCAGATTCTGAAAGTACTCTTGGGACACTAATGTCTTTCTATGGTCTTTGAAATGACATATAATTAGGACTATTTTTATGGCACTAGTGAATGTACAGAGCAATAAGATAAATGCTATTCATACTTCATCTACACAATTTATTTCACAGAAAACATTATCAAATTAAAACATTGAGATAATACTACACACCTATTGTAATAGCTAAAATCTAAACAAACTGACACTACATAATACTAGCAAGGATGCAGAGCAACAAAAACTCATTCATTGCTACTGGGAATGTCAAATGGTACTGTCATTTTGAAAGACAGTCTGGCTAAAAGCTAAGTATAGACTTACTGTACAATTCAACAAATGAGCTCCTGAGTATTTACCCAACTGATTTCAAGACTTTATGTCCACCCAAAGATCTGCGCTTGGATATTTTTATAAGCTTTATTTATTATTACCAAAAGCTGTAAGCAATTGAAATGTCCTTCACTAAGTAAATGGATAAACAAGACTGTGGTACATCAAGATAATAGAACATTATTCAGTAATTAAAAAAGAAATGAGCTATCAAGCCATAAAAACATGCATATCGCTAAGTGAAAGAAGCTAATCTGAAAAGATGACATGCTGTATTGTCTAATTGTATGACATTTTGGCAAAGGCAACTTATAGAGGGAGTAAAGAGGTAAGTGATTGCCAGAGGTCTACAGGGAGGGAGAAGGGTTGAATAGATAAAGCACAGAGGAATTTTAAGGGAGTAAAACTATTCTCTATTATTCTTTGATGGAAAATACATAACATAAGGCATTTGACAAAATCCAGAAATTTATAGTACAAACAGTTTATCTTAATGTATACCAATTCAAACAGTTATTAGAAAGTTGGAGGAATCCCAGAAAGAAATGCAGAGTAGGACAAGATAATCCAACTGTACTACAAATGTATAAAGCAACCTCACTGAGAAGAGTGAAAAGATGCTTATGTTAATAATTTTGGAAATGAGCAGAATCTGTAAGACTAATAGAAAAGCAACTGCAAAAAAGCACTATATTCTAGTTGATAAAGTTGTTTCCCAAAGGGGATGGATTAACAATTCTGATACTCCTATACATGAACATTAAGAATGGAACAATTAAGTAAATTGGTCGTAGATGATGGAAGACTGGTTTCTCATTGTTGAAGTGGGACTTTATAGATAAACAAATGGAGGAGGTAGGAACGATCTATGTGGTACTTGATTAGAATGGGAAACATCACTATGAATTCAAGTTTTACTATGTATAGACAGAAATGATTATGTATAGAAATATTTATAAATATGTGTATACATTAGTAACATACATATTTCCTTGCTTTGTCAGTTGACAGAGTCTAAAAGTAACAACAATACCTCAGTAGCAAAAACACACCTAATGCACAGAAATTGGTTTCCATTGTTGTTTAATAAAAGAAACAAAGATTTTTTGGAGAAATGAATGATTTTAGGACTGGGTAGGGTAATATATAATGTGAGCCTCAAGCACTGTGTCAGAAAGTAAGAAAGTGCTTAAAAAATTGATGACATGATGGGGGTATGCCAAAGGGCACAGGAGCCTACTTAAAGATCACCCAGTGTCCAAAGCTAGAACAATTTGAGCAAAAATCAATCAATTATTAAAAAGCAGTAATGGATTATAACCCAAGTATAGAATAAATTTTCATAAGTCCATACTGTTATAAAGAAATGATTATATGATTTAATAAATGGGGAGAGGAGATAAATCTCCAGAGCCAAACAATTCTAAATAATTTATGTTGGTATGCTGCCCACAAACAGGAAAGAGAAGGAGCATAACTCCTCACCACTTAAGTACATTGTGACTTCCTTCCAAAAAGTACAGTACAGAGTAGAAAAAAGGTAATGCTACAGTGAAGTCTGACATGCACTATCTCAGCTAGGTGATCAAGGCCAGCATCAACAGTCATAAATCATGCTAGTAGTATTTACTTTTGAAATTATGTAATGACAATGGCAATTCACCTCCATGGCCTTCCTCTCAAGAACCCATCATCCCAGAATAATTAAGAGAAATACATCATACATATTTAAGGCTCTCCGACTGAATCCCTGACTAGTACTTCGCAGAACTGTCAGTCTAGAAACAATGAAAGTCTGAGGTCTTCTCACGCAAGCAAACATAATAACTAAATGTCATGTGCTGTGGTATTCTGTATGGAATCTTGGAACAGAAAAAGGACAAGTTAAAACTACACAAATCTCAATAAACAATGACAAATTAATAACAATGTTTCAATATTCATTTGTAAATTATAAAACATGTATTATACTCCTTCAACCTGTCAGTAATGGGGAAACTGGGTGCAGGGTAGGGTATATAAGAACTCTCTGTGCTATCTTCTCAATTTTTTTCTGTGAATCTAAAACTATTTCTAAAGTATAAAGTCTATTAAAAATAGATTTGAAACAAATATTAAAACAGAAGCAACAAACATAAAGCCATAGTGTTTTAGGCAAACTAGAATATATAATGAACATACTAAAAATGCCATTAGCTAACATCTAAAAGCTCACTATACCATTATTATGAGGTTTATTGTAGAAAATAGTTTATAAAATGTAATGATATAAAATAGTCATCCTGGTGCTTTCAAGTGGAATGACTTAGAGTGTAAGTCCTCTAGCTGTATACTTTCCCTAAATTGTTTTGACTATATTTATATACATTGTAAATCAATTTGTAATTTATATTTTAAAAAGCTTGTGGATTGTAAGGTTGGTATTATGTTGAATCTATAAATTAATATGGAAAGAATTTACATCACATCTTAACAATATCCATGAGCATTTATTTGGACCTTTTAAATTTCTATCTGCGATGTTTTGTTCTGCTTTATCAGATATTTGATTTGCAAATATTTTACACCAGAATATATCTGTCTTTTACATTTTATAGTGCTATCTTATGAAAGCAAAAGTGTTTAATATTGATAAAACCAAATTATCCATTTTTCCTATTCTCATTTGTGCTTTTGGCCTCTTATTTATGAAACTTTTACCTAACTCACTGTCATGAAGATTCATTCCTATCTTCCTAGAGCTATTAGAATTGTTATGCTTCTGTTTAGGTTTATGGTAAGTGTTTAATTAAGTTTTGTGTATGATGTGAGGTAAAATTGAAATTCATATTTTTACAAATTCATAATTTACAAGTGGATATTCGTTGCTGATTAGTTTTTCAAAATGTTAAACTAACTGCGTATTCCCGGGAGAAATCATGCTTAATGATATATGCTTTTTCACACATTTTATCTTCATATTTTTTCTTCACAATTTTAACATGTTTTCTGTTTATAAAGGTATTAGTTTATAATGTGTTTATAATGTTCTTTTCTTATAGTATGTTTGTCAGTTTCTGTTATAAGAATTCTGTTGGTCCAAATCAAGTGTTTTTTATACCTTGATTTTTAAAAGAGTTTGTGAAGTTGGATTTTATTTTTTCTTACATATTTGAAGGAACTTATTGGCGAACTTATCTAGAACTAGGGCTTTCTTTGTGGGAAGATTTTAAATTATGATTTTAATTTCCCTAATTGATAAAAGGATGTTCAAATTTTATCTCTTTTTCTTGGTTCAGCTTTGGTAATACTTCGTAAGGTTCATTTCTTCTAAGTGGTCAAGTTTATTAGCATAATGTTGTTTATAACATTTCCTTATTTTACCATAGCTATCAATGAGATCTGTAGCAATATTCTCACTTTGAATTCTGGTGTTAATAATTTGTTTTCTCTCTTTTTCCTTGATCCATCTCGCTAAAGATTTACCAATTTTATTAATATTTTCAAAGAACCAATTTTGACTTTGTTTACTTTATTATTTACATTCTTCTCTACTGTGTATTTACTTTATTGATTACGGCTTTAAACTGTATTTATCCTTTATCTGTTAGCAGCTTTTGTGGTGGATGATGAAATCATTTATTTGAGGTTTTACTTTTGTTGCAATATAAACATGTACAGCTTTACATTGACTTCCAAACACTTCAATCTACATATGTTCTTGTTTTCTTATCATTCATTTAAAATATTGTTTATTTTCTTTCCAAATTTTCCTTCTTGAAAATAATCTAGATATTTGTTGTTTTCAGTTTACAACTAGCTTATAATTAAAATTTAGTTCATAATCACTTTCTGAATTAATTTTGTTATAGTCAAAGAATATACTGTATAAGATTTTAATATTTTAATATTGATGGGATATGTTTTGTGACACAGCCTATCTTGTTAACTATTTTGTAGAATATTCCATGTACACTTGAAAATTGTGTTTATTCTATAGTTATTTGGTCTCATGTTCTATAAATAAGTCAACGAAATCAGAGTGGTTCATAGACTCATTCAGATTTTCTATACCTTTACTGATTATTTCGCTTAATTTTTATTTCAGTTATTGAAAGAAGGGTACCTAATTTCTTAATGATTATAAATTTGGCTATATCACTTATTTGTTCCATCAGTTTTTGCTTCATGTGCTATGAAGGTTAGGTAGGATATGCATAACCTTAAAAGTTTTTTAATACTTTGCGTTGAAATCTATTTTGTTTGATACTAATATACTTTTTTCAATATTTTATTATTCGAGCTTGCATGGTATAGTCTTTCCATCTTTTTTTTGCAACTATTTGTGTCTTTTTAATTAAAATGTTTCTTTTTGTAGGCAGCATATAGTTGTGTCTTGTTTATATATCTAGTCAGGCAATCTCTGACTGTAATTGGGAGTGTTAGGAGTCTAGTTCTACAATTTTTTTGTTTTGTTTTTGAGACTGAGTCTTGCTCTGTCATCCAGGCTAGAGTGCAGTGGCACAATCTCTGCTCACTGCAACCTCCGCCTTCTGGTTTCAAGTGATTCTCCTGCCTCAGTCAACTGAGTAGCTGGGATTACAGGTGCGCCTCACCACGCTCAGCTAATTTTTTTGTATTTTTTGTAGAGACGGGGTTTCACTACATTGGCCAGGCTGGTCTCGAACTCCTGACCTCAAGTGATCTGCCTTCCTTGGTCCCCCAAAGTGCTGGGATTAAAGGTGTGAGACACTGTGCCCAGCCTTACTTCTACTTACATTTATATCATATTTGAATCATCAGTGTTTTTCTCTCTTTTCTCTTTCCTGTTAAACTTTTTTCTACCTATTTATTTCTTCAGTTGTTTTTTATTTATACCATTTAGCTTTTTTTAGTGGTTGCTGTAGGGTTTATAATATGCATTTTTAAGTTATCAAAATGAACATGTAGTTAACATGGTACTACTTTACATAAAATATGATAACCTTTTTTTTTTTCCTTTTTTAATTATTTATATTTTTTAGGGATGGGGTCATGCTTTGTTGTCCAGGCTGGTCTCGTACTCCTGGAATCAAGGAACCCTTCCACCTCAGCCTCTGAAAGTTCTGGGATTACAGGCATAATTCATCCTGCCTGGCCAAGAATCTTTAATGGTATAGTTCTATTTACGTGTCATTCTTTGTGCTATTGTTGTAATATACTTTATAAATATCACACTTGGGTTATAAAGTTTTTATTTAAACACTATCTTTCTTTTAAAGAAATAAGATAATTACCGTCTTATGTATATGGCAATCATTTGATCTATAAATTTTTTCTGTAGGTCATAGTTACTATCTGGTTTTGGTGACATTCAGTCAGGAAAAGTTATGTTAGCATTAATAGTAATGATGTTGTGCTGGCAATACATTCTTAAGGTTTCCTTGTATCAGAAAACATTTTTATTCATCTCACTTCTTAGAAGGATAGTTTCACTACATAAGGAATTCTAGATTGACAGCTATTTGTTTAAGCACTTTTAAAAGGTCATTCCATGGTCTTCCGACCCTAATTATTTTTTATGAGACGGCAACAGTCATTTCTACCCCCTCCTTTCTGTTTTGAACATAATATGTCAAGAAATCTGTTCCTAGTCCTAAGGGAATAAGTTGTCTGAATTGTCTTTTTGCTATAATAAAATAAAATAAAGTAGAAAACTGGACAAATTGAGGGAAAAGTAATTTTCAGACAATGGGCAACAGAAAACAAAGATCCTATCCCTGAGAGAAGTAAATATGATATGACCTATCATCTTCTAGGTTTTCTGCATTCTGGAAAGTGGTATAAGAAGGGGAATACAAACAAAGCCTGTAACATCTGATAAGAAGAGGCTAAGGTACTTGAGTTTAGGGAGGCCAAGATGGTTGGTATTTTCAGAGCAGAAAACCACAGAAAAGGCAGCTACATTAAACAACAGGTCCAGAAATTAGGATAGTGGTTGACATGAACCTTTTGCTAAGTACCTCTCTGTCAATGTATAGATTGAAACCCCCAAAAGTCAGACAAGAAAACTTCCTCAGGAGAAAAAATTGTGGGGGTTCTACTAGCTGAAAAATTCTCTGAGCTCACACAGGACTGGGAATCCTTTGAGTTCCCTCCAATCAGAATGAGAGACCTCATTAAAATCATAGAAAATTCAGTAGACATACCAGGAGAGCTAAGCCTTCAAAGTAGGGACCAAGTTAGCCCTATAATAAAGAGCACTCTATACAAGTCTTTTTAAAAACCTTAAAAAATTTAACTATAATAAACCAATCTATCAATTACTGAATTGCCTGAAAGAAAAAGTTACACTTCAAAGGAATACAACAAAATCCAGAATTTAACATAATAAAATAAGGTGTCCAGAATCCAGATAAAAATTACTAGATACACAAAGAATCAAAAAATGTCAGCTATAACCAAGAAGAAAAAGTGATGAAGAGGAACCCTTTCAGAAGTAACAAATATGATGACATTAACAGAAAAGGCATTAAATACCTCTTATTCATGTGTTTCATATGCTCACAAATTAAAGAAAGCTAATAAACCTAGGCAGAAGAAACATATAGGAAACAACACTCATCTCCACCATATTGATGAACACCAGTAGTAAATAACCAAATCTCGAAATCATCCCAGACAAAAAGATAGTTTACCTGCAAGGGAACAAAAGTTTAAAATGTAGCAGAAATTTAACAGTTTTACACAGATATTACTTACATACCATACATTTCACCCATGTGAAATGTACAGTTCAAAATTTTGTAATATTTTCACAGGATTGTGTAACCATCACAACCTAATGCTAACAAATTTTACATCCCTCATCAAAGAAACCCTATGCCCAGTCACTCTCAATTCTCATTCTCTCCATACTCCATAAGTAAGCAACCACTTTTGATCTCTATAAATGAAGCTACTCTGGATACTTCATATAAAAGAAATCATACAATGTGCAATCTTTTGTGACTGACTTTTCTCATTTAGCAAATGGTTTTAAAGTTTATTCATATTGTAGCATGAGTCAGTAATTTATATGTGTCAAGTAGTATTCCATTGTATGGCTATGCCACATTTTGCTTGTCCATTTATGAGATGATAGACTTTGGGTGGGTTTACAATTTTTTGCTATTAAAAATGTTGCCATGAAAATTTTTTAAATTTTGAAATTTTTAATTTTTGTGGATACATAGTAGGTATATATATTTGTGGGGGTACATGAGATATTTTGGTACAGGCATGCAATGTGTAATAATCACATAATGGCGAATATTACTGAACATTTAGAGAATAACGTATGCCAATCTTTTCAAAGTTTTTCAAAATACTGAAGAGGTGAGAAGGCATTGAAACTCGTTTTGAGTCTAGCCTTACCCAGATACCAAAGTCAAAGATACCACAAAGAAAAAAAAAAGGAAAACTATAGGCCAATATCCCTGACTACAGATACAAAAAAAAAATTATCGATGTAATGCTAGCTAACTGAATCCAATAGCATATTAGAAGCATCATATACTATGACTAATTGGGATTTATCCCTAGAATCATTGAATATATGCAAATCAATTTTTGTAATCCACTGCATTAACAGAATAAAAGCTATAAATTACATGATCATCTCACTAGGTGCAGAAAAAAAAAAGCATTTTACAAGATTCAACATACCTTCCTGATAAAAACTCTCAGAAAGCTCAGGAGCCTCAAAGAAGGTACCTCAACATAATAAAGGCTGTATATGAAAAGCCGATAGCTAATGTCATAATCAAAAATGAAAAAATTAAAGTGTTCCCATTAAGGTCAGGAACATGACAACCTTGCCCACTCTCCCATTTATATCCAACGTAGTGCTGGAATTCCTAACCAGAGCAAGTAGACAAGAAAAAGATGCAAAATGGATCCATATCAGAAAGAAAGAATATTTTTCTCATTTGCAAATGACATGAAGATATATGAATATATATGTGAATATATATAAATATATATATGAATATATATGTGAATATATATGAATATATATGTGAATATATATGAATATATATGTGAATATATGTGAATATATATGTGAATATATGTGAATATATATGAATATATATGTGAATATATATGAATATATATGATATATATGTGAATATATATGAATATATATGTGAATATATATGTATATATGTGAATATATGTATATATGTGAATATGTGAATATATGTGAATATATATGTGAATATATGTGAATATATATGTGAATATATGTGAATATATGTGAATATATATGTGAATATATATGAATATATATGTGAATATATATGTGAATATATATGAATATATATGTGAATATATATGTGAATATATATGAATATATATGTGAATATATATGAATATATATGTGAATATATATGAATATATATGTGAATGTATGTGAATATATATGAATATATATGTGAATATATATGTGAATGTATGTGTGAATGTGAATATATATGTGAATATATATATGAATATATATATGAATATTATATATATATCCTAAAGACTCAACCCTAAAACTGTTAAAACTAATAAATGAACTCAGTAAACTTACAGGATACAGATTAAACATACAAAAATCAGTTGTGTTTATATACATGAACAATGAACTATCTAGAAAGAAAATTTCAAAAATAATCCCATTTCCAATAACAGCAAAAATTGTAAAATAGGAATAAACTGAGGAAGTGAAACATTTGTACAATAAAAACCTCTAAACATTGATGAAAAAATTAGGTAGACACAAATAGACATTTTCTCTCTGGATTGGAAAACTTAATATTACAAAAATTTTCATACTTCCTAAAGCAATATATATATTTAATGCAACCTCCATCAAAATCACAAAGGCATTTTTAACAGAAATAAATAATTCTATAAATCATAGAGAATGAATGACCATGAATACCAAAATAATCTTGAAAGAAAAGAACAAAGCTGGAGACAGAACACTTGGTAATTCCAAAATATGTTATAAAGCTACAGTAAATTAAACAGTCTGGTATTGGCACAAAAACAGGCATATAGACCAATGGATTGGATAAAAGAGCCTAGAAATCAACCTACATGTATACAGTCAACTGATCATCAACAAGAGTACCAAGAATACACAGGGAGGAAAGGATAGTCTTTCAACAAATGGTGTTGGGAAAACTAGATATCCACATGCATAAAAATGAAATTGGACCCTTATCTTACATCAGACATAACAATTAATTCAAAATAGATTGAAGACTTAAGCATAAGGTCTGAAACTGTGCAACTCCTAGAAGAAAATATGGGGGAAATGTTTCATGACATTGGACTTGGTAATGATTTAATGAATACAACATCAAAAGCACAGGCATCAGAATCAAAAATTAAAACACGGGACTACATCAAACTAAACAGCTTCTTCACAGCAAAGGAGAAAATTGTCAAGAGGAAAAACGCAACATATACAGAATGGGAGAAAACATTTGCAAACCATGTATCTGATAAGGATTAATCTCCAAAATATATATGGTATTTTTATCACCTAATAGCACAAAAAATTCATAATAACCTAGTTAAAAATGGGCTAAAGACTTGGATAGATATTTTTCCAAAGAGGACATACAAATGGCTAAACAGATATATAAAAAGCTGTTCAATGTTACTAAACATTAAGGACATGGAAATAGAAATCACAATGAGATATCACTTCACATTTGTCAGAATGGCTATTATCAAAGACAAAAGGCACGTGTTGGTGAGGATATGGAGAAACTGGAACACTTGCACACTGTTGTTAGGAACGTAAATTAGCATAGCCATCATGGAGAACTATATGGAGGTTTCTCACAAAACAGAAAATAGAACAACTGTATGGTCTAGCAGTCCTTCTTCTGGGTATTTATTCAAATAAAATGAAATCAGTATATCATAGGGATACGTGAACACCCATATTTATAGTAGCACTATTCACAATAGAAAGATGTGAAATCAACCTAAGTGTCTATCAATAGATGAACATATAAGGAAAATTATAAGGTATATTATATATATATATACACACACATATATACATATATATACACACACACACAGACGTATATACCATGAAATACTATTCGGCCATTAAAAAGAATTAAATTCCATCATTCATGGCAATAGAGATGGAAAAGGAGGACATGATAAGTGAAGTCAGCTAGGAACACAAATTTCAGCACCGCATTTTCTTACTCACTTGGAAACTAAAGAAAGTTGATCTCATAGAAATAAAAAGTAGAACAGAGGATACTAGAGACTGGGAAGGGTAGGGGGAAAGAGGCATAGGAAAATATTTGTTGAAGGATATAAAATTACAGCTAGATAGGATGAATAAACTCTAGTATTCTATAAAACTGTAGGATGATGATAGTTAACAATGATATATTATGTAGTTTTAAGTAGCTAGAAGGAGGATAGTAAATCTTCCCAACACAAATAAATAATGTGTATTTAGAGATATATTTAGATTGTAATGAAAGTAGTAAAACTGATTTTGTTCACAGATTATATGATTGTTTATGTAGAAAATCCAAAGAAATCTACAAGAAAATCTGCTACTACTAATAAAGTGAGTTTATCAAAGGACACATTACAAGCTTAATATACATTAGTCAATTGTATTTCTATATACAAAATAGATATGGAAATTTTTAAAGCACCATCTACAATAATACAAACATGTGAAATATGTATAGGTAATTCTGAGAACTTTAAGGTCTTATGTTAAAGATTTATAACTGAAAAATATAAAATACTACTGAGAGAAATGTAAAACCTAAATATATGGAGAAATATACTATCTATAGGTTGAATGACTCAATATTGTTTAGATATAAATTCTTCAGAAATAGATCTAAGGATTTAATACAATCTCAATAAAATTTCACAGGGTTTTTATGGTTTTAGGTCTAATGTTTAAGTCTTTAATCCATCTTGAATTGATTTTTGTATAAGGTGTAAGGAAGGGATCCAGTTTCAGCTTTCTACATATGGCTAGCCAGTTTTCCCAGCACCATTTATTAAATAGGGAATCCTTTCCCCATTGCTTGTTTTTCTCAGGTTTGTCAAAGATCAGATAGTTGTAGATATGCGGCATTATTTCTGAGGGCTCTGTTCTGTTCCATTGATCTATATCTCTGTTTTGGTACCAGTACCATGCTGTTTTGGTTACTGTAGCCTTGTAGTATAGTTTGAAGTCAGGTAGTCTGATGCCTCCAGCTTTGTTCTTTTGGCTTAGGATTGACTTGGCGATGCGGGCTCTTTTTTGGTTCCATATGAACTTTAAAGTAGTTTTTTCCAATTGTGTGAAGAAAGTCATTGGTAGCTTGATGGGGATGGCATTGAATCTGTAAATTACCTTGGGCAGTATGGCCATTTTCACGATATTGATTCTTCCTACCCATGAGCATGGAATGTTCTTCCATTTGTTTGTATCCTCTTTTATTTCCTTGAGCAGTGGTTTGTAGTTCTCCTTGAAGAGGTCCTTCACATCTCTTGTAAGTTGGATTCCTAGGTATTTTATTCTCTTTGAAGCAATTGTGAATGGGAGTTCACTCATGATTTGGCTCTCTGTTTGTCTGTTGTTGGTGTATAAGAATGCTTGTGATTTTTGTACATTGTTTTTGTATCCTGAGACTTTGCTGAAGTTGCTTATCAGCTTAAGGAGATTTTGTGCTGAGACAATGGGGTTTTCTAGATATACAATCATGTCGTCTGCAAACAGGGACAATTTGACTTCCTCTTTTCCTAATTGAATACCCTTTATTTCCTTCTCCTGCCTAATTGCCCTGGCCTAGAGGAAAACCTAGGCATTACCATTCAGGACATAGGCATGGGCAAGGACTTCATGTCTAAAACACCAAAAGCAATGGCAACAAAAGACAAAATTGACAAATGGGATCTAATTAAACTAAAGAGCTTCTGCACAGCAAAAGAAACTACCATCAGAGTGAACAGGCAACCTACAAAATGGGAGAAAATTTTCACCACCTACTCATCTGACAAAGGGCTAATATCCAGAATCTATAATGAACTCAAACAAATTTACAAGAAAAAAACAAACAACCCCATCAAAAAGTGGGTGAAGGACATGAACAGACACTTCTCAAAAGAAGACATTTATGCAGCCAAAAAACACATGAAAAAATGCTCATCATCACTGGCATCACTGGCCATCAGAGAAATGCAAATCAAAACCACAATGAGATACCATCTAACACCAGTTAGAATGGCAATCATTAAAAAGTCAGGAAACAACAGGTGCTGGAGAGGATGTGGAGAAATAGGAACACTTTGACACTGTTGGTGGGACTGTAAACTAGTTCAACCATTGTGGAAGTCAGTGTGGCGATTCCTCAGGGATCTAGAACTGGAAATACCATTTGACCCAGCCATCCCATTACTGGGTATATACCCAAAGGACTAGAAATCATGCTGCTATAAAGACACATGCACACGTATGTTTATTGCGGCATTATTCACAATAGCAAAGACTTGGAACGACCCCAAATGTCCAACAATGATAGACTGGATTAAGAAAATGTGGCACATATACACCATGGAATATTATGCAGCCATAAAGAATGATGAATTCATGTCCTTTGTAGGGACATGCATGAAATTGGAAATCATCATTCTCAGTAAACTATCACAAGAACAAAAAACCAAACACCGCATATTCTCACTCATAGGTGGGAATTGAACAATGAGATCACATGGACACAGGAAGGGGAATATCACACTCTGGGGACTGTTGTGGGGTGGGGGGAGGGGGGAGAGATAGCATCGGGAAATATACCTAATGCTAGATGACGAGTTAGTGGGTGCAGCGCACCAGCATGGCACATGTATACATATGTAACTAACCTGCACAATGTGCACATGTACCCTAAAACTTAAAGTATAATAAAAAAAAAATCACATCAGGGTAAAAGGGGTATCCATCTTCTCAAGGATTTTTCCTTTCTTTATGTTTACAAACATGCTAATTGTACTCTTAATTATTTATAAATGTATCATAAATTATTGTTAAATGTAGTCATCCTGTTGTGCTATCAAATACCAGAATTTATTCATTCTATCTAATTATATTTTTGTACCCATTTATCATAACCCTTTACCCCCTCTACTACACTTTACAGCTTCTGGTAACTGTCATTCTACTCTCCATTTCCCTATGGATTAAATTGTTTTAATTTTTAGCTCCCACAAAAAAAAAAAAATTTCAACAGATGTTTTTGTGAAACATGACAAAATGATTAAAAATTAATGTGGAAACACAAATCACCTAGATTTGCCAAAACAAATTTATGAAAAAAAGAAGAAAATTGGAGGACAAATATTACCTAAGACTTACTAACAGCTGTAGTAATCAACGCAGTATGGGTAATGGCAAAGACAGATAAATAAATAAAAGAAACAGAATAGAAAGTCCGGAAACAGACACATATATTTATGGAAAACTGATTTTTGACAAGGAAAGTCAGTTCAGTGGAGAAAGAATAGTCTCCTCATCAAATGCTGTTCAAACAAATTGAAAACCATATGTAACAAAACAAAACAATGAAAACAAATTTTGATCCATATCCTGTACCATTTATAATAATTAACTCAAAATGAATCATTGGACTAAGCATAAAAACTAAAACTATAAGACTTTTAGCATAAAATATAGGAAAATATCTGAGACCTTGGGTGAGCAAGGAATTCTCTTTTTTTATTTTAAGAGTCACAATTTATATAAAAATAATTTAAAGTTACATTTAGATGTACAAAGAGGTTTTAAAACAAAGTAGTAGCACTAGAGCACTTAACTATTTTGTCGATTGAAAGTAAATGCAAGAAAGAAATTCTATTACTTAGGATACCAAATGATAAATTTATTCTACTTTGGATGTCTACCTTTCAAATACATGTCTAATCTAATTCCATTTGATATAAGTATTCTGTAATCACTGAGAAGGAATGTCTAACATATTAACTCAATATTTAGCAACTACTAATTTCCTTGATATATTTCATAACTTCCCTTGACTCTAAATAAGATTCTTTTTAAAGATATATTCCTATTTCCAGGTTTTGTATTTTCTCAGTAATAGGTCTAATATTTTGTTCCTATAAATTTACTAATACGTTTTGTTGACACATCTCAGCAATGAAGTGAGTATCCTCATGAATAAAGCTTAGATTTTATACTATAAAATTTAACCAATATTACATAGCAGGATTTGACACAAACTTTGGTTTGGTCTAAGTTAGAGCAGTGTTGTTTTGTTGAAAAGCCTTCAGGAGATACAATTCACCTACCAATTCATATACCATATGGTATATCTACCATATAGATCATACATTTAAAATATACAATTCAGTGGTTTTAACATATTTAAATATATGTGCAACCATCCCTCCACAGTTATTTTTAAAACATTTCATCGCTTCACAAAGAAACTCCATATCCCTTAGATATCAATCCACTCTCCCACCACTACCCACCATCCCTAAGCAACCACCAATCTACCTTCAACCTCTAGAGAGTTGCCTATTCTGCGTATTTATTTATTATTATTACTATACTTTAAGTTCTGGGATACATGTGCAGAACGTGCAGGTGTTACATAGGTATACACTTGCCGTGGTGGTTTGCTGCACCCATTAACCCATCATCTATATTAGGTATTTCTCCTAATGCTATCCCTCCCCTAGTCCCCCACCTCCCGAAGGTCCCGGTGTGTGATGTTCCCCTCCCTGTGTCCATGTGTTCTCATTGTTCAACTCCCACTTATGAGTGAGAACATGCGGTGTTTGGTTTTCTGTTCCTGTGTTGGTTTGCTAAGAGTGATGGTTTCCAGCTTCATCCATGTCCCTGCAAAGGACATGAACTCAACCTTTTTTTTTTTTTTTTGAGACGGAGTCTAGCTCTTTCACCCAGGCTGGAGTGCAGCGGCGCGATCTCTGCTCACTGCAAGCTCCGCCTCCCGGGTTCACGCCATTCTCCTGCCTCAGCCTCCCGAGTAGCTGGGACTACAGGCGCCCGCCACCACGCCCGGCTAATTTTTTGTATTTTTTAGTAGAGACGGGGTTTCACCGTGTTAGCTAGGATGGTCTCGATCTCCTGACCTTGTGATCCACCCGCCTCGGCCTCCCAAAGTGCTGGGATTACAGGCGTGAGCCACCGCGCCCTGCCGAACTCAACCTTTTTTATATGGCTGCATAATATTCCATGGTGTATATAAAAGAAAAAAGATGATAAAGTTGGACTTCATAAAAAATAAAAGCTTCTGCTCTTTGAAAGATGCAGTTAAGGAAATGAAGAGATAAGCAGCAGACTGGTAGAAAATATTTGCGAAGCGTATATCTGATAAAAGACTTGTATTCAGAATTTATAAAGAATTATCATAACTTAATATGAAGAAAAAGCTGGGCAAAATATTTGAATAGAAACTTTGGTAAAGACTATCAGTGGTTGTCTGGCCATGGAGTGGAAATTATACGGAGACAAGACGAAACTTTTGGGTGTGATGGCTATGTTCATCACCAATTATGGTGATTATTTCAAGGTAGTATACATATTTCACAACTAATCAAATTATATTCAAATTCTGTTGTTTATTTTGATGAGTAGAACAAAAGAAAAAATTTAAATGACTCCAGATGCCACACTTTTATTCTAAGCAAATATTTTAATATTTTCTTCAGATAATATTGCTTATTGTTTAGTGTCTTGAGATGAGCAGAATTCTCTTCTTGACTTCGAAGATCTATAAAGAGAATCACTATCACTTTTTTCAGGGAAAGATTGCTATATTTGTAGTTTAAAATTACCTTCAGGGAATGTGGAACAAACCTATTGCAACGACGACTTATACACTGATAGAGCAGCTAATCTGATAGATGTCAAAAGCAGGAGGTAACTTGTTGGATGAGGGTTGCTGCTGGCATGATTTACTCGGGGAAACAAATAACCTCTCAGCTTCAGTAGTTGCTCATGTAATTGAGCTCGCCTGTGGGGGAAAAAATTAAGTAGTTAGGATAGTTAACATTGATTTATAGATTTCTTTTCTCCCTTTCTCCAAGCAGGAAGATGGGCTTCTCTTTACTACCAAAAAAAGAAAAACAAAAGAAAGTATTATAGTAAACTCAGAAGTTATTTCAGGAGCAGGAACGAGTCAGATGGAATATACTTTTCATTGCTTCTTTATATAAGGTGAAGAAGAAATATTTGCAACATAGACACAGATTTCTAACATTAATACTTGTACAAAGAACAAACGAAAATTAATTTAAAAAGGTGAACAATCAAACAAAAAAGACAAGTATATATATAGTCAAACTTGTAATTGAGATAAAAATAAATACAAGTAGCCAATAAATATATGAGAAAGTATTACATGTCAGAGATATGTCCATAAAACAATAATTACAAGAGAAATGTAGTGTGTCTTTAATTAAAAGGATAAATTGACATGCAAGAAAGCATGAGATTATGAAATGCTGTGTCTAAATGATCTTGAGGGTAAATTTATAAAGAAGGAAACAAATCATTTTAAAAACACCTCAAAAAATCTTTTCACTGCCTTGAATTTATGATAATTTTCAGGAAACTGCAGTTTAGATGTGAAACAAATATTATTTTCAGTTAAAAATTAATCTGTATTACATGCCTTCTCATTGACTTGCCATCCTGTTGACAACCAGTCTTGTTATTTTTTGTGCTGTTAATTGTACACTGGGCTGTAATTTATTACTCACATTTTGATTACTTGTAATACTTGTTATACATTTTATACTTAGTTTTTACCAGCTTCAAAGCATTTTTTGTAAATGAAAATAAAGATAAAAACTCTAAACAATTTTAAAATAATGAAAATTTTTTCATATTTTTTAATTAAGTAGCTTAAACAGTACAAAATATATTTTATGAATCTGTTAAGAAAATGTTAATGATTTATTGCTGTATGCAGAAGTTATTAACACTGATGTCCACAGTGCTTTACCATTTCTCATTAGTGCACAAAGAATGAATGCTAAGGCTCTGAGAAATAATGGATACACAACTAACATTAAGTTGAGGAAAGAGTGGTTTGGGAGAGAAAGCAAATAGGAATGAGAGTAGTCAAGAATTAAAATCTAAAATGGCTTCCTTCGAGGGGCTACTCACCTCCTCGTTTCCTTCATCTTTGTAAATGTACCAAATAGTTATAGACTTTTTAAAGAATGCAATAAATGGCATTATGAAGCATTGTGAACAGTTAGTTGGTGAATAAAGGGCTACTGGGGTGTTGTCAGATCATCAGTAAAAGGGTCTTGGAGAGTTTTATAGAATAGAGGCTCTCAAACACTGTTCTGGAATTCAGACCTGGATGGTGACATAATAAATACTAAGACAGTCCAAAAAACAAAGATTTCTCAGACTTACTATCAAACATTTTGACTTGGCAAGTCTAAGCTGAGCCGGTGGATCTGTATTTTTAAAAATCTACCCAGGTTACTCTGACCTTTAGAATACTAACCTTGAAAGATGTTAAAACAATTTCTTTAAATACATGGTTGTTCAGATACTTTGCATGTTTTTTTTCTAAATTTATTTGACCGTAAGCCTTGTTCTCCAAACATTTCAACAAACTGCTATTTATGGGACACATTTTGAGAAATGCTATTCCACAAGATTAAAAGACATTTGCTGTGACTATGAGGTTTGGGAGAAACAGGTTTAAATGTAATAGAGATGGAAGAGTGTATGTATGGATACTGCTCTCTACATAGTATAAGGAAAGGAAACTCCAGGCAGAACATGAGCAATGAGAGAGAATGTGAAATAAATAAAGCCCAGAATGGGATTTTTGTCTGTGAGGCTGGCAAAATTACAGTTTGGGGTTAAAATTAGAATAAGTCATTCCTTCCAGAAGCAATTTCAGGAGGCAACCAATTGAAAAATTCTTCCCATGTAATAGGCTCTACAGGGATGAATGGGAGTCTGTCCCTGTCCCCAGTGAGTTTGGGTGGAGTCTGACAGTGAGGGCAGGTGAACCCCATTGCAAAGAAGCAGTACTGCAAAGGCCTGTCAGAATCAGAAGGCAGAAGTGTCAATCATTGCCAGTGTGGTTGGTTAGAAAGTGGTTTAAGGGAGACCTAATGTCTAATCACATCAAAATTGCTAGTTTTGTGATGATACTATTACCATGAGGTGGTAACAAAAAGAGGGAGGGGACTGCAGATATACGTGCTAGAGATACAGTAGCTGTCAAGTTTTTCCAGAAGCTGTTCAAAGGAGATGGTCCTGCTCAAGATCCTTTTCAGATAAGCAAATGCTGAGGGAGTTTATTACCACCAGACTTGCCTTCTAAGAGATCCTGAAAGGAGCGCTAAAGATGGAAAGGAAAGACTGGTACCAGCCAGTACAAAAACACCCACACTTAAATACACTGACCAGTGACACTGTTAAACAAGCTGTCATAATAACCAGCTAACAACACAATGATAGGATCAAATCCACACATGTCAACACTAACCTTGAATGTAAATGAGCTAAATGCCCCATTTAAAAGGCAGAGTGGCAAGCTGGATAAAAAAGCAAGACTCAATGGAATGCTGTCTTCAAGAGACCCATCTCACATTCAGTGACACCCATAGGCTCAAAATAAAGGGATGGAGGAAAATCTACCAAGCAAATGGAAATCAGAAAAAGGCAGGAATTGCAACCCTAATTTCAGACAAAACAGACTTTAAACCAACAAAGATCAAAAAAGACAAAGAAGAGCAATACATAATGGTAAAGGGTTCCATTCAACAAGAACACCTACCTATCCTAAATATATATGCAGGAGCACACAGAGCACCCAGGAGAACACAGGAGCACCCAGATTCATAAAGCAAGTTCTTAGAAACCTACTAAGAGACTTTGACTCCCATGCAATAATAGTGACAGAACTCGACACTTCATTTTCCTTTCATTCTCTTTGGTCTCTTCTCTCCTACCCTCTTCTCTCCTGTCCTTTGTTTTCTTTCCTCCTCCCTGCTTCCCCGACCCCACATTTTCTTTTTTTGTTTTACTTGCAAGAATTGTCTGGAATGACTAGAAGAAAATCCACAGGCTGCCACCTAGAGAAAAAAATTTCCCCACAATTTCTCACTCCTTAGCAATGATTTGTGCATTCACTAAACAGCCCATCTACCAGCTGAGCCTTTCACTATGCAACCTTTGTCTGTATTCCCACAATACTCTACGGAATCTCTTCTTATCCACAAATTTTATTATGATTCCAGTGTAGATGCTTCTTCCCGAATAGATTTATTGTATCTTTAGAACAGGGATTGTATTCATTTACATTTTATTCCCAGTATAGTGCTTGGTACATAATATGTACTCAAAATTATGATTGATCTAAACTGGAATGGATGAACAAATAAAATGATTAAAAGAAAGAATTCTGTGAAGACAGTTTACTCAGATTCTTAGACCAGGAATATTTGCTCACAATCAATTATCAATCACTTAATATATATCTGATAATGTTTGATTGAGCAGATAGATATGCCAGGTTTCCTAGAGAGAGTCCTAAGTCACTGAATAAGGGATGACCACCCTAAGGTGTATCTGTAGCCCTTAAGTGTAAACCCAATTCAGTGTGAAAGTAAACTCCACAGAACAAGACTGGTTGAAAAGCCAGATGCCAATATAATATATATGTTTAAAACCATGAAGTATTCTTTTTGTACTACCGGGATTATTTAAATCTTCTTCTGAGTGTATCTCCTGCTGCTTTAGGACCTTATAACTGAAACAAGATGTGGCATAACCAGTAATCTACAGCAAATCAATAGTGAATTTACTGGAATTAATATTTATTGATAATACGTGCAAGGAGTACAGGTGAATGATTGAAAGATTGAGATAAAGGGAAAATCTGTTTTATTTTTTTAATTTTTATTATACTTTAAGTTTTAGGGTACATGTGCACAACGTGCAGGTTTGTTATATATGTATACATGTACCATGTTGGTGTGCTGCACCCAGTAACTAGTCATTTAATATTAGGTATATCTCCAAATGCTATCCCTCCCCACTCCCCCAACCCCACAACAGGCCCCGGTGTGTGATGTTCCCCTTCCTGTGTCCATGTGTTCTCATTGTTCAATTCCCACCTATGAGTGAGAACGTGCGCTGTTTGGTTTTTTTGTCCTTGTGATAGTTTGCTGAGAATGATGGTTTCCAGCTTCATCCATGTCCCTTCAAAGGACATGAACTCATAATTTTTTATGGCTGGATAGTATTCCATGGTGTGTATGTGCCACATTTTCTTAATCCAGTCTATCATTGTTGGACATTTGGGTTTGTTCCAAGTCTTTGCTATTGTGAATAGTGCCACAATAAACATACGTGTGCATGTGTCTTTATAACAGCATGATTTATAATCCTTTGGGTATATACCCAGTAATGGGATTGCTGGGTCAAATGATATTTCTAGTTCTAGATCCCTGAAGAATGGCCACACTGACTTCCACAATGGTTGAACTAGTTTACAGTCCCACCAGCAGTGTAAAAGTGTTCCTATTTCTCCACATCCTCTCCAGCACCTGTGGTTTCCTGACTTTTTAATGATTGCCATTCTAACTGGTGTGAGATGGTATCTCATTGTGGTTTTGATTTGCATTTCTCTGATGGCCAGTGATAATGAGCATTTTTTCATGTGTCTTTTGGCTGCATAAATATCTTCTTTTGAGAAGTGTCTGTTCATGTCCTTCACCCACTTTTTGATGGGGTTGTTTGTTTTTTTCTTGTAAACTTGTTTGAGTTCATTATAGATTCTGGATATTAGCCCTTTGTCAGATGAGTAGATTGCAAAAATTTTCTCCCATTCTATAGGTTGCCTGTTCACTCTGATGGTAGTTTCTTTTGCTGTGCAGAAGCTCTTTAGTTTAATTAGATCCCACTTGTCAATTTTGTCTTTTGTTGCCATTGCTTTTGGTGTTTTAGACATGAAGTCCTAGCCCATGCCTATGTCTTGAATGGTATTGCCTAGGCTTTCTTCTAGGGTTTTTATGGTTTTAGGTCTAATGTTTAAGTCTTTAATCCATCTTGAATTAATTTTTGTATAAGGTGTAAGGAAGGGGTCCAGTTTCAGCTTTCTCCATATGGCTAGCCAGTTTTCCCAGCACCATTTATTAAATAGGGAATCCTTTCCCCATTGCTTGTTTTTCTCAGGTTTGTCAAAGATCAGATAGTTGTAGATATGTGGCATTATTTCTGAGGGCTCTGTTCTGTTCCATTGATCTATATCTCTGTTTTGGTACCAGTACCATGCTGTTTTGGTTACTGTAGCCTTGTAGTATAGTTTGAAGTCAGGTAGTGTGATGCCTCCAGCTTTGTTCTTTTGGCTTAAGGATTGACTGGGTGATGAGGGCTCTTTTTTGGTTCTGTATGAACTTTAAAGTAGTTTTTCCCAATTGTGTGAAGAAAGTCATTGGTAGCTTGATGGGGATGGCATTGAATCTATAAATTACCTTGGGCTGTATGGCCATTTTCACGATATTGATTCTTCCTACCCATGAGCATGGAATGTTCTTCCATTTTCTTGTGTCATCTTTTATTTCATTGAGCAGTGGTTTGTAGTTCTCCTTGAAGAGGTCCTTCACGTCCCTTGTAAGTTGGATTCCTAGGTATTTTATTCTCTTTGAAGCAATTGTGAATGGGAGTTCACTCATGATTTGGCTCTCTGTTTGTCTGTTATTGGTGTATAAGAATGCTTGTGATTTTTGCACATTGATTTTGTATCCTGAGACTTTGCTGAAGTTGCCTATCAGCTTAAGGAGATTTTGGGCTGAGACGATGGGGTTTTCTAGATATACAATCATGTCATCTGCAAACAGGGACAATTTGACTTCCTCTTTTCCTAATTGAATACCCTTTATTTCCTTCTCCTGCCTGATTGCCCTTGCGAAAACTTCCAACACTATGTTGAATAGGAGTGGTGAGAGAGGGCATCCCTGTCTTGTGCCAGTTTTCAAAGGGAATGCTTCCAGTTTTTGCCCATTCAGTATGACATTAGCTGTGGGTTTATCATAAATAGCTCTTATTATTTTGAGATACATCCCATCAATACCTAGTTTATTAAGGGTTTTTAGCATGAAGGGCTGTTGAATTTTGTCAAAGGCCTTTTCTGCCTCTATTGAGATAATCATGTGCTTTTGTCTTTAGTTCTGTTTATATGATGGATTACGTTTATTGATTCACATATGTTGAACCAGCCTTGCATCCCAGGGATGAAGCCAACTTGATCATGGTGGATAAGCTTTTTGATGTGCTGCTGGGTTCGGTTTGCCAGTGTTTTATTGAGGATTTTTGCATTGATGTTCATCAGGGATATTGGTCTAAAATTCTCTTTTTTTGTTGTGTCTCTGCCAGGCTTTGGTATCAGGATGATGCTGGCCTCATAAAATGAGTTAGGGAGCATTCCCTCTTTCTCTATTGATTGGAATAGTTTCAGAAGGAATGGTACCAGCTCCTCCTTGTACCTCTGGTAGAATTCGGCTATGAATCCATCTGGTCCTGGACTTTTTTTGGTTGGTAAGCTATTAATTATTGCCTCAATTTCAGAGCCTGTTATTGGTCTATTTAGAGATTCAACTTCTTCCTGGTTTAGTCTTGGGAGGGTGTATATTTTGAGGAATTTATCCGTTTCTTCTAGATTTTCTAGTTTACTTGCATAGAGGTGTTTTTAGTATTCTCTGATGGTAGTTTGTATTTCTGTGGGATCGGTGGTGATATCCCCTTTATCATTTTTTATTGTGTGTATTTGATTCTTCTCTCTTTTCTTCTTTATTAGTCTTGCTAGTGGTCTATCAATTTTGTTGATCTTTTCAAAAAACCAGCTCCTGGATTCACTGATTTTTTTGAAGGGTTTTTTGTGTCTCTATTTCCTTCAGTTCTGCTCTGATCTTAGTTATTTCTTGCCTTCTGCTAGCTTTTGAATGTGTTTGCTCTTGCTTCTCTAGTTCTTTTAATTGTGATGTTAGGGTGTCAATTTTAGATCTTTCCTGCTTCCTCTTGTGGGCATTTAGTGCTATAAATTTCCCTCTACACACTGCTTTGAATGTGTCCCGGAGATTCTGGTATGTTGTGTCTTTGTTCTTGTTGGTTTCAAAGAACATCTTTATTTCTGCCTTCATTTCATTATGTACCCAGTAGTTATTCAGGTGCAGGTTGTTCAGCTTCCATGTGGTTGAGCAGTTTTGAGTGAGTTTCTTAATCCTGAGTTCTAGTTTGATTGCACTGTGGTCTGGGAGACAGTTTCTGATAATCTGTGCTCTTTACATTTGCTGAGGAGTGCTTTACTTCCAACTATGTGGTCAATTTTGGAATAAGTGCAGTGTGGTGCTGAGAAGAATTTATATTCTGTTGATTTGGGGTGGAGAGTTCTGTAGATGTCTATTAGGTCCGCTTGGTGCAGAGCTGAGTTCAATTCCTGGATATCCTTGTTAACTTTCTGTCTCGTGGATCTAATGTTGACAGTGGGGTGTTAAAGTCTCCCATTATTATTGTGTGGGAGTCTAAGTCTCTTTGTGGGTCTCTAAGGACTTGCCTTATGAACATTCCATGCTCATGGATAGGAAGAATCAATATCGTGAAAATGGCCATACTGCCCAAGGTAATTTATACATTCAGTGCCATCCCCATCAAGCTACCAGTGAGTTTCTTCACAGAATTGGAAAAAACTACTTTAAAGTTCATATGGAACCAAAAAAGAGCCCGCATTGCCAAGTCAATCCTTAAGCCAAAAGAACAAAGCTGGAGGCATCACACTACCTGACTTCAAACTATTCTACAAGGCTACAGTAACCAAAACAGCATGGTACTGGTACCAAAACAGAGATATAGACCAATGGAACGGAACAGAGCCCTCAGAAATAATGCCACACATCTACAGCTATCTTATCTTTGACAAACCTGACAAAAACAGGAAATGGGGAAAGGATTCCCTATTTAATAAATGGTGCTGGGAAAACTGGCTAGCCATATGTAGAAAGCTGAAACTGGATACCTTCCTTACACCTTCTAGAAAAATTAATTCAAGATGCATCGAAGACTTAAATGTTAGACCTAAAACCATAAAAACCCTAGAAGAAAGCCTAGGCAATACCATTCAAGACATAGGCATGGGCTAGGACTTCATGTGTAAAACACCAAAAGCAATGACAATGAAAGCCAAAATTGACAAATGGGATCTAATTAAACTAAAGAGCTTCTGCACAGCAAAAGAAACTACCATCAGAGTGAACAGGCAACCTATAGAATGGGAGAAAATTTTTGCAATCTACTCATCTGACAAAGGGCTAATATCCAGAATCTATAATGAACTCAAACAAATTTACAAGAAAAAAACAACCCCATCAAAAAGCGGGTGAAGGATATGAATAGGCACTTCTCAAAAGAAGACATTTATGCAACCAACAGATACATAAAAAAATGCTCATCATCACTGGCCATCAGAGAAATGCAAATCAAAACCACAATGAGATACCATCTCACACCAGTTAGAATGGCGATCATTAAAAAAATCAGGAAATAACAGGTGCTGGAGAGGATGTGGAGAAATAGGAACACTTTTACCCTGTTGGTGAGACTGTAAACTAGTTCAACCATTGTGGAAGTCAGTGTGGCGATTCCTCAGGGATCTAGGAGTAGAAATACCATCCCATTACTGGGTATCTACCCAAAGGATTATAAAGAATGCTGCTGTAAAGACACATGCACACATATGTTTATTGTGGCACTACTCACAGTAGCAAAGACTTGGAACCAACCCAAATGTCCAACAATGATAGATTGGATTAAGAAAATGTGGCACATATACACCATGGAATACTGTGCAGCCAGAAAAAAGGAAGAGTTCATGTCCTTTGTAGGGACATGGATGAAGCTGGAAACCATCATTCTCAGCAAACTGCTGCAAGGACAAAAAAAAACAAACACCGCTTGTTCTTCCTCTTAGGTGGGAATTGAACAATGAGAACACTTAGACACAGGAAGGAGAACATCACACACTGGGGCCTGTTGTGGCGGGGAGTGGGGAAGGATAGCATTAGGAGATATACCTAATGTAAATGACGAGTTAATGGGTGCAGCACACCAACATGGCACATGTATAGATATGTAACAAACCTGCACGTTGTACACATGTACCCTAAAACTTAAAGTATAATAATAATAATAATAATAATAATAAAAGAAAGTTTCTAATTATCTTCCCAGCTCTGCTCAGGCAACTCTTCCTCTGAGGATCCTTCCAGTGACAATTCAAGAATTAGCGACTCAATTCCCAGGGTCCCTTAGACCTTCGACCTGCTTGTGGGCAATTTGGAAACAAGGATTGTGCCTGAATCACCTTTGCATTCCTAGCATCGTTTTTCCTGGATAATAATTTGTTCAATATATGTTCAATAATTGTTCAATTATTCAATAACAAATGTTCAATAAATGTGTGTTAAATGAATGACCACAGCTCCTATAGCAGGTAGCTGACTTTGTGTCTCCTCAACCAATCTCTGAGCTCTTTGAAACAAAGCCTATTTTGTTTGAATGTAAATTTATCATCCCAGTTTCTGGTACAGGGTAGGGAACTAATGCATATGTGGTGAAACAATCAATGCCTTAGTGCTTATGAAGAATATCACTGTGTTACACAGAAGCATGGAATGACTAATGTTAAGCTAAACTCAAGTTACTTAGGGAATATTAACTTGCATTTATTATACTCTGGGGGAAAAACACATATATGTGTATATATGTATAACATATGTATGTATACACATATCAGAATTTGTATATGAGAATGTCTGATTACTATCAAAATACTATGATTAAGAATTAATTGCAAGACTTTGTAATTAAAGGTGTCGACACCTCTTATGTCTCCCTATTTCTTGTATTTGGATTATCTCTTTCCCTGCCTATGCTAGATATACAAGGTGATGCCGTGATTGTGTCTGATTTAAGCACCATGACAGTGATTTGGAGTAACTGTGAAATTATTCATTTTGTGTTTTTTCCAAGCCTTCTGTGTTTCAGTTGCACAGACTGCTCTGACACTGTTAGCGATGGCAATCAAATGCCAGCACAAGAAGCAAGGGGGCACAAATGAATCTCCTGATGAGGTCTATTTACAGTTCTTGCAGAATATTATACGTTTTTTACTTCAAAACCTCTAGAGTTTTTTATTTTTAAAACTTTGGTGTATTTGAGAATTGGGGCTGGTCATTTCCTGGTATGGCTAATGGTAAAATATCAGCTCTTTCTCTCGTTAATTCATTTGAGGGAGATTTCGTTAAGAGGAAGATTCAGTGATGAACTCATGGAGGGAGAGCTGTACCTCTGGTTAGGCTCAGGAGTCGAGAGTGTGAGCTATGGAGTGAAAGTAGGTGTTTTCAAATCTGCGTCTACTGTTCCTGATAGTTAAACACTGGGCAGGTCACTTACTTTGTGCTTCTGTTTCCTCAGCTGCAAAAAAAACTAGTACTTGCTCCATGACATTGTGAGGTTTAGAATTAATCCATGCTTACGACAGTGACTGTCAAACCAAAAGTACACAATAGATACTATCTGTTACTATTGTTCTGTTTTTTTATTCTTTATATTGTTTTACATCTGAGAACTTCAAAGATTATTTGATACAAATATCTCCACTGATAAAAATATCAGTAGAGAAATAGGATAATTATGCTTAACCAGCTCACATGTTATCAAGCAATTAACTAACTAGCATATTAAAGTTGATCATGTT
This sequence comes from Homo sapiens, assembly GCF_000001405.40. Classification (NCBI taxonomy): domain Eukaryota; kingdom Metazoa; phylum Chordata; class Mammalia; order Primates; family Hominidae; genus Homo; species Homo sapiens. Next base: position 1,648,043 of record NC_000018.10, read on the forward strand.
TTGATTGATTTAATAGAAAATGAAATTTATTAAAAGTGACCTAATTTATCATCTAGTTTATGACAAACAACTGGTTTGACTCCTTTTTTTTTTTTTTTTTTTTTTTTTTTTTTTTTTTTTTTTGAGACAAGTCTTGCTCTGTCGCCCTGGCTGGAGTGCAGTGGCGTGATCCTGGGTCACTGCAATCTCCACTTCCTGGGTTCAAGTGACTCCCTTGCCTCAGCCTCCCAAGTAGCTGGGACTACAGGCATGCACCACCATGCTCGGCTAATTTTTTTGTATTTTAGTAGAGACGGGGTTTCACCATGTTGGCCAGGATGGTCTTGATCTCCTGACCTCGTGATCCACCCGCTTTGGCCTCCCAAAGTGCTGGGATTACAGGCGTGAGCCACCTTGCCTGGTTGGTTTGACTCCGTTTTATTCAGTAAGTTGTTAGATTTGGGGCACCCCAAGTTAGCTATCAAAGAGATGAAGCCACTTAAGTAGTCCTATATCTCCACGAAATGTAATAAAACCAGACCTTTTGATAACACCCAGAAAGGTATTCAGGGATGGGGGAAGTGGGAATATTGTGAACATTGTCATCAGGATGGGCTGGGTTTGAATCTCAGTGCATCACTTCACACATGAAGTAAATGAATTATTTTGAAACAGAAGCTCCTAAACTTTGTCCTGTGATACTATAGGTTCCCAGTGCTTTGAAAAGAACTCTTATTTATCCCATTTTGTTGTCTTTATGTAGATGATTAAGATAATTTCTTACTGTAAGTAGAAAAAAGGGAACAAACTCAGTATGGGAAATGTACATGGGAGGAGGAAGCAGAAGTTAAGGGAGAGAATTCAGAGTATTGGATAATAAGACACAGGTCTCGGCAGGGCTTGTTCTGGCACTATTTCACAATTAACCAAATGTGTCTTGCAAATTTCCTCTCCTACTTATACTTCTCCCTAATACTGGGACACACAAATCCCCTCTTGAAGCTTAGGGCTACAATTTTCTTCATCGTCTGATAATCCTCAGTTTATATTTTCTCTAGTTATTTTTGTTAACTGGAAACAAAGCCTGTTAACACTAACATGTGTTAGTCCATTAGTGAAAGTTTTCACATATTTATTCAGTTAGTTTGAGCTGATAAAGACAACTTTGGAAATTTTTCCTTTGTTCCTGAAAATAACAAATATGAAGAACCCCCACTTGCTGGTTTCTACAATAGATTCCGGCACTTTTAAAATTGAACATAAAGTGTTTTCCATTGAGGCTCTACACTGGAAAGCAAATTATTTGATGAGCATGTGTTTCTTAAAGCAAACAAATGATGTGACAGTGCTAACTAGCCTGTACATATTTTTCCTTAGTGCGTGTTAATCAATTTGCCTACTGGATATATAAAATATATGTGATGGTTAATACTGAGTGTCAACTTGGATTAGATTGAAGGATGCAAATTATTGATCCTGGATGTGTCTGTGAGGGTGTTGCCAAAGAAGATTAACATTTGAGTCAGTGGACTGGGACAGGCAGACCCACCTACCAGCTGGGTGGGCACCTTCTATTCAGCTGCCAGCAAATATAAAGCAGGCAGAAAAACTTGAAAAGGCTAGACTGGCTTAGCCTCCCAGCCTACATCTTTCTCCCATTCTAGATGCTTCCTGTCCTTGAACATCAGACTTCAAGTTCTTCAGTTTTGGGACTTGGACTGGCCCCTTGCTCCTCAGCTTCCCAATGGCCTACTGTGGGACCTTGTGATCATGTGAGTTTAATATTCCCTATAAACTTCCATATATATATATATATATATATATATATATATATATATATATGCATGTGTGTGCGTGTGTATATACATATATATCCTATTAGTTCTGTCCCCCTAGGGAACCCTGACTAATACAGTATACAAGTCAATTCTCACTTCGTTTTCTTTATAAAATTTGATTTTAGTGGTTTCTTTGTATCTAAAATTATTTTCTTGTGTCTAATTTTAGTCAATAGTATCAGTCTGAATTCTAGAAAAAAGATATTTTAACCAAAGTCTGATTAAAATTGAAAAATCCATAACTGATTATGTTGGATCTCCTGGTTTCCAAGCCAATAAAAACTGATGGTTTCCAACCCGATCAAAACAGATAGTTTCCATTAGACGTTGTTGTACACTCTTTACTTTACATGTTAGTACAAGTTTGCTAGGAAGTCTTAAACTGGGATTAATACAAAGTTGGATTTCTTTAATTTTTTTTGAATTTCAGTGTTTCTCAATGTATGGTCTATCTTCTAATTTCATTAAAATTGTTTGGAGATGCTTATTTCAAAAGAGTCAGATTCCTGGACTCCACTTAAAACTTGCTGAATCAGAATATCTGAAGTTGAAACCAACAAATCCATATTTTTAACGAAGCTTTCCACTTAGCTCTATGCATGGTGAAATTTGATTTGAGTGCCACAGGCAAGAATTAATGGAGAGCTCAGTAGTTATTAAATGAGCTAGTTTAGAAAAAAAGGAAACATGGAAAAGGGCAAGGAAAATTCAGGCTGGATGATCAGTGTGTGAATGACAGAGACTCAAATGCTGTCCTAATGCACATAAGCTTTCTTCCTGTTTTATTTGAAAATCTTTTACTTTGTATGAACAACCGATATTCAGTAAAATACTTAAGAATGGCATTTACTTTTTAATTCACAAACGAGTATATTTAAGTACATTCCTACAGGAGAAAACAATGTTCTTAATAAAGTTGATGTGAGAGGTACATTGAAGACATGGGACAGTGTCATTTCTATGTCCTATTACAGACTTATTTCCCCGTCCTTTAAAAATCTTGAAGCCAAAGTGAGCTCCTGCTAACGTTTCCCCATCCACTTATATTGATTTGGTTAAGTATATATGTGAAAAGGAGACAAACATTTCCAACAAACGTAAAAGCCCTAAATTTTCTTTAGTTAATTACATGTACAGTAGAACTACAGAATCTTCAACATTTGATTGAAATGCCCTCTGTCATTTTCCAAAATAGTTTAATAATCTATTTGGTATGATTTCCTTTTATCTCAGTTTTGCTTTGTATTTATTTAAGAAGTTTGTCAGCAGTCTCCAAAAATTTTTGCTCAAGAAAAGAAGAAAATATTTGTAAAACTACCCTTGAGATTTGTTATATATGGAAGTGGTAAAATATTTGATGTAAAGCCAACATGAGAAGATAAATAATTCATGTAGTCTATTGGTAATTGGCAATATGAGATAGGAGCAACATAAGTGAAATGAATCTCTTTGGTATCATTTGCCCAGTGTTAACATATTTTACAGACACTAATGGTACACAAACAGTAAAGTTTAATGATGGTTTGAATGCTGATTGTACCTAAAAGATGTTTCAGGTCATACAAATATTCTAAAAGTGATCACAGAGTGAGCTATCTGTTGAAATAAACATTACAGGATGGCTTAAGGTCAATTTAATTAAATACATATAGAAATCTTTTTGTAGTTGTATGTATCTAGCAACTGCTCAGTCATTTAAAATCTGTTTACTTCTCAAATATTTAGTTCTGGAAAAATAGTAAAATGGAATGTGTCACCTATTAGTGCAACCATTCATCAAAGTTAATTAACCTTTGATTCAATCAAAGGATACAACAGCAAGTTTCCATTTATTTGCTGGTGGGGAGGAGGGTAATGTCATTACTTCCCAGCAACTCTCTTAGGACTTAGAAACATCTACACAGATGCTTAGACAATGTACAATATCTCATATCAGAGAAAAGTCAGAGTAAAAGTGGATAAACATGATTAATTAAATAAATTATACTTGAAAAAATATCACTTTTCCCTTAAACATCAAATTCTATTTTAGAGTACTTTCACACTGTATTTTACATTTAATAAGGTTGTTACCACCCAAATTTTCACTATTCTTTCATGGAAATGTAAATAATGAATAGATAAGATAAAATATATTTTAGAGAAAAGGACAGTTGATTACACCTTGTCCTTACCTAAAGTATTTTCATTTATCCATCTGGTATATCATAAATCATCACCTTGTGAAATAAAGATGACTAGACCTCAGCATAGCAAGATACATCTATTTTTAATCAGTGCAACTGAATGATGCTGCTACGCCAAACTGATCCAGGCAGGTTGCTTATAATATGCAGGGCATTGTCATCCAGCTGCAGTTATAGTGACAATCTGAATAGGAAGTGGAAACTCAAAAGCCTTTCACCAGATGGGAGATTTTATTTATTCCTGGCAAGCAGATGTCACCAACTTCTCTTTCTGACTAGGCCATGTACTTATTTTACAGAGAGAGGCGGTAGTTGTTGTAGGGTATGTTTATTGAGAATTTCAATTTCCAGTTAAATAAAAAAACTCCTCATGTAATAACAGCTAATTAACAAAACAAAAAAAAAACATTCTTTTGTGACTTAAGAAAACTATTCAACTAACTTTCCTTTCCCTATTTCATGAGCAGACTGCCATGACTCTGGTTCTTGAGTGTGGGTGGTGACTGTGAAGAGGTAAAGGAGATAACACCACATCAAGCCTCCCTTGGGGCAGCTCAGAGTGTGACCCCACTGTGAGGGGAGCTGGGAGAAGGCCCTTCAGTCCGCAGTAGCCTCAGTCTTAGTAGTTCTAAATTTTGGTGTAGAGTCTTTGTCAGAAGCATTAAAATCCAATTCTATTGCGGTATTTGTCTAAGAGAAGGCCCTCATGGAGTGGGCTCTGGAATAGGAGGCTTTTGTATTCTCTCAGAGGAACTCTACGTGAGGCATCCTAAAATTTGCACAATTCTACCTTTCCTCCACCAACTAAACCTCATGGAAGGCCGCATGTAAAACACATCAAAGCAACATCCCTAAGATGAGCCTACCCCACCTTCAAGTGCCTGCCTAAGAAAACTCAAGGCTGCCAAAAAGAATTTTTTTTGTTTCAGCCAATGCCTGAGGATGGAGTCTCTCTCTCCCAGTCCTTGTGGGAGGACAGAATCCTAACTTCAATAATTGCCACCTCACAGACACAGTTGACCTAATTGGATGTACACTGACTAACCTTTTGTAATTCTTTGTAATTTTACACTTCCCTGACTCCACTAAGCCCCTGCTCACCCTGCTCCCTAATTCTTCATTCTCCCCCTAAAATGCTCGGTCACTTCTATGTAAATGGAAGATGAGTTCAGTTCACGCTGGACTCTTTTCCCTATTGCAGTAATTATTGCTGAGTAAAATCTGTCCTCACCACTTAAACTAGTATCCAGCTTTATTTATCTTTGACATAGGTTGAACCATACAGCAATTTGTTCCCTAGCATCATTTCTCTCACTACCTATGTACATTCAAATATGCCTACAGGTCATTTTCTAGTCTTTTATTTTTTACACAGATACAAGGATTTATATTATAAGGATTACTATTCCCCCATCTCCTTTTTTTCCCACTTACCAATTCACTCAGTAGATGTACCATATTCTCAGTTACTGGTTTTTGGTGGACATTTCTATTCCAGTGTTGTGTTGTCACCACAATATTGTGGTGAATATTTGTGCACATGTAAATGTACTTATAATGGTAGATTTTAGTGCCGTGTGTGTGTGTGCATATGTGTGTGTGTGTGTGTGTGTGTTTGAGAGAGAGAAAGAGAGAGAGAGACAGGGAGAGAGAGACAGAGAGTTTTAATTCTGAAGCCTAAAACTTTAAAAGTCTAACCAACTTACAACCTGAGCAGGGTGTATGAGAGTTTTGAGAGCACTCACATCATCACCATGTCTTCATTACACCTGATACTCTTGATTGTTTTTCTCAATTACATAGAAAGAATACTATACTTTAGTCAGTTTTTTTTGTTCCTCTGAGTAGTACCATTAAAAAAATTTTAATGCTTCTTTAGAAGAATGACACAAATATATATGCACAGACATTTAACAAAACTCTCCTACCTTAACTGGCCAAATAATAAGTCTCATGACAAGTCTGCAAGTATATTTCACAGCATTCTTCTCTGGCGTAACGCCACACTACATAGTGCTTGCATAAGATTCTTCTCCAGACAACCAATCTCTCAGGCAGTGGAAAAGTCACTGAGTATTTATTTTGCGTCTGACCACTTTTTGAAATTACGAGTATTTTGCTTATCATCCTCTCTTAAACCAGTCTTGTTTGTTAAACTGGCTTGGGACAACTGAGTTCACTGTTACATCATAATTGCTGTCATTGTAGTTCTCATTTTCCCATTTTTTTCATATTGGTTTGTGTTTCTGATTGATAATTTGAAAGGTAATTAAACTAGTCTACTACCCTATGAACAATCTGTGATGTCTAAAGTTTTACAAATTAGTCTGTTTCTATACAAAATAACATCAAGCTGAAACTCATTTATCAATGTACCATGGTTTTTCAGGTGATCAAAGATGACTTTTAACACAATTGGAACCAAGCTGCTCATAAGAATGACAAAAAAAAAAAAAAAAAAACAGACAACTAATTTGCACTTGCTTAATGTTGGTCAAAATGCAGTGGAACCTCGTGTTCTTTTTCATCAATATCTCTTGAATGTGGTCAAGAGCCAGAAGCTCAGCTGCATCAATTATGTGAACTTGTGTGAATCCTTTGATTATAATCATGTTGTCAAGATCCAATTATGTTTCATTGATAAAGCAAGAAATGGCAATAATAACCAGAAATATTCTAGAACTGGAGCTTTCAACTACTTGAGCGAATTTCTGTTCTTATTATGTTGTGGACAAAAGCTTAATGTTAAGCCAGTAATTGAACTTTAGATTTTGTAGGAAAAAGTAAATGATGACCCTGATATTGGAAACTTATAAACTCTCAAGATTTAATACCAAAGAAATTTATGTGGTCAGGGAATACTCTTTAAGGGATTGATGTTTTAGTTGGTAGCTGAATAACAAGAACAAACTAGCCATCATAGAATTTGGGAGAAAGTCTTCCAGGCAGAGTGAATAACAAGGGAAATATCCTAAGGCTAGAATTAGCAGAGTTTTCAAGAAACAGAAAGAAGTTCACATGGAGCCAAGGCTAGTGAGCATAGATGAGGGTAATCTGAGATGAAGATTGTGAGACTAGCCCAACAAGATTATGTATAGGCCCCTTGTACCATGGCAAGGGGTTTCAATTTTATTATGGGTACAGTAGAACACAATTAAAGGAGTTTTCACAAGAATAGCAATGTGATTCTGTCTACATTGTTAAAGAATCACTTTGTCTATTGCATGCAGAATGGACCATGGACATCAGACACAGAGGCAGGGAGATAAGAAGCTGTGTGCAGTTGTGCAGGAAAGAGATGATTGTACCTGGACTACAGTGATAGAAGCAGAGATGGGAAAACAAAGGGAGAGTTTAGACAAGCATTAAAGGTGAAGTTCATAGTAGTTGTTTGGTTGTAGTCAGTGAGGAAAATTATACATTCAGAAATGACTCCTGGAATTTTGGCTTAACGAATTAGTGTGGGTGGATGATATTGCTATTTACAGAAATGGTAAGTATTAACAAAAAGACAAATTTGTCTCTGGTTTTGAACATGCTAATTTCGAGAAGCCTGTAAGTTACAGATCTCTCATAAGCAATTAATAGTAGCAGTCATGGGGAGGTTCAGGCTAGAGAGAAAAGTTTGGAATTGTCAGCATATAGATAGTATTTAAAGCCATGACAGGAAGTGAAATTAAAAAGATAAATTGAAGGAGATATTGAAACGAAATGAAGTATAGGCTAACTCCTTAGGGATTCCAGTGCTTAGGGTTTTATTAGTAGGGAAGGACTCCTTATGTAAAAGAATGAGCTGAAGAAGAGAAAAGAAGTGGCCAAGTAAAAAATAAGAAGAGAAAGTTTCACAGAATACAAGAGACAAAAGTGAAGTATGAGAGAATGAACAAGATTATTTAACAGGATAAGCACTGGAAAATATCCAGTTGAATTAGCATAGTAGATACGATCTTGGCAAGAATAATTTGTGTCGATTGATAAGGACCAAATTCTCATTGGAGAGCATGGGACAGTGATTAGGAGAAGTGGTAGGCAACGGGTTTGTAGAAAATGCTTCCAAAAATTCAAGAAGGGAAGTAGATAAATGGTGTCATAGTTAGAAAAGGATGTGAAGAAAGAAGAGCTGTATTTAAATCTGGAAAATTCTGGAGTAGATTTCTGTACTTCTGGCAGTAATTCTGTAGAATAAGAGTGGTAAGGCAGGAGAGGAGATGCCCACAGAAGTAAGGCGCTTAATGAGGTGATCTAGGGTGTAATAGAGCATATGGAATATTGGACTTGCCAGGACATCTCTCCTTTGGACAAGAACAAAGGAGAAAATGGAAGCAAATTCAGGTTAGGTTTATAGATTTAGTCATGAGTATGTGGGGCATAGAACTTACTCATCCCACATATCTGCAACTTTAGACCTCTTGACCTCCATCTCCACATTTCCTCCCAGCCTCTACACCTCGTAAGTACCATTTTATTCTCTATTTTTTTATATTTCACTTTTTTTAGAGTGCACATACAAGTGTGAATTCTAATTATAATATTGCATTATGTACTGAAAACATGCTAAGAGTGGATATCATGTATTCCTACCACAAAAAAAATGGATAACTTTGAGATGATGGATATGTGAATTTGCTTGACTACAGCAAGTATTTTGCTATGTTTTAGTATATCAGAACACCATGTTGAACACCTTAAACATATACAGTAAAAAAGAATAGGTGGCATATTTCTTTTGTGAGGCCTTCAGTATTTCAGTGGGATATGACACAATGTTCTGAACTGGGAGTGGAAAGGGGGTTAAGGAGAGCAGCAGACTTGCGGGGAAGAAAGAGGCATGAAATATTCATTTCTAAAAGTATAAAAGTACACTTAAAAAAAAAAGCATGGGATTTCCAGGAAGTATTGAGCACCCATTTGCAGTTCAAGATCATGAATTTGTTGTGATACCAATCTGGTCAGTTTCAAGTTTTTTCTTGCAAAACTTCACTGCCTGAATACAGATACAAAGAAAGTAAAAGTTTATCTCTCAATTTGTAGATTTTCTGGACGTGTAATGGAAGCATGAAAGGTTTGCAGGTTGGTGCAAAGGAGTCATTATAGTGATGCATCTTTAAATTGAAGCTGGACTAAGAGGAAGTGAGATCTGGAGTCAGTGGTGGGGTCAATGGATTGAGGGTCTGAAAATGATTGAAGTAGTGTTTCTATGAGACTATTTGAGAAAATGAACAATATAAATAGGACATTTGTGTTTTGAAGGGAGATAGTTTCTGGTGATAGCTAGACCCAGAATGTAACCATGAGAGAATATGGCTGAGGTACAGGAAAGGAAATGGACCCAGGAGACTCATTCATTCATTCAACACTTATGTTTTGAGTGCTTCCTGTGTGCCATGCATTGTTTTAAGCAATAGATTGACAGCAGTAAAAAAACAGACAAAAACTCCCTGCTCCAGTGAATTTCACATTCTAGTGGATAAGAGAGATGACACACGTGGTGTGTGTGTGTATAATATCACTTTATTTTACATATATAAAATTTATATTATATATCTCTCCTATGACAGGATTCACAATATATATGTATGTTTATATGTAAAATAAAGCGTCAGATGTGACAAGTGACAGGGAATAAGAATGGAAAGGTAGCCAGAGGCCTGATCAGGTAGAAGTTCTCAGTCAGGATAAAGAGCTTGACGTTTTTTCTTTTGTGGTAGGATGTGACTGCTGGATTTTGAAGTGTGTGTGTTTGTGTGTGTGTGGTGACATAATCAGATTTATATTTATACATGCATCACTACAGCTACTATCTGGAAAACAGACATTTTGTGAACAGGAGACAAAGCCTATTGAAAAGCTTCTGCAGCCGTCCAGGCAAGAGATACAGGTTCCTCCTTATAGGAGGGCAGTTGTGTTACAGGCAAGAAAAAGCAATTGAATTCAGGTATAATTTGAAGGTAAAATGTAGGAATTCTTGGGTTCTTGAGAGGTGTTTGAGAAGTGGCTCTTGGTGATTTGCTCAGCTCATTCAACCTCAAGAGACCACTTCTGCACAACTACCTGACATACTCAAAGTTAAAAGTTGGCAACTCTCTTCATGTTTATTATTGCACTTAATTGTTACAACAGCTCTATTTGGTAGGTGTCATTAACCACCATGCAAATTAATTAATATTACATATTATGGACTTTGTAGGTGACTTGATGAATCAAAACAAGAGACATTAAATTTACAGATTTACAGATGCCAAGGAAATGCTGCATTCTTTTTTTTTTTTTTTTTGAGACGGAGTTTCACTCTTGCTGCCCAGGCTGGAGTGCAATGGCACAATCTTGTCTCACCACAACCTCTGCCTCCCAGGTTCAAGTGATTCTCTTGCCTCAGCCTCCCAAATAGCTGGGATTACAGGCATGCACCACCACGCCCGGCTAATTTTGTATTTTTAGTAGAGACAGGGTTTCTCCACGTCGGTCAGGCTGGTCTCGATCTCCCGAACTCAGGTAATCTGCCTGCCTCGGCCTCCCAAAGTGCTGGGATTACAGGCGTGAGCCACCGCACCTGGCCTGCATTCATTTTTTATCATTTATCTTTGTTTGACTTGATTGCAGCTTGGAGTTAAATTGTTTTGAGAAATTCGTAAGGCAACGTACATATATTTAGTTTAACTTCAGAACATTCTATACAGTTTCATTCCAAGAGAAATTAAAGAGACAAATTTGGGTCTACATAAAACCTCACAAAATGTTTTCTGCTCACAGAAAGACACTGGTTTCCTTTCACGGTTAAACATTTTTGTGGGTGCAGACAGTTCTTAATCCCGCCTTCAGATTGTAGGACCTATCAAAAATAGAATATTTGTAGTTGAAGAAAGAAATCTTGATTTGAAATTACTTTTACTTTTGGAATCTTTTCCTGCATTTAACACGTAAATTTTGGCAAAAAGCAGTGACTGTCATTGGCTTTCATCCACGTTTCCTCGAGCACTAGCCTCTCTTCTGGCTGGGCTAAAGAGCAATTAAAAGCATCCTGAGAGATTCATCAAAATGGTGTTGGAGTGAGACAGGGCTCAAGGGGTTGAGAAGTCAGAGTATCGGAGGACTGTTCTTGTAAATATTAAAATAACTCAACATCCTGTCATGAAAAGTGTGATGAGGAGATCGTGACCCAGGTCTTTAAAACATCAATAACAGAAAGGAAATGACAAGGAGTTCAGTAAAAGCCAGTAATGATGAGGGAGCAAAGTGTTAAATGTTAATGGAATGGATCTCAAGTAGTGAAACCTTCTAGAGGAGTAACGGAGAGGTAATGACGCGTGTAGCGCCTGTGGAAAGCAGGAAGTTGCCCACTTCACATGCCAGGTGTGAGCTTTTAAGAATGTGTGAAAATAAATACCTTCTGCTTGATGGCAAGTGCTCACAGGGGATTTGCTGGCATTCAGTTAGGGCAAGGAAGTGGAGGGAACTTCCAGTGAAAGGGTTGGGGATGAAGGAGGGTGTGCTGTTGCTGGAGTAAGAAATTCAGAGGATGCAGTGCAAAGTTGTTATTATTCTCATTTACCACCTTGAGGTAAACTGAAGCTCAGAAATAATCATTAATCTGAGTCACAGCACTTCTAGGTGGCAGCAGAATTTGGCTCTTTATACAATTTTGTGGCTCCAAAACCTGTTCTCGTTACAGGGATATAAATTGAACTCAAAGTAAAGTTGGAGAAATGCTGTCACTTAACATGCTTTAGCCAGCAAATCATTGCAACACAGACACTTCACAATGGTTTTTATGTATTATGATATAGAGATGGGTTCTCTAGCCACTTGTGAAAGGCTTCAGTGTGCTAATAGATTTGTTCCCTGTCTCTTTAAAAATTTTGTTGAAGTGCTGGTCAGGGCTAACTTTGGCTTTTGATAGTCTTTAGTACGTGCTTCAGAACAGGCCTAAGAGAAAGCAGGGAAAAATAGATTGACTTGGTTGTTTAATAATGTTTGACCAATTCTTAATGTTGTTAAAGGCCAGCTATGCATCCAGCTATAAACTACGCTATGTAAAGCCATGAAAAATACAGTTTCCTATCATTAGTGTCTTTCCTTCATCAGTTTTCATTTTTCAATTTTGCTCTTCCTATTCAACCACAAAATTACATTTCTGTTAATTCTCACCAGAGTATACAATCTGCATTTTTTCTCTTTTCTTTTTCCAAAGTTTATCTGGTCAAAGGGTGATTGATGGAGTGGGTGGGGTTGTCTTAGCAACAAGCCTATGCAACAGTAAGTAGAAATCCCTATGAACTCTGGAGCAAAGGGTTTTTATGGTTCAGAATATAAATTACATTTTAAAACACATTTTGATCTCTTCCTCTAACTATTAGAAAAGAAGAAATAATCTATATAGTAGTTCCATGTTTAAATAACTTCTTTTCTAGCTAGCAGAGTGGAGAAAGCTTAAAAACAATACCTGATGAGACGGATCATGCTAAAAGCCTCAATTTACTCCAAAGGGTCCCAAAACAACTTAAAATGTGGATGCATCAAGAGGCAAGTGAGGGTGGCTGAGGCTTGGATTTCAAATCTAAGTGAGGGTAGGCTGTCTACAGTGAAGATGAAGCGTCAGATCACCGTCTCATTAAGCAAGCAGCCTAATGGCGCTCTTTCTTCCACCCCCGAAGGTGGCAGATGTCTATTCTCTGGGGAAGTTAAACTCAAGATACTTAGAGGGTAGGGCTGAGGTTGATTGAAGATGCTGGGATTCGGAGAAAATAGGCACATGAATCATGAGACTCTCAAACCCATTCCTCCAAGAACCGGGGCCATCAGGACTATGTATGCCCTTTCAGTCACCAAAGCAAAAACGTGGAAGATTATTTTCTGGAAAGACTGCTCTAGAGAAAGATATTTCTTACTTCTGACATTTGGAGTTGCCTAAGGAGAGAAGTGACTCTGTTAGATCACTTTACAATGCTGTTTATCAACTGGAAAGTCCTGGCCCTGCACCTGGATCTCCCATGGAGTCTTTAATTCAAAGGAGCATTTGAAGGCAAGGGTCACAAGCTATTTCAACAAGTCTCTAAAATCAGGGCCAAAGCCCAAAATAAACAGGAAAAGAATTATTTAGAGCAAGAAGATAAATAGCCCAAAGCAAGCTTTATGAAAACTATTATTAACAAGCATAATTTGAAAGAATAGCACATCTTTGAAATGAGAATATATGTGATTTAAAAAAAAACTCATGGGAATTAAAATGATGAAGCCAAAATTTTAAAAATTTTAATAGAAGGCATTAGAATATTTTCAATATAATTCTCCTGAAATTAGAACAAAAACACAATGAAAGGGTTGATAGAAAGAAAAAGATAAAAATAAATTAAATATTTCTTAGAAGGTATAGAAACTTCATAATGGGAGTTCCATAAAGAGAGAATGGGAAGAAATGGAGATAATGCAGTTTTTGAATAAAGTAATAAACTATTCCATAATGAAAGAAGAGCAGTTTTCAAATTTAAATGGTCCATTTTTTGTTGAAATCAATGAATGCAATAAGATACCCATCAAACCACTTTATTCTGAGACTTTAGAATTAGAAAAGAACAGATTTTAAAATCTCCCAGAAAGAAAAGACAGCATACAGTTAAACAAATGGAAATAAGAACAGTACATAGCAATATACTGTAGTTAAATCTGGAGAAAAACTGCAAGGAATTAAAACTGAGGACCAGGGTCTAGTCCTAGTCAGATTCCTAACCTCTCTATGCTCCTTTTTATTAAATGTAATATGCAGATAGTAATACCACCTACCTCACAGTGTTGTTGAAAGAATTAAATGAGAAAATGCACAGCATGAACATTCAATTAAAATTAGCTGTTTTTATAATGATAATATGATTACCATACTTATCAATAAGCATTCCCAACTAGAAAGAATTGTCTTGAAAACATAGTCATATCATCATAATGAAAACGTAGAAAACACTTAAGTGTCTAATAAGAGTGAAAAGGTTAAAGGAATGATATCAGGGAGGAATATTATGTAGCCAATAAAATCAGCAATATCAAAAAGTATTGAATGATATGGGAAACTTCTGATATGTTAAATGAAATTTGCAAAAGATGGAATTATACAGTATAAGACAAATGTTTAAAAGCACAGACATTTAGTAAGAAATGGCACTACATTTGTTAATAGTATTTTTCCCTAGGTGTTGGAATTATGGTAGATTTAATTTCTGTATTTTTATAAAACACTAAAGTATTGTTTTTAGAATTAGAACTGGATAATAAACATTATTAAATCTGTAGGCGGCAGATAAAGACAGTAAGTTATAAACATGTTTTGTTCTATGTGTTATTATATTCCATGTAACAATCATTGCCTTATGTTTATTAATTTGCTTATGCCACAAGCAAGACACAAATTTTCATAAAAGATTGATACTTGGGCCACCCACTGCTTGGGCACCTCCAATTGTATTCCTCCAGGAGAAGAAAGACTGGCTGGTTTTCCACCAGAATAAGCCAGCTCTAGGACTGCTTGAGACAGAACCAAGCCCTCCTCTTTAAGGCAAAGGGGGAATTTCTGGAACAGAGAGGGAGATGTGCCCATCCCACTCAGACTCATGGACAATGTGGGCCAGGTAGTATAATATAGTTCAAAGACAAAGCTTTCTATTCTAACAATTAACAATTTTCTGGAACTAGCAAAGTCAACTCTCTGGTTATTGTCAAGTCTGTTGAGTCCCTAACTGCCATTAAATAGTTATTTTTAAAACGTGGTGTTCAAATAGGTTTGGTAAACACCAGGCTTCATTACTACACCACTTCTAGGCATGCTTCGTTTGCTAAAGGGTTTTGTACATTTTTGAGATGGAAATATGATTTGCAGATTTTCCAAAATTTAATTGACTCCTGGACCCAAATTTTTGTAATACATTTTTGTTGCACACAAGATATTTAGGAAATTATGGCCTTGGTATTCCCAGTAGAACTCTAAGCCTAGATTTCCATAAGGAAAAGAGTTTATCCTAAAATTTATCTATCAGCCCTTCTTGAAGTGGCTGGCACTCAGAGCTGCATTAGAGTAGGTATAGGAATATTAGGCTTGCCCAAGATAAAATTTGGAGAATGAGGGAATGATTGAGTTGGGTGGACTTAGTGTACAGAATTAGCGGCCACCTCTCAAGAAGTCATCAGACTCTAGCAAAGAAGCCAAAGGGAAGAAACACTCAGGAGGCAAGGCTAACAAGAAGAGAACTGCTAACTGTAGAACTCTTTGGAATTGCCCTTGACAAAGGTATTGAAATATCCAGATGAATGGTTCCATTTTCTTTCCTATGGTATCTAATCTGCTAACTGAGATTATGAATTCATTATCTCTATGTCTTATACGACTACGGTAGTATTTATTTATTTATTTAAAGAACAGTAAGCTCTTACTAAATGATTAATTAAATCTATTTTCAACTATACTCCTATCTCATGTTGAAAGAGTACTAAGAATATAATCAAATATATTCTATTCATAAATGGCCTTAATTTCTGCACAATAAATTAAATTCCCATCAATGTGATTTACATTTGAAGAGTTTTAAGCTTTAACTAACACATGTAGCTCCTCATGAAAAGTGAAAACTTCTCTCTGACATCTAATTTGAAATATTACCTGGCTATGTTGATAAACATTCTCTTTGTTTTCAAGCTCTCTCTAGGTAGTATATCTGGGCAGGAAAAGAAAGAGCTCCATTCATTGAAGCTTCCTCTCTTTCACTAAATTTAATTGGTTTAGAACCATTGTTTTATCCAAATGCAATGTTAACAAATGGACACGTGTAAGCAATAAAAAAGCAGGGTTTTATTCTGAGATTCAGTTATATTCAGTAGGACAGTCAATTCTCTCATTCATATGACTTTATCCAGGAGCTAGTTATTGCAGATGTAGTTATTCCTGAAGGAGAGACAATAACTATATTTAAGGATACCGTATTATCAGAACAGCACGCATGGGCTACATCAGCATGCCAGCGTTGTCCTTCACCTTCTACCCAAGCTCTGTCATATTCTATTCAAAAATGTCACTCAGGCAACCAGCAGGGGGAGGCTTGGAACATAATATAAACAGCGGCTGATATGAAGTATGATTTAGGATCAAACATTTGGGATACATTTACAGTAGGGATATGTGCAAGAAAAGAGGCGCTCCTTCACACCCAGCCAGGAAGCGTATCAGTTTATCCCGTGGAACTTAGCACAAACTTCTCTCCTAGCTCTGTAGACTCGGCGCCCCCTAGGGGTTAGTCGCAAATGCAAAGTTGCACATGCATCCCCTTCTGGCCACATCCCCAGCTCCATCAGAAAGAACTACTTCATTCTACAGTGCAGACCATATACATACATATTCATTCTTACTTTGAAGGATACTGTTTTGGTTCATAAACCACATAGATGCCACTTCTCCTGAATGTATAGCCCCTAAGCCCAGGCCATGTTGCTTTTAAGAATCAACCTTAGTAATACGTGTTTCCTTTATGTTGGCTGACATATTTGATCGCAAGTTGAGTTCTATATAATGTCAGTGTATACCTATAATAGACTCCTAGACCCCTCTTTACAGACAGCCCCTGGACTTTGCTTAGCAAAACAAACTTTGCAATTCACACACATCCAAATTCCAGCACTAGCACTGACTAATTAGGGGACGTTGAACAAGTTATTTAACCTGAGTCTTATTTTCTCAAATCTTTAAAATATACAGAGTCAATAATCACCTGTTAATGATACTATATATTTATAAAAATAAAATTACCTATGTAAAGTCCTAGACACATAATACATATTCAATAAATAGTAATAATTCGTATTTTAAAGTCTTCGGAAAAAAAGAACAAAATGCATTAGCAGATCTTTTACACTTCATTAAACATACTATAGTTTTGTAAATAAGGAAATCACCTTTTTGACTTCGCATCCCAAAGTGCCTGGAAAACTGCATACATATTAGCAATTGAAGGTACATATAGCGAATGAATGGAACAAATATCAGTGTTTTAGGACCGGGTTGCCTCCTTTCACTCTTCCTTCCTTGTGGTAGCATTAATGGCAATAGTACCCCTTCTGGGTTCATTGTATTCTTTCAAAAACTGGAGTTTTTAGCAGAACATATGAAGAGATTAAATTCCACTCAGAGTTATTACATTGTTTACTCAGTCACCTTCTAATCACCCTGTTGCTATTTTAGAATGGCCTTGACTGCCCTGTCTCATAAATTCAGAAGGGAAATTAATCACACATTCTTGCTAGGTGAGATCTTTCCCTGACCCTCTCATCACAGTATTCTGTTTGGCATCTATCATCTTAAACGTATGTATTTCTAGTGGAGGCAAAAAAAAAAAAAAATCTTAGACAGTGATAATACTTTGATCAAAAACTGTCAGAAAATTGCTTTACTCCTGAAAGCCACTGTCCTTACCTACTTTCCTCTCTTCCTTAAAGTGGCAGCCATAAAATTATGCCTTGGAGTTCTCATCAACATGGCATATACAAACGTGGCTGTACATAGTACAGGCCTAGCCGGAAAATGGGCTGTTGTCCCGGGTAATGATCCTGGCGTGTACTGTGGAGGCTAACAAGATTTATCCCAACTATTGATAGCTATATTCTTTTGCTCTTTTATACAAAAATGGGTGATACTTTTGAAATAAGTAGAGAATTATCTTCAGAACAGGTAGCACCAGTGCTCTTCTCAACATTTGTTATCACTAATGATAGAAGCCTTTGGAAGAGCAAAGGGTTACTCTGTATAATATTATTTGCCCATTTGAGCTACCTGGAGATATTTATCACTGTAAATTTTCTACAAAGCATAATTAAAGTATCCCTCAAGAGTTGTATATGTGAAATTAATTATTTAGAACAAGCTGCTACCAGTCTTGGTCACCTGGTAACAGTCTACTGAATGTAAATATCTCATTTTTTACTTAATACTTTTCCATCTGCCTCACCAGTGCCTAGCACTGTGGCTTAGAATTGTGGCCAAGACTACATAAAGATCACATCTTGCATAGAGACGGGTTGTACCTCTCAATGTCAGGAAAGAATGTGTTTGTCCGGACACCAACAGCCTGTAAGTTTAAACTGAAGGCAAGATAATGAGGGAGAAGAATGTGCAGGATAGCTAGAATGGGGAACAGGGAATCACGTGGGAACTGATGGTGAGTGAGAACCAGAGGAGAGAGAAACTGCCTCCAATGCTCAGGTACTGATAAGCAGCACACAAGTAAGAAGAAAAGCACATTTTACTTTACAATAGAGTTACTGTGAGAGCTATCTATGGGACTATGAGGAGAAGCATCAGGGCTGAAAGGCCATGTCCTGCTTAAGTTGAATGACGCCCATGGTTCAGCACAAAAGACAAGAAAAACAGCAGTATGTAATTGTAGGCATTTACCTAGATGGTGCACAATAGAAAACTACTATAGGTTGAAAATGTAGGCGTAATGAGAGATTCCAATTGTATTGAATGATTTTAAATGTCAATTCTTTTCATTAAAAACAGTCCATCTGATATCATATGTCACCCATCTATCTTACATCCTTAGAAGTTAAAGGAGGCAATTAAAAGAAGTATTGTTCCAGATTTTATCATGACTGACAAAGCCAAATTGCAAGCCTAGTTGTGAGAAAAGTGAAGAAGCCTTTTTGTAATCCTTTCCCAGGATCAGAAAATCTGGAAATTACCTCAGATTAAATGAAAACATATTTTTAATTGCTCACAGATTTTTATGAACTTCATTTGGGCTGAAATGCACAGCTCTAGTTCTTTAATTTGGCATACTGTTCTATTGCACTGTATGAGTGCCACGATTTCTTATTTTGCTTCTTGTTTGACATCTAAGTTTTCTCCAAATATGTGTCTATGTAATGCAGAACATGCCTCCATGTTTACACATGCAAGAGATGCCCTACACTCCAGCAGTAGAATTCTTAGATCCTAAGCTGTGTGTATTTGTATTTCTAGAGATTGCTAGATTGTTCTCCATAGCTATGTCCTATCAGGAAAGCATGAGAAGTTTCATTATTCTATACTGTCATCAACACGTGGTCTGTCTGATGGTTTCAGTTTTACTAATCTAATGGTTTAATCTTTTATTTTACAGATTTCTAATGAGATTGAACATGTTTATATGTGTTGATTACATATGTTCCCCTGTGTGTGCATCACATGGTCACATCTTTTGCCCATTTTCTCTTGAATAGATTTTGTGTTTCTTATTTGTTTTGTAGAAATTCTTAATGTATTCCACTTAGTATTCTATTGTTAGCTATATGGGTAACAAATATCTTCTTTCAACATGTGACCTTTTTTAAAATGTAGTCTTTTTTGTGAATGAACATAATATATTGATAAGCTATCTAACTGTTCAATACTATATTTGGAAATCATGGAGAAGTATGTCGTGAGAGTAAAATGAGAGACAAAAATAAGAGCTAGAAATAATGAGATAATGTTAAAATATTCATTTTTATTGTTATCGTTGCCCTTGTTCATTTGTTTTGTTACAGTATAATTAATTTAGCTATTATAAAAATAATGCTGTGTAACTAACTAAATGGCTTACAAAGATGAGCATTCATTCTCACACCTATAGGTCTGCAGCCCAGCTAAGGTTTTGCTAATCTTGGCTGGGGCTGGCTGATAAACTGCTTCAGTCTGTGGTCCAGTTGGCTTTGGCTCCAGACTGAAGGTTAGGTTCAGATCTGCTACATATCATTTTAGGATCAGCAGTTATTTGAAGCACAAACCCATAGAAATGGCAGAAGCCAAGGGGCAAACCGAAATGTTCAAACACATTTTAAAGACTCTGCTCAGATAACTTCCTACTCACATTCCTTTAGCCAAAACCAGTCACATGGCTAATTCCAAAGAGGAGTAGGGAATTGTAGTCTGACTCAAAGGGAAAGAAGAGGTAAGTGAATACATATTCACCAGAAAAAAATGCATCATAACTGAACATAGCATACATGTCCCAAAATAGTGTTGAAAGAATTCTATTTTAAAAAATCTTTTAAAAGGCATATTTGGATGGTAATAGAGATGTCCACACTCAATATTAAAGTTTGCCATAATCATTCACAGAAGAGAATGAAGTGAAAAGAGGGAATGTAATTAATGATGTCCATTTACAGTGAGGTTGTTAGGATCTTTCTGATAGATATTGTGTGGAAATAGATGGATTTTTCTCCTTTCCCAATATTATTTGCCCATTTGAGCTACCTGGAGATATTTATCACTGTAAATTTTCTTACAAAGCATAATTAAGCTATCCCTCAAGAGTTGTATATGTGAAATTAATTTTTTAGAACAAGCTGCTGCCAGTCTTCGTCACCTAGTAACAGTCTACTGAATGTAAATATCTCACCCTGTACTTAATACTTTTCCATCTGCCTTGCCAGTGCCTAGCAAGCACTGTGACTTAGATGACAGGGTTATCAGGGGATACAAATAGCATGAATCCTGAAGTCATTCGTACTGCCTCTTTGTAGAGCTGTCAATGGCTTTATTTCCTCTGTTCATTTACTTGGACATTGCTTTAGGATCTCGAGGGCTTTATATTCAGCAAGAGCTGCTCCGATCTAAATGAAATGGCCAAGCTTTGCTTTTACATTAGATTCTACATGTTTATTTTGGTTTCTAATATTTTAATAAAAATAATATATAAGGTAGAGAAAAACACTAAAAAACACTAAATAAGGATTAAAAAAACTAACCCATTTGTATATGTGTGTGTATATATTTGTATATATATGTGTATATATGTATGCGTATATAATATTTCATAAATATTGTTGAACACTGTTTTCTTTAAATTTGCTTTCCTTATGAATTAATCAGTTGGTTGAAGGCTTTTCAAGTCATCATTGAATTCAAATTTTTTAAAATCTCATCTTTAAGCATTTTATGTAACTTTCTTCAATCAGCAGCTAGAGAGGAGAGATCTCTCACTTGGTATTATCAGAAAGATCATAACAGCCTCACTGTAAAAGGACATTACTAATTACATTCCTTTTTTCACTTAGTTCTATTCTGTAAATGATTATGGCAAGCTTTAATATTGAGTGAGGGCATCTCTATTACTATCCAAATATCACTTTTGAAAGATTTTTAAAAACAGAATTCTTTCAACAGTATTTTGGGACATGTATGCTGTGTTCAGCTGTGATGCATTTTTTTTCTGATCATATAATGGAGCAAAAACAAATATGATTTTTGTCCATGAGATACCAGAGTTCTGCAAAGGCTGTATAGAGCTTAGAGATGCACTTCTGTGTGGCAGAGGCTGGGAAGGGCTGTTTGTACAGTGTGCAATGGGAACACAGAAGAGGGGTACAAGCCAAGGTAAGGGAGAAATGAGGTTACAAAAGACTGCAAGAAAAGGGAAGCCTGAGCTGGATCTTGAAGGACAAGTTAAAAAATCAAATTGCAGGAGAAGGACATTTAAGCAGAAGAAATAAACAAAACAGAGGTACACAGTCAAGAGAAAATATATGGAAGATATTATATACTGAAGCAAAGATAGAATGGGAACCGCTGTGAATGCAGGGGTGAAGAAGACAGTAGACTGTTACCAGGACTGGCAGCAGCTTGTTCTAAAAAATTAATTTCACATATACAACTCTTGAGGGATACTTTAATTATGCTTTTTAAGAAAATTTACAGTAATAAATATCTCCAGGTAGCTCAAGTGGGCAAAATCTAATGGGCACCAGACTTCTTAGAGCATAAAATCTAGTGGGCACTAGACATTGAACACAGAGTTGCAATGTGACTAAAATTGTAAAGGAAAATACTGCAGGAGACTTAATCTTGTGTAAAAGGGCAGATGTGGCACATACTTCGCTGACAAAAAGATTTTAAGCTGATATCTATGATAAATAGAAGTTAATGGAAGAAGGAACAAGTAGAGGCAAGTCAATATAGCTGTCTGGCCATGAGGAGATTAAAGCATCTACAGAGCCCTTA
Organism: Homo sapiens; assembly: GCF_000001405.40. Taxonomy (NCBI): domain Eukaryota; kingdom Metazoa; phylum Chordata; class Mammalia; order Primates; family Hominidae; genus Homo; species Homo sapiens. Next base: position 1,670,038 of record NC_000018.10, read on the forward strand.
AATAAGAAATAATATGGCACATTGGAGAAGCCTTAATAGGTACAGTATAGCTGATGAGTATAGTAAATGGGAAAGCAGCAAATTGAGACTAGAGAGATGGGTAGAAGCCTGATTTTGCAAGACCTTGTGAACAATGATAGATTTTTTGTTTGATTTTTCCCTAAAAGCAATTGGGTGACAAAACAGAGTCTAGAACAGAGGTACAAACATATAAACACATAAGAGCGCTATATATGTGAGACTCTAAAAATATCTCTATTAACATGTAGATATAGACATAGACATAGACATTGATCTAGAAACAGATATGTACTTAGAGCACACAAAAGATAAAATGGACAGATTCATCTTGGTTGGAATGGGGGTTGGGTCATTCTAATTTGAGTCTTGAAGGATGAATAGATATCTTACAGGGGTCAAGCAGTTCATTCCTTCCCATTTCAATTTAGCTATTCTCTCAGTATGCCCGGACAAGATTATTCATCCCCTAACCTATCTTTAGCTGCATACTTCTTTGTAAGTTACTTTACTCTTCACTTGATATTCCTTTTCCCAAAACAATGACACAAAATAATGAGCCCATGTTCAGCAAAAGCTGTCAAATTAGCAGCATTGCGAAACAGTAATCAGAGAAAAATAGATTGTGGTGTTCATGCTCTAGCAACTACTATTCCTCTGTGGAGCTATTAACAAAATCAAGTGATTGGATCAGTATACAATTTTAATGAAGTCAAGAGTGCACAAATGGAAAACTATATGGGAGTTTTTTTATTTTTTGAGGGGGAGAGATTTACATTTGCTCTTTTTTTTTTTTTTCACAAGCACTAGACTTTTTATCCTCTGAGTGCTTGGGGTGAAGTCATGGAAATCATTGCACTACGATTTTTGGAAGGTGATATTCACCAGTGATCCCACAGAGCAGATCATCTGCAATTATTGTAGATCAGCATCCCTGTTTTATTTTTATTTTATTTTTAAATAAAAAGGAACAGCTTAGTTAACCAATAAAAAAAACTAATACTAAACTTTCTAGCTATAAATTAGGACAACCCCAGCATTTGCTATATGATGTAAGGGATCTGCTTTACCTCACTTTGTTTCAGTTTTCTCACATATTGAAAGAATTCCATTTTAAAAAATCTTTTAAAAGGCATATTTGGATGGTAATAGGGATGTCCACACTCAATATTAAAGTTTGCCATAATCATTCACAGAAGAGAATGAAGTGAAAAGAGGGAATGTAATTAATAATGTCCATTTACAGTGAAGTTGTTAGGATCTTTCTGATAAATATTATGTGGAAATAGATGAATGAAGGGATGAATGGACAATTAAACATATAATCACTTCTGTCACCCTGTATTTTCAAAGCTGCTATAAAATACAGATACACTAATTTATAAAACATAAGGGAATACATATTTATTATTCTTTCTTTCTTTTTAAATGCGAGGTTTTCCTCATCCACCCTAGAATAGTTATTGCTTAACAATGCATCAAGCTAACTTTCGCCATTAAGTAGAAATAGAACCAACAATTGAGTAGCCCAGCAAAGTGATTTCTAGGCAACAATCTGTCAGTAAATATTTGTTTGAAACTAACAAGTGGCAGGCATTGTTTCAGGTTCTGGAGATAGTTTAGTAAATGAGACTTGCAAATCCTACCTTCATGACATAAGAAAACCAATGTGCAAGCAATAATAATGATAATATAATTAAATTTTAAAAACACATCAAACAAACAAATCAACATGAATTGACTCTAAAAAATGCCAAAAAAGGAGAAATGAGGAACATAGAAAAAATAATAAGTATAGAAAAGCACAAAAGAAGGCAAAAAGTTAAAAAATACTAATAGTCACAATAAATGTAAATGCATTAAATTGACAAGTTAGAAGACAGAGATTTTCTTTTTTTATATTATGCTTTAATTTCTGGGGTACATGTGCAGAACGTGCAGTTTTGTTGCATAGGTATACACGTGCCATGGTGGTTTGCTGCACCCATCAACACATCACCTACATTAGGTATTTCTCCTAATGCTGTCCCTTCCCTAGCCCCCCATCCCCTGAGAAGACAAAGATTTTCAAATTGAATATTAAAAATCTAGCAACACATAAAAGAGACACAACTAAAATACAAAAAACAGAAAAATTGGAATTAAAAGCATAAAAAGATACATCTGATAAATATGATGTATATAAGAAAGTATGAGTTGTCACATTGGCACTAAACAGCATAGTCCCTACTAACAAAAAGCGTAATTAAGGATAGGTAGGGTGACTCTATATGAATAAAAACTTCAGTTAAATAGGAAGCTACCAAAATCCTAAACTTGTATATATCAAACAAAATTACCTCAAAATGTGTTAGTGCAACTGAAAGTATGAAGTGGACCCTTATCTAACATCATACACAAAAATTAACTCAAATGGATTAAAGACCTAAATGTAAGAGCAAAAACTGCAAACCTCTTAGAAGAAAGCATAAGGGTACATTTTTATGGCTGTGGATTTCGCCAGGAATTTTTAGATATGACACTAAAAGCATGAGCCACAAAAGAAAGCATTATATAAATTAGATTTTATCAACATTTAAAACTTTTGTGCTTTAAAGCATATATTATCAGAATGTAAAATTACAACCCACAAAGTGTGAGAAAGTAATTGCAAATTATATATCTGATAAAATACTTACATCAAGAATATACAGAGAAATTGATATAACAATAATAAGAACACAAAAAGCCCACTTTGGAAAATGAGTAAAGGGTCTGAATAGACATTTCTCCAAAGAAGATATACAAATGGCCAATAACTACATGCAAAGAAGCTTGACATCATTAGCCATCAGGGAAATATAAATCAAAGAACAATGAGATATCACTTCACACACACTAGGATGGCTAGAATAAAAAAGTCAGATAATAACAAGTGTACAAGAAGATGTGGAGGAACAGGAATCACCATCCATTGCTGTTAGGAATGTAAAATGACACAGCTGCTTTGATACACAGTCCGGTAGTTCCTCAAATTATGAAACATAGAGTTACATATTATCCAACAATTTCATTCCTAGGTACATACCCAGGAGAAATGAAACATATGTCCACACAAAAACATATACACAAATGCTTACAGCAGCATTATTCATAATAGCCAAATGGTGGAAATAACCCAAATATTCTTCAGATAATAAATGGATTTTTAAAAGATGGTATATCCATACAATGGAGTGTTATTCAGTCATCCAAAGAAATGAAGTACTGATACATGCTGCAACATGAATAAACCTTGAAAGCATTATGCTAAATGAAAGAAGCCAGTCACAAAATGCCTCATCTTATATTATTCCATTTACAGTAAACACCCATAGTAGGAATAATCTAGAAGGACAAAACGTAGATTAGTGGTTGCTCAGGGCTGGTGGAGAGACATGGGGGATAGGAATTGACAGTAGCTAAAGGGAAAGGGTATTCCGTTTCATTTTGAGTCAATTCTCAAATTGAGTATTTGTAGATAACTGTGACTATATTAAAAATCACTGAATTGTGTACTTTAAATGAGTAAAACGTATAATATATGAATTGTATCTCAATTAAGCTGTTTAACAGATAAACTCAAAATAAAGAAAAATTTGTTTGACATTGTTAGATATTTCAATATGCCTCTTACAATTTTGTATTAAACTACAGTATTAAAAATTATATGTAACAATGTAGATGTAAGAAATAGTTATGAAATTTAATAGCCAACTATTGGAGATTATTTTAGATGTACATGGGACATTGACAAAAATGGATTACCTACCAAGTGGTAAATTTCAGACTTTTCAAATAGTCATGCATACCACATTATTCTGATCTCATGCAATTAAGTTAGAAGTCAGATAAATAAAAAAAGTGTTAGACTTTAAAAACATACTTCTAAATGACCTGTCAGTTAAATAAGAATTTAAAAGGGAAACTAAAAGCATCTTGGAATGACTGGGCATGGTGGCTCATGGCTGTAATTCCCGCACTTTGGGAGGCCTAGTGGGAGGATTGTTTTAGCCCAGGAGTTCAAGACCAGTATTAGAATGGAAAGATAATTAAAAGCATACATTTCTGAAATGCTGGAATGAAGTAGTAGTATTATGTAAAGAAATATTTGTATCCTTAATTGGAGTATGAGAAAAGAGTTTAAAAATTAATTGTATCCAATTTAAGAAGTTAGAGAAAGAACAAAGAAAACATAAAGTAGAAGGAAAACATAGTTAGTAGACATAAATGAATTAGAAGAATTATAAAAAGAATACAGTAGCCTATAAGATTTTAAAAGTGACTGCTACCAAATTTTAAAAGACAAAAACATTACGAATTTATACAAACTTTTCCAGCTGTAGAAATTACAGCTAGCTAAAAGACTAGATTCTAGTGTTCTATACCACTGTAGAATGACTATAGTTAACCATAATATATTATATACTTTCAAGTAGCTAGGAGGAGGATATTGAACATTCTGAACATAAAGAAATGATACATGTTTGAGATGATGGATATGCTAACTACCATGATCTGATCAGTGTACATTATATGTATCAAAACATCACTATGTACCCCAAGAATATATACAATTATTTGTCAATTTAAAAAATAAATTTTTTTAAACATACAAAAAAGAGAAAAAAAAACAGCATTCAACTCACTGTATGAAGCGAGTTTCACTAAAAGAATAACAAATTCCTTTAAAATAATAAAATAATAAATCCAGCTATATATAAAGTGGATAATGATTATTTTTTTACCCAGGTTTGCAAGGGTGTAATAACTTAGAAATCATCATATGTTATACTCCATTTTTATTATTAAAAAAGAAAAGAAAAAGATATATGATCATATCATTCTAATTAACCGGAGAGATAAATAGAGTGAAAGGAATGTTTGAATGTTGGTGGGCAGAATATAGTGGAGAGGGAAAACAAGATGAAGTGGGAAAAAGGGTAGAGAATTTCTGGAACATTGTCCTTAAAGAGCAAATGCAGTTTGAAATCTAACTGCAAGTGGAAGACTTTGCTTTAGGCGGATACCCATACTAAAAGTAAGAAAGAGGAGCTAGATCCAGCTGATGTAGTGGGAATGTGAACTGCTCTGCTGATTGCTTCGGTCTTCTTCATAAAGAAGTATGTGTGAAGGGTGGAGTGGAGGGTTATTTTTATTAGGAAGCTAAGGACATTTTATTTATGATTTTTTAAAACAGGAATCTAAGGGGGCCGGGTGCAGTGGCTCATGCCTATATTCCCAGTATTTTGGGAGGCCAAGGCCTCCCAAGGGAGTTTTAACAAGGCCTCCCAAGGGGGTTTTAAACCAGCCTTGGCAACACAGTGAGACCCCATCTCTACAAAAAATTAATATATATATATATATATATATATATATATATATATATATGAAGCTAAGAGCATTTCAATAATATTTTAATAAAACAAGATTATTTTCAGACAGTCTGGATATGAGTATTGGAAGACTGTCTTTAAAAAGGCTAGTTCCTGAGTATAAAATATGCTTAATTGGGTGGTTAAGCTTGTGTCTAAAACTCTCTTTGGCATCTCTCTTATGAAAAAAAAATTATATATATATATATTTTTAAAAGTTCATTGAAGTATGTGACTACATAGGAATTAAGAGCAAAGACTGATGTCAGACTTATTAGCATCTACAGTTTTGCAATCCACCAGTTAGGAATCCAATAACTTTAGTTCCCTCATTTTATTTTTATTTATTTATTTTATTATTATTTTAAGACAGAGTTTCGCTCTGTTCCCCAGGCTGGAGTGCAGTGGCATGATCTTGGCCCACTGTAACCTCCACCTTCTGGGTTCAAGGAAGCATGTCCGCCTAATTTTTGTATTTTTAGTAGAGACGGGGTTTCACCATGTTGGCCAGGCTGGTTTCGAACTCCTGACCTCAAGTGATCCGCCCGCCTCAGTCTCCCAAAGTGCTGGGATTACAGGCATGAGCCAGCACGTCCGGCCTAGTTCTCTGATTTTAAAAGCACCTGCCTCACAGGGATGCTGAGGATATTCGAGAAAATACTTGTAAGCACCCAATTAGTCGAAAGCCACACTGTGTTTCCAGGTATAAGTACTTGAACGTATATATCTAGGAGTTTACTGTAGACGTATTTCAGGGGAATAGAGGTCAGAGAAGTTGCTCCAGAAATTAAAGGAGCTGATGCTAAAGATTTCAGCCGGAATCCCTGAGCCAAATGGCTTCTCCACATTACCAGGAAGCTGCCGCAGTGCTTGAGACTCTGGGATCTCACCAATTGTCTCGGTCTGCAGTGGCAAAGCAGGTGGGAAGCTGCTGTGGATCTCCTGTCTGCCCAGATGTCTTGGCTGCAGCTGCCTCTCAAGAATAATTTTTTCTTCGCTCTCATCTTCCAAATCTTTTGTGAGTTCCTTCATTTATGAACACTGAGCCAGACCATAGGGAAGAAGATTCTTGGAGCTGCAATTCGCAGTCTTAGGAGGGAGTGGTGCTGGCTCTAGCCTAAGAGCTTACTCAGCATCGTGCTTGAGACCAAAGAAATTGCTGAGTAAGTGGTAGTACTCCTGCATGGCATAATTCACATGCTGTGTATGTTTCACAGCTTCATTGTATTCTCAATTTCAATTAGTGAAATTAAGGAAAAGTTATTGCAACACATGGTCATGTCAAGTTTAAGAGTCTAAGAGTCCATTCAACCTATTAACCTTTTTGATGTGTCAGAGAAAACCACCTGAGATCATGCTTACTGTACGGCAATCAACTGCACAGGTTAATGATTTGATTCTTAAAGTATTGATTGTTGTCCTGTGTACAAGCATTGTATTATGTGACCAGAGGAATAATACAATTAATTTAAAACACAGTCCTTGCGATCAGAAAGAGTGCAGACCTAACGGAGAACTAATGACTAAATGATAGTGACAATAATTCAACTGCTAATTTCCCTTAGTATTCCAGTATAAATCTATCCCTTCTTATTTTGCTCTGGACTCTTCTTATTTTATTTGTATTTTTAGTTTAGGGACTGGAGTTAATTTTATAGTTCAGGGCATAAAATGCAGAATATGCTTAGATGAATTCAATATGTGAATATTGCCACCATTTTACCATGAGAACTAAAAGGTCCCATAAGCCTTCTACTTAAATAAAAATAACATTTTCTCCCCAAAACTACTTCTAATCATTATAAACACTCTCAGTTTCTTTTGCTGGAATATTGAGATTTGATAAACAAATACACACTCACTTGAATATGAATTTTCCAGGCTGAGTGTTTTTACTTTTGCAGGTATTTCTTCTTTTTGTCTGGAATGAATTTCCCTCCCTTGTTTGCCTGGCAAAATCAAGCTATAGAGGAAGAGAGTTCGTGGCTGAGAACTCTAACAAAGGATAGTTTAATGTTTTAATTTTTAATATTTATTTATTTATTTATTTATTTTACTAAGTCCAGCCTACACTCAATGGCATCATTTATACACCAAGTCTCAACAATACTCGATTTACTTATGGAGTAAACCTGCATATGTACCTGCTGAACCTAAAATAAAAGTAGAAAAAATAAGTAAATAAAAAGGACGGTTTAACAAGAGAAAAGCATACAAATGTATTTTAGCTTTACATGACATGGGAGCTTCAAAAATGAAAATTCAAAGGAACAGGGAAACCTGTGTATTTTTACGTCAAGTTTAATGAAGAAATGGATACTTGTGGAGAAATACGATTGGAGGACAAGGAGGGAATAATCTGATAATATTAACCTGGAGAGAGCTTAGCAAGACCTGTTTGTTCAGATTCTTCTTGGCATCTCTGTTTCTTCGAGGATAAGGACATTCCTTTCCTCTCTGAATTGGATGGATACGTGTGGAATCAAGGTTTTATGTCCTCCTTTAGAGGAGGAATTAACCAATGAAGTTAAACAAAAGCAAATGAGGAAATAAGAATTAGAAAAGAGGTCGGGCATGTTGGCTCACACCTGTAATCCCAGCACTTTGGGAGGCCAAGGCGGGCGGATCACTTGAGGTCAAGAGTTCAAGACCAGCCTGGCCAACATGGTGAAACTCCATCTCTACTAAAAAAAACAAAAAAACAAAAATTAGCTGGTCATGTTGGCACACACCTGTAGTCCCAGCTACTGGGGAGGCTGAGGCAGGAGAATTGCCTGAACCTGGGAGGTAGAGGTTGCAGTGAGCCGAGAGCTTGCCACTGCACTCCAGCCTGGGCAAGAGAGGGTGATTCTGTCTAAAAGAAAAAAAAAAAAAGGATTAGAAAAGGAGAGGTAAATGTATTTCTATTTGAAAATGATATGATTGTCTATAAGGGAAATTCAAGAAAATCTATGAATTATGTACTACAATCCATACTTAAGCAATGATCAAGCTATATGTTCTGAAGTCGTATCGTTTTATCCCAGCTCCCAGAATACTAACACAAAATTATCATTTCGAAATGGTCAGGGAATTCTTTTACGGCCTGCTTCAGGGGAGAAGGGCAAGGAGAAGGTGAGAGTGACTTTCCTGCTTCTGCTGTTTCCTCAAAAGCCAGGGTGTCGTATTTTGGGGTACTGCATCCTGAACTTCATCACTACCCATCTCTCAGGACTTATGTTAAGCATTGTTTCTTGTAGAAAAACCTATCTCATCTCTCCCAGCTAGAATTAGATGCTTCCTTTATTATATTCTACCGCCAAAGCATATTGCTACCACATTGTGTTGTAATGATGCATATTTTCCGTGCTGTGTTATCACTGTGTATATCCACATCTTCACCACCGCATAATAATCTCCTTAATTTAGGGATGATGACTGGTTCACCTTGGTCTCTTCAGTGGTTCTTTAATTGCAGGTCCGCACAGTTCCTGTTGCCAGTATAACAAATTATCCCAACTTCAGTGGCCTAAAGCAACTGAAATTTATACTCTTCCGGTTCTGGACATCGGAAGTTTGAAATGGATCTGACTGAGCTAAAAATCAGTGTCAGCAGGGCAGCATTCCTTCTGAGGGCTCCAGAGGAGAATCCCTTGTCTTGCTTTTTCCAGCTACTGGAGGCTATGTGCACTCCTTTGCTCATGGCTCCTTTCCCCATCTTCAAAGCCAGCAGTGTAGCTTCTTCGAATCTTTCTCTACTTCTTTTATTAATAAGGATCCTTGTGATTACATTAAGCCCAATATAATCTCTCCTCTCAATAGCCTTAATGATATCTGCTAAGACTGTTTGCCATGTAGGGTAACACATTTATAGGATCTCGAGATTAGGATGTGGACGTCTTTGGCTGACGGCATTAGCCTCTTTAGCACGTTATCCTAAAACAGCCTGTCCAAGGAATGAGGCATCCGCGAGGCTGAGCCCATGCGCTGTGCGTAGTCATTTCTTTGCGCTCTCCAGGCCTCTTTCCACTTTGCACGACTTTAGCAGCAAAGGGAATATAGAACTTTGTACTTTTCTGGTCGTCAATGCTCGGTTTTTTAGATATGTTTCTATGAGTGATTATTTCAGTGACGCTACCAATAGAAACAGCATATTTTGATGATTCTCCTAAGAAATAACAGTGTTGTAAAATTTGGATTTTTATTTTGATGAAAGCACTGGGTTCCATATGAAAGTCCCGTTTTTTACACAGCCCCTCTCCTGTGGTGAAATGCTGAAATACTTTGTCAGATCTAGAAAAGAGAGTGAAGTACGGGTTAGTGTTTGAAGAGAAGAACAAAACGAGCCATTACTATCCATGAAACACTGAGATTTGCTGTTCTTTGTTCTTTAGATCTTAAAAGTAACAAACGAAAAGGAAAATGCAACAGTATTCTTTCCAAATTGTTTTAAATTCATATTTTATTACAAGACATCCATTGACTTTATATTGCTGCTATTAATATTAATGCTGTCACTTTTATCTGCAACTTTTTTTTTCTTCTTCTCATCCACTTTTTCCTCCTTTTTACTATTCTCTGTTCTCTTTTTGGTCTTGTTTGATTTAAAATATCCCTCCACAATGCTTCAGTATAATTCTCGTATCCTTATTAAAAAGTTTCATTTTGAGGTGCTTGTTATTTTTTATCTACGGTCTATTTCAATCTCTTAAAGAACCCAGATCAAATATTCACTCATAGCTTTTATTAATAATAAATTTTAAATCCACATTTTATCACAAGACATCCATTGACTTTATGTTGCTGCTATCAATATTAATGCTGTCACTTAAAGTCCAAATTGTCAGCATCAATGCCAAAGTAAATATCAATAAAAGGTATCCTTTATTTGCTTTCAAATCAGCAGAGAAATAGTGACAAGTTGGCATATGACAGAAAAGCATTTGCATGCAATAAGGATATGTAAGTCTCATTGGTGTCAGTTTAAAACCAAATCAAATTTTAGCAGAAATTTTTATTTAAAGCCCCTGAGTTTATAATTAATTGGCAATTGCAAGCAAGCCTTGAGGTCCACAGAAGGAAACCAAGGTATGATTTTTTAAAAAAGTAAACACTTACAAAAGGAAAAACAAGTAATGCATATGACAGTTCTACTGTTGTCTACTGTTGTCAACAACCCTGGGAAATCGTCTGTTTCACCTTTGTAACACTGACTTCCCATCTGCAGCATTGTAGTGAAAATGACCAGGTAATTTAGGGCACAAAAATAAATATCAACCACTCACAAATCCCAATGCATGATGTAAATGTATTCCAAGTCACTGATTTTGGTTGCCAGTAAAGTCAGGGACAGGATAAAAATGCCCACTATTATAATATGGACATGATATTGGAGGAATTAGCCAATGAAATTAAATGAGAGCAAATAAGGACATAAGAATTAGAGAAGAAGAGGTAAATGTACTTCTATTTGAAAATGATACGATTCTCTATCACAGAAACTCAAGAAAACCCATGAATTATCTACTACAATCCATAATTAAGCACTGACCTATGTTCTAAAATCATATCATTTTATCCCAGATCCCCCAAAATTAACAAAAAATTACCATTTCCAAATTGTTTTGTAGCAGGCGAATTGAATTTGACATAATACATCATATTTTGCTGATGATCCTCATTGCTTATATTCTTATAGTTTGCTGTGGCATGCAAACTTTGAACATCAAAATAATACCAATACAGAAAGTGCTGTTTCATATATATATGAAAGTTAAGATTTTGAGGCTTTTGAAAATTCAATGATCCTAAAGTTAGTTTTAGAACAGATATAAAATTGTTTGGATTTATGTACAAGTGTATAGAGTTTTATGTAAGGTAAGTAGAAGGAAAATACTTTTTTCTTCAGATTGATGCTTAGACCAAGAAATTCTTAAGATGTATGATATCTGTAGCTTCATGTGCACTAGTTGAAAGAGCCTTGTTACCTTGTCAACTTCTTGTCCTAAATTCACGCTAACAGTATGAACTTTGAATTTTGCTCAGATGTCTGTACAAGAAAAAAGGCATGTATGGTATTCAACATAATTTTTTCCTGCTGTTTATATAAATCCGAAACAAGAGTAGAGATATCATAAGATAATATTATGAGAATTAGGTAGAACTTGATGAATTATTTTGAGTTACTTCTAATAAATTATTTGTAAAATCTTAAACTCATTCTAAAATACACAAACATTAAGGTCATCTGTTTATAGTAGACAGATAATCAGGAAAATTCAAATGCAAATAATCATCTCTTTATTAACTATCTATTAAATACAACATTCTATTTTAGCTATTTTCTGCAGTTACTTGATTTAGCTAAAGGCACAAGAAACTTTATGTCAATGCATCTATTTAGCTACATATACTACTGATATTTTACTATCAGTTATTTTCCTTGTTCAGTTTATTTATAGTTACATGTGATTTCAAGTTATTATACAATCTAAATGAATCAGACGAGAAACTGAAACATCAAGTCATGAATTATTTCTGTATTTAATTCTACCCTGGTCTGAATATATAAAGCTTTTCATAAAGATTAATTTAACCATAATTTCACAACTCGTGTCCTTTTCAGTCTCTATCTGACTTTAATATCATTCAAGATAATTTTATTTGTATATGTTTTATTAATATGCCATAGCATAAATTGACATTTTAAAATTTTGTTAGAGCATTAACTGTTAAAGTACATATTTTCTTCACCTTATCATACGTTAATTAAAACATATTGGTGCCTATATTTAACATTTTGTCTCTTCTATCGTTTTTAATCTTAGAGATCACTGCATCAATTTAACTGCACACATAAAATACTGTAGTAACAACCCAGAAATACGTTTCTTCTTCATTTCCTACTTTTTCATAATTCCCTCAATTTCTTACTTAGAAACTTTTTGGAAACTGCCATGTAGTTTGACATCAAAAATATGTAAAGTTTAATTTGCTCAATTGCTGAAACTTAATTACAACATATCAGTTATTTAGAATGTTTGGCATTTCCTGTAAATTCTTCTAATTAGGAAACCTTTAGAGATTCCAATGAAGAGAGACAAAACCACCAAAATGTGTTGGCAGAGATAGATATTTTCCTCTTATTGAATGAGCTCAAAACATGATAAACATTTGAAAAAACTTACAAATTACAATTACAGTAAAAATGCCATGTGATGTGACCTCAAATGCTTTCTGGGTTTGTTGTGCTTACTGTATTGTTATATTCTTGTGGAGGAGGAGTATGTGTTTGCACTGATTTAAGAAAATCTGATTAAAGGAGGGAAACTCATTAAGAGTGTATTACGAGAGAGGATACATAAATTATTAGACTGGAAATTCAGAGTTTGCATTGGAGAGGGAAATATGTCATAGATTTCAAAGTTATGTAACTTAATCACATTTTATATGCTAAATTTTTAATCAAGAGTGAAAAAGTATTGTTGGTGGGAAGGTCAGTTAGTATAGCTATTGTGGGAAAACAGGGTGTATATTCCTTGAAAAATTAAAAATAGACTTAGTTGCCGGGTGTGGTGGCTCACACCTGAAACCCAGCACTTTGGGAGACCTAGGTGGGAAGATCACTTGAGGTCAGGAGTTCAAGGCCAGCCTGGACAACAAAGCGAAACCCCGTCTCTACTAAAAATACAAAAATTAGCTGGGCGTGGTGGCAGACCCCTGTAATCCCAGCTACTCAGGAGGCTGAGGCAGGAGAATCACTTGAACCTGGAAGGTGGAGGTTGCAGTGAGCCAAGATTGTGCCACTGCACTCCAGCCTGGGCAACAGAGTGAGACTGTGTCTCAAATAATTAATTAATTAAAAAATAAAAATAGACTTACCATATGATTCAGCAGTCCCACTTTTGGGTATATATCCAAAGGGTGTGAAATCATTATGTGGAAGAGATATCTGCACTCCCATGTCCATTGCAGCAGCCAAGATACGGAAGCAACCTAAGCATCCGCTAACAGATTAATACTAAGCACGGTGGGATACTCTTCAGCCTTATAAAGGAAATTCTATAATTTTCAATAACATAGATGAGTCTGGAGGACATTATTTTAAGTAAGCGAGGCACAGAAAGGCAAATACCACATGATCTCACTTATATGTGGAATCAAAAAAGTCAAATTTATAGAAGTAAGGAGTAGAATGATGGGGACAGGGGTGGGAAGATGGGGAAAGAGGAGATGTTAAGCAAAGGGTATAAAGTTTCAGTTAGATGAGAGGCGTGATTCTAAGTGATGTATTGCACAGAATGGTGACCATAGGTAATAGTAAGGTGTTGCATATTTCAACATTGCTAAAAGAGTACATTTTAAATGTTCTCACAAAAAAAGTATAGAAGGTGATAGATATGTTCATTTGGTTTAATCATTCTACAATGTACACATATATCAAAACATCACATATACTCCATATATATATACACAATTATTATTTTAAATTATTAAGAATAACTTTAAGAATGTGAGCTTATAATCTGAGCAGCAGGAACTAAAATCCAAAATCCAGTTAGAATGCCTAGACGTTTGTCAAAAATAACAGAACTTCTTTTTTTTTTAAGGCCTAGACAGAAGGATGTGGCGCAGATGCAAGAAAGCCCCCAGTGACCAAACCAATCACTTGCCTGAACCAGTAGATCTCTGCTTGAGCCAGAGGGTTTCCCTGGGCTTCCTGCCAATCTCAGGAACCAGCCCCATTGTGGGCAACCATGTCTGACCATCTGAATCAAGTGGAGAATGAAGCTCTATAGTTTTACCATGGTATATTTGATTTCTTGACTGCTTTTTTTTTTTCTTTTTTACAAAGTCGTCTTGCTTTATAAGCAAACTAACAGATGGCTGAATCTGGATATAACTGCGGAGACCATTTTCAGCATTTCTGTTGTTGGCTAAAGCATACTTTATTAGTGATGTTACCAAGTTATTCATTTATTTATACCCATCTGCAAACACTAGTATACAGTAGGTATTGAAAGAGTGATATTTATTTCATGAAAGGAAGGTTTCACTAGGGATTCGGTTAACACATGGTTTTTCCTTTTATGTATGCTAGTCTCAACACACTAGTGGCCAGGTGACACATATTGATAGACTATAGAGGTATAGAGGGTACATATTCTGACAGTTTTATACTGGTTATTAAGTATTTTTAATGTGCACCAAAAGAGGGAGTATAAAATGTTTGCTTCAGTGTGTAATATGACTGTGTGACGCCAAGAACAAAACAAAAATACAGATTGACTAACAGACCCATTTTAGCCTACGTGACATAAAACATATGTAGACATCCTCATGGACAATAACCCCATCATCACAAAACGCTGCCAAATTCCTAAGTACTCATAACAGCTATGCCACTTATTTTCATATTTGGAAAGAAAATTATCTAACACATCTCGCACTACGGAAAAAAGGCACACGTTTCTTCATGGATAAGACACAAATATTGGCCTAATTGGCTAAACTCAGAAATTCACACTGTCTCCCGTTTTGACAGTATTTCTGAATCATAGCCTATACGGAAGAATAAGAGGGTAAACGTGAAGAACTTGTGTATGTGGATAAGGCACTTTTCTAACAAATAACTAGGTCTTAACTACAAACCCATGTTAAAAGGAAAACTCAGCTGAAAAGAGTTTAATTGAGCAAAGAACAACTCACGAATGGGGCAGCCTCCTGAGCCAGAGTAGGCTCAGAGATTCCAGCACAGCCATGAGATGGAAGATGATTTATGAACAGAAAAAGGAGAGTGAAGTGCAGAAAATGGAAGTGAGGTACAGAAACAGCCAGATGGGTTATTGCTCAATGTTTGTCTTATTTGAACACAGTTTGAACAGTTGACCACATTTGATTGGACAAAACTCGGTAATTGGCACAAGAGTAAGTTACAGTCTGTTTAGAATTCCATGTAGGTTATAGTTCATGATGTACAGAGAAACCTTTAGGCTGAACTTAAAATTCGTAAGGAGGTAGATTCAGTCTAAACTTGATTTAATAATTTCCCCCTTTTGGTCACTCTCTCAAAATTAAGAGAATGATCAAAACTTTAGTCATTGATGTTAGTTTCACCATTGTAAATGTATTTATTTGGTCTTGAAACCCTCTGGGAAACAGTAGAACAGTGGCTTTTGTAAGGCGGGAAGAAGGACTTCAGGTTATTTTTTTAAGGGTTAGAGTAGAGGGTATCTCCTTATGTTAGAACGTCCTGTTTATGAGAGAAAAGACAAAACCTGGTGTGTTCTAGGATCTATGTGTTTCCTTAAAATCTTAGTTTGATTATTTCACATTTAGCACAAGTGACTCTATTTTTGTTTGGTCGGGTCTCCATGAGGTCAGTTCAAAACAATGGCTTCCCATAATTTTGTTTAAAAGTTTCCCCTCTTTTGATCAGGTTCTCACTTAGGTGAAAGTTTGGCCAAATCTTAGGGCCATCGTGCCACTCTCTGTTATCATTTTGGGTTTCTGGTCTCTGCACGTCATTCATAGGTTACGGTGCCCTCATGGTCAGAAATTTCTTTCAGCTCTTGTAATTTCAGTTGAAGAGAGACTATTTGACATTCTAGAGATGGCTGCATGCAAACATTTAAAACTTGAGAGAATATTATTCACCAGGGAGACTACTATTATAACTATCAGGAGGATAATACCAAGAGTTTGGAGTACGGTCCTTACCCAGTGTCCCCATAACCCAAATCACCTAAAATCAAACAGATCAAAGAATGAGCTAGATAAAGAGTCTACTCACTTTAACTAAGCAGTCTCTTTGTTAATCCTGTACAACTGAATCTCTATAATACCTAATGTAGTGTATTTCTCCATGGGCAACAACAAGTGGCAACAGCTGCACAGATACTTTTCTGTTTAGCCAGTAAGAAATCTAGAATGATTCTAATATTGAGTATTACTTTCACAAGAGAATTTAAAGTAGTTAGTGTAACCATATCCTTTACAATAGATTCTGCTACAGAGTCTATCATCAGGGATGCATTGCTAATCATTGCCTCTTTTACTCCAAACGATGAAAAAAGGAACTAACAAATGATGCCCTTCCAGAAGAGTGAAGACCTCCTGGCAATGTTCTCTTTAACCCATGATTTAGGTTAAAAGGAGTGGATCAATGTTCCCTTTCTGACTGATCATGAGGCAACATATGTACCATTACAATTCTCACCTACATTGAGCCTTCATACTTCTATCTATCAAGGCATAAGTTTATCCATGTTTAAGGCTGGCTGCAGAATCTTTCAAAAATAAAAGTACATACCCCATGAGTTTATAAAACAGATACCCTTTTCACTTCTATTTTTTATAGAGGCATAAACAAAGGGAAAAAATCAAAGATAAGAGTCTCATGATGGTAAAGAAGTTTTGATCCGTGATCTTGGGGAAAAGCTGTTCACATCAAGATGCCTTCTTCTTCTGGGGAGAAACTCCCCCAGTTAGATTTACCTTAAGGGTTCCAATGGGTGTATAGTTCCAAGAGCACGGAGGGACTCTTCTCAGTTGTGAGATTATGAACCCAAAGTTGAAGGTCCCAAAGTATTGCTGCAGTGTGGATGTCAAGGGCAGTCTTTCTCTAATGTTCTCAGAAGATCCAATCTTTGGGTTCTAGATTATGAAGGGGTTGATTGCCCTCAGTTAGTGAACCATGAAAAACTTTCTTTACCCAGTGAAAATACCCTGTGGCATAAAAAGATACTATTATAACATCAGCCCCTTTACATGGGAAAGCTTTTATACAATGAGAAAACATGCATTGAAAATGACAATTGAATGAAATCTCTCTACAAATGTTTAAATGGCCCATCAGGTAGCAGAATGTACTTGAAGTTTTGATTGTATTCCCAGGAATATGGGTTTGACAAACCAAACATTGGTCATAAACTATTTTAACAATTTAGAAGTCACCATCCCAATATATATTTTATTTAAATAATTTTATCTTTTCCACCATGAGTCATGGAATGCAACATTTTAATAACAAAAGGTTTATGGACTCAGAAAGGACAAAGTGGCTGTCCTGGTTCTCCATAAGTCCATGCTTAATGTTGAACTTACATGCTCTTGAATAGCATTTTTTTACTCCAATTTAGGTCCATAGCACTGATAACTGATGGGCTCTCATAGGTAATTTGACTTAGACCATGCAATTCATTCAAATTGTATATCTAAACAATTTCAGTATTGGCTGATATAGCATGGAAATCTGGCAAAATATTTTCGTGGTATTCAATTAATTTTTGTTCTGCTTGGGTTAGCAGTTTTATAAACCAGTGAGTCTTTTCATTAAAGTTATTCTTATCCAGTCCAAATGATGTGATTCTAAAGTTATCAGAAACCTGTATTCAAGTGTTTTTCAGGATTCTTTCCATTCTTTCATGAACTTCCTTAAAGATACTGTATTCTAGGACTTTGTGTGCTTGTGAAGTTTTCAGAACTGTGGAAATAACTTTAAGCAATCATAGTTAAAGACACGATTGACAAGAAAATTTGGTTATTTTTGTGATCTGCGATAACTTAACATAATAATCATTATTATGATTGATGGCATATACTCAGACATACTAGAATTTTAGAAGTGCCGTACGATTTTGGAGCATATATTAATAACATTCATTAAAATATAACCTGAAGAAAGTTAAACATTATTTCTGCCTTTGACAATGCTTCCCATGTAACTTAACAAGTCAAATAATTCTGTTTACCTCTCTTTTGTATGCTTCAGGGGCCATCTGTAGCATCCCAAAGTTAGAGGTTCAAAAAGACTGAATTTTGAAGCTGAAATTTGATTTTGGGAAGCCTGGCAAATATATTAAAGGTTTAAAACACTTGACCAAAACAGGATCACAGTCTTTGTAAAACAATAGTTTATTCATTTGATGTGGTTAGGCTTTGTGTCCCCACTCAAATCTCATCTTGAATTGTAACCCCCACGTGTTGATGAAGGGAAGTGATTGAATTATGGGAGTGGTTTCTCCCATGCTGTTCTGGTGATAGTGAGTGAATTCTTGCAAGATCTGATGGTTTTATAAATGGTAGTGTTTTTGCACTCTCACACACTCTCCTTTACCTGCCACCATGTAAGACATACCTGTTTCCCCTTCTGCCATGATTGTAAGTTTCCTGAGGCTTCTCCAGCCACACAGAATTGTGAGTCAGTTAAACCTCTTTTCTTTGTAAATTTCCCAGGCAGTTCTTTATAGCAGTGTGAAAATGGACTGATACATCATTTAGGCAAAGTAATAATTATAAGATTTTTAAAAGCAAAAACCAGTACTTTTTGATAAAGGAGACTCAGTTTTCTAAGCCATCAAAAGACCTGAATAGGTGGTCTGGATAGGTGGCCATGATGATATGTGGATAAGTGACAGCATAAGACAGAATCCGTCTCTTTTTTCCTGTCTCCTATTTCTTTTTCTGTTTGCCATTTACTCAAAAAGTGAATGAAAATATTTTACTGTGTCTCATTAATGCTACACAAAATTTTTCTATTAGTGTATTATTTTTGTATTAGTGTATGATTTACTTTTAGTGTAAAATTTACTTTTGTATTAGTGTATTATTAATACTAACACTGACTTTAATAAAATCTATTAAATAAATTCAAGTCACTTTTTAACCACACAATTTCCATAAACACTTCATTTTATGTTGTTCTCCAATTTTCTGTGTTTTATCTATCTTTTTCCTTCTTCAATTTGAAAACTTTTAGTAACTTTAAACCAGACAACATTTGTAACACATATTTCTATGCTTTTATAACTTTCTTCATCAAATGCATATTTTGCTTTTGTTTATACTCTCTGTATACAGAATTGTTTCTTTCATAGTTTTTAACTTTTAGTAACCCTAATTTCTAGTGAAAACCCTAGAAAGTAATTTTGAACTGTTTTATATAAGTATTGGTAGATAAAAACTATTTTATAATTTTTTTAGAAAAATTGCTCTTCAAATTATTATTAACAGATCTAAATATATTTAGCTTTCTCATACCATATGAAAATAATGTGTCATTGTATACTGACACTCATGTTTAATAATTAATATTTCAGTATCTTAACTTACAGATGACTCAGACACTTTATATATTACTTAATTTAACATACATGAGTCTAAGATTTTAAATTAATGGAAAGAATTTGGAAACTGTAACACAAGTAGCATTCCTAATGTCTTCCCTCAGTTACTCTAGGTCCCAAGTAGCCATGTAGCACCCAGGAGGAACTTGCAGGCCAGGGCCTGTCTGAGTCCATCAGGACAGAAGACAAAGCAGTAAAGACTATACCTGGAGGACCCAACTCCTCCCAGAATAGATAGGAAGCAAAACAGGGAAAGCAGAGGAAGAAGGGGGCCATATAGGGCTTGATTCTGGCCTGTAGCTGCTGGTCTATGCACTAAGAACATGTCTCCAGACCTCATCATGACTGCCTATCTAGACCCCTGAATCCAGAGACTCTAAACCAAAGACATAAGCTCACGGTCAAATCAAGCAAGAATCTAATTATATTTCACTGATAATTTTGAAACCATTTCTATTTTATCAACAATTTCAAAACTAAATTTATTTACCAAATACCACATATACATAACACATGGAGACATACAAACATAAGAAACAGATCTTATAGTTCTCATAAAGGATTTTCATTTGATGGCTTTTAAACTTTTTTTTTCTTTTCCGCATTTGGTCTATCAGTCTTCCAATTATTGGTTTTATTGCCCTAAGCAATTGTTAACTAGGTGTGATGGTTAATATTGAGTGCCAACTTGATTGAAGGATGCAAAGTATTGTTCCTGGGTGTGTCTGTGAGGGTGTTGCCAGAGGAGATTAACATTTGAGTCAGTAGACTGGGAGAAGCAGACCCACCCACCAGCTGAGTGGGTACCATCTATTCAGCTGCCAGTGTGGCTAGAATAAAGCAGGCAGAAGAACATGGAAAGACCAGACTTGCTGAGTCTTCTGGCCTTCATCTTTCTCCCATACTGGATGCTTCCTGCTCTTGAACATCAGACTCCAAGTTCTTCAGCTTTTGGACACTTGGACTTACACTAATGATTCGCCAGAGGCCCTTGGGCCTTCAGCCATGACTGAAGTCTGCACTGTCTGTCTGCTTCCCTACTTTTGCAGTTTGGGGACTCAGATTGACTTCCTTGCTTCTCAGCTTGAAGATGGACTATTGTGGGACTTCACCTTGTGATCATGTGAGTCAATGAGCCTTAATAAAACTCTCCTTCATGTATACATCTATCCTATTAGTTTTGTCCCTCTAGAGAACCCTGACTAATACATTAGGCAACCAATTTGTATTTCTAAAGGGATAACTTTTAGTTGGAACAAAAATAATGTATATTTCATAAGCACAGAGCTAATGAAATATGATATTGTATCATCATTTGCTCAAACCAAGGAGAAAAAAAAAAAAAAACGTCACTTAACACATCATGGCCAGGAAAACATGTTAAATAAAGGTATCACTTATTACATAACTTTTAAAGAATGGTAAGAGGTTCTACAGTACATGGGCAGATATCTTTAGAAATGGAGATTGCCTTTATAGATGTAAATTTCTTTTACAAAAGAGTTTTTCAGGATAGCCAATTAAATTCCAGAAAGGTGTGTTTTAGTTCAATGGGTGTTCTTTTTAACATAGCTACTGCTGTTTCTTAGCTAAAATTACTGAGTTCAGAGTGATAGGTGAAGTCTATTTAAGAACACGGTGAACAAAGCATTGTATGCCTGGACTCAGCATGGGTAGATCTGAAAAAGAAGCAAGCCTATTTCACCTAAGGGCTTACCTTTTATAAACACCTATATCCGCCTTTGGGGTAGTATAGTAACTAAGCCAAAAGGTTAGCATATTTAATTTTTTAAATCGGTTAGTCAGCTTTTTATATGCCTTTTGTAAAGTCTTTAAATGAACATATTGAATTATTTTTAGAAGCTTCTGCTGCAGTGTTGTTCATTTGGAACATTCCACTGGTAGTTACCTTTAGTAAGATTTTGCCATTTCTAGAAGACTTTGCTGCTTCTGGGGCCTAATACTTATGCATATATAAACTGGAAGGAGCTCAGTTCTTCAGAAATTAAGAATCCCATTTTTACTTCAAATATTGGTTTTGTCTCTCAGGCTCCCTTGATCAACTAGCCAGTCCGATCCTGGACACAGTCCAGTTTCTATTGCAACTTTTAAACGCAATTTGGATCAGACATTTGCTCAAAGAAACTCAGAGAGTTCAAAACACAAATCTGTGGAGGTTTGGAATCTGAGAGAGAACTTACTGCAATCCCCAGCTGCTCTGAGAGAGCAATGGACACATTGGGCCCAGTGGGTACCTCACTTGGTCGCTCAGAACTGGGGGTTGTTAGAAGCTCTACTTCAGATCCCACTCCTGACACCATTAAAATGTTAAAATAAAATAAAATAAAAACTTTAAAATAAAATACAAACTTTAGCCAAATTCAGAGTTTAATTGAGCAAAGAATGATAATCAAGGAAGACTGAATCAAGCAGTCTCCTGAGCCAGAGTAGTCTCAGAGACTCCAGTGCAGCCATGTGGTGGAAGATGACTTATGAACAGAAAAAGAAAGTGACATACGGAAAAGGAAGTGACATACAGAAACAGCCAGATTGTTTACAGTTTGATGTTTGCCTTATTTGAACGTAGTATGAACAGTTGGCCACCTTTAATTGGCCAAAACTTGGTGATTGGCACAAGGGTAGACTACAGTCTATATACAACTCCATTTAGGTTATATAGGTCACAATATACAGATAAATTTTTAGGCTGAACTTAAAATACATAAAGAGGTAGCTTTAGGCTAAACTTGATTTAACACCCAGTGTCTACTACAAAGTTGAAAGAGAGGAGTGGGGATGATGTGATATGGCTGGGATTGAGGCTGAGAAAGCAGACAGACTGTAGAGGTACACTGGCTTCTCCAGAGCTTGGTATCCTTATGCCTGGAGTTGGCAAATCTAGAAAACAAAACCAGGCCAGGTTTCTGGGGAGTTTTGTAGCGAGAGGTAACAACATTGCTAATAATGATCATTAACATTTATTGCAAATTTTCTATGTTCCAGGCAGTATGTTAAGACCATAATTTTCATTCTAATCTTGAACCTGTGCTGTATGAACTAGTGTTATCTTTATTTACATCAGGGGAATGTGGCATATAAGGAGTCTGAGACTATTATCAAGGGCACATAGAAAGCTGGTGTCTGAGACTTATCTTCAGCAGGAAGGCAATAGGAAAAGTTAAAGTCAGATTGTGAGACCTGAGACCAGTGTCCAGAAATTCTAGACAAGCAAAGTTCATAGACAGAGGCCACACTCATCTAATGCCTGCTGTTCAGTAGAAGTGGAAAGGCATGACAAGAATACAATTCCTGTGTGCAGACAGGAATAAACAGTTAGAATTTAAGGTTTCAGGGAGGCCAGCCTGGGTGAAATAAAAAGAAAAGAGTTTAGAATGAACAACTGGTCTCAGATTGGGCAGCTGATTCAAGCACAATCAATACTTAGCTGATTATCCTGGAAGTGCTGCCTGATCTCTGCCCTCTCAATGTGAATGAAGAATGTGAGTGCATGCAGCTGCTACCAGAGAAAAAGAGGATTATCCAGACGTAGTGTAGTGAAGGAGTAGTGGATGTGTGTATATATGCATATATATTGGTTTTACATTTTTTATCAACTAAAAAAGTTTATACTTCATCAGATTACTTTCTTTCTTATCTTTTTTTTAAAAATCAAATGTCATTTTTCTATTCTTGAATCCCATCCATGACACCACATTTAATTGTCATGGTGCCGGAAGGGCCTTGTGCCTGTGACAATTTTGGAAACTTATGATTTGATGACCTTGACAGTTTTGAGGACTATTGGTCAGGTATTTCGTAGAATTTCCCTTGATTGGTATTTGTCTGGTATTTTTTTCTCATGATTACATGAAGTTATGGGTTTTGGGGAGAAAAACCATGAAGGTAATGTGTCATTTTCATCCAAATCATATCTAGGGTACAACCTATCAACATGACATCATGTCCAGTGTTATGTTTATCAAGTTTTCTACTGCAAACTTACACTTTTCCTCCCATTTCCACAGTCTACTCTTGAAAAGGAAGTAATTATGAACAGCCACACTTAAAAAGTGGAGAATTATGCTCTAACTCTTTGAGGGTGAAATGTCTACCTAATTTTTTTTATAATTCTTCTACATGGGAGATTTGTTTCATCTTCCCTATTTATTTATTTGTTTGTTCAATAATTTGTTTATTCCAGTATTGACTCATGAGTGTTTAGTCTATGCTCTCGATTATAATCCAACAGTGCTTTATTTGTTTTGTTACTCAAGTTGTTTCAACTTTGGCCATTGGGAGCTCTTTTACATATGTGTCTCTTTGACATACCCCCATTGTTGTGTTTTTCTTTTACTTTTCTTATTAGGACTTACTTATTTTCTAGCATCACAAGATAGTATATTACCAGCTCCAGTCCTACATTCAGCCACTTCTCCAAGGAGACCTGATTCCTTTCATTGCTACTGGAGGGTCATTTCATCTAGGACCTCTCAGCTAACAGGGAAGGAAATAGATGTATATAGACTAATCTATATACATAAATTTATCTATAAATATTTCTATATATAAGCATTTACAGCTATATTGAGCTAAACATAAGTTCATACTGATTCTCCAACTGTAATCCATTACCATTTGGACCATTCTAACCCCTTAACTTGCTTATCTGTAACCTCCAACTCCAGTGAAAGTCTTGGTTCCCACCACTTATTATCCATTTGCAGGTTGAGTATCTCTTGTCTGAAATGCTTGGGAAAATAAGTGTGTAGGATTTCAAAATTTTTTGGATTTTGGAATATTTGCATATATAATAAGATAATAAGATATTTTGAGGATGGGAACCAAGTCTAAACACAAAATTCATGTATGTTTCATATTCATTTTATGCACATAGACTAAAGTAAATTTTATACTTTATTTTTAAATAATTTTGTGCATGAAAAAAGTTTTTAAGTACTTATATGTGTAATTTTCTACTTCTGGTGTCATGTCCTTATGCCATGCTCAAAAAGTTTCAGATTTTAGAGCATTTCTGAATTTGCATTTATGGATTAGAGATGCTTGACCTACATTACATTCTTGAATTTCAGCATACGTGGGCAGTGATTTCATAACTGTAAAGCCATACATCCATTGGAAACAATGTTATTATCTGATTACGGTGCATATTTTCAGTGCTTTTTTTCTCTGATCTTAGAAATACTCGGGTCTGCACCTTTTTCTCCCATCCCCTTCAGTGAGACTGTTTCATACATTTGTAACACAGATTCTTTTATCACATTATGTCTTCTCTTTGATTCTCAAAATTCCTAAGTGATTGTTCTTAAATATATATGCATTAAGGAACACATTTTGTGTTATAAACTTCTGAGTTTTGGTCTACACAAAGTGTCATCTATAAACCATGATATTACAAGTATTATACAGAATAGCTGGATCATCCCAAAAAGTCCACTGTGCTTCCCCTGTCTAGCCCCTCTCCACTAAACCCCTGGCAACCACTTACCTGTTGATGATCTTTACAGTTTTGTCTTTTCCAGAATGTCATATAATTGGAATAATAAAGCTTTTCAAATTGGCTTTTCTCACTTAGCAATGTGCATTTAAGATTTATCCATGTATTTTCAAGGTTTGGTAGCTTATTTGTTTTTATCTCTGATTAATACTTTATTGTGTGGATGTAGTACTGTTTTGTTTATTCATTCATCTATTGAGGGATTGCTTCCAGTTTTTGGCAATTATGAATAAAGCTGCTGTAATTATCCATGTGCAGGTTTTGGTATAGATATAAATTTTAAAATCAGTTGGGTAAATACCTAAGAATGGATTTGCTTGATCCCATAGTAAGTCTTTGTTTAGTTTTCTGAAAAACTGCAAAACTTCTTCCACTCTTCATTCCTATCAGCAAATGAGAATTTCTTTTGCTCTGCATCCTGACAGGAATTGGAATCATCAGTGTTTTGGATTTTAGCCATTCAAATACTTGAGTAGCTATGTCTCATTTATGTTTTAATTTGCAATTTTCTAATGAAAGACACTGTTGAGCATCTTTTCATGTGCTCGTTTTCCACTTGCATATCTTTGATTTTGTTGTTGTTGTTGTTGTTGTTGTCTTGAGATGGGGTCTCACTCCATTGTGCAGGCCGATGTGCAGTGGCATGATCATGGCCCACTGCAGCTTTGGCCTCCTGGGCTCGGGTGATCCTCCCACCTCAGCCTCCCCAAGGAGCTGGAACCACAGGCATAAGCCACCATTCTTGGCTACTTTTTAAAATTTTTTGTAGAGACCAGGTCTCGCTATGTTGCCCAAGCTGGTCTAGAACTACTGGACTCAAGTGATCCTCCTGCCTCAATCTCCCAAAGTGCTGGGACTGTAGGTACACACCACAACACCCAGCTTGCAAACCTTCTTGAGTAAGATATCTATTCAGATATTTTGTTTGTTTTAAAATTAGCTCTTTTGTTTATTATTAATACAATTTAGGAGATTTTAAGTAATATTTTTTGTCAAGTTAAAAAATATTTCGATTAGTCATTTACCAGATATTATGTTTGCAAATATTTTGTCCCAGTCTGTTTTCCTATCTTTTCATTCTTCCAACAGTGTCTTTTGAAGAGTAGAATTTTAATTTTTATAAAGTTAGCCTATTAATTTTTTTCTCTCATGAATTTGTTTTTGGTATTGGATCTAATATCTTATCACCAAACTCAAAGTCGTATAGATTTGTCCTGTGTTAATTTTTTAGAAGCTTTATAGTTTTACATTTTACTTGTAGGTCTAATAACTATTTTGAGTTATTTTTGTGAATGGTGCAATTCCTTTGTCTAGATTTCATTTTAATATGAATATCCAACTGTCCCAGCACCATTTCTTGAAAAGACTATCCTTTCCCCATTGAATTGCCTTTGCATCTTTGTCAAAGATCAGTTGACTTTATTTGTGTGAGCGTATTTCTAGGATCTCTATTATGTTACATTGATCTATTTGTCTGTTTTTTCATGAATGCCACACTGTCTTGATTAATAGCTTTATATTAAGTCTTACATTCTGGTAGTTTCAGTCCTCTGATTTTGTTTTACTTTTTCAGTATTTTGTTGGCTTAATTATGGGTCTTTTGCCCTTCCATATAAACATTAAAATCAGTTTGTGAATATCCACAAAATAACTTGCTGAGATTTTGATAGGAATTTAATGGAATCTATAGATCAAGTTGGAAAGAATTAATGTCTTAATAATATTGAGACAATGAATTTATGAACACAGAATAAATTCATTTATTTAGTTCTTTGATTTCTTTTATCAGTGTGTTGAAAATTTTCTGCATATAGACCTGCATATTTTGTTCATTTTATACTTAAGTATTTTATTTATCTTGGTGATATTGTAAATGATACTTTCTTTTACATTTCAAATTGCAGTTTGCCATTGGACAGCAGTTAATTTTATATAATAATCTTTTATCAACTTTCTAAACTCACTTTTTAGTTCCTTTTTTTGTTGTTGTTGATTCTTTAGGATTTACTATATAGGCAACAATGTCATCTGTAAATAAAGACAGATTTATTTATTCATTTTCAATTTGTATACCTTGTATTTCTTTTTCTTGCCTTATTACATTAGATAGGACTTCTATATGATGTTGAAAAGGACTGGTGAGAGAGGACATCCTTGCTTTGTTCTCAATATTAGGGGGAAAGTATCCGGTGTCATTATTAAATTTTTTTACCTATAGTTTTTGTAGATGTTCTTTATTAAGTTGAGGAAGTCCTTCTCTAGTTCTAGTTTGCTGAGAATCTTTAACATGGATGTTGGATTTTGGTCAAATGCCTTTTGGGTATCAGTTGCTATGATCATATGATTTGTCTTCTTTAGCCTGTTGATATGTTGGATTGTTTTGATTTATTTTCAAATGTTGAGCCAGCCTTGCATATCTGGAATAAATTCTACTTGATCTTGATTTATATGGTTAGATTCAAATTGCTACTATTTTGTTGAGAATTTTATATATATGTTTATGTGAGATATTAGTCTGAAATTTTCTTTTCTTGTAATGTCTTTCTCTGCTTTGGGCATTAGGGTAATCATGAACTCATGAATTGAGTTCTACCTCCTGGAAAGATTTTAGAGAACTGACATCATTTCTTCTTGGAAAGTTTGCTGTAATTTACCAATGGAATAATTATTGATTAATTTCATTAATAAATATAGTGCTACTCAGGTTATTTATATTCCCTGGTTTAATTTGTGGTAGTTTGTGTGTTCTATGTAATTGGTACATATCATATAATTTTTTAAATTGTGAACACAGTGTTACTTGTGCTATTTCTTTAAGCATTTTTCGTTTCATTTCTGGTGAAAGGTTATGTCTCCTGTTTTTCTCTCTCTTCCACACTTCCTCTCTCTCTCTCTCTCCCTTCCCTTCTTCCTGGTTAGCCTTACTATAAATGTGTTCATTTTATTGATGAAGAATCAATTTTTAGTTTTATTGCTTTTCTCTATTGTTTTTCTGTCTTCAATTTTATTCATTTCTGCTTTAACTTTTATTCTTTACTTCTGCTTGATATAGGCATATATTGCTCTTATTTTTCTAGTTTCCTGAAGTGAGCGCCTCTGTTATTAATTTTAGATCACATTTTCTTTCTAATGTATGCATTTAATGTTATAAATTTCACTTTTAGAACAGTTTCAGTGTATATCCCAAATTTTGATTAGTATTTTATGTTCATTTAATTTAAAATATGTTTACATTCCGCTTGATACTTGTTCTTGACCTATGTGTTATTTAGAAATGTAGAAGTGTTCATTATTAATACAATTTAGGAGTGTGTAGAATACAATAATACAATGTAGAAGTGTGTTGTTGAATTTCTAAATATTTGGGTATTTTCTAGTTATTTTTCTGTAATTGACTTCTGGTTAGTTTCATGAAAAATACACATTAATACATTGTATAGTTTTTATTCTTTAAATTTGTGAAGCTGTGTTTTGTAGTCCAGAATGTGATCATCTATCCTGGTGAGTGCTCCATGTGAACTTAGAAAATGTACATATTTTTGCTGTTGAATTATTCTTGAATGTTTTTTAGATCTAGCTGATTAATGATGCTGTTCAATTTAATTCTATCCTTCCTGATTTTCTGCCAGCTTTATCTATTGAAATAGAGTGTTGAAGTCTCCAGATATAATAGTAAATTTCTCTAGTCCTCTTTTCAGATCCATCAGTTTTTATTTTCAGTATTTTGCTGCTCTGTTGTTAGGTGCATGCACATCTAAAGTTGTGACTTCTTAAAGAATAGATTTGTTATCAAAGAAAGATGTTAAGCTTTCTCTGTTTCTCATATTTTCTATGTTCTGAAGTTATATATACTCTTGTTTTTTAAATTATTGTTTTAATTATGGTTTTTTTTAATACTATGTATAATTATTTCATCATTATTTATTATGGTGCATTTTTATCTTTTTATTTGTAACTTATTTGATTATTTATATTTAATGTAGGCTTCTTGTACACAATATACGTTTGGGTCTGTTTGCTTTTTTGTTTTTGTTTTTTACTTAATTCACACTGACAATAGCTGTCTTTTAATGAATACATTTGTACCCACATTTAAAGTAATATTAACGTGGTTGTAATAATAGACATTCCCCTTTTAACTGGTTTATATTTATCGTATTTGTTCTCTTGGGTTTTTTCCCCACCGTTTTCTGCCTTCTCTGGTTTTAATTGAATATTTTCTGAAATCATTTTCTTTTCTTTTTTAGTAAATCAATTAAACATCTTTAAAAATATATATAGTGGTTGCTCTAGAGTTTACAATATACATTTATAACTGCTCTAAATCCTCTTTCCAATAACACTATGATGTTTTACATGTACGTGGGTTCCTTCTAAGAGAGTGTTCGCAATTTCTCCCTCACATTCCTTGTGATATTGCTGTCATTCACTTCACTGATACATGTGTAATAATCTTTTTCTCTTAAGACTGTGAATTGTTTTTTTGTGTTTTAGCATGCTGTTTAATTTTTTTGTTGAAAACTAGACATGTATTGACTAAGAGAAACTGACTGAAGTTAATAGGTTTTTAATGAGATAACTTGTGTTACACTGCTGTGTTAACATTTGCTATAGGTGGATGTACTAGCATCTTCAAATTCCTCTTGTGAATTTGTTTTCATTTCTCCTTTTGACTTTGGCTTCCCTAAGTACTCCTCCTCAGAGGAAGTCTGCGTCTTGTGCCTCTTTCATATATAATTCACTGTTACTATATTAGAGCTTTGTTGATTTGGAGGAAAGGTGTGAGGGAGGAGGAGCGTTCTATAACTTTCTGATTAGATCTTAATCTCTAAATGTCCTACATCTCTGAGCTGAGCTTCATAAATGTATTTTTTTCACTAAGAATAACATTTCCTGGCTGGATCTGGCCAAATGGCCAAATAGGAATAGCTCCAGTCTGCAGCTCCCAGCGAGACCAATGCAGAAGGCGGGTGATTTCTGCATTTCTAACTGAGGTACCCTGTTCATCTCATTGGGACTGGTTAGGCAGTGGGTGCAGCCCACGGAGGGTGAGCAGAAGCAGGGTGGGGCGTCGCATCACTCAGGAAGCGCAAAGAGCAGGGGGCCTCCCTTTCCTAGCCAAGGGGAGCCATGAGGGACTCTGCTATCCAGTCCAGATATTATACTTTTCTCACAGTTTTTCCAGTCTTCAGATCAGATTCCCTTGTGTGCCTACACCACCAGGGCCCTGGGTTTCAAGCACAAAACTGGGTGACTGTTCGGGCAGACACTGAGCTAGCTGCAGGGTTTTTTTTTGTTTTTTTTTTCATCCCCAGTGGTGCCTGGAACTCCAGTGAGACAGAACTGTTTACTCCTCTGGAAAGAGGAAGGAGCAGGCAGCAATCTTTGCTGTTCTGCAGCCTCAGCTGGTGATATCCAGGCAAATAGGGTCCAGAGTGGAGCACCAGCAAACTCCACCAGACCTGCAGAAGAGGTGCCTGACTGTTAGAAGGAAAACTAACAAACGGAAAGCAATAACATCAACATCAACGAAAAGAACACCTATGCAAAAACCCCATCCAGGGTTCATCAGCATCAATGATCAAAGGTAAATAAATCCGTGAAGATGAGGAAAAAGCAGTGCAAAAATTCCGAAAATTCCAAAAACCAGAATGCCTCTTCTCTACCAAATGATCAAAACTCCTCTTCAGCAAGGGCACAAAACTGGACAGAGAATTGGGGCACAAAAACTGGACAGAGTTTGATGAATTTACAGAAGTAGGCTTTAGAAGGTGGGTAATAACAAACTCCTCTGACCTAGAGGAGCATGTTCTAACCCAATGCAAGGAAGGTAAGAATCTTGACAAAAGGTTACAGGAATGGCTAACTAGAATAACCAGTTTAGAGAAGAACATGAATGACCTGATGGAGCTGAGAAACACAGCACGAGAACTTTGTGAAGCATACACAAGTATCAATAGCCGAATCAATCAAGCGGAAGAAAGGATATCAGAGATTGAAGATCAACTTAATGAAATAAGGCGTGAAGACATGATTAGAGAAAAAAGAATGAAAAGGAGCAAAAAAAGCCTCCAAGAAATATGGGACTATGTGAAAAGACCAAACCTATGATTGATTGGGGCAGAGAGAATGCCACCAAGTTGGAAAACACTCTTCAGGATATTATCCAGGAGGACTTCGCCAACCTAGCAAGACAGGCCAACATTCAAATTCAGGAAATACAGAGAACACCACTAAGATACTCCTTGAGAAGAGCAACCCCAAGACACATAATCGTCAGATTCTTCAAGGTTGAAATGAAGGAACAGATGTTAAGGGCAGCCAGAGAGAAAGGTCAGGTTACCTATAAAGAGAAGCTCATCAGACTAACAGCAGAGCTCTCTACAGAAACCCTACAAGCCAGAAGACAGTGGGGGCCAATATTCAACATCTTAAAGAAAAGAGTTTTCAACCCAGAATTTCATATCCAGCCAAACTAAGTTTCGTAAGTGAAGGAGAAATAAAATCCTTTACAGACAAGCAAATGCTGAGGGATTTTGTCCTCCACCAGGCCTGCCTTACAAGAGCTCCTGAAGAAAGCACTAAGTATGGAAAGGAAAAACTAGTACCAGCCACTTCAAAAACACACCAAAATATGAAGACCAACGGCACATTGAAGAAACTGCATCAACTAATGTGCAAAATAACCAGCTAGCATCATGATGACAGGATCAAATTCACACATACAATATTAACTTTAAGTGTAAATGGGCTAAATGCCCCAATTAAAAGACAGACTGGCAAATTGGATAAAAGGTCAAGACCCATTGGAGTGCTGTATTCAGGAGACCCATCTCACATACAGAGACACACATAGGCTCAGGTTAAAGGGAGGGAGGAATATTTACCAAGAAAATGTAAAGCAAAAAAAAGCAGGGTTTGCAATCCTAGTCTCTGATAAAACAGACTTTAAGCCAGCAATGATCAAAAAAGACAAAGAAGGGCATTACATAATGGTAAAGGGATCAATGCAACAAGAAGAGCTAACTATTCTAAATATATATATATATATATGCACCCAATACTGGAGCACCCAGATTCATAAGACAGGTTCTTAGAGACCTAGAAAGAGACTTACAGACTCCCAGACAATAAAAGTGGGAGACTTTAACACCCCACCCAATATTAGACAGATCAATGAGACAGAAAATTAACAAGAATATTCAGGACTTGAACTCAGCTCTGGACCAAGCATACCTAATAGAAATCTGCAGAACTCACAACCCCATATCAACAGAATATACATTCTTCTCAGCACCACATCGCACTTATTCTAAAATCGACCACATGACTGGTAGTAAAACACTCCTCAGAAAATGCAAAAGAACAGAAACTATAACAGTCTCTCAGACGACAAATTAGAACTCAGGATTAAGAAACTAACTCAAAACTGCACAACTACATGGAAACTGAACAACCTGCTCCTGAATCACTACTGAGTAAATAACTAAATTAAGGCAGAAATAACGTAGTTCTTTGAAACCATGAGAACAAAGAGACAACGTACCAGAATCTCTGGGACACAGCTAAAGCAGTGTTTAGAGGGAAATTTATAGAGCACTAAATGCCCATATCAAAAAGCGGGAAGATCTAAAATCAACAACCTAACATCACAATTAAAAGAACTGGAGAACCAAGAGCAAACAAATTCAAAAGCAGGCAGAAGACAAGAAATAATTAAGATCAGAGCAGAACTGAAGGAGATAGAGACATGAAGAACCCTTCAAAAAATCAATGAATCCAGGAGCTGATTTTTTGAAAAGATTAACACAATAGATAGACCAGTAGCTAGACTAATGAAGAAGAAGACAGAGAAGAATCAAATAGACAAAATAAAAAATGATAATGGGGATATCGCCACTGACCCCACAGAGATACAAACTATCATCAGAGAATACTATAAACACCTCTAGGCAAAGAAACTAAAAAATCTAGAATAAATGGATAAATTCCTGGACACATACACCCTACGGAGACTAAACCAGGAAGAAACTGAATCCCTGAATAGACCAATAAGAAGTTCTGAAATTGAGGCAGTAATTAATAGCCTGTCAACCAAAAATAGCACAGGACCAGGCGGATTCACAGTGAAATTCTACCAGAGGTACAAAAAGGAGATGGTGCCATTCCTTCTGAAACTATTCCAAACAGTAGAAAAAGAGGGAATCCTCCCTAACTCATCTTATGAGGCCAGCATCATCCTGATTCTAAAACCTGACGGAGACACAACAATAAAAGAAAATTTTACACCAATATTCCTGATAAACATCGATGCAAAAATCCTTAATAAAGTACTGGCAATCCGAATCCAGCAGCACATCAAAAAGCTTATCCAACACGATCAAGTCAGCTTCATCCCTGGGATGCAAGACTGGTTCAACATATGCAAATCAATAAATGTAATCCATTGCATAAACAGAACCATTGACAAAAACCACGTGACTATCTCAATAGATGCAGAAAAGGCCTTCGATAGAATTCAACCTCCCCTCATGCTAAAAACACTCAATAAACTAGGTTTTGATGGAACATTTCTCAAAATAATAAGAGCTATTCATGACAAACCCATAGCCAATATCATACTAAATGGGCAAAAGCTGGAAGCATTCCCTTTGAAAACCGGCACAAGGATGCCCTCTCTCACCACTCCTATTCAACATAGTATTGGAAGTTCTGGCCAGGGCAATCAGGCAAGAGAAAGAAATAAAGGATATTCAAATAGAAAGACAGGAAGTCAAACTGTCTCTGTTTGTAGAGGACATGATTGTGCATTTAGAAAACCCCATCATCTCAGCCCAAAAAAAAACTCCTTAAACTGATAAACAACTTCAGCAAAGTCTCAGGAGACAAATCATTGTGCAAAAATCACAAGCATTCCTATACACCAAGCAGAGAGTGAAATCATGAGTGAGCTCCCATTCACAGTTATTACAAATAAAATAAAATACCTAGGAATATAACTTACACGGGATGTGAAGGACCTCTTCAAGGAGAACTACAACCACGGCTCAAGGAAATAAGAGAGGACACAAACAAATGGAAAAACATTCCATCCCCTTGTATAGGAAGAATCAATATCGTGAAAATGGCCATACTGCCCAAAGTAATTTATAGATTCAATGCTATTCCCATCAAACTACCATTAATATTCATCACATAATTAGAAAAAAACTATTTTAAATTTTATATGGAATCAAAGAAGATCCCATATAGCCAAGACAATCCTAAGCAAAAAGAACAAATCTGGAGGCATCATGCTACCTGACTTCAAACTATACTACAAGTCTACAGTAACCAAAACAGCATGGTACTGGTACCAAAACAGACATATAGACCAATGGAGCAGAACAGAGACCTCAAAAATAACACCACACATCTACAACCATCTGATCTTCAACAAACCTGACAAAAATAAGCAATGGGGAAAGGATCTCCTATTAAGTAAATGATGCTGGGAAAACTGGCTAGCCATTTGCAGAAAACAGAAACTGGACCCCTTCATTACACTTTATACAAAAATTAACTCAAGATGGATTAAGGACTTAAATGTAAAACCTAAAACCATGGACACTCTAGAAGAAAATCTAGGCAATACCATTCAGGACATAGGCATGGGCAAAAACTTCATGACCAAAACACCAAAAGCAATGGCAACAAAAGCCAAAATTGACAAATGGGATCTAATTAAACTAAAGAGCTTCTGCTCAGCAAAATAAACTATCATCAGAATGAACAGACAACCTACAGAATGGGGGAAAATTTTTTAATGTATCCATCTGACAAAGGTCTAATATCCAGAATTTACAAGGAAATTAAACAAATTTACAAGAAAAAACAACCCCATCAAAAAGTGGGCAAAGGATATGAACAGACAGTTCTCAAAAGAAGACTATTATGCAGCCAACAAATGTATGAAAAAATGCTCATCATCACTGGTCATTAGAGAAATGCAAATCAAAACCACAATGAGATAACATCTCACACCAGTTAGAATGGCAATCATTAAAATGCAAGGAAACAACAGATGCTGGAGAGGATGTGGAGAAATAGGAACACTTTTACACTGTTGGTGGGAGTGTAAATTAGTTCAACCATTGTGGAAGACAGTGTGGCAATCCTCAAGGATCTGGAACCAGAAATACTATTTGACCCAGCAATCCCATTACTGGGTATATACCTAAAGAAACATAAATCATTCTACTGTAAAGACACATGCACACATATGTTTATTTCAGCACTATTTACAATAGCAAAACTTGGAGCCAACCCAAATGCGCATTCATGATAGACTGCATAAAGAAAATGTGGCACATATATACCATGAAATACTATGCAGCCATACATAAAAAAGAATGAGTTCATGTCCTTTGCAGGACATGGATAAAGCTGGAAGCCATCATCCTTAGCAAACTAACAGAGGAACAGAAAACCAAACACTGTATGTTCTCTCTTATAAGTGGGAGCTGAACAATGAGAACACATGGACACAGGGAGGGGAACATCACACACTGGGGCCTGTCAGGGGGTGGGAGGAAAGCGGAGGGAGAGCATTAGTACAAATATCTAATGCATGCGGAGCTTAAAACCTAGATGATGGGTTGATAGATGCAGCGAACCACCACGGCACATGTATATCTATGTAACAAACCTGCACATTCAGCACATGTATCGCAGAACTTAAAAAAAAAATAAAAAATAAAGATACAAATTTGTTTTGCAAAAAAAAAAAAAAAGAATAACATTTCCCCTCCCATCCCTCTGTACTCCCTTCTCTGGCTAAAGTGTTCACAATATAAGTCTTCAACTCTGAACCCTATTGACTAATTGGCTGTTTTTCTTCCTTAGGTGAGAGAGAAAGACTAGAGGAGGCTGGTTTGGGAAGACTGTCCTTCTCCTAGGTGGGATAAAACTCTGGGAAAGCCTTTTTTCCTCTGGAGAGTAGGATTTTCTTGTGGAGAAGGATCTTGGTGTATTTGACAATGATCTGCCAGAAGGATCCTCCTTAGTTTCATTCACCATGAGAACCTGGTGGTCTTCCTGGAGGTATAAAGGTCATGAAATTGTGGGGTCCTCCTAAGAACGTGTTCTTGTGCCAGAAATTTTTTACACTTATGCTCTTTCACTTATCTTCCAGCAGTTTGTCAAAGTTACCATTTAATTGTTCTTACAAGTTTATGACACTAGCAGCTTTTGCTCCAGGTAAGCATATCTCAGCAGGGACTAGGTTCACCTGTCTCTCCAGATTTCCAGATGGCAGTTTGCTCTGCAATTGCAGTAATCTGATGGGTCCAAGAGAAGTCATTGATTCCAACTTTCTCCAGCCCTTTTTTTCCCCTTGCAATGACAGGAGTGATGACTTCTAAGCTATTTGCATGTTAAAACTGAATCCAGAAGTCACCAAAAAGCCTTTTAATCATATCTTTTTTCTCTGTTTTCTCTATTTCAGTTTTAGGCCTTTGAGAAATTAAAAATTAGCAGAAAATACATTATTTTAGGAGCTAACAGTTTAGGGATAAGGATCATACATGCATACATACATATGGATATTATAAAGTGCCTAATTCTACTTAATCTGTAACTCCATATCTCTCTGGAATGTGAATTTTCTAGACAATTGATTCTCTGGAAAATAGTTTTTGAATTTATGTGTCTGATATTTTTTTCCCAAAGTGAGAAAAAAAAATCAGTCTTCTTGAGCGGTATATATCAAACATAATTTATGCTTCTTTTGATGACTCAGAGTTCAGATATAATTATAATGTGTGGTCTCAGGTACTCTGTAAAAACCTCAGATCTTATTGGTCTTTATGTTGGCTTTATAGATTAGCCTGTATTTGCAAGTTCTTGGGTTGTCTTTCACATTATTTATTTTTCTTGTTCATTTCAGGTTTCAGTTGACACTTATTTATGTTGCCAGTTTGCTTCCATCAGGGTCAAAGTTGTGAATTCTGTGTCTAAAATAAAGCACGTTGTTTTCCATATGTCCTCAAAGGTTATTTCATCAGCAAATTAATAAACTTTGAGATGTATATTTTGGCTCCTAATGGATGCTTTTGCTTATTTTTATGTTCTCAACTTTGTCCTGAATAAGTGCAATTATCCAGGTAAGAAACATCCAGATAAATGAGGTGCTACCATTCATATCAGGAGCTGTAAGCAGCTTCAAATTCCTTGTGAGATAAACAAAATAACTCTAAAGACATGCAAAATAAACCTATTACAATTGTAGTTATTATCTAAAGGCTGCATATTAATTTTGGATAATTTGCTTCATTATATTTTTGGAAATTAGAATCTTTATGATTTATATTTGCAATCTGGTGTTATGGCTTTAATGAAAATTATTTAACTTCTAGTTTTTCAAAAAACTTTGATTTTCTCACAAGTATGTGTAAAATAAGTTTTCTATACCATCTTTTCAAGAATATTCATACAGCAGAGGAATTGCCAAGCAGCACATCTTTAAACCCACACTGGGCTCTCAGTGCCTGCTCACATTTCCTCTGATGAATTAGAAGACAGGTGTGAATCTTGACTTCTTTAAAAGACAGTGTAACAGGATACTCAAATTCATTTTTTAAAAATTTTATTTCTGTTGGCAATGATTAGTTTTTCTAATATTCTCCATTTCCCTCATGTAATGATGCTTTGTTAACAGCATCACTAATGTCCACAAGGACTGAGATAATACTTGGTAAAGGGAGATGGATCCATATTAAATTGATGAGGAGCCAAAATGAAGGAGACTCTGAAGGTCAATTGTTCCAACTAATGCGATTGGGGTTTGCATTCCAGGAAATACTTGGCTTTCATGCACAAAGATAACTGCAAAATTCGTCTGTAAGACTGATTTTAGAATTCCCTGATAACAATACAGATTCATTTTATAGTCATAAGGGAAGCTCATTCACTTGAAAGCAAGCTGGGATGCATAATGGAGTTGGATTTTAGAGGGCCACTGGTGGTGATCTCTTACTGCATCAGTACCTGCTGTGACCTTCAATAAGGGGAGTGCGTTCTTTGCCAGAAACCTTTACATTCTTGGGTACATAATGTTCTAACACTTCTAAATTCAGTAATAGATGCACAGGTGTGATTTGAGGTTAGTGAACAGTAAGAGACTGAGTCACCAGCATTATATTATATGAGTCATAGTTGGAAAAAATTTGCAATTCATTGAACTCAAAAAGTTATGAGCCCAATTACATCAGATTTAATAATTTTAAAGCATTAGTCGGGCTTTTGCATATTTTTTGAGTGCCCATGAATTTGTACTTCTGATTTCTCTAGAATGTAAATAAAGCAACTTCTGTTTTCCAGTACTCTTGGTGTGTCTATGGTCCTTTGGCATATATTAAAGTTATATCAATTTACTGTTAACCTAAGTCCTTGTCCCTTAATAAAACAACACCACACTTTGTTAAATAAACATGAACAGATTTTGAAATTAACTTGGCATATATTTATCAAGGATAGTTCTGTATTTATTGGCTTAGTTTATTTATATTTTATCTGTACTCTTAAGGCTTTATTTAGAGCTTATATTATGGTTAATAATAAAGAGTAAATTTAAAAATGCCATCATATTGTTTCTGTACATCCAATGTGAGTTGAAACATTTAAAAGGCTTTTGATTCATGACCCCTGTTACAAAGAAAGTTTTTGGTGTTCTAACGACACTCCCCACTGCCAGTGGTTAGTCAAACCCTCTAGGTAGGTATTTGATTCCTTAAATGGGACCAAGAGGAATCAGCCTGGTCTATCAAATTACTCAGTCAATAAAAAGACCCGTGTCTCCATTCAAAATGGAAATAAGGCCTAGGAAGTCTCAGAGACTTGTCAAGGTCAATCTGTCATTGGCAGAACATTGTACTCTATGCATGCCTATTTAAGCTAGCAGCAGGGTGTTTATGCCTGTATATAAGAATCACATGCCAGGTGCGGTGGCTCACGCCTGTAATCCTGCGCTTTGGGAGGCCGAGGAGAATGAACCACTTGAGGTCAGGAGTTCGAGATCAGCCTGGCCAACATGGTGAAAGCCTGTCTACTAAAAATACAAAAATTAGCCAGGCATGGTGGTGCGTGCCTGTAGTCCCAGCTACTCAGGAGGATGAGGCAGGAGAATTGCTGAACCTGGGAGGCGGAGGCTTCAGTGAGCTGAGATTTGCCACTGCATTCCAGCCTGGGTGACACAGTGACAACCTGTCTCAAAAAAAAAAAAAAGAAAAGAAAGAAAAAGAATCACAGTAAGAAAACACCACCCTCTTTTGCCCACTGGATGCTTTCCCTTTTACCTCTATAGCTGAGTCCAAACCTACATAAAATATGAGGAACTTTTAATTCAATGATCATGATACTTATTCTTCAATTGCAGAATTCTTATAGATTCTTGCTATTAATCCCTAGAAATAAATAGAGGCAGATAATTGATCCATACATTAGAAAATGCTTTATAATTTTAAGGAGTTGCAGATATTAATGTTAGAACTTCCTGATCAAGTTCTTTTCACTGTTTCCCAAACTTTTTTTTCACAAAATACATATTGAAAAGCTCAGTAGTTTTTATTCTGAATCATTTTTCACTTTTTTCTGAAGTATATCTTCAAGTATATTTTTAAAGAGGGTACATGGCACTACAGTTTCTTAGTTCTTGTATTTTGCAAAAATATTTCTATTTTGTCCTTCCATTTGATTGATAATTGATTTCCTTATTTACTTTCACAGTCGATGCAATTCTATATATTTTTGTTTTCCAGATACTCATAAAAATATCTCTGCTTTTTAGACCTTTTGTTCCCAGTATTAGTGCAGATTTTTTTTTTCCTTTTTGTTCATCTTCCTATATTTTCATTGGGATTTTCAAAGAGTGAGAAGGTATTTAAATTTAGTTGCTTGTTTTAAATGGAACATGTAGGATCAACATTTCAGTTTTATGCAGAGGCACGATTGTATGCTGTTCAGAAGAATGGACTCTGGCAACTGGTTGCCTGGGCTTGGGCCCTGGCTCTCCCCCTCCCTTGTTTGACGTCTGAATCTTTCAATCCTTTCATGAAGATTCTTTGTCTGCAAAATGTGCAGATCCTAAGAGTACTATTTTATGATTGTTTTAATGATTAAAAAATTATACATGAAACGCATCTACAAAATGCTTATTTTACAGAAATAGTAAACGTTAGCTATTATGGAAAATGACATTCATGTTGGATTGCATAAATTTTATGAACTTTATGCTTACTCAGAGCTTTATGCTTTCTTTCTTTCTTCTTTCTCTTTTCTTTTCTTGTGCTTAAAGTGATGTCAAACATAGCACCTTTACAAATTCTTTTGACCAGTTGTGCTAGTCTTTGAAGGTGATGATTTATGAAGTGACCACATTGAATCTTCTCTTGGAATAAGTGTTTATGGAATCTTAGTTATCTCAAAGATAAAGAGAGAATGGGTAACCTGTCATGGTTTAATGCATCAGAAATACGTTGAGATTAACAGATATGCAGTGAGACATCTATTATATTCAGGTGAAGTTCATCTTTAAAGAGTAGAGTATTTTAATAATTTTGAAAATTAAATAGAGAAATTTATCTACAAGTCTGGAAATATAGTTTGTGCACCTCATATTACTAACTAACCCAGTTTGTAACTTTGTTTTATTCCATTACTGACAACTGAACACCTGCTCCCTGTACTCAGTGTTTTGAAAATGACTCAGTAGGTTGTGCCTTGCACAGCAGCTTCTTTCAAGATACAGGTGTTTAGAATCTAGGGCAGTAAACACATTCAGCAGGTTCCAAAGTTAAGCTGTATTTGTAAAGCCATCTGTAAATTGTAAAGACATCTGAAGCAATGCTCATTGAAAGCAGTGAAAATATTATAAAGAAGTTATTCCTGTGAAACCATCAGCACAAGGTAATCCAGAAAAGAACACAAATCAACAATTTTATAAATAGTATGTTAATATTTTTGTTTAATAACATAATTTGAAATTCACAATATGAAGAAAAGGGCAAAAAAAATCTCCTAGGCATGACCTATTGTTAGAATCAAACAATTTGCACTAGAGAATTCTTATGTGCAATAATTACGTTTGCAGCAGGATAAAGGATAGCACATATTGTAAATATTAAGTTTTCAGGATTCATATTCTGTTTTAAGTTCAGCATTGACTTGACTGAATTGGAAGCTGGGATTGGATTTACTTCAATTACTATGTTTAGGCGGAGTCTTATTCACGAAATATGAAAAAGCAAAAAAGCATTAAATGAATACAACTCAAAACCACAATGAGATACCGCTTTACACCATTAAAATTGCTGTAGATAATAACAACTGTTGGTAAGAATGTGGAGAAATTGGAACCTTCACAATTTGCTGGTGAGAGTGTAAATTCATGCAGCCACTTTGGATAGCAGTTTGGCAGTTCTTTAAAGTGTTAAACCTAGAGTCACCATATAAACCAGCAATTCCACTTTTAGGTTGACCATTCCCAAAAGAAATGAAAACATACATTACACGAAATTTGTACATTAACGTTTATAACAGTATTATAACTCATAATAGCCAAAAACTAGAAACAGCTCAAATGTCCATTAACAATGAATAAATAAATAAAACTGGTATATCCATACAATGGAATACTACTCAACAGGAAAACAAGAATGAATCATTGATGAATAGTACAACATGAATTACCTTGAAAAGATTATACTCAGTGAAAGAAGTCAGCTGCAAGAGACCACATTATATCATTCCGTTTATATGAATTGCTCAGAATAGGCAACTCTATAGAGACAGAAAATAGATTAGTGGTTACTAGGGCTAGGGACAGGAAACAGGCAGTGTCTGCTAATTAGACTATGGTAATCATTACGTAATTATGTGAATATACTAAACATATTTGAATTGTACACTTTAAGTTGGTGAAATTTATGGTGTGTGAATTATATATTGATGAAGATGTTTAAAAATACATTATACTTTTAAAAACAAGTCAATTATAGACACATTAGGCATATTTATTCGCTATTACAAATTGCAATCTGAGAATAGACACTTAAGTAAGAATCTTTATTTTTGTCTTTCATGAATTATCTAATATCCAATGGTGATTTACCACAAAAGAAATAATATTAGTGTAGAGCTTAAATCAGTCTACTTATAGGCACTCAAAAAAATTGCGTTTCGCTGACCTTAGACCTATTACATTAAAATGTTTGTAGATCTACAGCAGGGACATTAACTGTTTGGAGGGTTAAGTTTCTTTCTCCAGAAAAAAGCAAGGGAACATAAACCACAAATACATACAGTTTAAGAGTTTTTAAATTTATTCTGATAATTACTTAGTGTGAACTGATTCATCATAATGACCAGTAATGATGACTCTACAAAACACAATCAGCAACC
Organism: Homo sapiens; assembly: GCF_000001405.40. NCBI lineage: Eukaryota > Metazoa > Chordata > Mammalia > Primates > Hominidae > Homo > Homo sapiens. The sequence continues at coordinate 1,712,505 of NC_000018.10, forward strand.
AAGATAAACATGCATATGAGCTCAGAATTTTGAGCGTATTTTAAAATTAGCATTGAGTAAATTAAAGGTGTTTGGTCCTTCAATAAAAATGAACAACAAAAGAACAAATGAGCTCAAGTGTAAACTCCATAAGGACAGACATTTTCAATTTATTTGTGTCTTTTTAAACTCAGTTTAAATACAGTGTGTTGCACATAACAAAACTTCAATATATTCTTGTATAATAAATTAATATATGAATCCTTCCCTGTATACGTAAATTGATTGATATCTCTCCTGTCTATTGACAAGCCTAGGACAGAGCATTTCAACTTGTGTTTCATTAAGTCATGGGCACATTTAGATGTGCCACAGGGGTCAGACAGCTAGCTTGTTGCTTTTATATATACCATCTTAGTGTGTTGCTTGTTTTAAAATGGAATTAAAAATATTAATAATAGAGAATTGGCCTGAGAACAAGAACTAACTTCAGCCTCTGTACCTCCAATTGGGAAATATGAATATTCTCTATAAATGATTCTAGCAATGTGTAGCATTTTTTCCCTTTACTTGTTAGTATATGTGGAGTTGAAATATAGACTATTGTTGGTTGCTAAAATAGTCATTTTGATGACTGTATCATATAGCTAGCATTGTTTTATACATTAGGTTGCTGTGTTCTAAGCAAATAATACTAACAGAATTTACTCTTACTGGAATGGAGGTCACATTTAAGCATTTGAGAATATTTTAGAGTTGGCTGGTGGTCAATAGAGTGACCTAAATTTACAGAGAGATTGAAAATAAATTATCATGGGACACAAGGATATGTCTTCCATAACATGATCACATTAATTCTGACTTGAATACAAGCATGATCCTCTGTCAACAAATTTAGCATCATGAAAATTTACCCTGTGTGCTAAAGAAGGAGTTATCATTAAATAACTTGTACATCTAAAAATGTTACTGCTTCAATTTCCTCTCTGGTCAAATAAGGCATGCTCAATAACATGATCTCTAGCTCTGAGGTTCTTTTAATATAAAAGAAGTGGCCTGTTCATTGTCACATCATGCAGATCATTCCAAATACATGTCACTCAGATTAATTAAAAATCTCAACTCTCTGGAATACATGTATTACCAGCATTGGATTATGTTCTAATAATGTTAATGTTTGTTAATCTTGACTAAGTACATGTTCATCATAATTGCTCAACTCTAGTCTATCCAGCTTTAAGATGAAGGAATTTAGTTCTTTTCCCACTCTCTTCAATTAATTGAGGTATGACAGTGTTCCTGTTATTTTGTTTATTAATTAATTCACTTAACAAACATTGAGCAAGCATCTATTATGTATCAAGCACTTATTTCAGTGTGAGGAATACAACAGTAAAAAGAGAGACTTGGACCCTCTCCTCATGGAGAAGGGGTTAATGAGTTTTTTAATAGCTTGATATTTATTTGGTTTGTGATTGTTATGAAGTATAGCAAGAATTGTGGCCTCAGAATTTTAGAATTAGAAGAAACTTTAGAGCTTGTGTGATTCCACCACTTTAACAAATGTGGATATTGAAACTTATGGAAGTAAACAGATTGATCCAAGATTATAAAGCAAGTGACAGAAGATTTAGGAAAACTGGATAAAAATGTTGATGACTAGTCAAATCCTCGCTGTCAATTTATAGTTGTATGAATAACTCATTCCTCAAGAGCAATAAAGTGCTACATGTAATTAAATTATTCTCTGGCACTTAGGATAATATGAATTTACTTGTTAAGTGGTATCTTTGGGAAATATAAACAACACCAAAATGCCTAAAAAGCAAAATCTGATTTGCTTTCCATAAATGTGTTGCTGAAAATTATTTATCTTCTAAGAATGCTACTTTGAAAAGGTAATTCTCTCAGAAATATTTTCCCTCATACTTTACATCAATTATTTTATATTTGATCCTCTCTTGTGCAGACTTTCCATGAGCAAATTGATTTCTTAAAGACTAGAAATTCTAAGCAACTATCTTGAAAAAGACCTTTTCTATTTGTTGTCAACTAAACAGATTTGAGCATGAGACCTCCTTCTTTTGTGGAAGTCCCGCTACTTAGATGATCATTGCACTGTCTTTCCCACTTTCTAGATCTGCTACATAATGTAGGCCACCAGCCTGAGTATCAAAAGAGCTGTGATTTAGCCCCAGACCAGTCTGTACATTTTTGGACTTGTCACAAAGTGACTCTATACATTAATGTGTAAAATGAGAGAAATTTATAATAATTTTAAGACACCCATCAGCTGAAAATTGTACACTGAGAGTTAGCAAAGAGAGGGTAAATGCTAATTCACTGAACTTTATTTGATAATGCTTATTCTGGTATTCACTAGAGCTATTCAGTGATACACCTATCTCCTCCTTCTGGTCAACTGGAACTGAGAAAAGAGCATCAAATTCTTGAGCAGTATGGCAAACAAGAGGGAGAAGTCCAAATAGAAAAATCCAGAACATAAAAATCAGTAAATGCCACCTATTAATGTTGTAGAACATGAAATGTTTCTTTATTTTTCTTTATTATTTGTTTAAGAAGCATCAAACATGGTAAAATTGTGTATTTAATTTTTATTTATAAATCTACTCTTTAGAACCCAGAGAAAACACTTTCTTAAACAGTGGTTTTAAATGGTCTCCTAAGACCATTTAAAGGCCAACAAATTTATTTAAACAATCCCATCAATAGTAGCCCATTTGTAAAATTCTTTTCCAGTATATGAAATAGTTCCTTTACAGAATATCTATATAAAAGACAGCATAAACCTAGAACATTAATACCTACAACTTATGAGATAATAGAGCCAACTTAGCTATGATCCAAAGTAATAAAGGAAAAAGCAACAACAGAGAAAGGTATCTGTACAGATTTATGACATGAATTTGCCAAATTATATGGTAATAAATCTTGAGAATAAGAATAAACCAGGTTATTTTAAGAAAACTATGTAAATAAAACTAATATACAAAGAGCTAGAAATTGTAAACCTATCATTAAAGAAGGAAGAAACTGAAAATGTTATATATTAATCCTCCTCTGTCCCTGGAGCTTAAAAAAAATCTAGTCAGGCAGAGATTCACTTGCAAATATAAGTTCCTCCATCAATACAACAAGTAGAAATTTTTTGAATCTCCATATTATTAATCCATATGTTCTCTACCTTGTTATGATATATATGAAACAAAATACCAGTAAAATGTTTAATCATGAAACAATAGAATCATTACAAATAAGGCAATAAAGATATGATGTAATATACTGTTGGCTTTTTTTGCTTACTTTGTTTCATCTATTGAGATGATTATGTTGTTTTTGTCCTATATTCTATTAATATTATACAATACATTAACTGATTTTCAGATTTTTAAACAACTTTGCATTCTTGTGATAATACCCGCCTAATCATGGTATATAAACCTTTGTGTACATTCAGGACTTGTTTACAAATATTTATTAAGCATTTTTATGGCCATGCTTATTAGGAGTATGATGTGTAGTTTTCTTGTCATATGTTCATCTAGCGTTGTTATTAGAGTGATCCTGATTTATTTTGTTGCTCAAGTTGTACCAACTTTGACCACTGGAAGTTCTACAGGTTTCATCCTATCTTCTTTTGGCAAGCATCCATTATTTATTTATTAAATCACTTCTTAACTTTCTTAAGGAATGTACACTACATTCCAGGCTCACTTTATGTGTTCCCTATCCAAGCCCTATAGTCAGCCATGTCTCCAAGGATCCCGGATGTTTATTATTGGAGAACTATAGTTATAATATATAGTTATAATTGTTCTATTTTATTTTTTGTTATTGTTATTAATCTTTGATTATGACTAATTTGTAAATTCAACTGTATCGTAGGTAAATACATATAGGAGAAATCGCCATGTTGGCCAGGTTGCTCTTGAACTCCTGACCTCAGGTGATCCACCTGCCTTGGCCTCCCAAAGTGCTGGGATTATAGGCGTGAGCCACCGCGCCTGGCCTGCATGAGAGTTTTTATTGCCACACATCCTTGCTGGCATCTGATATAGTCTCACTATGCAATCCAGCAAACACACTGATAGATATTTATAGAAATGAGTTTAAAAATTATCTGCACAGAAAAACCTGCACGAGAATATGTATAGTAGCTTACTTCATAATTAACAAAACTGGAAGCATCCAAGAGTACCTTTAGAAAGTGAATGGATTGAAAACCCTATACTACATTCATATATTAGAATATTATTCAGTTCAGTGATGAAAAGAAATTGTCTATGAAGACATGAAAGGACGTGGGGGGCATTAAATACGTATTCCTCAATAAAAGAAGCCAATCTGAAAAGTCAATGCAGTCATCTCTTGATATCCATGGGAGATTGCATCCAGGACCCCCAGTTACCCAAATTAGTGGATTCTCAAGTCCCTTATATAAAATGGCATAGTTTTGCATATAACCCATGCACATCCTTCCATATAATTTAAATAATCTCTAGATTACTTATAATACCTAATACAATGTAAATGCTATGAAAATAGTTGTCATACTGTATTTTTAAAATTTGTACTGTTTTTAATTGTATTATGTTAAAATTTTATTTTAAAAATATTTTGATCCATATTTGTTTGAATTCATGGATGGAGATCAACTATATATACTATTTGATTCCAACTATATGACATTCTGGAAAAGGCAAAGCTATGGAGACAGCAGAAAGACCAGTGGTAGCCAAGGGTTCAGAATAGAGAGGGAGTGTTGAGTAGATGGTGCAGAGGGGATTTCTAGGTCAGTGAAGCTATTCTGTGTGATACTATCATGGTGACTATATGACATTATGCATTTGTCAAAATTCGTAGAACTCTACAGCACAAAGAATGTATCCTAATGTAAATTATGGACTTTAATAATAATGTATCAATATTGATTCATCAGTGGTAATGAATCTATGACTCTAATACAAGAAGTTAATAGTAGAGGAATCTGTGGTGGGTGAGGAGTGAGGAGAAGGGATATATAGAAACTCTGTACTTTCTGCTACATTTCCTGTAATGCTAAAATTATTCTAAAAGATAGGCTATTTGTCTTAAAAATGGTGTATAATATACATGTACAGCCTAAGTACACATTCAGAATCTCCACTTGCATAAGGAAAGACTGCCTTATAGCTAGCTGGTCATCTGGAAGTCTGGTATTGACCTGTGGCTGTGATAAGAAGGAAATGAGCTAGATGGAGATGTGTCATTTTAAGTCAGAACCACCCCCCACCATCCACTCACCAGCACCTGGAATCTGGCTGTAGCTTGTACACTTGTTTAATGTATAGATCCATGGTTGAGCCTGGCAACGAGTTATGTAGCTTAGATTTGCCATATGACCAGCAGAGCATAAAAGACCCAGCTGTAAAGTTTTGCCCAGCCTCACCTGAAATCATGATTTCTTACACATATTTTGGTGGTTGATGTTTCAAAGACAAAATGCATATTGTGCTACTAAGAAAGGACTCTATAGAGCTGTGCTTGAAAGAGCAGAAACTTGATTGCGCATGCTTCATTTTCGTGTTGTGCCATATCCTTTACCTCCAGTAAAAGCTTACTTATGTTCACAATGTGGAGTCCTGGGAGGCCTTCCAATTATCCAAGTTAAGAAATAGTAAACTGGCAAAATTATAGAACAAACAAGTATGATCCTTTTAATCAAAAGTCCTTCCTTTTAAAGTAAAACACAATTATAATTTTGAAGATAATTATTATGATTGGCTTAACAATTTTCCAGCTTTATAATGGGTTTAGCAGGATGTAACTCCATCGTTATTAAGTTGAGGAGCATTTAGATTTATGATGACTCAACTTAATAATTTTTCTTTACTTTACAATGGATTTTTGGGGTATTAAATATATATTCAATTTCCAATGAGTTTATTGGGATATCACCCCAGCATAAGCTGAGGAACAACTGTAATCATACACTTTGCTTTCCTTTATAATTTTACCATATCCATAATAATTTCTGAACATTACTTAGTTTTAATACCTTTTGGCCTTTATGCTAATGTCATCCAATATTACATTAAGATTTACTCATTTTCAGGGCTGGGCGTGGTGGCTCATGCCTGTAATCCCAGCACTTTGGGAAGCTGAGGTGGGCAGATCACTTGAGGCTAGGGGTTTGAGACCAGTCTGGGCAACATGATGACACCCTGTCTCTACGAAAAATACAAAAATTAGCTGGGGGTGATGGCACGCACCTGTGGTCCCAGCTTTTTGGGAAGCTGAGGTGGGGGATCGCGTAATCCCTGGGAAGTTGACATGCAGTGATTGTTGATTGCACCACTGCACTACAGCCTGGGCAACAGAGTGAAACTCTGTCTCAAAAAAAAATATATTCATTTTAATAGCTGTACTGATATTTCATTTAATGGATATCCCAGTTCAACTATCCTCTTGAAGAATATGAATTTCCAGTTTGGTAATATTCTGATAAAACCTACTATAAACATTGCTATATATGTTTCCTATTGTACATGTGCATGTCTGCTTGTAGGGCATATACTTAAGGATAGAGTGTCTGAGTCATGAGTAATATGTTTTTTTCAACTTTACTAGACAACGACAGTTTTCTAAAGCGCTTGTATCCATTTATACTCCCAGCAATGCATGCGTGTTCCCAAGGCTCCATCTCCTCCCAAACACTTGATATTGAAAGATTTGATTTTATCTGTCCTTCTGTCCTGACACGTGTGTAGTGGTATCCCATTGCAATTCTAAAAGCATTTCCCTGGTTATTAGTTAGTTCGAGAATCTTTCATCTTTTTTTTTCTTTTTAGCCATTTAGTTTTTCTCTTATTGAAGTTCCTAATCGAGTCTCTTCTCCGTTTTCCTATAGGGTTGCCTATCCTTTTCAAACTTACTTGTAGGAGGATTCTAGATATGAACCACCTCTCTGTTTTATGTGTAACAAATAAGATATTTATGTAATTATATTTGCCAATGGAGTAAATATTGTCTCTCATGACTACGGCTGAAGCTCTCTGCACCATTTCTTTGTTATAGTTTGCCTTGCCACTTCGTTTTGGAGTCTTAAAATAAAAAGGGATTCTTAATTTTAATGTTGTTATATTTAGAAGTGATTTTATGGTTACCATTTTTTAAATGTTCATTTAAAAATTTATGTGTAAATGGGACATGCAGATGTTCCCTTCTATTCTCTTCTAGAAAGTTTTATTTTTTAGCTTTATCTTCACATGTATAATTCCCTTGAATTGTTTAATTGTTTTTTTGAATTAATTTTTTTTGTCTCTAGGTTGAGGTAGAGGGCAAGTTTTAAAATTTTTACATACAGTTTGCCAATAGTCTAAATTTATATATTATAAATATTTTATAAATATGTTATAAATATAAATATAACATATAAATGTAAATATTATAAATATATGATATATTAATATATATTAGTGTGCCATATTAATATGATATATAAATATGATATAAATATATATTAATATATATCATATATTTACACATTAATTATATTATATATACATTAGTTATATATTATATAAATACTAATTAATTAATTATATGTTAATATATAATATATAAATATAATACAATATATAAATATAATACAATATATAAATATATATTATCTATTTATATAGTATATATAATATATTATATATATACAATATTATATATACAATATATACAATATATATTGTAATTATATGTATATATATGTATACATATATATGTATATATGTAATACAATATATAATATATTGTATTATATATTGTATATATAATATATTGTATTATATATTGTATATATAATATATTGTATTATATATTGTATATATAATATATTGTATTATATATTGTATATATAATATATTGTATTATATATTGTATATATAATATATTATACAATGTATTACATATATTAAATATTGTATGATATATTACGTATACCAATATATTAAATACTGTATGATATATTACGTATACCAATATATTAAATACTGTATGATATATTACGTATACCAATATATTAAATACTGTATGATATATTACGTATACCAATATATTAAATACTGTATGATATATTACGTATACCAATATATTAAATACTGTATGATATATTACGTATACCAATATATTAAATACTGTATGATATATTACGTATACCAATATATTAAATACTGTATGATATATTACGTATACCAATATATTAAATACTGTATGATATATTACGTATACCAATATATTAAATACTGTATGATATATTACGTATACCAATATATTAAATACTGTATGATATATTACGTATACCAATATATTAAATACTGTATGATATATTACGTATACCAATATATTAAATACTGTATGATATATTACGTATACCAATATATTAAATACTGTATGATATATTACGTATACCAATATATTAAATATTGTATGATATATTACGTATACCAATATATTAAATATTGTATGATATATTACGTATACAATATATTAAATATTGTATGATATATTATGTATACGATATATTACGTATACCAGTATATTAAATATTATATGATATATTACGTATACCAATATATTAAATATTATATGATATATTACGTATACCAATATATTAAATATTATATGATATATTACGTATACCAATATATTAAATATTATATGATATATTATGTATACCAATATATTAAATATATGATATATTACGTATACCAATATATTATTATATGATATTTTACATATAGTAATATATTAAATATTATATAATATATTACATATACCAATATATTAAATATTATATATTATATATACTAATATGTTAAATATTATATAATATATTATATATACTAATATATTAAATATTATATATTATATATACTAATATATTAAATATTATATAATATATTATATAGTATATATATTTGAACTCTTTTATTGTCTATCTTCATGACAAATGGATTATTAAATTATTACAATGTGACACTCTTCACTCTGGTATATTTTTAATAATTCTCAATAGTCATAATAGCACATATCTCTGTTTTGTTTTTCTTCAGGATTTTTTTGGATTTTCTTAGGCTTTAGCTGTTCCCAGTATTGTATCTGTGAATACATTTTTTTCATTCTATATTTTGTGCTTCTCCCTTTCAGTTTACCAATTGACATTATACTGAATCATTCTTAGATGACAGAATTTCATATTTATTATTTTCTTGTTTCCAGTTCTTTTGTGGACTTTTTTGCCTTCAATTTGATTTTTGTAATTTTCTCTTCTATGTCAGTTGTTTGACTTTTTTTGGTTGTGTTCATTCTATTACTTGTTTATAAACTTTTTTTTTCATTTCCAATGATTACTATTTCCTCAATTTTCTCTGTTCTTCCCAATCTCTTGTTCTTTTATTTCTTTCTTGAGATTAAATTTTGGAAGGGTACTCCACTTTTTTACTGCATATCCCTCTGACAAAAAGATGGAGTATTTTCTTCTGTTCCTATTCTTACTACTTTTGCATCCATACTAACTTTTTTCTGTGTTGGCTTGCTTATTTTCTTTCTTATTTTTTTGTCTTTTAAATTTTTTTGCTTTTCTTTTTTTTCCTTTCTTTTTCAAAAAGCTTTATTGTATGTAGTATATTTAGTACATTTATCTACTTTACATGATGAGTTTAAAATATTTGCACTTAATATGCAAAGCTTTGCTCAGTCCTTTTACATGATTTATTATTGCAGGTGACTTCTTAATTCCTTTTCCATGGTCTCTGAAATATTTTCTCTTCTAAGCTCCAGTATGAAGTTTAAGTATTCCAATACATGCTTCTGCTTTCTGGGTCCAAGACATATTGAGAAGGCCATCTCAGCTGTCCCAGGGTCCTAACCTTATTCAATAAAATACTTTGTACTAGCTCTCTTATAATTTAGTAAGATATTCTATACCATAGTTATTCTATCTGTATGAGGACAGGGTATAAGACGCATTCTCTTTTCTATAGGAAAGGTTTGTGGCCTTAATGAATTTGCTTTAATTTAATTTAATCTGCAATCTTCAATTCTTTTACCCCTCCTTTTTTCCTTAGCATGATTTTTATTATTCCATAAGATAGGGAAAAATAAAAGCTCACCTGTCCAGTCTACTCACAAATTTTTTTTCTTCAACTTCTAAGTTCGGAGGTACATATGCAGGATGTGCAGGTTTGTGACATAGGTAAACATGTGCCGTGGTGGTATGCCGCACAGATCATCCCATCACCCAGGTATTAAGCCCAGCATCCATTAGCAATTCTTCCTGATGCTCTCCCTCCCCCCACCCCCAACCCTCCAAGGCCCCAGTGTGTGTTGTTCCCCTCCATGTGTCCATGTGTTCTCATTATCATCCACGTGTTCAGCTCCAACTTATAAGTGAGAATATCCAGTGTTTGGCTTTCGGTTCCTGCATTAGTTTGCTAAAGATAATGGCTTCCAACTCCATCCATGTCCCTGCAAAGGATATGGTCTCACCCCTTTTTATGGCTGCATAGTATTCCATGGTGTATATGTAGCACATTTTCTTTATCCAGTCTATCACTAATGGGCCTTTAGGTTGATTCCATGTCTTTGCTATTGTGAATAGTGCTGTAGTAAACATACATGTGCATGTATTGTTATAATAGAATGATTTCTGTTCCTTTGGGTACATACCCGGTAATGGGATTACTGGATCAAATGGTATTTCTGCCTCTAGGTCTTTGAGGAATCGCCACACTGTCTTCCACAATGGTTGAACTAATTTCCACTCCCACCAACAGGGTAAAAGCTTTCTTTTTTCTCCACAACCTTGCCAGCATCTGTTTTTTTTTTTTTTTAATAATAGCCACTTTGGCTGGCATGAGATAATATCTTATCGTCGTTTTGATTTGTATTTATCTAATAATCAGTGATGTAGAGCTTTTTTTCATATGTTTGTTGGCCGCATGCATGTCTTCTTTTGAGAAGTGTCTGTTCATGTCTTTGTCCTCATTTTAATGGAGTTGTTTGGTGTTTTTTCTTATTTATAAGTTCCTTGTTTACTAGATTCCGGCTATTAGACTTTTGTCAAATGAATAGATTGCAAAAATTTTCTCCCATTCTCTAGGTTGTCTGTTCACTCTGATGATAGTTTCTTTTGCTGTGCAGAAGATCTTTAGTTTAATTAGATCCCATTTGTCAAATCTTGCTTTTGTTGCAATTGCTTTTTGCTTTTTTTGTCATTAAACCTTTGCCTATGCCTTATGTCCTGAATGGTATTTCCTAGATTTCCTTCTATGGTTTTTATAGTTTGGGGTTTTAGGTTTAAGTCTTTAATCCATCTTGAGTTAATTTTTGTATGTGGTGAAAGGAAGGGGTGCAGTTTCAATTTTTTTGCATATGGCTAGCCAGTTTTCCCAGAATCATTTATTAAATAGGAAATCCTTTCCCCATTGCTTGTTTTTGTCAGGTTTGTCGAAGATCAGATGGTTGTAGGTTTGTGGTCTTATTTCTGAGTTCTCTATTCTGTTCCATTGGTCTACGGTTCTGTTTGTTCTTGTACCAGTAGCATGCTGTTTTATTTACTGTAGACTTGTAGTATAGATTGAAGTCAGGTAGAATGATGCTTTCAGCTTTGTTCTTTTTGCATCAGATTGCCTTGGCTATTCGGGCTTTTATTTGTTTCCATGTGACTTTTAAAATAGTTTTTTTTCTAATTCTGTGAAGAATGTCAATGATAGTTTAATGGGAATGGCATTGAATCTATAAATTAGTTTGAGCAGTATGGCCATTTTCATGATATTGATCCTTCCTATTGCTGACCATGGAATGTTTTTTCATTTGTTTGTGTCCTGTCTGATTTTCTTGAGCAGTGCTTTGCAGTTTTCCTTAAAGAGGTCCTTCATTTTCCATGTTAGCTGTATTCCTAAGTATTTCATTCTTTTTGTAGCAATTGTGAATGGGAGTTCATTCATGATTTGGCAATCTGCTTGCCTGTTGTTCGCAATATTTTTTCTGTTTTCTCAGTTTAGATATTGACCTGACTGAATTCACCAATCTTTTCTTCTTTTGTGTCCAGCCTGTGTTTAAAACCATATATGTATTGATTTCTGAATATTTAATAACATATTTTGATTTTTGAAATGTTCATATAATTCATTTTTATAAATTTCAAATTTTTATTGAAACATATCACCCTTTCTTTTATGTTGTTCTACTTTTCCTCAATTTTCTTTTCTATATTAATTGTAGTCACTTAGAAGTCCTTGTCTGCTAATGCCAATATCTGGACCAGTTGTGGACTGCATTTGTTATCTGTCTTTCATTTTGACTATTGGTCATATTTTCTTTCAACCTTCTATATCTGGTAAACTTTTATTGAATGCTGAACATCATGTGTAAATAAAACAGATACTTTGATGATATCTTATAATAGAGAAGGTTCTCCCTTTTTTAAATTTGATGCAGAGAAGGTGACAGATAGAGCACCTGAATCAACCTAAGCTTCCTCAGTCTAGGAGGAAATTGAGATGGGTCAGAGCTAGGTTGGGACATCGGTAATATTCACTCTACTTTGACTAATCCCTGATCCTCAAGTTTGACCATCCTGAATACCTGATGGGGAATCACTTCCCATTATTATAGGAGGCTCATTAGCTCCTTCCTCAAAGAATGAGGAAGATTCAGCTCTCTGAGAAGTCTGACATTCAAAATCTGGTAAACTCCCTTAATTGACAAAAATGCTGTTTTTCCAAATCATTTCAAGATGCCTGCACGAGTTCTCACTCTGCCTTTTAGAAATGGTTGGCTTAGTTGTCCAGCTCCTTTCTAGCACCAGAATTCAGCCATGGGGGAGCCAGCCTTGTCTGAGTCTTCTCGAACTTCCTGATTGTCACAGCAGCCATTCAGGTCCCTCTTTGCATACCCTTCACCCTGGCAGATATCACAATAGATTGTTATTGAATAACTCCTTTTTGTCTGCTCCCTAAGCCGTAAAATTCTTGAAGGCAGAAACTGTCATCCTTTTTCTCTATATTTTCAAATGCCAGGCACAAGGTAGGTATTCTTGTTAATGAATGAAAAATATATAGTCATTATATCATAAGAATCTTTTATTTTTATGTATTTTGTATCATGATGTTTTATTGACTATATAAGAATAGCTAATCAACTAGATTTGTTAATTATTCTAATTTTATGAACATTATAGGTAATACTGTAAATGCACATGTTCCTTTACAGGGTTCTTATCCTCCTCTATTTGATTAAAGCCAAGGAACAAACCTCAGCATTAAAACATATACAATACCTTTGCAAAAAAGACAATGGCAACACCCAGTTTAATCACAAATGCAGTAGTATTAGGTATTTTTTTCATGTCTTATTACTTATTAAGTGTATAATTGCCTCTCCATAAAACTTTATTTCCATTTCTTTTAAAGCTATTGAAGAATATCCATATTATTAATTTATTTTATTTTTCCTTAATTAAAAAAAAGTTTTGTGGGTGCATAGCAGGTGCATATATTTATGGGGTAGGTGAGATGTTTTGGTACAAGCACACAAGGTGAAATAAGCACGTAAAGGGGAATGGGGTATCCATCTCCTCAAGCGTTTATCCTTAGAGTTACAAACAATCCAATTGCACTATTAATGTTATTTTAACATCTACAATTAAGTTATTATTGACTATAGCCACCCTATTATGCTTCAAATAGTAAGTCCTATTCATTCTTTCAATTTTTTTTATCCATTAACTGTCCTCACCACCCTCACCAGACCCCTACTATCCTTCCCAGCCTCTGGCAACCATCCTTCTATTCTCTATGTCCATGAGTTCAATTGTTTTGATTATTTGATCCCACAAATAGTTGAGAACATGTGATGTTTGTCTTTTTGTGCCTACCTTATTTCACTTCACATAATGGTCTCTAGTTCCATCCATGTTGTTCTATATTATTTTTATATTTGTGAAATATGGAGTCATTTTTAACTTACTTATTCGAAGTTTATTTCATTTAATTCACATTTATGCAGATCAAAACTGAGAAATAGGACGTATAATTTCCTATAGTGAAATGGAAAGTGTACTACCCATGCACTAATCTCATGCCCTTTAGCATATCTTCCTACTTTAAGTTATAATGACATTCCTGCATGTTCAAGGAAAATGAGCAGAAAACCTCACTTAGAAAGGTTAATGAAAGAAATGATCCATTTCAATTTATATAAATGCCATTGAAAGCATATGGCAAAAGCATAGCATTTGTGAGTGATAATTTTCACTATATACAATGTACTCTCAGTGCTTTTCTTTTACTAGCATTCAAGTTTTCATTAATAGTTTATTTCTACAAATGATAGTGCTTCATTAAAATGTAAATACAGAACGGAACAGTTGAAAGCAGATCCAATAAACATTGTCCCTTCTTTTTAAACTTACATTGTTATCAGATATATTTTATACTAATTATACACAGTGACTTTAGCTGTGCTGCCTAATTAACTAGTCACTAGCCTTATATAACTATTTACCTCTAAGTTAATTAAAATTAAATAATAATAATGTCTTAAAATTATTTCCTCTATTGCACCAGCCTCATTTCAAATGTTCAATAGCCAAATGTGGCTAGATGCTACCATATTTAAAACAGTGTGGATACAGAACATTTTCATTATCACAGAAGAGGTTTTTGGACAGCATTGGCTAGAGTTTTCAAAAGACTGGGGTTAGAATGTTTGCTTTTCTTTGAAAGGTCTGGGTGAAACTAATGAAAATACCTTTGCGTTAATTGCACTGGTTTCCCTTTAAACACATTTTAGAACAAAATATGGGCTGTGAGTTCGCTTGGAAATTATTTTTCCAACTCATTAATGAGATAAAGAAAGGTTGTCCCATGGAGGGTTATTATTTGGTGGTAAGCTATTGGTTGGTAAATTAGTGATGAAGCTGGAACTGGTATTCAAGTCCCCTGACATGATGTTGACTGCTCATTCTACTCTTCTACATTGCTATATTTAAGATTTTTGTTCACTCTTGGTACTTTACCAACTCCAGAGAAACATTGAAGTCAATGACCAAGTTGTCAGTACCTCAGTGTGCAATCATTGGTTATTGGTCAAATTATGTTACCAGAAGCTATTTCCATTGAGATAGGAAAACAGCAAATTATTTCCAGAGTCAAACTGAGAATTAAATTTCCTATAGCTGCCATTTTTCCATATAATAATAATTTATATGCTTCCTGCTTATAAACAAGTATAATTCCATGTCTCTAACAGAGCTGAAAAATAAACATTAATTATAAGTCAGTAGAGAAAAATGACTTTGTTCATCTCATATAATTTGTACTTGTTGCTACCATGGCATAAAACACAACATGTTGGAACCATTTGCATGTCTCCCAGTGAGATTGTAAACTTTGAAAAAAATCACTGTATTATCAGAAATTTGTGTGGGCCGTAGTAGATGTTAATTTATAATGAATATGAATAAATAAAAAGTGGATGAGTAAATCAATGGTACCACTTACCAATGGTTAGCATGTTTATTTTCTGTCATTCCTATATCTTTAGATCATGTTGGGTGCTAAAAATATAATGTGGACAATATAACACTTACTTTTAGTTTTCTGGAAATCAGTTTGCTGACCTATATAACAATCTCCATTGGTTTTTAGAGATTTTTGTAAAACACAGTGTCTTAACTTCATAAAACTCTGGAAGTTGTTAACTTCAAAAACAAAACTAGTCTTGTATAACTCCTATAAGAAGAACTCAGAAGGATAATAATAGCACTTATAATTTTGTTAAGGTAAAACTTAAGGCTGTGACAAACAGCCTTGAGTGGAAATCCTTCTAGTAAAGTGCTTGCTAAGGAGTGATTACAACTTTCTTGTAATTGTGCTTGAAAGGCTCCTCAGGAAGAGAGCTAGCTGGTTAAAACGGTAATGTCAGGGGAAGTGAAAAGAATCTAATATTTTGAAACAACAACCTAGTATGTCATAAACATTTTCTATAAAAATCATGAACTTCATGAGAAGTTTGGGGGTGTTAGAATAGGAAGAGTACATGCACCTAGAAATAATTAAGGTTAAGAGAATACTCAAATTAATTTCCAAATGATAGCCAAGTTGAAGAACAAATAAAATATATCTCTTGGTTTTGATATCAGAATTACAGAGTTAGGAAGAACCTTATTAAGTTGTGTATTCCAATCTCTTACGCACAATGAAATTCTTTCCATAACATTTATTCAAAAAATATTTTGAGCTTCTTCTTTGGAACAGCACCCTTTTATGTCTAGGGATAATCATAAAGGAGATCACGGAATTTCTAGTCTAGTCATTACAGTCAGATGCTAAACAACATATAGTAAGTTAGGTGCTACGCCAGAGTTAAAAAAATAGAGAGTGATGGGTGATGGGTATTCTACATTATGAAAGAGGCTCGAGAAAAGTCTTTTGATAAGCTGATATTTATGCAGGGCTTTAATTGAAGTGAGAGAACAAGCTATGCAGATAGTTGAGGGAAGACATTCCAGGCAGAAGGAACAGTGAGGACCAAGCCCTTGGGTCAAGATTATAATTAGTGAATTCTAAGGACAGCAATGGTAGTTGAGAGGTTGGAACAGAATGAAAGTTGGGGAGAATGATAGAAAGTGATGTCAGAGAGTTACTCAGACATGCAATGCAATAGCTTTTTTTTTTTTTTTTTGCAGTTGCAAGATTTAATAGAGTGAAAACAGAGCTCCCATACAACGGGAGGGGACCCAAAGGGGGTTGCCACTGCCTGCTCGAATGCCCTGGGTTTATATCCTGATCATTGTCCCTCCCCCTGTGCCCTCAGGCGATAGATGATTGACTATTTCTTTACCTCCTGCTTTTAGCCTGATTGGTATTTTAGTGAGCCCTTTTTTTAATACCTGATTGGTCGGGTGTGAGCTGAGTTACCAGCCCCGTGTTTAAAGGTGGGTGCCATCACCTTCCCCAGCTAGGCTTAGGAATTCTTAGTTGGCCTAGGAAATCCAGCTAATCCTGTCTCTCAGTCCGCCCTCTCAACAGGAAAACCCAAGTGCTACTGGGGAGGTTGGCTGATGACAGCTCTAACTGCCTCCTGCTGAACTGGGGCGTAGTAGGGGTTGTGCAGTTGAGATTTCCTTGGGAGGGTTGCCTTTGATGTCATCAACATCGGAGCATGGGCTAGCAGGCTGGCTCAGGGGTCCGTGGTAGATCTTAGTCATGGACTGTATCTGGGGCTCCATTTGAAGAACTATTTGTAGTTTTCCAGCTTTGATTCTGAAAGAGACAAATTTAACAAGGAGGTTAAAGATACAGGGATTGAAATGTATGGCCTGAAGTACAGGGGGAGGCACATCCAACAGTTAGTAGGGTTTTCTCTGAGGCTTCATGGAGCCCAGTGAGGGTGGTATTAAATAGGCTTACCAGGTGAGTATGGGTATGGAAGGTTTCATGTAGTTTTGAGAGATCTAGTCCTTTGCAGGGGCTGGGGTGCTAATGTACCCAAGTCAGTTGGGAGATGACTTCCTTTACATGTTTTTCTCTTGCCTGATCTTGAACTCCACCCCCATCAGACATACCGGTATGGGTGAAGTGAATTCAACAGACAGTGGCTGCAAGCCCTCAGGACAACTAGGATTAATTATTTTCCCTGTCCAATAATGAGTATTTGCATGCATGCAAAGAGTGGCAGAGTTATAGCAGCTGCGGGGAAATAGGTGTCGGGGGTGCAGTGAAAGTGAAAGGGGTAAGAGAACAGTAAAGAGAAAAATATGAGAAGGGGGGGCCATGGGGATTAAGACATACTTAAAACATTTTTTAGGACATGTGGCTGTTTTTTAAGACATACTAAGAGCTTTGATTGTTATTTTAGATATAATGGTATGTTATCAGAAAGATGTGAACGAAGGACTGGCAAAATTAGATACTTTTTTTTAAAGATTGCCTTGGCTGCTCTGTAGAGAATAAACTTCAGGGGTCACATGTAAATGCAAGGATATCATTCAGAGAGCATCAAAACAATCCAACCAAGAGATGGTAGTAGGTAGGCCTGGGGTGTTATTAGTGTAAGCAATGTAAAGTGGAGAAATGTGGGGAGACAATCCATACTTATTATGCATGTTGAGCATTTGCCGAGAAGAGAAGAATTATGGATGATTGTTTGATTTTTAGCCTGAACAATTATTATTGGGATTGGAAAAATAGGAGAAGAGCAGGTTGAAAAGATTTAGAGTTTATTTGTGGCATGCTAAATTTTAGGTGCCTATTAAATATCTAAAAAGTGGAGTTGGAACACAGTGAGATTGTACACAAAGTTGGTCATCTTTGCCTAAACACTTAGAGTCACAGATTTTATTATCTTTTGAGGTAACCCAATACCCTGAGAGCCAACCCTAATTGTTAAAAAAGTTTATTAAATTGAGCCAAAATTATCTTACTTCTACTTATACCTAATGATTATTATTCTATCTCTGGAGGAGAAATGTAAACAAACTTAATCTCTCTTTCATCATATGCTATACAAATTCACAAATAGAACATTTTACCTCATTGATCTTTTTTTTTTTTTTTTGTCCAGGCTAAGCATCATACTTCTAGTTTTTCCCATCTCAAATGGTTTTCTATTCATGACTGTCTCAAATGAACCAACCCTATTCCCTTAACAGATCTTTAATAAATATGAATATCATAACATCTGCCCAGAATTTGATATATGGAGTTTCTTTGTGCATCTTTCCTGGAAATAAATCTACCTTGTAACTTCTTTCTCTTTCTTTGTCATTGTTGAGCTCATTGTGGTGTGCAGGCCACGTATTTTTTAACTCTCTGCACCATAGTATTCAAAACTATTATAATTGTTGTTTTTTCTTATTTTATGATTAGCATTTATTTCTAACTTTAAAATTTCTTGGAAGGCCGCCCATCTCTTTTAAGAATACTGTTCTTGTGCAGAGGACTTTTTAGAAAGAGAAGTATTAGCATGGTTGCCTAGAAACCAAAAAGGCATTCAGAATAATAGGAAGAATAGGGAAATAAATGAAAATATTATCTACAATGACATTTGATTTAGGTGAGAAAACAGCTGAACTATTTTGTGCAGCCTTGATTTGATGAAACAATCCTCCTTTTGAACAAAGAATGCTCTTTACAATGTGAACTTACTTGAAATTAGTCACTGTATTACTCTCATAGTTATATATCTCCATCATAATTACAATGTGACGTTTAAAAATATTTTATTTAGCCATTCTCTTATTTTCTTTACTATAAAAGTTCATTGTTTCTTCACACATTTTCTTTGTTGTCTGTCTATGTATGAAAAGCTATTCAAAAGTTTTAAGGTATTTAGTTCCAACTATTGACTGGCATATTAAATCAATAGTTAAATTTGGAAGAGAGAGGATCTGGTACATAATATTGATAACAGATTAGATCTGTGGCTTAACTCTTTTCCTTTACGCATATATTTTAAGATTTTATAATCCAGTGAGTTTGCAACATTTAATGTTAGAAATATGAAATAATATAAATGGATACTGCTTGATGAGTTTAGAAGGAAAAGAGATGCATTTTAATGCCTATTGTTTAAAGCTGTTTTGTGTCTGTGAAACAGATAAAGGAGTTAAGAAGGAATTACTTGGGCAGATAGCAAGGGCATGGGAGTCCTCGGTAAGACATTTCTTTTTAATGAAAAGCAGCCCCAAATAATTTTCTAACAAAGAATACCCTGCAAGCTGGGAGCTTGCACCAATTAATGCCAGCAGGAACTAAGTACTACATTTTCAAGATGGCGACTTCCCTTCTCTACCAGCCACATGTGCTATAAGGAACAGACAAGATTGCAGGGATCAACTGGAAATCCTATTTGCAAAGATTAGGGTGGGGCGACCAGCATTCCCTGCATGCTATGTAAATGGCATACCTGATTGAACCAATCTATGAGCCCTATATAAATCAGACACTGCCTCCTCAAACTAGTCTTTTCTGCTCAGAGACCCCTTCTTCTATGAAGGAAGCTGTTTCTTTTTCTTTTTCTTTTTCTTCTACTTATTAAGTCTCCGTTCCTAAACTTTTCATGTGTGTCCATGTCCCAAATTTTCCTGGCACTCGACAACGAACCCCAGGGTATATACTCCAGATAATGTAGCCACTTCAAAGTCACTCATGCCATCCTTTCAACTTTTAAGTTTCTGCTGAAAAGCAAAGTTACTAAATTTAAAGTTCAGATATATTTAAGGGCAAAGGGTCAAAAAGAACTTTTAAAGTCTTATAACCTCATAGTATGCATTTTCAGGAGACTGCTCTTTACTCTTAACGTCTTTCTTATTTTTTTCTCTTTCTGATCTCACCTATTCTTGAATTTTCCCTATTGCCTCTTACACCTGATTTATTCTTTTGTTCTGCAGACAATAAAGAATTTTTAATAGCTGATGTACTTTCATTATCCATTTCTAACTGAAAAATTCTACTGAGTAAAGCATCAAACACCCAACAACTTTCGATATGGTAGAGAGGTATATTAAAAACAAAAGCAATTAGTGTGTTTTAAAGAAAATAAATGATAAGAAGTAAGTCAAGAAGGATTCTATTAATTAATTTTTATTAAAGCACTAGCTAAAAAGTAATTATGTTATAGAATGATGAAACTAAAAATTTTTAATATAATTTAAATTGATAAATTTCAGAGAAAATAGTCCATTCACACACACCGTCTTTCTCTGGCAGATTGTCATTTTCTTTTTTTTTTTTTAATTTATTATTATACTTTAAGTTTTAGGGTACATGTGCACAATGTGCAGGTTAGTTACATATGTATACATGTGCCATGCTGGTGTGCTGCACCCACTAACTCGTCATCTAGCGTTAGGTATATCTCCCACTGCTGTCCCTCCCCCCTCCCCCCACCCCACAACAGTCCCCAGAGTATGATGTTCCCCTTCCTGTGTCCATGTGTTCTCATTGTTCAATTCCCACCTATGAGTGAGAATATGCGGTGTTTGGTTTTTTGTTCTTGGGATAGTTTACTGAGAATGATGATTTCCAATTTCATCCATGTCCCTACAAAGGACGTGAACTTATCATTTTTTATGGCTGCATAGTATTCCATGGTGTATATGTGCCACATTTTCTTAATCTAGTCTATCATTGTTGGACATTTACGTTGGTTCCAAGTCTTTGCTATTGTGAATAATGCCGCAATAAACATACGTGTGCATGTGTCTTTATAGCAGCATGATTTATAGTCCTTTGGGTATATACCCAGTAATGGGATTGCTGGTTCAAATGGTATTTCTAGTTCTAGATCCCTGAGGAATCACCACACTGTCTTCCACAATGGTTGAACTAGTTTACAGTCCCACCAACAGTGTCAAAGTGTTCCTATTTCTCCACATCCTCTCCAGCACCTGTTGTTTCCTGACTTTTTAATGATTGCCATTCTAACTGGTGTGAGATGGTATCTCATTGTGGTTTTGATTTGCATTTCTCTGATGGCCAGTGATGCCAGTGATGATGAGCATTTTTTCATGTGTTTTTTGGCTGCATAAATGTCTTCTTTTGAGATGTGTCTGTTCATGTCCTTCGCCCACTTTTTGATGGGGTTGTTTGTTTTTCTCTTGTAAATTTGTTTGAGTTCATTGTAGATTCTGGATATTAGCCCTTTGTCAGATGAGTAGGTTGCGAAAATTTTCTCCCATTTTGTGGGTTGCCTGTTCACTCTGATGGTAGTTTCTTTTGCTGTGCAGAAGCTCTTTAGTTTAATTAGTTTTCAAAGCCACTGATTGTTTGGCAAATGCTATGTGATCCCAGCTACAACTGTGGATAGAGAAGAAGACAAGTTGATTTGTTTTTTTCTTTTAAGAGCTACAAGTATGAGACCAGAAAGCAGTAAGTTGATGGTGGCTTGCTGAGCTGAGAAGTCATATATATTTAGGGCTGGTGTTGATAACATGACAGTCTATTATATGGCATAGCCTTCTTGATCCCCTCCTAATGGGAAATCTTATAAAAACCATGAAAGAGTTTAATTGAGAAAAACTTAATCTCTTCTATGGAATGATCTAGGTAAAATTATTAAAAGGTTACTTTAGATAAACATATTTATGACAAACTACAACCAGATCATAAGCCCTATGAAGATGGAATTCCTCATCTGATCTCTTCCTGCAGAGACTACTGCAATGAATAGCACTTAGCAGGTATTTGATAAATATTTATTATTGTTAATGTGTTAGTGTCTATTGCCTCCTTCTCCTCTAATATTGTAACTTATCCAATCTCTTTATCAAAGATAAGTAGTTGTTGGTACAGGTCTTTGTCTTCATTCTGTTAACCCATCTTTTCATTTTCTTGGTCCATTTTCATTTACTGACCTTCTTTTGAGTCTCTGTTTTACATGCAAATTCAACTGAATCAGAATGGATATTTTTTTCTAATAACAGAGAACTGAGGTCTCTGAATCCTCATAGTTAACAAGAAGTTTAGCCTTCAATTTAAGCATATACCCACAAAATATATTGGCTACTGTCAAATATATTTAAATGCTGAAATGTAATTGGACTTGTTTTCCTTCATCAAATTTGTGACAGCATTAAGATCATGCCAAGAATGGCTTTGTTTTTTTCTTTGTTTGGCCTTTCTGTACTCTCTGGCTTGCTCTCTGAATGCAATAGCAATGGGAAGAGATATCCAAGGTTAGTCACAAGGAAAATTGCTTTAAAAGAGTAAACATTATGAAAGATTATGCTATTAGGCAGAAAATGTCAATCCTCTTTCTCCTCTCTCTGTTTCTGTTTCATTCTCTCTATCACACACACATTTCTTTTGCCTATAGCTACCACTTAACCAATTATTGTTCAATTCTATGTAGGTTGCATTGACATTTTATATCTCTGTACTCAAATATCTACCTAGATGGGAACCAAATTAAGCAACTACTAATCATTATATATTTACTGTGTATCAGCTACCATACATTCATTAGCTCAAGTAATTTTAAAATTCAGTTTGGTCAAAACCCTACTTTGCTGTGGAAAAGATAATGAAATTTCCAAGAAAGAGCTAGTGGGATAAACATGACTTTCAAATCATTCAGGAGCATTTTAATACATTGCATTTGTTGAGCTCCTTTAAAATGTAACTTCTGTGAAGGCAAAGCTAAAATCTGAGTCGTTTTGTACAATATCCTAATACTCAGGATAGTACATGTCTCATAGTAGGAACTCAATACATATTTATTGAATGAATGAAAGATAATTGGAGAATATGTGGACTTATAGCCATTGGTAATTATGGAGGTAAAAGTATAAATGTTCATAAAATTATACCAAAGTGGAGAGAAACACAAAGTGAGAGCTGTATAGATACAGCTCTCACAAGATTTTTCATGGAGCATCTCTGAAATGTGTGGAAAAAAGTCATAAATAAATAAAACTAGAAACTATCGACTGGGGAAATTTTTTCTGTCTGCATAACTTTGGAATAAGTAACACAATCTCTCTGAGCATGAGTTTTCTCAACTGCTAAACAGGACAACTGCATTCACCTTGCAGGGTTTCTGTGAGAATCATGAAAAATTTATACTAACACAGTTATTATAAATAATTTGTTTAATCTAATTTTTATCATGATTTATCATAAAAATCATAATTTTTTTTATTAAGCCAACATTTTCTAGGGCCTACTGTGGGACAAGCATTCCAGCAACACAGGGCTACAAAGTGAGCAAGAAAAACACTTGACACCATAGTCTTCAGTTTAGATTTGAATGAGAAAATAGAACATTAATCAAAAATTACCCAAATAAATTAAAATAATAATTGTACTTGTAATGATTGGTACTTACATTAGTATCATTAATAGTTATTTTATTTTTAATTATACAGATACTTCCACAAAAAAACAAAACTTAGAAGTATAAAAAGATAACAG
The DNA here is from genome assembly GCF_000001405.40 of Homo sapiens. Classification (NCBI taxonomy): domain Eukaryota; kingdom Metazoa; phylum Chordata; class Mammalia; order Primates; family Hominidae; genus Homo; species Homo sapiens. The sequence goes on from NC_000018.10 coordinate 1,736,459, forward strand.
TTGCTCACTTTGAGTATTTAAGTATTTTAAGCATGATACTTTAAATAAATTCTTTAATCCATCGTGTCACACACAAACATTCAAAAAGTTTCAAATTTTTATAAAGGGACTATCATTTTTATGACCACACTTCCAAGTAGTTTTCTTTCTGCTATTTAAAAATACAATGACTAAAATATCGATGTTGAATAATAAGATGAAAATTTTGAATTTCATTAATTTTATACTAAACACAGTGTTGTCCCATCAGTATTAACAGAAACATATGTAGAACATGTAGAATTGACTTTGAAAGATGTGTTAATGCTCAAATTCAGTGAAAACCTTCATAACCAAATATGGCAGTCTAGGAAATGAGTATGATAGTGTAAGGTTAGAAAAATAACTTTTGATTTAAGAAACTGTTTTAATTTACTCTTTTCTTACAAAAGGAGAACAGACTCTCTCCTTTTATTTTAGAGATAATATTATTATCTCTGTTATTAGAGATAATAAAGCAACTAGAAGGAAATGAAACATCCATACTGTAACTTGACTTTATTATCTTTACATGAATAAGAATTATACTACTATTGATTCCCTTTATCATTTTAAACATACATAGAAAACTTAGTAGTAAAATACTGATTGTATAAAATATTGCAATCTTAGGTAAAAATATTGATCTTTATAGTAGTAGGAAAGTTGCCAATTTTCTGTCCCTTTAACTAGTATTAGTCAGAGTTACCTGTATCAGAACCCCCTATCTATAGGTAAATATATTTATTATGAAAAATTAGCCCATGCATTTATGGAGGACTAGAAGATCTTTGCCATCTGTGAGCTGGAAGCTCAGGAAAGCTGGTGGTGTAATTCCAGGCTGAATTCAAAGGCATGAGAACCAGAGGGTGTAAGTCATAATTTGAGGGCAAAAGACTAAATGTCCCAGTTTAAGCAGTCAGGGAAATTCTGATGTTTTGATACTGTAGCTTATAGCCTATACTTTAATTACTAGTTGATGATATAAATATTTAAGGTAATTTAAGTCATCAAGTGTTTTCTTTTTTGTTCTTTTTTTTTTTTTTTGAGACAGAGTCTCAGTGTTTCACCCAGGTTGGAGTGCAGTGCCATGATCTCCGCTCACTGCAACCTCTGCCTCCCAGGCTCAAGCGATTCTCCTAACTCAGCCTCCCAAGTAGCTGGGATTACATGCGCATGCCACCACCCCCAGCTAATTTTTGTATTTTTAGTGGAAACGAGGTTTCACTATGTTGGCCAGGCTGGTCTCAAACTCCTGACCTCAAGCGATTCACCAGCCTCGGCCTCCCAAAGTGCTGGGATTACAAGTGTGAGCTACCACTTCCAGCCATTAAGTGTCTTCTTAAACAGCTTATACCATGCACTTTATGATCTAAATACTTCGTTTTTAAACATTATCATTTGCTAAGAACATACTTTGTTTGTAGTAGAAGAGACTCACACAGTTGAGTTATTTATGAAAAATTATGCATCTTTTTAAATATTTTCTGGAAGAGTGGTTTCACATCTTTTGAAGGGTGTGGCTAGTAATTTCCCTCACCGGTCGCATCAATCGCAAGTAACAGTAGCCTAATAATAATTTCTTTCTTATACTAGGTGATAATTAAAACTTATGAACTGCTTTATGTGTTATTTCATTTTATTTCCAAATTTGAGATTTATATTTCATGTTTTCCAGAAGAAAAGAACTAATCAAAGTGATTTGTCAAAGTTGATACAACCATCACTAGCAGAACAATGTTTGTAACCTAGACTCCCAGCAGCAAACCAGAGAGCAATGTGGGAGCTGAGGGGCTGCCTGAAGCCACCTCGAGAAAGGCCTGCAGGAAGCTGAGCTACATATCAAACAGGATTCCCTGCTTCCATCAGTGACCATTTTCCTTATAATGTAATGGAAGTGCAGAATATTTATTATTCTCTTAAACATTTTGAAAAACAAATTCAAATGAAAATCACCAGGAGCATTTAATTTTAGTAAGATAAATACTTCTAAAATTTCTTCAGGAACTAAATTTCTAAAGATAAAAAGCACAAGATTTGGTTTACAATTTATAATTCTTTAATTCTAACTGAAATATAACATGCTAAATATTCCAACAAGCTACAATTTTCTCAAAAAAAGTTAATTTTTCAGCATAGGAGAAGAGAGATGGATGAATATATATGGGTATTTGAACGAAGCACTTCAAATCATTTGTTGTGTCAAGAAAAAGCAGTCAAACTCTGCAAAATGTTTGAAGGGATTTATTCTGAGCCTAATATGAGTGACCAAGGCCTGAGGCACAGTCTCAAGATGTCCTGAGAACATGTGCCCAAAGTGGTTGGGTTACAGCTTAATTTTATGCATTTTAGGGGGACAGAAGTTATAGGCAGACATCAATCACTACATATAATGTATACATTGGTTTGGTCCCGAAACGCAGGACAACTTCAAGTGGAGGCTTCCAGGTCATAGGTAGATTCAAAGAGTTTCTCATTGGCAGTTGGTTCAAAGAGTTAAGTTATTATCTAAAGACCTGGAATCAGTAGAAAAAAATTGTCTTGGCTAAGATACGGGGTTATGGAGACCAAGGTTCTCATTACGTAGATAAAGCCTCCAGGTAGTAGGCTTCAGAGAGAATAAATGGTAATATTTCTTATCAAACTAAAAAGGTGCCACTGTTCCTCTCTCCCTGATCAGCAAAAGTGTCTGGGAAAGACAAAGGGATTCTCTACAGAATGTAGATTTCCCCTATAAGAGATGGTTTTGCATGACCATTTAAAAATATATCAAAGAAATATATTTTGGGGTAAAATACTTTGAATTCTCTTTTGTTTGTTTGTTTTTTGAGACAGAATATCACTGTGTTACTCAGGTTGGAATGCAGTGGCACCATCTCGGCTCACTACAACCTCCAACCCCAAGGTTCAAGTGATTCTAGTGCCTCAGCCTCCCGAGTAGCTGGGATTACAGGTGTGCACCACCATGCCCAGCTAATTTTTGTATTTGTAATAGAGACAGGGTTTTGTCATGTTGGCTAGGCTGGTCTTGAACTCCTGGCCTCCAGTGATCCACCCACCTCAGCCTCCCAAAGTGCTGGGATTACAGGTGTGAGCCACCATGCCCAGCCTTGAATTCTTTCAAGGCCTGCTATCTGTCATGTGAGATGCTATACTAGAGTCAGGCTGGAATTTGGTATCTTATTGCTACCAAGAGTCCATTTGCCAGTCTTAAGATCTCTGTTTTAATGTTAATGCTGGTCAGTTGTGCCTGAATTCCAAAGGCAGGAGAATATAATGAGGCATGTTTGATACCTCTTCCCATCATAGCCTGAATTAGTTTTTCAGATTTAGTTTGGAATCTCCTTGGCCAAGAGGAGGGATCCATTTAGTCAATTGCAGGGCTTAGAATTGTATTTTTGGTTTATAATTGAGAAGCTTAACGAGCTACAAAAATGATGCCCTGGTATGAAAGTAGAGTAGTCAAAATATGTATTTTCCTGAAGCATTGATTTTAATCTCAGATCAATTGTGCATATTGTTACTTAATTTCCTCCTAGAATTTGGCAGTCGAAATGCTTATTTCAGCCCAGAACTTTTTCTAGCTTGCTTTAAATAAAACCTCTTGGTACTATCACAGCAGGCCTCCATTGTTCAGATACAGCTATCTGGATCAACTTCAATTATCATGTTTGCTACTAGAAATCAGTAAAACCATCTAAGTCTTCCATTTGATAATATTTAGATTAAATTAAGCTTTCTCTAGAAAAAGCTATAAATGATGCTCTCTGTTTCACAAAGACACTGTTGCAAGAGGCTAATATGTGTGAAGGGTTTGAGTCAGATATTTAAGACACTGAAAATCTGAATCTGTGTTGAAAATTAAAATACAAAACCATAATAGCTGTGTCACATGGCTTCATGCAGGAAAGAATTCAAGAGCAAGCCAACAAAGTGAAGTGAAAGCAAGTTTATTAAGAAAGTAAAGGAGGCCGGGCGCAGTGGCTCATGCCTATAACCCCAGCACTTTGGGAGGCCAAGTAGGGTGGATCACTAGGTCAGGAGTTCAAGACCAGCCTGGCCAAAATGATGAAACCCCATCTCTACTTAAAATACAAAAAATAGCCGGGCATGGTGGCAGGCACCTGTAATCCCAGCTACTCGGGAGGCTGAGGCAGGGAATTGCTTGAACTCTTGAACCCGGGAGGTAGAGGTTGCAGTGAGCTGAGATTACACCTCTGCACTCCAGCCTGGGTGACAAAGCGAGACTCTGTCTCAAAAAAAAAAAAGAAAGAAAAAAAAATAAAGTAAAGGAATGAAAGGATGGCTACTCCATAGGCAGATGGCTACTCCAAGGGCTGCTGGTTGGCATATTTTTATGGTTGTTTCTTGATCAAATGCTAAACAAGGGGAAGATTATTCAGAATTTTCTGCAAAGAGGGCAAAAAATTATCAGGACCTATGGCTCTGTCTTTTTTTAGATCATGTTGTAGGGTAACTTCTAAGAGTTGCCAGAGCATCTGTAAACTGTCATAGAGTTGTTGGGGGTGTCTTTTAGCATGCTAATGCATTTTAATTAGCATATAATAAGCAGTCTAAGGACAGACCAGTGCCATCTTGGCTTTCATGGGTTTTGGCCAGCTTCTTTACCAAATCCTTTTTATCAGTGGGGTCCTTGTGACCTGTGTCTTGAGAAACAAGTTCTGTCAAACTCCTATCTCAGCTGCTGCAGCCCTCTAGGTAAGTCAGATATAAACACACTCAATTAGTGAGGTTGCACAGTTTCTCCCTGCCCATCCTGCCACTGCATTAGCAAGTAGAAATAGCGGCTAATGGGATAGGCAAAATTATTATTTGGGCTTTCTGACTGGACAGGAAAATTCACAACTGGAAACAGCTTCCACAACTTTCTACTGTGATATTTATGCTAAAACCACTGGAGGTAAAATATAAACTACCAGTCAACTCCAAATGTAGTTGCTCCCTTTAACATGACAGAGATGTTTCTCTTAAACGTGAATTAACATTACATTTATGGAAGCATGAGATGTTACCTGAAGCTTTAAAATTAGTGTAATTTTATATGTTTATCTGGATAAAATCAATTCTGCAGAAGAACATGACTTCTATTAATTGTTTCTTGCTTGACAAGAGATACCAAAATATGTACATGTGTATATAATAATGTATATTTATTTGATTGCAGTAAATCAGAGAAGGTCACAATCACCATGGAATTATCGGTCCTTGGTTGATAATTATTAAAAGAAAAAGCAAAGCGTAGCCAGAATTCACCTTTATGGTAACAAAAAACAGAATAAGCATTACTGTAAAATTCAGTTTTAAGAACTCAAGATACAGGATAAGAATAGATTGAATTTAATTTTTTGGTAACTACTTTATAAGTAAATTTTGCTATCTTTCTAAACTAAGGGTAATGGCTAACTCAGTTCTTTACCTTCTCAAAATCACAACTCAACAACTTCCACACTCAAAAGTTTTAATTAATTTTTATTTAAACATATGTCTGTAATTTAACTCATTTTAAGTACGGAAGGATTAATGTAATTGAAGACATAATAATCTGACTCTATATAGTCTACAGTGAAACCATACAAAAATTCCTATTAAAAACAAGAAGAGAGAAAGAATGATCAGTATCATGAGTATTTTAATATTGTTCAGACTATTTTAAAGTTTATTTTATAATCTAAGTTCTTCATAATTTTTAGGGTTATTCAGTGATGTTTTAATTGATATTTACAGTGAGATAATTTTCCAAAATTGTATGAAAGCAGTTTTCAGTCCCATAGCAGTAACTGTGTAGAACTTACCCTGGTCTTCGCAGCAACCCTATGAGAAAGAAATTATTATTGATCACATTTACAGATTAGAAGTTGAAGCTCAAGACATTTAAGTCATTTTCTACAATAACAGCAATACAATTTGGTATAGCATGTATGTGTGTAAATCTTTTATTTTCATCTTTCAAAATATTTTGGTGTTTCTTTGTTTTCTTCTCTCATTTCCTATAGCCTTAGCCATGTTTTAGTCTCTTTTTCCTTTATAGGTAAGCTGCTTATCATCCCTATTTTGTCCTTAAAATTAATTTTTTTTTTTGAGAGGGAGTCTTGCTCTGTTGGCAGGCTGGAATCCAGTGGCATGATCTCGGCTCACTGCAACCTCCAACTCCCAGGTTCAAGCGATTCTCCTGCCTTAGCCTCCTGAGTAGCTGGGATTACAGGTGTGCGCCCCGTTCCCAGCTAATTTTTGCATTTTTAGTAGAGATGGGATTTCACAATGTTGGCCAGGATGGTCTCGATCTCCTGACCTCATGATCTGCCTGCCTCAGCCTCCCAAAGTACTGGGATTACAGGCATGAGCCAAACTAGAATACCTATAGATTTTAAAATCAGTTTTGCAAGGTACTGGTTCAGTGATTCATAATGCAAAGCATATCTGTCTTCGGGAAACATTTATTCTACTGTATCCTTTTTTATTGCTTTCATTTTCTTTTTTCTCACTTTAATTACTTTTATGTTTTCTTTTTCTCTTTATAATGTCTATGTGTGCATTTTTTTTTTTTTAGACGGAATCTTGCTCTGTCACCCAGGCTGGAGTGCAGTGGTGTGATCTTGGCTCACTGCAACCTCCACCTCCTGGGTTCAAGAGATTCTCCTGCCTCAGCCTCCCCAGTAGCTGGGATTACAGGCGCGTGCCACCACACCTGGATAATTTTTGTATTTTTAGTAGAGACTAGGTTTTGCCGTGTTGGCCAGGCTGCTCTCAAACTCCTGGTCTTAAGTGTTCTGCCCACCTTGGCCTCCCAAAGTGCTGGGATTACAGGTGTGAGCCACCATGCCTGGCCATGTTCATATGTATTTCTGATACACGTGTCATTTCCTTGTCTTTCTCTTCTGCATTTTGAAGGAGCTTCTCTGGTTGGTTTCATGTCATTAATTTATATATTTTTGTTTAAAAATTTAAAACAGTTTGATGTGTATTCTTACAGATCGCAAAATACTTTGCGAATTTATTTTTTCAGTTTCTTTAAAATCTTTTCTTATCTGACCCAGCTCTTTTTGCATATTTACTTGTCAGCTGGTTTTCCTTTTCTTTTTTGTTTTATCCTCTCATCTTTTTTTAATCCTTTTTGCATGATTCAATTTTGTAATTTTTGTTGAATGTATTATGTTCATTAGAGATATTGCCCAGTAGTTTTCTTCTGTTGTGGTGTATTTGTCTGGCTTTGGCATCATGGTGATCCTGGTCTCATCAAATAAGTTTGGAAGTTGCCCTAGACAGAATACGTCCCCCACAATTTATATGTTGAAAGCTAATCCCCACTGTGGGGATATTTGGAGGTCAGGCCTTTAGGAAGTGATTAGATAATAAGAGTAGAGCCCTCATGAATGAGATTAGTACCCTTATAAAGAAACCCCAGAGACTCCATCACTCCCTTCTGCCATGTAGAGACACAGGGAAAAGACAGCTGTGAGGAACTAGAATGCTACCCTCTCCAGACCCTGAATCTGCTGGCATCTTGATCTTGCACTTCAGAGCCTCTGGTAACATAAGAAACAAATTTCTGTTGTTTATAAGGCACTCAGTCTATGGTATTTTGTTACAACAGCCCAAACGAACTAAGAAAAAAAGTTTTATTATTCTATTTTTTTATGAATTTAAGAAGAATTGTTATTAATTATTTGAATGTTTAGTAGAATTCACTTGAGAAGCTATCTAGTCCTGGGCTTTTCTTTGTTGGGAGGTTTTTAAATTCCTACTTCACTTTTTATTACTACCTGATTATTTAAATATTTATAGGTACTTAAAATCTTGTGTATGCAATATAAATGTAGCTGTACCTGCTTTCTCTGGGTAACATTTGCATGGAATATCTTTCTCTACCCCTGTATTTTCTACCTGTGTGCATCCTTAACTCTAAAGTGAGTTTCTTGTAGACAGCATTTTAAAAATTTATTAGCCACTCTGTCTTTTGATTCAAGAATTTAATCCATTTAGTTAATTGTTTATAGGCAATGATTTACTATTGCCATTTTGTTAACTATTTTGTTTGTCTTGTAGTTGTTTTCTCCCTCTTTTTGTCTCTTGCTGTCCTCCTTTGTGTTTCATTGTTTTATGTTGTTTTTGTTTGTATTAATAGGGTTTGATTCCTATCTCTTTTTCTTTTGTGTAATAACGATAGTTGTTGTCTTTGTAGTTTTCGAGAAGCTTGCATAAAATATCTCATTGCTATAATACTCTAGTTTAAGCTAATAGCAACTTAACTTCACTTGCATAAAAAATTATACATTTACTTCTCCTCCCTCACATTATGTTACTGATGTCACAACTTATAGCTATTTATATTGAATACCCATAAACATAATTTTAGTTATACTTATTTTTGAATACTTCTATCTTTTAACTTTTATACTAGAATTGAAACTGATTTACCTATGACCATTATGGTGATACACTATTCTGGTTTTGTCTATATATTTAACTTTACCAATGAGTCGTATGCTTTAATATGCTATCGTATTGCTGTTTACTGTCCTTTTGTTTCAACTTGGGGAACTCCTTTTAGCATTTCTTCTAAGGTGGGTCTAGTGATGATGAGTTCCCACAGCTTTTTGTCTAAGAAAGTCTTACCTCCCCTTTATTCTTAAAGGATAGTTTTTCCAGGTGTAATATTCCTGGTTGATAGTTTTTTTTTTTTCTTTCAGTGCTTTGAATATGTCATCAAACTCTTTTCTGTCTTGCAAGGTTTCTTCTGGGGTGGAGTGGGGCGGCAAACCCACTGATGATCTTGTGGTGGTTCCATTGCATGTGACGAGTTGCTTTTCTCTTGCTCTTTTCAAAATTCTCTTATTGTCATTGGCTTTTGACAATTTGATTATAATGTGTCTTATGTATTTCGTGTATGTCTTTGTCCTATTTGATATCCTCTGGGCTTTCTGTATCTGGATGTCTATTTTCTTTCCCAGATTTGCAAAATTTTCAGCCATTATTTCTTTGAAGAAGCTTTTTTCCCTTTGTCTCTCTCTTCTCATAAAACTCCCACAATGCATATGTTGTTTTGCTTGATAGTATTCAGAAGAGGTCTCTTCACTCTTTTTAAAAAAATTTTTTTAAAGATACAGATTCTCTTCATATTGCTCAGTCTGGACTCAAACTCCTGGGCTCAAGTTATCCCCCATCCTCAGCATCCTGAGGGACTATGGGTCCACACTACCATTCTCCATTCTTTCTTCATTCTTTTTTCTTTTTGCTTCTCTGATTCAATAATTTCCAGTTACCTACCTTTGATTATTTCTTCTGCTTGATCTAGTCTGCTGTTGAACCCTTTATTGATATTTTTAGTTCAGTTATTATATTCTTCAGCTGTATAATTTATATTTGGCACATTTTTACATTTTTTCTTTTTGTTGAAATTTTCATTTTATTTGTGCATTGCTATTATGGCCTCAGTAACCATCTTAATGACCATATTTTGAATTCTCTGTTGGGTAAAATTATATATCTTCATTTTATTACATAAGTTTCTGGAAATTTCTCTTGCTATTTTTATTTAGAACATATTTCTCTGTTTATTCATTTTCTTTGATCCTCTGTGCTGGTGTCTGCACATTAAATATTATAAATCAACCCCCTCTACCAATCATTAAAGACTGTCCTCATATAGAAGACAATTCCCACCAACTGGCCCAGCAAGATATTGTGCATCCCTCTCAAATCTTTATGCTTATTCAACCTGCTGTCTTCAATCTTAGTGGCCCTCAGGAGTCTAAAGTATGCCAAATCCCATTAGTGCCTGAGACAGGTTTCTCAAGTCAATGCCAGAAAAGTCAGAGTTCTAGATTTATGGTACAATTTATTTTCTCCTCAGAGAGAAGCTGAGATGTGGAGTTTATTATCCACTTGCTCTGCACTGGGCCAGGGAGAGGAGATCTGGCAAATGCCTGCATGCTTATTCAAACCAGATGCTTTTTCAAATTGTTGCTTTGCTGTCTGTATTCTCAGTGGCCAAAGTGAAGGTCCTGTCCACTGATTCATGTGTAGCTGCTTATTTAGTGTGTCCATGGAGGGAGGAAAAGTCTGGAGCCTCCGATTTTGTCATCTTGCTGATGTACAGTATTCCCCTGAATGTTAAGCCAAATATGTGCTATATGTGCTTAATTTTTAAGTGTATTTCTCATGTGTTAGCACCTTATTGTGGGTGAATTTTATAGGCTGAGGAAGGATTTCCTATTCCTACTACATGAATTTCTTACTATCATTATTTCCCCAAGTATGATCTGAAGGAGATATATAATTTTTCTTCAATTGCATAAATGGACAAAGAAATGCATAAAACTTCTAAAATGCTTTGGCCCTTGAACTGTTCCAATTTAATTTCCTTCATACTAAGTTACCCAGTGTAAAGTGCCTCCTATTTTTATTTTCCTCTTACTCCTTTTTGTTGGTGGTACAATCCAGTAACCTCTGAGTTGCTCTAATAAAAGATGAATTCATGTGAAAAACTAATTCAAGAAATGACACTGTCTGCCACAGAAAACAGTCCCCATAACAGAGAGAGAGACAGAGAGAGAAAGAGAGAGAGAGAGAGAGAGAGAGAGAGAGAAAGAGAGAGAGAGACAGAGAGAGAAAGAGAGAGAGAGAGACAGAGAGAGAAAGAGACAGAGAAAGAGAGAGAGAGAGACAGAGAGAGAAAGAGAGAGACAGAGAGAGAAAGAGAGAGAGAGAGAAAGAGAGAGACAGAGAGAGAGAGAGAGAGAGTGTGTGTGTGTGTGTGTGTGTGTGTGTGAGAGAGAGAGACAGAGAGGGAGAGAATCTTTACAATCTGGATGAAAAATTTTTATCTGTATAGTAAGATGATACAATAAAGTAGATTGTCATTTATTAGAGTAGCTAATATCCCTTTGGTTTTACCTTGATTTGGTGAGTGAAAATTCTCCAGCTGCTCGATAACCCATTGACAAATAGTTATACTTTCTGAAGTGTTTAAAAAGAAAAGGAGGAAGATAAGGAGGCTGTATTAAATACTACTGGCTTTTTACTATCATTATTAATTGTTGCCTTCAATTAGTTATTACACATCACTGTATAGATGAAAAAATTATTTATCATACTTTCCTGCTTAGAAGACACTTCATGGAGTCTATTCTAATTTCCCCAAGCAATTGAGGTCAAGAAAAAAATTTGCATTGACATGAGAATTTACCTAATTTCTTTACCCATTCCTTATTTTTGGGGGGGGGGGGTGGAATTTAAACTCATGTAGGCAGTACCTTTAAGGGCAGAATCTGAAATTTTAAAAATCACACTTTTATACTAATATTGTATCTTGTGCTTATTTGAATTTTTAGGATTGTGTTATGTGTGCTGAAAACCTGGATGATAGATTTTTCTTCAGGGAGAATTTAGAAGCACGTAGTTTGTTGTAGAGAGTTTAAGACGTTAGAAAATACTAACTCATACTCTTTTATGTGGCAAGAATTACTTTCCTTTACTGATTGTGAAAATAATGTACTTCTCATTCGATCTGTATGACTAGCCTGTGAAACCATATTTGTAATTTCCTCAATCATTTATATGAAATAGTTTGGTTGCCTTTTCTTTGTCTTACTTCTTTATTTTATTTATTTATTTATTTATTTATTTATTTATTTATTTATTTAATTTATTTTTTTCTGGTGGGATGTTCAAAAATATCTTGCTTTCTCTAGTCCTCCTAACACGTTCCCAAATTCTGCATGCTCGCACATTTTAAACATGTTAGAATAGAGAAAGCAGGCCAGGTGCAGTGGCTCACACCTGTAATCCCAGCACTTTGGGAGGCTGAGGCAGGCAGATAGTTGGGGTCAGGAGTTCAAGACCAACCTGGCCAACATGGTGAAAACCCATCTCTACTAAAAATACAACAATTAGCTAGGCATGGTGGTAGGCACCTGTGATCCCAGCTACTTGGGAGGCTGAGGCAGAAGGATTACTTGAACCCAGGAGGCAGAGGCTGCAGTGAGCTGAGATTGCACCACTGCATTCCAGCCTGGGCAACACAGCAAGACTCCATCTCAGAAAAAAAAAAAAAAAAAAGAAAAAGAAAAAGAAAAAAGAGAAGAGAAAGCAACAGAACTAATTATCTTATAATTTTTTCTAAGGTACAACTATATTAATTTCTAAGGTACAACTAAATCAATAACTTTTAACTTTCTACCATCTGTTGTTTTTTAATTTGATTGTTTACTTTTAAAAAGTAAGCGTAACATCTCAATAAGTGTTGAAAAAGAAAACCAAAGAATCTGCAATATTATGCATGCAACTTCACAGAGAAGAATTTAATAACATATGATACTGCATGACTGACACTTCTATAAAAACAGAAATTATATTTCCAAACTCCAGCCAATGAAATACCCTACAGAGGCAAACCAAGCTAAGATCTTTACAAACTGCTGATCAATAAATTACACTTTAAAAGCAGCTGAGCAATTACCTGATAAGGCTTGAATCAGTAGAATTCTCATTTACATATTAAGAGATATTTATAGCAATAATTTTTGTCATGGGTTTGTATGTGTTAAATATGATAAGTTATACCAGTAATATGGATTAATTTTGGTAATACATAATAGTCACTATAAAGTCTGAAAATACATATTTATTTACTATAGAAGAAAATGCAGCACTAATTTAAAAATTACGTTTAGTCATTCTTTAAAAAATGTTCAAGTATTTGAGATAAGTGTATTCCTAAATTTTAGAAAGGATAAATGTCATTAAAGGCAAATGCATCATTAGGTTTTTGTTACTATCAATTAAATTTAGATTTTTTAACAAACAGGAGGACAGTGGTATATATATGTATATATATCTAAAATCTTTTAGAGAATCGAGACCACTGTGCAAATTACCAACTGGAAATCTGAAGAGACAGTAGAATAACAGAGAATCACAGCCAAGGTCAGCTTAGAACAGAAGATACTAGAACCATAAACCAGAGAAACACCTAAATGGTAATTTTGATGAATTGCTGAAGAGTAAATATAGAATCTTATGAGAATGAGAAATTACTGAGGACCCAATATTTTGAGGACCCACCATATTCATGGGTTTTACCTCCAGGAACCCTACCAGGTTCTCACTTGAAGAGCCAAGGAAAAATTGTCATGTTACTGACTGAAGAAGGAAAAAAGTAAACACTTTGAAGTATGCCCAAGAATTCTCCTTTGCAAAGGCTTATTCTGCAGGGGAAAAGATATTACAGTCTTATCCAATCTGGGATTAGGGAAATTATATAAATCCAGCATTTGTAGCCCTTCTATTTTTTCCTAGAAAGGTGGAAAAGAATTAAGAAGAACTTGTAAAGGTCAGTGCCTCAGTACACAAGCCCACTAAAAGATTGAGATTTAATGTTAGGGTTACAGAAAACTGCTTCTCCTCGACACCTTAGCACCAGTTAAACAGTTCTCCAGTAAAATAACAGTGGAATACAAATGAAAGAGTTGCAAGGCACAGACTCTAATAAGAAGTTCTTAATGGAACCCAAAGACAACAGGAGAGAGAAAAACAAGGGTATCAGAGTGAAGTGAAACCTCTGCTACCTATACCTACGACAAGCATGGAATATAGACCAAATAAAACCTCACACTATAGTTTTATTGTCTCAGCTTCTGTTGCCTAATACATCATGTCAAGCTTTAAATCAAATTACAAGGCATGCTAAAAGCAACACAAACACATGTTAAAGAAACAAAGCTAGCATGGGAGCTAACTTCAATTATGAAGCCAATTTCAGGATTATCTTAAAGGGAATTTACATTAACTACAATTAATATGGTGTCATAAAAAAGGAGATAATTTTTAAGAACAGATGGATAGTGTACACAGAAAGATGGAAACTCTAAAATGGAATGAAAATAAAATGCTGCAAATGTAAACACCGTAAAAGAAATGAAGAATGCCTTTGATGGGAACATCTGTAGACTGGATCTCGATGAGGAAATAATTGAGATTGAAGATAAGTCAATAGAAACTTCTCAAACTGAAACGCAAAGACAAAAAGGAATTAGAAAAAGAGACCAGAATATCCAAGAACTGTCAGGAAATGTCAAAAGGTATAAGATACTTGTAGTTGGAATAACAGAAGGACAAGAAAGAGACAATAGAACAGAAGAAATATTTGAAGTAAAAATAACTAGGAATTTTCCAAAACTAATAACAGACTCCAAACCACATATGCAAGAAAATCAGAGCACAAAGGAGCATGAATACCAAAAACAATCTATACCTGGGCATATCACATATCATATTCAAACTACAGAAAATCAAAAACAAAAGGAAAATCTTAAAAGAAGTCAATTAAAGAAAAACACCTTATCTATAGAAGGACAAAGGTAAGAATTACATCAAACAAGAAGCCTTTACGGTAACACAAGAAGCTTGTATGGTAACACCATACAAGCAAGAATTTAGTGAGAGGGAAGTATTTAAAATGCTTGATTAAAAAAAGTCAACAGTCTAAAATTCAATTTCCAGCAAAATTATTCTTCAAAAATGAAGGCGAGGAAAAGAATGAGAAGACAAGCCACCTGACTTGGATAAAATGATTGTGAAAGACATATCTGATGTCTTGGCTAGTAGTATTTGGCTATCTTCCAAAATATGCAAACCCAAAACTTCTAAAACACAAAAATTTGTTAAATGAATAACTTGATTAAAAATCGGGAGAAGAACAGCTAGCAACACAAGAACAGCTAGCTCCTTGCACAAGAACACTTGTTTGACACACTTTCCACTAATGAACTGATGTCAACTCCTGCAAGAAGCCCCCATGCCAATGTTCTCTTTGTTTCAAGACAACTTATATGTGCTTCTTGCTTTTGTCTTTAAATGCTCCTCCATACCCCAGCCTCCTCAGATGTACCTATAATCCATCATAGCATCCATATCTCAAATTGCAATTCCCTACTATTCCCCAACAGAGGGCCTGCCTCTCTCTGTTGTTATTTTTGGTGGACAAATTTCTTCTTGGATCGGTAGGTATACTCTAAAATTAGATAGTAGTGATGGTTGCAAATTTCTGTGAATATACTAAACACAGAATTGTACACTTTAAAGTGGTAGATTTTATGGTATGTAAATTATATCTCAATAAAGCTCTTATTCAAAAAAGACTCAGAGAAAAACATTTTTACAAAAATTTAAAAGAGTTAACCAAGCCCCACTCAGCAAAAGCAGCTAATAAAATCAGGGATTTAAGAGTAAGACAGTATTTATGACAGTACCTATTGTTTTGATTAGTCTAGCTTTGTAACATAGTTTGGAATCAGGATGTGTGATGTTTCCAGCTTTGCTCTTCTTTCTCAAAATTGCTCTGTCTCTCTGGGGTCTTTTGTGGTTGCCTACTAATTTTAAGATTGTTTATTCTATTTCTGTGAAAAAATGCTATTGGAATTTTCATAGGGATTGTCTTGAATTTGTAGATCACTGTAGGTAATACAGATATTTTAACAATATTTATTCTTCCAATCCAGGAGCATGGTATATATTTATTTTATTTATGTCTTCTTCAATTTCTTTAATCAATTACTTATAGTGTTCAGTGTACATATCTTCCATCATCTTAGTTAAATTTATTTCCAAATATTTTATTTTTTGATACTGTTTTCATGGAGATTGTTTTCTTAATTTCTTTTTTGGATAGTTAATTGTTAATATATAGACTTACAATTGATTTTAACATTGATTTTGTATCAGGCAACTCTACTAAATTTGTGTATTAGTTCTAGTCATTTGGGGGTTGCATATTTAGGGTTTTCTACATGAAATATCATGCCATCTAGGAAAATAAACAAGACACAAAGACCAATGGAACAGAACATAGAAGCCAGAAATCAACTCACACATATATGATCAACTAATCTTTCACAAGTGTGCCAAGAATACACAGTGGGTAATATATAATCTTTTCAATAAATGGTGTTGGGAAAGCTGGATATCCAAAGGCAAAAAAGTGAAATCAAATCCATACTTTACACTACACAAAACTCCAATCAAAATAAATCCAAGGCCTAAATTGTTAGACCTGAAACCATAAAAGTCCTACATGAAAACAGTGGAAAGGTTACTTGATACTGACCTTGGTGATGATTTACTGAAAATGATACCAAAAGAACAGGCAACAGAAGCAAAAATAAACAAGTCAAACTTCATCAAACCAAAAAGCTTCTGCATAGCAAAATAAAGAATCAACAGAGTGAAAAGGATACCCACAGAATGAGAGAAATGCTTGCAAACCATATATCTAATAAGGGGTTGATATCCAAAATACTTAGAAAATGCCTACAGTTCACTAACAGAAAAAACAAAAGACCCAGTTTTAAAATGGGCAAAGGACCTGATTAGACATTTATCCAAAGAAGACTAATTGCCAACAGGCATATGAAAAAATGTTACACAACATTACTTATATGTGAAATGCAAATGAAAACTGCAATGATGTATCACCTCACACATGTTAGGATGGCCATTATCAATGGCAAAAAACAGATAAGTCTTGGTATGCATGTGAAGAAAAGGGAACACATATATCATCGGTGGAAATTTAAGTTGGTACAAGCATTATGGAAAATAGTACAAACATTCCCCAAAAACTGAAAAATAGAACTAACATACGACACAGCAATTCCACTTCTACTTATGTATCCACAGGAAATGAACTCAGTATTTTGAAGAGATATTTGCACTCCCATGTTTATTTCAGCACTATTCACGATAGCCAAAATACGGCAACAACCTGTGTGTTTTGACAGAGAAGAGATATTAAAAACTGTGATTATATATATCTTCATACACAATAAAATAATATTCAGCCATAAAAAGGGAGTCCGGTGATTTGCATCATTATTATTATCACACTAAGTAAAATAAGCCAGATACAGAAAGACAACTACTGTATAATCTCACTTATATGTGAAATCTACAATAGTTAAACTCATAGAAGCAGAGAGTACAATGGTGGTTTCCAGGGCCTGGGGGATCGGAGAAATGGGGAAATGCTGATGAAGGATACAAACTTTTGATTGTAAGATGAACAAGTCTGATAATTTAGTGTATACCATAGTGAACATAGTTCACAATATGAGTAAATCTTAAGTATTCCAGCCACACACACACATGCGCACACACACACAAAAATTACATGGGTTGGTAGATGTGTTAACTTGATTACTGTAATTATTTCACAATATGTATGTATAGCAAATAATCATGTTGCACATCTTAAATATATACAATTTTATGTCTAATAAAAATGAGAATCTAATAAAAATAAGACAGTACTTATCTTAAATAAATAATTATTAGAAATACAAATAATATGCATTTATAAATACAAAGTACACACACACACACACACACACACACACACACACATTGTTCTAGTTGCAGCCCAATAGTGGTATTTTGTGAGAACTGCACTGTTGTCATTCACTGTGTTAAGAAAGGAATTACGATATCCCACTCATATCTTTATTAACTAGAGATCAGAGACACCTACTAAATCCTCACCTTAATAAATGTACTCCAGCACAAAAGTACAGCATCTAGAGACTACTAAAATTTAAACTTCTACCGGATATTTTATCTTTAACAATCCCCCACTGCAAATTAGAGCCCCCCCACAAATTAATACACCAAGCAGCACTATTCAAATGGATCACTCTCAGAGGTAGAAGAAAATGAAAAGAAATCTAAATAGATTGATAATGACATATCTCAAAGTAATGCAGTTTGAGGAATAAAAAATATTCTAGAACTAAAAATTGGATTCCACATTTTGAAAATTCAAGAAAGGAAATAAAAAGGAATGTACTTGCTGAGAGCTAATTGCAAGAATCTGTAAAGTCGAATAGTGTTGTCCTATCAGAGTAAGGAACATCAAAAAGTGTAAATCGTGAGTGAAAATATGAGTCATGGAGGAGACATTATAAATACATGTATAAAGTTTAAAACACTTAAGAGAATAATGAAGAAAACTAATAAAGGGGGCAAAATGCAGAAAACTTCTTCAACTTGAAGGATGACTTGATTGTCAAATAAGAGGCTGATCAACGTTGAACAGAATTTAAAGAAAAAGAGAGACCTAAATCTTTACATCCTGATGCATATTCTGACTTTTTTATCTTTAAGCATAAACAGACTATCTTAAAGGCTTCTAAATAGAAACCAACAGGTTACTTACATAGAGATAACTGTCATACTTGCATTGGACTTCTCAGCTGCAAGTTTAGATCAGAAAAAAAAAAAACGCTTACAGACTGCTGACAAAAAACTACTGATTAGGCTGCATGTAAAAATGTATAATATGTAGTATTCTCATAAGTGTTGAATTCCAAAGATTTTCTTTTAACATTTCTATTTTGACCAATGGGTTATTTGAAAATATATCTTTAACATTTCCAAAGATATATATCTTTGTAACTGACTTTTGGCATAGTTGCGTTGTACTCAGAAACCACAAACTATTTCAATCTTTTGAAATATGTGTCAGTATTTTTTAGGCTCAATATATTAAAGTGCTCTATGTGCTGTTAAAAGTAAAATATTCCCGGGCCGGGGGTGGTGGCTCACGCCTGTAATCCCAGCACTTTGGGAGGCCGAGGCGGGTGGATCACGAGGTCAGGAGATCAAGACCATCTTGGCTAACATGGTGAAACCCCGTCTCTACTAAAAATACAAAAAATTAGCTGGGCGTGGTGGAGGGCACCTGTAGTCCCAGCTACTCGGGAGACTGAGGCAGGAGAATGGCGTGAACCCGGGAGGTGGAGTTTGCAGTGAGCGGAAATCGCGCCACCGCACTCCAGCCTGGGCGACAGAGCGAGACTCCATCCAAAAAAAAAAAAAAAGAAATATTCCGTACAATTTTTTGATGTAATGTTCTATACCTATTCCTTAGGTGATATGTATAAGTTGTGTTGCTCAAATCTTCTACATGCCTACTATTTTTTTTTTTTTTTTGGTCCACTAACTATCACTGCAGAAAGTGATGTATAAAAAAATCTACTGTTGTTGATTTGTTTATCTCTACTTGGGGATGTGCCAAATTTTGCTTTATGTATTTTTGGGACATATTAAAGTGCATTCAAATTCAGAATCATTGTATATTCCTGATGAACTACATTTTCTCATTGAAAGTTTTCCTTCTTGATTGTAAATAACACTTTTTTTTGTTTTCAAGTCTATTTCATTTTAAATACTTTGTATCTTTATGTTACTATCTTCTTAACTGAATATGATCAGATTTTTTATCATCACATATTTCTTTATTTTAATTAGAACTTTCAGTATTTATTACATAGTTGTGTTTTAGCGTAACACTTTTGTTCTATTTAAACCACTTAAAAAATTTCTCAATTCTTCACTTTTTATTGATTGAGAAAATTTTGTTTTTATAATATTTCCCTCAAATAGTTTGGAGTTATACTATTTTTTCTTATTATTTAGTTTCCCGTGAACATGCAGCACAGCACTGTGATCCCTAAGACAAAAAAAAAAAAAATAACAAACCAGATGTTTCCTATGAATACCCCAAGTTTCTTTTTGGAAGCATGTTTTAGTCAGTAGTGAAGGAAGGGAGGAAACAGGAAATGCAAAGGGGTCTTGCTTAATTTATCAGCAAAAATAAGAGTTTAGGAAAGCTAAGGCAGCTAGAATTGGTGAAGCAGAGCACAAAAGAAGAGGAACCTCCTTAAAGAAAATGTTCCAGAGCTCTGAGTAGAGGTCCTCATGAGTCTGCTGCTGAACAATAAGCCATTCATGAGTTGAAAAGATAGAGATGGTATCTCATTGTGGTTTTGATTTGCATTTCTCTGATGGCCAGTGATGATGAGCATTTTTTCATGTGTCTTTTGGCTGCATAAGTGTCTTCTTTTGAGAAGTGTCTGTTCATATCCTTTGCCCGCTTTTCGATGGGGCTGTTTTCTTCTTGTAGATATGTTTGAGTTCATTGTAGATTCTGGATATTAGCCCTTTATCAGATGAGTAGATTGCAAAAATTTTCTCTCATTCTGTAGGTTGCCTGTTCACTCTGATGGTAGTTTCTTTTGCTGTGCAGAAGCTCTTCAGTTTAATTAGATCCCATTTGTCAATTTTGGCTTTTGTTGCCATTGCTTTTGGTGTTTTAGACATGAAGTCCTTGCCCATGCCTATGTCCTGAATGTTATTGCCTAGGTTTTCTTCTAGGGTTTTTATGGTTTTAGGTCTAACATGTAAGTCTTTAATCCATCTTGAATTAATTTTTGTATAAGGTGTAAGGAAGGCCAGTTAGAATGGCAATCATTAAAAAGTCAGGAAACAACAGGTGCTGGAGAGGATGTGGAGAAATAGGAACACTTTTACACTGTTGGTGGGACTGTAAACTAGTTCAACCATTGTGGAAGTCAATGTGGTGATTCCTCAGGGATCTAGAACTAGAAATACCATTTGAACCAGCAATCCCATTACTGGGTATATACCGAAAGGATTATAAATCATGTTGTTATAAAGACACATGCACACGTATGTTTATTGCGGCACTATTCACAATAGCAAAGACTTGGAACCAACCCAAATGTCCAACAATGATAGACTGGATTAAGAAAATGTGGCACATATTCACCATGGAATACTATGCAGCCATAAAAAATGATGAGTTCATGTCCTTTGTAGGGACATGGATGAAGCTGGAAACCATCATTCTCAGCAAACTATCACAAGAACAAAAAACCAAACACCGCATGTTCTCACTCATAGGTGGGAATTGAACAATGAGATCACATGGACACAGGAAGGGGAATATCACACCGCGGGGCCGGTTGTGGGGTTGGGGGAGGGGGGAGGGATAGCATTAGGAGATATACCTAATGTTAAATGACGAGTTAATGGGTGCAGCACACCAACATGGCGCATGTATACATATGTAACAAACCTGCACGTTGTGCACATATACCCTAGAACTTAAAGTATAATAAAAAAAAAGAAAAAAGAAAAGATAGAGATGAACTGTATGGGAGGTTGAGGTAACGAGAATTGTGATGCAGTGTTCAGGAGAATAGAAAAATACACAGAAATAAAGCTCCAAAAATTTGCATAGGTAATCCTTGAATATTTGCTGAGTGTTAAGAATCACATATATAGAGTGAATCTCTTCAGAAAGGAGGAGCTATGTAGAAGATGAGCACCAGAAATATGCATTGGGTTTATTTTGAGTCTGCTGACAAATCCTAAGATATACATAGTGAGTAAAACCTCAGAGGAAGCTGTTATGTGAACAAGTTCTAGAGTCCACAGAGCTGAGAGATATCTGAGTACCAATCAACCAGAGTTAAGAGAACACATTGAATACTTCGGACATTCATTAGGGATCCAAGAATGGTGATGTATTGGAGGAAGTAGGGTTGCAATAGATCTAGGGTGAAAGCTACTCTATATTTGTCCTTACAAATCTAAAAAGAAAAATTTATTAAAATTTGAAAATGATTAGCAAGTAGTGTTATTGCCTAATAGCAAAAGCTTGAAAATGGTTCAAGAAACACAACAAAATATAATAACTCAACAACAAAATAATCAGAATGTCTACCATCAAACGAAAAATTACTAGACATCTGAAAGGCAGGCAAATGTGAACTGTGACAAGTACAAAAATGAAGTTTATTGAAACAGACTAAAAAAATGACAGCATAATTGGCAGTAAAATAAGACACTGTTATAAAGATGCTCAAGATTTAAAGGAAAACATGAGTATAATAAAAAGTGAGATAAAAGACATGCAAAATACCAAAACAGAAATTCTAGAGATAAAAGCTCAGTATTTGAGTTAAATGTTAGCTGGAAAAGCATAACAACAGTTAAGAAGAAAAGGTAGTGAACTTCAAGAAATAGCAAGAAACTATTCAAAAAGAAGCACTTTGATTCCACATATAAGTGAGGTCATGCAGTAATGATCAAAGGGTACAAAGTTTCAGAGAGATAGGAGGAATATGTTCTGAGGTTTTTTGCATAAGAGGGTGACTATGGTAAATGATAATGCATTACATATTTCAAAACTAAAAGTAAATTTCTAATATCATAAATTTCAATGTCTAAAATATATAGGTAAGTGAGGTGATAGATATCTTAATTAGCTTGATTTAGTCATGCTGCATTGTATACATATATCAAAACATCACATTGTACCCCATAAATATACACAACTATAATTTGTCAATTTAAAAAAAGCCTACAAAATGAAGCTCAGCATTAAAAGATTTAAAAAGGACATGACAGCCTCAATTACCTGTGATACAACTTCAAAAGATCTAACATCTAATACGTATGAAATTGGGTTTCAGGAGTTGCAGAGGAAAATATTTAAAGAAATAATGGCCAAAAATATCTGAATTTCATGAAAATTATAAACCAACAGAGATCCAAGCAGTCCAATGAAACCCAAGAAGTATAAACAGAAAGAATGACACAAGAAGAAATATAAAAATCAAATTAATGAAATCAGGGTTGAAGAGAACATCTGAAAAACATCTAGGGATAAAACATATATCACAGAGAGGAGATTAAATTAGAAAAAATGTAGACTCCTTCTTGAAACAATGTGAAACAGGTTACAGTATAATGACATCTTTAAACTGCAAAAGTGTGGGGGGGAATCTTGTCAATTTGAAATTCTATATCCAGCAAAATATCCTTCAAAATTGAAAGTGAAATAAAAACATTTTCAGACAAACAAAATCCGAGGTAATTCATTAGCAACAGCTGTGCACTATGAGAAATGCTAAAGGGACTCTGAGGTTGAAGAAAAAAAGAGAAACTAGGATCTACGGAAAGGAATGAAGAATGTCAGGAATAGTTAATATGTGGTAAATATCATGACTTTTTAAAAAACAACCTTTAAAATATATTTTAGTTTTTTAAATAAATATTTAAAATGAAAAGTGAACCATACTTTTATAAAGATCAATAATATTTTGAGGTTTATAAGAAAATATATGACATTAGCACAATATACAGGAGGTAAATAAAAATATTCTGTTGTAAGATGCTTAAATTGTAGATGAAATGGTATAATATAATTTGAATGTAGATTGTAATAAGTTAAAGATGCATTTTACTAGACATATACCAATCTATATCTTTGTATAAATATATCACTATCACTAAAGCAACAACATTAAATAAGACAAACATGTTCAGCTAATAAGCAAATATTAGTGATAAAATGGAATCATAAAATACATTCAAATCAAAAGAAAACCAGAAAAGAGGAAAAAGGAAACAAAATGTGGGACTGAGGAAAAGTAAATAGCAAAAAGGTAGTCTATAAACATGAACCCAACCACATTAAGGATTGTATTAAGCATGAACAACTAAAGTATAAAATAAATATACATGAATCCATGATGATATAAATAAATGATTGAATAAAAAATAAATGAGGGAGGCATGCAGACCTTCTCTACAGAATTCCAAACAAGAAATCTCCCCCTCTGAGAGGTGAAACCTAATCCCTGAAGCCCCTTGAGGATTTGCTACACTTAGTGATTTACCTCCAAAGACTAAATTCGGGAAGGAAAAAATAGTAACCTTAGAATGGAAGAACTGACATTGATGGAATTTATATAGAAAATTAAAAGGACCCAGAATAACTGAAACGATTCTGAAAAATAACAAACTTTGAGGATTTAGAGTACCTCATTTCATGAATTATTATATGGCTATAGTAGTCATGACAGTAGTAATATGAGTAGAGATATTGGTCAGTGGAAAAAATAGACAACTTAGAAATATAAATACTCAATCAATACTTTGCAAATGTACCAAGATATTCAATAGGGAAAGAATAGTTTATCCAAGAAATGGTACTGGAAGAATTGGATCTCCAATTTAAACATAACAAGCTTCAGCCCTTAGCTCACACCATATACACAAATTAACTTGAAATGAATCATACATCTAAATGTAAAAATGGAAACTGTAAAACTTCTTGAAGAATATACAAGAATACCACTTTGGGATTACAATAATTTTTGATTAGAAAACAAAAGTATAAACCATCACAAATTGCTAAATTGCAACTTGTCAAAATTAAAACTTTTTGTTCTTTAGAATACTCTGCCAATTAAATAAAAAGCCAAGCCATAGACAGGAGAAAATACTGAAACTCCATAACTGGACAAAGAAATTGTATAAAGATTATATAAGTACTCTTACAATTCAATAATAAGGAAAAAGAGGAGCAAAAATTTTAAATGGGCGAAGAAAACACTTCGCAGGAGAAGACAATGAATGGACAAAAAACATAAAAAAGACTTTCTTTTTTAGACATCAAGGAAATGCAAATTTCACTACAATGAGACACCACCTGCCACACACTAGAAAGTCTAAAATTAAAATAAAAAAAAATCCTTACAGTACCAAATGTTGGGGAAGATATCAAGCAACTGGATATCTTCAGTATTGCTAGTGCAAAATGATATAACCTCTTTGGAAAATTGTTTCCAGTTTCTTCAAAGCCAGGCAACCCAGCAATCCCATTCCTAAGTACTTAACCAAGAAAATGAAAGTATATGACCACACGAAGAATTTTATAGGAATATTAATGGGCAGTTGACTCATAATAGTTGAATCAACAAACAAATCGAGTTATACGTCTGAGTCAATATCCATACATAGCTTACTACTCACAATAAAAAAAAAAGAGCTGCAAAATGTAACTTGGATAAATCTTAAAATGATGATGCTGATCAAAAGAAACCAGACACAAAACAGTACTTAAAATGTAAATCTTCCTACATAAAATTCTTGAATATGCAAAAGTAATTTACCTTAAAGGAAACATTAAATTAGTTGACTGTAACCAGGGTTGGAAATCAGTGAAAAAGTTTGTGCTGGCCAGGCATGGTGGCTCACATCTGTGATCCCAGCACTTTGGGAGGTCGGGGCAGGTGGATCACTTGAGGTCAGGAGCTCGAGACCAACGTGGACAACATGGTGAAACCTTGTCTCTATTAAAATACAAAAATTAGCTGTGAGTGTTGTCACGTGCCTGTAATCCCAGCTGCTTGGGAGGCTGAGGCATGAGAATCACTTGAACCTCGGAGGCAGAGGTTACAGTGAGCCAAGATTAGGGCACTGCACTCCAGCCTAGGCAACGAAGGACTCTGTCTCAAAAAAAGAGAGAGAGAGAGAGTGCTTACTTTGTCATGTAAAATATTTCAATATAGTTTAAAAAATCTTCTTTCACTTGACAATACCCTTCTTCATAAAGACAATCATAATGGCTGTTACTGATTGTGCTAGATGTTGGGCAGTTTATATACACACTGTGCCAGGTTGCTGTATGGTCAGTTTGGATAAGATGAGAATTGCATTTCCATGAATGCTGGTCCTCCTCTGGTCCAAGTGTGAGTTGGTTAAAAGAAAGGAAAGAAGTGAAGCAGCTGACACCATTCTCTGAAGGTCTTCACGATCAGAGATAGTGACTGTCAGACATGGAGGTTCATGAAGGGTTACAGCTTCTCTTTTATTTCCTCTGTTTTTTGTCTAACTCATCTTCCTGCTATCCAGTGGTCAGGTCCATCACCATACACTTGACTATGGACCCACCGAAGCACTGGTTACAGAGGGGCACAGCTGCACGTGGGTCTCTCTGTGAGCTTCCCCTTCACAGTTCCACATAGGCAGTTGGACTTGGCTCTTCAGTTTTCTTGGCAAGCTATGATTTTTCTCTAATCCTTCAGTTACCCATTCTGACCATTCACTTTCCCAGCTCCTTTGACAACTGTGTAAGTCCAATTCCTATTATGAATCTCTTATCCCAACCATCCCACAGCACTTCTTGTGCTCTGCTACCCTGACTGAACCCTGGAGTGCTCTCCCACTCTCTCTGTCTTTCTTACACACTCACAAAACACACACATTTTCACAGTTAGGTACACAATTTTCAAGAATATACACATACATATACATTATCCTGTTTTGTTTTTTTGTGCTTGTTTTTTGATAAGACTTTGACTACCCAAGAAAGCATAAAAGAAGTTCAATTATGTGAATAAATTTAAGATATAACTCAGATAATGATAAATTTACTACTTTAAATATTGCTCATAAGCCTGTTTCCTTACTAGTCCTTACTCTGTGACTCTGATTCTGAATTTCCAGCTTGTATGCAATAGACTTCAGATCTCTTCCAGAATCAATTACTACCTAAAGTGCCACCAGAATCCCAGAGAGGACAGTCTCACATTCCTTCCCTCTGTTTTACTGTCCATATTATTTGCTTATTCATTCAAGAACCATTTACTAAATATATATTTTGTTCCAGACATTATTAAAAAATGTCCTCAAGGACTTCACAATAGGGAAGCAATAAAAAATAAGCTTATTAAAATCATATGCAAGGTGCTATATATTCACCAAGAAGAAAATGACTGACTCTATAAGGAGTGAATTTTTCAAGGTAGCCTTTGTAGAGGGTTAAAAGGACGGTGTACACTGGCTATCTCTCGTGCCTTTTGTTTACTCCTCAAGCCACTGTAAAACGTCTTCCTCTTTAACAATTCTATTCAAACTGCTCGTTGCCCAAGGTGGCAGATCAGTGACCTCTGTGCTGCAGAATTTAATCTTACTAAAAATGTATAAAGTATATTTGTATGAAGCTTACTTATTATATCACATTTGTTAATTTTTCTTATAAGTAGAATAATTTTGGTCGCAAATTCAGGTAATATAGCAATTCACATAAAATTAAATTCTACTGTGCTTCAAGCATTTGGACATCTTAGTTATCTAGTAATGTTAATTTAAAAAATATTCTGATCACTTTTTAATTTTTGTTTAGATAGTCATCTTTTATTTTTGTAACAGTTGTAAAGAACTCCTCTATAAAATTCAACATGGCACCTATAAAATAGATTCAAACTCTTCTGTAATACAAGTTGCATTTTCTTTCCAATTTTGTCACTTGCTGTTTTGGTTATGATGTTTCAGTCTGGATCACTGCAGAAAACAGATGGCATACCCAAAGGTTTCATTTAAAAGAGTTTAATAAGTTTACAGAACTATGAGAAGGGTTAAGAGACAAAACAACGGATAATGAAACACCCAAGAATTACCAACAGCAGGGAGCTGTTACCATCTCTAAGCCTAGAGAGACAAGAGGGAAAGATGTTACCAGAGTCCAGCAAGCACTGGAGCCATGGAAAGGAGCCTTCTGCTCTCCCGCTGGTACCTCCCCTTAGCCCAAGTAATCCAGAAGCCAGAAGGGGGTGGAAACCCAGTGTTGTCATCGACAGAAGTCAGTCTCCTGGAACACTAAGCAAGGCAGAGAAGAGAAAAGACTGAATCTACAAATATTCTTTGATTTCTAGAAATTTCTATTTTTCATAAAGCCAAACTAATACTTTTTTCAGTTGGCTTCCAATTTCATCTTTAAAATAGCTTCTTCACCCAGAGATTATATAATTTGTTTATACTTTCAAAAAAAATACTTTCTATGGGACTAGAATTCTTTTCATTCCCAGGCGATGCATTGCTATTTCTTTTCTCAAGATTTTCACACTTGCTTTCCCTTCTACTTGAACAGTTGTCTCCCCATTATAAGATTAACCAAATTGAGGCTATCCTTTAGATTTCTGACCAGTCAGAGAAGTGTTGTTTTCAGAAATGGTCACAGTGCCTGCCAAATGGCAAGACTTGGGGCCAAATATTCACTTTACATTGACAATGTTAAACTTTGCCTGAATGTTCTGGAATGCAGCAACAGTTAAGAAATTACCCCACTTTGTTGTGTTCTAGCAGTCCCCAACCTTCTTGGCACCAGGGACTAGTTTCATGGAAGACAATCTTTCCATAAACCAGGGCAGTGGGGCTGGGGGTGGGGGTGATGGTTTCAGGATGATTCAAGTGCATTACTTTTATTGTGGAGTTTATTTCTATTGTTATTACATTGTAATATAGAATGTAAGACTTATACAACTCACCATGATGTAGAACCAGTGGGTACCCTGAGCTTGTTTTCCTGAAGCTAGGTAGTCCCATCTGGGGGTGACGGGAGACAGTGACAGATCATCAGGCATTAGAGTTTCATAAGGAGTGCACAACCTAGATCCCTTGCATGTGCAGTTCACGATAGGGTTTGCACTCCTATGCAAATCTAATGCCACCGGAGCTCAGGTGGTAATGCAAGCTATGGAGACTGGCTATAAATACACATGAAGCTTCGCTTGCTCATCCGCTGCTCACCTCCTGCTCTGAGCCCTGGTTCCTAAGAGGCCATGGAAGGATTCCTGTCTGTGGCCTGGGCATTGAGGACCCCTGTTCTAGGAAATGCTTACTGCAAATAACTACCCTTCCCCTTATGACTTAGATAAGACACATGGATGCCGCCCTTTCTTAAATATAGTGAAATCAGACACACACTCTCCAAACTCCCACTCTTTGCCTTATAAATGATCCACTGAATTGTTTGTACCTAGTGACCAATTCGTACAAAATAATTATCTACTAACTTGGCTTGGCCAAACTTTCGTGAGTTTTTCTTCTTCCCTTAGGCCCTTGGACTTTGACCAGGCATTGGAAAAAGCAAGCAACAAAACTCAGAACAAGCCCTTCTTAACAACTCCTCCCAAATCTGCTAACCTCAGGAAAAAATGTTAACTGTCAGATCATAACATTGCCCATCTCACTTCGTAACCCTGATTGTTTCTTGCCTGGTTTATTCCTTTTCAGAAAAGAAAAGTGTTTTTCTGCCTGACCTTTGGGGCACTCACAGACCTTATGGTCCTTATGGTCAGAGCATAAAAGCCCTTTCCCTACTTTTTCTTCCTTTCGCAAAACACCCCTCACCTTACTGTCATAGTGGCCCTCCCCTTATGTAAATAATCATTTTGAATAATGTCTCTCTTCATGAAAAATTCTTTATTCAAAGTCCAGATTTATTATTTATTTGACACACTTTTGTCCTTGCTTGTCTTAAAAGCTGCTAGAGTTTAGAAAATGAGTTGTCATTCATTCAACAAACATTTATGGAGCAGCAATCTGTTCTAGATACTCTGTTAGATGCTGGGGATACACTGAAGAGAAATACAACGTGCATTCCTTTAGGGAACTTGCAGTAAAATGCAGTATACAAAGTGCTATCAGAAAAATAAATAGTGGCAATATAATACTCGGATAGTACATAGGAGAGGCACTGATCCCTGAGGGAGATAGAAGAGAGAATGTTTTCAAAAGTTGGTAGTGTGTAAGCTGATCAGAACATATGATAGGTTATGATCAAATACAGAAATGCATATCATAGAAAGTAACTTCAAACTGTGACTTTAAGCAGTTACTTTCTATGACAAAGAAATGATATGCAATTGGCCCTCCATTTCTCTGGGGTTTGCATTCATGGAGTCAACCAAATATGGATGGAAAATATTTGAGAGAAAAAAGAAATGGATGGTTGTGTCTGTACTGAATACGTACACGCATTTTTTTCTTGTCATGGCTCCCTAAACAATACAATATAATAAGTACTTACATAGCATTTACATTTCATTGGGTATTATAAGGAATCTAGAGATGATTTAAAGTACATGGCAGGATATGAGTAGGTTACATGCAAGTACTGCATCATTTTACATAAGGGACTTGATAATGGTCTGATTTTGGTATCCATGGGGGTCCTGGAACCAGCTCCCCCTGGGCACTAAGAAACAACTGTATGTGTTCAAAGTTGGGAACGTTAGAAATAAGTACAGTTGAGATAGCTAAGGCTTCATTTGTGGTTGATGAGGTGAGTCTAGAATAATAGTTAAGACTCGAATGGCATAGAAATGTTTCAGATGATGTTTCAGCAGTTTCATGAGCACAGGGAGCTGGAGCAGAGATGTGTGTTGAGGAGAAAAGAAAAGGAAGGGTCTGAATCAGTCTTTCATTTCTGTATTCATGGCACTCTTTCAGAGCTCACTGGACTCCATATCTATGTTTAGCTTATGTTGTACCACAAAATTATATATCTTTTACTTGTTATACTGATGGTTTATTTAATTTAGACATCAGTTTGTAGATCTAATGCACTAGGGAGCATGGTCATTGCACACATTTTTCCCCAAAGCGGGATTTAAATTACTCAGTTTCCATGGTTGACATCATGTTGATGTCAAGCACATGATGACATCATTGTACTGTAGTTACAAAGAACAGCAACTCATGCTCTAATACTGGATAATTTCACACTGGACAATTTCAGGCATCACCATAAAAAGAACTTAGTAATTTTATTAAGTCCGTATGTTTAAAGTGAGCATATTTGGGCTGAATTTGATTGACTGCTATCCTGAGGATGGTGTGCATTTGTCAGAGTTTATTTTCTGCTGTGTGACAGACCTGCAGTGATGGTCCAACTGACTCAGACCTTATGGCTAATTTTTCACATTATAATGCGATTTCTACCTTGGTAATCCAACAGATGGTTTCTCTCTTCCTGTCTTGGATATTATGAGAAAGTGGATCAAATTCAGAGTCTTGTAAAGCTACTGTTGAAATTCTGACTCAAATCATGAGCACCTTCACACTTGTGTACAAAAGTGAGGTATTCCTGGGCTTCCCTGCCAACTAATCAAATTTAGTTGTTGTGGCCCCACATCTCTGGCTTGGCATTATGTGGAAAGAGACATTCCAGGGGTGCAATAAGCTATCTCATTTACATTATTTCTAGTGTTGTTTATTACAGTTTGCTAGGCCTCATGGCAGGAAGTTTTTGTTTTGTTTTTTTTTTGTTCTAGAGCAGAAGGTAATTTTTCTCTCTCAATATTTCCAGCCTCTGTGGTGGCCAAACTCTCACATATGAGGTAGTCAATGTGAAGAACTGCAGGTTTGAAAATATATGTACTTTTAGTATGAAAGTAATTTTGATTGAGTGAGAAATTCACATTTTAGCTGAAGAGATTATGTAAATGTTACTAGGTTTTATGAAAGCTCTACTAGAAAATTGCATTTTAACCAGAAATAAAGACATTTCAATATTGGTAACCTTTTTTGACATGAGGGGCAAGATCATTACCTTACTGCCTCATCATGCCTCATATTTTATAGTCACTCTCTGCAGTAAGGCTCTTACAGTTGTTTTATGAAGCATGTGTGATTTCAACATTTATTAGAAAATTTTAAGCATCTAAATATCATTAAAGCAGAAAAAAGGATGGTCTTTTTTGTATTTTATATTCTGAATTTACTGAACATTTTATGAGAAATAATAACTATGACCTTTTATTATAAGTTTATTTCTAAATATTTAAAGAGAAACATAATTCAAATTTATAATATAAATCCATGGTAGAAATAGGTTTGGTGTTAATGAATAAAACATGCAAGCATTTTATCAGAAAATTTTAATTCTTGAATATGTGATAGAAGTGAGTGAAGAACTTATAAATATTTATACACCCATATATTTAATAGAATACTCAAAGTTACAGCATTTATGATGACAAGAATATGGCTCTCTAAAATAAGATTTATAGTTTTGTATTGCTAGGATTAAATAACTTTGGGTAAAAGATTAAATATTTTATAAAGTCCTGTGGGTTAACCTGAATAGTTTTATTTTCAAAACAGAAAGTGAGTATCCATTGCTAGAACCTGTAAAAATTCCACCTAAAAGTATTTTCCTATCATTCTTCACTACAGCATGCAGATTAAACTGCTAAGCAAATAGCCCAACTGAACTCAAATCTAGAACTGTCTTAATATATATGATGTGATTTTTAAAATGCCTAACATAGTGACTGGCATATAGTAGATGTTCAAATTGATCTTCTTGTCTCCTTGGAAGTAACAGGATAAATGTTTTTTATCTATTTGTTTCAAGATAAATGGTTTCAGTTTCAATTTCCTTTTTACCAAATGGTAAAGTAAATTTTTACCCATTTTCCTTTTTATTAATAATATATGATGTTCATATATTAATAACACAAAAATAAGTTCAATGTAAGTGGTCAGACCAATTCTCTGCTATAATGGCTCAACTCAGCCATCTAGGCACAATACTTCAACAATATCACTTGCAGGAAAACCCAATACATTATCTAGTTATTTCAGTGACTTGGTTTTCTTTCCACCTTCTCTAGTCTACTACTGCAATACATTGCTCCACCCAGCGTGTGCTGTCCTTATCTTATGCTTTTAACTTTTCACCTTCCTAACTCTGTGATTTTGTTTGTTCTACTCCTTCTCTCTAAAATACTGTACTACAGGGCTACAGTAACCAAAACAGCATGGTGCTGGTACCAAAACAGAGATATAGACCAATGGAACAGAACAGAGCCCTCAGAAATACTGCTGCATATCTACAACTGTCTGATCTTTGACAAACCTGACAAAAACAAGCAATGGGGAAAGGATTCCCTATTTAATAAATGGTGCTGGGAAAACTGGCTAGCCATATGGAGAAAGCTGAAACTGGATCCCTTCCTTACACCTTATACAAAAATTAATTCAAGATGGATTAAAGACTTACATGTTAGACCTAAAACCATAAAAACCCTAGAAGAAAACCTAGGCAATAACATTCAGGACATAGGCATGGGCAAGGGCTTCATGTCTAAAACACCAAAAGCAATGGCAACAAAAGCCAAAATTGACAAATGGGATCTAATTAAACTAAAGAGCTTCTGCACAGCAAAAGAAACTACCATCAGAGTGAACAGGCAACCTACAGAATGGGAGAAAATTTTTGCAATCTACTCATCTGACAAAGGGCTAATATCCAGAATCTACAATGAACTCAAACAAATTTACAAGAGAAAAACAACCCCATCAACAAGTGGGTGAAGGATATGAACAGACACTTCTCAAAAGAAGACATTTATGCAGCCAAAAAACACAAGAAAAAATGCTCACCATCACTGGCCATCAGAGAAATGCAAATCAAAACCACAATGAGATACCATCTCACACCAGTTAGAATGGCGATCATTAAAAAGTCAGGAAACAACAGGTGCTGGAGAGGCTGTGGAGAAATAGGAACACTTTGACACTGTTGGTGGGACTGTAAACTAGTTCAACCATTGTGGAAGTCAGTGTGGTGATTCCTCAGGGATCTAGAACTAGAAATACCATTTGACCCAGCCATCCCATTACTGGGTATATACCCAAAGGATTATAAATCATGCTGCTCTAAAGACACATGCACACGTATGTTTATTGCAGCACTATTCACAATAGCAAAGACTTGGAACCAACCCAAATGTCCATCAATGATAGACTGAATTAAGAAAATGTGGCACATATACACCATGGAATACTATGCAGCCATAAAAAATGATGAATTCATGTCCTTTGTAGGGACATGGATGAAGCTGGAAACCATTATTCTCAGCAAACTATCGCAAGGACAAAAAACCAAACACCGCATATTCTCACTCATAGGTGGGAATTGAACAATGAGAACACATGGACACAGGAAGGGGAACATCACACACTGGGGCCTGTTGTGGGGTGGGGGGAGGGGGGAGGGATAGCATTAGGAGATATACCTAATGCTAAAATGACGAGTTAATGGGTGCAGCACACCAGCATGGCACATGTATACATATGTAACAAACCTGCACGTTGTGCACATGTATCCTAAAACTTAAAGTATAATAATAAAAAAAGAAAAAAAAGAAATAAAATAAAATAAAATACCATTCTAAACTGATTAGCCAGCAAATCCTATTAATTATTTACATCTATGCTCAAATACCACTTCTGCAACATGATCTTGTCCAGTCTTCCCAGATCACAATTAATACTTCCTTCCACTGATTCCCCAAATTTTTATACATAAATTATAGCTATTACTTTATTCTGTCATTTATGTTAATATTTGTATGCTTGCTTCCTTATAGTAACATCCTTAGCAATAGCTACAAGTTGTTTTTTACGTTCTCTTCACAATGCCTCATCCACTTGAGCTTGTAATACAGCAGTATTGATCATTCAAGGTTCAATGAAAGAATACAGGCCTTTGACTAAAAACTTGATGAAGAATATACACAAATTTATAGAAATGTATACACATGTGCTACAGTTTTCTAGTTTTTAAATATTATTGAGGACTCAAATGCACTGTTTTTACTTTCTTATTGTTATAAGAAATGCATAATATAAAATTTTAACATTTTTAAATGTACAGTTCAGTAGTATTAAATGAATTCACATTGTTGTACAACTATCACCACCATCCATCTCCAGAAATTTTTATCCCAAACTGAGACTGTGTACCTGCTGAACAAACACATATCGCTTTATTTTATAACAGCTATTACAAGAGATACTCTATGATTCTTACAACATTCATACATATTTCAGCTTCTGATAGTATAACAAATTCATATCAGCAATTGCTACTCATTAGGCATAGGTCACAAATAACTCCAAAATGGAAGCCAGAAAAGCTGTCTTTCATTTTGATGTTTCAAAATGTTAATATACATCTATAGGGACTATAACTTGGCATGGGCTAAAAACTCAGTACAACTCAAAAATGATATACCAGATGTTATTACAATATCTTTTAAAGCTCCTTATAAACTTACTGTGTCAGGAGCAAAGATATTACAATAAAAATGTTTTAGTAAGTGTTCTACATTATATATTTCTTTAAATTATAATTATACTTACAACTTCATTTCCATTCTCACATAAAAAGTTGGCTTAAGAATACAAGAAACTTTAACTCTGCTTGTAGATGTCAGAGTTCTACAAAGAAAGGTGACAAATACGCCAAGTGTTAAAGAAAGGATAAGAGTTACTCAAACAGTTTGAGGAGCAAATAATGCTAATAATGATGACTTAATGTAGGGTCAGGAAACAGAAATAAGTAGCCAGATAAGTACAAAAATGTGGACATGATTGAAGGGGAGAATGAGCAAGCTAATCCCTACCTTCCTGGAACATTATGCTGATCCTTTAGTCATGGAGTATAACCCTATGGAATTCTTATCTTTTAAAACACCTTATTCTCCCACAAAACTGAGAATACATGGACAAAATGAACTGTGTCTTTATTATTTAATATAACAGCTCCCAGACCTATCACTGTATTTAGAACATTGTGTGTAAAAAATAAATGTTTTTATAAGAATTGACTTATTAAGCATGGAAAAGAGAAGTATCTGGAATCTAACTCCTTTCGCTTCCCTCACCTTATGTCAGAGAAATTGTCAGGAAATCCATGAAAAGCATTTTAAGGGTGGTTGGACAGTACAGAGAAATAAAAGAACAGGAAAGGATTACCACTCAGTCATATATGTTCTAATTGTAAACAACATGATACATCTATGAAATAAAATTTCAGCTTGTAACTTATTCTTCCATTTCTTAAATGATATTGTAGTAATAATAATGATGCCGATAATAACAGCTAATACTTACTGCTTCCAGCATGCCTTTTACTGTTCTTAGACCTGACATGTACGAATTCATCTATTTCTCACACCTGTAATGTAACACGGTTATTATCCCCATTTTACAGATGTGGGGACTAAGATGTAGACAGGTTAAGGAAGGCAACCAGTCTTTCAGCCAGTTATTTGTGAAGTTGACTTTTGAACCCGTGCCCTGCTCCAGAGCCAATACTTTCAATCATTATCTTAAAGTGCCCTACAGTGTTAGAAATAAAATAATCCCTTTGCTTATGCTATTGTTCTTACTTCAAATGACTTATTTGGTTAAGAGCGAGGAGTTGTAAGATTGCAAATTTTTGGCCGGGCGCAGTGGCTCACGCCTGTAATCCCAGCAGTTTGGGAGGCCGAGGCGGCGAATCACGAGATCAGGAGTGCGACACCAGCCCGGCCAATACAGTGAAACCCCGTCTCTACTAAAAATACAAAAATTAGCCAGGCATGGTGGCACGCGCCTGTAGTTCCACATACTTGAGAAGCTGAGGCAGAAGAATCCCTTGAACCCGGGAGGCGGA
Source organism: Homo sapiens (assembly GCF_000001405.40). NCBI lineage: Eukaryota > Metazoa > Chordata > Mammalia > Primates > Hominidae > Homo > Homo sapiens. The sequence goes on from NC_000018.10 coordinate 1,772,439, forward strand.
GATTGCAGCGAGCCGAGATCACGCCACTGCACTCCAGCCCAGGTGACAGAGCGAGACTCCATCTCAAAAAAAAAAAAAAAAAAGATTGCAAATTTCCAACATAATCCCAACCTAAGACAAGACTAATTTGACATCCACTGACTCATTAAATCCTGCAGTTCCTGGAAATTATTCAAAATGCCAAAAATAATTAAATGGAAGCTATATTAAAATTTAAAAATGCATGCATACATAAATATCTTACCTCTCAACATGTATTAACACCATTGGAAACACCATAACACACTTAAAGTGTTTTCATTGGTAGATGAATTATGTTAATAAGCAAACTGAATTTTCCTGCCATGTAAATTGAGGTGGTTAATTCATTTTATTTTAGGAAATGTGGCTTAAGGTAGAGAAAGAGGTATCATGAATGTACACACATATATATGTATGTACACACACATTCCATACATGTACATGTTATGTACAACTATGGAAAAACACAATATTATTTTCTTCATTTTACAGATGAGAAAATTATATTCACATGGTCTGTTTTGCTCAGATTTACAAAGCATGTTAAAGATTATATGCTAGAGAAATCTAAATCATCCAGTTACCTCCAGCCTCCCAGTCTTCCCAGCTGAGGCTGCAGATTGGAGAATAAAGCAAAGCCACTCCTTGGTAAGCTTTGCTAAATTCTCAACTCATTTCCCCCAGCCCACAAGCATATTAAAATGACTGTTTTTAAGCTTTTACGGGTTGAGGTGATTTGTTACACAGAAATAGACACTAAAACAATATACAAGCAAAATAAAAGTTGCCGCTCACTCACATTTTAATAACTGTATGGAAATTGAGATTTTGACATATTCAGAAAACAGAATTTGATATTCCTTGCACAGTTTCTCAGCATGATGTCCCTCTTTCCAAAATTTTCATTATTGAAAAAGACAGTTACTAGAGGCTTTTCCTTTATTGAAATGGGAGAGAAATCACTCTTCATAATTTTAGACATCTATTTTGTTCATTGGAGTTTAAATCAATTTCTGTAATAATTGCAATGCTTATATCTTGGATTTTAAAGTAGATTTTCCCTAAATAATTCTTTGCATTACACTTCCATTTTTAAATTATGCGTCTATTAAAATGCAAATAACAATATTTTCCTTTATGAAATAGAGAAATGTAGAAATGTTCTACCACATAACAACTATTAACTTTTTTTTTCTTCACATTGTCACACAGGCTGGAGTGCAATCTCGGCTCACTGCAGCCTTGACCTCCCGGGCTCGAGCAGTCCTCCCACCTCAGCCTCGCAAATAGTTGGGACCACAGATATGCACCACCACGTCAGCCTAATTTTTGTATTTTTAGTAGAGACAGAGTGTCACCATGTTGCTCAGGCTGGTCTGCTGGGCTCAAGCAATCCGCACAACTCCACCTCCCAAAGTGCTAGGATTACAGGCTAAGCCACCGAGCCATTTTATACAATATTTTATGCATCTTTAGTTAAAGAGTTAAAAGTTTCTTTAAGATCTTTGAAATTATTTTAAAATACTGATCACTGTTGTTTTTTTCCACCAGTTTCTCAATTCTTAAATTCTATGTTCTTTTAAATAAAATTTTGACACGCTGAAATTTAATCATGTTCATATTTATATTGAATATATTTATTGTCAATTTCTTAGTTTTATAGACAAATAGATTTTATTATGGTAAATCCACATAGCATTACTTTTTTGAAAGTGCATAAAAATTAGCTCATAGATTAAGTCTTTCCTGGAATTGCATCACTTTGAAGATATTAAATAGATGCATCCTTCACCTTATTTAAATCAAATTTTCTTTCTTTTCAGCACATTAATTTCAATGTACATGAGGTATGAGAGTTTGCTTGCTTTTTAAGTTTTTTGATAAAACATCCTGGGGAGGAGGCCAGAGAAAGTGCCATGAGAGTTGGAGGGTTTACACAAAGTTCATTTACCTTTTTCATTGTTTCTTTGACTTTGAAATGTGCTCATTGATTTTCTACCTGGTGATTTCGAAGCTGTTGAGCAAACAGTAACCTGGTGTTTCTGTAAAGATGAAACTGCACTTAGCCATGCAAGTGAATGAATGTGAATGTCACATTCTGTTGAAAAGTTGTCTAAGTTTTCTCCTCAAAAGTTTGCACAACTTTTTTTGTATATTCTTGCCAAACACAAAGTTTACACAGTTGGCTGGGAAATAAAACCATAGAATATATAATACTATTAACACTATAATTTTTATATGAATATATTTATATCCTACTCAGGAAAATTATTCCTCTGTAATCTGTTTTTTTTCTCTTTGGTCTCATCTGACCTTTATTTATCAAATTGTGGATCATTAAGAAATAAATTCATTTAGACAGTTTTTATTAGCTTTTATTTATTGAGCCCTTGTTACAAGCCATGCACCACTCTGGGCACTTTACATATAGTAATCCAAAGTTTTACTATTACTTTCTTAGACAGGACCTATTGTGATCATTTTATTGCCAAAGAAACAAAGGCACAGACAGGTTACTTAAACTGTCCAAGGTCACATGTTGAGTAAGCAACAATGCCAGCCACTTATATGTAGATTATTGAAATGATACATTTACTCTAAATAAATTTCAAATTCATCCTCCATATTTGACAAGCTATTTAGCTAAAATATCTCTCCCATATTTAACAACTTTTATCAACAACTGCATTTTACTACTGTGGTGGATTTTAAAAGTTCAGCATGAAATTCAAGGCAAATTGGCCCTGCTGGCATTTCTAATCCCACTTTCCAACATTCCCCTACTCCAAAACTCCAGTTATTCCAGATTGTATAATTTTCCAACTGCTCCATGTAATTTCTTACTCTCATGACACTTTCTCTTTTACTCTATCTTCGTGGAATGTTCTTCCCCTTATCCTTGGTCACTTGTAAATATCTCTTCATTCTTTCAAATCTAGTTCAGGTGTCATTGCTTCCAGTAAACCATCCTTAAATTCTACTACCACCAAATAATTGATCAATCTTTCTACTATTTTTTTTATCTTGGGCATTATTGAAATATTATATGTTGCATTGTATTAGAATAATTTCATTATCCATTTTATCCCTACTAGCCAAAGTTTCCTTTTCAAGAAGGAGCCATGTTATTCATTTTTGTGTTCCTGGCTGTATTAGTCTGTTCCCACATTGCTGATAATGACATACCTGAGACTGGGCAATTTACAAAAGAAAAAGGTTAAATGGACTCACAGTTCCACGTGGCTGGGGAGGCCTCACAGTCATGGTGGAAGGCAAGGAGGAGCAAGTCATGTTTTACATGGATGGCAGCAGGCAAAGAGAGAGAGCTTGTGCAGGAGACCTCCTCCTTTTAAAACCATCAGATCTCATGAGACTTATTCACTATCATGAGAATCGCAAAGGAAAGACCTGCCCCCATGATTCAATTACCTTCCACCGGGTCCCTCTTACAACATGTGGGAATTGTGGGAATTACAATTCAAAATGAGATTTAGGTGGGGACACAGCCAAACAATATCACTGGCATCTAGGCTAGTATGAGATATATAATAAATGCTTGTTGAAAAAATGAATATGTAAAAATTAGGGCTTAAATCTTTAGTAAACTCTAGAAAACTTGTCAAATTTAATTAATTAAATGTAAATTTAAGATATGACATTAACACTACAGGTCGTTAATTCATTCTGTACAGAAAATAAATATTGTCTTACCAAGTAGGATAGGTTGTTTGTGTGGGGGAAGGGGGAGAATGATTGCTAGTCACAGAGTGTTTATTTCTTTTTTTTTGAGACGGAGTCTCACTTTGTCACCCAGGCTGGAGTGCAGTGGTGCTATCTCGGCTCACTGCAAGCTCCACCTCCTGGGTTCACACCATTCTCCTGCCTCAGCCTCCCGAGTAGCTGGGACTACAGGCGCCCACCACCATGCCCGGCTAATTTTTTGTATTTTTAGTAGAGATGGGGTTTCACCGTGTTAGCCAGGATGGTCTCGATCTCCTGACCTCATGATCGGCCCACTTCGGCCTCCCAAAGTGCTGGGATTACAGGCATGAGCCACCGCACCCGGCTACAGAGTGTTTATTTCTTAAACAAATAATATTATATCCAATTTTATAATGTAGTGTCATATTTACTAAGACAATTTAATCTCATGTTTTCTTTTGTCCAATTCAGAAAGGTGAAGGAAGCAAATAATTTTCCTCTTACAACAGGAAGGAGAAGAATATTAATAACTAATAACATTTGTGGCATGTTTACTACATAGCAGGTACTATACTCAAAATCAACTTATGTTAATAGCTACTTTCATTATCTCCATTTTATGGCTGAGTTATAGGAGGTGCAGAGAAATTAAATGAACTATAAGTGTTACTAATTTGAAAGCAGGTCTGTCTGATATAAATGATAAAAATATCTGAAAAAGGGTCAAGAAGCCTGTAATACGCTGATGCTGTTCCTCTGTGAGGAACTAGAGCCACAGGGATCTCAGGGACCATCTTTCTCATAGCACAAAATGCTGTGCTGTATCTTCCAAAATGTACCTTTCCTGTCAGCATTCTCATTGCTTACTTCTCCATGTCTGGGAACCTCCAGTCTCTGAGAAGCCCATGGCCTTTTGCAAGTGTACCAGATTATAATATATTATTTACTAAACCTGAAATGAATAAGCAGACTTCATTGTAGACACTCTGGACTATGCATTTGCTATCTTTTTCTTGTCTACTTACAAAAGTAATATATACTCATTGTAGAAAATAGAAACTAACACTAAAGAAAAACATCATTAATAATCCTATAAGCCAAATCTAAACCCTGCTACAATTTTGGTGAATAAGAAAGAGTGGGGAGGGGGTAAATTTTTTTAAACAGGAAATGAGGAAAATTCTATATACATTCTTTGGAAACTTGATTTTTAATTTATTATGTCCAAGTATATTTGCTCATGTTGTTGAATAAATTTCCAATTGCTTCAGTACATTCATAATTGCTAATATTTCTCAAGAATTTCTTTATCTGCTTGGCAATGTACTTTATAGTAGTACTTCTCACATATCAGTCTACCAGGACTACTTAAGGACCTATTGTGTTAATGTGGGTGAGAAAATGAAAGTCTGAATAGGATACTTTTACTGAGAATATTGAGAAATAGACCTGCTTGAATTTAGGAGTTAAGAGTGGCATTGTTGATGATGAACAAATCAAATAGTTGATTTGTCTGACGGGAGTGAAGAAAAGAGAGTAGTGAAGAAAAGGTGTCTTCCAAGGTGTCTGGCTATAGCAACTGAATGCATGGTAGTTCCATGCACTCTGAGGAGAGAATACTGGGAGAGGGCCAGACTTGGTAAGAACAAAGAGGAAGCTAGGTTTTGTGGAGCATGAAGCTTATGCAATTTGCCCACCTTATTTAAACCATGTGACTATGAACATATTGCTACATTACTTCCATGACATTGGAGGAAACCTGTGCTTATGAGGCTTATGTTTGAGCCTTATTGGTTAAATCTCCCACTTGATATGGAGTTCACTTTTGGACCTGTTGAATGCAAGGGACATCCAAATAGAGTTGTGCAATAAGCAGTTCAAAAATACAGAGATGTCTTATTTACAATTGCAAGCACAATGCTTGGCATGAAATAGCACACAGTGCTTAAGAATAGAATAAAGTAATTGTCTCAATACTGTCTTCTCATGATTAAGGAGGATGAATGGAAGCAGATTGCCTAGAAACAACTCATTCCATACTTCTGGACTGGGAAGAAATAAATGGTAATGAACAATTGAATGTTACCTCACAGAAAAGTACAAATGATAGCTGTTGCCCTGCCGAAGGGGGACATGTTGCCAGCCATGACAAAACAAGGCTCCAGCGTCACTCTTACTCCTCCAAAGGATGACTGGAGAACATTTACATTCATCCTGGTTTATGATTCCTCCATCTCTTCAGCCTTCAAATTAATTTACCAGAAAAACTAAAGAGTACTATAGTGGACCTTAAAAGTATTTTTCTCCTTTTAAAAAAATACCGAAGAATCAATATTTCTCTTGAGATTATGATGAGCCTTATAGCTTACTGGCTTTAGGTATATTAATTACTAGAAGAACATCTTGAAAGTTTACCTCTCTAATGCTCTACTTCTGAACAATTTGTTGTTAACTGTTATCTGCGAGGGAAAATAGACATGGTTTACATAGTGCCAAAAATGTGTCAGGCTCAATGAGAGACCAGATGTACTGCCAATTTGAAGATGGAGAATTCCAGACTCAGTTTCATTTCATCACCCAAGGGCATATACTAGTAAACAAGAACAGGAATTCAAAAGCAGGTTGTTATTATTGCCCTTGCTTATTCTCAAAGCCCATGCTCTTTCTAGTATATGAGGCTGCCTCAGCTCAAGATTTTAAGATTATTACTAATAAGAAATATTTATTGAGGAAAATGCTGGGAAAGGCTACCAACAGTGAAGAGTTTATTATCTCTAGATGTTGCCTAAGGGAGCCAGCAATAGGTCCTTCCCCAACTGTGTGGGCAGGTGAAGGACATGTCTACCACCCTATGCTCTGGGACTTGAGATGGTTGGAAGAAAGTCAGCAGTCATTTTTCTCCCTCCAAACTTTACCCTAACAAAGTTCTGATCCCAGAAGGGAAAGGATTGGCACTTTGACACACCATTTTTAGAGATTGCTAAAGATTAACAAGAACCCAATCAGAGTCACTCTGGCAGAGGTAACTAGCTGTTCACCTAAAAATTCACATTCCATCTTCCAGAAACTCTTAAGTGACAAACTGCTTAGCAAGAAACTCTATTTCCCAGTCCCACTGCAACAATATGCCATATGGGCATATGACTACTTTTTGCCTATGAAATCAGACTAGAAAGGACATGGTTTCAACGTACAGTGTATAAGAATCAGTTGGAGCATTTTCATTCTGGTTTCCTCTCACGGGTTTGATGCAGGGGACTCTGGGGGCTCTAGCAGATGACAGAACATCAAGTTAGCAGAAGCCTGAATCCCTAAATGATTATGTGGAAGAAATTCACCTAGTGGCTAGGTATGTCTATATTGCACTGTAAACTGGAACTATCGCACTATAAGCTTTTTTGGTGTTAATCACTGGTGGTTATGGCAGCTAATGTTACCCTAACTGATTCCCAGAGCCAAAAGAAACAATGAATACATCACCAATGGTAACGAGGAATAAACAGAACTGAAAGAAGCAATTATTGGCTATATTTATGCAAATAAACATTTGGCTGGATCACAGGAACCTGTGAGGGTGATATAATTCCAGGTTGAGTTCAGCTGAGGGCAAAGGCACCAGCTCAGATTAATCCTTGCTCAGTACAAACTAAAAGCAAACTGAATACTAAGCATTTTATCGCCCTTTCAAAATACTTAGCATGTGCTGTTCTCTCTGTGGACATGTCTCTGGCTACCTGAAGGCATCCAGCATGTGAAAAAACAACTCAGACCACACATTTTCCACCTATGTTCTTCGGGATGTGCTGGAGATGATATGTGAAGAGAAAGAGACTCAGCTTAAGACCCGACAATTCCGGTAACCCATCTACATACATAGTAGCCCACTTAGAATGTCATAGTGCCATTTGGTCACTCATATTTTAAATGTTTCCTCTAAGGAGTTGGCAGTAATAAATGAAGGCAAAGGTTAAAAGCAATTTCCAGACCCACCATGTCTTGATAATTCCAACTCTCGGTTGTCACTTATTGATCTAGCTGGCAGAACCAGAGTGTGCTCTTTAAACACATTTGTCCCTGTGTAATTGCTGTGCACACATTCTGTGCTCTGGAGGTATGGGATTGATACCCGTCCGTCAACTCTCTGGCAAAGAAGGAACTATAATCCCATTTCAGGGACTGAGCCTTGCCATCTTCTAAGGGTTCAAATGTGCCTTTATAGATATTTCACTGAACTAATAGGAATGAGAAGATATTATCTCACATTTGGCAAGTTGCTATGAAGTCATAACTTAAATTAAGCACAAGGCTGATGTTCTCACCATAAGACAGTAAGTTGCTTGTCTGGTTATTTGTTAGCTGAGCAATTCTGGGAAGAGAATGAAAAACATTTTGTTGATGAGAATCTGTATTCATCAGTTTTTGTACAAGACTAAGAACTCGGCATGCTTTTACATTGGAAATTTGGTAATTAATATCAGGTATGTGGTTTCATTTCATGGTTTTAAATTGTGCAATTCTTTCAGTTGCTAAATCTGTACCTGTTCAATGAGTTTTAAAAGGAAAACTCGTGTAAAAGGAAAATATGTTTTTTGTAAAAAATTGAAATGACAGAAAAGCAAAAATTGAACAAAATCATCCTTAGTACTACTTTTATCATTTTCTAGTTTTCCAACTAGGAGTTTTCTATACATATTTATACATGATTGAGAGTGTATGTGCACAAATATATTCATTATTCTTTTTACTAAATTTTTAAAACTGGTTTCTCACTTTGCTTTATTACACTGTCTTCAAATGTGTCAGGCTTGCAAGTAACTCACTTGCAGTTTCCTCTGCCATGGCTCTTCCTCTACCCATTCTCATGCTTTGCTCCTTCACCTACTTTAATTTTTATTCAAGTTTTACTTTCTCAATACCCCTTTTCTTCCTTTATTTTTATTTCTAGATTTTCACTATGCAAAGTATTATTTACTTTACATATAGAATGTTAGCAATGGATAAATAATATTATATCATGCTTATCTATTACACTTTAGCTCACCCTCTATGCTTCTGTTTATGTTGTTTCATATTTTATTGCAAAAATTTGTTGTTAATATTTAATTGGGGCTATGAGTGAGAGATAGACTTTTTCAGTATAAAAATCAGTGAGAAAAAAGATAGAAACCTACATGTTTGGTTAAATAAAAATAAAAATTTTTATATAGCAAAAATATCAAAATCTGAAAAAAATGACAAATTTTAGAGAATGTGGCTGTATTTATTTTGAATATAGAAAAATCAGTTTGCATTTCTATGTATTCATCTTTACTTCATAGATTGCTCCATCAATATTAAGCTCAGAACAATTCCTCTCTCCTTGGAAATTTAACAAATATTTATATTTATCTCATTTCATATTTCTTATGATTTGATTTTTTTCAATTTGCCCTTAGATGCATCCGTAAATTTAATTATTTGTTAGCTTGTGTTTGTTTTTAAATTACTAACTCTTGCAGATATCGGTTGTTCCTTACCTGTATCAAACTAATTCCCTCTTCCTCTGTTAACAGCATCCTGATTTTCCATTGGGGAGTAAGTCAACCTTCCTTGGATAGTAGCATAGGGACCTTTATTGTACATAAGTAACCTGGACTTGGACAGAGTCAATGAATTTATCCACGAATGGGTATCTGCCTTCAGTCCAGTGAAAATCAACCAGGTACTTCTGTACAGCCCGAGGGGGAATATGTCCTTTTCTCTGCCTGAAGTTGCCCATGGTCATGTTTGTGATTATACGGGGTAAACTGAGAATAAAATAATCACATACAAAAGAAGAATCAAAAAAATGAGATATGATCTTGATAACCTAATTTAAACTCTAAGTAATTCTCATAACAGGATTTAGTGAACATTCTAACCCTTTTCCAACAACCCATCCTGCTACATGCCTTTATCATAAAATAGCTTCATATATAAAAGCGTCATGTTAAAGTTAGTTTTACTTTTCCACTTATATAGATTTAAATATATTTTATTGAATTATTAAAACTTTACAAAGTTGGGGCTAATCCTAGCTCTTGTTTATACAATTTTAAAAATGATATTTGTTTATTTTCCAAAGAACTTTAAGAATTATAAATTACCCATTATAATGTTAATTTCAATTGTGTTAAATTTAGAATTTTTTTATTATACTTTAAGTTCTAGGGTACATGTGCACAACATACAGGTTTGCTATATATGTATACATGCACCATGTTGGTGTGCTGCACCCATTAACTCGTCATTTACATTAGGTATATCTCCTAATGCTATCCCTCCTCTCTCTCCCCACCCCATGACAGGCCCCAGTGTGTGATGTTCCCCTTCCTGTGTCCAAGTGTTCTCATTGTTCAATTCCCACCTATGAGTGAGAACATGTGGTGTTTGGTTTTTTTGCCCTTGCAATAGTTTGCTGAGAATGATGGTTTCCAGCTTCATCCATGTCCCTACAAAGGACATGAACTCATCCTTTTTCATGGCTGCATAGTATTCCATGGTGTATATGTGCCACATTTTCTTAATCCAATCTATCATTGATGGACATTTGGGTTGGTTCCAAGTCTTTGCTATTGTGAATAGTGCCGCAATAAACATACGTGTGCATGTGTCTTTATAGCAGCATGATTTATAATCCTTTGGGTATATACCCAGTAATGGGATGGCTGGGTCAAATGGTATTTCTAGTTCTAGATCCTTGAGGAATCGCCACACTGACTTCCACAATGGTTGAACTAGTTTACAGTCCCACCAACAGTGTAAAAGTGTTCCTATTTCTCCACAGCCTCTCCAGCACCTGTTGTTTCCTGACGTTTTAAGTAGGCAGGAATTTGCATTTGTTCTATCAGTCTTCTCAACATTCATTATTCATCTGTAGTTGTCAGTGAAATACTATAGGTCTTTTTAGAGAAGATGTAAACTTCCATTTAAAAGTATTTCTGAGTGTTTTATTAATAATATGAGTTTTTTCTTTCCTTATTTCTATCATTAACTGATTATTCTTGTTAAATGAGATTATTATTATTTTATGTAAAAAATTAATGTGAATATACATATGTAATATTTGATCACTCTATTAAAATCTTTTATTAGTCTGAGAGTGGCATTTGACTCATTTTCTAATTAGCATCATGGCACTAGGAGAGGAGTCACCTGTCCACACTGGCATCTTCTGATGTGGATATTATCTCGTGGACTTTGGGCTGGTCATTTTTCCTATGCTGTCACTAATGGAGATGTATGACCCAAGCTACTGCTGAACTGTAGTCATTCCTCCATACTAGCATCCCGTTAGATATACATGTTCCCATTCAACCTCTGGATATAAGTTCCATTATTCATCCTAAGACTGCATCTGTAAACCCATCCATGTACACAAAAACATCTCTATGGATAACACCGAGTCCATTTTAATGGAGCCCTTGGCAACCTTCAAGTGTTCTTTCACATCATTCAGAGGTCACAGAGATTACCTGGGGAAATGTTCAGATCTTTGCTTAGACATAACATCTCACCATTCCTACCAAAAGACTGTTCTGTCCAGTGTTAAGATAAAGGGGCAGTTCCAAGACCTTTCTCTCTTTTCTAAGATTCTATGTGAGAGTGAAAGCTTCTGCTACTTTCAGAGCCTTAAACTTCTGTGAATTCTATCACCAGCATTCTTGCATTTATTAGATGTAGAGTACAAAAATAATGGGGTCCTTCTTCAGAGCTCTGCACCACAGGCATCTCAATATCCTGATTAACCCCTCACTCCCCTTCTTCTCCAGATTTGAAAAGACTTTATGTAGCATGGTGGAGAGAAAAAAAAAATGAGTCTAAGAATTTTTTTTTGTCTTTTATGTGGACTAAAAAAGATAACTTAAAATATCAGCCTACTACCTAGGTATACAACCATCCTGCCTGAAAATGATAATATTTTACTTGTGGCCTAGCATCCTAACCCCGGAATATACAGATTCTTACAGCCTCTCAGCTGGAATCTGCTTAATCCTACTGAACTCCCGGGGGTAGGGGCAACCAGCACTGGCTGTGGCTGCCTAGTGTCTAAGCCATTTGAGTTCCTTGTGGGAGGGGCAGCAGCCAGCACTGGGACTGGCAACTGCCTAACAAGCTAAGCTCCCTGGACGGGGGAACAGCGACATCCATTTGTATAGCTCCAGGCTGCGCTTTTCTCCTTCTGGAGCCAGGGAGGCTGAATGGCTTAGTCCCAAGACTTGTCCCCACAGCCCAACACACTGGCTGTGGCAGTCTGCAACCAGAGTGCCCCTTCAGGCCTAACTCTGACCCTTCCTTCCTCAGTGGGTGGGGCTTCCCCACAGGATCTCCAATAACTCCAGCCAGAGGCTCAGGGACAGAGTTCAGATCTCCCTGGGTCTGAGCCCCTAGCGGGGAGTGGTGGCCACAGTATCTGAGGACCAGCAGACTTACCCTCTCCTCCTTGTAGTTCTGAGGAATCCAGGAAGCCCCGATGAATGGGTTTCCCCCCAGAAAAACACACAAAGGGACAAAGTGCTTCATTAAACAGGTCTTGCTCCCCGTGCCACCCAACTGGGTGAGACGCTTCAACAGGGGTTGTCAGACACCCTATTCAGCAGCAATCCTGCTGGCATCAGGTTGGTGCCCCCAAGGCCTGAGGTCCCAGAAGAAGGAGCAGGCACCCATCTTTGCTTCTCTCCAGCCTCCGTGGAGTGACATCTCCAGGCATGGGAGTGAATCAGTTGAATAGGGCCTGAACTGAACCCCCAGCAAACTGCAGAAACCCTACAGAAGGGACCTGACTATTGAAAGAAAAACAAACAAGCAGAAAGTGACAACAGCATCAACAACAACAAAAAAGGCCCCCACAGAAACCCCATCCAAGAGTCAGCAGTCTCAAAGACCAAAACTAGACAAACTCACTAAGATGAGAAAGAATCAATGAAAAAAATGCTGAAAACCCAAAAGGCCAGAGTACCTCTTCTCCAAATGATCACAATGTCTCTCCACTGGGGCAGAGAACTGGACAGAGGATCAGATGGACGAATTGACAGTAGTAGGCTTCAGAAGATGGGTAATAAAAAACTACAATTAGCTAAAGGAGCATGTTCTAACACAATGCAAAGAAGCTAAGAACCTTGATAAAAGGTTACAGGAATTGCTAATTAGAATAACCAGTTTAGAGAGGAACATAAACGACTGGATGGAGCTGAAAAACACAGCATGAGAATTTCATGAAGCATACACAAGTATCAGCAGCTGAATAGACCAAGTGGAAGAAAGGATATCAGAGTCTGAAGACCACCTTACTGAAATAAGACATGCAAATAAGAATAGAGAAAAAAGAATGAGAAGGAATAAACAAAGCCTCCAAGAAATATGGGATTTCATAACAAGACCGAACCTACGATTGGTTGGAGCACCAGAAGGAGACCAGGAGAGTGGAAACAAGCTGGAAAACACTCTTTAGGATATTACCCGGGAGAACTTCCCCAAACTACCAAGACAGGCCAATGTGCACATTCAGGAAATACAGAGAACGCCATTAAGATACTCCGCAAAAAGATGAACCCCAAGACACATAATCATCAGTGTCATGCGTGTCCGTATGGAAGACCACCTAAACAGGGTTTGTGTGAGCAACAAGGCTGTTTATTCACTTGGGTGCAACTGGGCTGAGTCCAAAAAGAGAGTCAGTGAAGGGAGATAGGAGGGGGCAGCTTTATAGGACTGGGGTAAGCAGTGGAAAGTACAGTTAGAGGTGGTTATCTATTGTTAGCAGGGGAGAAGGTCACAAGTTGTATGGTGGGGAGATCATAAGACTCGTTGTCCAGAAGAAGAATGTCACAAGGTCGATTGATGAGTTGGGGCAGGGCAAGAACAAGTCATAATGGTGGAATGTCGTAAGGTTGGTCAATCAATTAAGGCAGGAGCTGGCTGTTTCACTTCTTTTGTGGTTTTTCGGTTGTTCCAGACTTCTTGGCTCCTGCAGGCCATGTGGACATATATGGGCAGGTCACAGGGGTTACAATGGCTGAGCTTTGGCTCAGAGGCCTGACAATCAGATTCTCCTGGAAAAATTATTAAAGGCAGTCAGAGAGAAAGTCCATGTTACCTACAAAGGGAAGCCCATCAGACTAACAGTGGACCTCTCAGCAGAAACTCTACAAGCCAGAAGAGATTGGGGGCCAATATTCAACATTCTTAAAGAAAAGAATTTTCAACCCAGAATTTCATATCCAGCCAAACTAAGCTTTATAAGTGAAGGAGAAATAAAATCCTTTCAAGGCAAGCCAGTGCTGAGGGATTTCCTTACCACCATGCATGCCCTGCAAGAGCTCCTGAAAGAAGCACTAAATAGGGAAAGGAAAAACTGGTACCAGCCACTGCAAAAACACCCCAAAATATAAAGACCAATGGCACTACGAAGAAACTCCATCAACTAGTGTGCAAAATAACCAAATAACACCATGATGACAGAATCAAATTCACATGTAAAAATACTAATCTTAAATATAAATGTGCTATTATGCCCCAATTAAAAGACACAGACTGGCAAATTGAATAAGGAGTCAAGAGCCATCAGTGTGCTGTATCCAGGAGACCCATCTTTCGTGCAAAGACACACATCAGCTCAAAATAAAGGAATGGAAGAAAATTTGCCGAGCAAATGGAAAGCAAAACAAAGCAGGGATTGCAATCCTAGTCTCTGACAAAACAGACTTTAAACCAACAAAGATAAAAAAAGACAAAGAAGGCCATTACATAACGGTAAAGGGAACAATTCAACAAGAAGAGCTAACTATTCTAAATAAATATGCACCCAATATAGAAGCACCCAGATTCATAAAACAAGTTCTTAGAGACCTACAAAGAGATGTAGTCTCCCACACAATAATAGTGGGAGACTTTAACACTCCACTGTCAGTATTAGACAGATCAATGAGACAAAACATTAACTATGATATTCAGGACTTGAACTCAGCTCTGGATTAAGTGGACCTAGTAGACGTCTACAGAACTCTGTGCCCAAATCAACAGAATATGCATTCTTCTGAGTTCCACGTGGTACTTATTCTAAAACTGACCGCAAAATTGGAAGTAAAACATTCCTCAACAAAGGCAATAGAACAGAAATCATAACAGTCTCTCAGACCACAGTGCAATCAAATTAGAACTCAGGATTAAGAAAATCACTCAAACACACACAATTTCATGTAAATTGAACAATCTGCTCCTGAATGACTCCTGGGTAATTAATGAAATTAAGGCAAAGATCAAGTTCTTTGAAACCAATGAGAACAAAGAGACAATGTATCAGAATCTCTGGGACACAGCTAAAGCAGTGTTAAGAGGGTGATTTATAGCACTAAATGCCCACATCAGAAAGCTAGAAATATCTCAAATCAACACCCTAACATCACAATTAAAAGAGCCAGAGAGGCAAGAGGAAAATATTCAAAAGCTATCAGAAGACAAGAAATAACTGAGATCAGAGAAGAATTGAAGGAGATAGAGACATGAAAAACCCTCCAAAAAATGAACGAATCAAGGAGATGTTTTTTTTTAAAAAATTAACAAAATAGATAGACCTCTAGCTAGACTAATGAAGAAGACAGAGAAGAATCAAATAGACACGGTAAAAAATGATAAAGGGGACATCGCCACTGACCCCACAGAAATACAAACTACCATCAGAGAATACTATAAACACCTCTAGGCAAAGATACTAAAAAATCTAGAATAAATGGATAAATTCCTGGACAGATACACCCTTCCAAGACTAAACCAGGAAGAAGCTGAATCCCTGAATAGAATAATAACAAGCTCTGTAATTGAGGCACTAATTAATAGCCTGCCAACCAAAAAAGTCCAGGACCAGATGGGTTCACAGCTGAATTCTACCAGAAATACAAAGAGGAGCTGGTACCATTCCTTCTGAAACTATTCCAAACAATTGAAAAGGAGAGACTCCTCCCTAACTCATTTTTTGAGGCCAGCATCATCCTGATACCAAAACCTGGCAAAGACACAACAAAAAAATAAAACTTCAGGCCAATATCCCTGATGAACATCGATGTGAAAATCCTCAATAAAATACTGGCAAACCGAATCCAGCAGCACATCCAAAAACTTATCCACCACGATCAAGTTGGCTTTATCCCTGGGATGCAAGGCTGGTTCAACATACACAAATCAATAAGCCTAATCCATCACATAAACAGAACCAAAGACAGGAACCACATGATTATCTCAATAGATGCAGAAAAGGCCTTTGATAAAATTTAACATCCCTTCATGTTAAAAACTCTCAATAAACTAGGTATTGATGGAACATATCTCAAAATAATAAGAGTTATTTATGACAAACACACAGCCAGTATCATATTTAATGTTCAAAAGCTGGAAGCATTCCCTTTGAAAACCGATATGCCCTCTCTCACCACTTCTATTCAACATAGTATTGGAAGTTCTGGCCAGGGCAATCAAGCAAGAGAAAGAAATAAAGGGTATTCAAATAGGAAGAGAGGAAGTCAAGTTGTCTCTGTTTGCAGACAAGATGATTTTATATTTAGAAAACTCCATCGTCTCAGCACAAAAACTTCTTCAACTGATAGGCAACTTCAGCAAAGTCTCAGGATATAAAATCAATGTGCAAAAATCACAAGCATTCCTTTACACCAACCATAGACAAGCAGCCAAATCATGAATGAACTCCCATTCACAATCTCTACAAAGAGAATAAAATACCAAGGAATACAGCTAACAAGGGATGTGAAGAAGCTCTTCATGGAGAACTACAAACTACTGCTCAAGGAAATAAGAGAAGACACAAAGAAATGGAAAACATTCCATCCCCATGGATAGGAAGAATCAATATTGTGAAAATGGCCATACTGCCCAAAGTAATTTATAGATTCAATGCTATTTCCATCAAACTACCATTGATATTCATCACAGAATTACAAAAAACTATTTTAAATTTTATACAGAATCAAAGAAGATCCCATATAGCCAAGACAATCCTAAGCAAAAAGAACAAAGCTGGAGGCATCACACTACCTGACTTCCAACTATACTACAGGTCTACAGTAACCAAAGCAGCATGGTACTGGTACCAAAACAGACATATAGACCAATGGAGCAGAACAGAGACCTCAAAAATAACACCACACATCTACAACCATCTGATCTTCAACAAACCTGACAAAAACAAGCAATGGGGGAAAGGATCTCCTATTAAGTAAATGGTGCTGGGCAAACTGGCTAGCCATATGCAGAAAACTGAAACTGGACCCCTTCTTTACACCTTAGACAAAAATTAACTCAAGATGGATTAAAGACTTAAATGTAAAACCCAAGAAGAAAACCTGGGCAATACCATTCAGGATATAGGCATGGGCAAAGACTTCATGACTAAAACACCAAAAGCAATTGCAACAAAAGCCAAAATTGACAAATGGGATCTAATGAAACTAAAGAGCTTCAGCACAGCAAAAGAAACTACCATCAGTGTGAACAGGCAACCTACAGAATGGGGGAAAATTTTTGCAACCTACCCATCTGGCAAACATCTAATATCCAGAATTTACAAGGAACTTAAATATGTTTACATGAAAAAAAACAAACAATCCCATCAAAAAGGGGGCAATGGATATGAACAGACACTTCTCAAAAGAAGACGTTTACATGGCCAACAAACATATGAAAAAAAGCTCAACAAAAACTGATCACCAGAGAAATGCAAGTCAAAACCACAGTGAGATACCATTTCATGCCTGTCAGAATGGCGATTATTAAAAAGTCAGGAAACAATAGTCACTGGTGAGGCTGTGGAGAAATAGCAATGCTTTTACGCTGTTTGTGGGAATGTAAACTAATTCAACCATTGTGGAAGACAGTATGGCGATTCCTCAAGGATCTAGACATAGAAATACCATTTGACCCAGCAATCCCATTACTGGGTATATACCCAAAGAAATATAAATCATTCTACTATAAATACACATGCACATGTATGTTTATTGCAGCAGTATTTACAATAGCAAAGACATGGAACCAACCCAAATGCCCATCAATGATAGAGTGGATAAAGAAAATGTGTTATATATAAACCATGGAATACTATGAGCCATAAAAAGGAATGAGATCATGTCCTTTGCAGGGACATGGAAGAAGCTGGAAGCCATCATCCTCAGCAAACTAACACAGGAACAGAAAACCAAACACCGCATGTTCTCAGTCATAAGTGGGAGGTGAACACTGAGAACACATGGACACAGAGAGGGAAACGATACACACCAGGGCCTGTTGAGGGGTAGGGGGTGAGGGGAGGGAACTTAGAGGATGGGTCAATAGGTGCAGCAAACCACCGTGGCACATGTATACCTATGTAACAAACTTGCATGTTCTGCACATGTATCCCATTTTTTTAGAAGAAATAGAAAAAAAAAAGTTGCGCATGTGTGTAAGTTATATCTACACATATATCATGATCATATATCTCATTTCTTATACATATTTATGGTGCATAACATTTCCATATCACATATACATATGCATATATATATCTTATACTTATATAAAATGTGTTTGTTTTTTTTTTGAGACAGAGTCTTGCTCTGTCGCCCAGGCTGGAGTGCAGTGGCGCAATCTCGGCTCACTGCAACCTCCCCACCTCCTGGGTTCAAGCGATTCTCCTGCCTCAGCCTCCTGAGTAGCTGGGATTACAGGCATGTGCCATCACGCCCAGCTATTTTTTTATTTTTAGTAGAGACGGGTTTCACCATGTTGGTCAAGCTGGTCTCGAACTCCTGACCTCGTGATCCGCCCACCTCGGCATCCCAAAGTGCTGGGATTACAGGCGTGAGCTACCGCACCCGGCCTAAAATGTTTTGAAATAGCTTCACGTGCAAATACGTTTAACATTTTTAAATGCAGGAAGGTATATAGATGAAATTAAAATTCATTTGAAATCGCACCACTGAGACAAAGAACCACTATAAAGATTTGAAGAACACCACTCCATCTGTCTATGCATATATTATTTTAACTCATTTATATGTATATATGTATGATATATATGAATATATATTATTTACTTTATATATGTATTTATATAAAATATTTTCTCTATATATGTATATATTTAATTATGAGGTATATATTATTTAAACCTCAATCTTATCTATAAAATAGAGATCACATTACCTAACTTAAAGGGTTGTTAATAAAGATGAAGTAACACACGTAATTGTCTCAACGTAAATAGATGTCCTTTTCTCTTAAAATTGTTTCCATATTGTCTAAGCCTGCATTATTTGTCTTTATAGTTCTGTCAGTGTTCTGTGTTTATCTGCTCATTATTCCACCTTGTAATGTTTCACTTGTCAGTTTCCCTTAAAGACTATGTCTTGTTCACTGTTACATCTCTCAGTGCCAGGCAGAAGGAAGACACTTAATAAACATTGTTAAAATAGATGTTTTAAAACATTACATTAAAACACCTGTATATCCTAGGTTGTTAATAACTTGTTGCTGAACATGAATATAATCCAGCCACTTTATACAACAGATGTGGAAACTCTCCAGACATATTTAATTACTTCTCAAGGTTAAATTTGGTTCATGCTTCTTGTTTAGAGCAGGAATTATAATTATCATGTAATTAAAAGGTATAATATTAATTATTAAATGACTTTATACTAGTGATGAGATTATCACTCGGACTTCTGCTCAGGGTGCCCTAAATATTTCTTGGCGATAGAATGTTCTATAACTTCTCAGCATATTTCTGTGCATACATGCCATCTTACGGCTTTGGTGATGAAGTTTTCATAGTCTTTTTGGAACTTCGAGCTTTAGTTCTCTTACTAATGGCAATGAGGCTTCCTTGTATTTTCTTCTTCTTTCTCAAGAATGTACCATTTGTCAGGTTTCAGCATCTCTACCCAAATCTACTCCTCTGAATACTAAAATGTCCTTAAAGAAATGGATTTTAAAACTACTACTACCTTTAATTAATACATATATAGACTACTATGAAATCAAAATGGTTTCTAAAAGTTCAAAACTTGAAAGGGTCATCTGACATCCAACTAATACAACAGAAGAGATTTTAACCAGTAAGTAGTTCCAGTGGGTTATTTGAAGTTTATAGCTTTTGTCCCTTATACAGTCTCCACTAGACAACCCCAAGACACTTGAAATAAACAATTCAAGTGTGCTTGCCACTGAAATCAGCTACAAAGCAATTCACCTACCCAAACTTTCCAAGCCAGCTGCTCACCTCAAGCTCTGACTTTATGACAATTACAGGGCTGCCTGTAGGTTTGCAGATGCTTTGAACTGGACTGTTGCTGACAAGGACTTCTTGAAACACATATCTCATCAGCCTAGTTCTGTGTATATGTGTGTGTGTGTGTGTGTGTGTGTGTGCGCGCGCGCATTTGTGCGTACATGTGTGTATAGTGATGTCTCTAAAGATATGGAAAAGTGCCATGAAGTCTTGAGTAGACAGGATACAGATGGTTTTTCTAGTAATTGAGAAAATAGAGATAGGGCTTAATAAATTATAAGAGAAAAGGGACTGAAAGTCATAATGGTAATTAATTTTGTTTGTAGGTGTGGTTTCTGCCAGATTTATTTTGGTTTGTTTGGTCTTTTTGTGGCCAGCAAGGAGCTCAATATTATAAGAAAATGAATTTAGGGTCTCCATTGTTATCCTTCTTAGGCTCACAGCCCTCTTTCCAAATTTGTATTTTGGTCATATTCTTGAAGAAAACAACAGGGGAGAAAGTAACACCTGAACAGGTCAGCAACAATCACCACACTATTATTACAGTATAGCAATGTCTCCTAGTGTCAAGAAAAGCAATTTTCCTCATATCTCTTCCCCCCCGACCCCGCCGAGACGGAGTTTCACTCTTAAGCCCAGGCTGCAGTGAAGTGGCCCGCGGTCTCGGCTCACTGCAATCTCCGCCCCCTGAGTTCAAGCGAGTCTCCTGCCTCAGCCTCTGGAGTAGCTGGGATTACAGGCACCAGCCACCACACCCGACTAATTTTTGTATTAATCCAACACTTTTTTTCACTAGATTCTCCACAACTTTCTACCGAATTGAATGCAATAATATATAGACAGAATAAACCTAAGGTCATGAGGATGGAATCAATAAATGAACACAAGGTATAATGAAGATAAAATAAGTTGCCGTGTATATAATGGTCATATTTGGGCATTCCACCATAGCATAGATAGTTGACAACTGAACGACTTCCCATCTGACATTGTATAACTCATATTTTCTTTTATAAATATGCTAAAGCAAATCCCTAGGATTGCAAACTAAAACAAGTGTTTTTGTCTAAATTTGTCAAGAAAGTGTCATATGATATTTAAAGAAACTAAAAGGTTATATTAGGTAATTATGTTAACCTCATTCTATCATAACACTTCATATTGTCTCTGATTGTATCTTATTTTTATTCAGACATACATCATCCAGTTTACATAGAATTAGGGTCTGTAATATCATAAAGCATATTAAATGCATTTTATGAAGCTAGTTTATTTTTACCAGAAATAGTTGTTTAAAAAAGTTCATTGCAGACACATGTATGTAATCTGTCTCATGCTAATGCCTGCATAATATTTCCTTTTATTAATCCAGTGTGTTATTCTTCTGTTGTTGGATGTTAAGAACAATGAAAATATATTCTCATTGTAAATAACACTATAACAAATCAATTTGCATACATTTTTTTCTGAATTATTTACATGAAACGTATTTTTCTTATAAGTTATCTAATTAAATTAGTTGAATGGCTAGAGCAATGCCTATATTTTTCTTTGTATTTTTTCTTTCATTCCTGTCCCATAGGCCACATTCTGAAGGCTTTCATATGTTTTCTTTTGCAATATGTTTATTTTTAATTTAGAAAAAGTTTATCAAGTTTCTCATTATATCCAACTGAAATCTTGATTAGGATTGTATATTGGTTTCTTACTGTTTTAGCCGCATCTTACAAGCACTGGTCTGTAGTGTTTTTGTTATCAATCACTTGTAAATATTTTTTTAAATTTCCATTAGCATTTTTTTAGCGAGTGAGTTATTTAATAATACATTTTCTAGCTTAAAAACCTATGGAATATTTTAGTTATCTTTTTGCTTTAATACGTAAGTTTATAGTATTTTGCAAGAAAGCATATGCTCTGTTATTCATACTTTGAAGTTAATTGAAACTTCTTTGTGGTTTAACGAAGAATATATTTTGTTAATATATTAATCCTGCTAAAAATGTTTATTCTCTGTTAAATGTAGAATTTTACATATATCTAATAGATTAAACTTATTATTTATGTCATTTGATATCCTAGTATTAATGCTTAAGTTTCATCTTTTTGTACCTTCAGTTTATGAGAGGATTGCATTAAAGTTTCCAAAGCAATTACTGACATGCACGTATTACTACTTGCAATTATATCAGTTGATGCTTACTATGACTTGAGGATGTATAATTTGTGCATATATCCTGTGATATTTATTTCTAATTTTTCTCTCTTTATATATACAATATCCTTTCAACTTACACTGTATTTATATCGTATTTTGCTTTAAATTTTACTTTGTCATATAAGATTGTTACCCCATCTGTCTTTGTTTATATTTATATTTACCTGGTATAATTTTTCAATATTTGATTTTCAACCACTATTATAGTTTTTTATCAAAATATGTCCCATCGGTATTATTGTATCTTGTGCAGTTTAAATAAAACCAAATAATTACTGTCTTTGAATTGATGTTTAACCCATTTATATTTATTTAAGTTATTGTTATTTTAAAAATCATTCTTGTTATTTTAGTTCACACTTTTTATCTATTGTATCTTCTAGTCCTCTTTTTCCTTCATTATCACTTTCTATTGATTGATCAAGTTTTCTTTTGTTGGACATATATATATATAATAGAAAAAATATTAGTTATATGATTTATTTTGTTTTATTTATTTTTGATGATTTCTTAAACATCATTATCCTCATTTTCTTCCTATAATGGCAAGAATTTAAATGATTTTGGGCACAGATCCAGTATAACAAGTATATATTTGCACCAGAGAAATATGTACGAGAAAATTTTAGCAGCTTTTTTTCTTGCATAGTAGCAAAAACTAGAAACAACCCTAATGACCATTAAGAGTATGATAAAAAAGATTTGATATATTTATACATAATAGTATTTCATAAACTGCTATGTACAGTAAAATAATAAATAATACATATCTTAGTCTGTCCAGGCTACTATAATAAAATACCTTAGACTGGGTAATTTATAAACAACAGAAGTTTATTTCTTGCAGGTCTAGGTGCTGGGAAGTCCAAGATCAAGCTGCCAGCAGATTTGTTGTCTAGTAGTCTTGCTCTCTGCTTTATAGGTGGTGCTACTTGCTGCATCCTCACATGGCAAAGGAGTCAAAGAGCAAAAGAAGGCCTAAAAGACTTGCTTAAGTCCTCTTATAAGGGCAGAGCCCTCATGATCTAATCTTCTAGGGAAGTCTCTACCTCTTAATACTATTGCATTGGGGATTAAGTTTCAACATGAATTTTGAAGGGATGCAAACCTTCAAACAATAGCAATATATAAATAATAAATATGATATAATATAACTAAAATATTAAATAATAAAGATACATATCAATAATAATTTTTAGAACTACAATGAATAACTTTTAGAACTAATGTCTGAATCTTTCCATGTAACTTTGAGCTAAACATACCAGATGCAAAAGGGAATGACTCTACCTACGTAGGGAAGTTCAAAAACAGCCAAAAGTCAATTACTGACCTTTCTGGGGAGAGTAGCCCAGGTTAGGGCAGGAGGAAGGCTTCTGGGTGTTGGTATTGTTTGTTGCCTGGACCTTGATGCTGCTAATGTTCTCTGTCTTGATCTGAAAAGTACTTACCTTGGTGATTGCTGAGTTGCATACTTTTTATGTTTTATAATATGCATGCAATTTTTCAGTAAAAAGTTAAGAATAAAAGCTTGCCTCTGGGCCACGTGCGGTGGCTCATGCCTGTAATCCCAGAACTTTGGGAGGCCAAGGCAGGTGGATCACCTGAAGTCAGGAGTTCAAGACCAGCCTGGCCAACATGGTGAAACCCCATCTCTACTAAAAATACAAAAATTAGCCGGGCATGGTGGCGTGTGCCTGTAATCCCAGCTACTAAGGTGGCTGAGGCAGTAGAATCACTGGAACCCGGGAGGCGGAGGTTGCAGTGAGCCGAGATTGTGCCACAGCACTCCAGCCTGAGCAACAGAGCAAGACTCTGCCAAAAACAAAACAAAACAAAACAAAACAAAACACCTTACCTCTGGCCAGCCCTGTCCTTGCTGCTTCCATTTCCCTCTTCTTTTGCTGCCTTCAGCCACTCACACTCCAGACATAAACTGCCCAAAACACACTCCATGCTCTGAAGAGCTTGCTTAGATTTTTGGTTTCTTTCTGGCATTCGTATTTCCCTTTTGTTTCCCCCGTTGCTCCAGGATAGGATTTTATGGAGGAAGTCAATAGCTTCTGCTTGTTTATCATCACCGAATTAACCAGCAGCTTCCTCAAGTGAGTCTTATAAACACTTGTAATGGCCTTTGATATGCCAAATTGCTTTTGAAAATGGCCATTCTACAATCTGTGCAGCAGCACTACAGATTTAATGCACTATCACTAGCTTTTGGTGACATATGTCACTTTAAATTGCATGCCTTGTAAATTATCCCTCAATTTTGCTTTAATTTGCAATCATTGCAACAGTAGCAAAATTAAACAATGTCTGTTATTTGCATTTGCTTTTCAGTCATTTTGCTGTTCATGTTTTTGCATATGCATTTATTAACATCATGATGTTGTCCTTATTACTGGGATTAAACATTTAACACTATTTAGATATTCTGTTTCTTCCTACTGATAGAATAAATGAAAACATTTTGAAATGTTATGAACTCAAATGTAAGATTAAGTAAACCAGACCACCTGTCTGTCAGGAGCAGGGAGCAAGGAATGTGATATTTTAATTACTGAAATCACACATGCCTCTACATCCACGAACTACAGACATCATATATAGTTTATTCAGCTCAGAACCTCATTTTTGAGTTAATGGTGCTTTTGTTCAGAAAGGAGTAAGACAGTGGGAGTTCCTACTTTCTCTGTAGTCTCACTTTACTTGATGCCATGTTGGCACTGGGGCATCTGTCAAGTATAACAGATGTCGGGAACAGAAAATTCTCTGTGACCAAGTTTCAATCTGTTATTTACATATGCTGCTAAGCACACTGATAGCAGTTTCATTTCAACAGAAGGAAGACAATGTATCTCACCTGCAAGTGTATTCTCCCTTTAGCTCCTTGAGGGCAGATAGCAGTTGATTTTCTTATTGCTATTCAAGAAAATACAAAGAGAATAATTTCCACAAGAAATTCATAGCTCTGATTGTTTCCTAGTAAGACATGATGTTAAAGTGAATTTTTTAAATCTTCACAATGTTGAATATACAAGAGTATCTTCTTCAGTTGCATTGTAAAATTAGGTACATGTGGTGCTAATCTTATGGAGCAGGTTTTTTAGAATCTTAGAGACAACTTGTATAATGACATGGTTTGTTATTACCTGGTTTTGTAGTGACTTAACTAAAATATAGGCATACTTCATTTTGTTGCACTTCATTTTATTGCTCTTGGCAGATGTTGAGATTTTTACAAATTGAAAGCTTGTAGCAACCCAGAATCAAGCAAGACTATTGGTACCATTTTTGTCAACACTATGTGCTCACTTGGTGTCTCTGTGTCACATTTTGATAATTATCTCAATAGTCCAAATTTTTCATAATCATTTTATCTATTGTGGTGATCTATAATCAGGGACCTTTGATGTTACTATTGTAGATGTTTTGGCCATCATGAACCACACCCATGTAACACGGCAAACTTAATAAATGTTACCTGTGGCCGGGCGCGGTGGCCCATGTCTGTAATCCCAGCACTTTGGGAGGCCGAGGCAGGCGGATCACGAGGTCGGGAGATCGAGACCATCCTGGCTAACACGGTGAAACCCTGTCTCTACTAAAAATACAAAAAATAACCAGGTGTGGTGGCAGGCGCCTGTAGTCCCAGCTACTCTGGAGTCTGAGGCAGGAGAATAGTCTGAACCCGGGAGGCGGAGCTTGCAGTGAGCCGAGACAGCGCCACTGCACTCCAGCCTGGGCAACAGAGTGAGACTCCGTCTCAAAAAATAATAATAATAAAATAAATAAATAAATAAATGTTACGTATGTTCAGACTGCTCCACTGTTCCCCACCTCTCTCCCTCTCCTTGGGCCTCCCTATTCCCTGAGACACAATAATATTGAACTTAGACCAATTAATAACCCTACAATGGTGTCTAAGTGTTCAAGTGAAAGAAAGAGTGCCATGTAATGCACTTTAAATTAAAAGCTGAAAACGATTAAGCTGGGTGAGGAAGGCATGTCAAAAGGTGAGATAGGCTGAAAGTTACGCCTCTTGAGCCAAACCACCAAGTTGTGAATGCAAAGGAGAAGTTCTTGAAGGAAATTAAAAGTGCTACTCCAGTGAATGCATGAATGATAAGAAAGTCAAAACAGCTGCATTGCTGATATGGAGAAAGTTTCGGTTGACTGGATAGAAGATCAAACCAACGACAACGTTTACTTAAGCCAAAGCCTAATCTGGGGCAAGACCCTACTCTATTTAATTCTATGAAGGCTGAGAGAGGTAAGAAAATTATAGAACAAAAGTTTAAATCTAGCAGAGGTTGGTTCATGAGGTTTAGGAAAAGAAACTCTCTCCATAACATAAAAGTACAAGGTGAAGCATCAGGTGCTCATGCAGAAGCTGCAGCAAGTTATCCAGAAGATCTAGGTAAGATCATCGATGAATATGGCTACACTAAACTTCATCACTAGATGAAGCAGCATTATATAGGGAGAAAATGCCACCTAAGACTTTCACAGCTAGAGAGAAAGTCAATGTCTGGCTCAAAAGTTCAAAGGGCAAGCTGACTTTCTTGTTAAGAGCTAATGCAACTGGTAACTTTAAGTTGAAGACAATGCTTGTTTACTATTTGGAAAATCCTAGGGCCCTTAAATATTATGCTAAATCTACTCTGCTTGTGCTCTATAAATGGAATAATGAATACTAGATAACAGCACATCTGTTTACAGCATGGTTTACTGAATATTTTAAGCTACTGTTGAGACCTACTGCTCAGAAAAGGAAATTTCTTTCAAAATATTACTGCTCATTAACTATGCACCTTGTCATTCAAGAGCTCTGATGGAGATGTACTAGGAGATTAATGTTTTCATGCCTGCTAACACAAGGTTCACTCTATAGGCCACAGATCTAGGAGTAATTTTTACTTTCAAGTCTTATTATTCGAGAAACACATTTAATAAGGCTATAGCTGCCATAGATAGTGATTCATCTGAAGAAATCTGGAAAAGGCAATTGAAAACCTTCTGAAAAGTATTCACCATTCCAGATGCCATTGTGACCATTCATGATTCATGGGAAAAGGTTGAGATATCAACATTAACAGGAGTTTGGAAGAAGTTGATTCTGACCTTCATGGATGACTTTGAGGCTCAAGATCTTTCCTGAAGAATGTTCATATTCATGCCTCTAGTTTCCCAAGTTGGATAAAGTTCATGTCTATTATAGCAATGCTTCATTTTACTTTCCACTTCTGTTTTCATTTCTTCTTAATTTCTGTCATCTGTGTGTTTTTCTTTCTTGCTTGCTAGCTCAGCCATCATTTTTAGGTCATGAGTGGGTTTTCAAGTTATACTCCGATATTTTCATAAAACTACAGTTTCTCTTCTTCCAATTTGCTGTTTGTTATGAATCTAAATTATTTCCCTACTATTGTTTCCTTTGTGTCAAATTTGTGACCCTTTCTAATTTTTTTATCAATCTTAAATTCTACATGCTTACTGATTACCTTCTTGAAAGTGAGAGAAAGGCCAAGGAATAATTGAGCCCGTATAAACTTTGGCCTCAGGCAGACATAGGTCCACAAACAGTTCTACCATTCGTAAGTGTTTGACTTTGGATTTCTTAGGTAAATGCAAAGCAATACAGGACTAAACCATTAACTCCACATGCCAATTTTTAACTATCATTTCTGACTTTTTCCTTTCCATATCATAGAAGTTGAGTTTTCTAGTCGGCCGTCTTTTATTCCTCTAGACTAACCAATGAAATTTCAGTTCTTAGCCTTGAAACTATGTCTTTCTAATTGCTAGTTTAAAAGAAAAGCTACAGGCCGGGCGCGGTGGCTCACGCCTGTAATCCCAGCACTTTGGGAGGTCCAGGCGGGTGGATCACGAGGTCAGGAGATCGAGATCGTCCTGGCTAACACGGTGAAACCCCATCTCTACTAAAAATACAAAAAATTAGCCGAGCGTGGTTGCAGGCGCCTGTAGTCCCAGCTACTCGGGTGGCTGAGGCAGGAGAATGGCGTGAACCCGGGAGGCGGAGCTTGCAGTGAGCCGAGATCGCGCCACCGCACTCCAGCCTGGGCGACAGAGCGAGACTCCGTCTCAAAAAAAAAAAAAAAAAAAGAAAGAAAGAAAGAAAAAAAGAAAAGCTACAGAAGGTAAGAAAAAAATTACCTCTTAATCTGCATCAAAGAATTAGTCTTAAAAAAATTAAACCCAATAATGAGACTTTGTAAAACAAACAAACAAACAAAAAACCAGACTTCTGATATCACTGTTGTGTCTTATTAAATTAACCTTTAATCTCTAAGGTGTGTAATTCCAACTGATTGCTTTACTCAATAACATAGTGTCCTGAAATGATATTTAAATGAACATCTTTATTTTCTCAAAAGTATAAATACTTTTCTTTTCTCAAGGTATAAGTAATTTTCTTTGAAGAGGCATAAGTTAGTTAATCATTGGGGTTTTTTCTCACATGCATAGAGAGAAAGAAATGAAATGACACATTATATTTCTTACTTAAATAGATTTTGAGAGTCTTGTCTAAAATTGTATCATCTATACATTGAGAAAATAATTAGCTTTCACATGGAGCAATTAGATGATAAAATGATTAATTGATAGAATGCCCGTGAAGCACTTGGCTCATAGTAGCCTTGTGATAGATGCTACTTCATCCCCAGACTCAATGCTGTATCTTTCTTCTCTGACTTCTAGGTCATTATTTTTTCCTAGCTATCTTTTCTTGTTCCTGACCATTTATGTGCCTTTTGTTTTTGCAAAAACCTCTTTTCCTTTCTTCTGCTAAATTGTATGTGTCTTTCAAAAGATGGCATTGTTTTGGCATACTTTTTTTTCTCTTATCTCTCCTCAGAAAGATAATACATTCAAAGCTATAGTACAAGGTTGTTGTGAGGAATACATGACAGCTCCTAATCTGTGTGGGTTCTAAGCAGTTGTATCGTTTTGTATCTGACACTCTATTTGCTTATTTACATGATATCACTGAAAGAGGTGGCTTAAACAGATAAGTATTCAGTAATGAAATTTAACTGATAACAAGGTCTTTCAATGAAGCAGGTTTTTTTTGTCATTTGATGTACAAAACATCCAATAGGGATAAAAGGAAAAGAAGTCTATTTTTGTTTTCAGATGAAGTGTAATAAGGTATAATATTCCTTCACCTTAGATCTTTACCTTCATGATGAAAACCGCTTCTGGATAGAACTTGATTAAGTAGCTGTAAGATCTTTGGAAACTTTATGAACTTAGACAGTTGTGAAATGGACAATGGTAGTCCTCCCTCTGGTGATTCTAAATAATTAATATGAATTTAAAATGTATTTTCTAGTCCTTAATTTTTTTCTCAGCTGGGGATGCGAAGTAAGTATTTTAAGGCTTTAATATATTCACCTTCTGGAGAGGTTGCTGATTTCTTTTCCCATAAATTATGTATCAGTACTTTATTATTGATTCTGAAATTAAAATCTGTAAAATTAAAAAACAAAGCTATCAATCACTGTATGACACTAAAATGAGTAATGACACTAAAAATGACAAAATCTTAATATTTAATAAATCAATAGCTGTATTATCAGACTGAGTTATTATTTGCCAAACAACTCTTTAATTCTAAAGCATACTTATTCTTGGGTGAAATCATCTCAGAAGTATATTCTATGCATATTTGATATGTAAAAGCACAGGGAGCTGCAATGTAGGGAAAAGACCAAAAGTTTAAATAGAATGTGTTGAACTTATCCAGTCTCTTTATCTTTCTAGACATGCCCTTTTACATAGTCATGATATTGAGTGCAGCAAAAAAAATCCCTCCTGAAATACACACAAAGGCAATTTTAAATGCAGATAATCCAATCTTTGCTTAATTGGATGTTGATAGCATTAATCAATTGTTCATAATTGGGAGTTCACATTAGAAACACCTGGACAATATGTTTTTAACATATTCATCATTAGAATTGATATCTAGGGGTTTTATTTACTCAGTAGGTTTCCAATGGTGTTTAGGCAAAAGTATTTTGAAACAGCTTCCCATATGTTCAATTTTGTACCAAAGATTAAAAACATATATAAAATTATTATTTCAGAACATATGTCACTGCTGGTAAAATGGTTTATTCTGATAAAATGGTTTATTTTGAAAGGGAGCAGTGAATATTGGATTAGATAACCATGAGTATGTTCTTGTGTTCTTCAGGGGCAATATTAATACCCATCCGGATTAGCCTCACAATAAGAATATTAGCCTAGTAAGAAGACTGAAGTGGAAGGATCGTTTGAGCCCAGGAGGTTGGGGACAAAGTGAGCAGTGATTGCGCCACTGCACTCCAGCCTGGGTGACAGAGACAGACCCTGTCTCAAAAAAAAAAAAAAAAAGAATAACTAATGTGTGGGTGTGAATAAGTATTGTGCAGGTGTTTCTACACTATTCTCATGGTTTTATAAGTCAGTAATACTTTTCTTTAAAACTTCTTCTGTAGTTATAGTTCAAAATCTTAACACATTATAAAAATGTAATATTGGCTTTGCATAAGTAGAAAAATCAACAAGTAAATATTTTTTGCTTACCTGATTCATTGGCCTTCATGTCTGTGATACTCAAGTATATGATTATTGTAGTGATCTGAGAAATGGCATGTTTCATATGCAATTTCTTTAATCCACATCCCTAATTGAATTTTTTCTCCTCCTTCAAAGAGGTAAACAGTATAATAATTTAGAGTTTTTCTCATACTTTTTAATATATTTACTACATATGCATGAATCTGTAATCAATATATAGTAATGCTTTTCATACTTTTAAACTTCACTTAAAAGGGACTGTATATGCGTCTTTTTGAAATTTACATATATTTTTCTTTCTTTCTTTCTTTCTTTTTTTTTTTTTTGAGACAGAGTCTCGCTCTTTTGCTCAGTCTGGAGTGCAGTGGCACAACCTGAGCTCGCTGTAACCTCGCCTCCTGGGTTCAAGTGATTCTCCTGTCTCAGCCTCCTGAGTAGCTGAGACTACAGGTGCACACCCCCACATCCAGCTAATTTTTTGTATTTTTAGTAGAGACAGGGTTTCATAATGTTAGCCAGGCTGGTCTTGAACTCCTGACCTCAAGTGATCCCCATACCTTGGCCTCCCAATGTGCTGGGATTACAGGTGTGAGCCACCACACCTGGCCTGCAGTTTATATTTTTATCCCAAAGTATGTTTGTGAGATTCGTCTTCATTAGTAGAGCTCTAGGCCATCATTATCACTGCTATTTATTATTCACTAAATGGATAGTCTTTGATGTGTATATTCATCTTTCTGTTAACAGATAATTAGTTGTTTTTTTTTCCATTTTTCCTATTAGAAACAATGTTGCAGTAAGCATTTTTGCATATCTCTAGGCTGTACACATGGAATTGGATTTCTTGAGTCATGTGATATGGGTGGCTTCAGCTTTATCAAATATAAGCAATCTGCTCTTTCCCGAGGGATGCACAATTTATACTCACCAGCAGTGTGTAAAAGTTCATATTGATCCACATCTACTCAAACACTTGTATTGGCTGACTTTAAGTCCGACCAGTTGGATGAGAATGAAATAGTACCTCATATTGCTTTGATTGCCAAGGCCCCTGACTGCTAGTGAGGTAAAGTACATTCAATACATTTAATCATTATTTGTGTTTCCTCTTTTATGAATCAATTGCCTGTTCCCATGGTTTGCAAATTTTTCTTTGAGGCTTAATTTTTTTTTCTAAGTGACGTACAGGAGCTCTTGAGACATTCGTATCTTTATATTTTATGAGACTTAATGTCTTCTGTTAAGGCTGAGTGCTCCCAAGATTACTTTTATTTTAAAAAATTCACCATAGCATGAGCTTAATGTTTGTAGGTTTAGATTCTGTTAAAGTTGAGAGTGGATCCAGTTGTCAGGGATGAACCATATTAACCCAGCTTAAAATTTGTAAAGTGATATAGAAACATGAGCTACACAGTGAGTGCAATAGGTCCAAGTGCTGATTTTACCACACACCAGCTATAGGATTAGGATGTAAGCTTCTTGTGGACAAGCATTTTTCACTCTTCTATAAACTGCTGCATCCTCAGAACTCCGAACAACTGGCCCATAACAAATAGCATGTCTGTGTATGGAATCTCATAGTACAGATAGCTTCTCCCAATGTGCAGATGATTTTCACTCATGGTGCCTCTTTTAACCTACACAGACTTTAACTTTTAATGTAAAAAATCTTTCCTTTTAATACATTTTACATTTTCAGTATCCTTCAAAAACCTTATTGAGACCAAGTTCATAAGGATATTTTCACCTATTTCCTTCCATTAATTTCACTTTTCTCAGAATTGTCTCTTAAATCCATCTGGAATTAATTATTTACGGAAGATCCATATTTCCAATTAATTCTTTTCCATGTGATAGCCACTTCCCCTAGTGGCATATTTTAAGTAGTTTATTCTTTTCCATTTTACTTGTAGCAATGTTTTCCATCTCTATAATTTATTCAATTTCCATATATGCATGCATCTTTTTGTAGGTTTTAAAATTTGATTTTGGAAGTCTAATTTCCCATAATTATACTAATACCACACAATCTTACTTATTTTAAATTTAAATAAGACTAGATATTTTCCTGAAAGAACAAGCCCTACCACCTCCCACCACATACACACTCACACCCCCGCCCCACTCACATACATGTTCTTCTTGAAATTTTTCCTAAATATTCATGACCTTTTGTCCTTCCACAAAATATTTAGATTAAGCCTGAATCTTCCACAAAATTCTCTCAGAATAATAGTTGTAATTTTAACCCTGCATCTTGCTATTTCTGAACTTGTATGTATCTATGTATTATAGATCAGGTTTAAATTCATTAAATAAAATTGTATAATTGTCTTCATTAAGATTTTTAATAGCCATTATTAAAATCATTTCTAGAAATCTTATACTTTTAGTGGCTATTGTAAACGGTATGTAGTCATGTGTTGCTTAAGAATATGTTCTGAGAAATGCATTAGGCAATTTCGTTGTTGTGTCATCACAGGGAACTCCGTAAGTACTTAAAGCTTATAGAACAAGAATATAAAGAAAGAAAATGCTTTTGTACAATTTTATGATGTGTTTGTGTTTTAAGTGAAGTATTGTTACAAGAGTCAAAAAGTTAAACAAAAAGTTAAAAAGTTCTTAAAGTAAAAAAAATCGTAGATTAGGTTAATTTATTACTGAAGAAAGAATTAAATAAAAATTAATTTGATATGGCCTATATGTACAGCATCTATAAAATCAAGAGTAATGTGCACTAATGTCCTAGACCCTTACGTCCATTCACCTCTCACTAATACAACCACAACGGCTTTCAGTCCCACAAGCTCCATTCATGGTAGGTGCCTATAAAGGTTCACCATTTTATATCTGTTATACCATATTTTTAGTGTACATATGTGTTGGATACATATGTGTTAGATACATAAGTGTTAGATGTTTACATATGTGTTGGATACACAAATACTTACTATTGTGTTAAATTACTTACAGCATTCAGTACAGTAACATGCTGTACAGGTCTGTAGCCTAGGAGCAATAGGTCTGTAAGTACTTACAGAATTCCCTGTGATATAGTGAGATAGACTATCACTGTATCGTAGTGATATAGCCTACTGCACATCTAGGCTATATGGTATGACCAATTATTGCTCCTAGGCTGCAAACCTGTACAGCATGTTACTGTACTGAATGCTGTAAGTAATTTAACACAATAGTAAGTATTTGTGTATCCAACACATATGTAAACATCTAACACATATGTATCCAACACATATGTAAACATCTAACACATATGTATCCAACACATATGTACACTAAAAATATGGTATAATAGATATAAAATGGTGAACCTTTATAGGCACCTACCATGGATGGAGCTTGCGGGACTGAAAGCCGTCGTGGTTGTATTAGTGAGTGGTGAATGGATGTAAAGGTCTAGGACGTTAGTGCACATTACTCTTGACTTTATAGACGCTGTACATACAGGCCATATCAAATTAATTTTTGTTTAATTTTCTTTCTTCAGTAATAAATTAACCTAATCTATGATTTTTTTTACTTTAAGAACTTTTTAACTTTTTGTTTAACTTTTTGACTCTTGTAATAATATTTCGCTTAAAACACAAACACATCATAAAACTGTACAAAAGCATTTTCTTTCTTTATATTCTTGTTCTATAAGCTTTTTACTATTTAAAAAATGTTTTACTGTTTTTTATTTTTTAAATGTTTTCGTTAAAAATGAAGACACAAACATGCATTAGCCTGTAGAATAGTAGGCAAGGTCAGGATCATCAATCTCACTGTCTTCCACCTCCACATGTTGTTCCACTGAAAGGTCTTTAGGGGCAGTAACAGGCATGGAGTGGTCAGCTCCTGTGAGAACAATGTTGTCTTCTTGAATATCTCCTGAAGGACTTGCCTGAGGCTGTTTTATAGTCAACTCTAAAAAATATATCTAAGTAGAAGAAATATACTCTAAAATAACAATAAAAAGTATAGTACGGTAAATACATACACCAGTCATTTCTCATTACTATTATGCACTGTGCGTAATTATATGTATTATGCTTTTACACCACTGGCAGCACAGTAGGTTTATTTACACTAGCATCACTATCCCCACAAATGTGTGAAGAACCTATTGCATCTATCGAACTACAACATTAAGACAGCTATGACCTATGACGTCACTAGGCAACCAGAATTTTTCACCTCCATTATAATTTTATGGGATCGCTGTTGTATTTGGGGTCTGTCATTGACCAAAATGTTGCTATGCAGTGGATAACGGTATTTTTGTGAAATCATATTTTTCTAATAATTTGTTAATATTTTATAATGCAACTGTTATTTTATTGAAATCTGTTAGCAATTTATTTTCTAACTTCGGTTGACTTTTTTTTTAAGTAAGGAATCATATAGTGTATAGATACTGACAATGTCAATTATTTCTTCCTAAACTGTACACCTGCATTTCTTTTTCTAGTCTTACTGGGTTACACAGGACTTTCAGTCAAATATTACAAAGCAATATTAAAGATCATCCTTGTCTTTTTCTTCTGAATTTAGTAAGTAAACTCAAAGTAATTAACATGACCTGATAATCACAAAAAATGTTTCAGTATTAAATATGAGGCTTCCTATAAGTTTTGATAGCTATCATAGATGAGATTCAGGAAGTTGCCTTCTACTGTAGTATAATACGAGGAATTTTGGTGTTGTTGATGTACATAGTATTCGTCCAGTTTTTGACTATGAAATTGTCATAAACAGTCTTTTAATATCGTTCATTCTACTTTTGTATATATCTAAAATTAGAATTGTTGCTATACAGTAGGATATGCTTAACTTTAATAAATATTGCCAAAACATTTTGCAAAGCAATTGTACCAATATACACTCTCACCTGTAATATATATGTGCTTCAGTTCCTCCAATTGTCATCAACACTTGTTACTCCTCTTATTTTTAGAGATATTAGTAACTGTATAGTCATAATTTATCTTGGTATTAATTTGCATTTCACCAATTACTAAGGCTGTTGAGCAACTTTTCATATAACTGGGGGCATAACCATTTTACGAAGTGTATATTTAAATTGTTTGCCTACTATAATTTACTTTTTTTTCTTCCGGATTTAAGTATCTTTGTTTTGTTATGAATATTGAGACAACCAAGTAAAAAGGGCTCCCTGGAGAATCTCCAACTGGTCTTCTCTTCTCACTGGGAGGAGAGGGTGGGGCCTGGGGAAGTTGGCGCCCTTTGTAGAGGAGACAAGCCTGGCCTCTCCTGTTCCTGGGTGATAACCTGGGATTCAACCTGTCAGATGGGGGCCTAACAAGAACCCCTCTCACTTTGCTGTGCTGCTTTTCCTTTACACCCAATAAATTCCGCCCGATAAATAACCCCTCATCCTTCAAAGTGTCTGCGAGCCTAGGCTTTTCTGGTCATGTGACAAGAACCTGGTTCTTCCTACAACAATACTAGTAGTTTGTCAAATATATATTTTGAAATATAATATGCTAACTGATGACTTGCCTTTTAATTCTCTTAATTGAAATTTTAAAAATAGTGACTTAATGAAGATAATTTTTCCTTTTTTGTAAGGTTCATATTATCAAAGTTTTCTTTAGTATGAAGAGCGTTTAAATTCTCCTTAAGATATTTGCCAACTCAAAAGTCATGAAGATCTATGTTTGCATGAAGAAGATGTATTCTACTTTTCACATTTAAATCTCTAATACTAAAAAACAAAAAAATTTAAATTTTGGATTTACAAGAAAACCTTAACAGTACAGAGTTCTCATAAAGACCACAATCAGTTTCCTGTATTATTAACATCATTATGGCACATTTGTTATAATAATGATCAAATGTTGATACATTATTAACTAAAGTTGAAAGCTTTTGCAGATTTCCATAATTTTTGCCTAATATTCTTTTTGTATTTAAGGATCTCAGCCAAGATGCCATAATACATTTAGCTGTCCTGTCTCATTAGGTTCCTCTTGGCTGTGACAGTGTCTTACCTTTTTTTTGTTGTTGTTCTTGGCGACCTTGACAGTTTTGAGGAGTAGATATTTTATAGAATGACCTTCTATTATAATTTGTCTGATATTTTCCATACGATTAAGCTGTATTATGTGTTTTTGGGAGAAGACCACAAAGGTAAAGTGGCTTTTTCATCACATTTTATCAAGAGAATTTGTTTTCAACATATATATAGGGCTGGGCATGGTGGCTCATGCCTGTAATCTCAGCAATTTGGAGCCAAGACAGGAGGATCACTTGAGGTTAGGTAGGAGTTTGAGACCAGCCTGGGGAACACAGGGAGTATCTGTCTGTGAAAAAAAAAAAATTTTTAAAAATAACCAGGTATGGTGGTGAGCACAGAGGCTGAAGTGGGAAGATCACTTGAGGCCAGAAGGTCGAGGCTGCAGGGAACTGTGATCATGCCACTGCACTCTAGCCTGGGTGACAGAGGAAAACCCTATCTCAATAAATAAATAAATACACACACACACACACACACACACACACACAGAGTTACTAAATAAATCACTTGGAATTGCTCTGCGTAAGAGGTTTGTCTATATTCTCCCATTTATTTATCATTTATTTATGTTACCATGTACTCACAGGTACTCACAGATATTTATATTTTGGATTATACTTCAATACTAATTTATTTCTTTTTATTTTATTTATTTATTTTTCAAGACTTAATCTCACTCTGTTGCTCAGGCTGGAGTGCAGTGGCAAGATCTTGGCTCACTGCAACCTCCACCTCCCGGGTTCAAGCTATTCTCCTGCTTCAGCCTCCCAAGTAGCTGGGACTACAGGTGCGTGCCAACATGCCCGGCTTATTTTTTGTATTTTTAGTAGAGACGGGGTTTCACCATGTTAGCCAGGATGGTCTCGATCTCCTGACCTCATGATCTACCCCTCTCAACCTCCCTAAATGCTGAGATTACAGGCATGAGCCACCAC
Source organism: Homo sapiens (assembly GCF_000001405.40). Taxonomy (NCBI): domain Eukaryota; kingdom Metazoa; phylum Chordata; class Mammalia; order Primates; family Hominidae; genus Homo; species Homo sapiens. The sequence continues at coordinate 1,810,235 of NC_000018.10, forward strand.
ACCCAGTCTATTTTATTTTTTAATAGAGACAGGGTATTACTGTGTTGCCCAGGCTGGTCTTGAATTCCTGGGCTCAAGTGATCTTCCCACTTCAGCCTTCCAAAGTGCTGGGATTATAGGCATGAGCCACCGTGTTCGGTCAATACATACTCATTTATTTTGCTGCTTAAATTATTTCAACATTAGCAACTGGGTGATCTTTTGGTGGCCTCATGTGTGCCTTTGGCATATCTCCATCAACGTAGTTTTTTTATGTATTGTTTTTAAAGACTTCCTTATTTTCTAGCACTATGCTCGAGGCTTATTTGTGTATTGCCTGCTTTAGTTCTAGAGTCAGCCATTTCTCCCAGGAGCCAGGGTTCCTTTTTTAGGTTGGTGCAAAAGTAATTGCGTTTTTTTTGTCATTAAAGGTAATAGCAAAATCCGCAATTACTTTTGCATCAACTTTGCTAAGATGACTGCTAAGAGATATCAAGTCCTAGATGCTAGATATGCTCATTACTATTGGGGTTTCATCATTTCTAGGCCCTTTCAGCTGACAGAACAGGGAAATATATGTATGCATACTAACCAGTGCATGTATACTTATCTATAAATATTTTATCTGTAACTTTCTCTATCTACATAAGCAAAGAATGAGTTCATACTGATGTTTCCAACTTTTCTACACTACTATGTGAACCATTCTAACCTTTCACCCTGCTTATATATAAACTACCATTGCGTTAGAAAGAAATCTGCCTTCCACCATATAGCATCCATTTACTCAATTGTTCAATTTTTATATACATGTACAGTAGTATCAGAACTGTTAACCTATACCTGCATGGGAAACACTTTATCAAATATAGTATAATACTAATGTGCAGTTCCTTTTTCCTTTAGGTTTTCAAACTCCATTCATTTCCATAGTTACTTAGATCACCACCTTAAACTCTATTCCTGTCAGTGAGTTTGTTTTACACATTTGTAATACATTTAAAAGCTTTTGTTGCAGTCTACAATTCATCCGGGAATCCTCCTACCTCCTACATAATTTTAAAATTTGCATATGTTAGTTTCACTCTTGGTTTTGCAAAGTTCTATGGATTGCGACAAATGCATAATACCAAGTATCCACTATTATTTTACCATACAGAATGGTCTCCTTGCCCCAAAATATTCTCCATGCTTTACCTATTTAAACTTTTCCCTGCCTTCCTGAACTCCTGGCCACTACTGCCCTTATTGTCACATAATTTTGTTTTTTCCAGAATGTCACGTGATATGGTTTGGCTCTGTGTCCCCACCCAAATCTCATCTTGTAACTCTCATAATTCCCACATGTTGTGGGAGAAACCCAGGGGGGAGATAATTAAATCATGGGGGCGGGGTCTTTCCCGTGCTGTTCTCATGGTAGTGTATAAGTCTCATGAGGTTTGATGGTTTTAAAAATGGGAGTTTCGTGCACAAGCTCTGTCTATTTGCCTGCTGCCATCCATGTAAGACGTGACTTGCTCCTCCTTGCCTTCTGCCATGATTGTCAGGCTTCCCCAGCCATGTTGAACTGTAAGTCCAATTAAAATGCTCTCTTTTGTAAATTTCCAAGTCTCAGGTATGTCTTTATCAACAGTGTGAAAATGGACAAATACATCATGTAATTCAAATTATACAGTATATACCTTACTCAGACTGGCTGTTTTTAAATTAGCATTATGCATTTGAATATTATTCATGTCTTTTCACGGCTTGGTAGCTCATTTCTTTTTACTATTGAATAATATTTCATTGTATGGATGCACTGCAATTTGTTTACCCATTTTCCCGTTGATAAAGATCTTGATGGCTGCCAGTTTTTAGCGATTATGGATAAAGCATTTGTGTGCAGATTTTTTTTTTTTTTTGAGATGGAGTCTTGCTCTATTGCCCAGGCTGGAGTGCAGCGGCACAATCTTGGCTTACTGCAGCCTCCGCCTCCCAGGTTCAAATGATTCTTCTGCCTCAGCCTCCTGAGTAGCTGGGACTACAGGCGCCTGCCACCACACCCAGCTAATTTTTTGTATTTTTAGTAGAAACGGGGTTTCACCATGTTGGCCAGGATGGTCTCGATCTCTTGACCCCCGTTTGGCCTCCCAAAGTGCTAGTATTACAGGCATGAGCCACCACACCCAGCCTGTGTACAGATTTTTAATGGACATAAGTTTTTAAATCAGTTGGGTAAATACCTCAGAGTGTGATTGATGTATTGTATGTTAACACTATGGTTAACTTTGTAAAAGAAACTGCCAACTGGCTTCCAAAGTGGCTGTATTATTTTGCATTCCCACTGCCAATGAACTTGAGTTCCTGTTGGTTCACATTCTCATAAGCATTTGGTATTGTCAGTGTTTCAAATTTTAGCCATCTAATGGATATATAATGATATCTCATTGTTGCTTTGATTTGCAACTTCCTAAAGATATGATACATTTTTAACAGCTTTATCAAGATGCATTTTACATACCATACATTCACATAAGTAAAGTGTACTATTCTAATAAACTTTAAAGAATCAATAGTATTTTCTTATGTGATAGCAAATTTTCTGAAAACAAAATCAAGAAAAGAATCACATTTACAAAACTACAAGAAAAATGAGATATTGAGGAATAAATGTAACCAAGGAAGTAAAAAAAACTCTACAATCAAAACTATGAAACATTAATGAAAGAAATTGAAGAAGACACAAATAAATGGAAAGATATCCCATGTTCCTGAACTGGAAGAATTAATATTGTTAAAATGTCCATATTACTCAAAATGATCTACAGATTCAGTGCACTGTCTATTAAAATACCAATTACATTCTTCACAGAAATAGAAAAACCAATCTTACAATTTCTAGGGAACCACAGAAGACTCCAAATAGCCAAAACAATCTTGAGCAAAAGGAACAAAGCTGGAGGCATTATACTACCTGACTTCAAAATATCTGCAAACCTATAGTAATGCAAACAGCATGGTACTGACATAAATGACAGAGACGTAGACCAACAGAACAGAATAGAGAGCCCAGAAATAAATATACACATTTACAGCCAACTTATTTTTGACAAAGATGTCAAGAACACACACTGGAGAAAAAATAGTCTCAATAAATGCTGTTGGAAAAGCTACATATCCATATGCAGAAGAATGAAATTGGACTTTCATCTCTCGCCATATAGAAAAGTCAATTCAAAATAGATTAAAGATGTAAATATATGTCCTGAATTATAAAATTACTAGAAGAAAATATAGGGGAAACACTTCATGACATAGGTCTGGGTAATAATTTTTTGTATGAGGATCTAAAGCACAGGCAATGAAAGCAAAAATAGACAAATGAGATTACATCAAACAAAAGTTTTCACACAGCAAAAGAAACAATCAGTAGGGTGAAGAGATGACCTACAGAATGGGAGAAGATATTTCCAAACCATACATCTGACATCCAAAATATATAAGAAACTCAAATAACTCAAAAGCAAAAAATAAATAAATTAAAATAAATAAATAAATAAATAAATAGATAGCTTAATTTAAAAAATGGACAAAAGAACTGAATGTACATTTCTCCAAAAGAAGACATACAAATAGCCAAAAGGTATATTTTTCAAATGCTCAACTTTTTTAATCATCAGGAAATGCAAATTAAAACTATAATGAGACATCATTGCATCCCAGTAGAATAGCCATTATCAATAAAATAAAGGATGACATGTGCTAAAATGAAGTGGAGAAAAGGGAACACTTATCCACTATTGGTGGATATGTAAATTAATACAGCCATTACAGAAAACAGTATGGAGGTTATACTATCTTAAGTGAAATAAGCCAGGCAAAGAAAGACCAATACTGCAATGAACTCACTCATACATGGAATCTAAAAAATCGAATCTCATAAAATTAGCATAATGGTGGTTATCAGAGGTGGCAGTAGTTAGGGGACAGGTGATGGGAAGACATTAGTCACAGGATACATAATAGTTAGAGAACATAAATTTCAAGAGATCTATTGTGCAGCAAAGTGACTATGGTTAATGACAATATATAGTAGTATTGAAAAACATATAAAACAGTGGGTACTATATGTGCTATCAGCACAAAAGTAATAACTATGTGAGGTAATGCATTTGTTAATTGGCTAGCTTTAATCATTCTACAACATATACATACTTCAAAAGTTTGTATTGTAGAAGATAAAATATAATGTTATCTGACAATTGAAAATAAAGGGTACAATTCTATAGTTTTTAAAGTACATTCACACATAAGTGCAACCATAATTATAGTCAATATTTTAATTTTTCATCACCTAAAAATAACTCTATAAAATATGTTTCATCCCCCATTCTCCAATTCTCCACCATCTACTTTATCTCTCTCTAAAGATTTCCCTAATCTGAACTACTCGTATGAATTGATTCACATCACATGTGGTCTTTTTGACTGGCTCTTTCACTTAGCATAATGTTTTTAAGGTTCACTCATATTTTAAAAAAAGAGTGAATATGTATCAGTACCTCACTGTTTTAAATGCCTGAATAATATTCCATTATGTGGATATACTACATTTGTTTGTCTATTCATCAATTGATGGAGATTTAGGTTTTTTGCATCTTTAGATTACTACAGATAATGTTGTTAGGAATATTTGTGTACAAATGTTTCTAACATTTAATGTTATTGTTGATATAGTTAAAAGTGTCTGCCAATTTTTGTTTTCTATTTAGCTCATGGTTTTAATGTTTCTCTGTTCCTCCTTTACTGCTTTCTTTTACAGTAAGTGAACATTTTCTTATGTAGCATTTTAATTTATTTAATCATTTTTATTGTATTTTTAAGTCATCTTTTAGTGATTCCTCTTGGTTTTACTATATTCATCTTAACTTACCAGATCACCCTCAGATTTATACTAGATTAATTTCTATGATAAAGGTACTACTCGTATAATTCTATTTCGTTTTCTCCCTTTTACGGTTTTATATTTAATACATATTACATATATTTAACACATATTACATGTCTTAATGTTACAAGCGCAATATTAAATTCTTATAATTATTACTTCTGCAGTACTTCTGTATAATTATTACTTCTGTACTACAACACCATCTGTAGTTATTTCCTCAGCCTAATACAGCTTTGCTCCAACACACCTCACAGAACACACATAATGACACAATCGCTTTTTCAACCAATTCAGAGAAGAATTACCTTTACCAGTGCTCTCTGTGTTTGTTGTTGTTGTTGTTGTTGTTTTGTGGGAATATGAATTACTATCTAGGGTCATTTGCTTTTAGCTTGAGTAACTTTTTTTAGTATTTCTTGTAACGCAGGTCAGCTAAAACAAATTCTCTGGTTGTGGTTCTTTATCTCTTTTTGTAATCTGGGAAAGTATTATTTTTTGCCTTTATTATTGAAAGATAGCATTGTTAAATAAGATTCTTGGTTAACAATATCCTAAAGTAGAACTACCATTTGATCCAACAATCCCACTACTGGATATCTACCCAGAGGAAAAGAAGTCATTATAAGAAAAAGATACTTGCACATGCATGTTTATAGCAGCACAATTCACAATTGCAAAACTATGGAACCAGTCCAAATGCCCATCAATCAATGATTAGATAAAAGATTGTGATCTATATCACATTATATATATATTCCTTTTTATGGCTGAGTAGTATTCCATGGTGTAAATAAAAAGGAAAAAAATGATGGCATTCACAGTAACCAGATGAAACTGGAGACCATTATTCTAAGTGAAGTAACTCAGGAATGGAAAACCAAACATCACATTATCACTCACAAGTGGGAACTAAGCTATGAGGATGCAAAGGCTTAAGAATGATACAATGGACTTTGTTTCACTTCCTGTATTTGCTTATAGTTGTTTCTTAATAAATTTGGAAAGTTATCAGCCATTATTTATTCGAATAGATTTTTCTCCTTTCTTTCTCCCCTCTAATGCTGTGATTTCCATTATGCATATGTTGGTGCACATAGTGGTTTTTCACATTTGTCTGAGGCTCTGTTCATTTTTCTTTATTTCTTTCTCTTTGCTCTTCAGCTTGTGTAATCTTGATCAATCTATCAATGTATCTTCAAGTTCACTTAGTCTTTCTTCTTTCAGTTCAAATCTGCTACTGAGCTCTCTTATGGGTTGAATTGTGTTTCTCCAAAATATATGTTTAATTTCTAAACCTTAATATCTCAGAATGTGGGCTTATTTCAAGACAAGGTATTCAAAGTAATTAAATTAAAATGTGCTCATTAGGGTCGACTAAATCCAATAGGACTGGTGGCCTTACAAAAAAAGAAAACATGTACACTAAGATAGACACACACAGGGAGAACACCAGATGAAGATGAAAGTGGAGGTCGAGGTCCCACAATTACAAGTAATGCTAAATATCGCTAGCAAAGAACCAGAAGCTAGGGAAATCAAAACCATGTTTCCTTCCCAGCACTCAGAAAAACCCCAATCCTGCCAACACCTAATTTCAGACTTTTAGCCTCCAAAACTGTGAGACAGTAAACTTCTGTTGTTTAAGCCGCCCAGTTTGTGGTATTTTGTTATTGAAGTCCTAACAAACTAATATAAACTCCTCTAGTTAATTATTTGTTTTAGTTATTTTACTTTTTGACTCTAGAATTTCCATTTGGTTCCTTTTTATAATTTCTCTTTGTTGACATTTTCTACTTGAAGTGACATTGTCATCATACCTTCCTTCACTTCTTTAATCGTGGTTTTCTTTAGTTCTACGAATATGTTTATAAAAACTACTTCAAAGTCTTTTTCTGAAAAAATCTGACATTTGATTGGTCTCATAATTAGTTTCTATTGGCTTTTTGCCCCCTTCCCCCACCCATATCTGGGTCGTACTTTCCTGTTGAGTGACATGCCTCATTTTGTTGTTATTGTTTGAAGTTCGACATCTTTAATAGCATATTGCAGCCACTCGGAATACTGCTGCCCTTCTTCTGGGTGTATTATTGTTATTTGATTGTTTATTTGTTTAGTGAATATCTGGATTATTTTAGTGAAGTTTATTTTCTCTCTCATTCCCAACCCCAGCACACAGTGTAAAGACTCTGATATTTCTCCTCAGAGAGGTACAAATATGAATATACCCATAGCCAAATATGGTGGTAATTTTGGTAAGGCTTTCTTCTCTTTCTCTGACCACATTCAGCTGTTAAACTCCACTAATTGCCAACTGATTGCTCTACTGTTTTCAACAACATTCTAGGACATAAACTGTTCTACAAAGTAAACCAATCAACTTCTGGCCCCTTTGAAGAAGTAGTTTCTGAGTCTAATATTTGTTCTGACCCCAGGAGGGCTCCTCTCAGTCGTCTTATTTCCCATTTTTCCCCAAAAACTTGTTTGTCTGTCATTTAGCCTTTATCTTGACTATCTCTCCAATTGCCTTTCACCGTGTATATATCCACTGTTCTTAAGAGTGCCTTTAGCTTGGAATTTACTTATGCTCTGTTGCAAATACAGTTCTTTTAGGAAGAGATAGGGAACTATGTTTTATGATCTGTTTCTCCCATAGGCAAAATTTCTGAACCAGGGCTATAGAACTGGGAGTGGGGACAGTGGCACACTTTTCTCAGAGTGAAATCTGTGCTCTAGATGCTGCACACTCAATGGAAGTCAGGGAAGCAGCCTAAGATCCTTTTGGCTTGTCTCTCCTAACATGGAACCAACTAGCAGGGCCCCAGTATTCTCAGCCCGCCATGCAAGAGGTAGAGTCTCTATTCCATGAGTGTGGGTTGGGCAAAAGAAGGAAGTCTCCACTTCTCAACTGCAGTCATTCAGGACTTAGCCTCTGCAATAGGTAACTGAGAGTAGGATAAGAAAAGCTGGGCCGGGCGCGGTGGCTCACGCCTGTAATCCCAGCACTTTGGGAGGCCGAGGCGGGTGGATCATGAGGTCAGGAGATCGAGACCATCCTGGCTAACACGGTGAAACCCCGTCTCTACTAAAAATACAAAAAATTAGCCGGGCGCGGTGGCGGGCGCCTGTAGTCCCAGCTACTCGGGAGGCTGAGGCAGGAGAATGGCGTGAACCCGGGAGGCGGAGCTTGCAGTGAGCCGAGATCGCGCCACCGCACTCCAGCCTGGGCGACAGAGCAAGACTCCGTCTCAAAAAAAAAAAAAAAAAAAAAAAAAGAAAAGCTGATGTCCTACTCTTCCGAGGAAAGAAGTTATCTGACTGGAATCTAGTGAAGGAAATTAAAATATTTTACCCTAAAATATATTTCTTTGACATATTTTGAAATGGCTGCCAGTTGGTCATCCTGGCGGAAGTGGCCTTGCAAAGCTGTTTTCAGTGGAGAAAATTTGCATCAGTAGAGAATCTCCATTAGCACAGCCATAACTCCTCCACTTTCTATGCCTTTCCCCAGATCCAGGAGTGATAGAGAGTCTGACACTTTTAAAAATCGGAAAAGAAACATTTACCATCTCTAAAGGAGGCTTCATCTATCTAACAAGTCCACCTTTGCTAGACAAGCTTCTTCCTTTCTCTGTCTCTTAACCTGTGTTGCCACTAAACCTTATTTACCTGTTTCTGGCCATTTTTTGAATCTGCATTCTTTCTTGTGGCCTAGTATGCATGTTTCTGTAACTCACTGGGAAGTTGGGTCTTCATTCTGAAGGCTCCTGTGTATACATGTTAAATAAATGTGTATTCCTTTTCTCCTATTAATCAACTTACCTCATGTCAGTGATTCTTTAGCAAATCTTTAGGGGGCCAAGAGCGTATGGCTCCTGCACTGATGAGGAAAGAAATTCTGCGTTCTTGGGAGTGGAGTCTCCATGTTGCTAAGCCAGGAGGTGGGGGAAGGGTGAAGTCCTGATCCAAATACCACAGGCTCCAGGCTTTCTTACTGAATTTTCAAAGATTATCTTGAATAGATATTTTTTTATTTGCTGCTTTGGGACTATTTCTAGTCATTTGGGACTATTTCTAGAAGCTTTAAATAATCGTTTTGTTTATAATTGTAACCAGTTTCATAGGGGAACACTTCAGTGAGGTGCCTCACACTCTCATGCTAGAAGATCTCCTGATATGATACGTTTTTAATTAATATTTTTATGTATAAGTTGGGGTGAAGTTTAGTTTTTCCATACAGATGCTGAGTTGACCCGACATAATTTATTGAAAAGATAATATTCTTTCTCATGAATTGCAGTAATGCATTTGTTGCAAATCTGGTTTAAAAATATGTATGTGTCTCTTTTAATGTATTTATTAATTTTTTTAAGTGTAGAGACAAGGTCTCACTGTTTTGCCCAGGCTGGTTTTGAACTTCTGGGCTCAAGCGATCCTCCCCCTAGCCTCCCGGCATGCTGGGATTACAGGTGTGAGCCACTGCACCTGTCCTGGGTCTCTTTAGAACTCTTTTCTGTTTCACTGGTCAATTTGTGTATCCCTATGGCAGTACCACACTGTCTTGATTACTGTAGCTTTACAGAGAGTTTTGATGTTTAGCAGTGTAACTCTTCCAACTTGATTATTCTGCTATATGATTTTTTTTGGAGAATCAGCATGCTTTCTTTGCTTACATACTTTTGAAATAAGCTGGTCAATTATCACACATACACACAGAAACATGCATACTCACACATGTATCAATGCTGGAATATTAATTGGGACAGCATTGAAGTAATCATTTTGTAGCAAATGAATAGCATATAAATATTAATAAACACAGTATATCACCATTTATTTTAATACTTTGTTTTCAATAAGGTTTTATTTATAAGTGGATCATTTACAGATTATTAAAATTATACATAATTTTATAATTCTTATTAAAATTATACATAATTTTATAATTCTTATTAAAATTATAATTTTATAATTCTTATTAAAATTATAATTTTATAATTCTTATTAAAATTATAATTTTATAATTCTTATTAAAATTATAATTTTATAATTCTTATTGAAATTATAATTTTATAATTCTTATTGAAATTATAATTTTATAATTCTTATTGAAATTATAATTTTATAATTCTTATTGAAATTATAAATAATTTTATAATTCTTATTGAAATTATAAATAATTTTATATTTTATAATTATTTATAAAATGCTATTTCTGTCAGTGAATGTAACTGTGTGTTTATTTATTTATTTATTTATTTGGAGCTGATGCTTTTCTAATGTTACACAGGCTGGCCTGGAACTCCTGGGCTAACATGACCTTCCTGCCCCAGCCTCCCAAGTAGCCATTGTGCCTGTTGATTAATAATAAGAAAACAATATAATTCACCACATTAAAATATCAAAGAAGAAAAATAATTTAATTATTATAACAGGTGCAGAAGAAGCATTAAGGATCTGTATCACTTATGGCAAAATCCCTTAACAAAGTATGCATAGAAGGAAAATCCTGAATCTGCTGAAAAGTTTTCTATAAAAAATAGAATAAATTTCATGTTTAATACCAAAACACTGAAAATCTTTCCTTTGTGGTTGATAATAAGACAAAGATGAAAGAATTGTATTATCAACTCCATTAATTATGTTGCTGGAGATCCTTACAGTGTGATAAGACAAGAAGAATAAACAAAAATTTAAGGTATAGAGATAAAACAAAACAAACAGTAAGCAAAAATGGCGTTATTTAAAGATATCAGTAGAGACCTTCTAAAGACTCTATTTACAACTTTGAGAAATAATAGCAGAGTTGATCAAAGTTGATCGTTAAAAACTCAGTATACTGGTTATGTCTCTATACACTGACAATGTTTAGATAAACATTTTTTAAGAATGTTTTTTAAGAAAACATTTTTTAAGAATCTAAACTTTTTAAGAATACTATTCATCAACAGCCATTCCACAGAAACAAAAATGGCCCTTAATCATATGAAAAGATGTTCAATTTCACTCACAACAAGGGAAATGCACAAAATATTTGTACTGAAATACCATCTTTCAAATATCAGGCTGAGAAATGTTTCAAAATGTCATAGTACATTGGCAAGGTGTGAAAACAGATATTTTCATATTTTCCCAGTAGAAATATATATTGTCCCATTGGCAATAAGGGGCAATTAGGCAATACAGGGTGAACGTCTCTTATCCAAAATGCTTGGGATCAGAAGTGTTTCAGATATAGAATATTTTTGGGTTTTGGAATATTTGCATATATGTAATGAGATAGCTTAGGGATGGGATCTAAGCCTAAACAAAAATATTTATGCTTGTTTCATGCACACCTTATATAGATAGCCTGAAGGTAATTTTATATGATATTTTTAATAATTTTGTGCAGGAAACAGATTTTTTTAAATTACCCTTTGTAAGGCATTTGGAAAACATGTATATCAGATGAAGGGGCTGGTAGGGTCTTTTTTCATTTGGGGACATTGAATAAACTGTGCATCGTGTGCCTGCATTTTGACTGTAATCTGTCACATGAGGTCAAGTCTGGAATTTTCCACTTGTGGCACCATGTTGATGCTCAAAAATGCTTTCAGATTTTTGAAGCATTTCAAATTTGAGGATTAGGGATGCTCAACCTGTATCTATAAAAGTTACAAATTTAGATACTTTGAGCCAACAGTTTTATTTCCAGAAATTAATTATACAGATATACTCACATGCATGCAATTGTTACGATGTCAGAGTCTATTGTGCCATAGGAAACACCTAAATGTCCATAGAAGCAGACCATTTAAGTTAATGTTACTAGGAAGACACGAGTATCTACTGCCTAGGTCCTCATCTCCCAACGTTTTCTTCTCCATGAACACAAAATGGTAAAGAACAAAATTAAATGACACAAAACTCATGTCCTAAGAATAATTCAAAGACATAGAATGTGTAAATTCCAAATAACCCTAAGTAAAAAAAGGAATAAAACCATTTCTAATCCATAATCTCTCATGCTCCTGTTCAACTGTCATTGGCCCATCACTTTGCAGCAAACAAAGATCAACAAAAAGCACTGCCAGTAAATGAGAAGAAGCAGGCTAGCAATGCCATCCAAAATTGATCTCAAATTAGTGCTATAAATACTAAATCCATCCTAAGTCTGAGAATAATACAAAGGGATCCTGGTAAATAAGGACAAGGATGCAGAAAAGGGAATTATCCATAAATGTGTTTTGAACGAATGATCTTTGCACCACAACATTTGGGGCCTGGGTGGGGGGCTGTCAAAAGGAAAACAGAATGGTGAAGGGAAAAAGTAGCCCAGAGGGAAACTCTGCAGCCCGAAAACAGAAGAAAACCAAAACATTTGAAGAATGCAAAATCTTTCCCTTCATCAACAAACGAAAAATAAATTTTTTGACAGAAGAGGATACCATGAAACTGGAAATCATGTAAAATGATTCAATTTCACAACAATAAATAAGAAAATAGTAGATCTATAAAGACTTATTTCAAAAAACATCAGAGAAGAAAAATTAACTCATAACTGAGGAAAACTCTCCCTAGAAAAGCAAGCATGAATCAGGAAATGGACAGATACAGAGACAGAAGAGAAGACAATGTTTCACACTGAATTAAATATATACAAACATGGGTTTGAGGGTATTACAAACCACTTGGAATTAAAAATTCAAAAACTAAGAAGGAAAATCAATTTTTAAAAATGTGGGAATAAAGTGACTGAACTCAGGAAACAGAACAAAGACAATAACAAATTTGTTTCAGAAGTAAATAAAAAGTTAGAACTGGTCAAGAGAACATACACTTAAAGAAAAAGAATGGTGCCTATCAGAAAGCAAGAAAATGGGCAGAGATCTGTATGATACAGTTTGTATGCACCAAAAAATATCAATCATATTTTTGATTTAGTCAATAAACCTTACACCAATTAAGAAAATAATTTCAATGAAATTGATTGATACATTAATATTTAGTTAAAGAAAGGGGGACTATCTTTACATATGTATTTCAATTTGGTAACGCAGAGCTGTATGACAGTCAGGAAATTTGACTTAGATATGTTAATTGCAGTATAGATGATTTAATTTTTAGTTTCATGCAAAGTAAGGCGGTTACATCAGAGAATAATACCATTGCACACACTTTATTTCAAATGACTCATACAAAATTGTTAAGAATGTATTATTTATGCAAGGCATTTTACCTTCTATCTTAAATTTATGTTGGCTATTATTTAGAGGTTTTCAGGACCTCATGAGAAATCACTGCACTTACTAGTGAAATACACAATTTAATCCCCTGGCATTTTCCAGTTGATTAAAAGTGCTCAAAAAGTTTTTAAGAGATGCTTAAATCAATGTGATATAGATATATATATTTAACATCTATAACAATGATAGGTATATAAAATTCTTTGAGTACTTTCATTTTGAGAATAAAATAGAAGATGAAGTTATTACACAATAATAGAGATCTGTTCATTTAAAGAAAAAAATTATACCCAGTGTGTTTCCATGTAATTCACTGATTTACTCCGTGAGCATGCCTTCACACAAAATCCAATAAAATCATTTTGATGAAACACACTTGTTTCATAACTAAAAATTTTCATATGAATCAGGACAAGTTTGGTAAGTCATTATTTTACCCAGCTGTAAAGATGTACCAAAATATCTGAAAAATATTTTTTGAAACATTTGACATTAATCAAAGGCAGGTTGTTATGTAATATCCAGACAAAACCGCATATATAGGATGCAGAAATAGATTTTATCATAATGGAGTTTTCCGCTAGCATTGTAATACCTGACATTTTCTATGAGCATGATCAAGGTAAAGTTGACATTGTGGAATCTGCATGGACTGTGGGGTGGCAAGAAGCAGAAAAGACTTTTCATCCAGGTTGTGCCTTTGGAAGCACTGAAAATGTTAGGACTGACTTTATGGTGATGAGGATCAGACCTGCTGACTCTTATATCTTGAGTCACTACCCAGATGTCTAGCTCTTACAATAGAGTAAATCCTATAATGCATGTAACTTCGACTAGTCATTTTTTATGATTCACCATTCCCTAAATATATCATTAATTCTGAGATATTTTAGGCACAGGTATTTGTATTTAGGCACAGGTATTTGTACCATTAGGGATTGTGCCACGAGGATTTTATATATATATATATATATATATATATATATATAGCTTCAGCTAGTAGAAAACAAATTGGTTATTCTCCAATTCTTACATGAACAACATCCTATAAGCTTTTCCTAATTGGGTTAGAAAATAAAACTCATTTACACAACTTGGAACAAGGCAATTTGATTGAATTAAATCAGGCATGAAAAAAATCAATAAAACTCACCAATTCAAATAAATCAGTTCCAACAAACAAACTGAATCAGGTTAAAGAAAAAAGAGCAAAGCTGTTAAAACCATAGCAATTTTTAAACTTCTCCTGTGGTGATTTATTCAAAATTTCAAAACCCAGGAATGTACAAGGAGGAAAAAACAAGGAAAGTTACATATGTGTTTCATTCTGGCATAAATAGTAACAAAAAACTTCAAATGTACATGTTGTTGGAAATAACCATCATTTTTCTATATTGGGTTTTCAGAAGCTGACAAACGGTTTATATCAGAAGGTGGAATCGTGGGTATGGTCGATGTGGCAGGTCCTAAACATAAATTGGGTAAGCTAAGGCAAGCAAAGCTGTTACTTTTGTTTAAACCAATCTCCATTAATGCCCCATATTATTAGATTTGGTTGCTTGCACAAATTTATAAGGAAGCAATCATTGTTTTTCTAAAACTGATCATTCATCTCTAGCAATATGTGGTAATTTTCAGCTGTGCATTTTCATTTCAAAGGCCCTTTACTAGGATGAAAATCGACAGGAGAAAATTGTTTTTAAGATTGCTGAAAGGCACTTGACAGAGATGATAAGAGTTCACTGATAATCTTGCCAGGTCCCAGATGTTAGGTGGGCAAAGGCATTTTGCAGAGGTCCTTGCACAGCTTCACATGCATGTGACAGACAGCACCTGAGGAAACCCTTCCCATTGGCCACCCCTCTGCACTCTCGTTTTCTTCCAGCTCCTATTGTCCTTTCCTGCTGTCCATTCCTCCTGAGACACAGTTCATTTCACCACTAAGGGTATCTGGTTTACCAGAAAGCTATGTCTTTTTGACAGTAAGTGTAAAAGAAAGTTTGATCCATCTGATTATCCAAATAGCAAAGGAAACATTTAACTCTGAGTCTGAGGACAGGGTTCAGCCCCAGGAGAAGCTTAGCTCCAGAGCAGTCAGTGCAGCTGTTTCCTTTACCACATACTCAGTCCCCAACTGTACATGATTTAAAGCCCTCAAGTTGCCTTGGAATTGAAGAAAACAAACATGAATCAAAGCTATATTTTTTTAAAGGCAGAAAACTAAAAATTTCTTAGCAAGGAAAAAAAGCAATCTGGAAATGAAGATCAGAGAACGAATAGCCAGAAGCGAAGTGTTAAAGGTTGTCATTCATTCTCCTGCAGTCAATAAAAGATGTTCCAGACAGAGATTAGAGAATCCACATTTATGGACAATGTAACCCATCAGCACTCCCCTATATGACTTCATTTAACACTCTCTACCAGGTACATGTTAATATCCCTCATTATGGGTACAGAAATCACAGGCTTATAAACAGTACTTTGCTCAAAATATACAGTTGCAAGATATTGGTTCCACTAAAACAGTTTTCTTCTGTTTTACACCATAGTAATAGATCTCATTTATTAGTTGCTGAGTGCAGTATATTAACAACTTGGTACATGGAGGGTTCATATTAATACCTGAGAAGACTAACTCTTAGAATGACTACAATCGTTACCACTCAGCTCTAAATGGAAATTATCCTAAATGGAAATTGTCAGAAAGGACTATCCTATAAATTAACAGACATGAGGTTTAGTTCTAAATATGCCTGTTATAACCTGTAAGAATGGCAAACCTAGAAAGTCAGATAAGAAGTCCTAAGAGCATCAAGCACTTTTGATAGGTGTATAAGGTCCAATTGTCTATTTAGAGAGTAGTCTAACACGACTTAGAGAATTTAAGTATGCATATACCTTAAGTGATCATGTAACTTATCATCAAACCTAGAACACTTTTTTAGAGGGAAAAAAGTAAGAATAATAAAAAATAATAGCTGTTATAGACTGAGTGTTTGTGTCTTCCCAAAAATGTATATGTTCAAGCCCTGCTTCACAGTGTGGTTTAATTTGAAGAGGAATCCTCTAAAGAGGTAATTAAGGTTAAATGAGATCAGACAGGTGGCGTTCTGATTCAATAGGATTTGTGTCCTTATAAGAAGATAGAGCACATTCCACTCTCAATGCATAGAAACTACAGCTGTATTTGAATTTAAGTAATAATCTGAGCTTCTTCCTGTAAGAACCAGGGGATTCTGACAGCTCTTTGTATTTAAAAATGTTTCTAAATCGATGGTCGTTCTCCCAATATAATTCTAATAAAATATTTTTGAGTTTTACTATGCATCTTATTTCATTACATTCTGTCAGACAAAGGCCACCCCCACAAATAATCTTCAACACAAGTCGTTCTGTGGATTATGCTGACAGAGTCTTGTGGAACAACATCATCAAGATTCTTAAAAACCTCTTTGTCTAGTCTAAAATATGTGTAATCCACACTCTTAATATTTTTAGTAAATCTCTTCTTCTCTATGTTAGAGGACATACAAGGCTCATACTTACTCTTAGAAGCCCAAATAGGCATGATATAAATCTTTCAGAAAACTCAATAAATAGTCTTTTATCCACAGCCTTGAAATCTTTATCCTGAGGCTATGCTTACTGATGGCGTCCTAGGCCATTTTTAAATTTGAGATTCTTTACTGAAGGGGTCTAGGGATAAGAAACTGTTTTATTTTGAACCCAGCTCACTTGAGTATCCTATAAATTTTGCTTAAAATCTGTATAATTCTTTCTCTAGGATAGCTTTATCTCCACATATTTAAGTATAGGCAGCTATACATAGATTAGTAGATAGAAAGTAAAGATTCTATTGTTTCCTATTAAATTGCCTTTTGTTCAGAAGTATTATAGCTGAGGTTGTATGCATGTAGGATGAACATTTTTTCCTCTTTATTTTCTCTGCTTTCCCTGAAATTTATCACAGGATTTCTCTTCAAGTATGTTTTATAAAAATAAATGAGCTGTTCTTTCCTCCCTGGTAAATAATTTATAGAAATGCTCTCAATGACATTTGATGAATAGAAAAAAATTTTAAAGAATATGTTTTCTAACATAATAGGTGCATAACAGTCAGACAGACCAAATGAGCTTCAGTTTTGAGAGGGTCTGTTTATTGAATTCTCTATTGCTCTTTATTTGATCACGCATGCCCCATGTATCAAGCAGGGCAGGAAGACACCAGGAGATCATTAAGGTAATTTTCTGTCACTTATTTCTACTGATATTCACTATATGAGAGCACCGAAAATTTGACATTACCATGAGATTTGAAAATGTTTATTTATTTTCAACCATTAATTTTTTAGTATCAGTCAGAATTTAACAGATGGTGTCTATAAATTAGTCTAGGGAGGTAGCAAAGATATACTTTAGTGAAAAGATAAAGTCAGAAGGTGTTGACCTTCACAGCAATGAATATGAACTCATTGAAAAAGAAAGTGAGATACCTAGAAATAATGCTGTATCAACTTTACGGTCATCCTTTAGCCCAGTCAAGTTGATGCATTAAAATAACCATTACACTGCCCAACTCAAAGTCGAGGGCACAGGCATTCATGGCTATAGATCAGACACCTCAACCTCCTGGGGCAGAGAACAGGTTCGAGGAGTGATCTGGAGGCATCAAAAAAGAAAAGACACCTGGCTCAAATCTTGTCTGCCATTCTATGATCCTACACCTTCCACCAGTGATCCATTCTACCTCCCCCATCATCTCTGGCAGCCACAGTGTCAATCTTCTCTCAGTTCCCTGTCTCCATTGTCACCTCCCCGGCTTCTCTTTCCTTTAAGGCACTGCTTTCTAGTAGAAGATGATGTGTGTAGAAAGAGATTTCTTAGCTAAATACATAAGCAATCCTGGCTATTAAAATCTTACCCAATTTGGTTTAAAGTGTATATTACCAGAAGTTTCTTAAGGTCAAGAGGTTGATCAGTTGTTATTTTTGAGTATGACAAGTTTTTCAGTTCTTTCATAGCTCTCCAAACACCTCCGCCTGTATTTATGCATTAATTTAATGAGCACTGAGCCTCTACAAACATTTGAATATGTGCTGGAGATAATGAGATTTAAACACAGTGTGCACATTCCACTATCCTATAGCCCATCTAAGAAAACAGGAAAGTAAAAACAAAATTTTTAGCCTGGTGTAATAGGGATGTAGATGATATAGACATAAGGCACCTGAATCCCTTTTCAAGAAGTAGTGTGTGTTCCTTAGTGAGGAATGAAGTTAGCTTGGAGCCTCCAGCTACAGAAACTTTAGGGGCTGTTTCTGCTCGATCTGAGGCCACCACACTCTTTCCCGGCAACCATCAGCCAGTACCTGAGCACAGGGGCTGGAGGTAGGGTGTTGGTGAGTAGTAGGGTCTTCTGTTTCTACCCAACATGGGGCTCTTCTAATGTTTGTTTTGGAACTTTCATTTGAGTTGGCTGAGACTGTCAGATCTTCACCATCTCAGACTTTTTCTGCCTATTTTTCTTTCCTCTCTTTTATTTTCAGAGATTTACATTGTTGGCTAACAGTTTTATATGCTCAATCTTGCTTCCTCCTCCTGGACCTTTCACAGACCTCACTCCTTGATAACATTCTTGCACTCATATTTTTATTTCAGCACCTTCTTCTCAGAAGATTTGAACAATGCTAGGGTTATGCATAAGTATAACATGCTACGAGAGCAAGAAGCACTTGTCCATGAGAATCTGATCATACTTGGAAGTGCCAGACTTGGTCACATGTACACATTTCTATTGTTTCACAGAAACATAGCATCTCAGATCCAGAAGAGGACCTTGGCCTACCATATGCCTAATGCTTGAATTTCCTTACCTGTCCAAGAAGTCCCTTATGATGTACTCTTGTAATACCATCTTTCATCCTTAGACAACTTAACTGATATGAAGTTCAAACTTATATTGCCTGCTTGACTGTGGTTTCAACACCTTATACCTAATATCACTCCTAGGACCATAAGGGGTAAATCTTTCACATGACTGCTCCTACAGTTGTTTGAAGCCATCAATGATATTCACTCATAGAGGGCTTTGAGGCTTACCAACCTTTGCTACAACAATATTCCTCAGGAGACAGTCTTGAGTACAGTGCCTGCAATACATTTTGTTATCATTGCATAATTAATTGATAATTGTATTCAAATTCTTTCTTCAATATCATAGGCTCTCTCCCTTAGGCATCTCAAATTTATCTTCACAGCTTTTCAACTGCAAATTTAAGAACAAAATGTAAAACCTCTGATACCTCTAAGCAGCATAATAAAATGAAGGTTTTAAGGCCTTCTTTTGCTCCATAATATACGTATGTCAGTGTGGCATAGGTTATTAGCTACCATTTATTGTGCAATTATAATGTACTTGGAACTAAGCTAAGTACATATTATCTCATTTAATTTTCACTATTTTGTAAAATTGAAGATATGTATTTGTTTTATATTTTAAGAAACTGAAGCCAGAGAAGCAAAACAATTGCTCAAAGTCATTCAGTTAGTTAATGAGGCAACAAGATTTGAAACCAAGTTTGTCTAATCTCAAAGCTCATACTTTTAACCATTATTTTATTACTGCCTTTGTAGATGCTTGGCAACCTCATTAAAGCATTAACATATGTTGAATCTACTGTCAATTATATTTGCCTATTTCACACGTGTTTTGCATTGCCTCTTTATCATTACAAATTATTTTGTTTTTGTTAAATATAACTTACATGATAGAAAAAAATGATTGAATCCACTTAGCATCAGTACACCTGCTCTGAGAACTGTAATTTACATAATATCTTTTACCTTGCCTCTTCCTCCAAAAACTGGGAAAAATAGTATTGGCACACACCTCTTGGCCTACTCAATGGCCAAGGTATTCATCTGTTTTGTCCACTGATGTATCTCAAGCACCTAATACAGTGTTTGGCTCACAGTAAGTGCTCAAAAAAATCATTATTGAATGGATTGCTGTGATTAAAAGACACATTTTATGTGTATGCTTTGTGGAATACCTTGGAAACATTTTACTATCGATAAATGGTAGACATTCTTAATTTGAACTTTGAGAACATAAAGGATAGTACATGTGTCTATTACATTTAGCTTCTTCCCATAATTCAGCATATTGAGATATTATGAATTTTGATTCTCTCCTGAAACATATTTATCTTGGCTTCTAGTTCCATGTTGCCAGAACACGCCTACTATATGTTAGTCTCAGTTACTCATAAAAACATAGTACTGGACAGATCTTATAAACAGAAATTTTTAGTAGACTAGAATCTCCCCTCTAGGCTTGACTCTGATTTTCTATATAGATGGTTTTTTATTCATTTAGGCTCCTGGAGATTTATAACTGACAAGGATCTGATAAATCACCGATATCTTAAACCAAATCACCAAACAACTTTTAGCAAATGATTCCCATTCCCTCACTGGTTCCTGCCTGATCCTTCTCACCAGGCTTCCGAGTGTCAAATTGCATCTGGTGAAGACTGAAGACTTCTATCCTGGAATGTCTTTGACCTCACTTGCCATTTGCAGTGAAGATTTATCAGCTCCAAATGGAAAGGAATGGGAATTGATTGTGAAGGCAAACATCAGGCTGTTATCCTGAAAGAGAAGCAAAACAGACCTAACTCCAAGAGAAAATTTTGCCCAAATGTTGTAAAGCACAAAGAAAAATACCCAGATTGTTTCCTTTTTATATTCCAAATCATTGACAAAACTGAAAATGTCTTTCTTTTCCTTTTCCTTTTTGTGACTATACTAGTCACAAAAATCTAATAGCTTTCTAATTTATCTCATTTGATATTATCTCATCATTAGAAGTTTTGGAAACTTTGGAAATGGCACTAGAATCTCATTTAAAAAATTAATGCAGACTCATTGTTAAATAAGATGAACTGACTACATGAATTTAACTTATCTTCAAACCCAATAAAAATGTCACAAAAGAATTAAAAAAATTAACTTCCCAGGAAAAAGACAATTAGATATGAAATAAGAGCATAGGAAAATTTCAATTATCTTTGGAAGACAGAGAGTGGAAAGAATAATCATTTAAAAATCACATAGCAGAAAAAGTTAGTCTAATTATTTGCCAAAGAATTCCAATGAGAATCAAGTTATCAGTTCCTGAAAAAAGACGTGTGGAAGTGGACTTAACAAAAGAGTAGAATTGGTTGAAAATTCATATATAAAAGGCAGAGACAGTCAGATTCCCATCTGCATCCCAGGAAGCCAGGCAACTGTGATGCCATCCCCCAAGGTTAGAGCGAAATGTTTGTAGAAATTGAACCAATCAGGCCCTGGATACTGGGAAATCAGGTTTTAGTCAGGTATAGATATGAGGAACTGGATTGTACACCAGAGAAATTAGGAGTAAAGTTACTCCAGATTAGGTTGCCTGATAATTTGGTGGCTGATTGTTAAAATCCAGTCTCTGCTAAGGCCAGAATCAAGCTGAAAGCTTTGTTTCAAAAGGAGAGTATTTATCATCCGAGAATGGCAGAAATTTGCCCCAAAATGTGAAGAGTCTGCACTGCTATTCACCAAGGGGCCTGCTAAAAATCTCCAAGCAGCACCTCCCTCCGGCACTGACGCTTCACACATCATCAAATCTGATGGACAACATGATGCATATGGTAGTCTTCTCTTATTTGGGCCCCTGTTCAAAAGTAGCTTTTGGGGTCAGTTGGAAATGGACCAAAGTAGGACACCCAGTGAGGAATAAATTGCCTCCAAAATCAAAGGGGCCCACCAGGAATTGTTCCTTGTTTTTTTTCATAATAGGGGCCAGATGTAACATGCTCTGTCCCATTTGACCCCTAGAAGTTTAACTGGATAAATGTTCTCTGATTTGTGTGTGTGTGTGTGTGTGTGTTTATTCCCTAGACTCTGGCACACAAATATCTTTCCAATTAATCTAGAGTAGTTGCTATTTCTTGTTCACTATGTCTAATCCACATACAATGTCATCAATGTAATGGACCAGTGTGATGTCTTGTGGAAGAGAACTATAATCAAGATTGCTGAGGACTAAGTTATGCCACAGGGTTGGAAAGTTGACATACCCATGGGGTAAGACAATGAAGGTGGTTTCCTAGAGTTGCCAACTGAAAGCAAACTGCTCTTGTTGTCTTTACTAAAGGTATCAGAAAAAAAAGAAGCAGAGAGAGAAATAGTTTAACTACTTAGGTGAGGCCCATCCAGATTATCAAGGAAAACCTCCTCTACTTGAAGTCAGCTGATTGTAAATGTGAATTATCTTTATGAAATACCTTCACAGAAACACCTAAATTGGTGTTTTATTGAGTAACTGTAGCTATAGCCTAGCTAAGTTGGCACATAAAGCCAATAATCACAAGAAGTAAAGTGCATGATGATATTACAGAATAGATGAGACAGTGGTGAATGGAGTTAAAGTATCCACACATCCTAGCATTTATTTGGATGTGGTAAACCTAAAGAATGGAGTAAGTTAAGGATTATTAAATTCTAGTAATATACAGTAACCCTTAACAGAACAGTTAAAGAAGGTATAACTAGGATGCTATAGCACTATGCCATGGGATAAACACTTATGAAGTCATAGCCCAGAGACATAAACCCACTTTTAAAAAGGTCAGATGTAATCATAAGACAACAGAAAGTTTCCTCTCCCCCACAGTTTACCAGCACACCAACAGCAAACACATGGTATAATAATAGTGAGCTATGGCCGAAGAGACACAAGGCTCAGTGTCTGTCTGAAGGTACTTAGGGACAACTGAAGTCAAGAGGGGAGACAAAAGCAACCATCCACTAGAGGATTTGAAGCCTCTGGCACTGATGGTTACAACAAACATTAAACGCAGCTCAATTCTGTTTTTCTCAATCAACATAAATCCTCCCACAAAAGACCTATTTACCTCAGTTTCTATTTGCCAATACATATTATTTAAATTTAAAAAGAATTACAAGGTATGTCAAAGGGTAAGACAAAATATGGACTAAAGAGAAAAATCAAGCATCAGAACCAGAGTCAGATATAACACAGGTGTTAGAATTATCAGACAGAAAACCTAAAATAACTATAATTAATATGTTGAGAACTCTAATGTAAAAGTAGATACCAAGGAAGAGCAGATGGTTATTGTAAGCAAAGAGATGGAAATTCTAAGGAAGAACCAAAAGGAAATGATAGTAATAAAAAATATAGCAACAGAAATAAAGAATGCCTTCACAGAGCTCACCAGCAAACAGGACATAGCTAAAGAAAAAATCAATTAGCTTGAAGGTGGGTCAATAGAAACTTCCCAAACTAAAATACAGCAAGAAGAAAAAAATGAAATGAACAAACAAAAAAAAAATCCAAGAAATGTGACAATCTCAAAAGGTGTAACACATGTATAATTGGAATACCACAAGGAATGCAAGAGAGAATATAACAGAAAAAATTGTTAAATTATAACAGCTGATAACTTTCCAAAATTAATGCAGACACCAAAGCACAGATTTCAAACACACACACACACACACACACACACACACACACACACACACACACACACACGAAATGCCCTAGGCATATTATATCCAAACTGCACAAAACCAGAGACAAAAAGAACATCTTGAAAGAAGCTAATAAACAACAACAAAAAATAATTCCTGTAACTGAAGAAGGGCAAAGATAAGAACACAATAGCCTTCTCAACAGAAACCATGCAAGTGAAAGGCATTCTGTTTCTTCTACCTGGAGCACTTCTACCTCTTATCCATAACCTCAGTCCTTACTCATTCTTGTCACCATTGGGTTGTTGCTCTGATATCACAGCATTAGTGAATCCTTCCATGACAATTCCACTTAAAAATACAACCTTTGGAAATGCCTCCTGGAAGGGAGCAAGATGGTGAACTAGAAGGCTCCACTGATTGTTCCCTCCACAGGAACACCATATTTAACAACTATCTACACCAAAAAAGGCACCTTCATAAGAACCAAAAATCATGTGATCACTCACAGTACCTGGTTTTAATTTCATATTGCTGAAAAAGGCACTGAAGCAAGTAGGAAAGACAGCCTTAAAGCACCAATGCCACCCCTCCCCCCATCTTCCCATAGCAGCTGGGTAGTGTTGGGGAGAATCTATGCACTTGGGTGGGGGAGAGTGCAGCAATTGTAAGATTTTGTATAGCCCTATCATAGCAGAAAGTAAAACTGGGCTGAACTCAGCTAACACCCACCTGCAGAGTAAGCATCTAGACCATCTAGCCACAGAGGATTTGCCTATTCCATTGGCCAGAGCTGGAGTTCATGCAAGCCTCGCCACCATGGGCTGAAGTGCTCTGCAGTCCTAAACAAACTTGAGAGACCACAAGGACTGCAACTTGGAACTGGGGGACATGTGACTTACTATGACACCAGCTAGGGCAGCTAAGGGAGAGCTTGTGCCACTCCTCCCCCAACCCCAGGCAGTACAGCTCACAGCTGCAAAAGGTGCCCTTTCTTCCTCTTGAAAGGAGGAGAGGGAAGAGTATGGAGGACTTTTGATTTGCATCTTGGATGCCAGCTCAGTTACAGAAGGATAGGACACTGATCAGAGTAACGAGGCCCCCATACTATGCCCTTCCCCAGATTACATTTTTAGACATACCCTGGCCCAAAAGAGAACCCACTGCCTTGCAAGGAAGCTCCCAGTCTTGCCAGGATCCATTGCCTGCTGACTAAAGAGCCTTGGGTCGTGAATAACCAGCAGCAATACCCAGGGGGTATACCGTGGACCTTGAATGAGACTCTGAGATGTACTGACTTCAAGTGAGGTCTAGCGTTAGCTACAAATAAAGTAAAATACCTAGGAATTAACCAATGATGTGAAAGATCTTCTCAATGAAAACTATGAAACATTGAGTCAAGAATTTAAAGAGGACACCAAACAATGAAAAGATATTCCATGTTCATTTGGAAAAATCAATATTATTAAAATGTCCATACTACCTAAAGCAGTCTACAGATTTAATGCAATCCTTACCCAAATACCAATACATTCTTCACAGAAATAGAGGAAAGAAAGAACCTAAAATGTATGTGAAACCACAAAAGACACAGAATATCCAAAGCTATGCTGAGCAAAAAGAACAAAGCTGGAGGAATCACATTCTCTGGCTTCAAATTATGCTACAGAGCTATGGTAACCAAAATGCATGGTAATGGCATAAAAACAGACACATAGTCCAATGGAACAGAATAGAGAACTCAAAAAAAATCCATACATCTACAGTGAACTCATTTTGAAGAAAGGTGAAAAGCACATACAATGAACACACTCTTCAATAAATGGAGCTGGAAAAATTGGATATCCATATGCAGAACAATTAAACTAGACTGCTATCTCTTGCCATATACAAAAATGAAATTGAAATGGATTAAAGACTTAAATCTAAGACCTCAAAGTAGGAAACTACTAAAATAAAACATTGGGGAAACTCTCCAGGACATTGGAATAGGCAAAGATTTCTCGAGTAATACCCCACAAGCACAGGTAACTAAAGAAAAAAATGGGCAAATGGAATCACATCAAGTTAAAAAGCTTCGGCACAGCAAAAGAAACAACCAACATAGTGAAAAGACAACACACAGAATGAGAGACAATATTTGCAAACTTCCCATCTGACAAGGGATTAATAACTACAATGTATAAACAGCTCAAACAACTCTATAGGAAAACAAATCTAATAATCCTATTAAAAAATGGACAAAAAATCTGAAAAGAAATTTCTCAAAAGAAGACATACAAATGGCAAACAGTTTATGAAAAAGAACTCAACATTGTTGATCATCGAAGAAATGCAAATCAAAACTACAATGAGATACCATCTCACCCCAGTCAAAATGGCTTTTACCCAAAAGACAGGCAATAATAAACATTGGTGAGGATGTGGAGAAAAGGGAACCTTCATATTCTGCTGGTGATAATGTAAATTAGTACAACCACTATGGAGAACAGTTTGAAGGTTCCTAAAAAAACTAAAAATAGAGCTACCATATGAATAGGAAACCTGACTTCTAGGTAAATATCCAAAAGAAAGGAAATCAGTGTATCAAAGAGACACTCCCATGTTTATTGCAGGTCTATTCACAATATCCTAGATTTGAAAGTAACCTATGCATTCATGAACAGATGAATGGATAAAGAAAATGTGGTACATATACCCAATGGAATACTATTCAGCCATAAAAAAGAATGAGATCCTGTCATTTACAACAATATGCGTGGAACTGGAGGTCATTATGTTAAGTGAAATAAGCCAGACACAGAAAAACTTTGGATGTTCTCATTTATTTGTGGGAACTAGAAATTAAAACGATTGAACTTGCGGAGATAGGGAGTAGAAGGATGGTTACCAGAAGCTGGGAAGGGTAGCTGTGGGATGATGATGGGAAGTGGGGATGGGGAACTGGAAAGTAATACTACAAACTCAAAAGTGAAACACAAATAGTAATTTATTCATTGCTTAAGGTAGAGAGTAAATTATTATAATAATTATTATGTATCATTAAGGGGGACAAAAAATAATTAGAAAGAGTAGGACCCAGCATTTTCTAGCACAACAGGGTGACTGTAGTCAAAAATAATTTAATCATACATTTAAAAATAACCAAAAGAATGTAATTGGATTGTTTGTTACACAAAGGATAAATGCTTGAGGGGATGGATACTCCATTTACCCTGATGTGGCTGTCACATATTACATGTCTTTATCAAAATATCCCATATACCCCATAAATATATACACCTACTATGTACCCGTAAAAATTCAACATTAGTAATAAAAAACCAACCCTTTGTATCTCCCTGATCTAAGCTCAAGCACTCTGTGTTCCCTTTCCAAGGTATAATTTTCTCATTTGAACTCATCTCCACTTATCATTTTCTATATTTTATTTAACATATGTTTATTGTCTTTGTCACTAAATTGAAGTTCTATAAGAACAAGGATTTTTGTGTTTTTTCACTGCTATAGACTGTAAGATCACCTGGCCCACAATGTTTAAATTTATTACTTAAATGAGTTAACTGTCTCAATCTGAAATAAAATAATTACATACGCAATACTAACAATAATAATTATAATAGCAATTATTTATTGAATACTTAGCATGTGCCAGTTCCATGTGCTAATAATTTTAAAATATATTTTATCATTCAATTCCGAAAATAACCCAATTAGGTAGGGGTCAGGCTGGTTGGGTCCTCTCTGTTCAATGAGCCAGATAAATTCCATGACACTTGGCATGTCTTTGAGAATAGGCCTTGTGAGAGAAAGGTTACCTCACATAACAAAGAGTCACCAGGCAGAGATCCTATGGGTCCCCCATCTTTCCATTCCCTCATGTCACAACCAGGAAGTCTGCACTAGGTTCTAATGTAGTAAAGCCCTACCACTACCACCATTGGGTGTTTTCCTTTTAAAAATATGAGGAAATGGTTGCATCAGTGCTGAAACACACGAGTGTTTGGTGCTTGAAAATCTGGATTTAGAATGTCAACACTTTACAGAGTTTTCTGGAATAGCCAACTGTCGGATTTTGAGACAACTAGGGACCTTGTAGGTTATAGACTATCACAGAGCTCCCTGGCAGGAAAAAATACCTGGAGAAGTTGAGCTCCAGTACCATTCCACCAGTTGGGAAAAAAACATCCACACTTGAGTCCTATGTGCAGATTTATGAAGATGTGTGGCCCTGTGAACAGAGAAGTCAAATTGTGATGATGCATTTGCAACAGGGTCCTCAGAATATTCATGACAAACTCTGAAGCTGGGAGGGCCCTGAAATTGAAGTTGGGTCTGGGCTTTTTTACTCTCAAAGTGACCAGTCATTGGATGCAGGGTGCCCCAGCAAAAGGCATAGATTTGAACAAGGAAGCTCTCTGGGTGGAAGGCAACTCCCAGAGAGAAGTTGATCTGAGAATTGTCAGCAACCAAACTTGCAGCTGAAGAAATAAATGTCTTAGTTATAAAGATGGGGGAATTGGCCAATGTACCATATAGCATGTGCTAGAGCCTCTGTTACTCTTCTTAATCAAAATGTGTCACTAAGATTTATTATTTTAACAACCTATGGTTGTTAATTCTCTAATCCCTTGATGCAATGAATACTTAAAATGCCAAACAACTGTAAAGGCAATTGCACAGAAAAGAAAACACTTTTAAAAGTCTATTTTTATTGAACAATAAACAATAAAATCATTTGGGAATGTTTTGTAATACAATGCTCCCCAAAAGTTGAAGCACACAAAATTCTTTTGAAAATTATAAATATTTGGAACTGAAAAGTAATACTACAAACTCAAAAGTGATACACAAATAGTAATTTATTCATTGCTTAAGGTAGAGAGTAAATTATCATAATCTATTTTATTAATTTTTCATCAAAAAGTGATAAGTGGGGAAATTGCTATTAAGCAATCTCTTCAGTTACAGAAACTAAATTATTGCTGGGTGATAAATTTGTGCAGCCAAGAATCTTAAACAGAACACTGCAGGAACTGAACCATTGAGTTATATATCAAAATTACTGAATTTGTACAGTGAACAAGCCTGTGGAGCTGTTTATCATTACTTCATTGCTACTAATTCACAGAACACCAAATTATACTTGTATGCTATTACATTTAGTGACATTAGGCAAGTGAATTAATTCTTTCCCCACTTCCTTAGTTTCTTCACCTATACCACTGAGATAATAATACCAATCTCTCTTCTTCTATTGGACTATCAATATGAGATCATAAATGTAAAGACTGAATGTTTGCTAACAATAAAGAAATGTAAAATGATAGTAGGAGTACTATTTTAGATACTTTATAATATTAATAGAAGGAAAACTTTGTGTGTTGCAAAACTAGGAACTAATTTTTCAGTTAAGAAATATTTGAGTAACGTTTGATGATATGTGAATTATTTTACCTTTCTGGACTATAGTTTTTCGTATGTAAAATGAAGAGGAATATCTATCTCACAAAACTATGATGAAAAGATAATACCAGTGAGAATCGCTTTCTATTCTAAAAATACTGCACAGGTATATTGAGATCATCACCATCACTGTTTCTAGCACATTATCACACGATCACCATCATTATCACCTTCCTTGATATTATCAAGATGAATTTTAAACATTTAGGAAAAATCTGAAAAACAGAGATCTTATTCAAATTTTAAGATAATTACTAATATCATATTTAAAGTAATTAAAATTTTAAAATATGGCTATATAAATCTTGATAAATACTAGTCAGTAGACTTTACCCTTTGTAACGCCTTTACCATCCAAGAGAATATCCAGTTTTTTATCTTCAGAAAGATAAAACCTTGGTGTCAATAAGACCTTGGTGTCAATGACATTTCCATTACAGCTTCAATAAGAGTTATCAAGATTCTCAGAAATGTTTCTTAACATTTGATGGGCCAAAAATATTTCTTACAAACAAGCTTTGGGTCCTTATCTCAAAGGAAAGTCATAAACATATTGGTCCCAGTACTTCTGAGAGTTGCTGTAGCCAAAGATGATCAGTCTCCCTCACCTATATCTGGTAGCAATTTTCCAAGGTGGTCCCCACTGCAAATGCCATATTGAATTGGCATTATAGGTTGGTGCAAAAGTAATTGTAGTTTCTGCTATTACTTAAAAAAACAACAATAACAAAAGGCAAAAACCGGAATTATTTTTGCACCAATTTTTTTTTCTTTTCTTTTCTTTTCTTTTTTTTTTGTGGCCGGGTGTTGTAGCTCACCCTTGTAATCCCAGCAGTTTGGAAGGCCGAGGCGGGCAGATCACTTGAGGTCGTGATTCGAAACCAGCCTGGCCAACATGAGGAAACAACCAAAATGCTGAGATTGCAGGCATGAACCACCATGCTTGGCCCTAAAAATATTCTAAAATTAGAAGATTTCACTGCCAAATTTTCACTTTAGAATTTGCTTACTTAAATGGAATTACTGCTTTGCTTCAGTTTGTAGATTATTCACTAAAAGCAGTCTCAGGAAAACAGGACCTTCAACCGGTATGAAAGAAAATGCACAGACCAACAGCTTTGGGAATGGGCTGGCCAGCTTGATAAGGACAGGCTGAGGCCACCTGCAGAAGGGTGCCCCCCACATTGATAAAACAATGATTAACTGCATGCCTGAGACTGTACAAATTTCACACACAAAAAAATGTTTTAAGCATTATTTCCCATAATTTCCCTTAACAACCCATGATCCAGAGGCACAACATGGAGAGGTGGTCTTCAAATACTCCTTCACTGCCTCTTCCAGTGGCTGGCTTCTTGAATAAAGCTGACTTTCCTTTCACCAAATCTCATCTCTTGGGTTTTTGGCTTTCAGGTGATGAATGGTCCGGACCTGATTTCGGTTACAATAGCTCCACTGAAACCATCCTTGTGAGGTGACTTCTTGGCCACTAAATCCAAGGACCCCCTTTCAGTCCTTGTCCTCTCAGCATATTGGCAGAATTATACCGTTCCCTTTTGCCTAAAACACGCCTTCACTTTGAGGTAGGAGGCAGGACTCAAATCCATTGGTGAGGCTCAGACAGCAGACCAAATTGAGGACTAGCAAAACAGGGACAGGATGAAAGCAGCTTTCCATAAAACACACTCACCGGTGTGCCATGTCAGTTTATCGTTGCCATGGCAACACCCAGATGTTACCGCTCCTTTCCATGACAACAACCTGACAACCCAGAAGTTGCCACCCTTTTCCTAGAAATGTCTGCATAATCTGCCCCTTAATTTGCATATAATTAAAAGTGGGTATTAATATAACTGCAGAGGTGCCTTGAAGCTTCCACTCTGGGCATACTGCCTGTGGGGTAGCCCTGACCCACTAGTGTCTCTGCTACTGCTGTACACTGCCACTTCAATAAAAGTTGCTTTTAGCACCACTGGTTCGCCCATACATTTTTTCCTGGGCAAAGCCAAAAACTCTCCCAGGCTAAGCCCCAATTTTTGGGCTCACCCGCCCTGCATCACTTTGCCTTCTACAAAAACAGACTCTTCTGAGTTTCCTTCACCCAAGTAGTAGTGACTTCCTTCTCAGTTACTTTGTTACTCCTTCTTCTTTTATGACCTTCAGCTTCAGAATTAGGACGCCTGAGGGCTAAACCCAAGAGTCTTTTCTTCTCAGTGATGTTCTTTCCTGAAGCAGCTCATGTAATTCCATTCTTCCAATAAATCCCTAATTTCTATTCAAGCTTAAGGTCTTGTTAGGCCCTTCCAGTACTGGCTGTCCAGTGAGTGCAACCTGGTCAGGCCCAGTGCGCAGAAGAATCCCGTGCATGCTTTGAGACATTGCGTTCAGTGTCTTGAAATTCCAACGAGACTCCCCACATTTTCATTTTGCACTTGGCCCCAGAAAATATGTAGTTGGCCCTGTCTTCACTTGGATATTTTTCCATGTGAATCAAGCTCCAAGGATGTACGAATGATTCTGTGGTCTTCCCAAAGTATGCCCCTTTGTTATTGCATGTCTCAGCAAGTGGAATACTATCAAACCTCTTACCAAGTTTGACACCAATGAGTCCTCCATGACATCAGCCACTTTCTTATCTTCAATATTCAGTTAATCACCAGGTATGATTTATCTGGACCTTCTAAGTACATAGTAAATCTGTCCACTTTTCTACTTCACCACTGTTAGACTCTCCTGCTGGAACTACTAAGATTGCTACTCTTTGGTTGTCTCCTGATAAACAAGCTTGGGTGCTTCTCTAATCCAAATTCAATTTTAATCTCATAGATACAGACATGCATCATTCTATTTTTTTATATCTGCAAAATGACCTACTGTATATTCATTTTGAATCTTTTAAATGTGTTGAATGAATCTGAGTCTTTACGCAATGCAGTGTATTTTAGTATAGACTGTTCACTATGTTCCAGGCATTTGAGAAGTAGTACAATAATTCTTGTCTAATTCATTGTGTTAAGTATACAGCAGGGAACCTAACAGACAAAAATCTATACCCTCATGAAGCTTATATTCTAGTGATTTATGCTTTTCCTTGAATAGTGCCCTTTCAGCGTATATTCTGTGATCGCTTATGTGACCCTGATTAACTCATAATTCCTTCTTCATACATATTGAGATTGTATTCATTGCTGTGTAAGAGTAAATTCTAAAGCATAAGCCATGAGTAGCTTTCTGTACATAGAATTTGAGACTCGATTTTATACTTACATTTTAGAACATCAGTTATCAAGGAAAAAGACTACTGTTCAAAAACAAATATTCATCTCCAGTTATTTCATTAGTCATTTTGATATGGCTTATTATCTGGCAGGAGAAGACAGCTTTATTCTCTTCAGAGGAAAGTTGGGGGGACTGAAATATGGACACGCCACCAAGTATGCCACCAGTTGTGTCAAATACACAGTGAATGCCATTTGTCACCATATTAAAATATTCTCATTAAGAAGTGATAAACTCTTGTTATAAATGTTAACATCTTCCACAGCAAGTAGCTTTGTACTTAGTAGTTTCCTAAAACTGTTTGATAGATAAACCTATTGATGAATGAACAATGTGAAGTGGATCAGGAGTTTCAAAAGTACACTTTTCAGTGCAAAATGGTCTATTGGGAATTAGTAAAATAATTCTTGTTTAAAAGAAACTCAGCTACTTCCATCTTATTTCTTATGTTGCTTGTTAGAGATCTTGTCTTCAGCCTTCTGACTAAATATAAATGCAGAATAAGGAATTTATTCTAACAAGTTCTCAAACACATTTCACTAAAGCTGTGATTCTTATAACAGCATGAAGATCCAAGAAAATGAAAATCAAGCCTGTGGCCTTTCAATATTATTTGCTTCCAGAATGATGGCTATTTATATTTAAAAGATTCTGTACTAGAGATAAATCAACATAGTCATATAAATCAACATATTCAGATAATCTTCCAAAAGGATAACTGAGGTCAAAGTTATGGAGCTTTGTAAACCACTGTGAGAAAAATTATCTGCAACTCAAAAACAGGAAAAGATTACTGATTATTCTGTCAGCACCAGGCTTATGCCTTTGATTAACTTTATGATGACAGGTATTTCATAATTCCATTGGAGCACAGGCTAATTTGTAGATTTTTCTGGTAAAGATGCAAATAACATCAGTATGGTGGAAGAGAGAGCCTCAAAATTATAGTCATTGTAATCATTTTTGTATCCAATTTAGTTATCTTATTTTGACATTCCTTTACTACTCTGCCTATAAATACCTAGCTTCCGAAATGTTTTTTAGGCTGGTTTTACCATCTAACTGGTTCATTAATATTAATGAGTTCAGTACAATCTTTGACATACATGCATATTATATTTGTATGAAAATCACATTTTCTAATTTTTTGAAAAATTATATTTTAATAATAGTTGGACTTTTTTACTCACTACCTTTTCTCTTTATTTTAATAGGTCTACAATTCCTTTAAAGGGGGCGCCAAATGGGTAGGAGGGCATAACTGAATGAATTTCGTACTCCAAGCCTAGTCTTTCGACTAACTTGCCACCAGATTTTTGTCTGTCAGGTTCCCTGCTGTATACCTAACACAATGAATTAGACAAGAATTATCCGACTACTACTCAAATTCCTGGAACATAGTGACTACTCTAAAAATTTATTTTAAAATGTAAAATGTGTATGTAACAATAAAGTAATTTAGAACCCCTCACCCATAAATGGTGTTGTACTAGTTGGTGTGTAAGTATGAATTCTAAATAGTAAGTTTTAAGTAGTCTTCCATAGGTACAATTTGAGACTCACTTCTTACTTAAATTTTAGAATATCCCAGTTGCAGAGAATAAACATAACCTTTCATTGTATTTATATATATACTTCAAGTTCTGGCATACATGTGCAGAATGTGCAGGTTTGTTACATAGGTATACATGTGCCATGGTGGTCTGCTGCACCCATCAACCTGTCATCTACATTAGGTATTTCTCCTAATGCTATCCCTCCCTTAGCCCCCAGCACCCTGACAGGCCCCAGTGTGTGATGTTCCCCTCCCTGTGTCCGTGTGTTCTCATTGTTCAACTCCCATTTATCAGTGAGAACATGCAGTGTTTGGTTTTCTGTTCCTGTGTTAGTTTGCTGAGAATGACGGTTTCCAGCTTCATCCATGTCCCTTCAAAGGACATGAACTCATCCTTTTTTATGGCTGCATAGTATTCCATGGTGTATATGTGCCACATTTTCTTTATCCAGTCTAACATTGATGGGCATTTGGGTTGGTTCCAAGTCTTTGCTATTGTAAATAATGCTGCAATAAACATACGTGTGCACGTGTCTTTAGAGTAGAATGATTTATAATCCTTTGGGTATATACCCAGTAATGGGATTGCTGGGTCAAATGGTATTTCTGGTCCTTTCATTGTATTTTAAAGCTTCACTTCCTCAGCACATACACTGAAACTGAAGCAATTAAAAAGTATATTGCCATGAGCCCTACACAAATGACTTGCATGTGTATGAATCAGTGTCTGTATATATTTTAAAGATGAGGTCTCACTGTGTTGCCCAGGCTGGTCTCCAACTCCTGGGCTCAAGTGATCCTCCTACCTTAGCCTCCCAAAGTGCTGGGATTACAGGCATGGGCAGTCACAACTGGCCTAGTCCATATTTTTATGCTACCTTTTCCACGAAGCTTACTACTAAGCACTAAACTCTGATCTTTTTTCTGTCTTGCCCAAATTCCTATTAAGGGGCTTGAGAAGTCACACCTTACAAACAGTAAAATCTCATCAGATAGGTTTTATTTAACCCTATATAATGTGACTTACTTTCCAATCTGACTGTGGCATAACATCACATGACAAAAAAGGAAATCAAGATATTTTACCCAAAATATGTTTCTTTACTATACTTTTGAAGTGGCCCTGAAAACTGTCTTTTGTGGGAGAAAATCGGTATCTGTAAAGAATATCTATTAACATAATTAGATCTTTTTCCTTCCAGGCCCTCCCAATCCTGAAGAGATTAACTGATCTGAAAGACTGGCACCTTTCAAAAGTCTAAATAGGAAACACTTGCCATATATTTTCTCTAAGCCCTCTCTGCCCTGACTACCTCCTTAAGATGTCCTGCCCTTCGAGGCCAAACCAATGTACACCTTACATGTACTGATTTATGTACTTGCCTGTAATTTCTGCCTCCTTAAAATGTATAAAAATCAAGCTGTAGCGCAAACACTTTGGGCCAATGATCTCAGGACCACTCCTCAGGCCATGGTCACTCATATCTGGCTCAGAATAAATCTTTATTTTATTTAATATATTTTTGATATTTGATTTTTTTGATATTTTGATTTTTGATATTGAATATTTGATAAATATTTATTTATCAAATATTTTACAGAGTTTGGCTCTTTTCATTGACACCCTGATTCCTCCAGCTTGAAGCAGTATCTTCCTCATTTAAAATTACAATTGTACTTTATCTCTTTACATGTTACATGATTTTGTATTTGCAAAGAATGAGTAGCATGTAACTTAAAATTGTAACTGTTTCATTCTTTGCCTAAGTCTATATCATTGAATACTGTATACATTACGCATTTTTATGTAGTTATCTATATTTAAATGTAGAGCGTTATAATATTATAATTTGTCTCACATAACAGATAACAACTTTCCATGCCTACACTCATGCTTTTAAAAGATTTTCTGGGAATTAATTTTAGGAATTTGCTATAACTTATTTAATTGACCATCTACTAATGAGCAGTTAGTTGTTTTTAGCTTCCTGCTACTTTAAACAGTGATGCACCGAATATCTTTATAACTTTGCATATGTTCAAAGTATTCTGTAGGATAATTTCCCAGAAGTAAAATTGTTGAGTCAATTTGAGAAGTTGATAGCTTTCTTTGTTTCTGGTGCATCAATGATAGGGCTTGGCTGCCACAGCCCTGGATTTATCTTACTTCTTCATTCGTTGAACGGAATATGTAAATTCCCTGAGCTCAGCTTCCACATTCTGAGGAGAGGAGATCTGAGCATGGATCAAACGTTTACTCCTATCTATTCAATTATAAATAGGAAGCAGTGAGACTGTGCAGTTCTACCGTGGCTGCATTTCTCAGAGAGGGGGAGCTATCTATTTGTCTCTCTATATAAATTCATATAAACTCTAGGAAATATAAACCAATGTCCACAGTGGCTATCTTTCTGGGACATAATATATATAATTTACTCTTATACTCATTATAAAAAATATTTGTATTTGAATCAAAACAAAACTAAAATAAATTCAATTTTGGGGGTCTCCTTTGTTATACGAGATAAAATCTGAACTGCGTGGATGTCATGAAATGCCGGTCACTATCTGGCTCCAACCTTTGTGGCCAGACTCTGCTCTGTCATCTTTTCCAATAAATTCCAGCCCTCAACCACACAGGAAACCACAGAACCCTCATGGTTTCCTGAGCTCATCATGGACTTTCATACCTCTGTAACTTTGATTATGTTGTTCTCTTGACCTAAAAACATTTCTCACCATCCTTCACTTGAAAAAAATCAAATCAAATCAACATGAAAATCAAAGCCAAACTAAAATGCTGTCTTCTTTGTGAAGTTATTTTCTGTTTTCACCTAAAAAATCTAGCACAGCTTAAAGGTTAATTGTGTATTTCTTTTCAACTATATAACTTCAAGAGTAAAGATGCTGTATTCCTTCATATTCTCTAGTATTAAAATAACAAATAATAACAATGATAATAATAACAAATGAATGAGTGAATGAATGTGAAGCATGCCATGCGCTTTTTCACTAAGGATTGGCTACCAACTTAGTTTCCCATAGCGGGGGTTCCCAACCCCTGATACCGGTCAGAGGCCTGTTAAGAATCAGGCTGCACAGCAGAAACTGAGCAGCAGGCAAGCAAGCATTACCACCTGAGCACCACCTCCTGCCAGATCAGCGGAGGCATTCGAGTCTCATAGGAGCGTGAAACCTACTGTGAATTGTGCATGCCAGGGATCTGGTTTGTGTGATCCTTATGAGACTCTAACGCCTGATGATCTGAGTTGGAACAATTTCATCCCAAAACCATTCCCCACTCATCCATGGAAAAATCATTTTCCACGAAACCGGTCCCTGGTGCCAAAAAGTTGGGTACTGCTGTCCTACAGCCGATTAGTAGATTATGATTTTGCAATGCATACAGTCACAGTCACAAGCTTTCTTCTTCTCCTTTCAGGGTTGCATCCTTGCTTCATTTTTCACAAGTTTCTACCAAACAAGTCTGTTCACTGGTAGCACTCTCATTCCTTTATGAAGATCCTGTTTCTCCAAGGTCTTACACCATTTCTCAATTCTCTCCATCCCAGGAGCTTCCCTTCTCTGTAGTACATCCTTTCCCACACACTATCTGCCCGATTGTGGAATGTGCAGTATTCTGGACATAAAAGATCTTCACATCCTGGTGCTATGAAGCTATAAGAGCAGACTCAAGCAGTAGTTTCCTTCCATCCAATTTCCTGGTAGCATAAGTCTAAGTTTGTTAAACTTTCTTCTGTGTAAGAGCAATAATTCTCAATGACCAAGAAAGATGGAGAAAGGCTATGGGATG
The DNA here is from genome assembly GCF_000001405.40 of Homo sapiens. Lineage (NCBI taxonomy): Eukaryota > Metazoa > Chordata > Mammalia > Primates > Hominidae > Homo > Homo sapiens. Next base: position 1,848,022 of record NC_000018.10, read on the forward strand.
GTCTTCTTCAAGGGAAGACGTCTGAATATTTTCAAACCTATGCATTCCCTGCCAGATTTACCTCTTATTCTGACATGTCTCTACATCTTTATTTACCCCTTTCCCTGGGGAAGAAGTAGTCCTTAACAACTATTAGAAGATTAATATGAGAGAAGGTTCAGACATACACAGTCTTTGGGAAAAGAGTAAGTGATCCTTTAGGATAATGGAAGAAAAAAATGACAAGTGAATCAAAATTGTATATGGGTACTCATTAGGCACAGAAAGATTGAGATCAAACTCTGCAGATTTTTTTATGTAATTGAATTACAGTTAGAGAATATTTAAGGTGAGTTACAAATAATATTAGGGTAAAAGGTGAGGCAATAGTGAGGAATACGGAAAACACTAAGAAGCCCAGCTTTCTCAAGAAAATACCTGCTATTTAGTAGGACCTTCATATTCATTATGTCTTTTTGTCACAACTAGCAAGGTTGATATTATTTTCACTGTACAGAAAAATGAACTGAACATGAGGGAGGGGAAGACTTCAGACCAAGGTCACACAGAAATGGAAAGCAGAGCTGCGATGCAAGCCCAGGTCCATTTCTGCTTTTTCTTTTTCCCCCTGCGTTTTCCACAGCACCAGTGAACCTCATGCTCAGGTTTACAATGCTCCTAATTTTCAGACATGGTGTTGAGAGCCGGGGTCACAGACATAATACGAAAAGGAAGAGAAGTTGTGTATTTAGATTGTGCTGCTAACAATGTTGACTCACATATTTTGGTGTGGATGAGTAGTTAATTAGTCCAAACTGATTTGTGACAGGGGAAATACTGAAGTCATATGACTAATATTTAAGGCAATGAACACAGGCATCTCTGATTATTTCCAGTGCTGACTCAATGTTTCATATGCATAACCACTGATGATTTATTTGGCTTACTACTTGGCTTACCTTAAAGTGTTACAAAGGTGATTGCCAGTGATTCTTCCTATGCACTAGTAACTAAACAGTGACTGAATTTTGCCCTGGGCCAGGGACTGTGTTAAACATTTTCATGGGTTATCTCATGTGATGCTCATGAAAGATTTAAGAGTTAGGTAATATTATTATCCTTACTATATTTATTGTACAAACGAGGCTCAGTGGCTAAGTAACTTGCCCAAGACTACAGATAAAATGATATTGAAGGCATACTATTGATTCTCAAAGCCATCAGGTTAAATCATGTGCTTAGCATTTCAACCATTAGAATGATGTTATCTCACTTGGAAAAAAAAAGTCATTTATAAAACAAATACATTAAAACCACCATTCTGTGAGCAAAATTAGAGAATAATGAAGAATAGTTAGGTCAGTGAAAATTATATGCTTAGAAGATTGGTGTTGGTGGAATTTTTAAATTTTACACTGCAAAAGCCATCCTTTAATCTAAGAGTGGTAGAAACTTGTATTTGAGATTTTCATACAAAACCGAATCGTGTATGAAAATAGTGTAACTTATAAACAGTATATAAGTGCTGGTCAGAAAGAGTGCACGGTCTCTCGGTGTGATTGGGTCATTTTTACTGTTCCCATCAGAGACAGTGTGTATCCATGACAACAGGTGCTACAAGTGCATTGCATTGTTATAAACTCTCCGGGCTTACAGATTTTATTCATCCAGGTTAAAAATATATATATTCTTTCTCTTGTTTAGACAAATAAACATTAGCCTTTACATTAGCATGAAAAGTGTTCAAAATGTGAAGTTTGTTTTGGGTTTGTTTTATACGTAAGAAAAAAACATATTTAAATTTTTAAATTTTTTTTACTATGTGTTTTTCCTTTGTATTAAAATTTACCTCTCCTTACCACAAATTTTCTTTTGTTTCATTAATTTCAGGCATGCATGATTGTGTTTGTCTCTTGAAATATTAATGTAGATTCAATATCTGACATTGGCTTTTTTTTTTCTTGGTTTCTTGAGTAGAATCAAAGTAGAACCACAAAAATGTAATTTAAGTGCTACTGCCATTTAGCCTTAGGACTCACAGACCCCAAATCAGAATATTTTTTCAATTTTAATAGTTTTGTTTTGAAAAATCACATTTCTCAAATAATAATATTTAGTTACTGAAAAATGGCATACATCATGATGCCAGTAACATACTGATTTCTCCTTTAGATGTCATCCATTTATGAGCAAATAGGGCCACGTAATGACACTGGAGCCCTAGAATGGGCTGGTTTCCTCCCCGACACTTTGTCAGAGGAAAATCTCATCAGTGGTTTTCTTCTAGAGAATCCTATGATGTCAAAGTCCCACTTGCAACACCTCCAGATATTCTTGTATTGTGCTAACTCCCCAGCTCATTGATCTCTACCTTTATTTTTCTGTCTAAAGGTCTGAGATAGGGAGGAGTGTTGGGGAAGACTGGAGAGAGAGAAAGGCAAAAGCGTGTCTTTCTATCCATGTAATTAATTTTTCTACGCGAGGGCAAAACAGCATTTCAGTTTTTTTTTCTGTAAAGCTATAACTTGTACAGTTCTATAAGGAGTTTGCTTCCCATTTTATATATATTTTAGTTTCTTATGATAGAAAATGACTTAATATCACTTTGACTATGGCTTTTTAAATAAGGATTTCAGAGGAAGGAATAAAGACAGTGAGGGTGGAAGGCAGGGAGAGAAAAGTAGCCTAATAAAAAGAGAATACAAACTGTGGAGACGTAATAAGGCTTTCCTGCACTCATGCTGTGTCAAACTCATCCCAAATCAGGGAAAGAGGAAGGGTTCTACAATTTAGCAGGAACAGGAAGGCCAGGAAAAGATAGTAGCCACAGGTCAGTTTCCCTAGTTACCTTGTTGCGACCATAGATCTAACACCTCAGAGAATGTGGGACTCTGGGTGACTGTTGTACAGCAAGCAATTTCCGCAGCCACTTTAAGGAGGCCAGCAGCGAGGAGAAAATCCCCAACATGACAAAGGCCTTCTGTTCTATCAATTATTTTTTTCTATCAATTTGTAGTGATTCCTTTTCTATTTGACAATGGCTGTAGATACGCTGTTTGTAAGTATGGTTGATGGGTAGGAAAATTATGAATTAGAAAATAGTTGTATCAGTTAATGAAACACAGATCAACTAAACATCTTGGACCAAACTGGAGATGGAAATAAAATCCCGTCCGGGGAGGTGAAGGGCACAGCAGGGCATGGGGGTGGAAATTCTTCCATACAAAGTAAAAATCCATTGCCAAAACTCAAAGGTGCCCAGTGCAGAGGGGATGGGCAGGGACACTCCTTGGAGAGATGGAAGAGCACCAGAAGCCTCATCCTGTGTGAGGGTTTGACAGGTGGGACTGGGAGCCCGAGTTGTAGTTCGGTTTGGGTGTGTATCTCTACCCAGTCTCCAGTGGGCACTGTGAGGACCAGAGCAGCACAGCCACCACACTGCTAACTATAAGCTCATGCCACTCATTTTATGGGATTCTGACCACTTTGCACTTTTCCACAATCTAAGGAGGCCTTAGTAGACTTAAAGAGCTGAACGCTTTACTCTGTACCAGAACCTTGTGAGTTAGCCACCACTGTCCACATTTCATGAGAAAAGAAACTAGAGGCTGGATGCAGTGGCTCACACCTGCAATCCCACCACTTTGGGAGGCTGAGGCGGGCAGATCACTTGAGGTCAGGAGTTCGAGACTAGCCTTGCCAACATGGTGAAACCCCGTTTCTACTAAAAATACAAAAAAAAAAAAAAAAAAAAAACATTAGCTGGGTGTAGTGGCACATGCCTGTAATCCCAGTCACTCGGGAGACTGAGGCAGGAGAATTGCTTGAACCTGGGAGGCAGAGGTTGCAGTAGGGCTCCAGAGAAGTTCAGCATGACCCCAAGATTGATACATTTCTACAGTACACACTTTGCCTGCACTGCAAAATTCCCAAGCAATTATTTTGGTGTTTATAAAGCTGGAGGCAGAGACACTTTGATGCTTTCTTTTCTTAAAAAATAACTCCTGGCCGGGCGCGGTGGCTCACGCCTGTAATCCCAGCACTTTGGGAGGCCGAGGCGGGCGGATCACGAGGTCAGGAGATCGAGACCATCCTGGCTAACACGGTGAAACCCCGTCTCTACTAAAAATACAAAAAATTAGCCGGGCGTGGTAGCGGGCGCCTGTAGTCCCAGCTACTCGGGAGGCTGAGGCAGGAGAATGGCGTGAACCCGGGAGGCGGAGCTTGCAGTGAGCCGAGATCGCGCCGCTGCACTCCAGCCTGGGCGACAGAGCGAGACTCCGTCTCAAAAAAAAAAAAAATAACTCCTTTTTAATTAAAAAAAAGCATTCTGTGAACACATTTATTCACTTTTTTTTATTTAAAATACCTAGGTAGTCCTGATTTATTTTAAAAGAAAGAAAAAAAAAAGCTGCCTGTCCTGTAACACACAAATTTCTTCACTGTAGCTGTTCGTGTAGCTAAGTAGAAACATACATAACAAAAGTTGAAAATTCATCCCTGACGCAAGATAATGTTAACTGTCCAGTAGAAATAAGATAAAATGTTGCATAAATAAAATCATGCATGCTAACTTGACATAATAGCCTTTTTTTATATTGAATGACGTGTGCAAACAAATGCATCATAAATGAAATTGCAGCAAATACTGGGGCATGAGAAGATCTCATCAGTAGTTAAGAAGTATTCTAACACTAGGTAACTGTGTCCAGGTTGCTCAAAATGTGGTGACACGAAACAATGATATAAACTGTGAAGAAAATAGATGTTGTTGAAATAAGAAAGAATAGCCAAGAAATGCCAAAGACTTGAACTTTGTACTAAGCTGTTACTTACCTGTTAATTTCAGCAGTAGATTGTTAGTTCATGAGAGTCGGGAATGAAATAATTTACTTTTTATTTTGTGCCCCCTCCCCTCACCTTTACCCCAAGCATAGCGACCTACATGAAAGATACACAATAAATGCTCAGTGAATAATTAATTGATTGATGTGGACTGTTTGAGATTTATCAACCTAAAATGAAAGCCTCTGTCAGACTTCCATTGTCCACATAAATGCCCAGAGATGAAGGATGGTTATCAGGTAGAAAACGAACCATGTAAAATACCCAGGAAGTATTTGAACTTTTAGGACATCTTCAGTATAAGAGAATATAAAGGAATAGTGATATAAGAATATACAGGTTTGCAAAAGGCAATTAGAACAAGAAGTTTTCATATCATCAAGTATCATTTAAACTATTCTGAACAGTACAAATTTTAGGAGAAAGATCTCAGTCAAGGTTAGAATGGAGTAAAGTGGTTAGCAGCATTTTTTTTTTTACTTTTTTAACCAAGTAAGAGAAAAAGAATTATAATTTTTCCATGCAGCATTTTTTCTAAAGCTAGAAAGTAGTTTTAGTTTCTATAGGATTTGTCACAGTCCCTTGTAAAGTCAGAGCTGTTAACTGGGCAAATTCTTGGTGGCCTCAGGGTCTTTCTCAAACAGGGATGTGAATCCTCCATCTTTAGATGGCATTAGCTTTCAGCTAAGCCTCTATTTCAGAGGGCATGGTTTTCCCACCGCTGTGAGGAACACAGAAAGAACACGTAGAAAGAAAATCCACTGAGGCCATTGTGTAGCTTGCTGCCCTCCTGCATTTCCTTAATCTGCTGGAAATTTCATTTTCTGATGCTTTTCTTTTCAATAGGAGAAAGAAAAGCCAGCTTTGGGGGGAGGGGATGGGGGAGTGGGGAAAGTACCCACTAGTTATCTAACTTTCCATACTTTTTCCAGTTTTTGAGGTTTTGAAGTCGTCAGTGGCTGATAAGCAAGCACTGTGTTCCCTATCTGTAGATTTTAGGAATCCTGACTATTTAAAAGGGCTCAACTGTTCTTTGGCCTGTAGCCTCACAGAGCAGTCTATCTATCCAATATAACACATTTTTTTACAACCATAGGGGGAGTATTGGGCTCCTCTTTTGTGGAAGTGACAATTGCTTTTCACTGAGTGCCGCTAGCATCAGGTGCTTAGACATAGAAATGCCTAACTATAATTTTCACAAAGAAGGAGAAGGAAGATATGAAGAGGGAAATTCCAGTTCTTGCCACCAATTCTATGACAGGTGACAATCCACTCCTGTGAGAATCTGGCAGTTTGGGGGTGGCTGTTGGCAGGAAGAAAGAGATAAATAAGGTAACATATACAATTCCTATCTTGCAGAAATTTTTCCCCAGCCTAATGAAAATAACAATAGCAATACCAATTACTGGTAAGCATCTTGGAACAATGAGCCAAAATAATGCCTTCATTAATACCTAAGCTTTGTCACTGTCAGAAAGCCAGGTTCTCAGTTCCACAATTCTAAGGGGTTGTGAGAGTGGAGGCATCCAAATAGGTGCTGGATATTATGCTGGAGAAGGCAACTGGGCATGCTAATGTATGACTTTTACTAGTCTGAGCCACGGACAGGCAGCACAGTCATTAACTAAGTACATGTGAGATACACAAAATCCCAGCCTTGCCCACCCCCGTCCCCATGTATTATTGAATTGTCAGAGGTGTTTGAACTCCAGTGACTCCATCTTGAATAGGGGGTGGATAAAATAAGACTGAGACCTACAGGGCTGCATTACCAGGAGGTTAGTCATTTGTCTTAGTCAGAGTTCTCTAGAGGGACATAACTAATGAAATATATGTGTATATGTATGTGTGTGTATATATATATACACACATATATATACACACACATACATATACACATATACATATACACATATATATATAAAGGGGAGTATATATATACACATATATATATAAAGGGGAGTTTATACACACACATACATATACACATATACATATACACATATATATATAAAGGGGAGTATATATATATACATATATATATAAAGGGGAGTTTATACACATAAAGGGGAGTTTATACACACACATACATATACACATATACATATACACGTATATATATAAAGGGGAGTATATATATATACATATATATATATAAAGGGGAGTTTATTAAGTATTAACTCACATGATCACAAGGTCCCACAATAGGCTGTCTGCAGCCTGAGGAACAAGGAGAGCCAGTCTGAGTTCCAAAACTGAGGAACTTAGAGTCTGATGTTCGAGGGCAGGAAGCATCCAGCAGAAGAGAAAGATGTAGGCTTGGAGGCTAGGCCTGTCTCTCTTTTCACATTTTTCTGCCTGCTTATATTCTAGCTGCACTGGCAGCTGATTACATTGTGTCTACCCAGATTAAGGGTGGGTCTGCCTTTCCCAGCCCACTAACTCAAATGTTAATCTCCTTTGGCAACACCCTCACAGACAAACCCAGGATCAATACTTTGCATCCTTCAATCCAATCAAGTTGCCATTCAGTTTTATCCATCAAAAGTCCACCCCTTGTCAACTTGAACCCATACACATCTCCTGAGATCATAATCTTCAAATAAAGAGAATAATAAGGTTATAATTGCACCTAACATAGTACAACTATCCTTCATATAACCGGAAATGCACCAATCCCCAACCCAAATACTATTACGTAAAGTTAACAATACTTAAATGCTGATGTGAAGTCAATAAATGTATGTCAAATGATAAAGAAGAAAGGAAATAAAAAGAAGATATTTTCTTAGTACAAGTGTATACATGCACAAACACGTTTTGAACCAAAGGAGAAAATATTCATGACAATTGCAGTCCTCATTTCTGCACCTGGTCACGAGGTCATAGCTGGTATTGATGACTACCTTCTTCTACTACGCATTCTGTATTCCCTTTGCTGTCAGCAAGCACCTCAGCAGGTCATGGTTTTTTTTCCTGGTGGAGTGACCCAAACCTTCATTCCTGAAGGGTCTGGACCATTTGTAGTCCTCCCTGGATTGGGCTGTTGTAGTTTCCCATTGACCTTAATCACAGCACATGGTAATACTAAGAGATGCCCTAATAGATCTCCTGTATTCCATACATGCTCTTCCTTACCTCCATTGTGGAGTAGTAGACTGATTTCATCTTGATAGTCTGGGTCAATCACCCCAGACAACACTGTTACCCTCTACTTAGCCTTAAGTCTGACTTAAAGGTTGGAGGAGCCCAAAGTGTCCAGGTGGCAATCTTAACTTCCAGTTTAATGGAATCATTGTTGTGTCTCCTGGTGGCAGCTTTCCTCCCTCCAGAACTAAGACCTCTAGGCCAGCAGACTGTAATGTTGTGGGAAAAGGAAGCAAACATTTTGCTAGTGGTCACTAGGGGTGATGGTGAGTGGAGCCGTTTCCACCCCTTTGTTCCTGGACCCCTGATTTTTGACTATTGGAGAAACAGTACCAAATATTGGACACTGATTCAGAGCATCCAAGGCCTTCTGGAGAAACTTGCCCCAGCCCTGCAAAGTATCGTCACCTAGTTAGCAGTGTAATTGTGATTTCGAAAGGCCATTCCACCGTTCTATCAATCCAGCTGCTTCAGTATGATGGGAAACATGGTAAGACCAGTGAATTCCCTAAGCATGAGACCACTGACGCACTTCTTTAGCCATAAAGTGAGTGCCTTGGTCAGAGGCAATGTTGTGTGGAATATCATGATGGTGGATAAGGCATTCCATGAGTTCACAGATGGTAGTCTTGGCAGAAGCATTCCATGCAGGATAGGGAAACCCATATCCGGAGTAAGCGTTTATTCCAGTAGGGACAAACCTCTTCCATTTCCTTGATGGAAGAGATCCAATACAATCAATCTGCCACCAGGTAGCTGGCTGATCACCCCAAGGAATGGTGCCATATTGAAGGCTCAACATTGGTCTCTGCTGCTGGCAAACTGGGCACTCAGCAGTGCCCATATCCAAGTCAGCCTTGGTGAGTGGAAGTCCATGTTGCTGAGCCCATACATAACTTCCATCCCTGCCACCACAGCCACTCTGTTCATGGGCCCACTGGGTGATGACAGGGGTGGCCTGGGAACAGGTCATCCTATCCACTTGATTATTAAGATCCTCCTCTGCTGAGGTCACCTGTTAGTGAGCACTCACATGAAACACAAATATCTTCACAGTTTTTGACCACTCAGAGAGGTCCATCCACATACCCGTTCCCCATATTTCTTTGTCACCAATTTTCCAATCATGCTTCTTCCAAGCCCCTGACCATCTAGCCAAACCTTGGCTACAACCCATGAATTAGTATATAATTGCACATCTGGACATTTCTCCTTCCGTGGAAAGGGCACAACCAGGTGCACTACTCAAAGTTCTGCCCACTGGGAAGATTTCCCTTCACTGCTGTCCTTCTTCAGGGATGTCCTGGAAAGGGGCTGTAGTGCTGCAGCTGTCCACTTTTGTGTGGTGCCTGCATGTCATGCAGAAGCATCTGTGAACCAGGCCCTAGTCTTCTCTTCCTCTGTCAACTGATCATAGGGAATTCCCCATGAGGCCATCACTGCAGGCTGGAGGAGAGAAGGCAGGAGTGGAGACCATGGGCATTTCAGCCACTTCCTCATGTAAGTTATTCCATGTAAGTTACTCATGCCTTCAGAACCTGCTCGAGCCTGATCATGTATATACCACTTCCATTTGATAATGGAATGCTGCTGTGCACAACCCACTTTATGGCTAGATGGATCAGAAAGCACCCAGTTCATGATAGGCAGTTCAGGTCGCATGGTGACTTGGTGACTCATAGTCAAACGTTCAGTTTCCACCAAAGCCCAGTGTAACAGCCTAAGAGCTGTCTCCCAAAAGGAGAATGGTTATCTGTAGAAGATGGCAGGGCCTTGCTCCAAAATCCTAGAGGCCTCCCGTGATTCACCTATGGGAGGCTGCCAAAAGCTCCAAACAGCATCCCTATCTGCCACTGACACTTCAAGCACCATTGGATCTGCTGGGTCATATGTCCCAAGTGGCAGAGCAGCTTGCAGAGCAACATGGACCTGTTGCAGATCCTTCTCCTTTTCTGGACCCCACTCAAAACTGGCAGCCTTTGGGTCACTCGATAAATGGGCCAGAGTAATACACCCAAATGAGGAATACACGTGTTGCCTCCAAAATCCAAATAGGCCCACTAGGCATTGCGCCTCTTTCTTGGTTGTAGGAAGGGCCAAATACAGCAACTTATCCTTTACCTTAGAAGGAGTATTTCAACAGGTCCCACAACACTGGACCCCCAGAAATTTTACAGAAGTAGAAGGTCCCTGAATTTTAGCCAGATTTATTTCCCATTCTGTGGCACGCAAATATCTCACCAATAAGTTCAGTGTGTTTTGCTACTTCTTGCTCACTGGATCCAATCAGCATAATGTCATCAGTGTAATGGACCAGTGTGATATCTTGTGGAAGCGAAAAGCGATCAAGTTCTCTCTGAATAAGATTATGACACAAAGCTGGAGAGTTGATATACCCCTGAGGTAGGACAATAAAGATACATTGCTGGCCTTGCTAGTGGAAGGCAAATTGCTTCTGCTGGGCCTTATGGACAGCAATGGAGGAAAAGGCATTTGCCAAGTCAATGGCTGCATACCAGGTACCAGAAGATGTGTTAATTTGCTCAAGCAATGAAACCACATCTGGTACAGCAGCTGGATTTGGAGTCACCACTTGGTTAAGCTTACGATAGTCCAGTGTCATTCTCCAAGATCCATCTGTCTTCTGCACAGGGCAAATGGGGGAGTTGAATGGGGATGTGGTGGGAATCACCACCCCTGCATCTTTCAAGTCCTTTTTGGTGGCACTAATCGCTGCAGTCCCTCCAGGGATGTGACATTGTTTTTGATTTACCATTTTTCTAGGTAGAGGCACTCTAATGGCTTCCATTTGGCCTTTCCTACCATAATAGCCCTCACCCTACCAATCAGGGAGCCAATGTAAGTGTTCTGCCAGCTGCTATGTATGTCTATGCCAATTATGCACTCTGGCTCTGGGGAAATGACCACAGAATGAGTCCAGGGACCCACTGGACGCACTGCAAATCTGACTTAAGCTAAACCTTCATTAATTACCTGACCTCCATAAGCCCCTACTTTAGCTGGAGGACCACAATGACGTTTTGGGTCCCCAGAAATCAACGTCAGCTCAGAGCAAGTGTCCAGTAGTCCCTCAAATGTCTGATTATTTCCCTTTCCCCAGTGCACAGTTACCCTGGCAAAAGGCTGGAGGTCTCCCTGGGGAAGGATGGGAGAAAGATTCACTATATAAATTGTTGGTAGTGTAGTGGGATCCTTCCTCAAGGGGACCCAGCCTCCCCTTCATTCAAAGGGTTCTGGGTCTGTAAACTGGTTCAAGTCTGGAAATTGATTGAGGGGCCATAATTCTCTGTGTTTATAATTCAAATTAGTTTTCTGTCCATTCAACCTGAAGTTTTCTGCTTGTATAAATTAAGTAAGAATGCAGTAGGCTTCCTATCAATTTCACTTCTAGAAATACCATGATTAATTAGCCAATGCCAGAGCTCTACATGTCAGACTATTTTGACTGCCGCTTTACTTCTGCTGTCCATTACGGTAACTACACTCACTCTGCCTGTGATGTTTGGATGCTGCCACTTGGCCCCTGCAACCTCGAGATCCAATTATTCCCATTGTATTTAAATTTTGTAGTTGAGTGACTGCAGTTTCCACTGTTAAATCTGACATACAGAGAAGAGCAATTACAGGTCTCTTCAAAGATGCAGGTGCTGCCCTCACAAGTCTATTTCAAAAGGCATTAGTCAAGAGTATATCTTCTGGACTAATCTACTCCACCATCTCAATCTCCCTAAGCCTTTGGTCCCTTCCTCTACATTAAACAGGGAGATTGGACATTTCTGGCTTGCTCACAGTGGACCAGCTTTTAATCCATATTTCAGCTAACCAAGCAAATAAAGTAATTGAATCTTTTTTAACTCCCCAAGCTGCAACATTAAATGCAGACTCCCTCCTTAGTGGGCCCAAATCAATAAATTCAGCCTGATCCAACTCTATATTCCTTCCACCATTATCCCACTCCCTTAATATCCATTCCCATGCCTGTTCTCCAGATTTCTGTTTATATAAATTAGAAAACTCAAGCAGTTCCTTTCGATTGTAGTGCTCCTCCTCATGGGTCACACTCTCAACCTCATCTCTGGGGGCCCACCAAGACTTTAGTCTAGTTATAGGCCTAGAAGCAAACAGGGGTGTTGGAGGTGGCTTCTGAGGAGAATCAACATTATCTGGCCTGGCAACTGCCTCAGGGAAGGCCATCACTGTTGCCTCAGGCAGCGCAGGGTTTATCTCCTCAAATGTGGAAAGGCTGAGGGCAGCATGGGTTGGGGAGAGGATGTTGCTACTACCGGGGATCGGGAAGCTGTTTCTTCTGGCAAAAAAGGTTAATCAGACCTTACAAACTCAGTGTCCCCAGCTTCATCATAGTTTTCCCACATGCCCCCATTCCAAGTTGCAGGGTCCCTTTCTTTTCCAATCAATGCCCTCACTTTAACAGTAGACACCTGGTGAGGCTGTGCATGCACCTTTCATTGCAGGTCAGCCACCCACATGATAAGAGCTTATGTATGTTTTCCCAAAACTTCAGCTCTTTCTCTACAGGATATAAGACTCTCACTCAGGGCAATCTTAGCAGATTTGAGGCTCACTATCTGCTTCTGAAGCTGGGAGATAGAATTCATCATTTTCTTTCATCACTTTGTCTGCTGAACTTAGGAGCAACCAACCAGCTTCATTATGTTCCTTGGTTCTCCACACATGATCAAAGGTATTATATATAGAGTCACTAAACTCCTTGCCTCTCAGGAGTGATGAATCAGAAGTGTCAAATGCATTTATTTTGCATAACTCTCTGAACAGTTCATGCCAAGGACTATTAGTGTTCTCCATACCATTAGAAAGAGAGTCCTTTGCAATTTTTGTCTAATCATATTAAGCAGCCAACTCCAGAAACCTCAAAACCACTGAAAAAAATCCATTCTTAATATTCTGTTCCTCTAGAACCACTCCTGGTACCAAAATCTGTATTAGTCAGGGTTCTCTAGAGGAACATAAATAACGGAATATATATATATTCCTTTATACATACATACATATATATGTGTGTGTGTGTATATATATATATATTTATATATGGGAGTTTATTAAGTATTAACTCACATGATCACAAGGTCCCACAGTAGGCTGTCTGCAGGCTGAGGAACAAAGAGAGCCAGTCCAAGTTCTGAAACTGAAGAACTTGGAGTCCAATGTTCAAGGGAAGGAAGCATCCAGCACAGGAGAACGTTGCAGGCTGGGAGGCTAGGTCAGTCTCTCTTTCATACTTTTCTGCCTGCTTATATTCTAGCCACACTGGCAACTGATTAGATTGTGCCCACCCAGATTAAGGGTGGGTCTGCCTCTCCCAGTCCACTGACTCAAATATTAATCTCCTTTGGAAACACCCTCACAGACACACCCAGGATCAATACTTTGTATCCTTCAATCCAATCAAGTTGATGTTTAGTATTAACCATCACAGCATTCCAAGTCACAGGATGAAATAGGAGGTCAGCACAAGATGCAGGTCACAAAGACCTTGCTGATAAAAGGATGCAGTAAAGAAGCCAGCCAAAATCCACCAAAACCAAGATGGCAATGAAAGCGATCCCTGATGGTCACCCTCACTGCCCATATGTTAATTACAATACATTCGCATGCTAAAAGATACTCCCCACCAGAGCCATGACAATTTACAGATGCCATGGCAACATCAGAGAGTTACCCTATATGATCTGAAAGAGGAGGAACCTTCATTTCTGAGAATTGCCCAACCCTTTCCCAGAAAACTCATGAATAATCCACCCCTTGTTTGCATCTAATCAAGAAATAACCATAAAAATAGCCAACCAGCAGGCCTTGGAGCTGCTCTGCCTATGGAGTAGCCATGCTTTATTCCTTTATTTTCCTAATAGACTTGTTTTCACTTTACTCTATGGATTCACCTCGAATTCTTTCTTTTATGAGATCCAAGAACCCTCTTTTGGGGTCTGGATTGTGACCCTTTTCCAGTAGCAGAATCATAATGTGCATTTTAACAAACATAATTTTCATGTGGAAAAAAACTGAGTTTCAATAAGAATTTACTGCAAAGTTTGGAATAATCTGTATTTTTTTAGTGTATGTTAAGACTTACAGAGCTATGAACAAGATACTTGAGGATAAAATGTCCCTATGGGTAAGGTGGTTAAAACTGAAAAGAAGTTAAACCAATTTAGTTTACGTAGAGCTTTTTGGAGACTGTTCTGCTAAGCTGCACTTAAACGCTACAAAGAGGAGACAGAGTGTGTAGTGTACTCCTATAATTTTCACCTGTGCTATTATTGTTACAGAGCAGCTTTTGGGACTATTGTTTGGTTTGTTACAAACTACTTGGTGTATTGTAGTAAGTACATAGGATTTTAGCAGAAAAAGAGGAAAATACTGACTTCATTTCCAAAAGAAAACTATTGAACTATAAGTTCAATAATTTTCTATTGAACTATATATGTAAGTTATAGATATATAATGTATATAACTATATATTTACATATATTTTATATATATTTATATTTATATATTTATATATTTATTATATATTATTTATATATTATATATAAATAATATATTTTATATATATTTACATATAGTTATATATAGTTATATACATTATATAACTATATGTATATATGTATATATATGTGTGTGTATATATAATTATGCTCACTATGACCTGGAGGAACCAGAAAGTTTGCAGTTTAATTTATAACATAAGTTCATATAAATTGCATAAAACCTTAAACTACAAATTTTCTTTTACAATGTCTGATATTTCATCAAAAATAACCAAACAGGCTTCTCCCACTGCTTAGGATGTAGTCTAAGAGACTGTCATTCTCACAATAACAATGAGGTACAGCTGAATAAGCTACATACAAAACCACATTAAAGATTTTAAAAATTATAATTAGAAGTAAAAATGCATAGAAGGCAAAATAGATTAAAATCCAGATGGTGATGAGTCTTTTCTTGGAAACAATACATATAACCTCCTTTCATCAGGAGTCATCCCCCTGCAACAAGGGTATGGAGAAACCAGCCAAATTTAAAAAATAGTTTTAATAGCTACATGTGAGTTGGCAGAATGGATTTAAATTCTGAGGAGCCTGGGCCATAAAATGACTCTGTACACACCCACCATCTCTAACCTATGGACCTTCCTGTAAGTAGAGCATAGAGTAACCAAAAGAAATTACTTGGAGGCTCCCCAGGCATTGAAATGTAGAAAGGCAGTGGCTGCTAAAGGATCAAGATCAGGAAGAAAGGCTCAGAGAAATCCCCCCACATCCCAGGGCCCTGGGGCCTTCAGTTTGAGCCACAAGTGCCACATTAAGTCCTCAGGACAGGGCAGCACAATAGATAGAATGCTCCCAAGGTGTAAGAAAGCAATGGACAGAACTGCAGAGCGAACAGAAAATGCCATAAATCTAGAAAGTTAACATCCAGTTAAAGAGCAGAAATACATTTTCTGTGGTTCAGAAAGCAGGTATGTAGACTATAAAACATTAAGGTGTCATTGGCATCTCAACAATGCTCAAATCCAAATCCCTGCTGAGGGAAGTGCTGATCCCCCCCGTCAAAATATATGAAGCTAGAGGTGAAATTAATATAACTGAATCTCCTAAGCCCAGACAACGCTTCACTGTAGAGTAAATCAACTTGTCTCACTGTACTAGTGAATGTGTAGGGAGACACACTGACAAAGAAGGGTAAATATTTTTATGAGGATAAATATTATTTACTTGTTTCTCTACTGCTTTTTTGTTTCTTTTTCCAGACAAAATCTGTAATACATTAAACATTTATGAGACACACAAAGATGAAGGAAAATGGTCAATAGACGGAAGGGTGAATATTAAAAGGTAGAGATTACTCAGATTTTATAATTATGACATAAGGACTTCATGATACATATATTAGTCCACCTATTAGAAAAGGTAAACAGCATGTGTGAACAGATGATGAATTTTAGCTACAAAATAAAAGCTATAAAAAGAAGCTAATGAGAATGCTAGAGAGAAAAAAAATTATATCAGAAATAAAACACATATTTGATGATTTAATAGCAGATGGGACACAGCAGAGGAAATAATCAGCAAACTTGAAGAAAGATCTATAGAAATTATCAAAATAAATTAAAAAGGAAAAATAAACAATAAAAATGGAAAATCCAAGATCTGTAAGTCAATATGAAATGTCTAATACTCTTTACTTGAAATACCAGAGAAGAGAAAGAGAATGTGAAAGAAGAAACACTGGAAGAGATAATGCTCAAGAATCTCCCAAATTGATAAAAGACATCAACCCACGGATACAATGAGCTCAAGGATTTCCAAACAAGATACATACAAAGAAAATCACTCTTAAGCCTACCATGGTCAAATTGCTGAAAATAAAAAATAGTGAATCTTAAAATCAACAGGAAGTGGGGCAAGGGTGGAGAGAAATATGTCAGATAGGTCATGAAAGATAGATAGGTCAATGAAAACAATGATAGCTGAATTCTTATTAGGGACAATGTAGGCCAGAAAGCAACAGAAACACATTTTTAAAAGGCTAAAAGAAAAAAAAAGAGCTATCAATAGTTAACTACCTCTATTTATCAAAATATCAAAATATTCTTTAAATAAAAAGGCAAAATAAAATATTTTCAGAAAAACAAAATTTGAGAGAGTGTACACTACAAAAATAACTAAAACAAGTTCTTTAGAGTGAAGGAAAATGAAACCTAAGGAAAACCCAAATCTGTAGGTAGAAAAGAAAAATACCAGATTTGGCAAATATAAAAGACATTTTAAAGTATTTTCAACAAATTCAGCTGAGAAAAATGGATATTCACATGTAAAATAATGAAGTTGGACCTTTGCCTAATATCATATACAGAAATTAACTCAAAATGTGTCCAAGATCTAAATGTAAGGTTAAAAACTGTAAAACTCTAAAACATAGGGCAAAAACTTCATGAAATAAGAATTGGCAATGATTTCTTGGCTATGATATCAAGGTACAGGTGACAAAAGAAAGAAAATAAATTGCACTTCATGAAAATCAAAAGTTTTGTGCATCAAGAGATAATATACACAGAATAAAAGGCAACTATAAAATCAGGGATAATATTTGTGAATTATATATCTGATAAGTGATTAATAGCCAGAATATGACAAAAAATAACCCGATTCAAAAAGGGGCAAAAGACTTGGATCAGCTTTTCTCCAAAAGAGATACTGATAGGGACAGGAGACAGATAAATTCCTAGGGAGACAGAAGTGTGTCCCCAGTGAAACCCAACCGTCAAACCAAAGCCTGAAAACTGAGCTACTGGTTCTGGGCATAGTCCACGACTGGAGTAAGAACTTCCTCAATGCCTTTTAGCCAATGGAATGATGACTTTTCCAGGCCTGTTCATGGACCAATCAGCATGCACTCTCCCATTCTAAGCCCATAAAAACCCTGGACTCAGCCTCACAGATGGCTACCCACTTCCATGACCCCTCTCACACAGAGGGCTACCCACTTCATGTTCCCTCTCATTTCTGAAAGCTTTTCTGTCACTCAGTAAGATTCTTCTCTGCCTCACTCACTCTCCAAGTCCATGTACCTCATTCTTCTTGGTCGGGGACAATAACCCAGGAGCAAAAAAGGCGTGCTCCTGGCTGGTTCACTGAGCTGCAGGTGGCATGAATTAAAAGAGATGTGACATGCTCCCATTTGCCAGACTACAGGAGCGAAGAGCTGCATCCCTTCTGGGAGCCCAGACTTCAAGACTCCCTGAGCCAGAGTATAACACACAGAGAACTGTGGCATTCCCTGGTGGCTTAGACCTCGGTACTCCCCAAGCAGAAGCTATGGCACCCACTTGGAGCTCTGTGGTTGCTGCTGGCATCTTTGCGTCCCCATTGTCCAGATGCCAGCGTCCAAGACAGAAGCTGGTCATGACACACTGGACCAGACACAGGCTGAGCACAGAACCATGATGGGCACGGGATCCAGGCCAGTAGCACAAGCCAAGTGTAGGCTGCTGGGCTGAGTGTGCAGAACAATCCCAACAGGCCTGAGCAAAGTCCAGGCAGAGACACTGCCAGCTGTGGAGGTTTCTGGCTGGTGAAACAGCACAGAAAGAATCCTGTGTCAATATGTAAATGGCCAATAAGTACATGAAAAGATACTCAACATACTAGTCATTAGAGAAATACAAATCAAAACTACAATGAGTTACCAATTCACACTCATTACAATGGTCAGAATTATAAAAACAGAAAATAACAAGTGTTAGCAAGGTTGTAGAGAAATTGGAGCTCTTGTGCACTGTTGATTACAATGTAAAATGGTACAGCCACTGTGGAAAACAGTATAAAAATTTTTCAAAAAAATCACAAATAGAATTATCATAGGTTCCAGCAATTCCACTTCTGGCTATATACACAAAAGAACTGAAAGAAAGTCTTGAAGAGATATTTGTACACCCACGTCCATAGCAGCATTATTCACAGTAGCTAAAACATGGAAGTAACTTAAGTGTCCATTGATGGAAGAATGAATACGCAAAATGTGCTAAATACATACAATAGATTACTATTCAGCCTTAAGAAGGAAGGACATTCTGACATTCCCCACAACATGGATGAACCTTAAGGATATTATGCTGAGTGAAATAAGCCAGTCACAAAAAGACAAATATTATATGATTCCACTTATATATGACATTTGGAGTAGTCAAAGTCATAGAGACATAAAGTAAAATGTGGTTGCCAAGGTCGGGGAGACAGGGAAATCAGAGTTATTGTATAATGAGATAGAGTTGCAGTTTTACAAGATGGAAAGAGTGACGGAGATGGATGACAGTGATGGTTGCACAAAATTATGAATATATTTAATACTACTGAAATGTACACTTAAAAAGGTTAAAATAGTACATTTATGATATTACATTTTCTACCTATACACACACAATTAAATTTATTTAAAAGACTTGAGTGTCTAAATCAATACTGATAAAATATCATTGGGTTTATGATATAAGTAGAAGTAAAATATGCAAGAACATACAAGAAGGTAGAGGGTAAATAGAATTACACTGTCGTGAAGTTAATTACATTGCTCAATTATTGTTATTTACAGATAGGCCATAATGATACATATAGTAATCTCTAAAACAACCACCAAAATAATACAAGGCATTACCTCAGAAATTCAATAGAGTAAATAAAAGAAGACAGGAAAAGAAAAACAGAGAAAAAAACAGAGGCTCAAATTGAGATATGTAAATAGTCTTAATATGACATTTAATATATGTTAATGGATGAGACACTCCAATTGAGAAGCAGAGTGCTCAGGCTGGATACAAAAAGGCAACATTCAACTATACACTTAAAAAAAACCCACTTTAAATAAAAGGGCACAGACACACTGAAAATAAAAGGGCGGAAAAGATACACCCCATAAACACAATGCATAAGAAATTAGTGGGGCTAGGTTGGTATCAAAGAATTGTCAGAAATAGAGACGTTTCATAATGGTAAAGGGATGAAGTTATCAAGATGTAACAGTCCTAAATGTTTACACATTAATAACAGAGCTTCAAAATACAGAAAGCAAAAACTGGTAGAACTACAAGGAGACACACACACACACAAAAAAACAATAATAGTTGGGGACTTTCACAAGTCTCTCTTAGTAATTGATAAACAGGTAAACACAAAACCAGCAAGTACATAAAAGAGCAGAACAACATGTCAGCCAACTTCACCTAATTGTCATGTACAATGTGCCAAACTCAACACCTGCAAAGTATACTTTCTTTTTGAGTAAAATATTCTATTCACCAGATTAGACCATACACAGGGCCTAAAACAAGTTCAATAACATGTTATACATAAAACAATTTTAAAAGTCATATGAATCAAATTTTTTATTGTTGAAAAATATGTATTGCATATATTTATTAAAAAATAAAGATTTGGGCATATGTATAAGAGCAGAGCAGAAATTATATATAACAATTGGAGGGAGAAGATACCACTAGACATTGAGATGAAATGATTACCACAATTGCATCTTGAAAGGGCTAATACTTCTAACAGTGAACACGAAAAGAA
This sequence comes from Homo sapiens, assembly GCF_000001405.40. NCBI lineage: Eukaryota > Metazoa > Chordata > Mammalia > Primates > Hominidae > Homo > Homo sapiens. Next base: position 1,868,121 of record NC_000018.10, read on the forward strand.
AAACTAACTTTTGCTATATAATGCTTTTTTTTAATAATAGAGAATGCATAACTTGATTTGCAAAATAAATTTTCTGAGACCTAATCATAAACATGTTTAGTGCAAAGTAATTTATAAAATGGAGTGACCGTATTTTCAAATATATTTTTACAAAATTTTGCAATTCTAAACTATACAAAGTTGGAGAAAAACCATTTAATTAACCTGATTGTATTATTTTATGTTAATTTGGTAGCCCAAATAAAAGGGGAGACATATGTGTGTATTTTAAGCCTCTGCATTAAATTAAGGTCATTCCCCTGAAGTTGCACTGCAGAATTGTGTGTGTGTGTGTGTGTGTGTGTGTGTGCATGTGTCTGTTATACAATTGAATTTAACATAGCTTTATATCAACCATCTGTCTGTCTTTGAAGGCATTCAGTATGCCTCCCTTACATTTATAATGATGTGCTTTTAGTTCATTCACATAAAGGGATGCATGTTAGTGAAATATGCATTCTTTCAAGTCAGAGCTCATTGGTTCAGCCACCACCTCTACTATCCACACTGTGACACTTCAGCAAGTTTTGGGTACACAGTTTTGTTAAAGAGAAAGATAAGAGTCTGCACTTGGTAGTATTATATTAAGATTTTATTATATTAAGATTTAATTAACACAGTTTTACATAATATGCACTTCTTGAGTTATAAAATATATGAATACATTTATACAACTAGAAACAGTGAAATAAAAATCAAATCTAATGAGCAAGATTAGGAGAATTGGGCTGGTTGCAGTAGCTCACACCTGTAATCCCAACACTTCGAGAGGCCAAGGAGGGAGGATCACTTGACCCAAGAGTTTGATACCAGCCTGGGTAACATGATGAAACCCTATCACTACAAAAAATTAGCCAGGCTTGGTGGAGCATGCCTGTAGCCACAGCTACCCACGAGGCTAAGGTGGGAGGATCACCTGAGCCTGGGAGGTCGAGGCTCCAGGGACCCATGATCACATCACTGCACTCCAGCCTGGGTGGTAGAGTGAGACCCTGTCTCAAAACAAACAAACAAACAAACAAAACAAAGATTAGGAGAATTGTATATTCATACAATTGAATATTATGTAACCAGGAAAAATCATGGTTTTGGAGAATCATTACTGATGAGAAAAATGCCAATAAAAAAATTAGTACACAGAGTTATAAACTTTTAATGTATGTACCTATGGACTCCAGATGTGTCCAAGCTTATCCAGCATGCACATTCGAATATTGGTAAGGTGTGGATATCTGCAATACATCAGAGTTTAATAAAAAAGAGCAATGACAAAGAAAATTTAATTAACAATTCGTTGGAAATTGTCTTCCAACATTTCTGCAATTGAAATTGTTTCATTGTTTTAATTATCAGTAAAAGAGCGGCATTTTCTTTCTAAGTAAATTAAACTTTCACAATATAAAATGTTGTTCAACTTTTAAAAAATTAACATTGCTTAGTTTACAATTCTATACACAAAAGCATTGTTTTCTAACAAACTTGGATACATTGTAAGATTTAGACATGTCTTTTAGAATACGAATCCTCCACTCATATCTTAGCAAGATAATTGATAGTATATGATGAGTATTAAAATGAACTTCTGGGTTGATATAAAAAGACAGCCATTTAAGGCTCCATTTGAGTTTTCATTATTTATGTCCGATTTAAAATGTGATCAAATGAGAACTTGTAGTCCCCAACCTGGCTGAGTTGCAGCTGACTGTGGTCCACTTAAATAAAGCTTTTACCAAATGTCAGAACCATTGTGCATATTAATTAGAATATGAGTGGCTTATTTGAGGACTATTTCAGGACTGTCTCCAGAAAGGATAATTCATGATTCTTTAAGACCAGAGTGTACGCCATTCGAACAATAACATTAAGAAGGATCATTTTTTTATCTAGCTGCCTCATTGTACTGGCTGGAACAGACACTTCTAATACAATGTTCAGTTTAAGGTCAGAAGAATAATGTTAATCTTGGTAGAGCTTACCAACTCTTATGTATTGCATTAAGAAGAAGGTGATAAAGAAACTAACATGTAAAGAAAACAGGAAAGGGCTAAAGAGATGTTAATTAACATAATTCTTATCCTATGATGTTATTTCTACTATTCCATTAAAGAAACAACCTGTTGGAAGGAAGTAATGGATCACTGCAGTTTTACTATTTTCTTCTAGTTGATTGAGTAAATCCTCGATATTGCTCAGTTAATCAGTTTCAAACTTTATCCTTTACCAAATTAGTCAAGTACAGTCATTTTTTTCTTTCCTAACATCTCCCAAACCCATATGTTATTTCTACTACTACTAACACTATGCTGGATTTATTATCTTCAGCCTAACTATTGTTATACTTCCCTATGTTGTCCCTAGCCTTTAGTGTAGCTATATGCTAATTTATCTTATAGAGCTGAAGTCACTTTCATTCATCATTTTCTTTTCAACAACTTTTACCGATTCTCTGTTATCTATAGATTTAAGTTCAATAGCAACTATAAAGTGATGTCTACACTCAACTCCAATTCCTACCACCCATCGTATACTAGACTATTCTTTTTACAGTAGTCTCCCCTTAATCATGAGAGATACATTTCAGGACCCCCAGTGGATGCTTGAAATCATGGATCATATTAAATCCAAGACCAATATATACATACTTATGATAAAGTTTAATTTATAAATTAGGCACAGTAAGATATTAAAAACAATAATTAATAATAAAATAGAACAGTGACAGCAACATGCCAGCATCACTATTCTTACACTTTGGGGACATAATTAAGTCAAATAAAGGTGACTTGAACACAAACACTACAATATTGTGACAGTCGATCTGATCATCTAGACAGCTACTAAGTGACAAGTGGCCAAGCAGTGTAGACAGCATGGATAGACTGAATCAAGGGATGATTCACATCCCAGGTAGAACAAAGTAGGAAGACGCGATGTCATGCTACTCAAAACAGTATGCAATTGAAAACTTATAAATTATTTCTGAACTTTTCTGTTTAATATTTTTAGACCACGGTTGGCTGCTGATAAACTACAGAAAGTGAAACTGTGGATAAGGGGGGAGCTACTGCACTGCTCTTGGAGAACGTTGTGAATTCTTATACCTTGTTTCTAACTAATTTTATTATCTTCAAAGATTCAGCAGTTTTATTTTTATCTAGCCCTTAAGAATCAGGTTACATTTCATGTCTTCAGTGAGGTATTCCCTGACCACAGTAACCCAAATTAATTGACATTGATATCTTTTCTCCTGATACAGATCATCTGGGGATTCTGTATCTTTATAGTATATATATTATAATTCACAATTAGATTAAGAATGTCTTGAGGGCAGGTATTTCTTTTAATATTTTGATGAATAATAGAGGTAAACATCATGAGACAAACAAATACCTGTGGGTGGTATTATTATCATTTTTCTTTATTTGCTTATTTGGCTATAAATTTGTTAATTTGCATAGCAGCAGAATTATTGTTAAAAAGAAAGAATGGAAGGAGGGACTCCTTTCTCAGTTTCAGAAAGGTAGTAACAATAACCTTGATTATTAGGAGTTTAAAGCAGAGGCCAACAAAAACACACTCATCACTAGCATGTCGGTATTATACTTAATGTAAATGTGACTAGTCTTTTCTTATTCATTTTTTCCAGATTTCTTTTTTATTTTCATTTATTAAATACAGAAGAAATATTTCGCTGAAGACACAGGAAACCCTATTTTGTATAAACGAGGGATTGCAAGAGATTGTTGGAAGATCAAAGATGGGTGAATTGGAGGTAGGTCAATGTTTCCTTCCCTTCTTAGACTCCAGTTCTCTTTAAAAATGGCAACTGAAAACCTAAATACTGACAAAGGCATAAAAATAACCATATAATATCAAATATAGCTATATACTAAACTTTATGAGGTCAAAGACTTTGTCCATCCACTCAGTACTGTATACTCAATATCTAAGACAATTCCTGACACATAGTAGGCATTCTTGAGCATTTGCTGATTGAACGAAGGATTATTCATACTTTTAATCTTTGGCTGAAATTATTTTTATGATAAATTTCATTAAAATTTATTGAGATTTTAGAGAAAATGTTCTATGTAGAATTTTCTTAATTGCTTTTATTTTTATAGTTGAAAACTGGCCATGGTAGACTTTTCTTTTCCCCTCTGTCAATCACAATGATTGGTTACCGGTCACAGCAAGATGATAATGGGCTTTTAGTATCCTCTTTGTGCAACTGTCATATTTTCCCCCTTTGGCTTATGTACTTAATTTTTCATTAATTCTTCTTTCCTGAAATGTAAATATTTTTGCTTAGTAATCATTATAGAAAACAGTAGAGAGGGGAGGAGAAAACAGTACGTTGTTCAAATCATCAAATTCTTAATACCACCTTAGGGCAACAGAAGAATGGCAGTTGTTACTGAATTATGTAACTGAAAGGGAACAAAGGCATTAAAAGAAAGGCTCCATAATGAATCTTCTGGCAGGTTTCAGAGAAAGAAGCAGCTGGGTCTTCATGGCAAGAAAACATAGTGGAACCTATTGGTAAAATATGGTGATGAGTGCTTTCAACATATTCAAAAATATGGTCATTCAGAAAATATATATTTCAAAGTGCCTAAAGATATTTAACAAGATGATATAATGGCCTGAAAGACTATATATTTATAAATTGACAACAATAGCCATATTTTAAATGTTACCTCTCATTTAGGACCTAAAATTGCATCATGGGAAACATTATTTCTCTATTTATAAATTTTGCTAAAACATTTTTTGGAAGGACTTTAGGATTTTTTTTAAACAAAGAGTGAAAATTTCAGGAGCTTGATATCATTTGAGTCTAATGCAATAATCTGCATATCTTGGCACTATTATGAAAAATGAAAACAAAGATAAGCTTACAAATGTAAATGCTAGAGCTAATGATTGTGACACAAATATACTATGGAAACAGCATGGCTCAGTAACTAGGCAACAGATTAGAAACTCAGGTTTAATATCTAATTCTGATTTTCCCCCTGGTTTTTAGCTTTGTGTCTTATCAGCAATGTATTTAATATGTTGACTTATATAGGTGAAGGATAAAAATGGTGCAAATAAGCCAAAATAGCAAATAACTTCCCATTCTTATTTAACTTTGAAATGTCCCAGGTTTTACATTTGAAGAGCGTAAGAGAGCTATGTAAGAGTATCACAGCACTTCACAATAAATGATGAAATCACAGTCAAGACATATAAGATGTTTTGAAAAGCTATGTCTTTTTACTACATTGCCCAATCCATCCTTGAAACAGTGCTACCTATTTGACTTAACTAAGTGCCAACCTACATGGAAGAAGGTGATGTCTTTTTCTATGTTGTCTGACTCTGGTTCAAACAGTCCCAACCTGAAAAAAATATATGTAATTTTCAAACAGAAAAAAGAAATCTTCAAGCTGTGTACCTTATCTGTTCTAGTCAGAATGAAATGGTGACTATGCCAAAAAAAAATTGTAGCAGATAATGTGATAATGTCATTAAAATGTTAACAACACAGTTTCCATAGATGAACACATGTACAATCCTGTTTTTCTTAGATTTCTCCATGTGGAAAATGAGAAACAGGACTAGGTAAAACAACAACAAAAAACCTCACCATGAGCTAAGGTTTTAGTCCTTCATATGCTAGCAGAATGCCTCAAAATATCAAGTCTTCTACTCCATTGCCAAAACCTTCATATCTCTACAAAAACTAAAACGCAGTGGTATGATATTTGCAATCAAGCTTTCTGGATACAACAGTGGTATTTCATAGTTTCCGCTAATGTCACTATTTGCTGCCAAGAATTGGAGCCATTGAACCATTTAATGCATCCAGGCATTATTTTGTGAAAGTTTAACAATTTCAACATTATAAACTGACTTAATATGACCTAATATAAACTAATATTGGTTGGGTAGGTATCATACACTGACATATAAGGTCAACAACAGTGATATTTTGGATCCAGATTCTAACCTCTAATAGATTATAGATGTAAGGTAGTACATTACTCTAAAAGAACAAACAGTAAGGTTGGAGAAAATCGGTTTGTTTTCTTTGTTAAATCCTATATTTTATCAGTTCATTGTTTTCAATAAACATATCTGTATTGATACCAGTCACTGAGCTTAAAGCAGATTTCAGGATAAATGATCTAGATATAGAAACTTCAAAGAAGGAGGTCTCAGGAAAATGCAGTGAGACGTTTAAATAATATAATACAATGGATTAAATGCTATAATTGAATATTTTTAAATATAGCAGAAAAAGGGAGGAAGTAAGTAACTAGATATTAGAAATGGGATAAAGCGTCACTGGGGAGGAAGCAATTTAACTAACTCATAGAATCAGAAAAGTCAGGACCAAACAGATAACATCAGTAAAGGAAAGAAAATAATACACAAGAGAAACAGTAAATGGGCAGAGAATAATGCTGGGTTTTGATGCTGTTTTACTTGAATTTTTATTTTTTCATGGGAGAAGAAACACAAAAAAAGCAAGAGAACCAAGGGTTGTGAAATGCAAGAGCTGAGATATAAGTTCAGAGAAGGAAAAACTTAAGAACGACTAAAGCCACATTTGAGGCTGCCGAGGGATACTTTGTTCCAGGAATCAGGCCACATACAGAAATACAGAGTGAAGATGTGGGGAGAGGACTTATGACAGAATCATAATTAAGACGCAATTCATAATTAAGACATGAATCTCGACAGAAGGAGTTGATCCGGAAACTTTATCCTGACTTGTAGATGCTTCAAGTTGAGAGGTTCTGTAAAACACTTGGTAAATAACAAAGGCTCCAGACATTCAAAAGGATATTCGTAGAATAGGAATCTAAAATACCAAACAGTAGAAAACACAGTAAGGAACATTAACAAAAGAAGAAGCTGCCAAACACATGTACTCTAAAAGTACATAATTCCAATGTTGCTATTTCTGATGAGCCCTAAATTCCTTTGGTTCGTACCTTGACATTTAGAGTGTTTTTAGATCTTCACCAAGCTCTAACTGCTTCAGTGACTAAAGCTCTAATTCTGCAGAATTTATAGCCTTAATGCTGTGTCATATTCTGGAGCCACTTCATTTCACCTGTCTGACCGCCTGGGTCTCAGGTCAACCACGCACAAGCTGGGGGCAAGCCTCAGCACAGAGTTCCTAATGTGGCTCAAGACAGGCTGCTGGAGTTCAATAAATATTGATTGATGGTAATAGGGACAGTATCACTCTCCTTAGATATGTTGTCACTCTGCCTTCAGGAAAACACTGAGAGTCTGTGCTATTCAGGGCAGTTTCTATGGCAGCAGAAATTAAAGGCCAGCAAACTTGAAGCTACACAAAAGTCGTGGGACAACATCATTCTGAATCTTGCATCATTCATGACTGTTTGTATTGTCTCAGCACCAAGAACAGACAAGAATGTTCAATAAGTCTGCATTGTGAACAGTGAAACTGTGACAGCGATGTCATGTTTTTCATAGAACAGACTATTTCCAAGCTAAGGTATAGATTTTTGGAGTGGGGACGAGTGAGGCATAGTCCCTTCTCGTGTTTTAGCTTCAGTCCACAGAGGGGAGAACTTTTTTGGATCTCTTGAGGCAATATTACAGAGAACATGTCTACTTTGCTCTTAGTACACATATTTGCACCTCCTGAGGCCTCTAAGTGGCCAATTTTATTGAATAGATTTTGTTCTAATTATTGAACTGCATTACTAGGGGGTGAGATACCATCCTCTCAAAGGCACCTGTAATGCTCAGTTTCTTCTCCAGCATGTTCCTGGTTAAGAATTACTTACAGATTCCTAGAATCTATGGGCTCGTAAAGAATGGTTTCTTGGAAAATATCACATAAGCTATAGTATAAAATGGAGATGTTTCATAAACTAAACTCTCTCTGCTTTGTGTGTTAGTCTCACAAAACCTTGCTTGAAGGTCCCATCTATTATTTTGAATCAGAGTGGCTGTTTTATAATATATAGTGATATACCCAAAGTTTCTCTCATGTTTTTCTCAGTTTCTTTGGTCTCTAAAAGATATCTTGGAATCAGAACTGCCTCCACAAATTGGGAATAAAAGAACTAAAGTGATTCAGAAGCTTATGTCTTTGTTGGTTGGTTTGTTCTCCTGCTTTTTACTTAGTCTAAAAAAAAAAAGCAAAGCAAAACAAAACAAAGAAATCTAAGAATGGAAAGTAAGCATTCAGGCACAAAAATAGATAAGATTTCTGTTTTCAAGAAGGATGTTGATACCTTTGCTCCAACTTTTAAAATAAATATCATAAGAGAAGGATTTATAATAATTAATTTTAATTTCAAGCTATGTTTAATAGATGTATACACATATATATACACTTATACACATGAATGCCTTTGAGTCACAGAAAATATGACAAGTAAAAGTGTATGTAATACAGATGACAAAAGAGTGCACTTGGACCTTTATTAATTCTGAGTGAGGGGTCTTAGGTCCCTGGAAATAGGGAAGGCAGAATACATGCAGCAAAGGATCTAAAAAGAAAACGAAAACATCCACATGGACATCCTAGGTAAGAACCTAAAATTCTAACCAATGCAAAGAGCAAAAATATTTTTAATCAGGCACTGTGTTTAGTCTTCTACTTTGCTATTTATATTTATTACCAGAACTCTTGAAATATAAACTGCTGAAAGATTTCTAATGGCTAATTTTTCTCTTCTCACCTCGGGGGAATTAAATTGATATCTGGAATGCAAAGGAGACTATCAGCACAACCTCTGCCCCTAACACATCTACCTACACCCCCCTCCACACACACATATGTGCAGTTATCAGAAGACTCAGAAACACTTTCAGCAAGGGTTCCATCCGTATGACTGCTCATCTATAGGAAAAATCACTGCTGTAGACAGTAGCTAGAGGCATATTATGTGGACGTGAGCAAGGAGAAAACCCTATTATCTAGAGCTCAACTTCCATATAACAGATGGATATTGCTATAATCTGAATATATCTCCTAAAATTCATATGTTGATACATAATCCTGAATGTGATAGTATTAAGAGCTGGGGCCTTTAGGAGATAATTAAGTCATGATGATGGAGCCCTTATAAATGAAATTAGTTACCTTATAAAAGAGATTGAAGGGAGAACCCTAAAGTTCCACTGGCCATTCCATCTATCTCTTCTGCCATGAGAAGAGGCAGAATCCCTCTTTTTTATTGCCCTTCCCCCTTCTGTCATGTGAGGATGCTGCCTGGAGAGGATGCCATCAATGGAAAAAGCCCTTACCAGACCACTAAACATGCTGGTGCCTTCATCTTGGACTTCCCAGCCTCCAGTACTATAGGAAATAAAGTTATGTTCCTTATAAATATCCAGACTGTGTTCTTTTTTTGTTACAGTAGCACAAACAGACTAAGACACATGTTAAATGAAATACTGTCCTCTTCAAATTGTACTCCTTTCAATTATCACATTTTTCAAAGCATAATCGGAAAAGAAGTGTAGGGAAAAAAGAAAACGAGCATTAATAAAATGTCTGCTACTTGCCAGATACTATACTAGACATGTTCAGTATGTTATCACACTTAATAACCCAACTTTGTCAGATTTCTCTTCTTATTCCCTTTTTGCATATGAGGCAAAGTGAGATAAAGTAACTTACCTAAGATTAAAAAAACTTATAAATGGAAATGTGGATATTTGACCTTATTTATCTTTCATTGTAGACGAAGCACACAACACCAAAAAATAAAACCCACCTAGCACTCATTCAAATCTATAATAAATAAATTGCATTTTATCCTCACAACAATGCAGTGAATAAGTATTAATACTTTCCACTTTATAGAAGAGAAAAATAAAGGGAAAAATAATAACCAATTGCACATAATTTAAATGGTTGGAGCCAAGATAGAAACTCATCTGTATAATTCCAAACTCTAAGGGCTGACGGTAGCACCCCCCACTCTCCATACTTATGATTTTTGTCTGGATACATTTACTCACACTGGGACTTGCTGGATGGGTAGCTTTAACTCCTTGGGGTCGTAGACTAACTAAATAGGACCAGCTCAGAAAATATAACATCTATTGACCTCAGAATTTCAGCATCATGATAGGGCATTAAAAAGCCTGTCTGTTACGGGTTCTCGGGGACAAAACTGTAGCTCAAAAAATTAGGGTCTAATGACATGTTGCAATAAAGGAGAGCACAGAAAAAGAAACTTAGAATACCTCTCTCCAACAAAGAACTCTATCAGGTTCTTATAGGAATAGGGGGAGGGGAAGGTGATGGAAAAGTGAGGAGTTTAGGTCATTATATTAGGCAGTATTTGGCTTAAAATAAAGCAGGTCTGTGTGTAAAGAGGTTAATTTCAGTCTTTGGCTGAAAGGCAGGTTCAAGTCTATGGTTCTGTGGAAAACACAATGGTGAGATAAATATGAAATGCTGTGTCCATAAATCACTTATCTGGAACTCTGCAAGACTGCCTCTATGCACCAGAGACTCATATCATTCAAGCAAGAGTAGGCTGTCCCATTCTTAGTGAATTGGCATCAAACATCAAAGTTTCTGACAGTCTATGGTTTTAAGATTTGCAGAACTAAGTCCTTTTCTTAATGAACAAATGAGGATTTTACTGATTTACAAGGTAGAGCATGCAACTTCTCAAACTTAGTTGAAACTGCATTTTTATCAAGACCTATATACAGGCATATCTCACAGATAATGTGAGTTCAGATACAGAAAACCACAATAAAGCAAATATCACAATAAAGCAAGTCACACAAAATTTTTGGTTTCCCAGGGCACATAGAAGTTATGTTTACATTATTCTATAATCTGTTAAGTGTGTAATAACTTATGTCCAAAAAAAGAATGTATATACTTAAATTTAAAATACTTTATTTCTAAAAAAAATGCTAACAATCATCTGAGCTTTTGGTGAGTTGCAATCTTTTTGCTGGTGGAGGGCCTTGCCTGGATGTTGATGGCTGGTGACTGATCAGGATGGGGTTGCTGAAGACTGGATTGGCATGGCAATTTCTTAAAATGACACAGTGAAGTTTGCCAGATCAATTAACTTTTCCTTTCACGAAAGATTTTTCTGTACCATGCGATGCTGTTTGATAGCATTTTATTCACAGTAGAACTTTTTTTCAAAAGTGAAGTCAATCCTGAAACCCTGCCACTGCTTTATCAACTACAATGATGTAATATTCTAGATTTTCTGTTGCCATTTCAACAAAGTTCACAGTGTCTTCACCAGGAGTAGATTTATGGCTAGCCAGTTATCCCAGCACCATTTACTGAAGAAGGAGTCCTTTCCCCATTGCTTGTTTTTTTTCAGCTTTGTCCAAGATCAGTTGGTGGGTGTGGCCTTATTTCTGGGTTCTCTTTTCTGTTCCATTGGTCTATGTGTCTGTTTTTCTACCAATACCTTGATATTTTTGTTACTGTAACCCTGTAGAATAGTTTGATGTCAGGTAACATGATGCCTCCAGCTTTGTTCTTTTTGCTCAGGATTGTCTTGGCTATTCAGGCTCTTTTTGGGTTCCATATGGATTTTAAAATAGTTTTCTCTACTTATTTGAAGAATGTTATTGGTAGTTTGATAGGAATAGCATTGAATTTGTAAATTGCTTTGGGCAGTATGTCCATTTTAATGACATTGATTCTTCCTATTCATGTGCATGGGATGTTATTCAATTTGTTTGTGTCATCTCTGATTTCTTTGAGCAGTGTTTTGTCATTCTCCTTGTAGAGATCTTTTACCTCTCTAGTTAGTCGTATTCCTAGGTATTTTATTCTTTTTGTGGCAATTGTGAATGGGACTGCATTCCTGATTTGGCTGTCAGCTTGGTTGATGTTGGTGTATAGGGATGCTAATGATTTTTGTATATTGATTTTGTATCCTGATACTTTGCTAAAGTTGTTTATCAGCTGAAGGAGCTTTTGGGTGGAGATGATGGTGTTTTCTAGATATAGAATCATGTTGTCTCCAAACAGGGATATTTTACTTCCTCTCTCCCTATTTGGATGCTCTCTCTTTCTTTCTCTTGCCTGATTGCTTCCAGAAGATTTTCAATAGACTGTTTAGTTCTATCAGATAAATCACTTATCTGTGGCAGGTATACCCTTACAAAATATATTTCTTAAATAATAACTCTTGAAAGTCAAACTACTCCTTGATCCATGTACTGCAGAATGGATGTTGTGTTAGCAGACATGGAAACAACATTAATCTCTCTGTACATCTTTACCAGAGCTCTTGGGTGACTGTGTACACTGTCAGTTAGTAGTAATATTTTGAAGAGAAGTAGTTCTCAACGGTGGGCTTAAAACATTCAGGAAACCACTCTTTAAGCTGTTTGTTATCCAGGCTTTGTTGTTCCATTTATACAGTACAGGCAGAGTAGATTTAGCATAATTTTAAGAGTTCTAGGATGTTTAGAATGGTAAATAAGCACTGGCTTCAACCTCAAGTCACCGGCTACATTAGCTCCCAACAAGAAAGTCGGGTGTGCTTTGATGTTTTGAACCCGGGCATTAACTTCTCCTCTCTAGCTAGAGAGTCCTAGAATGTCTAGATGGCATCTTCTTCCAAAATAAGGCTATTTCATCTACATTGATAATGTATTGCTTAGTGTAGTCACCTTTGTTAATTATCTTAGCTAGATCTTCTGGATAACTTGTTGCAGCTTCTATATCAGCACTTGCTCCTTCACCTTACACATTTGTGTTGTGGAGATAAATTCTTCCCTTAACCATTATGAATCAATTTCTGTTAGCTTCAAAATTTTCTCCTGCAGCTTCCTCACCTCTCTCAGACTTCAGAGAATTGAAGAGAGTTAGGGTCTTGCTGTGCATTGGGCTTTGGCTTAAGGGAATGTTATGGCTGGTTGATCTTCTATCCAGACCATTCAGACTTTCTCCTTAGCAGCAATAAGGCTATTTTGCATTCTCATCATTTGTGTGTTCACTGAAGTAGTGCTTTTAATTTCCTTCAAGAACTTTCCCTTTGCATTCACAGCTTGGCTAACCGGTTTGCACAAGAGGCCAAGCTTTGACCTATCTCACCTTTAAATATCTCTTCCTCACTAAGTTTTATCATTTCTAGTTTTGGGTGTAAAGTGAGATAAATAACTCTTCCATTCACTTGAACACTTAGAGGCCATTGTAGGGTTATTATGTGGCTTTATCTTAATATTGCTGTGTCTCAGGGGATAGGGAGGCCTGAGGAGAGGGAGAGAGATGGGGAAACAAACTGGTCAGTGGAGCAGTCAGAATAAACACATCATTTATTGATTAAGTTCACTTTCTTACAAGGCATCAAGAGACCATGGCAATGTTAGATTCAGGTAAGAGGAGGAGGCAAAAAGTATTTTATAAACTGTAAAAGTTCCTCCAATTCAAAAGCAGAGTGGCAGGGTAAATGATAGGAGTCTAGTAGCATTTGGGAGGGAAAAGTCTTTGTTCGATAATGGTAAGTAGTGACGATTTGTGCCTCGGATTATCTTTCAACTGCACAAGGATTTATGAAGAAGGAGGTTGGAAAAATATAACCAAAGGAATCGACTATGTTTAAGATAATAAAATGTTAAGTTATGAAATTTAACAATTAGAGAAGTTTATAGAATTCACCATTTTCAGAGTGAAAAATGGAAACTAAGAGTTAGGTCCTGAATGTAGCAGAAATGACTAGATGTCCCTTTAGACCTGCTCTCTGCTCACCCTTTCTCTCCTAGAATAGAACCCCCAATTTTAGATGGGCACACGGCTGTGTAAATAAATGCATAACCAGCCTTCCTTGAATCTAGATGTGTGCCTGTTACTAATTTATAATTCATGGGATGCAAGCAAAAGTAGAATGTATTACTTCTGGGAAATGCCTTTAATTGCCTTTTTTCAACCCTTCCTCGTTTTACCTGTGATGGCTGGAACTGGGATAACATCCTGAGCCACGCAATGGAAGCCAAGTGCTGTGGAAAGCAAAGTGGCAGCCTAGAAGGAATTTGGGTCCCTGATGATTTTGTGAAACTGTGATTTTTTCCATCAGACCTGAACTTCCAACCTCCAGTCATCTTTTTCATAAGAGAGAAATAAACATCTTGTTTAATTCACTATCACTTTTGGCTTTTTGTCACTCATAGCTATGCACCCTCCTAATTGACATAATGGTCCTCTGCATTAATATCCCTAGGATTGGACATTGTCTTTGCTATATTGTACCTTCCATTAAAGGGAAGTGTAATGTCACAAAACTAGCATCGGGTATAGATATAAGTTGAGATTAAAACAAACAAATAATATTCTTGGACAAAAACATGACATTATATTTGAAACACATGAAGACTGAATAAAATTATCTTAAGGCTAATTTTCAAAAACTGGAGGCAATGAAGTATAGTGGTTAAGAATACAGATTCTGGAAACAGCCTGGATTCAGATCCTTTCTTTGCCACTTACTTTGTAAATTTAGCGACATTACTTCACTTCTTTGCCTCAATTTTCACATCTGTAAAATGGGAATAGTTACAGACCTATTTTCTAGGGTTGTTGTGAGAAGCAAACTGATTATAGAAATATAACTCATATATAGTTATATATAATACTCTATTATATATAGTTATATATATAAAATACTCTATTATATATATAGTTACATATATGAAATGCTTAGAGTAATGCTTGGCAAATAATAAGTGCTACTAACCAACATAACAACTAATCTAATAAAAATATCTCAATTCCACATATAGCTAGATTTAGGGTTAAACAGTAGAATTCACTCTTTGATTAGGAGAATAAAGTTAATAGGAGATGACTCTTGATATGCTCCATACAGTATTGGGAAGAGAATTTATCACCCATGAACTATCATTCTCATGGATCACTCCAAATGTATAGGTAAAACTGATATAATTTAACTTTAGGATTTGTAAATGTCACTACAACTGTCAGTGTAACAGAACACTCAGTAATACACTCTATAATGTACTTATAGAAATAACCTTAAGTAACTTTTTTCCTTAAACTGGTAGCTTCCCAATGTTGACTGCTCTGTTTAAATAATGAACGACTCTTAAAAGTTATATGATATAATTTTCCTATTAATTTTATTGATATATAACTGGGTCATAAAATAACACTGGAAGTAATTGAATAAATTTTTTAAAACGATCTTCATATGTTATTTTTCATTTGCAGCCAGAGGAAAAAAACTTGTAACTTTCTGTGGATCTTTCCAGACAATTTTACAGATATGGACCATTTTTAACAGATCTTTTAACCTATACACTTTTTAATAAGCCAAACAGGAACGGGAGAACATCATTTCAGTGAAACAAACAGATGGAAACATTGTGAATGTCAGAACCACAGTCAGGAATGTTCCTTTTTTCTCATCTTCCCTTATTGTCAGGTTTTATTGTTTTCTTGAAATGTTATCTCAGTCTTTAAATGGCTTCTCTCTACACTGAGTGAAAATGTGCTGGCCGATTCGCATCTTTGTCACCACTCGGTATACTTGAGATAAATGTATAAATAGGAAGCCTGAAAGGTCTAGCTGGGAAAATACAAAGGCTCAAGGAGGAGTCATGCAGGATGAGCATCTGGTCTTTCTTCTTCGCGTAGAACTGCAGTTTATAAACTTCCTCTCTCTATGAGGCTTTTTGCACCATACTGGGAAACTTCCAAATATAACTCCATTACAGAGCCGTCTGAAGAAGCTAAAAAACATCCATGCTGATCCAGAGTATAAAATAGATGACGTTCAATATTTGTCAAAACATTTCACCTTTGCAGCTACTGAACCTGTAATGACAAGGACTAAGGCCGGGTTGACAACAAGCACACAATTATACTTACTGGAGAAAGTTCAAGGGAAGTTTGAAATACATCTGTAAGAGAAGAATACATAATTGAAAAAATAGTTCCTTTTGGATGTTTAAAATATACTAAAATAATTTCCCACCACTAAGTGCCTTAGGTATTCTAAAGTCTGGGGTTTTTGTTTTTCTTTAGCCCACTGATTTTGACAGTGAACAATATTTATTAAGTTTCTGTTATACTTGAAACCTCACTGTGTATCTTTTCTTTTATTTTATTGTTCACAAATAGATTGCACTAAATATTGTCTATCCCAAAACCTACAAACACAGGCTTGTAGAAGTTGAATGAGAACCACAGCTCTTGATCAAGGCTGGGGAAACAATTGGAATGATTTAATATTCTGCTGCTCAAGGTTCATAACGACTATGGAGGTGATTAACTGAAGAAGTTATTTGGAAAATTAACATAGGGTAACTAGATTAGAAGAATGACCAGGGAATATCTGAAAACATTTTCTTCCCTGTATGTTCTGGATTTTTATTGACTGAGATTTTATTTTGAAATTCTCTTTCCATCTGTTCTAGTCTGAGTTCTGCTTAAACTGCTCTGTTAACTAAAGAATCTCAGAAATCTCACAGACTCAATAGGAAGGCTGAAGAAACATGTTTCAAAGTGGACAAAACACGGTGGAACCCAAGTAACTAAAACTTCAGTTGAATCATGCCATTAGGTGAGTCTAGAGAAAACACCACTGCCTTGGGCTCTGGAACCACTGCCAGTAGCAATACTGGATGCCACCACTGCTGTAGGACAGTCGCCACTTTGTGTATGAGACACTGGGTTGCACCACCACCAACACCTCCATGGAGTTCCTGTGCCACTGTCATCAACAATGCTGTTGTGACCTGTCGATTGTATGTTGCTGCTGGCACTTCTGCCTACAGACACAGATGCTACTGCCACCACTGCAGACAGAATTCTGAACTGTTCTGTCTTCTCTTCACTACTTCCTCTAGACAGCGAGATTACATGGGAAGCATGTGATCAATTTCAGTTAAGAACCAAAGTGCTACCTAAGAAGAAATTTGGAGAGGAAAAATTTATCCCTTTTCATTACCCCACCTAGCTTGGTATTTTCATACATGAGAATTATATCTGAAAGTTGGCTAATCAGAGAAATGCAAATCAAAGCTACAATGAGATACCATCTCACACCAGTTAGAATGGTGATCATTAAAAAGTCAGGAAACAACAGGTGCTGGAGAGGATGTGGAGAAATAGGAACACTTTGACACTGTTGGTGGGACTGTAAACTAGTTCAACCATTGTGGAAGTTGGTGTGGCCATTCCTCAGGGATCTAGAACTAAAAATACCATTTGACCCAGCCATCCCATTACTGGGTATATACCCAAAGGATTATAAATCATGCTGCTATAAAGACACATGCACACGTATGTTTATTGCAGCACTATTCACAATAGCAAAGACTTGGAACCAACCCAAATGTCCAACAATGATAGCCTGGATTAAGAAAATGTGGCACATATACACCATGGAATACTATGCAGCCATAAAAAAGGAAGAGTTCATGTCCTTTGTAGAGACATGGATGAAGCTGGAAACCATCATTCTCAGCAAACTATCGCAAGGACAAAAAACCAAACACCGCATGTTCTCACTCATAGGTGGGAATTGAACAATGAGAACACTTGGACACAGGAAGGGGAACATCACACACCGGGGCCTGTTGTGGGGTGGGGGTGGGGGGAGGGATAGCATTAGGAGATATACCTAATGCTAAATGACGAGTTAATGGGTGCAGCACACCAACATGGCACATGTATACATATGTAACAAACCTGCACGTTGCGCACATGTACCCTACAACTTAAAGTATAATAATAATAATAATAAAAAGAAAGTTGGTTAAACAACAAAAGGCAAATATTGATCATAATCTACTTCTTTGACTGCCCAAATGCACAGCCATCCTTTTCCTCAACTTTTATTTTAAAAATACTTTGTCCTAATGTAACATAAAAAGGGCTATGAAATGGAAAACTCCCTCTACTTTCTTTTCAAGGCGAAACAAATTAAATTCTTGTCAGTTACTCCATTCAACTCTAACATCTACAACTGATGCTCTGCCTGTACCTACTCTTCCCCTAGGAAAAATACTGTACCATCATGTACATATTCCATAATCAATAAATTAAATTACAAACTTCTCTCTCACCAACACCTTCCTTATAAAATAATGAAGAATGAGAAGATTAAAACATTTTAAAGAGCAGTTAAAATTTATGCAAATATATTCATTATGAAAAGTAATATATGGAAATGCTAGAATCCATATTTCTGCAACTGGTCATGAGAACACAGCTAGAAGAGTCTCCCTCCTCCACATTACCTTGTCTTTCAAACTCCAGCTCAGCTTTCCAGTTATCTTCCCCTGATGAGGAAAAAACAAAACAAAACAAAAACCTTAATTCTTAATTCTTAAGATATCCAGATATTAGTGGTCATATCTATATATAGGGTTATGGAGTTCTTAAATTAAACTTTTAGCTTTTCTCTATCTTTACTGAATTGCACCAACTTTTCCACTGATAATAGGGACTGATCACATACTTCATTTTTGGCCTTGGACCCCACCTCTAAAACTTCAGTCAAAATAACTTTCAAAAACTGATTTTTAAACTCATTTCTTGAAAATGTTTAATGGCACTTCAGTGCTGCAGATAAATTTAAATTCCTTAGCATGCCATATGAAACCCACCTTATTTTCAGACTCATATCCTAAACTAGCATTTTATACCATAACTATATTAAACCAATTCTTGGTTTCCAAACTGTGATGTCCTGTTTGGAGAGATAGGTAGGTAGATAGATAGATAGATGATAGATGTATAGATATGATCATTATAATGGAGATATTTATAAACTAAATTTTGCTCTGTGTGTGTATGTGCGTATAGAGACATGCACATACTTTTCACATTAGTACTTTTTGTCAGTGCACATGCCGAGCTTACTAAATGTCTAGCACATGAATGAGAGCTAATAAGGATCACAGGAATGAGTGAAACAGTGAAAGCATGAATAAATGAATACAACAAGATAAGAAACATAAAAAACGAAATTGCTTCAAAAATTGCAAAAATCAAATCCTAATAACCTTCAGTTTCAACTTCCAAGAGAACTTGGAAGTCACCATTCTTGTCCTTACCCTAAGAAGCTGAACAAACTGAAAATCATTAACTTTTTTGGAACCAATCAGAAAATTATGGTTGCAGGGCAAAACACCACCCTAAAATCTGGAGAGATAAGTAAATACAAAGAATTGCAGATGATATATCAATTTATTTAGAGCTGAAGCTGCTGGAATCATAAACTGGTAAAAACACAAAAATCATATTTTGATGAATTTCTAGGTACTGAATGTGATCTGCCCTGGAAGTGAGAAACTCTTAGGGGCTACAGTATGAGATAACACCTGCACATTTATAGGTTTTCTTCCAGAAACCCCAACAGGCTCTCAAAGTAAAGACTTGAGAAAGATCCCAGTGTGGCTCTGGCAGGGGGACAGAAAGAGTAATCATTGGGAAATATACTCAGAGTTCTCCATAGCAAAAGCCCACTACCCAGGGAAAAAGACTTTACTAGTGCCTTATTCCTCCAGGGAAGGGAATTTTTCCCATTCCACCCTCTTCTAGACTTCTTGTCTCATCTAAAACAAGAAGGAACTGAAAAACACTTGTGAAGGTCACAAGCCAGGGATAGAGGCCACTAATAGACTGAGATTTAATCACAGCATTACAGAACACTTCACCTTCCCAACAACTCACCACCATACTGACAAGACTCCAGTATAATAGTAGATTACAGCTGAAGGAGCTGAAAGATGCAGACTCTCCCTGATCAGGAGTACTTAAAGAAGATAAGCCAAGGTAGGAGGAAAAGAAGGGCACTAAGGAATTTAAAGCCTCTGACACCTGCAACCACAGCAAACATTAAACACAGTACAACTCCCAGTCATATTAACATACACCCTCACACTGAAGGCATATGTTTCTCAGTTCCTATTACCTGATACTTCATGTCCAGCTTTCAACATCAACAAAATTACAAGACATACTAAAAGGCAAGAAACAGCACAGTCTAAAGAGACAAATGAGCATCAGAGTGATGACCGAAATGAGTAACTGAGGCATACACCAGATCATCGAGGTTTATGAAGCCAGCTTTAGGGCGCATCCAGGAAAAACGAGAGCCACAGGCAGAGCTGTGGTTGTTTTTAGAGATGTTTCTAGGAGTCTTTGTATTTATACACTTCCTTAGAAGTAGAGAAAGGCCTACAGGAACAGAGGCAGTTAAGTGGTAAGGCAAATATTTATATTTCTGTGAGACTTCTGTTAGTGCCCAGTAAATCTACATTTTACACAAGATGAGGTGAATGTCTGAAGGGAAAAAGAGAATAAATGAAGAGTCTATGCAGACGTTTCTGGAGGGGTGGAGGAATGAGTCTTGACTTTGTTCTGCACCTGGAAATATAAGCTTATACTGGACATTATCAGTGTGGAATTGAACGGACTTTAGTTTTAGGAGCTAGACTTAGATTGTGTACCTAAACTTACAACTAGCATGTCTTTTTTTGTGGGAGGCCAGCAAATAATTTACTTATGATTGATCTATGAGACAGTCATTCCCAGATGTCTGATACCTTTCACCTTTCCAAGGGGTTCCAGCTGATGCATAATGCTAGCAACAGCTATTCATTTGGAAGAGGATGTTGCAATGACTCAATCTCTGCACTTAAGCTTCCCTTTTATAGAAGAAGTTTGCAGGTCCTGAGATTTTATGTTTTCCTCTTAAGAGCCAGACTCAGATATGACCCAGATGTCAAAATTATTGGACAGAAAATTTACAAGAACAATCATTAATATGTTATGGGCTCTAGTGGAAAAAGTACACTACATGTAAGAACAGAAGAGTAATGTGGTCTGAGAGATGGAATCCATAAGAGAGAATAAAAAGAAAATGCCAAAAATCAAGAACATTACAACAGAAATGAAGCAAGTCTTTGATGGAGCATCAGTAGACTGGATATGACAGAGTAAAGTATAATGAGTTTGAAGATAAATCAATAAAAATTTCCCAAACGTAAATGCACAGAGAAAAAATAATGGAAAAATAACACAGAGCAAAACATTCAAGAACCATGGGGCAATTTCAGTAGTTATGATATACCTGTAAGAGGAATACCAGAAAGAGAAGAAAATGACAATGCAACAGAAAATAAAAAGTATTTGGAGTAATAACAACCAATAACTTTCCAAAATTAATTAGAGACAACAAACCACATATCCAGTGAGCACCAAGAAGGCCAAGCTGGAATAAATAACAAAACAATTTACAACTACAAAAGCCATATTTACTACAGAAAACCAAAGGCAGAGAGGAAACCTTGAAAAAAGGCAGAGAGAAAATAAAAGCAATTTACCTATAAACAGATAAGGGTAAGAATTATGTAGCTTTCTCATCATGCATTAAGAAAGCATTAAGAATATAGAATGAAACATTTAGTGTCAAAGGAAAAAAAAATGACAGACCTAGAATTCCATGTCCAGTGAAATCAATATGCCAATTATTTTCAAGTTTGTCTATAAATTTAACACAACCCCAAACAAAATCCAGCAACCATCTTTTTACATCAACAAATTATTTCTAAATTTAACATGGAAAGACAAAAGACATAGAATAGCTATGAAAATCCTGAAAAAAAAAACAAAGTTGTTGGTCACATACTACCTGATTTCAAGACTTAATATAAAGCTACAATATTCAAACCAGTGTGGCATTAGCTAAAGAATAAACATATAGATCAATGGAGCAGAAGAGAGACCTCAGAAATAGACCCATACAAATATAGTCAGTCAATTGACCTTTGACAAAACAGCAAAGGCATTCGATGGACAAAGTATTGTCATTTAGCAAGTGGTGCTAAACAACTGGGACATTCATGTGCAAAAAATTAATCTAGACAGAGATCTTACAAAAGTTAACTCAAGATGAATGACAGAATTTCTAGAGATAAACTAAGGTTTTCAGGTGCTCAGTGGTAGAGTGCAAGGGTTATATGCATAATGCGTAGTGGCTTTTGTACAAATGTATGAAACAGTCTAAGTGAAGAGTTGAGGGAAAGGGTGCTAACCTAGGTGATTTTGGAATTAAGCCAAGTTTGTAAGGCTAAGCAAAAGAAACTGAATACAAACACTGTTCCCTAGCCGATACAATGTTCCCAAGGAAATATGAATTAACAATTCTGATACAACTTTACATGTATAATGGAATTAAATAATTAGGTAAATGGATGGCAGATAGTGGGAGCATGATTTCTTAGTGTTTTAACAGGAATTTAGAGATAAACAAGGGGAGGAGGTCAGAATATAGGCTAGAATGATTTGTGCTGTAATAGAAAATAGTTGGAGACATTAGTATGAACTCAGGTTAGCTTAATATAGATATACAGATGGTTACATTTGGAAATATTTATAGATTTTCCATATACACAGGTTAGTAAAAACACATATTTCATTGCTTTGTCTGTCAAGGGGTCCTAGAAGCAGTGACAACCCAGTAACAATGAGCACATCTAATGCCCAGATCTTGGTTTCCAATTCTCCAGTTAAAAGAACCAAGGCTTCTTGGAGGAATAGGGCAGGAAATATACAAGATAAACCTGGAATATTTTATAGTGTCAAAAATGTAAGAAAAATGTTCTAAAAAACTTACAACGATGAGGGTATATCAGAGAAGCACAGGAGTCAACTGAAAGACCTCCCAGTGGCCAAAGCTGGAAAAATTTCAGCAACAAAATTAAGTAGTATTGGATTACGACCCAATGTATAACATAAATATTCATGAGTCCATATTGATATAAATAAATGATTGAATAAATAAATGGAGGGAAAGAAACAAATTTTCAATGCAAAATAACTAGAAATAATTAAGTACTTTTCCCTCAAGCACAACTCCCTATTCATTAAATGGGGGCTGCACATAGTGGTTTCCTTTCAAAGAACATAAAACGGAAAAGGGAAAAAAGAGTAAAGAAGTAAGTTTAGAGTGCAAAAACATGGCAAACACTACCTTAGTGATAAAGCTTAATGCCAATGGTAGTAAGTCATGTTGACAGTATGTACAGTTGATATGATGTGATGAAAATAATGCTTTACCTCTGTGGTCTTCACCTATAAACCAATGACTCAAATACAATAATAAGAAAAGCATTAGACAAAGTCCAAGTTAAGAACACTTTAAAATTATCTGACCAGTACGTCTCAAAACTCTCAAGCTCATCAAAAGCAAGGCTAGTCTGGGAAACTGTCATATTTGATAAAAAGCCTAACTAAAATAAAAATGACTACATAACAATTAAATATAATGTGGTATCCTGGATGAGACTCTGGAAAAGAGAAAGGCCATTGCACAAAAATTAAGGAAATCTGCATAAAGTTTGGACTTTAGTTAATAATAATGTGTTAATACTAGTTCATTGATTGTATTAAATACTGTTGTAATACTATACTAGTGTAAGATGTTAATAAACAGATGTGGGACATATGAGAACTCTGTGTATTATCTTGCAATTTTTCTCTAAATCTAAAGATGTTCTGAAGTAGACCTTCCTTCGTATTTGCAATAGCTAATATGTTTTCAGCAATCTCCCTGCTTGTCTAGGGAGTTAAATACTGAAAGCAATAAAGTAGAGCTAATCCATAATAGCAAGTATGGAAATAATAAATAATGAGGAGGAAAACAGCCAGGAGCAGGAACAGAGATTGGATTGAGGCCAAGAGATGAATTGGAAGCATTCAGAGAATGCAGTGAAAGAACAGTGATGACATAAATTAATCTAGCTTTCATATTGCCACAAAATATATAAATGATATGGAAAGAAAGAAATTCCTCAATCATGAGAGGACCAAAATGATGTTCTAAAATTGCCATAAACTCTTTTAAGAGTAGATCCTAGATTACCTGTGTTTAATTTACCCTCTGTTTTAATCATGCCTCTCCCAATTTACAGAAATGTCAAATTGCCTGGGATTCTGACAGATCTGGGGTTCCATCCTAAATTTATTACTTATTAGTTGTAGTACTGTGAAAATTATTTAATGACAAAGACTCAGTTTCTTAATCTGTACCTGAACATAATTTCCTCTTTAAAGAATTATTAACTGAATTTTAAAAAGTCAAGTGCACAACATGTAAGTCCTGGAAATATCAAGCCTTTTGTTTCATATTTATGTAGCTTAAATAGATAGATAAATTCAAAGTAAATTCTTATATATCCTGGAAACAAGCATGAGGCTTATCCAAAGGAAACAGGAGCCAAACTGAAAGAGCTCCCAATGGCCAAAGCTACAACAATTTGAGGAACAAAACTTTTTAAAAAGCATATTGGATCTTAACTCAAATTACAATAATAAATGATTGAATGAATAAATGGGAGAGGCAATGTTCCTTATAGAAGAATTTCAAATTAAATTGTGTAGATGCAACCCCTTCAGGAGGTGGAGTTTAAGGGCCTTCTCCTTAAATGTAGATTGAACTTAGTGACTCACTTCCGAAGAATAAAGTATAAAAAGAGCAAATGAATTTGCTTCCCAGTGGAGAAACCTGGCAGACACCACCTTAACTAAGTGACTGAATTAAACATCGGTGATGTCATGTAGATATCATGGAGCCCTTGATATGATGAGGTGAGAGGCGCTTCATCTTTGTGTTGTCTCATGTAGAAACTTTTAAGTCGCACCTATCACGAGAACGCATCAGCCAAAACCAAACTGAGGGACATCCTACAGAATATCTGACCAGTAATTTTCAAAACCATCAATGTCCTGAAAAAGAATGAGATTGAAAACCTGTCACAGACTAAAATAAACGAAGGAGACTTGAAAACTAAGTTAAATATGATATTCCGTGTTAGATTCTGAAACAAACAAACCAAAAAGACATCAGTGGAAGTCCTGGTAAAATACAAATAAAGTCTGCAGTTTAGTTAAGGTTAGTGTACCAATGTTAGTATCTTAGTTTCAACAAATGTGCCATGGATATGTCAGACTCCATTATTAAATAATAAGGTCTTCAGTTAGGGGTAGCTAGGTGAAAGGAGTATGGAAACTCGACTTTATCTTTGCAAATTTTCTATAAATCTAAAATTATTCTAAAATAAATTTATTTAAAAAAATAAAAGCCAAATTCCAGTGAGATGAAAGACTGAAAACATAAGAAACCTTAAAATTAAAGAATAAAATGCATGAGATGAAACATTAAGAATATAAAAGTGGAGAAATGTAGGAATTACTAGGAATTAAGAAATAAAAGTTAATACGTATGTCTGTATATGTATTGTGTATATATATTTATACACATATATAAATAAGAAACGTTTAGGAAAACTATTTTAAATAATTATTTTATGTCAAAATAAGAAAGAATTGAGTGAATAAAAGAAGTTAAAGAACCACACAAAAGTAGAACCCATCAACTAGATGCTAATATTATTTGAAGAAAACTTCAGAAACTTTCCATGTTTTTTAATATTCCAAGAAATAACTACACATAGATCATTAATGCCGTTATATGTTGTCTTTTGTTAATTAGAATTTATGAAAAAGATCAGTCTTCTAGTTTAAAATAGAGTGGTTCTAGTTGGCTTTTAATGCTCTTAATTCTCATCCTAAAGATGGAAAATTAAATAAGGTAAACTGGAATCAAGAATCAACATTTTGACCCAAAAAAAGGCAGTGATTTCCTATACAGCAAATGAAACATTTAAAACTTCTCGCTTTGGGCTATTCATGTTATTAGGCTGAGAGAGGCAGCTCATTAAATAGGTCTTTAATCCATCCCCACTCTCTGTCCTTGCATCAGCAAAAAGGAAATGCTAATCCTGCTCTTCAAACTGACTCTTCTATGCCGCCCTGCTTCTTTTCATTCATCCTCCCAGAGATGAGAGCTTCTGAAAGCAATTGTATGGTATTAGAATTGACAGTGATGACTTAGGAGGAGATGCTGGTAGAGGTGGTAGTAGAGGAAGTGGCTGTGGTAGTAACACATTGAGCGATAGCCCCTTCAAGGAAAGCATCCTCAGATGACGTAGTGAGAGGAAGAGAGTATAAGAGCTCTGGTAGCAATATATTCTGGGATTGTTCATTGTTTTCCATATTTTTATTTGTTTAAAATTTCCAAAAGAGATGAGGTGGAAGTAGGAGAGAATGCCACAGATTTGGATGATCTTGAATCTTCTGGAAGGGTCTGGAAGCTGCAAATATCAACTTCTGGTTCAACTGTCAATATGGAAAAAAATAATAGATCAGAAACCAATTGAATAGGAAATGGGCCTCAGGCAATTCATATACCTTATCTGTTTGAAAACACATGACAATGAGTAAACAGAAAAAAATTATAAAATTTATTCAAAATTTTTATTTTTATTTTTGAATATAAAAGAAATAAGCACATGGCCAGGAAGGTTGGCTCACACCTGTAATCCCAGCACTTTGGGAGACAGAGGAGGGAGGATCGCTCGAGGCCAGGAGTTCAAGACCAACCTGGGCAAAATAGCAAGACATTGTCTGTACAAAAAGTTAAAAAAAAAAAAAAGAAAGTAGCGTTATTTGAGGCCCCCAATAAGGAGTACACTTCTGAGGTTGATCTCCCGTTTTCAAAACAAGAAATTCTTAGAAAATGTGTACCTTAAAACTTAAAAACATAAAAAGTAAAAGATTAATTATAGAAAAAGCCGGAATCAGATTAAAAATCCAAAAGGTTATAGTGGATATGGGCTATTTTGCTTGTTCAGTCTCACTTTCCTTTTTTTCTGAAAATAAAAGCTTTCTTGTTATCTTGAAATACTCTCCTCCCTCATCGTGGGACTATCAATAACATGCTGACGTCCCTGCCTTGTGAACACAGGCTGGATCATTTGAGTGTCTCTATACCTGGAGAAGCACTGAAAGGCTCAGGGATGGCCAACCCCCCATTGCTAAAGTCCTTTTTCAGGCGTGGTAGAGTCTTGAAAAGAAGGAATTTCCCATCATCGAAGATCATGGGATGCCAGGAGCTATGTGAGCCAGGCAGTGCTTATGCACTCACAGCTTATCTCATAATCACAATGACAGTTCTAAGATGTGGGCCACATAAGCTCCAGTTCACAGAGAAGAACATGAGGACTCAGATCAATTAACAGCCTCTTCAAGCTCAATCCAAAATTAAGCAGAACCTTAGGAACTTTAAAAGCGTACCATTAGCTTTTGATTATTAAGAAAATGACACGAGTCTTCATTTTCACTGCTTGCCCACTGCTCAACTTTTAAAGAGCTTATGCTTTATGACACCTAAACACAGAAAAAAAAATAAAGGGTCAATGATTTCCCAGTCAATCTTGCTTAAATTTGCCTTACTATACCTTGAAAAAATGAGTGAGAAGAGAATGAAATAATCCCCTACTATCACATATAATTTTGGATAAGCTCAAGTATGCATATTCCTTAGATTTAAATAGTGCCTCTGTGTCAACCACATTGTCTCACACTTTCTGAAGGAAAGCAGATGTCTTCATTTCAAGCCTGTCAGAGATCGTAGCTTGCACAGTGCTGTTACTACTGCCATGGACTCTGTCGCAGCACAGTGATAGAGCAGTTACCTAGGCAGCACTGCTCTTGATTGAGAACATCAGCATTGTAAAATCCCTCCACTGCTTTTGCCTTGATTTACTCTGCCAACTTATTCTGTTTTCACTCTTCATGCTGGGAGGATATGGGAAAATGTGGCCTTTGACCACAACCTGTGTAGCCCATGTCATTGTTATGTCAGTCCCCAGAGAAGCTGCAAATATAGTTCTTTCCCCAGGCCAACGATATTATCCATGAAAACAAAGCTGTCTCCAGATTCCCACCTGGTATTAAAATGTATGTGACAGACTCTTACTGCTTCACCACCTGTCAACGAATGATTTGGCAGTGGATTTTCTCCAATGTTTTAATTTAATGTGCCCATCCACATCACCAAGGGTAAAGCAAAACAGATCTGTATTGAGCTAATATGTGCTCAAAATATTCATTAAATGCACTATTGTATTTGATCTTGCCAGATATCCCATAAATTTCCTCTTTTTTTTTTTTCAAATGAAAAACTAGATTCGGAGAGGTTAATAAGTTGACCAATGTTACAGATTAGTAAGGAACAGAAGTAAACCCAGGGCAATTCTCTTCATGGACCTGCGACTACTTCTTATAAATATGTGATGTATATCCTAATGCATTGCTAAGGTACAAAACAAGTTTAAAAATATGCAGGCTCTGTATGGCTTCCAAAATTTGTGAGCTCTCAAAGCACGTTCATTCTTAGAGTGCATCTATTTCAGTTCCAATTCCATGCAATCAAAGCTTCTACAATGGTCTAACTGGTGAATGTCCAAGTTTGAATACTCCTGGGGGCACAACAAGAAACACACTATGTTATAAAACAGCCCATTCGATGTTTGAAAATCCCTTCAGGTAAGAAAGTTTGTACTTACATTAAGCAAAAATGTTCCTCCTTTGATGTCTATCTTTTCTACTTTCACAACACAGTGAATAAAGTTAGTACTTAGTTCACATAACACTCTTTTTTAAATGGCAAGGCAGCTATATATAAAATACTTTTCTCAAAGCCTGCCTTTGACTAGAATTAGAGCTGCATCATTGTTTTATTTTATTGATTTTATTTTATTTATTTTATTGTATTTATGTTATTTTAGGGGGTACATGTGCAGGTTTGTTACATTGATATACTGCATAGCGTGGGCTTCTAGTGTTCCCCTCATCCAAATAGTGACTATTGTACCCAATAGGTAATCTTTCTACACTCACCCTCTTTCCAACATCTCCCTTTGGAGCCTCCAGTATCTATTATTTCCATTAAAGCTGCACCTTTCCATTGTTTCTCCATAACATGGTTTCTAGTCACATTCCTCTTGCATCCATAATGGAGCATAATATGCTACTGTGGACAGACTAATATAATCAGGCAACGGGGCAGGGAAGAAGGGGGATTTCCCACAAATTGTTCTAGATGCTATATTTCTTTTAATACAGGCTAAAATTAAATTTGTTGTTTTTCTGCATGTCAATCACGCTACATTGTTGATGCCTAATGAGTTTGTACATGATTAAAACCCCCGATTTTATATAAATAGCTAATAAATCAGAGTACTGCATGACAGTTAATATTTATACTAAGACCTAATGTTAACAACTATCCTGTTTAGATTATATATTGTCAGTTTCAGAGCTAACTGAGCATTTTTTAAAGGTTATGATTTTTTTAAATCATAACCCTTAATAATTAGGAGGTATATTTTAATGAGTCTATAATTTCTCAGGCATTACAAGTCTTATCTAATGAATGTCCATAATAACTCTGTGAATTAGATATTATTCTCTTTTTATGGATAAGGAAAGCTAGAGTTGGTCAGCTTTCCTTTAGGTCATTGTAACCTAAAGTTACAATGCAACTACATGTTGCAATGAGATTTAAACCTAAATGTGTCTGGTTCCAAAATCATAGTTCTTTGCAATATTGTACAGTCCTATGGCTTTTTGTCACTCGACAAATTTGACATATTTGGCTTCTATAACTTTTTAAATTAGTGATAAAAATGCCAAACAGCAAAATGAGAATAAAAGGCAAGTAAAGATCCCCTCCAAGGGTGAAAAAATAGAGAAATCAAAACATTTTAGGATGGAGAATTGAATCAGCTATGGATCCATTTAAAGCCATTATTACTTCATTTGGTTCTAGCTATCATGCTGGTAAGAATATAACAATGGTCTTGACCAAATGCCTTACTGAAATTTTGATTCACTCTGTACTTATACTGTAGGTTTATAAAACTATTAATCCTATCAAAAAAGTAAATGATGTCAGCATAGTCTGATTTATTTTAATAAATTAGTGTTGTATTTCAATGATTATCATTTCTATTTTTAAATATTTAGATACATGTATTTAACAACCTGCTATAAAATTTTATCAGATTCAATATTAAAGTCATTGATTTATATTTCCAAAATTGTTTCTTCCTTCTTTCCTCATCCCTCCCTTCTCTCTTTTCTTCCATTCTTCCAAACTTCCTTCCTTCTTTCCTTCTTTCCTTCTATCCATACATAAAAGGCACATGAAATGCCAACTGTCTGCTAGGCAATATGTTCAGTGCTGAGAAAACATACACAAAAACAAACCAGAGATTTACAGATTAGTGCAAAAGGGACATGTAAATGAGTTTAAGTATAGCAATTTCGCATGCACTGTAATAAAAACATGTACAAAGTGTTATGGGAAGGTAAGAGGAGAAATGCATAATCTGGTAAGGGGGTCTTGAAGTTTGCATTTGAGCAAAGTCTTTGAAAATGAGAAGATTCTCCCCCAGTGGACCTACCAGGGAAGGACCGCTCAGAGTAATAACACAAGCAAAATAACAGAAGTAAAATTAGTGAACCAACAGCCAAAGATGAGACTTTGCGGGATCTTGTAATTCATGTTAAATATCTGGAAACCATGGAAAGGTTTTAATGAGATCACATTTGTCTTCTAGAAAGATAACTCTGGCAGCTATGTGGAAAATAGAATGAAAGAAGGATAAACTAGATTTAAGAGGACCAATTGGGAGGGTATTGTCTTGATCAAGTAAGACATCATGAAAATCTGTCTACAAAAATGGCAGAAAGGAGGAACTATGAATCTCAGTGTGCCATGGGTATCATGGTTGACAGCATGGGCCCTGGACATACAGTCACTTACTAGGCTCATAATTTGGGGTACACTACTTAATGTTTTCCTGTCTTATTGTGTTCATCTGAAAATGGAGACTATCATGATCAAACATTTAGGAAAATCTTGAAGAGATCTTAGCAATTGATATTATATTATTATTAAGAAGGATCAGTTTTGAGGCTCAGACAAGAGCTAGTGAATTCACATACTGAACTTGAAATGTTTACATAGTACTCACTGGAGCTCCCTAAAAGGGTGGATTGATTTGGGTCTCAAGAAAATAGTTATATATAGTTATATAACTATAGTTATATATTATATATATAGTTTATTATATATTATATTATATATAATTTACATATTATATATAATATGTAACTATATAAAGTTATATATAAATGTATAATATATTATATATAATAAAGTTATATATAATATATAGTTATATATCTGTAATATCTATAATATATAACTATAGTTACATATCTTTGGCTTTCAAAACCATCAGTGTAGAAGAGATAACTTAGTAAAGATTAAGAGAAGAACAAGGTTAAGATTGGCACTTGGAGGAACACGATTACTCAAAGGCAAATGCAAGAAGAGGAACCAGCCCAGGAGACTGAAACAGAGGGATAAGAATAGAAATTGGTAAGAAAACTCTGTAAGTCCAAGAAAGTAGAAAGATTGAAAACAAAGGATAGCTCAATAGGACCAAAGGTGAGAAAGAGGATAGATACAATAAGCATTGGTAGAAATCGTACTGGTAGAATAATGTAGGCAGAATACAGAATGTGTTGGATTAAGGAGTCAGTGGGTTGGAGGAAGTGGAAGTAGACATCAGTGATGCTCTTAGGAAGTACTTTTATGAAAAGGATGGCTAAAGGGAGAGTACTTTTAAAGCAGAAAATGAGAAGAAAACAGTACAGAAGAGGTGAATGTTTGGGGAAAGAGAAGATAATTTGAAGTTGTGTAGATTAGAGGAAGGGAGATTCGGGAAACAAGAGAATAGCTTAGTAAGAAGAAAGATAAACGTTTCCGTTAAGAAGGAAGAAAATAATGTAAAAACGAATAATATTCCAGTTGGGTGATGTGTAAGGGAACCTTTATTTTCTCCATGAAATAGAATGCACAGTCACCTTTTGAGAGTAACAAAGTAGAAATAGTTTCAAAAACATGTGAAGCATTTGGAACCATGTTAAGCTTTAGGAGCTGCCCATGTGGAGGAAAAAATCAACTAGCATAGGAATATATAAAAGATTGCTATGCTGCACCAAATTCAGGTTGGAAACCATAAATTTGTACACATATAAATCAGACATTAATCTGTACTGTTACATGGATTTTTCTTAGTAATTGTTGGCTACAAGAGTTTAGCAATATATACCATGCATTTTAACTTTGTTGTTTTCTTGACATGCCTAGAAATTCACTTTGCATGAGTGTATTTATTTTATTTAAGGTCTTAAAAGATGACTCTTCAAGCCTTCATGCTTGGATATCTAGTTTCAAAAAAAAAAAAGAATTCGAGTGGAATTTGTTTTCCTAGATTCTGGCTCTTAGATATTCCAATGCCCCATGAGAGAATGATACGAGAATGATACCTATGCATGGACATGAAAGTGAATCTCAATTTCTTAAGTGTTACTCTTGCATAGAAATGATCATCGAAATGTATTATCTTGTAGATTTGCTATGACATCTGGGACGGCTTCTGGAATTTGGAGTTACACTCTTGTTCCCATGTCATAGTGGTTTCAGTCAACTAGAGATAAGGCTACTGTAAATAATTAATTGCCATCTTGCATTACTTCCACTTCATATTTGCTGCCATGTCATTAGCTGATTTAAAGATTCTAATTCTTAAAATAAGTATAGACATTTTGCTAGGCAATTCTTTCATATTTCTAAATATTTTTGCCACCATCTAAAAAGCAAATCTTCTATTGCTAATAGTGTGTCCATTAATAACTAGTTTTGGTGGGCCTATTCTTTGCCCTGTTCTTGCATTCAGCTAAGAGTCTAAATGTAATTGGGAGCCATTTATATTTGACCTTCTGAATATGTTTTACTTTTTGAAAAATCAGGGATAAGAAATTGACATTCTGTCTCCAAAGGAAGGAAGATTTTGCCAAGTCAATTTTATAACATCTAGGTGTTTTGTTTTTATTTTCTGGGGGAGTAAGATTCAGTCTGTAATCTTTCTGTGCTCTTAAAATAAAGTTAATAGAATTGTTTATACCTGGAAAGCATGGGCTCATAGGTTAAATCTATAATGAGGGTTTCACACATGGTAGGCATGGAATACATTTTGAATGAGTGGTTAAAAGATTCATTACAAAACAATATGCGAATATCAAAGGATTAAATATTTAATGACCCTTTTTATAAGGAAAAGAAAATTATAGTTGTGATAAAAATTATCCATAATTTAATATGCAAGCCTATATTTACAACTCATCCATATTGCTCAGCTGTTAATTCAAAGCTCCATCTTTTTTTCATGAATACTTGTAATTTTCCAAAGTAAGAGAAAACATAAGCATAAATGGTTTATTCAGTAAATACGTAAGGCATACCTTTTAAATTAAGGTTTTGTAACTCTGCTCCTCTGACTGGTTAATAATTTATACTAGTTAATCTTGGCTGTCTTTTTCCTTTGATATGGAGAATAGGAAAAATTCCTGTCAAAAATGATGCCCACTCAATGTTGGGCCTGGAGTTTCTTAAGACATTTTCCAGTGAAGGTTTGAGTCAGCATAGGTCAGATTCAGACCCACTGCCACCCATAGACAGTGCTTAATAAATACTTAATGATTGATACAGATTGAATTTCTAGTGTCAGTTCTGACACAGCCACCATATGATTGTGACAGATAAGAAAGAAAATTTGTAAAAAG
Organism: Homo sapiens; assembly: GCF_000001405.40. NCBI lineage: Eukaryota > Metazoa > Chordata > Mammalia > Primates > Hominidae > Homo > Homo sapiens. The sequence goes on from NC_000018.10 coordinate 1,901,719, forward strand.
TTCTACTCAATAGAAAGATACACATTTATATACACCCGCAAACACAGCCTTAAACTACAGAGAGCAAAAGTTTAAAGGAGATAAAAATAAGTCCACCAGCTTAGAAGAAAATTTTGGCACTTCTCTCTCAGTAACTGACATTATGAGCAGCCAAAATATCAAGAAAGAAATAGAATATTTAAACGTAAAATAATATACATATAAAACACAGTCTCCAACAACTGCACCATATATATTCCTGTCAAGCATACAAGGAACATTTATCAAAATGTTCTATATGCTAAACCCCAAAGCAAATATCAGTTAACTTCAAAGGAGTGAAATAAAACAGGTATCTCTCTATGTAAAAACCCACAAATGTATGGAAAATATGTAATATATTTGAAATAATCCATGGGTCACAGAAAAAATCAAAATGGAAATTAAAAGATGTTTGAACTGAGGGATAGTTAATATATAACTAGTCAAAATGTGTAGGATGCAGCTAGTCTTCAGAAACAATTTTATGGCATTAAAGAGGAAAATAAAAAATTAATTACCTGAGGATTTATTTCAAGGTGTTAGCAAAAGAATGAAAAATTATATCCAAAGAAAATTGAGGAAAAAAATAAATAAAATGGAAGTCAACAAACTGAAAATCAAGAGTCAATAACTGGATAATTGTTAAACCCACCAAGAAGACTGATCAAGAAAAAAATAAAATGTACAAATAATTAACATCAAAAAGGTAAAAATAGAATATCATTACACATTAAACAGATTTTTAGAATTATATACGTATATACGTATACATTAATTCATGAAAAACGTTATGTAAATCAATCTGGAAATTCAGATGAAATGCAAAAAATCTGGGTAAAACACATTTTAACTGATTCTAGAAAAAAATTGAAGTATCTTATATCTTATATCTTTATATTCCATAAAGATATTAAATTTGTAGTCAGCCTTTACACAAAGAAAACTTCAGGCACAGGTGGCTTTACTGGTGAATTCTCACAGACATTTCAGGAAGAAAAAAAATACAATCTAACACAAGATCTTTCAGATAGTGGTGAAAAAGAAAACACCTTCCAGCTCAGGTTATGATGCCAGCATCACCATGATACCAAAATCTGACAAGGATATTACAAAAGTACATGCCAGACACTCTTGTTAATTTGGAATAAAGCACCTCTAAAATATTAGCAAACCGAATATAGTAAAAATAAAAATAACAATACATTGTGACCAAGTTTGTTTTTGTTTTGTGTTTGTTTTCTTGGCCAGGGCTGAAAAGTTACTCTGACATTTGCCGAGACCAGCTTGGTCGGGAAGACCCTAACCCAGCGGTGCTAGAGGAATTAAAGACACACACACAGAAATATAGAGATGTGGACTGGGAAATCAGGGATCTCACAGCCTTCAGAGCTGAGAGCCTCGAACAGAGATTTACTCACGTATTTATTAACAGCAAGCCACTGATAAGCATTGTTTCTGTAGATTATAGATTAACTAAAAGTATTCCTTACAGGAAATAAAGGGATGGGCCGAAATAAAGGGATGGGTCTGGCTAGTTATCTGCAGTAGGAGCATGTCCTTAAGGCACAGATCGCTCATGCTATTGTTTGCAGTTTAAGAACGGCTTTAAGCGGTTTTCTGCCCTGCGTGGGCCAGGTGTTCCTTGCCCTCATTCCGGTAAACCCAAAACCTTCCAGCGTGGGCGTCATGGCCATCACGAACACATCACAGTGCTGCAGAGATTTTGTTTATGGCCAGTTTGGGGGCTAGTTTATGGCCAGATTTTGGGGGACCTGTTCCCAACAATATTTGTAAAATCACTGTGACTCGCGCCATTAATACAATAAAGGAGAAAAAAATCTTATTATCTTAATATACACAGAGAAAACATGATAAAATTTAATGCCTATTGGTGATGGTATTTTTAAATCATTTATAAACTAAAAATAAAAGATCTGATCATAATTCCAAAAATGTGCTGAAAAACATATCTTCTATTGAGAGATTGAAATTATTCCCCTGTGATAAGAAGGAACACAAGGATATCTCCTACCATGACCTCTATTCAAACTATTTGAATTAATGTAGAATTTAGGATGAATGCTTGATATTAGTTCTGTGTATGAAAAGAAATTGAATTCTTACTAGCAACAAATGAATAGAAAATAGTATTAAAATTACATTATTTACAATTGCATATAAAAAGTCAAATTCCTAAGAATAAATATAACAAAAAATGTGCTTTACCTTTACAGAGAAAACTACATAAAGTTATGGATATAAATCAAAGAAGATCTAAATTAATGGAGAAATATACTTTGTTCATAGATTATAAATTATATTAATTCTCCCAAAATTGTTGAGTAGTTTTAATGCAGTCAAAATCAATATTCATGAAGGCACTGTTTTTGGTGAAAATTTACAATCTGATTGGAAAGTTTACACTTTAACAAAAAAGATCAAGAATAAACAATACAATTTTGAAAAATAAGAACAACTTGACAAAACACAAGTCAAATAGACTTTACAATCATTCATGACTAAATGCTGTGAAACCAGTTCGGCTCTATTTAGACAAGGTGTGAGATGTATTAGAATAGTTTTACAAAATAACAGAAGATTCTCAATTTTTTTTAAATGTGATCTTTGAGGAAAAATGAAATTATTTGAATTTATGCTATCCAGTTATTTTTATAAAATATTCCTTGCTATTAATATTTGCAAAGCATACCAAAAAACAAATTCAAATTTTACTCTAATTTTCAGAATGACTTAACTACCACATAAGAGTTTTAGACACAAAATTTTTCTAATTTGAAAGAAGCTCCACATCAATGAAACAAAAGTGACATTCCAACCAAATTTAAATGAATTAAAAATATGAAACAAAATAATTTGTATAAGTATAAAGTGGAAGATTCATGTGCAAATAATCTTGACTATAAAGATTAGTTTCTGGTCATTAAAGACAAATACATAGTCTTAATTTCAAAAAAAATTAAATGTAGCTAAAAAGTGGTATTTTTGTTTAATTTTACAGCATTGAAGTATTTTAAAGAATGAGAACATAAGGAATATTATACTGATTTATCTATTAATTTAGGAAGTATTAAAAATCACAATATAAGTAATAAAAATATATATAATAAATTAAAATAATTTGTATTTTATTTGTTTATAGTTTATTTGGTTATGGTGATATGTCATATTTGACCTCATCACTTTTTTGAACCTGCATTGTAAAATCATTTTGAATAAATAAATCATTTTAATTTATTTCCAAAGTATTGCATTAGATGTCTTATTGACAACTCCAGTTGCTACTGCTTAGCAGATCAAAATATCTCCAAATTGAAATTAATGAAAATTACCTAAGAACCACAATAACTTAGGAAATTTCGCATAACATGCCATTTCCACTGATAATCCACAAGTTATGTGAAAATTTTTATCATAACTCTAGAAGACAAAATTTTGCTGATATTTACTCAAGGAAAAACACTTCAAGAAATACATTTATAACAATTTATGAATTATGTGTGTCTTCTTCCTCAATCACCATTCTGTAGAAAGATAATAAATACATTCAGTGGTTTTTTTATAGTTTCCTGACTTGATAATATTAAGTAAGACCATGGATTTTCACAAATATTTTATTAATATATTATGAAGGTATATTTGTGAACATATGAGAACAAAGCATGTTGTATTTAACAAATAACATGTTTGATAACTTTTTAAATTTTAACCATAGAAAGTAGGGGTCTCTATTTGTATTATTGCCTGACAGATTCAAAAGTGATAGGGATGTCCAAGCTAAATCTTCCCCCAAAAGGAGCATATTATCCTTCCCCCATCCTTGAAAATCAGCACTTAACAGAGCCTACTTGTCCAGAATTATTTAGAAACCACTGGTATTATTAAAGGAAAAATGACTCAATAATACTTGTTACAACAGAGCAAGAAAGACTTTATTCAGGACCATCATGTTTGGTACAGGGGCCACTGCAATGGGATTTTGCAGTGAGGGAGAGAGATTGGGCTCAAATCCTAATACAGCATGGCAAGTGGGAGCTTATAGGCAAGGAATAGGGTGGGGTCAGTGGGTGGAAAATTGCTCAGAGGAAACATCAGGGATAAGGAGGATTCTGGCTAAACTGACTTAATAGGGTTCTTGCTGAAGACAGGCCAGGGTGACCAGACATCCCCTGGAGGTGGAAGATGAGGAACCTGATAAAATATCAAGGTGATCCGGTATCAAGAGTGGGAGGTTCTGGTTAAAATGATTTAGCAGAGTTCTTGCTGAAACTGGATTTTACAAGGAAGTGCACACATAGATACAGGAGGAGCTTCAGGAGTCAGGCTAAAGTTTGTTTAAGCGAAATTTGTCAGTATTCTCAAATAGAAAATAATATGTATAAAAATTTCTAGATTGTAAAGCTAAAATGAGATGATTCTGAAAGTACTTTGAAATACAAAACAGTTATCTAAACACAATCCAAGATAATCTCAGCATTTCTTTTTCCTGGGCCAGAATGTACAAATTAAGAATTTCTTAATTTCCCACTTTGTTCATTATATGTTGTACCTTGTAACAATCATTCTCCTCATTTGAGTGGTGATCTTACTCAACATACCGACATACCTTACTTAACCTTATGCATTATGGACACAGAAATCTGTTCTATTGACAAGTCTAATTACCAAGGAACCTGAAAAAAAAAAAAAAGCAAAAACTTTAACTCTATGGTTGGTATAGGAAGCTGGCAGTTTTCTTTTCCCTGGTCCTTCACCAACATATTAATCTTTCCAGCTGTTAATGTCATTTCCTCACCTGGCAAATGGAGGATTGCTCTTAAAGTTTCTTGTTGCTCCAACAAGCCAGGCAGGTGAGCTGTTATTTGTCTTACTTTCTGGCCTCCGGCAATCTGCAAGCCAAGCACATTAAAGTTGCTTGAAATTGTTGATTTAAATGTCAGGATCCCTGCAGAACATTGTATTTTCCCAAAGCATGAGGAACCCTGATGTTTCTTTGGCCCTCACTACCTTTGCACTGTTGCCTATTTTTCTTTCTGAAAGTCACCTTTTATCTCTAATAATAATAACTAAATCAGTTCTCTGATTCTAATCTTTATGTCAGTGGTGCAGTTTTATTACAATTATGAATAATAATAACATTTAAAAATTAAACTACAAATATATCCAATGGGGCTAGATCATAATGTGATGTCACTTTCTTCAAATCACTGAGAGATGCAGAAACATCCAACATCCACCATGCCTGAAGTATTATGCTAGACATTGTGAAAGATATGAAGAAATATGAAACAATTACTCTTAAAATCCTTCTTCTTTCCCTTTCTTCTTTTTCTCTTTTCTTCCTTTACTCCTTTCTAAAATAGTATACTTCTAGTAATTGAAACCTCTGTTTCTTATCATTAAGCACCTTCATGTTGAAGAGAATCTATTGAGGGAGATAAACAGGTTTTTCCTTGACAGTGCCTCCTTCAGTAAATTCTTCTCTACATGCATTTATTTGCCAATTCTTTAAAACATTAATTAGAAATAGTTTCATCAATAATGTACAGTGCTCCTTAAAAACGCTTATGACTGAATGGCCAATAAAATTAAAGCAAAATAATATGAAACAAGTTTTCTTTAGGATCAATTCTGTTTTTCTCCTTTATTATTTGAGTTTTGACTTTAGAACAAAAGCTACTTAGCATTCATACTACCTACAAAAATCAAATGGAATTTTATTGAATTTGATAGTAATTTATTTATTCAAGCAAAGATCCATTAAAAATCTCTATATACATCACTAAATTATTTTATTACCAACAATAAATGTCTTTTGATTCTAGTTGCAATGGATGTAGATAGATACAAGGTAATTGAATTTCACAATTACGTCCTTTAGGGCACAGGCCTAGTAAATCTCAATGTATGAGTCAGACTGAAAATCATTTTCTTCCACTTTGGAATGTGAATGTTTTTATTAAAATATTCATTAAATGTTTTCACAGTATAACTGTAACTTTCTCCTTTGAGTTAAATGTTAATGCTGAAAAATTGTGAATGAAACTGATCATTCAGATAAGAAAAGTATATAAAAAATTTTAAAAAGGTTTGTAACATTCAGCAGGAGTTTCCTCCTAAAGAAATGTACTGTTTGTTTTGAGCTTTCAAACAAAAATTAGAATGTAGGAAAACATAGCTGCAACTGTGAACTTACAATTTTATTTGCAAGTATAATTTTTCCATATTAAATAGTGAAATGTGTTAACATTGGGAACATCTGCATAACTCAGTGATCCAATATTTTCCAAATGACCAGTATGTTATGACACAGCATCGAGCATGGGTAAAAAGCCATTCAACACACAAGAAGGTCAGGAGACTTTACCATAACAAAGATTAAAATGTTCGTTGATAAGGTTGCAGATCCCCTAGTTCACCTTACTTATTAGAAAAAAAAAAAAAAAACTTAGTTTTTGTGTAAAAAATCAAAGAATATTCATATCTTTTCAGAAAAGCAATCAAAATATTCCTCCAACTATAAATCTCTGGGAGCCTGAATTTTCTTTATATACTTAAATAAAAACAACATATTGCTAATAATTGAATGCAGAAACATATATAAGACCCAGCTACATCACAATAAACCAGAAACTGAAGAGATTTGTAAAAATGTAAAACAGTTACCCTCATCTAAGTTTTGTTGTAATTTGCTTCTGTAGTAAAATATCGTCTTCATAGATATACCTACATTATAAATATTTTGTTCATTTTAACATGTATTTTAATATTCTTATTTTAAATAACATAAATAAATATATTTTTAATTCTCACTTCAATTTTTATTACAGCAAATACAGATGTCTATAAGCCACATAAATAAGTGTTTGGGGGGTTTCAATATATTTTAAGATTATGAGAAATGCTAATTTAGCACATTCCTTTATTTTTATTTATTTATTTTTTTGACTGAAGAAACTAAAAGACAGTGATGTTGATGAAGATTTTCCAAATCACAGAGTTGAAATAAATGCCAGGTCAAAACTCAGGGTTTCCTGACTTCTAGTTGTATTCATCTTCTAAGGCTCCCACAACAAAGTACCACACACCGGGTGACTTAAATAACAGAAATCTATTGTCTCACAATTCTGGAGACTGGAAGTTCAAGATTGAGGTGTCAACAGGGTTGGTTTATGCCTCTCTTCTCCATTCTAATGGTTTTGTGGCAACTTTTGGTGTCGCTTGGCTAGTAGATAGATCACCCACATTTCTGCTTTTGTGTTCACGTGACCTTCTCCCTGTGTGCATGTCTGTGTCCAAATTTCCCACATTTATAAGGACACCAGTCTTACCAGATTAGGGATCCACCCTACTCCAGTATGACTTCATCTTAATTACATCTGCATGACGCTATTTTCAAATACAGTCACATTCTGAGTGCTGGGGATTAGGACTTCAACATGTGAATTTGGAGGGATGCAATTCAACCTATAATAGCAATCCAGTGTGTTTTTCCTTCAGTCCTTATATATCAAAAAGTATTGTCTTTCATGTTTCCTTCCTTTTGTCCGTACTGCCCTCCACTCTCACATTATCCCTACGTACACAGAATAATACATATAAAATGCATATGGGGAAAACCGATTCCTCAGGAAAGCGATTATTATATTAAAAAATATAAGTCCAAAGTCAAGCTGGCTACAAGGAGGACATCTAAGTTGAGACTGGCCTCAGATGATTTCAATAGAGGGAAACTGGGGTATCATTTTAGGAAATTAAAGAGATCTCAGGAAGCTAACATACTTTAAAATGAAGATCACAAAATGTTATCTCATGCATTTACATAACATATCTTAAAACTTCATGTGTAAGGAAAATGTGGTCCATCAAAAATTCTTAAAACTATGGTTTGGGAAATAGTTCTTTAAACTGAATATTCACAGTAAAGTATGTATTCCAATCACATGCCTTTTTTCTCTGTTGTCTATGACTTTGCATATTGGTGAATTGTATTTTCCACTCAGGTGTTAGATATACTGGTGAGAAATGTAATATGTGCTCTTACTCCTACTTTTGAAAGCTCTTGGTCCCATCTATATGACAGTCTGTAAGCCTGGCTGTTCTTTTATAATCCTCTTCTATTTTCCCCCAAATTCACAACACTACCTTCACTTGAAGTGAGTGAATCAGAACAGTCCCAAAAATATTGTGCAAATTATTAAGATACACGAAAGTAGATTAAAGTAAGTTGGCCAAAAAGACTCTACGGAGTTGAAATTGCTTAATAAAGCACTGTATTAATCTGAACTCTCCCAACCAATAGGATATATATATATGTGTGTGTGTGTATATATATATGTGCACATATATATATACATATATATACATATATATGCGCATATATATGCACATATATATATATGTATATATACACACACACACACACACACACACACACATACACAGAGAGAGAGAGAGAGAGTGACATAGAGAGAGCAGGAGATTCAAAAGTTAATCTCATCCATGAACACTGTCACAGATGACACATCCAGAATAATGTTCAACCAAATACCTGGGCATCCTGTGCCTTGGTCCAGTCAAGTTGAGCCATAAAATTGGCTATTACAGGAAGCTCACATTCAACAATATTCTGTGCCAACAATGATTAAATAAAGGGTTACATCAAATTACCAGTGCAGCAATTAAAGAGAGACTAGTTAGAATATTTTATTAAAATTTCTATATGGCTCTTTATATGGCCTTTAAAACCCCTATGTATGGCCCTCTGCAACACACATACACACAACACATGCACAAAGCCATTGGAGAGATCTTCCCTCAGCAATTTTGACATATTAGGAACAGTTTGAAATCATATTCAGCACCTTCTCTCTCCTGTAAAAGCCTAGGCACATTGGAGACATTATGTTAACTAGCCCATGATGGAAAGAAAGAGGGAGAAGACATACGAGGGCAAGAACAGAGCAAGAGGAAAGATTCCCCTAGATTGGAAGCAGCACCAAGGAAGAGCGAAAAGTCTTAAGCAGAAATGTGGCTGGGTATGTACTAGCATCGTCGCCACAAACTACTAGAAAACAAGACAGAATATATAATATTATGCATAAGAATAGATAATACAGGGGGTGGTTCCAAGATGGCCGAATAGGAACAGCTCCAGTCTACAGCTCCCAGCATGAGTGACACAGAAGACGGGGGATTTCTGCATTTCCAACTGAGGAACTGGGTTCATCTCACTGGGGTTTGTCAGACAGTGGATGCAGGAGAGTGGGTGCAGCGCACAGAGCATGAGCCGAAGCAGGGTGAGGCATCGCCTCAACCAGGAAGTGCAAACGGTCAGGGAATTCCCTTTCCTAGCCAAGCAAAGCTGTGACACATGGCACCTGGGAAATCGGGTCACTCCCACCCTAATACTCCGCTTTTCTGGTGGTCTTAGCAAACGGCACACCAGGAGATTATATCCCGTGTCTGGCTCAGAGGGTCCCATGCCCACAGAGCCTCGCTCATTGGTAGCACAGCAGTCTGAGATTGAACTGCAAGATGACAGCGAGGCTGCGGGAGGGGCGCTTACCATTGCTGAGTCTTGAGTAGGTAAACAAAGTGGCCAGGAAGCTCAAACTGGGTGGAGCCTACCGCAGGTCAAGGAGGCCTGCCTGCCTCTGTAGACTCCACCTCTGGGGGCAGGGTATAGCCAAACAAAAGGCAGCAGAAACCTCTGCAGACTTAAACGTCCCTGTCTGACAGCTTTGAAGAGAGTAGTGGTTCTCCTAGCACAGAGTTTGAGATCTGAAAATGGACAGGCTGCCTCCTCAAGTGGGTTTTCACAGAATTGGAAAAAACTACTTTAAAGTTCATATGGAACCAAAAAAGAGCCCGCATTGCCAAGTCAATCCTAAGCCAAAAGAACAAAGCTGGAGGCATCATGCTACCTGACTTCAAACTATACTACAAGGCTACAGTAACCAAAACAGCATGGTACTGGTACCAAAACAGAGATATAGACCAATGGAACAGAACAGAGCCCTCAGAAATAATACCACACATCTACAACCATCTGATCTTTGACAAACCTGACAAAAACAAGAAATGGGGAAAGGATTCCCTATTTAACAAATGGTACTGGGAAAACTGGCTAGCCATATGGAGAAAGCTGAAACTGGATCCCTTCCTTACATTTTATACAAAAATTAATTCAAGATGGATTAAAGACATAAATGCTAGACCTAAAATCATAAAAACCCTAGAAGAAAACCTAGGACATAGGCATGGGCAAGGACTTCATGTCTAAAACACCAAAAGCAATGGCAACAAAAGACAAAATTGACAAATTGGATTTAATTAAACTAAAGAGCTTCTGCACAGCAAAAGAAACTACCATCAGAGTGAACAGACAACCTACAGAATGGGAGAAAATTTTTGCAACCTACTCATCTGACAAAGGGCTAATATCCAGAATCTACAATGAACTCAAACAAATTTACAAGAAAAAAAAAAACAACCCCATTAAAAAGTGGGCAAAGGATATGAACAGACACTTCTCAAAAAGAAGACATTTATGCAGCCAAAAGACACATGAAAAAATGCTCATCATCACTGGCCATCAGAGAAATGCAAATCAAATCCACAATGAGATACCATCTCACACCAGTTAGAATGGTGATCATTAAAAAGTCAGGAAACAACAGGTGCTGGAGAGGATGTGGAGAAATAGGAAAACTTTTACACTGTTGGTGGGACTGTAAACTAGTTCAACCATTGTGGAAGACAGTGTGGTGATTCCTCAGGGATCTAGAACTAGAAATACCATTTGACCCAGCCATCCCATTACTGGGTATATACCCAAAGGATTATAAATCATGCTGCTATAAAGACACATGCACACATATGTTTATTGCAGCACTATTCACAATAGCAAAGACTTGGAACCAACCCAAATGTCCATCAGTGATACCCTGGATTAAGAAAATGTGGTACATATACACCATGGAATACTATGCAGCCATAAAAAAGGATGAGTTCATGTCCTTTGTAGGGACATGGATGAAGCTGGAAACCATCATTCTCAGCAGACTATCTCAAGGACAAAAAACCAAACACCACATGTTCTCACTCATAGGTGGGAATTGAACAATGAGAACACTTGGACACAGGAAGGGGAACATCACACACCGGGGCCTGTGGGGTGGGGGTAGGGGGGAGGGATAGTGTTAGGAGATATACCTAATGTAAATGGCAAGTTAATGGGTGCAGCACACCAACATGGAACATGTATACATATGTAACAAACCTGCACGTTGTGCACATGTACCCTAGAACTTAAAGTATAATAAAAAAATAAATAAAAATAAAGAAATGGAGTTTAGCTTCCACTTAAAATGCATGATGTACATGTCTGCCATATTTTGTTTTATTTTAGAGATCTAAATTCTACATTAAGTAGAATATGCAGTTTTAGATTAAAAAATAAGAAAACCTTAAAAAAAAGAATAGATAATACAAACATAATAAGTATAAATATTTGGAGCAACTATTTTTTGACAATGTACCACAGGCAATGCAATATTGTGTTCTCTAAGGAAAGAAAAAGAAACTAGTTGAGCCAATGATAGCCCAGCTTCCTGCCTTGAGATATTTTCCAGCAGGAACGCAGGGACAGGGAGCCCAAGCAGAGTGAGCTGCCACCCCTTGAACTGAGGAGAGAAAGGTCAGCTTCTCTTTGGGGTGGCTGAAGCAGCTGGGTTTACGTGAAAACGTACCAGAGTTGAGGCAACTGCCGGGGAAATATTAATAGTTCTAGAAATTGTCACAGGTATATCTAAATATCTGCTTTCGTTGCACTGGGTGAGGCCACTCCTGAAACGTACCCCCCGCCTTAAGGATATCTTGTAAGGTTGGTCTAGTGGTGATGAGTTCCCTTAGCAATTGCTTGTCTGAAAAGATTTTATTTCTCCTTCACTTATGCAGTGTACTGTGACAGGATGTAAAATTCATGGTTGGAGTTTCTTTTCTTTCAAAATGCTAAAAATAGGCCCCCAGTCTCTTCTGGCTTGTAGGATTGCTGCAGAGAAATCCACTGTTAGTCTGATGGTGTTTCCTTTGTATGTGATCTGCCCTTTTTCTCTAGCTGCCTTTATGATTTTTTCTTTAGTGTTGAGTTTAGACAATCTGATAACTGTATGTATCCTTGGTGATATTTGTTTTGTATAGTATCCAGCATGTCTTATCTGGATTTCTTGTATCTGGATATCTACTTATCTAGCAAGGTAAGAACAATTTTCTTGAATTATTCCCTCAAATATGTTTTCCAGGCCATTTACTTTTTCTTCTTCTCTCTCGGGAATGCCAATAATTCATAGGTTGGTCACCCTACATAATCCAATATTTATCAAAGACTTTGTTCATTTTAAAAATTCAGTTTATTTTTGTCTGACTGGGTTAGTTCAAAATATCATTCTTAAAACTCTGAAATTCTTCTGCTTGGTCTGTTCTATTGATAAAGTTTTCAATTGCATTTCAAAATTCCTTAAGTGAGCTTTTCAGCTTCAGTAGCTCTGATTGATTTTTTAAGAGATTTATATCTCCTCACTTCCTGGATTGCTTTAGAAGTTTATTTGTGCTGATTTTCAACCTTATCTTGAATCTTGTTGCGCTCCCTGGCAATCCATGCTTTGAATTCTTTATCTGTCATTTCCATGTTTCCATATTGGTTAGGGATCACTACTGGAGATCTAGAGTGATATTTTGGTGGTGTCACAACATTCAGATTCTTTATGATGGAAGAATCCTTACACTGGTTTCTTCTCATCTAGGGAGGATTGTGTTGGGTAGAGTCTTTTGGGTTTTCTTCTGTAGTCCTATGCACTTCTGTTGGCAGGCTTTGTATTAGGCTGTGCATTTCAACCTACAGGCCAGTAGATGGCATTTGCAGGTAAGAGTCAGCAGCTGCACAAGGAGGTGGGTATGGATATGATCTCTGTTTACTGTAAGGTGCTTTGTGTTGACAAACCCACATGCAACATCATACTGAATGGGCAAAAGCTGGAAGCATTCTACATAAGTACTGGAACAAGACCAGGATGCTCATTCTCACAACTCCTATTCAAAACAGTAGTGGAAGTTCTAGCCAGAGCAATTAGCCAAGAAAAAGAAATACAAGGCACTTAAAGAGGAAAAGAAGTCAAATTATCTCTTTGCTGACGACATGATTCTATACCTAGGAAATACTAAAGACTCTACCAAAATGTTCCTAGAGCTGATGAACAACTTCAGTAGAATTTCAGAGTGCAAAATCTTACACACATTATTTCTAAGTATTTGTTGTACTTTGTGGTTACGGTAAATGGTATTTTTTTAATTCGGCTATTGTTTTTGGCTAATATATAAAGATAAAATTGACTTTTTATATTGACCTTACTAAATTCACTTTTTAAAAATAATTTAGATTCTTCTGGACTGTTTTAAGAATATGAATAGGCTGTTTGTAAAAAAATGAGATAGCCTACTTTATATTTAATATTATTTTTCATATATTTGGTTTTAAATTTAGCATCTTATTATTTGTTTTGTATTTGTGCTGCCTGTTCTATTTTGTCTATTTTCTTACCAGAAAATATTTTCTGTTATATTAATTGTGTATTTTATATTATTTCATTCTCCCCTCTATTTGCATATTAATTATATGTATCCTTTTACCTGATCTGACTGGTTCCCCTAGCAATTAAAAGACACATATTTGGACTTATTAGTGTCCCATAGTAGTTTTACCCTTTAGGAATGGTCTCACTTTGAGCTGTGGATAGGTTATAAATTGGGAACAGGAGAGAAGGGTCATACACTGTAATAAGACCACACATCCACATCTGTGACTGCCTTGTCACCTATACACTGCTGATACTATTCACAGTTATATCCCGGCTACTGCCTCAGAAAGCACAAAAGAAAGTCATGAGAATTCCAACAGAGGGGACAACTAAACATTTCACAACAGAAAAAAAAAAGGCAAAATTTTAAGACTAAAGATCAGAGTGTCTGAAAGTTTTTCTTAATGCTAACCTCATTAAAGTGGTTTAGAAAAGATATAGATGTACATAAACAAATATAAGTTTCCAGAATCAGTTTTGCAATTGCGTGGATGGAGAATGAGATTCAGAGAACAAAAGGAAAGCCAGTGACCTGGAAGATACCCTAACTATCACTTCCCTGGAATCATCAATGTGAAGAATGAGACTATACTGGGCTACAGTAAATTATAAGAGAGAATTAGAAGACTTAGAAGATGGAGGACCAAAGTACAGAGCCCTGATGACAAGCTCCATCTACCCCAAGGACTCTAGACCTTGGCCTAAGCTGCACTGTCCAATAAGGTAACCATTGGGCCTCATATGGCTATTTAAATTTAATTTAAACTTATAGGCCAGGTGCAGTGGTTCATGCCTGTAATCTCAGCACTTTGGGAGGCCAAGGAGGGCAGATCACCTGAGGTGAGGAGTTCGAGACCAGCCTGGCCAACATGGTAAAACCTCATCTCTACTAAAAATACAAAAATTAGCTGGGCATGGTGGCGGGTGCCTGTAGTCCCAGCTACTTGGGAGGTTGAAGCAAGAGAATTGCTTGAAGCCGGGAGCATCTATGCAGCATTCTATTGGACAATACTGGCCTCGTGGGGATCATCTCCTGGGGACATCCCATAGCAGGCCCTGCAGATTCTGGAAAGAAGAAGTCAGTAAGAAACTCTGTGCTTATTCTCTTGAGTGAAGTTTAGGGGAATGGAATTGAAGAGGTGAGGCAACGACTATGTTTATGTGTGAGACGATGACTGCCTTAGGTAGAATTAGATAATAAGGGATGAAAACACAGGAAAAATGGAGACCTTGACATCTGAATGTCTCCATGAGGGATGATAAAGGCATGAATGAGGAAACAGTATATATATATATATATATATATATATATATATATATATATATATATATATATATAAATATATATATATTTATATACACATATGTATTTATCACAGGAAAAATGCACAGTGCATTCTAATAATCTCCTCCCTCCTTTACATTCATCCATTTGGGAGCCTCTATGAGAGAGAATTGTATGAGCAAAGTTATATGTAAAGAATATATAAACTCAAAGAATATATTTTTCATAAAGAATGAGTGTGATTGATACTTTCTAAGAGGATCTTTCTGGATAAATTGAAATGACTTTGTTATTAACATTTATATTTATTTAAGAGGACAAGTTTTTGACTGATGACACCATGCATGTGAGTCATCATTGTGCTACTTCAAAAAACCAAAACAAGAAATTAAGTTATTGCTAAATTGTTAAGAACAAAAGGAATTTTCTATTGCACATTTTAGTTACAAGGACTTTTTTCTTCTTTTTTTATTTGCCATGCACTCTTTCCTTCTTTTTCTATTTCTCATGCACCTCATGTTCAAGACAATACAATTGACCTAAAGGAAGCAGTTTATCAAGGGGCTTATGGACTGAGTTGCCCCTAGGGTGTGTAAGGCCCTCAGCAAAATATCTGTTTTGGGATCTGTATCTATATGACTAATTTGAGTTGTCCAAAACAAGCCAAGATCATGCCGGTAGCCCAATTCAATTCAATCACGCAATTCCAGGAAATAAATACTGCCCAGACCAGTGGGAGAGATGTATTTGCCTGGAAGCCCTCCTAGAATTTAGGGTGGCCAATTACTCCATAGCAGGAAAGCTTAGAGCTCCTCAGGATAACAGGTCAATCTTATGCCTGAGATAGAACCTAAGAGACTCAACAAGGGGTGAGACTAGTACTAGCCTCTGCACCCACCACCTGCCCCAGTCCTGGGCCAGGCACAGGTAACCCCTCCTAAACGGCATTGCTGCCTCAGCAAGTCTCAGGCACCAGGTAGGAATTCAAGAGAGTTTCCAGGAAGGCACTCTAAATCACTGGGTTTCTGAGGGGCAGCACCGTCACCGGCCCCAGGTAGAGGTTCCACTTGCCTGAGGGCAGTACTGCTTATCAGTAGAGTCACTGTTATGAAACTGAGCTGAAATTGAGTGGCCTTTTTAATAAAAAAGGAAATAGCAATAGCCGCTAGGGCCTGGGTTTAAAGTCAATAACAAGCATTAAATGCACTTAGTACTTGGCACTAATAGGGCTGAACTAAAATGATAGCTATTTTAATTAAAATAAGGTATATGTTACAGGAGCTCTTATCTGAAGGTCTGTACAGGTTCTTAAAATATTCAATTAAAGAGACCATTGTTAATAAACAAAACCTTATTCTGAGAAAATAATGGGCATTCTCTGGTCATAAGAGAGTGGTGAATTCAATGTCTTCATTCATTTATTACACTTTGCACTGTACTGCAGGCCTCTACTCCCTGTGTTCTACTGTAAATCAAAAATAAAATCTTAAGCCCCCCAAATGGCTGAACAGACCCACTTTTGGCCAAGGGGACCCTAGAGAAACCTGAATAATTGAATTCCTGGAGATCATGAGAAAGGAGGTCAGATGCACCTTGTTATATCACCTTTCTTTTGGAATTTAGGCACAACCCACCAGTATTAAGGTTAAACTAGAGATCATAAGACTGACAAAACAGACTGTGGTGATAAGATACCAAATTATAAAAAAGAGCTAGGGCTATGTAAGGCAAGGGTTAGGTCACACCATACAAACCATGAAGTCTCATTAAACATTTTTTTTTTTTTTTATTAAACCAGTACGATGTGACTTACTTTCCAACCTGATTCTGGTATAGCATCATATGATAGATAGCAGACCTTAAGATAAATCAAGATATTTTACCCCAAAATATATTTCTTTGTCATATTTTGAAATGGTTGCCACAGGACCAGCAGACTGAAATGGCCCTGCAAAGCCATCTCTTGAGGGGAAAATTCACATCTGTCTCTGAGAATCTCCATTAATGCAGTCAGACCTTCTCGTTCTAGGCCTTTCTCAGTCTAACAGAGGTTAACTGAGAGTCTGACACCTTCAAAATTCTGTAAAGAGACATTTACCATCTAGTCTCTCTTAAGCCTACTACCTATGAGGTTTCATCTACATAACAAGGGACTTGGCCCCCACAACCCCTTTTTCTCAACTTAAGCATTACCTTCTCTTGACTTCAAGTCTTTAGACAATACCTTAATTCTCTCAACCAATTGTCAGTTCAATAATCCCTAAAATCCACCTATGATTTGCAAGGCACTGCTTTGAGATTTCCCACTTTTTCAGGCTGAACCAATGTATACCTGCTATGTATTGATTTATATATTTGCCTGTAACTCCTGTCTTCCTAAAATGTTTACAACTAAACTGAAAACTGACTGCTTCAGGACCACTTACTCCAAGCTTCTTGGGTTTGTGTTTTTCTCTGGGCCACAGTCACTCGTCTTGGCTCAGAATAAACCGCTTCAAATTGTTTTACATAATTTGTTTTTTACATTAACACTACCTTTCTGAATTCTGTTCACGTTTCAAGACCCAATCAGACTCTGCTTCTTGGAGAGTTCCTCCTTTCATGGGTATTGCCTCTTTTAAACTCATAGTAAGATATATATGAGAGCATCAGCTGGGTGTGGTGGCTCACAACTGTAATCTCAGCAATCTGGGAGGCTGAGGCGGGTGGACAACTTGAGATCAGAAGTTCCAGACCAGCCTGGCCAACATGGTGAAACCCCATCTTTACTAAAAATAAAAATTAACAAGGCATGGTGGCATATGCCTGTAATCCCAGCTACTCGGGAAGTTGAGGTGGGAGGATTGCTTGACCCCAGGAGGCAGAGGTTGCAGTAAGCCAAGTTCATGCCACAGCTCTCCAGACTGGGCAACAGAGTGAGATTCCATCTCAAAAAAAAAAAAGACATATGCGGGAGAATCTAGGAGTAGGAGTATCCATACACTCCTCAACTCCAATCTAAAGAAGAGAATTCAAAATGTATTTGTGAGTATACAGTAACCACTATCTATATTTCTCCCACGCAGTGAAAGGATTATTATAGTCAAATAAATTAACATTTGCATCACCTCACATAGTTAACATTTTTGTGTATTTGGTAAAAGCACTTAAACTTTATTCTCTTAGCAAATGTTTCATATACAACACAGTATTGTTATTAACTGTGGTCTTCATACTATACGTTATGTCTGTTGATGAAAAGAGTCAAACTCTGTAAAATATTTTTAGAGATTTATTCTGAGCCAAATATGAGTGACAATGGCCTGACACAGCCCTCAGGAGGTCCTAAGAACATGTGCCCAAGGTGGTCGGGCTACAGCTTGTTTTTATATATTTTAGGGAGGCACGAGACATCAATCAAATACATTTAAGAAATACATTGATTTGGTTCAGAAAGGCAGGACAAAAAGTGGGGGCTTCCAGGCTATAGGTAAATTTGAACATTTTCCAGTTGACAGTTGGTTGAGTTTATCTCAAGACCTGGGATCAATAGAAAGGAATGTTCAGGTCAAGATAAAGAATTATGGAGATCAAGTTTTATTGTGCAGAGGAAGCTCTCAGATAGCAGACTTCAGAGAGAGATCAGGTTGTAAAATGGGTTTTATTAGACCTAAAAGGGTATCTGGCTCTTAGTTGATTATCCCCTGAATCTGGAAAAAAATGAAGGAAAATAAAGGGGAAATGGGATTCTCTATAGGATGTGGATTTTTCCACAAGAGACTTCGCAGGGCAATTTCAAGGTATGGCAAGGAAACATCTTTTGGGGTAAAATATTTTGATTTTCTTCCTTGTTATGCCAGAGTCAGATTGGAAAGTAGTCATGGTATACAGGGTTAAATAAAACCCATCTGATGAGAATTTATGGCTTGTAGGGCATGACTCCCTAAACCCCCTAGGTAGGAAATTTGGCAAGATAAAAAAATCAGAGCTTAGTCCTCAGTCCCCGCTCTTGGCCAAAAAGCATTCCATAGAATGCATGTTCAGGCCAACAAACAGCAGCATGTCCCATGGCGCTAGGAAGGCTCATTCCTAGCGTTGTCTGATTTGGCCATCTGGCAGGGGCCCACGGTGCTAGGAAGGTTTGTTCCTAGAGTCCTCTGATTTCATGGTAATATAGTTTTAAATATTAGCGATTTGGATAATGGGGGAGGACATAGTTTGACCTGATGTAATAGCCAATTGTTTAAGGGGTGAGATAGAGTCAGGCCTAGAGTTTAGTCTAAAAAGAATCTTAGATCATATCTGTTTTGCAAGCTATCATAATCTGGGTCTTTAATTGTGCCTTCTTCCCTTTGCTGTATCTGGCATAACATTTACAAGAGATATATAATGCTAATACAGTGACAACTACCAAAGAGATAGCAAAGATTAGGTGTCCAAGAAGGTTATAGGTAGAGTCAGAGGGCAGTTAAACAGCCCTATCAGCCAGGAGAAACCCTGCATGCATCATCATATTCTTTGATCCGACTCACCATGTGTTTATCCTCCTTATTAAGGGTTATTTGAATCTCATGATAAATCTTACTTAAAAATTGTAGGGCCAACATTAAATTAGAATTTATTAAACTTAATTTCTCTTCTGGCCAATTTCTCTCCATAGGTATAGCATCCTGAGGAGGGTAAAATTTAAACGCAAGAAACGCCTGGTCGTCAGTGTCTAAATTGTTATAGATGTGTTAACAGTAGACAAATCTATTCTTCCCACCACTTTTGTATTGCACCATATATTGGTATTTGGGAGAGAAAAGGTTTTGTCACAGGAGAAGTTATATAATTCTGCAGTGTTATTTTTCCTTGGCAGGACTCCCTATGGCTGAGGGCCTTTAGAGTCAAAGACTTATAGCCCATTAATTGGTCTAGGTCATATAGGAATGGATATAGACAGGCATTCATAACTTCTTAAAATTATTATTTTAAGTAAAAGAAGACAACAAAACCAAAAGACAAAAGTTACAAGACTGACTCATTTTTAACTTATGTGTTGAGCTACTGTAAGCTTGGTTTCTGTTACAGGCTTACAGCAATTAGCTGTTAATTAGCAATTAAAACATAAGCATTGTTCTAAAAAGTAATTTAAAATACATACATGATAGAGATAGATGATAGATAGATAGATAGATAGATAGATAGATAGATAGATAGATAGAAAGATAGGTAGATAGATAGATTTATCTTCACAACTTAAAATTGGGAGTATTATACCCAGGAGGCTTTGTTACAAGGTATTTTATCCTGTTAGTAAATATTTTCCTTTAATTCTATACCAAGCAGAAAATTTTTATGGTTGGGGTGGATGCAAAAGTGACACATAATAGTTTAGAAGGCAACTAATCTTGTTTTGCCAGCTGTTTGAGCATTTATTGTATCCCTTTCTTGATTCAGAGGGTTTAATGTTGACCTGATTTTATCCCTTGAAACCAGCCCTTAAAATCTTTTGTGCCCACCTCTTCCATGATAGCCCCTGGGCCTAGAGGGAGGCAGCTTGTATAGGTTTGGCAGCAGAGCTTTAGCAGTGAAACAGATTCAGGCCCAGTAGGATGTCAAATGAGGGAGATTCATATCTCTGGTCTTCAGAATACCATGATGTTGGTTTCCTTGGAAGCAAAACAAGGAGAGATAAATAACATTTATAGTTTGACAGTTATAAGAGTAATTCATGTGTTAGAACAGAAAAAGGAACCTATTCCATTAGGGCACTAACTAAAAACATGAAGAAAAAATTATAATCTGGTACCTTCTAGAGGATTATTGTAGCCAAGAAATAATGATTTAATCTGTACTTAAAAGGTTACGGCCGAAATCTAGTATTAGGTGTCACGTTTTTAACTATCATTGAACTTGTGCAGACAACTATACTGTTCTAAAATTACAATCTGAATTTTGGAGAACGCAGAAAGGTACATTTGCTTACAAAAACATACTTTACCCAAATAACTTCAAAGAAAAAGATTTTCCTGACCCTCCTTTAAACAGAGCAGCAGCTTTTAAGACCAGATGTTTGTTTATCTTGGAAATTTTATTTACAAACAAGCAGCTCATTGAGAGCTATTAGGCACTATAGAATTTAGCAGCTTCTTACAATTAGTCCTAGGAGAAAGGCTCTCTGCTTATTAGGTAGCAAGATTCTATGTAAACCATTTTTATTTTGGCACGGAACTTTTTGGAAAACATTAATTCTATTAGTATAGGAGTAGCGTCAGTTAAAGCAAGGCAGTAGATGCCCCATCAAGTAGAACTTCTCTAGCTCAGTCGTTGTTACTGAAAAGTACTCACAATTTTTGCCATCAGCCTCAATAAATGCTGCACACAAAAGGTTACTGAGTGGAAGATTTACATGAGCAGATTGACATGTCTTCAGTTTTATAGTACTAGAAAGGGGAAAACATCCCACAGTTAGATATAGTGCCCATTTTCAAAAGACATTTAGGTAAAAGGGGTTACAACTACCTTACATAAAGCTTGTTTAAACATCTTACATTTTACAATTCTATTAACCTGTGTGTTTTTATATTCTGGTCCCAGGAAGCATTTTTTTTAACCCCCAGGCCATTTTACCATTTCTGGTGAAAAGGGTTTGGGTCCCCAGCAGGGAATTGCATCTGTAAGACCTATGAGGGACAACAGATTTGATAAGGCTTCTTAAACAGACCTATGATTCTGTGGGAGGGGCAGCCATGTAAAAGGGGCTCCCTTAACCCCCAAATTTACCATGACCCAGGTAATAGACATTATTTGGTGGGAGGATATCCCGGTTATCATAAGGCTAGTCCAACATGGCTTACGTATGAAACATATTAGCTGCTTCATCTTGGATACTTCACTTGGTATTTTATAGGGAGAGTTGGGCAGTCCCCTTCTCAGGGAAAACAGATCTTATAATGGCATTACCTGCCTCACTAGGCCAATTGCTTTCTCAGGAATAACCCCCTGTGCATTTGGATAGCATATACTCAGAGATTGTTCAGTAATGAGCTGTGCATCCTGCATTAATTCAAACAAGCTCTTACATTCTGTAGCATTTAAGGTTAAGAATTTTGTCCTTAAAGTGGTTATTTTAAAGAAGCCGAATGATACCAATCTACAAAATGGAACAATTCCTTTACATTACATCCTTTAAGAAGTCCTTCTTACTAACCTTATTACAGCTGACATAGTTCATTCACAGCACGTTTAGACTGTTTTGTCTTAAATATCCCTCTTTCTTGAACAACCTCATTATTTCTATCTTAGGACAAAAATTTACCACACAAGATTCTTTCGTATATAAAATTATTTTTCTTTTTTACCAGAAATACTACTTTACATCTTTAACTTTCTTTACATCTCTTATTTCCTGATTTCTTTACCTTATTTCACATATAACCCTTAAATAAGCTTTGAATTAGACAAAGATACTTTACCTTTAATAAGAACTTTTTTTAAAATGTTTTTTATAATTCTTAAATTGGAAATTGCCCAGATACTTAAGATCAATTAATAACCTTAGATCCTAAATTATGTCAAGTTTGTTTGCAAGCATTTATTCCATTACATTTACCTGATTAATTTAATGAAATAGCGAAGTTCTTGCATAGGAACTTTTTTTTTTTTTTTTTGAGACAGAGTTTTACTCTTGTTGCCCAAGCTGGAGTACAATGGCGCAATCTTGGCTCACCGCAACCTCTGCCTCCCGGGTTCAAGCAATTCTCTTGTCTCAGCCTTGCGAGTAGCTGAGATTACAGGTACATGCCACCATGGCTGGCTAATTTTTTTATTTTTAGTAGAGGCGGGATTTCAACATATTGGTCAGGCTGGTCTCGAACTCCTGACCTCAGGTGCTTCACCCACCTCGGCCTCTCAAAATGCTGGGGTTACAGGTGTAAGCCACCATGCCCGGCCCTTGCATAGGAACTTTTAAAAGAAAATCTCTTCATTTCTAGTAAGTAGGATGTCAGAAGTAAAATGGTAGATCTAAAAAAACTGCCAGTGGCCCGATAGTTATCATTTCATTTCCCAGGTCATTATCACAAATCTGCAAATTAGACTTTCTAATGCCTCTCTGAGGTAGAAAATCCAACTGTCTTTATTTAGTCAAGATGGAAGCAGCGAAAATTGATCTTTGCTTAAATATATTATAACAAATCCTGTTCCTTTACACATTATGGAATCTGCTTTATAGAAACCTCTACCGGAAATGTAAATGTCCCTAGTCATACATAATTTCGTTCTTTCAATATTTTTCTAAGGTAAAAATGAATACAACTGTAAGTCACAGCGACATTCATTAAAAAAAATCTCCCACTCATTGCTATAAAAAATCATCCCTAAGTAGCTTCTACCTTGAAAACTAACATAGGTTCAAATAGTTTACTTTAAAAGGTCTAGCAAGTGTGGTGGTAACATTTTAAAACTTATCTTTTGTTATTAACAGAAGTTGCTTTTATTTTCTAATTGTACCTGTGGTCTGACATTTCCTCTGCACCCATTTCGAGAACTTCTAAACAAAAAAAGAAATCTATGAGCTGACCCCAAGGAGATTGCTGACCAAATCTGCCTGTCACCAGTGACAGTTACAGGTCACTTGGATTTTACAAAAGCAACAAAAAGTAATTTGTTAACATTTCTGGGTTAGGGTTAATTTATGAAAACATTAACCACTTCTTACAATTTCATTTTTCCTCAAGCTTTTTTCTTTTTAAGACTCAATTCTTGCTCTGAGTAGCTGCGATTATAGGAGCCCACTATCACGTCCGGCTAATTTTGTATTTTTAGTAGAGATGGGGTTTCACCATGTTGGCCAGGCTGGTCTCAAACTCCTGACCTCATGTGATCTGCCCACCTCGGCCTCCCAAAGTGCTGGGATTACAGGCATGAGCTACCATGCCCAGCCCATTTTTCCTCAAGCTTTTGATTCCAAAATCTCTGTGAAAACTGCTTAGGCAAAGTGTGCTATCAGTAAAGTCTGCTTTTGTTGTGTCGGTCCCCTCTTTCTGATTCTGTTTCTCTCACCTAGTTGTGCCTCCTGGCCTCTCCTGCTCATCACCCCCAAACTCCTTCTGTTCTCACATTCTGACTGGGCCTCACAACGTTTTCAAAATCTTTGATTGCAGTCTTCTTTCATATTTAGTTGGAAATAATGAAACAACTCTTTATTAATGACTTCAGACATCAGTTTGATTGGTGTCTCCTGAATCCCCTGATATCATAATGCGGCAGTTGATCTGAACTGGGGATTCCTCAAAACAGTTTGGCAATTCTGGTTTTCTCAGTAAATAAACCACAGATGTCCTTGGACGCCAACTGGCAAAGCATGTCTTTGTACTGGGTCCTTTGTACTATTTGAGAAGTGAACAAACCTAGTTACTAAGGCTAGAATCTAAGCTAAATATTCAAACTAAAACTTGTAGAGTAACAACTTAAAGAATAAAACAGAATGGAATGTGGATGGAAATGGATTTCAAGTAAAAGGAAAGAAAAAAGGAAAAGGAGGAAAGACAAAACTATAAATCCAGACCAAAAAATAAAGTTAAAAATATAGGGCAGAATTGAAAGCGAATAGATCACAATCTAAATTTGTAAATTTGTAATCAATTGTAAACGTGTAAATGGACTCTCCCATTAAAAGGCACTCTGGGCAACAGATGCAGCTTTATGCGGTTCACAGGTGTTATTGTTTGGCTGTCTCCCCACCCAAATCTCATCTTGAATTGTACTCCCATAATTCCCACATGTTGTGGGAGGGGCCTGGTGGGAGATAATTTGAATCATGATGGCTGCTTCCCCCATATCATTGTTATGGTAGGGAATAAGTCTCACAAGATCTGATGGCTTTATCGGGGTTTCCACTTTTGCGTCTTTCTCATCTTATCTTGCTACTGCCATGTAAGTAGCGCCATGATCCTGAGGCCTCCCCAGCCATGTGAAACTGGTAAGTCCAATTAAACCTCTTTTTCTTCCCAGTCTTGTCTATGTCTTTATCAGCAGCATGAAAACGGACTAATACAGTAAATTGGTACCCGTAGAGTGGGGCATTGCTGAAAAGATACCTGAAAATGTGGAAGCGACTTTGGAACTGGGTATCAGGCAGAGGTTGGAAGAGTTCAGAGGGCTCAGAAGAAGACAGGAAAATGTAGAAAAGTTTGGAACCTCCTAGAGACTTGTTGAATGACTTTGATAAAAATGCTGATAGTGATATAAACAATAAGGTCCAGGCTGAGGTGGTCTCAGATGGAGATGAGGAACTTGTTGGGAACTGGAGAAAAGGTGACTCTTGTTACGTTTTAGCGAAGAGACTGGTGGCATTTTGCCCTGCCCTAGAGATTTGTGGAACTTTGAACTTGAGAGAGATAATGTAGGGTATCTGGTGGAAGAAATTTCTAAGCAACAAACCATTCAAAAGGTGACTTGGGTGCCATTAAAAGCATTCCATTTTAAAAGAGAAACAGAGCTTAAAAGTTCAGAAAATTCGCAGCCTGAACAATGCAGTAGAAAAGAAAAACCCATTTTTTAAGAAGAAATTCTAGCTGGCTGCAGAAATTCACATAAGTAACAAAGAGCCGAATGTTAATGCCAAAGACAATGGGGAAAATGTCTCCAGGGCGTGTCATAGGTCTTCACAGCCACCCCTCCCATCACAGACCCAGAAGCCTAGGAAGAAAAAATGGTTTCATGGTCTGGGTCCAGGGTCCCCATGCTGTGTGCAGCCTAGGGACCTGGTGCCCTGCATCCCAGCTGCTCTAGCCATTGTTAAAAGGGGCCAAGGTACAGCTCGGCCCATGGTTTCAAAGGGTTCACGCCCCAACCCTTGACAGCTTCCACGTGGTGTTGAACTTGAGGGTGCACAGAAGTCAAGAATTGAGGTTTGGGGACCTTCACCTAGATTTCAGAAGATTTATGGAAACTCTGGCCTACTGGCATGGGTACAGCATGCTTCCTACCTGCTGAGGATGAATGTGATACACAGAGCTATGATGGTTTCTAATGAGTAGTAAAATTCACAAAAGTTTCAAGTTATTCATGTCAGGATCATTCCTTGTGCAAAGTTTGATGTATTAATAAATGAAGATCAAATGGTTTCTTGGTCTGTAATTGCAATTTCATTTTTTAAAGTCAGTAGGTTTTTTGTACAGTTCTATTACAAGCGGCCAAGGTTTAATTTCATCCATCTCCATGAAGTGCTGATAAACATTTTTGTAGGCTTGTAGTCTTTGAATTTAAGGAAGAGAGCCTCACCTTTGGTTAATTTTTTAATATACTTCTGTAGCTCAATGTTCACATTAAAATGAACATATGTATCTTCTTTTCTTAAAGCCACAGGAGTATCTTGCACAGTACTTAAATCTATGTCATTCAGCTCCTTGATACTAACTGTAATATAGCATATTTCAGGCGAATTTTCTCAATTCTAGTAGTGAGTAACACCACTCCTGATTCTGACAACAACTTTGGTAATAAAGTAGTGATATGTGCTGCTTAGCATATTTCAGACCAATGTTCTCAGTTCTAGTAGTGAGTAACACCGCTCTTGGTTCTGATAGCAACTTTGGTAATAAAGTCATGATATGGTTTGGCTCTGTGTCCCCACTCAAATCTCATCTTGAATTGTACTCCCATAATTCCCACATGTTGTGGGAGGGACCCGGTGGGAGATAATTGAATCATGGAGGTGGTTTCCCCCATACTGTTCTCGTGATAGTGTATAACTCTCACGAGATTTGATGATTTTATCAGGGGTTTCTGCTTTTGCATCTTCCTCATTTTCTCTTCGGCTGCTGCCATCTTTGTAAGATGGGACTTACTCCTTCTTGCCTTCCGCCATGATTGTGAGGCTTCCTCAGCCACGTGGAACTGTAAGTCCAATTAAGCCTCTTTCTTTTGTAAATTGCCCAGTCTCAGGTATGTCTTTATCAGCAGTGTGAAAACAGACTAATACAAGTAGTAGCGTACCAGGAACTCTAGCGGGAAAAGAATCGGGAGACCCTGCTCCAGCACCACCCTGTTCTTCATCTTCTTCAAATTCCAAATACTGTTTTTCATCAGGTACTAAAGTTCTTTTTAAGGGGACAGGCTGAACGTCAAATGGAAATTCTTTATTATATGTAAAAATATTCTTTAGGATTAGTTACAGTTTCTTCAGGTCCTCCGATTTCAGTTCTTCTTGAAACTGTGTGGAATGTAAAGCTGCACTTCACAATTCCAAGCGTGTTGCAACATTGCCTGTGGGTTTCTTTTGTTATTCTGTGAATTCTCGCGTTGAGCTTGGGCCTCTTTTTGTAGAAGTCTTGCTAATATCAGATACTCATCTATCACTTCCACCAGCTAGCTCCAAGAGTCAAAGCTGGTGCCTCTCCTAAAACTGGCTCCCCAGTGCTGTAGTAGACTCTGGGTCACGAAGGTGACCACTCTTTACCCTGTCCCCTTCTGTTCCTACTCCAGCGGGCTTTCAGGCACCATCCTGGCTGGGCCTGACACCAGTATTGACAGGGCCAGGAGGAACCACTATAGCAAACTCTGCCACCTTCCAAGGAGCCACGCAAGCTTATTTGCAACCACTCTTCTCTTTTTTTCCTCTCTTTATTTCTTTTTAGTGTGATTGTGGTATTTATTTGCGGTATAGTAGGTTCATTTGTTTCACATTGCTTTCAGTTTTTGATTGTTCCTCCTTCCCATGCTTACTGATTAATCTTACATTTCTAATATGTAGGACAAATACTTTAAAAGCCAAAACTGTACAAAAGGAGGAAGGGCTTCAAGATGGCTGACTAGAGGCATCTGGTACTGCCACCTCCACACAGAAGAACCAACATAGTGAGTAGTTATCCACTTTGAATAGATCATCTGAGAGAACACTGGAATTCAACAGAGAAGTGACAAGAAACACTTAAAGCAAGGAAGAAGGAATTGAGGCAGCCTGCTGGGCTGGATCAACTGGGAGCCTGGAGGGGCTCCTCAATGTAGGACAGAGTAAGTGTGAGATCCCAGCAGTCCACGTTCTCACCACAGGCTCCTGCAATCCTAGCCACAGGGAAGCCCCTCCATCCAGAGACTAAGATAGGGCACAGCCTGGAGGTCGCAGGACGGCATGCTGGATACAACCCCATCCCTAATAGCACAGTGCATACAGAGAGTCCAGTTCCCACCAAAGGGCATCATGCCTGGGGGCTCAACAGCCCTGCCCCCACACATCCTCCACACATCCACATTCCCTGCCCGCAGCCCCTGCTGTGACTGGCTGGTGCTATTGCAGCCAGGGCTGAAGCGTGAGCCATTCCAAAGACCCTACTGACTCCACTGCCCCCAGCAGTGAAGATGCCATGCATTTTCACATGTCCTGAGGACAAATTCCCCTGCCCACAGGAGCCGCTACAAGAGCCAGGGCCAAAGTGTGAGTTCCCCAGCTGCCTGCTTAGGGCTGCTGCCACTGAAAACAACCCCACCCCGCTGAGTAGCAGGGCTGCAGCACAGCTGCTGCTGCCCCCACCCCTGCATTTCACCTTGGTCCTAGGGATCACCCTGCCCCTGCCTATCAGAGCCCCTGCATGCACCACTGAGGGCCCTAAGGTCAGGTCTTCCTGGCCAGCTCAGCCCCTCCAGTGCCAGAGCATGCTGTCCCATCTGGGAACCTAGGGGCCACTCAGTGCTCAGTTGAGTCCACCACTGGTGTCACCTGTGCACTCCTGTCAGGGGCCTGAGGTCAGGCCCACCCAACCTGCTACTGCCACCACAGCTGGCACCCACTGCCCGTGATCTGGGAACTGGCTCTCAGCCCATCACAGCCAACACCAGCACCAGTGTGGACAGCGTGGGAGCTGAGGTTTGTTCAGCCTCTGCTACTGCCATCACCCACACCACACCCACTGTCCAAGGCCTTGAGAACCTGCCCACTGCTGCCACTGCTGGCACAGGAGCAGGACACCAGGAGGCCCAAGAACCAGCCCACCTGAACCAGCTAATGCCGGGGCCAGAGTGTGCTGCCCTGGGGCCCAAGGGCAGGCTCCCTCAGTCTGCCACTGCAAACACAGGCCCCGGGACAGGACCACTTGATATCCCTGTACCCAGCAAAACTTTACCACAGCCTATCTAATAACAGGAATTGGGACCTGAAAAGACAGCAGTACTAAATTCTGAATTGATCCTTTCAAATATTTTGATGTGTTGACTTTCCACAGAACAGGGAGACATTACATGTATTCCCTAGCAGTGAAGCAATAAGAAAAGTGACTAAACTCATAATAAAAGGCCCAAATGAAAGCTTTTCTGTAAGAAAAAATTAGACTAGTGTTATTTCCAGTGTTACCACATACCCTAAATGCAAACAAACTATCTTGAAATAGAAAGGATAAGAAGAGAATCAATGAAAAGGGCTAAAGCTGAGCTTTGTTTTTCAAATATCTGAAAAGCTGTTGAGTTTTTCAATTTTACATACAAATGTGTTGTAAAAACGTGCAGCCTGATTAGCAAGCAATAAAACTATCTTGCCAAGTAGTTTTAAAGGTCTAAGCTCTTTAGTAATTTAAGAAGAATCTGCATCAAGCTAGAAGACACTGCTTCTTCAAATAAATTACACACAATCTTTTACGTTTGGGTTTTATAGCTTTAATTGAATGTTTGCACCACTTATAATGTCACAGTGTTTAAGATTTAACTTAACAATTGCCATCTGAAACTTCTCACGTTATCCTGTAAGTCTTCTAACAAGGTTCAAGTGTGTGTGTGTGTGTGTGTGTGTGCATTTTTTCTAGATTTTTATTTTAGCAAGTCACAACAGAACACTATTTTCTGGTTTTAACTTTGATGCAATGGCATTAATTATTTATTCTGCAATTATGGAGCACTGGATACATACTAGACATCATATTTGTCACTGGCGTACTAAGATAAATGGGTCGCCATCTTGCACTCGTAAAATTTACAAGGTAACGAGGGATACAGAGATAGGCTGCTAGGAATAAGTTTT
The DNA here is from genome assembly GCF_000001405.40 of Homo sapiens. NCBI lineage: Eukaryota > Metazoa > Chordata > Mammalia > Primates > Hominidae > Homo > Homo sapiens. Next base: position 1,931,654 of record NC_000018.10, read on the forward strand.
CCTACATTGATCTGAACAGCTATCAAATCCATTTTTATCAAGTATCTTGGTTTTTAGAGTTAAACGGGTCCTCAAAACTCATTCTTTCATCTTTTTAAAAAAAGGAAAACTAGGTTGAAGCAGATTATAATTTGCCCAAGTGTCCTTATTACCCCAGAACTGGAAATAAATATCCACCTTCAAGTCTAAAGCTTTTTCTGTTGATAAAATCTTAGAGGCACACTATTTATTATACAGAACCAAACATTAAATGGTTTTTGGTTAGCAGCGAAGCCAACTCCTGAGAATGATTATCTCATTTTTATATAAAATATGACATTAAATAAACATGAACAAAATTAATATTACTACATAATTTTGATGTAATATAATTTTATTTTATCATTTTTGTATTTACTAATTCACTAAAATACATTAAAATAATTTTTAAGTAATTTATTCTATATGGGTTTTACCTTAATTATATATATTTGTACTTAATTAATTTGTTTTATACCTCCCAAAAAATGGTTAAAAAAAAGACACATTTGAAGGTTACATCACGCATTTAGATAAGGAGTAGAAAAGTAGTTAAACTCAAATGTGCTTACATTTGTATCAATAATTATAAAAATATTTAACCTGCAGCACAGAAGTTAAGGATATGTTACCTGCTTTAAAGATTAGAGCTTCAAAAATGGGCTCATATCATATTACAGAGCTTTTTTTCCCACTTGATATATTGAATACTACTACTAAATAATAGTTCTTTTGTTTCTATGGTTTTTATGACCAGAGCTTGTGTATTGAGAGTTTGGTATTTTTGTTTCAATCTATAGCTGTTAAAAGCCACAGAATATGTAGTACCAAGGGAAATCGCGGGAGACAAAAGCTTCTTGATCAATATAAAATGACTACCAGCCTAGACCATCCAGGCTGTCAGTGTATAGTTTTAATGAAGTGAATATCTAGCAAAATGATACTTTACTTTTAATATCACCACCTATTTGAAATATGTATGTCTACGTCCAAAGAAAGAACTAACAGAGAAGACCTGAATTTAGTTTCCCAAGTAGAGGTTAAATTATTCTTTTAGTAGCAAAGCACAGTCCAGCATCAATTATAGAAAAAATTCTTTCCTACATAAAAAATGCTCACAGATGTAAAAATATGAAACTAATGTTGTTTCCTCTCTTTCCTGAACCGAACAATACGCTTAAAAAATATAAAGCTCATGATTCACATGAAACATTTTCTAGTGCTGGACAGCAAGTTGGACGGCACCTAATGTCAGGAATTCATTGATTCCTTAGGAAGTACTCTCTGTTATAGTCAATAATAGTACCAAAAATTGAAGGTTTAAAAATTTTTCATTCTTTACTCGCCAGTAACTACTTACTGCATACCCATCTATATGCCAGGCACATTTCCTTTATAGTGAATGTAGGCACTATTCGCTTAATACTGAATATAAGGAAATTGAGACTAACTCCAGAGTGGTTAAATGAATTCTTTAAGGAGATAAAGCAAGTAAGTGACAAAAAGATGTTCTTTCTAACTCTGAAATCTGATGTCTTTCCTTATGTTTGTTTGCCCAGGCAATTTGAGGTGGTAATCCATTTCACTATTGTATGACAAGGAAATCGGTTCTAGGCCTGTCTCCGCCACTATCCAGCTGGGTGACATTAGGGCTGATTACTTAACCTCTTTGAGCCTTAGTTTCCACATTTACTCTGAATCATATAGGTAGATCTCAGAAAAAAGTCAATTTAACAGAGATTATAGGAAGGCAATTTTTAATTAATGTAACATGTCATTTAAATGTGTAAAGAGAATTTATCATCATGTTCATAGAATATATGTGATTATTTTCAGACTATTATTTTATAAACCATTTAGAAAGAAAAAAAGGTCACCATTAAACTAAACTATGACCAAGTCACTTTCTTTCTGTGATATAAATTCCTTGATGAGTACAAAGAAAAAGGTGTCACCATTAAACTAAACTGTGACCAAGTCACTTTCTTTCTTTGATATAAATTCCTTGATGAGTAGCAACACGATATGGAGCACCATCAAGATTGCGGGCAGGGCATTCTGTGAGTTCACAGGTGGTGGTGCAGGCAGGGAAGGCAAATTCATATGCAGAATACCTGTTCGTCCCAGTGAGGACAAGTCTGCCTGCTTCATAATGTGAAAGGTCAATGTATTCAGCTACCTACAGGTGGCTGGCAGGTCCCACAAGCAATGGTGCCATCTTAGGGGCTCAATGTTAGTATCTGTTTTGGCAGATTAGACACTCAGCAGTAACAACAGCCAAATCAGACAACAAAGGGATGCCATGTTGTAGACTTCATACATATCAGACAACAAAGGGATGCCATGTTGTAGATTTCATACACAGCCTTCATTGCTGCCACCATGGCCACTATGTCCATGGGCCCATTGAGCAAGCACTGGGGTGGCTGATGAAAGAGGCTAACTGACATCCTCTGAGTCCTTCATTTTGTCCTTCTAATTAGCAGGCCCCTCCTTAGTAAGATGCCCTTTTGTGGTATTCACATGAGACATACCTATCTTCATAGTCTGTGCCAACTCCAAGCAATCCAGCTACATGCCTCTCCCCCAGACTTCCTTTTCACCCATTTCACAATCCTGTTTCTTCCAAGCCACTGACCATTCAACCAGACCTAGCAACTGCCCTCAAACTGTTGCAGACACACAGTTGACCCTTTAACAACACAGGAGTTAAGGGCAGAGACACTAATGAAGTCGAAAATGCATGTATAACATTTGGCTTTCCCAAAACTTAACTATTAATAGCCTACTATTGATGGAAAGCCTTATCATTAACATAAACAATCAATTAACACATATTTTGTGTGTTACATGTATTATATACTGTGTCCTGACAATAAAGGAAGCTAGAGAAAAGAAAAAGTTATTAAGAAAATCATAAGGAAGATAAAATATATTTACCATTTACTAAATGGAAGTGAACCATCATGAAGATCTTTATTCTCATTATCTTCACATTGAATAAGCTGAGGAGGAGGAAAAGGATTGTTTTTGCTGTCTCAGCAGTGGCAGAGAAGAAAATCCTTGTACAAGTGGACTTGCACACTTAAACCTTTGTTGCTTAAGGGCCAACAGTATACTTCTGGCAACTCACTTCAAACTAAGCATCCAAATTTTGCCCACAGGGAAAATTTTCCTTCACTGCTTTCCTTCACGATCACCTCTGAGTGGGGCTAAAACGCTGCAGTCATCCTCTTTCAGTTGACATCAGCATTTCTTGCAGACCTACCTATCTGAAGCTAAGCTTTGAATTTTTTCTTCTTTAGTCAACTGATCATAAGATACTTCCCGTATGGTGGCCGGGTGTGGTGGCTCATGCCTGTAATCCCAGCACTTTGGGAGGCCGAGGTGGGTGGATCACCTGAGGTCAGGAGTTCGAGACCAGCCTGGCCAACGTAGTGAAAACCCCATCTCTACTAAAAATACAAAAAAACTTAGCCAGGGGTGGTGGTGGGCACCTATAATCCCAGCTACTTAGGAGGCTGAGGCTGGAGAATCGTTTGAACCTGGGAGGGAGAGGTTGCAGTGAGCTGAGATTGTGCCATTGTGCTCCAGCCTGGGTGACAAGAGAGAAACTCAATCTAATAAATAAATAAATAAATAAAAAGATACTTCCCGGTTGTATTGAGACGAGGCAATGCAACAGAAGTTGGTGATAGAGGAGTCTGAGTCACCCACTCACAACTTATTTGTACTTTCTATACCTGCCTAAGTCAATTGCCTCTTATGCCCTTTCCGCTTAGTGATAAATCACTAATGCTTATACCCATGTGTATGGCTTGCTAGATAAAATGATATCCACTTCATTACAGGAAACTTAGGCTTCATGATCAACTGGTATCGCATAAACACTCACTCTCTAGCAAGACCTGAGTAGCTTGCAGAAAGCCTGGAAGGAAACAGCACAAGGCCCAATAGTAAAACCCAAGAACTTGAAACTGATACTAAATATGTGTAATGTTTTAAAGGAATAAACATAACAAGGAAATGAAGGAAGGACATATTTAAAAAAAAATAATTCCCAGAGCTAAAAAAAAAAAAAAAAACAATTATCTAAAGTGAAAAATCCACAAAATGGACTTAGCTGAAGTTTAGATCTGGCTGAATAAATGAATGACTGGTTAACTTAAAGACACTACAATAGAAATGATCCAAACTAAAGCATTCAGAGAAATACAGTTGTTTTCTTTAAAAAAAGGAAAGCCTTAAGAAAATGAAAATGTGTGAGGCACTATCAAGCAATCCAAAATCTGTTTAATTGGAGATCTAGAAAGGGAAAGAGTAGATAGAAAGTACATTTTAAAAAATAATTGCCAAAAAACTTCAAATTTGATGAAAACTTAAACCTGAATTCCAAAAATCTGAACAAACCCTAAGCAAAAACAAAAAAGAAACACAACTCAACATACATGATAATTAAAAGGGGAAAAAAAAACTAACAAATGACTGTGATAAAGGAAAAAAAAAAATCTGAAAAACTGCCAGAGGAAAAAGAATACATTACAAATAGGGGAATATAGATACTACTACCACAAACAGAAATATCACAACAAAAACAAGTTTAAAATATAGGAAAAATATCATGAAAACTTTAATTATTAGAATGATGCTATATTAATATCAGACATAGAAAAATTTAGCACAGGAAATATTATCAGAGATTAGGAAAAATGTATATGTCATAATGATAAAGGGGTAAACCCATCAAAGACATAACAACCCTTCTAACTAAGAATGTAGCTGATAGCAGAGCTCCAAACTACATAGAACAAAAGCCAATAGATGTGGAAGATCAATTAGACAAGCCCACACTTAACGCAAGGGATTTCAATTATTTCTTTTTTTAATAATTGATTGAACAAGTAAATATTGAACAAGTAAAGAGGAATCAGCATGGATAGAGAAGAACTTAAAGCTGTCAATCAATTCAACCTAACTGAAATTAATAAAGTATATCCAGCAGTGGCAGAATTCTTTTTTTCTTCAAATTCATAAGAAACATTCACCAAATCAGACCAAGACATTATAAGAATTTGGAGTTGCAGATGATAAAGAAAAATGTATAACTTTAATTACTAATTTTAGAAAAGAAGAATGTTTTCAAATCAATTCCAATCAGTACAGTAAGGCCAGATGAAATGAAAGTATCTAGATTTAAACAGAAGTAAAACTGTCTTATTTTGCAGATTACATAATTATGTGTGTAGAAAATCTGAAAGCACCTACAAGACCACTACTAGAATTAATAAAGCAAACTTAATAAGGGCACATGATAAAAGATTAATATACAAAAATTATTTCAGTATTACTAGTAATAATCAATTAGAAAATGAAATATGGACAAACAGCTTGCAATAGTATAAATATATATAAAATAGTTTGAGAGAAATGCAAGATAAGTGCTTAAGATCGACAGAACGTTGCTCAGAAAAATAAAGTAGTTCTACAAAATGTAGACAGGCATGTATATACTTTGAAACATTCAATTTTTTTTCAAGCCGAGCTATAGATTCAGTGCAATTCTAATCAAAATGTCGTGTTTTCCACAGAGATCAACAAATTAATTCTAAAATTTAAACTGAAATGCAAAAGATATAAAATAGCAAAGTAAATTTTAGAAAGGAGAAATAAAATTTGACCCCACTTTAATTTTTTTTTTTATTTCCAACCTTTATTTTAAGTCCAGGGGTACATGAGCAGGATGTGCAGGTTTGTTACCCAGGTAAACGTGTGCCATAGTGGTTTGCCACACAGATCATCCCATCACCCAGGTATTAATCCCAGCATCCACTAGCTATTTTTCCTGATCCTCTGCATCCTCCCAGCCCGCAACCTCTGACAGGCTCCAGTGTGTGTTGTTCCCCTACACCATGTATCCATGTGTTCCCGTCATTTAGTTCCCACTTATAAGTGAGAGCATATGGTATTTGGTTTTCTGTTCCTGTACTAGTATGCTAAGGATAATGGTCTCCAGCTCCATCCATGCCCCTGCAAAGGATATGATCTCATTCCTTTTTATGGCTGCATAGGATTTTATGTTGTATATGTACCACATTTTATGTTGTATATGTACCACATTATCCAGTCTAGTTGGTGAGCATTTAGATTGACTCCATGTCTTTGCTGTCATGAATAGTGCTGCAGTGAACATATGCATGTATGTGTCTTTATAATAGAATGTTTATATTCCTTTGAGTATATATCCAGTAATGACATTGCTGGGTAAGAATGGTATTTCTCTCTCTAGGTCTTTGAGGAATTGTCATACTGTCTTACACAATGGTTGAACGAATTTACACTCCCACCAACAGTGTAAAGGCATTCCTATTCCTATTGTTGTTTCCTACCTTTTTAACAATCGCCATTCTGACTGATGTGAGACGGGATCTCATTGTGGTTTTTATTTGCATTTCTCTAATGATCCGTGATGTCAAGCTTTTTAAAATACGCTTGTTGGCTGCATGTATTGGACTCCACTTTTAATGATACATTTAAAATTGGTGTAATCAAGACTGCACAGTGTTTCTAAAAGGATAAGTGTATAAATCAATAGAACACTATAATGAGACCACAAATAGACATGTACGGTCAATTGATTTACTATAAAGTTATCAATGCCTTTTTGGAGTTGGGAAATAATAGTCTTTTCAACAAATAGTGATCCATATAGAGAACAATAAACATTGACCCTCATCTAACTACATACACAAAAATTAACTCAAAATAAATCATACACCTAACACAAAAGCTAAAATCCATAACTTTTAAAAGAACACCTAGGAAAAAAATCTTTCAATCTTACAGTAAGCAAAGGTTTCTTACCTAGGTAACAAGGACGAAAATCTCCAAAATGATTGATAAAATTAACTGAATCTAATTTGTTAGAAGCTATTCCTCAAAGTACACCAAAAAGAAAATGGAAATGCAAGTTAGGATGTAAATATCCTGTGTATACATTTGTATTTTATGGTCATTAGATTAACAGAAAATAAGCATAGAATAAATAAAATTTCCAAAGACAATAGTCAGTTCCATAATAAAAACTAATAAAATTTACGAATCTCTGGTGTGTCTTGAGAGAGCAAGAAAGAGAGAAAGAGAAGAAGCAGAGAGAAAACAAATGAACATTATTAAGCAATAAAAGGAATATAACTCATACATAAACACACTAATAACATTGAAGTAGAATTTGTAAACATTTTATAACAATAAAATTGAAAACTTAGATGAAATAAATATCTATATATTCTAGTTTTGAAAATACATAACTTCAAAAGTCATGGATATTATGAAAGAGAAAACCTGAATAATTCCAACTTACACAAATATTATCCCAGTGCGTGGAAAAGACTCTACATGTCGTTTTTCAGTATAGAATAATCTTAATACCAAAATCTTTCTCTTAATGTACAGACACTAAGAAAAAGGAAAGTTGCTTTTCAACCTCACTCACAAGCATAGATGAAAAATTCTAACAACTGTATAAATTAGCAAACAAATCCAACAATATGTAAGCCAATAATACCTCTTGACTCAAGGATATAAGAACAGGTCAACACCAGAAATTCTATTAATGTACTTCATTCCATTTACATATTTTAAAAAGGAAGGAATATTACATCATTTGTAATTAAAAACTCCTTTTTATAAATTTTATTGTATAAATTTAAGGTATACAATGTGATGTTATGAGATACATATAGATAATAAAAAATGGTTACTAGAGTGAAGCAAATTAACATATCCATCATTTCACATGGTAACCTTTTTTCTATAGAAAAAGCAGCTAAAATCTATTCATTTAGCAAAAATCCCAAATGCAATATAATGTTACTAACCATAGTTCTTGTACATTAGGTCTCTAGACTTGTCCCTCCCTACATATCTGCTATTTTGCATTATTTTCCTGCCCTGACCACACCCCCTGGTAACCACTGCTTTATTTTCTATCTCTGGACATTTAAATTTTTTTTTTAAGGTTCTACATATAAGTGAACTTGTAATATATTTCTTTCTGTGTCTGGCTGATTTTGGTTAACACAATGTCCTCCAGGTTCATTCATGGCAAATGGCAGGATTTCAATTTTAAGGCTGAATAATGCTCCATTGTGTGTGTTATGTGTGTGTTGTGTGTGTGTGTGTATCACAGTTTTTTTTTTTTTATTTATTTGACCATTGATAGACACTCAGGTTGTTTCCATATCTTGGCTATTATGACTACTGTTGCAATGAACATAGAAGTGCAGATATCTTTAGAAGGTTGTGATTTCCTTTCCTTTGGGTGTATATCCAGCAGAACGATTGCTGGCTCATATGGTTGTTCTACTTTTAATTTCTTTAGAAGCCTCTTGATACTGTTTGGATGTATGTGCTCTCCAAATCCCATGTTGAAATTTGATCTCCAATGTTGGAGTTGGGGCCTGGTGAGAGGTGTTTGGGTCATCGGAGTAGATTCCTCATGAATGGCTTGGTGCTGTCCTCACAGGAATGAGTGAGTTCTCATTCTATTAGTTACCACCAGATTTAATTGTTAAAAAGAGCCTGGCACCTCCCCCAGCTCTCTTGCTCTTTCTCTTACCATGTGACATGCCTGCTCCCCCTTTGCCTTCTGCCATGAGTAAAAGCTTCTTGAAGCCTCACCAGAAGCCAAGCAGACGCTGGTGCCATGCTTCTTGTACAGCATGAACTGTGAGCCCAATAAACCTCCTTTCTTTATAAATTACCCAGCCTCAGATATTTCTTTACAGCGATAAAAAATGGACTAATACAGAAAATTGGTACTGGGAGTGGGGCATTAATGTAAAGATACCTGAAAATGTGGAAAGGCTTTGGAACTGCATAATAGGCAGAGATTGAAAGAGTTAGGAGGCCTCAAAGGAAGAAAGGAAGATGAGGGAAATTTTGGAACTCCTTAGAAACTTGTTAAGTGGTTGTGACCAAAATACTGACACAAATATAGATAGTGAAGGTCAGGCTGAAGAGGTGTCAGATGGAAATAAGGAACTTATTGGGAACTGGAGCAAAGGTTATCCTTGTTATACCCTAGCAAAGAACTTGGCTGCATTGTGTTCATGTCCTAGGGCTCTGTGGCAGGTTGAACTTAAGAATAATGACCTAGGGTATCCGGTGGAAAAAATTTCTAAGTGGCAAAACATTCAAGAAATGGCACGGCCAGTGAGCCGAGAGCGCGCCACTGCACTCCAGCCTGGGTGACAGAGCAAGACTCCATCTCAAAAAAAAAAAAAAAAAAGAAATGGCATGGCTGCTTCTAACAGTCTGTAATCAGATATGGTAGCAAAGGAGGGACTTAAAGTTGGAACTTCAAATTAAATGGGAAGCAGAGCCTAAACATTTGGAAAATTACCGATGTGGCTGTGTGGTAGAAAAGGAAAGAGCATTTTCAGAAGAGGAACACAAGTGGGCTGTGCTGTGGAGCAAGCACTTGCTACAGAGATTAGCATGACTGAAAGGCAGCCAGGTACTAACAGCCAAGACAATGAGAAAGAGGCCTCAAAAGCATTTCAGAAGTCTTCAAGATAGCCCTTCCCATCGCAGGCCAAGGGGCCTAGGAGAATGGAATGGATCTGGGGACCAGGCCCAAGGCCCCACTGTCCTGTGCCTCTTCAGGATGTTCCCTGCATCTTGGCTGCTACAGCTACAGCCACAGCTCAAATGGCCACCAGTACTGCCTGGGGGTACCACTAAGCCTTGGCTGCTTCCATATGGTGTTAAGCCTACAGATACACAGACTGTACAAGTGAAGGAGGCTTCACAACTTCTACCTAGATTTCAGAGGACGTATGGGAAAGCCTCAGTGGCTACACAGAAACCTTCCACAATGGCAGAGCCCCAACAGAGAGCCTCTACTAGGGCAGTGCCAAGGGAAAGTGTGGAATTAGAGTCTCCACACAGAATACCCACAGGGAAACTGCCTATTGAAGCTGTGGGAATGGTGCTGCTGTCCTCCCAGATCCCAGAATGGTAGAGTCACGGGCAACTTGCCCCCCTCAGCCTGGAAAAGCTGCAGGCACCAGACCCCAACTCATAAATGCAGCCATGTGTGCTGAACCCAGCAAAGCCATGGGGGCAGGGCTATCTGAGGTCTCAGGAGCCCGCCCCTCACACCAGGATACAGAACATGGAGCCAAGAAAGATTGTTTTGTAGCTTTAAGGTTTAATTTCTGCCCTGTTGGGTTTCAAACTTGCATGGGAACTATCGCCCCTTTCTTTTGGCTGATATCTTTCTTTTGGAATGAGAACGTTTACCCAATACCCGTACCACCATTGTACCTTAGAAGTAAATAACTTGTTTTTAGTTTTACAGGCTTATAGGTGGAAGGAACTTGCCTTGAGTCTGTCAATGAAAAGAGTCAAACTGTAAAATATTTGAAGAGATTTATTCTGAGCCAAATATGAGCGACCATGGTCTGTGACACAGCCCTCAGGAGTTCCTGAGAATATGTGCTCAAGGTGGTTGGGGTGCAGCTTGGTTCTATATATTTTAGGAAGGCATGAGACATCAATCAAATACATTCAAGAAATACATTGGTTTGGTTTAGAAAGGTGGGACAACTCAAAGCAGGGGCTTCCAGCCTATAGGTAAATATAAACATTTTCTGGTTCACAATTGGTTGAGTTTCTCTAAAGACCTGGGGTCAGTAGAAAAGAATATTCAGGTTTAAGATCAAGGATTGTGGAGACAAAGTTTTATTGTGCAGAGGAAGCTCTTAGATAGCAGACTTTAAAGAGAGCAGGTTGTAAATTGTTTTTTATTGCACTTAAAAGGATGCCTGGCTCTTAGTTGATTATCTCCCGTATCTGGGAAGGAAGGAAGAAAAAGGGACAAGGAGGTTCTGTATAGAATGTGGATTTTTTCCCACAAGAGACTTTGCAGGGCAATTTCAAGATATGGCAAGGAAATATATTTTGGGGTTAAATTTTTTTTTCCTTGTCTCATAATGTTATTCCAGAGTCAGGTTGAAAAGTAAGTCACAATATATAGGGTCAAATAAAACCCATCTGATGAGAATGTGTGGCTTGTAGGGCATGACTCCCTAGACCTATTCCTAATGGTAGAAATTTGTGTAAGATAAAAAATCAGAGCTTAGTCCTCAAGTCTTAAATGAGACTTTGGACTTTGGACTTTTGAGTTGATGCTGGAAGGAGTTAAGACATTGGAGGACTATTGGGAAGGGATGATTGTATTTTGAATGTGAAAAGCACATGAGATTGGGGGGTCAGGGGTAAACTGATATGATTTGAATGTGTGTCTCCTCCAAATCTCATGTTAAAATTCGATCTCAAATGTTGGAGTTGGGCATAGCAAGAAGCGTTTGGGTCATGGTGGTGGATCCTTCATGAATGGTTTGTTGCTGTCCTCACAGTAATAAGTGAGTTCTCACTCCATTAGTCACCATGAGATCTGATTGTTAAAAAGATCCTGCCATCTCTGCCCTCATCTTGCTCCCTCTCTCACTATGTGACACAGTTACTCCCCCCTTGCCTTCTGCATAAGTAAAAGCTTCCTGAGGCCTTACCAGGAGCCAAGCAGATGCTGATGCCATGCTTCTTGGACAGCTTGCAGAACCTGCCACCAAATAAACCTCTCTTCTTTATAAATTACCCAGCCTCAGGTATTCTTTACAGCAACACAAAATGAACTAACATAATTCCATACTGTTTTCCATAATCACTGCACCAATCTACACTCCCACTAACAGTGTACAATGGTTTTTTTTACTTTATACCCTCAACCAGTACTTATCTATTGTCTTTTTGATTATAGTCAACCTAATGGGTGAGAGGCAATATCTCATTGTGGTTTTAATTGCATTTTCCTGATGATTTGTGAGGTGGTACATTTTTTAATATATTTGTGGGCCATTTTTATGTCTTCTTCAGAGAAATGTCTATTCAGGTCCTTTGTTCCTTCATTTTTTAATCATTTGTTTGTTCATTTTTTTTCAGTTGTAAGAGTTCTTTATAAATGTTAGATATTAATCCCTTATCAGATGTATGGCTTGCAAATATTTTTTCCCAATCAGTAGGTTGGCTTTTCATTGTGTTGATTGCTTCTTTTGCTGTACAATATAGTAAAAATTCTTAGGAAAGCAGCAATGGAACGTAAGAGGCTTATGCTGATAAAAAATAACTATACAAAACCTAAAATATACATTTTATTTAAGGGTGCAAAATTCAAAAGAATTTTTTTAATTTAAGGAACAAGGCAAGTAGATGAACTATCACAGGTTCTAATAAATATTATACTGGGGATCCCGGTAGCACATGAAGACCAAAAAAGAAATAAACATTACAAAATTAGGAAAGGAAAAAATAATAATGTCATTTTCTGCAAAGGAATCTACATGAGTCAGGATATCAGACCCAGTATATCCTCAGTCATGTTTAAGTATATGAAATTATCTGGATTAAAATTAATACACAAAAATTAATTGTGTATCTATATGCCAAGAATAAAGATTTAGAAAATGAAATTTAAAATTACCATTTATCATAGGTAATATCAGAGACTAAACTACACAGGAATTTGTCAAACAGAAGATTTCTAGAATTCTACAGAGAAAATCATAAAACTTTATTGGCAGACATTTAAGAGAGCCTAAATAAAAGGAGAAATATGCCATGTTTATAGATTGCAAGTCTCAGTATAATAAAGACATCAGTTCTCCGAAAATTGATCTATAGTTTCAATGCCATTCCAATAAAATCCCAACAGAGTGTTTATGAAGCCTGGCAAGCTGACTTTAAAATTGATATGGTAGATTAAAGGGCCTAAAATTGCCCCCACAAAAAATTTGCAAAAGAACATAATGAGAATTGCCTTAACATATATCAATAATATCTATGAAGCTATAATTAAGCTAGTATAGTATAAGCACAAGGATAAACAAATTGGACAATAGAATAAAAACCAAAATCTCAGAAAGAAATCTACCCATAAAGAATGAAATTTGCTTTATCACATAGCTGGAAATCCAGATCTTTGAAGAAATATCTACTTTTCAATAAATGTGGCAGAAATTAGGAATCTACCATAGAACAACACAAAGTTAGGTCCCTGCTTCTTATAATACCTGAAATTCAATTCCAGTGGAATTAAGGTCTAAGTGTGAAAGGCAAAATTATAAAATTTTACAAGACAATAGAAGAAAAATTTCTATAACTTTGGGAAAGATTTCTTAAACAAGATACAATAGCATATATTGAGGAAGTCACAAAACTTTGAAGCTACAGTTTAGCCATATTAGCCACTTTGAGTTTGAAATATCACAGGATGAGTAGAGGGCATGGAGTAGAGAGGAGGAAAGCAGTGGTTACTCTATGGAGGAAGAGTAGGAGCCAAAGGCCGAGAGCTTCAATAATTTCTGAAAATAGTAATCAACTCAGATGACAAAAATAAAGAGTGTATGATGGTAGTACGGTTGCAGGGCATAGCCTCAAAAAAGGCTAAGGTTTTGCTTGAAGGAGGATTAATACCACCTAAGGGCCACAGTGGAATACTGTGAAAATGGCTGCTACTTGGTTCAGTAGTATATGGAATATGGAGTTAATATAAGCCCAAAATTGAGAGTGCAGGCCACCCAGGAGGTTGTGCCTTGAGGAACCACAGGGTTTCCTTTCTACCAAAGGGTTGAAAAGCTCAGAGGAGGATTAAGAAATTAAGTGTATACATTTATAATGAATTGTTTGTTTTAGAGGCTATAGTAATATAAGTTTGGAAGAAAAGCAAAAGTAGGAAGAAGATAAGAATAGAAGATGCACGTAACATAAAAATAATTATAGGGTGGGTTGCTTGAGCCTAGGAGGTCAAGCGCAGGAGGTGAGCCTTAATCACACCATTACACTCCAGCCTGGGTGACAGAGTGAGACACTGCCTCAAAAAAAAAAAAAAAAAAAAAAAACCTATGAGTGAATTCATTGCAGACCTTACATTATTATTACTACTAGCATAGCTTGACAGGAGGAGAAGCATGGGAGAGGTAATTGACCCAGTTTGTAGCCAGAATCAAATCTCATGTGTGTAGCTTCCCATGGGAAGCAGTCTCATGTGTCTCATGTGTATTCCACCCAGCAAATCTGAAATATAACAAAGTCAACAATGTGAGCAACTGTTCTGAAGTCTCTTCCGCTTCAAGAAGCCAAATAAAATGTTGGAGTGAATTGTTTAGATGTTCTCAAACCGTCATTTCTCAATCGGTGACTCTGAAATGCCAAGGAAAAATGGGCTCTGAAGAGGACCCTGCTCACATCATAAGGCAAGGGATACTGTCCACAGAATTTTACCTCTATTATGCATGCCTTGGCTTATAGGTGTGAGTCGTTGCTTGGTAGAACAAGAGACAAATCCTTGATAAACCAAAGGATATAATTAAGGCAAGACAAGAGGCTGGAAACAAATATTGCATTGTGGGATTTAAAGAGGAGTTTTAAAGTAACAGTGATAAGCCTAGGCAACATGGCAAAACCCCATCTCTATGAAAAATACAAAACTTAGCCAGGCATGGTGGTGTGCACCTGTAATCCCAGCTACTCAGGAGGCTGAGGTGGGAGGATGGCTTGAGCCCAGGAGGTCAAGGCTACAGTGAGCTGTGATTGCAACACTGCACTCCAACCTGGGCAACAGAGTGAAACCCTATCTCAAAAACAAACAAGCAAACAAACAAACAAAAAACAGTGATAGAGATGTCTGCAGAATAGAACTTAAATCAAGCAGGTGTTTTCATGGTTATTCAAATGGAGCTGAATGATACTGATTTAATTATTGACATAAGTAAGACTGAACTGATGAATTAGGAGTAAGTAATTTATGGTTTTTAACATCTAATTACAGTTTTCTCTATGGCAGCTACTAGAAATCTCTCCTATGCTCTCCATATTCTAATTCTTGCTATGCTGCTCCCCAGTTTTCATGCTCCTTCCCTCCCTTCCTCCTCACATCCACTCATTCATCACCCATTTCTAAAGCCCTGATTTTCTAACATGCAATCCTCTCTTCCATGGGAAGTCCCCCAAGAAATATAATTTATTTCTGATCTGCCTGCTTCTTAAGAGGAGGAGTCTGGAAGCTTGCAGAGTAAAATCATTCATTTTATCCATTCTGTTATCTCTTCCCTCTGAAAAATCTGTTTGACAGCCTAACAAAGCTATTGCATAACTCTAAGTCAGATGAACAGGTAAAAATAGGAACCTCAATATTGATTTGAGGCATCTCAGCCTTTTCTGACTGACTACCAAACTCCCCTTTCTTCTTTGCATGCTAATTGAATCCTCTCTCTGTTGGTTTAATCCTCTCCCTGTTGATGGGGTGCATCTGTCTGCCTGGCTACAATCATAAAGCTTCTTCTAATAAACCTTGCAATTGAGGTATTCGCAGTGTCCACAGGAACAAACTCATTATTGTTAGAATTCAATTTCAATCCAGCTCCTCCATGTCTATATCATCAGTTTGGAAACAAGGTAGAAGATTCACCCTGTCTTCTTCTTTGTCAGAGTGGTTAGTCCACAAATACCTTCATTACCTCACGAGTGCAATGATGTGAAGATGTCTCAATTCTCAATGTACTTATGGGAACTGGGAATGCCAGAGACTTAATACCCAGGTAGTCATAGTGGTCCTACCTCTTACCAATTCAGTTGCTCTGGAAGTGAATTAGAAGGGGTAATCTCTGACTTGAGTGCTGGGCTAGCTCTGGGGATTTCCTCATAGGTGACTGAGCAAATATTTTCTCCCTCACTCTCAGCAGTACCATGTGTATAAGGAGAAACATCTTTGGGAGTGTGAGGGGCATTTGGATCACTCGGAGCTCCCCACTCTGCCAGGCATCTCATTCAGAGCTTTACTTGTTGATCCGTTATTCCTCAGTCCCAACTTGCTTTACCAACTGAGACTCTGAGTATTTGATAAAGCTTGGCTTTGTTTAGTAACTCGTGACTATAACAAAAGATTACAGTTGATTCTTATTATTTGCAGTAGTTATGTTCTTAAAAGTCACCACAAGTACTGAATTAGCAATACTGTTCCATTGCTCCTTGAGGAAATACAGTGCTAGGGTCCTGCAAGCTTCTGGTCACAACATATTTGTAAACCAGTCAATATATAAACTTATGTGTTTCTGTTTAAAGACATAATATGTATATTTAATATACATATTAGTCCATCCTCACACTGCTATAAAGAACTGCCCAAAACTGGGTAATTTAGAAAGGAAAGAGGTTTAATTCACTCACAGTTCTGCATGACTGGGGAGGCCTCAGGAAACTTACAATCATAGCAGAATGCAAAGGGGAAGCAAGGCACCTTCTTCACAAAGTGGTGGGAGGGAGAAAGAGTGAATGAATCAAGGGGGAAGAGGCTCTTATACAACCATCAGATCTCATGAGAATTCACTCACTATCATGAGAACAGCATGTGGGAACTGCCCCCATGATTCAATTACCTCCACCTGTTCTCTCCCTTGACACATAGGGATTATGGGGATTACAATTCAAGATGAGATTTTGGGTGGGGACACAGCCAAACCATATCAATATATATTGTTGATTTATCAACACTGAACACACAAAGGCACTATATCTCATGGTGTGCCCAAATAAAGTTTCTCTAGCACTGGTGTTTTCTCCATAAGGCACATTGCAGTCTTCTTGCACTTTACAGCACAAGAATTGAAACAAGGAAGTAGAGTGTTGATTTGTTCAGCCTCATCTGGGAAGACATGCCTCAGGCAACTAAAATTTTTTGCTACTCTGTGCATATCCACAAATAACAGTGAAAGTGTCACAGTATTGACTCTGAGGTTTCAAAATTTTAGCAAGTAGATGAATTTGCAATATGGAATCTTCCAACAAAGGTTATTGACTGTATATACTAATTTTCTGAAAGACTTGGCCTACAGATGTCCTTTGGGTTTTAATAATGATTATCCACAGTATGCTAAAAATTGGTGACATTTTTGGCATATAATATTTTGAAATTGAGGAATTTGATATTTTTTAAATGCTGTATTTCAGTTGCTCTCTGAAATTTAGAAGATATGGCAAAAATTAGGCACTAGCTCCCGCATGGCAGTAATAGTCCACAAGACCCAAATGGTGGCTGAACTCCTTAGAGAGATAGGACCTGTACTTTTCAGTTTTATGTCTTGAAACACCTGCCTGCTGCATTAATTTATGTTGACCAATGTTGGAATTGAATTTGAGACAGCTGCTTTAAAGTCCTCTGGCAGTCTTGTTTTACTCCAGTAGCAAATAACCCATACCTCAAATCCCAAATCCTAATTGTCTTAGAATCTCCCAGGAGTTGCCAAGTCCCTGAAGATTCAGGTGCTAATGACTTAGAAAATAAAATTCTTCAACTGAACCATTGTCCTTTTCTCTCTCTCCAAGAAAGACTTAATTTGTTAGGGAATTTTGAGTCTAAGATTATTGCATAAAAAACACTTTTCAGTTTACAACTTCATAAAGGAGCTGCTTAACCTTCCATAATTTAGTGAGTTGACATAATTTTGAATAAATTTAGTTATGCTTTTAATAAAACCCAGTCTTTTTTTTTTTTTTGAGACAGAGTCTTGCTCTGTCACCCAGAGTAGCTGGGACTACAGGCACATGTCACCATGTATGCATATACGGCTTCTTCTTCTTCTTTTTTTTTTTTTTTTTGAGACAGGGTCCTACTATGTTGCCTGGGCTGGTCTGGAACTTCTGGGCTTAAGTGATCCTTCCACCTGGGCCTCCCAAAGTGCTGAGATTACAGGCATGAGCCACCATGCCTAGCTAAAATCCAGTCTTGAAGAGCAAATTCTTCCAAACTTTGTAATTCTAATCCCAGAGAGTCCTCTTCCAGATTTAGGAAAACTAGCTGCACTTTTTGTCCTATGAATATCTAATTTCTTGCACTTTAATTTCAACATTTGAGTGGTCATTGCAAAGGTGGGCTTTCAGTTCAGTTCTAGAGTAATGATTGTTTCAAAAGGTCACTGAATCTTTACCTTATGTCTAAAATAGAACATGATGCTTTCTAAAATGTACACCTAATAAAGCTAAATCAAGTGGTTAATCTGGGTATAGTAACCATTCCAGAGAAAAATAAGTCCAACCAAAAAAAAAAAGCCTTGAGTAATAATTTAGATATTTATCGTAGGTTTCCACTTTTTAAGGGAAAGCATTTTAACAAAACCTTTCCTAACATCCTCTTTACAGATATCTCCATCTTACCAGATATTCACACAAAGCACTATTTTTTTTTAACTATACTTTAAGTTGTGGGGTACATGTGCAGAACGTGCAGGTTTGTTACATAGGTATACACGTGCCATGGTGGTTTGCTGCACCCATCAACCCGTCATCTACATTAGGTGTTTCTCCTAATGCTATCCCTCCCCTATCCCCCCACCCCCCAACAAGCCCCAGTGTGTGATGTTTCCCTCCCTGTGTCCATGTGTTCTCATTGTTCAACTCCCACTTATGAGTGAGAACACGCAGTGTTTGGTTTTCTGTTCTTGTGTTAGTTTGCTGTGAATGATGGTTTGCAGCTTCATCCATGTCCCCGCAAAGGACATGAACTCATCCTTTTTATGGCTGCATAGTATTCCATGGTGTATATGTGCCATATTTTCTTAATCCAGTCTATCATTGATGGGCTTTTGGGTTGGTTCCATGTCTTTGCTATTGTGAACAGTGCCACAATAAACATATGTGACAAAGCAGTATTTTTTAAAAACTGGTATCTTCTGTCTTCAAGACCTGTTTTCAATGTTATGATGTTCTCTTCTTTACTTCCCCCCTTTACAAGTGGTAACAGAAACTACCTCAAAGTCCTACTGTCCAATGTGCAAATATTCCTGAGTCTTGCTTCTCTGAATCTCATCATATTAACCTTAAATTTTAAAAATGTAATATGGTTGAATGCTTATCTGTTTCTTCTACTGTATTAAAAATTATTTTAAGACAGAAACTAGGTCTTGAGAACTCCTTGTATCCTTAGGAACAAGCTCATGGCTGGTACTCAATATATGTTGACACTGAATGTTCACTTGCACAGGTTATTGTCAATGTAACACTTGTATGAGCTCAGCACAGAAATTTTCAACATTGACAAGTCATTTCAATGTATGAAGTAGTGATGTAGATTATTTAGATTAAGTGATGTCAACTGGAAGACTTGGATTGAAGAAGCTTAAAACTTTTGCTATTCAGGCTGTTAATCTTCAAGATTGATGGAATCTTATTTTTAGATCATGGAAAAATATATAGGCAACTGCTTTAGTAGTTGTTAATGGCATCTGTCGGGCATACAACTATCGACTGAAGATGAGTCAGACAGGCCATAAAAAACATCTGAGTCCTGAATACAAACAGGAGAGAAAAGGTTCTATAATTGTTTATGGGTTCACCAAAGACGGTCTGCTAATTAAATGTTGGAGTATTTACCCGAAACAGCCATCATAGGAAACTAATGAACTTGTTCAAAGGATGAAAACAAGTTATCACCTGTTCTGTCAGTCAATAGCACTGAAACAAGCAATTTCCATCACTGTAGGGTCCCACAAGTAACTCAAGCCACCAGATTTTAATTAGCTTCAAAGACTACATACTGGGTGGTAAAGTTTAGCCATCCACCTTTTTGTCATATAAAAGTCATTTTTTAAATACAAAATATGGTGTAAAATTGTGTATGTCTCTGTACATCATTCAATCAATGTAGAATAGGAAGAACAGGAAGAAACAGAAAAAAGAGATGGTCTGTTTTGCTAGCATTATAATGCACTCCAGGAAGAGTAGGAAAAAACTAAGGAATGAATAATTTAATCAACATCTCACTCTTTACTTTACATCTAATGGTCTTATCAGAAAATACTAAACATGGCACAGTATGAGAACACAGTGAGCAGGAGAGATTCTTCCACCCCACATGCTAGCAATGATGTATTAATACTGTGAAATGCAAGGCTGTTTCTATAAAAATGTATTAAGTTTTAGGATAGAAAATTATAAAATCATAAAGACAAGCATTTAACACTAACTTTATGAATGGTTGTGATTATTTTAAAATAAAATGATGTAGAATGCTTTATAATGAATTATTACATTATTTAAAAGAATAATTTTATCATATTATTATAAGGAGAAAAGACAAAATTGGATGTCTGTCAGTGCAATTGGGAAGGAAAACCTAGAAGCTGTATTTGTCTTGGGAAACATTTTCCAAAGCAAGCTAAAAAATTAATTCTTGATTAAATTTCTTTCTCATTCATCCTAAACATTATCAATAGAAGCCCTTCCAAAGTAGTCACAAAACCATGAATAAAATTCCTTCACACAAGATTGAGTTTCTGTTTTTAGAACGATTACTTTTATGTAGGAGTTTTAAGTAAGAAGACTAAGATATTTTCTAAACATTTAAATACTAACACTCAAAAGAACTTGATTAAGTAATAACCAAACTACTGAAGGGTAATAGTTACATCAACATGTATTTCTTTCTCTCTCCCTCCCTCCCTCTCTCTCTTTTATCTGTCTTTCTTTTCTTTCTTTCTTTCTCTTTCTTTCTGTCTTTCTCTTTCTTTCTTTCTTTCTTTCTTTGTTTTTCTTTGTTTCTTTCCTTCCTTCCTTCTTCCTTCCTTCCTTCTTTCTTTCCCTTTCATTATGTTTTTAAACAGTTTTATTATGGTCTAATTGACATACAATACACTGTACTTATTTGAAGGGCAGTTTAACAGTTGTAACATGCATACACAAGTAAACTCATCACCACAATCAAGATAATGAACACATTCATCGCCCTTGTCAATCAAATAATCTCAAGATTCATAAATTTGGAGGAGAGAGCTTTATTTCTCATAAAGGGTTGCAGCATGTAGGCTGGCCATCCTGAGAGCTGGAAAGCAGAATTTATGCTGAATTTATGCTGGACAGGAATTTATGCTGAACGGCTTGGCCAAGTATACATATTCAGCAGGCTACAGGGCTCGAGCTATGAATATTCACAAAGACAGGCATGTGCACACGCATAATACGCAAGCAAGCATGTTACATGCTTCCCATGGTCACTCTGGGGTGGAGACTTAACATGTAAATGTACTATAATTAGGTCCTATACCTCAAAGGAGAAAGAGGGACACAAAAGTACTCAGTGTACAGCCTCTGTGTACCAACCAGGACCAGTTTATGGTCAGTGGTGTCTTATCAGGGGAAGGTTACTGAAATCAGTCTCTTGTCCAATCGAAGCTGTAGTTACGGCTTGTGGAACAGGGGCATCAGTCAGTGTCTGGTAATAGGTGAGCCGCAATTGTTTCAATATTGCTTATCTCAAGGCTAGTGCAGTGCTTAGCTGCTACAGAAAAAGGAAAAACCCTGTGGCCTTTAGAACATAGTTTATTCTTTAAGTGTAGAGGTGCACGACTTAACCCTTGCCTTAGGTCTTATTTATAATTGGTATCTTATTGCCTCAAAGACACTGTTCTGTCAGTCTTACGATCTGTATTTTAACACCATCAAAAGTTTCTTATTGGCCTTTTGTGGTGTCTCCTTCCTTCTCTTACTCTCTTCTCAGAAGCAGGCAACACTGATCTGCTTTCTGTCCCTATATTAGCTTGTAATTTCAATAGTTTTATATAAATGGCATCAGATACTGTGTATTTTTTATCTGACTTTTTCAGTTAGACAAATTATTTTGAGATTCATCCATGTTGTTGCAAATATCAATAATTCAGTCCTTATTACTGAGCAATATTCTACTGTGTGTGTGTGTGGAGATACAATTTGTTTAGCCAATCACCTGTTGGTGGGCTTGTGGGTTGTTTCCAGTCTTTGGCTATTACAAATAAAGCTACTATGAAAATCCTTGTCTTACGGGATCCTTAGCGGGTGTTGCTTTTCTAGCTGGAAACCTCTGTGGCCAGTGGTACTTTTGCCGGAGTTTGCTCAGGCCCACTGAGCCCACTCATCCTGGCAGGCTGCATTTGGCTCGTGCTACCAGCCTGGATTCCACAACTCCAAAGAGACTGGAGTGGAGCAGTGACAGGTACATGAGCAAGAGAGCATGGGATCCAGGCACTGCACAGTCAGGCACACCGGCTGCTGCAGTGGGGTGGGCAGCTCCAGGTGCCAACACACTGAGAGTCTGCTCTGGACCAGGCATACTGCAAGCAGCTTCCATGGCTGGCACCAGAGAATGCAGTGGTGCCCAGAAGCTTGGAGACTCCAGGAACCACAGGGCCCCAAAGGAGGAGTCACAGCCATGGCTCAGGGAGCTCCCAGGTCTGGGCTTCCCAAAGGACCACAGCTCTTTTCTCCTCTCTTCTCTCCTCCTTGTGGCCCACAATGTGGCAAGCAAGGGATGTGTTTCAGCACTGTTTGTATAACAGCTCTTTTAGCCTCATCATTCGGTGAGTCCCGGGTTCTTGTCCTGCATCCAGGAAGAATGAGAGGAGCTTTACTGAGCAATAGAACAGCTCAGAGGAGACCTGCAGTGGGCAGCTCCTCTCTGTAGTTAGGGGTTCCAACCAGTGTTCAGCGTTCAGCAGAGAGGGTAGCTCCTCTCTGCTAGACAGATTGTCCCCACGAGTGTTGAGCTCTCAGCAGAGAGGGTAGCACCTCTCTGCAAGTGGTCATCCCATTGTCTCCCTATCCTCTCTTCATCCTCTGCTGGAGTCTGGCTGAGTCCGGGGGGGCGGGGGGTTATGGGCCTCTGAGGAAAGGAAGTGGGTGCTGATTTGTCCATGGGCAGTCGTGGGTGGGCCCAGAGAAAAGCACAAGTTCCCCCTCTGGTCGGTGGGACTGGTGGCCTAGCCCCCAGGCTTCAGGCCCTCCGTGGTTGGAAGGTGGGGGCTTCACCAGGGACTAACCCCCTTCTGCCCAGGAGTCTGTCTGCCTCCTGCCACCATTCATGATGCCTAGACTGTTCATGCCAAGGGGTACCTGTAGGCCAGCGCCAGGCTGTCCTCAGGTCCCCCTTGACCTCCCTCCCATGCTTGTTGGTGCCCAAACCCCAGAGGCGGGGGGCAGCGAGAAGGCAAGGGGCTGGTATTTCAGCACTGTCCCAAGCTCACACACACCCAGCCGGGCTGCATAAACGTTTACCCTAGCTTGGCCCCATCCTTGCTCAAAGAGCGGGCGCTGGAAGCAGGGAGAGGCCAGGCAGTGGGAGCAGAGATCTCCAAGAATGCAGGGGTGAGTGGGGCCTTCCTGGGCCCCAAGAGTGCAGAGATGCCTGGGTCTGCAGCCACAGCTGGGCGGCTGTATCTGCACCCAGGGTGGGCAGGACTTCTGCCTGCTCCCAGCGCCCAAGACCACAGGGAGGCCCAGGTCCACAGCCATGACTTGAGTTGCTGCCTGCTCCCGGCTCCTGCCAGCTCCGTGGAGCATGTCACCACTGCAGGACCATCTCCACATTGGAGCCCCTCTCTGCCTGCCCCTTCGTTCCCAACTGCACTGCTCCCTCACCGGCAGGCGACTCGACCCAGCCCCATTGCCGCGGCCCCCAGAGTGGCAGGCTCCAGGGGGCTCCCAGGAGTGGGCTTCTGGAACTGTCTGCCTCTTCCCTACACCATCCCTGCAGCAGCGGCAGGCGAGAGTGACAATGCGAGGCCAGGGTAGAGAGTGGTGGAGGTTCCAGGCCTGGGACCAGGTCCTGCCCAGCCACACGAAGGTAGGGGCAGATGTCTTGGGGACACCGGGGCACATGGCGACTGCCCCCCAACACCTCCCGCTGCAGCTGGCGCAATGGGAGCAGTCGCTCCGGATGGCCCACTGCTGCCATCACTTGTACATGATATAATATTTGGGGGTAAATACTCAGGATTATAATGACTAAATCATATGCCAGGTGTCTGTCTAAAATTTTAAGAAACTGTTAAACTCCTTTCAAAGTGGCTGTACCATTTTATATTCCTGTAAGCAGTGTGTGAGTTCCAGTTGCTCCACATTCTCACCAACACTTGGCATGCTCAACCTTTTAAATTTTAGCCATTTTAATAATTAAATTTAAATTTAATTAGTACTATAATATAGTGATATTTCACTGGGATTTTAGTTTGCATTTCCATAACAACGAATGATGTGCTTTTTTCATCTTATGTCATCTATATCTCATATTTGGGGAGTGACTGTTCAAGCTTTTTGCTCGATGTTGTTTATTCATTTTCTTATTATTGTGTTTTGAGAGTAATATATAACACAGACTACAAGCCCTTTAACAGATATGTGTTTTTTAATTTTTTTGGGGGGGGACAGAATCACACCCTGTCGCCAGGCTGGAGAGCAGTGGCATGGTCTTGGCTCACTGCAACCTCTGCCTCCCGGGTTCAAGCGATTCTCCTGCCTCAGCCTCCTAAGTGGTTGGGACTACAGGCATGCGCCACCATGCCCAGCTAATTTTTGTATTTTTAGTAGATACGGGGTTTCACCATCTTGGTCAGGATGGTCTCAATCTCTTGACCTCATGATCCACCTGCCTTGGCCTCCCAAAGTGCTGGGATTACAGGTATGAGCCACCGCACCTGGCCAAATATTTTCTTTTAGTCTCTCTTTTGAAGAACAAATGCTTTTAACTTTCATGAAGTCTAATTTTCATCATTTTCCTTCCTAAATTGTGCTTTTAGTGTCATATCTGAGAAATCTTTGCCTAATTAAAAGTCATTCATATTTTTCCCCTATGATTTCTTAAGGAAATTTTATAGTTTGAGGTTTTAAATGTAGGTCTACGGTCAATTTTTTCATTGTGGTAAAATATACATAATATGAAATTTATCATTTTTATTATTTTTAAGTATATAATTCAGTGGTGTTAGGTACGTTAACATTGTTATGCAACTATCACCATTATGCACCTCCAGAACTTTTTTTTTTTTTTTTTTCCAGAAACAGGATCTCTCTCTCTCTGTCTCCCAGGCTGGAATGTGGTGGTGCAATCATAGCTCACTGTAACTTCGAATTCCTGGCCCCAACTGATCCTCCCACCTTGGCCTCCCAAAATATAGCGATTGGTGGTATAAGCCACTGCTCCCGGGCTCCAGAACATTTTGATCATCCCAAACTAAAACTTTACACCCGTTAAGCAATAATTCTTCATTACTCCCACCCACAAGTCCCTGTTAACCACTATCATACTTTCTGTCTCTATAAATTTTACAGTTCTAGGTATTGCATATGTCTCAGTCTGTTTGGGCTAGTATAACAAAATATGATAAACTGAGTAGATTATAAACAACATAAATTTATTTGTCACAGTTCTGGAGCCTGGGAAGTCCAAGATTAAGGCACTGACAGATTTGGTGTCTGGTGAAGGCCTATTCCCTGGTTCAGGAGATGATGCCTTCTAGCTCTGTCCTTATATGGTGGAAGGAGCAAATAAGATTCCCTGAGCCTTTTTTATAAGCACACTAAACCCATTTATGAAGGCTTTACTTTCATGACCCACTTTCCAAAAGGCCCCTTCTCCTAATACTGTCACCTTGGGGGTTACTATTTCAACATATAAATTTGGAAGGTAAGGGTTGCAAGCATTCAGACCATAGTATCATATAAATGGAAATGTACAACATGTACTTTTTTCTGTCTGGTTTATTTCACTTTGCCTATGTTTTTAAGGTTTATTCATGTGGTGCATATAGGAATTTCTACACTATGTTTTGCTGATGCATTCATTCATCGATGAACACTTAGGTTGTATCCACCTTTCGACTATTGCAAATTATGCTGCTGTAATAAACATTAGTGTACAAAATCTGTTGAAGTTATTGTTTTCAATTATTTGGGGGTATATACCTCAAAGTGAAACTGCTGTTCATAAGGTAATTCTGTGTTTAATTTTTTTGAGAAACTGCCAGATTGTTTTCCACAATGACTGCACAATTTTACATTCTCATTGGCAATGCACACAGGTTCCAATTTCTCCACATCCTCACCAATACTTCTTATTTTCGTCTTTTTAATATTAATCATCCAAATGGGTAGTATCTCACAGTTTTTATTTGTATTTCCCTGATGATTAGTGATGTTGAGCAACTTTTCATATACTTATCGGCCATCTGTCTATCTTCTTTGGTGAAATGTCAGTTCAAGTACTTTGTCCATCTTTGAATCAGCTTTTTTTGATTTTTTTGTTATTGAGTTGTAGGAGTACTTTATTTATTCTGCACATTAGCCCCTTATCAGATATATAATTTGCAAATCTTCTTCTGTTCTGTGGGTTGTCTTCCTTCTGATGATAGTGTCCTTAGATGCACAAAAGTTTTAAATTTTGATGAAACTACTTATCTTTTCTTTTGTTGCCTGCATTTTTGGTATTATATCTAAGAAATCATTGCCAAATCCAATATCATGAAGCTTTTCTTCTGTTTTCTTCTAAGAGTTTTATAGTTTTAGCTTTTATGTTTATGTCTTTCATCCACTTTGAGTTATATTGATTTATTTTCAAATGTTAAACTATTATTGCAATCCTGGATAAAACCCATTTGGTCACGATATATTATTTATATAATGTTGGATTTTATTTGCTAAACTTCTATTAGGAAACTTTGCACCTATGTTTACGAGAAAATTTTCTCCATAATTTTTTTATATATATCTTCATGGTTTGGGTATCAGGATAATTCTGGCCTCATGGAATAAGTTGGGAAGTGTTCTATCCTCTGGAATCGTGTGGAGGACTTTGGGTAGTACTGCTATTATTAAATGTTTGGTTTACCAATGAAACTATAAAACTTAGAGGTTGGTTTTGTAGAAAGAATCTTAACTACAAATTTAATTTTATTAATAGATACAGAGCAAATCAGGTTTTTTCTTTAAGTTCAACAGTTTGCACATTTCATCAAAATTGTTTAATTGAATTTATTGGCAAATAGTTGTTCATAAGATTCTTTTATTATCCTTTTAACATCTGTAGAATCTGTGCTATGTCTCCGCTCTCATTCCTAATATTAGTAATTTGTCTTCTCCCTCTCTTTTTTTCTCTCCACATCTCTCTATCTCTTTCTCCTTATATCCTTATCTCTGTATCTATCTCTATGTATCTATGTCTATCTGTGTCTCTTTTGCCTGATCAGTCTTGCTAGAGTTTTATCCATTTTATTGAACTAAGAAAATCAGCCTTTGGTTCCATTGATTTTCTGTTTCTTTTTCCTGTTTTATATTTCATTGATTTCTGCTCTGATTTTTTTCTCCTTTTGCTTGCTTTTGGTTTCATTTACTCTTCTCGGTTTCTTCAGATGGAAGCTGAAGTCCTTGATTATTCTTTTTTGTTTGTTCTTCCTGAAATTCTATGGATTTTGTCTACTCATCTTTATTTGTTCTACTTACATACACCTACTTTACTAAATACATTCAATGTCAAAAATGACTTAGAATGCAACATTTGCCCTTCCTTTTTAATCTAGAAATAACTTCAATTTTTTTTAAGTTTTGAATATTTTCTAGGAGTTTTCTTGGGTGAAGGGGATGTTATAAACAGACAGCAAACATGATCCAGTCATCCTGAATTCTCAAAGACCTTTAAATTTTTCTTTGTCTATATGGAGATAGCAATAAAGGTATGGTGATACTCTTAATCTCTTTCCTAACACTGTTTCTTACATAGTTGTCAGACTTCTTTAAGTTGATTTTCTTACCACTTTGAGTGGAGATTGTCGATCCCTCCCCTCCCTTTATTCTTTCTGTCTTTCCCTGGGCTCCTGTGCTGTCTGTTGGGTGATATTTATATATGTTAGATTACCTGGGTTTATATAACAGCTCTACCCTTATTCATGGTAGGACCTTATCCTCTTTAATCCTCTCATTTGTATAATAAAATTAATAGTACTGTAGCAAGAATCATGCATGTAAACTACTTAGTACACTGCCTGGTACAAAGTAAAGGCTCAAAAACTATTTAATAGCAAGTATTGGAAATGAGCAGATAGACTATTCAAGTGTTCACCAGTATAAGTATTTAGTACTTCAAAATCTGATAAAATAACTGCTCTTTTTATAAACTTGGTTAACTTACAATACTTCATCAAGTATATCTATTAAATGAAAATTTATTGAAAATCTTCTAACACATTTTTTATGTTGGTCAGACACAAATTACAAACACACACACACACAGAGAGAGAGAGAGAGAAAGAACACAATTCATACCTTTTTCATTTCTTTTTCCTGTCTTTTTTTTTGGCGCTAGCTAGAACCTCTAGTATAATATTGACAAATCGGTGAAATATAGTTAAACTCTCACTTACTAAGCATGTGTTGAGAACCTCGTGGATCACCCACTCTTCCAAGTTGTTGTGGAAACTAAATTCTAGTTATGGAAGCTAGGCAATAAACAAATAAATAAGCAAAAATAGAGGAAGTGATGATTGCCATGATAAAACTAAACTGGGACTGGAACTGGCTGCTTTGGTCAGGCAATCAGAAAGCCTGTTCCTCATGAGATGCTATACACATTGTGATCTGAAGGACAAGGAGCCGCCATGAGAAGGCTTCAGAAAAGAGCATCCCAGGCCGATGAGGCAGATGGAAAGCCCCAAGGCATTAATGAACTTGGTCTGTTTGAGGAGCGAAAACAAGGCTGTTATGGCTGCAACATGCTGACAAGTGGGAAGGAAGAGGCAGAGCCAAGACCACAAATGACCTTGGAGGCAAGATAAAGAGGCTTAGGATTTTTATCACAAGTGCCATAGGGAGCCCAGAAGGATTTTAAGCAGAGTATGATGTAACTTGATTTATTTTTTTAAAACACCACTGTGGCTGGTGTTTGAAGAATGAAATATAGAAGGACCACTGGAGAAGCTAAGAGACTAGGTTAAAGACTGCGGTAGCAGCCTAGCCAAGAGCTGTCAGGTGTTAGCAACGAGGATTTAGAAAAAACAGGTACAAATTATTTCATCACCCAGGTAGTGAGCATAGTAACCTATGGGTAGTTTCTGGGTCCTCACCCTCCTCCCACCTTCCTTTATACACCAAACCCCAGCGACACGCAATTTAGCCATATAACAAACCCGCCCATGGAGCCCCTGAACCTAAGTTTGAAGGAAAAATGATAACAATCATAATTTTAAAAAAGAAAACAAAAAGCAGGTATATTTCAAATGCAAGTGGAGAATTGAGAATACTTCCTGATGCAGCAAATTTGGCAGAGGCAAGAGAGAAGGAAACTTAAATGTAATGATTATAAAAGCGAGGTTAGCTATAGCATACTTCAGTTCTAAATCAATTATCTGTGATAATATATTTCTATTTTTCCCAGAGCTATATGAATAATAAAGTAATATATTTAAATATCACCTATCTTTAAGGTTCACATCCTGTCAATGTTGGTGTTTTTAATTCAACTTCAAATGCTCTATTGAATAAGCCAGAAAAGTTAGTGGCTTATAAATGAATGGGACTATCAGTAAGGACACTCACTACCACACAGTATTAAAATACATTGATTTTTTAAAGAGAGACTTGATAAAATGTGACAAATTACAACCTACTAAAATAATGACATTTAGATTTCAGTGTCATATGGGAAAAAGGAGTCGATAATATTTCTCATTTATTGTATAAAGACTTCCATTACTTCTACCTTTTGCCGTCAGTTAAAGGTTCATAACCATTAAGCAAGAGTTGCAGCTTGATCTAGAGACATGATTTTTGGGCAAAGCATAGGGACCTGTGCTCTGTGTTGCTGGATTTCTGATTTTTCTTTCCAGTGTGAATCTGTTAGCTGAAGATCTGTGATTCAGGAAAGAAGCTCAGAAATCATTTTAATCTATGAGCTCCCTTTCTCTCCACTCCCAAGCAATCTGCAACAGTTCAACACCTGTTTTGAGTTCCTAGCTGTTCATATGATTACTAGTGAATCATAATCAAAAAGGCAACCGCTATGCATCCCACTGCAAGAGGCAGTGCAAACAGATAATATATAATTTCCTTTGGCTTTCTCAGCAGTAGAAACAAGGACGAATGGCAAAATTACCAAAGCAAAATGTCTATCTAAATGGCCACGTTATACTCTAAGAGAAACCTTCTCTGAAAAGTTACTTAACTTTGCATCCCTACCTAAATTTGGTACTATGTTAACCTATCCCCAAAACATAAAATTCTATAATTAGGGTCAGATTTGATGAGGTGAGACAAATAGCTTGTGAATAATCATGTACTCAGTTGTATTTTGGTTTTTAAGATCCAAGTAAAAACAGAGATATGTGGCAAAGTGGATATGAATTTTGGCTCTGCCCACAATAACACTGTGAACTTGACATTGCCAACAACTCTGTTTTATCCCTTGTGAAACTAGAATGATAATAAAATTATCCTTAAAAACATAGAACAGATTAAATTTAACAACATATTCCTTTGGGTTGGCATCATTGTCAGGTACCATATTTTGCCGCATGGTGGCAAAATGTCTCCCAGCAGCTCAAGGCTTATATCTTAGCCTTTCAGAATCCCATTGAAAGATAAACATGCCTCTTCCCTGATGTCACTATCAAAGGTCTTAGAATGAATCCCATGTACATGGATTGAGTCATTGAGATACAGAACCCATATCATGATTGAGCAGGACTGAACTATGTCCTACCCATCCTTCCATTCAGGAAGGGAGTCCAGAGCCTCCCAAACCACATGGAATGAGGAGGGAGGGGGGTTGTGTCCTGAGAGAATCACAGGTATTTGCCATATAATCTAAATTCTATAGCTCTAACTCTATATTTCCTAACTTGGTGTGTTACCTTGAAGAAGTTTCTAAAGTTCTCTGTGTTTCAGGATTCTCAATTAGAAAGTAACATAACAACCCCTACTTCATAAAGTTGCTGTGAGATTTTGATAAAAATTTATATATATATATAAAATTTTATAATATATTATATATAATTTTATATATTATATATAACATTATATATATAAAAAATTTTATCATCAAAATCTCACAGCAACTTTATGAAGTAGGGGTTGTATATATGTGTATATATATATACTACATCTATATGTAGTATGTATGTGTATATATATACTACATCTATATGTAGTATGTATGTGTATATATATATACTACATCTATAGTATGTATGTGTATATATATATACTACATCTATATGTAGTATGTATGTGTATATATACACATCTATATGTAGTATGTATGTGTATATATATACACATCTATATGTAGTAGATATGTGTGTATATATACACATATATATGTAGTAGACATGTGTGTATATATACACATATATATGTAGTAGACATGTGTGTATATATACACATATATATGTAGTAGACATGTGTGTATATATACACATATATATGTAGTATATGTAGTATATATGTGTGTATATATACACGTATATGTAGTATATATGTGTGTATATATACACATATATATGTAGTATATGTAGTATATGTGTGTATATATACACATATATATGTAGTATACATGTATGCTACATATAGGGGTTGTATATATGTATATATACATATATACACATGTATATGTTTTATATATGTATATATACATATATACACATGTATATGTAGTATATATGTATGCTACATCAGGGGTTGTGTATATGTGTGTGTGTGTGTGTGTATATATATATATATATATATATATACATGAAACAAGCCTAGCTCAGGCTGAGCACATGGTGGGTACTAAGTACATGTTATTTCTTTATCTCCTCTTTCTCTCAGGAGTGATGCAGAGTAAAGACAGCATGTATTGATGCTGGAAGACGGCTATAATATCTTCATTATTTCTTTCCTATGTCAAGCTCAGAGCCTTCCACATTTTTTTCTAATATTTATTGGTTTTGAGCTAGCCCCGTTCAGAACACAATATTCTAGGTATGATCTGTCCAGCGCAAACTTGACTGTAATCTCTTTTGATTTGAAAGTGCTTTCATTGGCAACACCTGAGATTTTCATGACCAGTGTTGTGACACTTAACTCCCTACAGGCATTTGAACCAATCAGTAATACTCCAGGCCTTCTCTACAAGTCAACTTACTGGCAAACTATGTCTCTTTTGACTCATGCCTATGAAATTGCCCTTGGAGCATGTGCTGAAAATTCTATTCCTACTCATTGTTATCCTGTTAGATCTTGACATTTATGCTTGCCAGCATTCTTTTAGGTATGGATAAACCTCTCTTCAAAGCTTCACATCAGATACAAATTTTACCAGTGTTCTCTGGTGTCTTTATTTTCAGTAAAAACAACATCAAGACCCAAGTGGTGATGGGATCCTTCAACACAACATATGTTTCTCTCTATTTTGGGAGTGGTCACCCCAACAGCATTCTAGTCAGGTAACCAATGCTGAACCCTACTATATACTATCATCAAACCCATATATATTTTTTTCATAAAGATTTGTGAAGAAAGTTCACAAACCTTCTTCATACTTTATACTTCCTTCACAATAGGAGCTCCATTATGTAGGAATTTGTACTGGCTAATCCAAGCACCTAGCTTCTAGCCTGTGGAAGCAGAGGCACATCCAAGCAACAAAATGTTGGGAAAGAAAGGTTATGACCACTAAGATAGTATATCAAATAGTTTTCAGATGAAACCAATAAAAATCAGATTTAGACAAGAAGGCTGAAGACCAGACTGAAGAGATTTTGAGTTTTGAGTGATGGATGTTAATGGATTCTGTTCCCAATGGAGCAATACGCTGGCCTCACTGTTCTAGGGAACAAATACGGTCATTTATCAAATCTGTCCCTTCCCCAAATAAAGTGACTCATCTGTGTAACATTTTAACCTAAAGAACTCTGCTGTGAGACCCCCTCCAGAATGGTGCAAAAGTCAACAGTTGAAGCTGTTGGGCATGATGAAATGGGGCCTGGCTCTAAAAACCCCCACTAGCAACACAGAGTAGTGAAGGCAGTGACCGTCTCACTGTGTGAGCACAGGGAACCTGCTCTAGGAACCCCCAGAATACCAGACTGGGAAAAACAGCTGGAAAAAGGTTTGTTCCCTATAGCTGTGCTAGTAAGAGAAATGCCACAGAAACTGGGCATAACTAATTATTATTCTTTTGTCTTGGGAGGACTTGGGGAAGTTTGGGAATAGATGTATTTAATATAACCAAAATACTAACAGTGATTACAGCTATGGAGATTTACAGGCATTGAGATTGCACATAATGAGTAATTTCACTATTTTATTTATCTATTACCTACATTCTCTTAAAATTCTCTCTAATGAGCAGGATTTTTTAATCATAGTAAAGAATAACAAAATTAAACATAATTTACCGAAACACGGTAGGATTCTCATAAGCTTCATTATTTCACATGCTTCATTAGCATCCTGCCTATCCAATAGGCAGAATGGTTTAGTCTTGAAAATTCTCCTCATTGCAAAAGAAACAATCTTTTGAAGAAAAGTTAGAAATAGGATGGAAGAAGAAGCAGAAGAGGCAGAAACAGAAGCAGAAGCAGAAGCAGAAGGAGGAGGAGCAGGAGGAGGAGGTAGAGGAAGAAGAGGAGGCGGAGCCAATAAAGACACTAAGACATCAGTTGACACATGGCCAAATGCATTGTCTTATTACTTCGCAGATACCTGCTTGTTGCCATGGACATGAAGTAACTTTCAAACAACATACTATTGTATACATATCTAAGTATAATTACAGCATTACAAAACAGCAAAGGACTTTTAGTAACTAAGTCACACTGGAGTCTTGGCCTGTGTGGGAGACTATATAAAGATTGTAGAAGGGTTTACCCAAAAATAATTTTTATCTCTGTGAATGCTAATTCCCCCAAGCTGATTCTGAATTGTATGCAAAACAGCAAATTGTAAAACAGCCCTGATTAGTCAACTAAAGTCCAAAAAGGAAATAAACGGAAACTCTTACACAGTTCGGCATATACCCAACATAGCCACAAGTTTTGAATTTGTAATACTTGAACTTTAGAGCAAGAAAGCTTAGGCTTATTTTGCTTCTTAAGCTTATATTGAGAGAATGTGACAGCAATAAAAACTCCTCAGACAAGCCTTGACTTAATTAGCAAATGTTTTGTGTGCTCTTTTCAGGACACTGAACACCATTCATTACCAGAACCAAAGGTCACAGTGTGTGAACAGACAATAAAGTTCAGGGTTCATAACCAAAGTGAAGCCAAAGAATACCCAGGGTATTTTTTCAGAGTGTAAGTGAGTTAGATTTAAGCATACTGCAAGGAAGAAAGCTTCTCAACAACTCTAAATTTCTGGATGGATGGAAGGAAGGAAGAAAATAAGGAAGGACCCAAGTTGAAACAAGTATTTAAATGAAATTATCATGAGAAAGCAGGATCAGAGACATGCAAACATTTCAAGGATTAATTGTCATCCTAGATTGCAACCAAACACAAAACAAATGTAGTAACCAGTATACATTAATGCTAACTCATAGGAATGAAGATTTTTTTAAATGATGATAAAGCTTTTATGCTTCTCCCTTCTGCAACTGAGCTGTGATGAAGGAATGGCCTCTGAACACTCCAAAATAAGTAATTACTATTCATTTAAGAAACATATATTATTCTCTACAATTTCCAAGTTAGTTTGATAGACATTGCAGAAGATTTGGAGGAATAAGACAGACTTTATATGTGCATAAAATTTGTAATTCAAGGTTCATTATGATAACTGACATTTTAATAATTCAAAGAACTATAGGAGTTCAAAGAGAGAACTCCTTTTAGTCTAATATCTTAAGAAAGGCATTATAAAAGAGGTGGCATTGTGCCTGGGCCTTGGACAATAGATAAGACTTCAACAGCGAGAATGAGAGGAAAGTGTCTAGTTTAGACAACACTGTAGGAGACGGTGCAGTGTGAAGAAATAGGAGGGGAAGCCCACTGGCTAAAGGATTTATGGGATAATGAATGATAAAAGGAGTTTGGAACCAAAATGATGATCTTAGGGAAGTTCATTTGGGCAGCTAATCATGATGAATTGAAGGGGAGAGCCACTGGAAGTAGTGTGACTCCTTAGGAAGTTATTGCAACACTAGAAAGAGGAGTTAAGAAGAGCCTGAGCTAAAATTGAGTTGTAAGAGTAGATGGGGGAAATGGAGGTAAAAGTAATGATTGAAGAGGATTTGCTCAATAGATAATGCTCAGAATGAGAAAATGTGAGAAGAAATTGAAGGCCTACATTCTTTGGAGTGATATTTGAAGTTCATCAGGTAAATAACAATTCCTAGGGAAAACATGTGGAAAGATGGTAGAAGGGAATGGAAGGAAGACATTGGGGGAGAGTGGGAAGGCTGAGGTCAAGGCAATGATGAAGAATCCAGAAAAAATAAAAACATCATAGTCATGGAGTCCAAGCAAAGGCAAAAATCTAGAAGCAAGTAGCCAAAAGTAGCTCAGGATGTAGAGAAAACAGGAAGGACAAACAAAGATAAAGCCATTGGATGTCATGAGATGAGGACTACTGCTAATTGTTAAGTAAGGAGGGTAGAGCCCAGGCAACGCTTCTCCAGCCCATGTGGGTTCTGAGACTGCTGAAGTGATTCAGGACAAGGTCTTGTGAGAAGAAAGAAGAATACACCAAAGAAAAGTGAGATTTCAGATCATAAAATGTTGTTACCTACACTTAGCATCATTTCACATCCTAACTGCAGGTAACAAAATGAGCCACAGATACTAGGGGTGAACATCTAACAGAGATCAAGGGATGTGTTGATGAAGAAGAAGCTAATTTTGCAAAATTCTGAATCCGACTGCGGTATTTCTTTTGCATGTGATTTGGTGCTTTGATTTTGGAATATGAGGTTGGTCTTAAATTATCTGGCCTGCAACGGACACGTTTGAATAAAGTAAACAGTGGAAAAGTCTAGATGCTGAATGTTAGGGTTGAGGTAGAGTAGACAGTGAGAGAGCATAAGTAGTATGTAGAGAATAGAGTTTTGTGAAGTTTGGGAGTAAAGGAGGGATTTGCTAGCCAGGCATGGTACTGTGGTCCCAGTAGTCCAAGCTACTCAGGAGCCTGATGTAAGAGGACCGCTTGAGCCCCCGAGTTCAAGGCTGCAGTGAGCTAGGACCACACCACTACCCTCCAGCCTGGGTGACAAAGCAAGATCTCATATTTGAAAAAAAAAAAAAAATGATTTGCAATGGCCAAGGAAATCTTTTTAGGCAACTTTTTAAAATTTTTTTTTTCATTTTATGTTTGTTTAGGATAAGGTGGTCAAAGCTGTCCATTTAAAAAGAGAAAAAAAATCTAGTTGAAAGGAAACTTCCTCAAACAAGAGAGGAAATTAGTTTAGGAAACTAAATTCAGATGAGATTAAAAAAATGGATATGATCTGGCAAAGATAGAATAACTAGACTTGAAAAAAGAAAAGGGGTTTAAAAATAAAGAAAATGATCAAAATGTTCTTCGTGGGGAAGATGAGTAAGAATAAAAATTTTGCAGTTGAGAGAAAAGAAGTTCAAGCAGTCAGTGTCAGGCAGCTTTACTCTTCCTAATGAAACTGGATTTTACATCTTCTGTTAAGATTAGTAAGACACGGGTAGAATTGTTGGCTTGACATGAATGGTAAATACGAGGAACAACTTGCGAGGAAACAAAAGTGATGTGAGATGAATAAAATGAAATGGAGAAGAGCAAGGTGAAGTGAGGTGGCGTGAACTTGAGCGGCTGAGGACAGAGACTTATTGCCGATTTTTCCTGCAGTGCTTCACAACCCAGGAATAAAAAATTATATGATGCCTGTGTCCCAGGACACAGATAACACAGATTCATTTCACTGCCTTTTAATGTTTAATTCCTCCAGATACACAATTTGACTTCTTTGTATTTGAACTTTTAGCATCATGACTGTAGTCACTTCATTTTTTTTTCTTTTATGTTTTTCCTTTTATATTTACCTGCTGAGGTTTTATTTTTGCCAAAAACATTGTTTGGCTCAAGAAAACATATGATTATAGTGTAAATAAAATCGTCCTCCAGAGAAGAAGGGGCTCTCTTTCTTTTTTTTTTTTTTCGTTTTTTTTTTTTTTTTTTTTTGAGACAGAGTCTCACTCTGTTGCCAGGCTGGAGTGCAGTGGCACAATCTCAACTCACTGCAGCCTCTGCCTCCCGGGTTCAAGCAATTCTCCTGTCTCAACCTCCAGAGTAGCTGGGACTACAGGCATGTGCCACCACGCCTGGCTAATTTTTTGTATTTTTAGTAGAGATGGGGTTTCACCATGTTGGCCAAGCTGATCTTGAACTCCTGGCCTCAGGTGATCCGAGAAGGGGCTCTCTGCCTATGACCAGTAGCTCAACAGCATATAAGGCCTAGCAGGGCTGAGCAAAGCTGATTCTCAGCCACTGACTGGAGCTTGTGAGTAAAGTCTGTAGACATTGAGAAAAGAACGAGCAGAGTTGGGTTTCACATGCCATTTTGCGGCAGAAACTTATCCTTCTTAGTTAGGTGAAGTCAACTTTGAACTTTTCATAGAATGTCTTTCAGAATTTTCATCTGCACAACTTGGAAAGCCTTGTGGTGAGATAACTGCACTTGCATTTTTAAATCTTCACAGTAGAGCTTCTTCTGTACTCAGGGGAATGCCCACTGAAGGTCAGAGGAGCCCTGAGCTTCCATCAGCTGTTTGCTTTTCCTGCATACAAATGTGTAAACCCCATGCTGTGGCTTTATTAGCATGAGGAAGTTTGGTAATCCAGGTTGTTAATGACCTTCCATCTTCCCTGAGATACATGAGGATATAGCCTAAGGCAACTCATTAGAGACTCATTTGCATTTTTGAGAGCCATTATTAGAAAATGTATAGATAAGAAAAACAAAAATCTCAGAAGACACAACAATGAAGCTCAGCTCTAAAGCCCTTGGATAAGGTTCCGGAGACCTTAAATCTATATATTCAAATAAAACCTTACATTGAAACTGTAATTATGACAAAGAAGTATCTTTTGGGTCCCAATTACCCCACCAAATAACACCTTAACATTGAGTGCCCTTAAAATATAGAACATTCCAAAAATGTATTATGTTTTATTTATAAGGAAGGTATTATATATATTATACTGGTGAAAAATTAAAATCTAAAATGTTTAAATGACTTGTTAAACTTGCATGGCTCTTAAGTTGCAGAGCTAGCATGAGAAAAGGGTACTCCAATTTTGACTTCAGTCCTCTTTTCACTGTATTCTATGATAAAGTCAGGGGTAGAATCTGCCATGCTGGTCACTTTCCAATTAGATTGGGTCACTAGAATCCAAATCCAAGTCAGAGATTTGGATTCTAGTGCCAGTTATGTTCCTAATGAGGTATGTGATCTTAAAAAGCCATTTTATCTCTCTGGATACAAGTTTCTTTTTCTGTTAAAAATAATAAAAGAAAGAAAAGGAAGGAAGGAAGAATGGATAGACGGAAGGAAAAGAAAGAGAAAGAGAAGGGAAAGGATACTAAATTCAAAGCTATTTTATTGAAGAACAAAAAATGAAAAAGCAAATTAACTTGCTTTGCAACTGCCTAGAATCCTCCTCCAAGGAGCCAGAGTCCCTTCTGATATCCATCTCACTAAAAATGGACTTGAAATGAAAGTACGGTAAACAATGAGTGCTCCAAAGAGCTTCATACCTTACTTCCAAGATTTTCTAAACAGATGCTCACTTCCGTGGTTGAGCTGGCACACATATGCCCCAGTCGACAATGAAGTTCTACACTTGCTCTTCGTGATCACTTATACTCCATGGCTATTTTCAGTGGCTTTAGAAAGAATTGTCCAGGATGAGAAGGACAGAAAGAGAAAAAAAATGACAACTCTTGATGAAATTCCTGAGGATCTCCTGTTCAGGAATCCAGCACGAACCAGAGAAATGAAAGGAGGAGGTAGGACAAGAGACTGTCACCTAGGAAAATATCCCAGGTTGTTTACAAGCTTGGAGAAAGTTGCTTAAGAAGGGACAGATTTCATTACAGGAAAAGATAAACTGGCACCCAGGAGGGTAGAAAGTAACTCATGTCAATCACCTCCTTACAAGAATAATACTAGATGATTTTATCAAAGCAAAGTCATTTCCCAGACTCTCTTCCTGAGAC
The DNA here is from genome assembly GCF_000001405.40 of Homo sapiens. Classification (NCBI taxonomy): domain Eukaryota; kingdom Metazoa; phylum Chordata; class Mammalia; order Primates; family Hominidae; genus Homo; species Homo sapiens. The sequence goes on from NC_000018.10 coordinate 1,970,745, forward strand.
AGAATGGTGAGTTCAAGATTACACAGAACTACTACATGCCCAGTTACATGCAGCAGGGAGTAAGAAAACCAAGGCGTTGTCCAGAGTGACAACCCACCTGCCTGAAAAAGGGAAGGAAATAACAGCAAAGGGGAATAAATGGACCTGAGAGAAGCATCCTGTGAGATCCCCTGATGAAGCTCCTCTGCTAGGCTATGTGGTTACAGGCTTTCAGACAACAGGTCAGATGGAATCAGATAGATGATGTCCCTCTCCTGTTTTATTAAAAAACTAATGTTTTTTAACAGAAACAATCAGACGAACCTCAGAGGACATAAGCTGGAGAATATCCAGAAGATGAGGCTGTGGAGGACCCAAAGGGCAAAGCTATGCATCTTTCCTCTGAATTAATGAGAGTAAAGTGGTCAGTCAGCACAAGGATTAGTGGGTGGATAGTCAAGGAAGACTGAAAAGCCTTAAGCTCCCCACTTTTATCCAGACCTCCACTGCCCTCGGAAAGATTCAATCATTAGAGTGAAAATGAAATTTGCTACTGGGATGTCCAGATAGCTATCATCCAGCCAATCAATGAAATTTCCTCCATCCTAGGCATCTCTTCCACACTTCTTTTTATTTCCTCTACTATGATGTTCTCGGGCAGTTGAGGGATCTTTTCCTCTTCTTTCTTTCTTTTTTTTTTTTTTTTTTTTTTTTTGAGACAGGGTCTCACTCTGTTACCTAGGATGGAAAGCAATGGCACAGTCCAAGTAGCTGTAATCACAGGCATGCACAAGCATACTCGGATAATTTTTAAATTTTTTTGTAAAGACAAGGTCTATTATGTTGCCCAGGCTGGACTCAAACTCCTGGGCTCAAGTGATTGTCCAACCTCAGCCTTCCAAAGTGCTGGGATCACAGGTGTGAGCCACTGTCCCAGGCCAACTGGGGAAATCTTAACACATTGCCCATCAAACTGTGGGGGACGCTGCACACTTTGCAGATACTGCTGTCTGTTAACTGGCAGTCAGTGGTCCACACCAACAGAGCTAAAAAGTCAAAGTTTGACCCATTCATTAATTATTTTCTTACTAGTCATTTTTTTGGTTTTGTTTTTTTACTTTATGTCACTATTTAAAAATATTTCAAAATCCTTGAAATGAATTAAAATAGGGAGAGTTTTACCTTTATCCTGTCTCATGTAATTCTGCCCTATTTCATAAGTTTTTGACCCCATGCTGCAGCTGCAGATGCCAGCCTTGTTCAACTTCATACCACTCTTTTGCTAGGCACTGCCTGGCCAACCCCACAACCAGACCTGAGGCTTTCCAACCTGAACCATGTACTCCTTGGGAGTGGAGGGATGGACTGACAGGTAAGGTTAACTTGTTCTGATTCATTCTCTGATGTACTGAATGTTGCCGTCCCAGAGTTGGCCTCCTACAGAGATCCAGAAAGACTTGCTCAGCTGAGCCGACTGTTGAAGGCAAGCAGTGTGGGCAGATTGCTGAGGTTATGACCACCAGGCCTGGAACCAGCCCCTGATTAGACCAGGTTGGAGTAGGTGCTTTTCCAGTCATGAAGCTTAAAAACTCTACAGGCCTAGGCCAGGTCTCTCTCCCCATGTCTGACTTCTGACCCTGTTAGATACTTATGTACCACCTAGAATGTAATGAACAGTAGTGGGGCATCCACTTCTTTTGCATGAGTTTCTCCTAATAAACACCCTTCCAGATAGCCTGGTGTGAGCCTTCAGGTCACTAGCTTCAGTTGCCTCAACAAAAGACTCTCTGTTTTAATTAGTTTCAAAGATTTTGAAATATTTTTAGATAGTAACATAAAGTCAAAAAACAGTGGATAGTAAGAAAATAATTAATGACGGGTCAAGCTTTGAATCTGTTGGTGAAAAAAAATCAGCTGAACACATGATCAGTTCTTGTTTTTGAGTCTTTGTTTTCAAGCTGTAAAAAGCTCTATTTATCTCCTAGTGATTAAAATGAGCATCCTCACTTGTTAATCTTCCTGTCAAGGATTTCTTTGATGATTTTCTTGAAAATGAAGTGTACCCAAGATTTCAGTTGGCTTCAGTTTTGTCGTGTTTACTTGTGTTTCTATCTTTAACACTTGCAGAGAATCATCACTAATACAGTCACTTTAGGTCCCAGGAAGACTTGCAGCAATCTCTTTGGTTCCTCGCAGAATGCAGGTGTGATTGGAGAAAGGCAGCTGGATAAAGAGCTAAATAGAGTCGTGGCCAAGCCAAGCTGATCATGGTTGCGTATGTTTAGGAATCATGGTTTATCTGGGATCCAGGGGGATACATTGTAGGGTGAAGGAAAAAACCAAACACCCAAACTCCAGAGGTAAAGTAAAGCTGGAAACAGTCAGGTTATTCAGATGTTATCAATAAGAAAACCAGGAAGAAGTTTGAGGTGTGGACTGTATCAGATAGAATTTTGACAGTTTTCTGTATCACCATTCCTACCAAATTTGATTGGCCCAAGTGCTTCCATAGCCACTCTGTCCATGAATCATTGCTCCCTGAACATTTCCACAGTCAGGCCTCTGTAAGGGCCAAGAGTGGATGGATGTATGGATGCAGAAACCAGACCTAAAATGGTATACTGTTTACTTAATGTCGATCTCAGCAGTAGCCACATGTAAAACTACAGCCAGAGAGATGAGGAGACTCAGCGGCAGACAGAAAGCAGAGCCCAGAACACAGAGGAGGGCCTCGGGAGAGTTGCAGCAAGCCGAAGGCAGAGGCCCATGGAAGCCTCCTTTTTGGCACTTTGTTCTCTGGGATGCTTTGGATACAAGGTAGAAAGCCAAGGACCCATCTACATAAGGAGGAAAAGATAGTGTGGTAGGCTGAATAATGCCTTCTCGAAGATGTCCATTTTCCAATCCCCAGAGCCTGTAACTATGTGACTTTCCAGGGCAGCAAGTACTTTGCAGATGTGACTTAGTAAAGGATCTTGAGATGGGGGGGTTATTCTGGTGGGTCCAACAAATCACAGGGTCCTTATAAGAGGGAGAGGACACATGGAGTTAGAGGAGATGTGACAAAGGAAGCAGAGATCAGAGAGGGAGAAAGAGAGAGAGATTGAACATGTTAAACTGCTTGTTTTGATGATGAAAGAAGGAGGCCATGGGCCAAGGAATGCAGGTGGCCCCTAGGAACTGGAAAAGGCAAGGAAACAGCTTCTCTCCTAAGCCTCTGAAAGGAACACAGACTTGTTGACACCTTGATTTTAGCACAATGAGACCTATTTTGGACCTCCAGAACTATAATAATTAGTTGTATTGTTTTACGTCTCCAAGTTTATGGTAATTTTCTACAGCAGAAATGAGAAACTAATAAACAGAAATATGGCCATTCTTACAAATGTAGTTTAATAGGGTTCTAGGTGGTGGTTGGTCGCATAGTAAAGACCTAAAAATTTTTAAATGAGACCAATTGCAAATCTGAGATTATGCCAACCTACAGAATTAGAGAACCAGTGCTTTAATATATTTACTCTGTCTAGAGGTTCAATTGGTCCTAGAAGCCAGTGAGACACTGAACAAGAAATTTGGAAATTAGTGGAACCATAGAAGAAGAATCAACTCTGTCATCTCATTCCTTGAGGAGTTCCTTTACAGTCATTCATTTATTCATTCATTCATAACACTCAGTGAGCCAGGCTGCTAAATGCTGGGGCCAGAGATGAGAAGACAACAGCTAAAATATTTGACCTCATGGAGCTGTGTATCAAACTCCGTAAAACCAGTGTGAACCCTTCTTCATGAGGAATTGCCTCTTCGCTTTTTTTCTGCTTGAGAATTGTCTAAACCTGCTAAAACAGATGCTCAGTAGATGCCAAAAATGCACTCAAGCAAGGCAGATTCAATATGGTGAAAAAGGCAGGGTTTTATAAACTGGTTACTGATGCTTATAATTCCCACAATGAAAACATGAAGACGAGCTATAGAATGATGTGAGTAAAATGCAAAATAACACACCCAGATTTTTGAGAACCTTTGTCTTTCAGAGGCCCTGGAATCACAAAAGAGCCCTATGTTAGAAGGCACAGAGAAAAATACACTTCTGCTTTAAGCTGTAGGGAAAAGTATGGAGCTATATTAGGAGCTTTACCAAGCAGATTAAAAAAGGCACCTGCCAAACTTGAATCATGTGTGCAGACTTGAGATTCTAAAAATCGCTGGAGAATTATCTAGAAAGAATGGTCCACCTCCAACTGTAGGCTGGATCTTAGAATCCAACATGAAGGAATGAAGAGGAAGAAATTAGAACAGGATTTCTCCAAAAGCCTCCAAAACAGGGTGTCCAATCTTTTGGCTTCCCTGGGCCTCATTGGAAGAAGAATTGTCTTGGGTCACACATAAAATACACTAACGCTAATGATAACTGATGAGCAAAAAGAAAAAAAATTGCATAAAAACTCATAATATTTTAAGAAAGTTTACAAATTTGTGTTGGGCTGCATTCAAAGCCATCCTGGTCCTCATGCATCCCACTGGCCACAGGTTGGACAAGCTTGCTCCAAAAGAAGTGAACAACAGGGTAGGGCTAGGCAAGCATTTCCTGTAAGAGCTAGATAGCAAACATTTTAGGCTTTGCAGGCCACATGGTCTCTGTCACAACTACCAATCTCTACCATAGTAGTGTGAAAGCAACTATAGATAATATGTAAATTAAAAGGTGTGACTATGTACCAATAAAACTTTATTTACGAAAAGAGGCAACAGGCCATATTTGGTCCACCGGCTGTAGTTTACCGACCTCTACAATAAGGTACAGCTTCTCTTGCAATGAATTGAAAACCCAATGACATTTGTGGTACCATCCCTCCCTCCCATATCCATGGCAAAATTGCTGTATGAAGTTGAGCAATTTACCTAACTTTAGTAAGCCTCTGTTTTCGCATCTTGTAATACTGTCTATATCATAGGATGGTTGTGAAGACTGAATGAAATGGTGAATTAAAACACCTAGTAACCTACCTGGCCCCTAATAGATGACACTACTGTTGTGGTCCTCATCTCCAACAACCAATTATTACAAACCTCTGTAACCAATTACTGTGCACTTTACACATCCACAGGGTCACTACCCATTGCCCTGCTCTGGCACTAAAGTTGAAACTTACGTATCAGTGTTGCTCTTTGTCATTCTTGAAACTATTCAAAATTCTAGCCTCCTCCTTTTTGTTTCACACAAGTTGTTTTCTTATCTTTTTAGCTAACTTTAAAAGCTTTGAAAAGGCAAAGTCATTGTATAATAGCCCGAGGAACACAGCAGGCTATTACCAGCATTCTAAGAGTTTTGTTCTGATTTAAAAACGAGAATGAGTGGGGTTGAAAGCCTCAGCAGAAATAGTCTGTGAGGGCAGAGAGAAGGTAAGCAAAGGAGCTATTTCCAGGAACTGAAGAGCAGAGCAAGACCTGTAGAAAGTCGGGGTTTCGGGGACTGGGGAATTTCTGATAGTGAGAACAGCATCGCAGGAGCACATTCATCCTTTTGTATTTTCTATAGGCCTTAGGGTTCCTTCATGCAGACTCAGATACCACCAATCATTACAGATGGGACATACGCATGGACCGGGGGAGCAGACGCTGCCCTTAAAAATTATTAGTCTTCTGGGCACAGAAAAAAAGAATGACAGAATTTTTTTCTGATTACATACATAAAATTCTCTTCTGGCCTCCTTGCATTCCATTTTTCTTAAATCCATGATTGGGTGTAGTTGCCCAAAGAATAAGTCTGAACTCGGATATCAATGGATGCCTTTTTGTTGTATGTGCCTAAAGCTCCTCCTCTTGTGGGAACTGCCTATTTCTCGGCCCACCATCGAGGGACGCACCAGGGGTGGAGTTAGAGCTGCCTTACAGCTGGACTGGAAATGCTAGAGCTTTATCTCTGGGGGAGCCTGGGTATCTGGTGTTTGACTCTTGGCCACGATTAGGGTAGTGAGATTTATGATGTGTTGTCTAACATCCCAAACTCTCCCAAAGGACACCTACTCCCACTCCCATGACGCATTTAGTCTACTGCAGTGTTCCTGAACCATGTGAGTAGTGTTCATTTTAAACTCAAACACATGCAAGGCACCTGCAGACAGAAATCTCAGAAGAGGACTTTGTTCACTCAGAGCAAAAGCAAAAAATATAGTTTTCTTTGGTGCTTTTCTACCATCCCACATATTTTAATATGTAATATTTTCATTCCTGATGGTGTTAATGTTTTCCAATTTCCAGGGGGGTACATTATTAGACTCGTGAATAAATAAAGTGAAATGTTCAACTTCGCTAGAAACCATGCAGAAGAAAGCAAATTTCCTACTAAAAATAGTTTGGGTGGGGACATGAAGACAGAGAAATTCGAACATTTCTGATAGAAAGCTAAATTGATACAATTGTTTAGAAAACAATTTAGAGATACCTAGTAAAGCTGAAGATGAAAGGCACAAACCCTCTGAGTCTGCAGTTTAAATTCTAGGATGTTCCCCAGAAAACACATTCACACAGGTGAACAAAGATGTTTGCTGCAGCAACCTTTATAATCACAAAAACATGGTAACCAACAGAACATGGGCTAAAGCTATTCATGCAACAAATATTATGAATTATTTAACATGAATAAACTACAGCTGTGCCTGTCAACATAAGCAAAACTCAAGGAAAGCTACCTGGGGAGAAAGAAGAAAATTTAAATGAATGTGAACTTTGTGACATCACTTACATAATAGTTAAGGTCTCCAAATGTGATATGGTATCCATAACAGTCTATGTACAATAATATAGATATATGTGTTAGAATAATATCTAAAAAAAATCAGAATAGTGATTATTTCAACATAGAGATGCAGAGTAAAGAAAGATGGGAGTTGGGTTTTGGACAGATACCACAAAATGCTAATATAAGCTAAATGTTAGTAGTGATGGGTATATAGTTGTCTGATATGATATTTTCTGTAGTTTTATGTTCGAAAACTTCATTAACGCTGTATATATATATATGTGTGTGTGTATCAGCACATCACTTTTATTCATTAAATATTAAATGAATAAAAAACACACACATATGCAATTGATCCTTGAACAACATGGGTTTGAAGTGCATGGGTCCGCTTATATGTGGAGTTTTTTCAATAAAAGTTACACTGAGTGTGCCTGCCTCTCCTGACTCTCCTTCCTCCTCCTCCACCTCTTCCACCTCTGCCACTGCTGAGACAGCAAGACCAACCCCTCCACTTCCTCTTCCTCTTCCTCTTCAACCTACTCAATGTGATGATGATGAAGATGAAGACCTTTATCATCATTCACTACCACTTAATGAAGAGGAAATATATTTTCTCTTCCTTAGTCATTTTCTTAATGACATTTTCTTTTCCCTCACTTACTTTATTGTACAGATACGGTATGTAATACATATAGCATACAAAATATGTGTTAACTGACTGTTTTTCTTATTAGCAAACTTTCAGTCAACAGTAGGCTATTAGTAGTTAAGTGTGGTGATTCACAGTTACATGCAGATTTTTGACTGCATGAAAGGCCAGTGCCTCTAACCCCAGAATTGTTCAAGGGCCAACTGTGTATATGTAAATTAGAGCCGATATATGCTGTTATACAGAGAGACATTAAGACAAAAGATGTGAAAAGCAATAGCCATCCCTGGTCCCACACATTGCTCCAGTTCCTTTTTGGTCTATTCCTGGTATGCATCGTGGAACTTAGATTACACAGGATATCCTAATTATGACTCTAAAAATCCCTTTTTTGTTTTCTTAAGCTGGGTTGAGTTGAATTTATGTTGAAGGCAATGATACGAAAAGACCACTAAGTAATCTTTGAGAGCCTTGGAGATTTTAGAGATTTTATGTGTGTGTCATTTCCCTTTATTTTAAAAATAACATTAAATTGATACATAAAATCATGCATATTCAATGCAGATAATACGATTATTATATACATACACACCCATAAACACATTATATAGATTACCACAATCAAATTAATTGACATATTGATCACTACCCATAGTTATCATTTGGCAGAGGTGGGAGTGGTAAAGATATGTAAAATCTGCTCTCTTACCAAATTTCAAGGAAATGCAGTGTTATTTACTATATACAGCATTAACTATTAACTCTAGTCACCATGCTGTACATTAGGTTCCCAAAACGTTGTCATCTTATAACTGAAAGTTTTTCCCTTTGACCAACATCTCCCATCCCCCTCCCACCACACCCTTGGCCCAGCCTCTGGAATCCACCATTCTACTCTCTGCTACTGAGTCTGACTTTTTTAGATTCCACATATAAGTTAAATTGTACAGTACTTGTCTTTCTATATCTGGCTTATGTCACTTAGTATAATGTCCTTCAGGTTCACCCATGTCATCTCAAACGGTGGGATTTCCTTTTTTTAATGCAAATATCCCGTTGTACGTATATTCATCAGATTTTATTTATTTATTCAGCAACCAATGGGCACTTAAGTTGATTCCATAGCTTGGCTATTGTGAATAATGCTGCTGAACATGGTGGGGGTATGGCGCAGATATCTCTTTGAGGTACGGATTTCATTTCCTTTGAATACGTACCCAGAAGTAAAATTGCTGGGTCATAGTTCTATTTTTCAGTTTTGGGGGAATATCTACACTGTTTTTCATAGTGATTGCAATAATTTACATTCCCACCAGCAGTGTGCAAGGATTCCCTTTTCTCCATACCCTGGCCAATATTTGTTATCTTTTTTTAATAATAGACATTTTTTCAGGTGTGAGATGATGTCTCAATATAGTTTTATTTGCATTTCCCTGATAATTAGTTATATTGAGCACCCTTTCTTATGTCTTCTTTTGAGAAATGTCTGTTCAGTTCCTTTGATCATTTTTAAATCAGGTTATATGTTTTTTCTGTTTGGTTTGTGAGTTCTTTATATAGCTTGGGTATTAACCCCTTATCAGATCTGATTTGCCAATATTTTCTCCCACTCTATAGGTTGTCTTCATTTCTCGACTGTTTCCTGTGCCATGAAGAATCTTTTTAGTTTGATATAGCCTCATTTGTTTATTTTTGCTTTTGTTGCCTATGCTTTTGATGTCATATCTGAAAAATTATTGCCAAGACCAATGTCAAGGAGATTTTCCATGTTTTCTTCTGAGAGTTTTATGGGTTTTTATATTTTTGATCCATTCTAAGTTTATTTTTGTGTAAGATGTAAAATGAGGGTTTATTTTATTCTTTTGCATGTGGATATCCACTTTTCACAACAGTAATTATTGAAGAGGTTATTAGTTCCATATTGTGTGTTTTTTGCACTCTTATCAAATATTAGTTGACCATATATGTGTGGTTTTATTTCTGGGCTCTCTATTCTGTTCCATTGGTCTATGCATCTGTTCTTATGTCAGTACCATATTGTTTTGATTACTGCAGCTTTGTAATATAGTTTGAAACCAGAGAGTATAAATCCTCCAGCTTTGTTCTTTTTTCTTAAACATTGCTTTAGCTATCTGGCATTTTTTTTGGTTCCATATGAATTTTAGGATTTTTTTTTGTATTTCTATTAAAAATGCCATTTGGATCTTGATAGAGATTGCAGTGATTCTGTAGATCACTTTGGGTAACACGAAGAATTCTTGCTTTCCTGCATCTTCCAAGTATCCTGATCATGCCAGCATGCCTGTTGTGGTAATATAGCCTTTGAGGCTGTTCATATTACCTTGGGTTTTGTGTGCATGGTTCCAAGAAGGATAAAAGATAAGTAAAATACTTGGAGATACAAACACAATATAGAAGCCAATAGTATCTCCAAGCAGGCAGGAGCCAGCTATACCAAAAGCAAAAGTAAAAAGTATCAGCTTATGAGATCTATGGACAGAATTTTCTCCTCTCCCCTGCCTGGATGATAGTATCTCCAAGTAGCCAGCTATAGCAAAAGCAAAAGTAAGAAGTATCAGGTTATGGAATCTATGGACAGGCAGAATCAAGTGCCTACCTGACCAAGACCCCCCATTCACCACATCATTTGTGTTTCCCCTTGACCAGATGCAAGGTTAAGTCCCCTTCAACTTCCTATGAAACCAAGTCCTATAAGAGTATCAGATTTTGTGCCAGCTTCAGCTCTAGGTGATAGCACAACCTCTAAATTATTATCACTCAGCTCATTATTCAGGGCAATTGCCCCAGGAGAAACAAGCCTGTCTGAGCTGGGACATGTGCCCCTCTATCCTCCAATGTCTTTATGGTCAGACTGTCTTCTTAAAACTTTTACCTCCACCTCATGAGTGCCACTGTATTGGAATCCTGCTTCCTTAGGCTTCCATCCGATAAGGTGATAACAATAGACATGCTTTAGTGTGTGCCTTCGAATTGGGTATTTCTGTTCTCAGTGTAGGATATGAATATCAGATTCCCAAAGTAATTTTTATTTTCTATATATAGCTGGCATTTTTCTTTTTTTAAAAAAATCACAACTTTTAGTTTAGATACAGAGGGCACATGTGCAGGTTTGTTACATGGGACCATAACATGATCCTGAGGTTTGGGGTATGGATCTCTCACCCAGGTAGTGAGCATAGTACCCAATAGGTAGTTTATTAACTCACGTCCCCTCCTTCCATCCTCCCTCTAGTAGGCCACAGTGTCTACTGTTCCAATATTTATGTCCATGTGTGCTTAATGTTTAGCTCCCACTTATAAGTGGGAACACGTAGTATTTGGTTTTCTGTTCCTGCATTCATTCTTTTAAGATTATGACCTTTAACTGCATCCATGTTGCTGCAGAGGACATAATTTCATTATTTTTTATGGCTAAACGGTATTCCATGGGCTATATGTACCATGTATTCTTTATCCCCTCTACTACTGATGGGCACCTGGGTTGATTCCATGTCTTTGCTATTGTGAATAGTGCAGCAATGAGCATACAAGTTCATGTGTCTTTTTCGTAGAATGATTTCTTTTCCTTTGGGTATAATGGAATTGCTGAGTCAACTGGTAGCTCTGTTTTAAGTTCTTTGAGAAATCTCCAAAATGCTTTCCACAGTGGCTGAACTAATTTACATTCCCACAAGTGTGTGTAAGTGTTCCCTTTTCTCCACAGCTTCGTCAGCATCTGCTGTTTTTTGACTTTTGAATAGTAGCCATTCTGACTGGCATGAGATGGCGTCTCACTGTGGTTTTGACTTACATTTCTCTAATGATTAGTGATGATGAGCATTCTTTCACGTTTGTTGGCTGCTCATATGTCTTCTTTTGAGAAGTGTCAGTTCATGTCATTTATCCTACTTTCATTCAGAATGATTTCCCAGACAATCTTGGTTTTTAAGAAAAAAAGTACTATTTCAGAATTTAACCTTTCTTTTTTGTGGTTTTGTTATTTCAGTCCATTTCATTGTATTATTGTTCTCTGTCCACAGCTGGGTTCAAGTAAATTTGTCACATCATTTGCACACAACGCTATTTTAAAACACACTCCTCTTGGTTTCACATTTTTTCATTATTTTCAAAACATCTGCTGTGTTGGTTGTTTTCCCAAAACCAATGTGGGATTTTTGAAAATAATATTATTCAGTTTTTCTCATGTATGTTACTCATATTTTGTGTGAATTATTTCAAATGGCTCATGCAACATGCATAACGTGATTCTTGTAAAAATGTTTCTCTAAATTGCTTCTCTGCAAATTGGAGGGTAGGGAAACTGGAAGTATGGGCATACATCATGGAAAGGACTGCAGTTTCATCACTGTACATCATTTAGGGGAAATCCTTGGCCAACAATCATGGAAGGAGATTGCACTCCTCCTTTCCTGCCCTAAACTTATTAACAGGTTAAATTTTAAAAGCAGTGAATGAATAAAATCCTAAAACCTGCAAGAGAAAAACATGAGTCACAAGGGTTTTGACACAGTTCTTCTTCTTGTTTTCTTTCCTTTTTTCTTTCTCTTTTTTTGAGATGGAGTCTTGCTCTGTCACCCAGGCTGGAGTACAGTGGTGTGATCTCGGCTCACTGCAACCTCCGCCTTCTGGGTTTAAGTGATTCTTGAACACCACCACACTCAGCTACTTCTTTTTTGTATTTTTAGTAGGGACGGTGTTTTGCCATGTTGGTCAGACTGATCTCGAACTCCTGACCTCAGGTGATCCACCTTCCTTTACATACTTCTTCTTAATTTAAGATAATATTAAGTAAAAATCAGATATTACCTACACTGTGTTCTCATTCCTCTGCGTACACAATTTCATTTCCTGAATACTTCCACAAACCTAGCAGAACGACAGACCTCACCATGCACAACAAGCATTTCCCCAGCATTAGAGGGGGACAGAAGAGGTCTGTTTGCAGTCAGCCTTCCTGGACACACTCAGGGCGCTGCTTCTCCCTTCAAAATAACCTCTCTTCATCTTTGCTTCTTTAGTAATTCAGACTGATTACACCCAATTACAAATTTTCTTTCCTATGTTGGGACACTGAAAGACTATCTGAAAGATAATAACATCAGTTCTTAAACAAAAGAATACAAATAGCACGAAGTAGCAAAGTATATAAAAAGTCTTACAACATAGTAGGAGATAAAAACAATGAAGACTATTTCATGTTGTCATTCTTTTGCTTTGTGTGCATTATATCTTGGAACTGGAATGACCCAAGCGTTGTCTCCTTTAGGGACAGTTTATCAAATCAGTGCTTTCCTAGGTGAAGGAAAGACTGTGAGTGTGTCTGTAGTCAAGAGTTTTGGCAAACTGAGGCAGGAGCACCAAGGACCTGCTGATGTATCCTATACCTGTTTTTCTTACAAATATCTGTAGCAGTTTTGAGTTGTCACATTGAATTCTTGCATTTTACCAAGAAGAGTGCCAAATGCATCTCATCTCATCTCATCTGGCAAAATTATGATCCCAGTAAAATAATGACATTTCACTTGAAAACAACAAAGGTCTCAGTTTTTGGATATGGGTACTCCAACAGCCCAGAGAACACCATTCACAAGTTATATTTCAACTGGTTACTAATTTATATAATATATCTGGCCTGGGATTGAGTTTGTTCAATTTCCAACTCTATAGATTCTATATTTTTAATTAATTGTTTACTTATTGCCAGACCTGAGTGTTTTATTTTAGCATTATTCAGAATAAAATTATCTAAAATCAAAGTGAATCCTTTTTCTCCACCACTCATATGGTCCAAGAATAATGTTCTTGGCTTTAATCATCTGTGACTCAAACACTATGCAGTTGTATTGGGTTGTACCTGTTTTTTCAACCAAAAATAAAGTGGGTACTATTAATTAGGAACCCCCTAGCTCAATAACTGTGTCCCTCATAAGGGCCCTGACAGTAATGTCAGTTGTTTTAGGTAAATTGGCAAACAAAGTTTTTAACACATTGTTAGAATTTTCCAGCCTTTTCCTCCAACTGTCAGTGATTGATGGAAAGTCAGATATTTTCACAGTCTGCAATACGTAAGACTATAAACTTAATAAAACGAGTTAGCAGGATAGCAAGTCAGCTGACACTTTTGACAGCCCCATCTTGACATTGTAAATTCCCAAGCATTTCTCACCATTTACTCCCATTTGACCCTCAGTGAATGAGATAGCTTCAGTCGGCAGAATGTTGTACACTTTACCTTATTTGCCCTCTGCTATTACAAATTCTTCTTCCTCTCTATACTGATAATTAAAGTGACTCATTTTGAAACATTGATTTTTCTTTTTTCTGAGCCTCTAAAATAAATTTTTTATTATTATAATTGTGTATTCCAACAGATAGTTTCAGCTCAGGTGGCTTTTGGGCTATTAATTTTTAAATTATCTAATTATTAATTAATATTTTTTAACTAGCCTCATCCATCATAATAACAAAATGTTATATGGCTTTGGCATTGTGTGCCATGTCTATAGCTGCATAGTTTTTTTTCCTTTCACAATTTTCATTCTCTTGAATATTCCATCCTGCTAAATAGAAACATTAAATTTGTATTTATATTCATATTTTGTTGGATGCATTTAATATACTTAATTAATATGTCCATGTAGCAATCACCCAAAGTGTTTTGTAATAAATGCAGTTGACGCCTGTCTGTACCCACTTAAGCCTTACACAAAGTTCTCTCAACTGTGAATCTTCCCTAAAAGTGGAGTGGTCTCTTTCTCCTTCCATGGTATGACAGAAGTACTGGGAAATATAAGACTCCCTTGCCACCCAGGAGCGAACTCCAACAATACTTGATGGGGGTGGCCTGTAAACATCCCAACTCCCTACCTCGTGGATGGGGAAACAGCCTGAGGCACATGTTAGACACTGACTCCCAGAGTTCTCCAACAGGATTCAGCTCTGATCACCAGCAGCGGTACTGGCTTGATAATGTACCCTGCATTGGCTGCCTTCACATCCTTGGCTCACTTCCTTGGGTCCCTACGCCAGTCTTCAGATGATCTCCAAAAAAAATACTTGATGTAAAATGTTTTCTCAACGATTGATTCTGAGGCACCTAAACTTCTACAAATGGCTGAGTCTAACACTTGGCAATTGCTCTTCACATCTGTGGGAAAGATGGGGAGATACACACTGCCATGAATCTTTCTGTAAAAATTTAATTTCAAAATAGTTTATCTGCAGTGCCAATAAGTTGTCCACAGAAAATTTAAAATTGGTTTCCACAAAGAACCATAAATTTTTCACAGAAAATTTAGGCTGAAGTTCACAATGTTTAGATATTGTACTGATTTAGTGTAGTGGGAAAATCAGAAAACCAGTCACCAGAATTGGTTGATAAACTCAGGCAAAACAATGTGCCTTATAGACCTAAGAACATCTAATGTAAGAATAAATGTAGAGTCTCAGCATACAGCAAGAAATCCTAATTCTAAAATCTGGATCTTCTCATTGGTCTTGAAGCTTTTACCTACTATAACTCTTTTTTTAACCTACTAGAAGCTTTTACCTGCCAGAATGCCTTTTTCCAGAAGTTCCAAAAGAAAGGACGTTTTTGTATTTTCTTGAACACTGACTTTCTATCTTGACTATATGAAGACACTTTTCTCACAATCTTTTCCTTTCCTAAAAATTTTGGGCAGGTGTGGTGGCTCACACCTGTAATTCTAGTGTATTGAAAGGCCAAGAAAGGGGACCGCTTGAGGCCAGGAGCTCGAGACCAGCCTCAGCAAAATAGCAAGACCCCCATCTCTACAATAAATGAAAATATTAGCTGGGCATGGTGATACGCACCTGTATCTAGAAGGAAGATAGATAGATGATAGATAGATAGATAGATGATAGATAGATAGATAGATAGATAGATAGATAGATAGATGATAGATAGATAGATAGACGTATATGTATAGAAATATACATCTCTCTCCCTCTCTCTCTCTCTCTATATATATACACATATATATATATGGAGAAGATTTCAAAGAATTTCTACTTATTTTATTGCATGCATCTGAAAACATTGTTCTGAGAGTCCATAGGTGTCAGATTTCCAAAGGGTCCCAGGACACAAAGAAAGTTCAACTCCTGCATTAATGTCAAAATGTTTAGCTTGGACCCACTGCAGTGACTCACATTTGTAATCCCAGCATTTTGGGAGGCCAAGGCGGGCAGATCCCTTAAGGCCAGGAAATCGAGACCAGCCTGGCCAACATGGTGAAATGCCATCTCTACTGAAAATACAAAAATTAGCCTGGCATGGTGGTGCGTGCCTGTAGTCCCAGCTACTCAGGAAGCTGAGGCATGAAAATCATTTGAAACAGGGAGGCAAAGGTTGCAGTTAGCCGAGATCACACCACTGCACTCCACTCTGGGTGACAGAGCAAGACTCCATCTTGGGAGAAGAAAAAAAAAGGAAATGTTAGGTATCAAAACACTGAAACAGAAATGAAGAATGCCTTTAAACCCTAGAAGAAAATCTAGGCAATATGATTCAGAATATAGGCATGGGAGAAGATTTAACAATAAAAATGTCAAAAGCAATTGCAACACAAGCAAAAATTGACAAATGGGATCTAATGAAACTAAAGAGCTTTCACACAGCAAAAGAAACTATCATCAGAGTGAACAGACAACCTACAGAATGGGAGAAAATTTTTGTAATCTATGAATCAGACAAAGGTCTAATATGCAGAATCTACAAAGAACTTAAACAAATTTACAAGAAAAAAAGAACAACCCCATCAAAAAGTGGACAAAGGGCATGAACAGACACTTCTCAAAAGAAAACATTTATGTGGCCAACAGACATATGAAAAAAAGCTCAACATCATTGATCACTGGAGAACAACCACAATGAGATACCATCTCATGCCAGTCAGTATGGAGATTATTAAAAAGTCAAGAAACAGCAGATACTGGTAAGGCTGCAGAGAAATCAAAATGCTTTTACACTGTTGGTGGGAATGTAAATTAGTTCAATCATTGTGGAAGACAGTGTGCTGATTCCTCAAAGACCTATAACCAGAAATACCATTTGACCCAGCAATCCCATTACTGGGTATATACTCAAAGGAACATAAATCATTCCATTATAAAGATACATGCACACGTTTGTTCATTGCAGCACTATTCACAATCACAAAGATATGTAATCAACCCAAATGCCCATCAATGATAGATTGGATAAAGAAAATGAGGTACATATACATCATGGAATGCTATGCAACCATAAAAAGGAATGAGATCATGTTCTTTGCAGGGCTATGGATGGAGCTGGAAGCCATTATCCTAAGCAAACTAATGCAGGAACAGAAAACCAAACACCCCATGTTCTCACTTATAAATGAGAGCTGAACAATGTGAACACAGGACACAGGAAGGGAAACAACACACACTGGGTCCTGTCAGGGGGCAGGGTGAGGGAGAGCATCAGGATAAATAGCTAATGCATGCTGGGCTTAATACCTAGGTGATGGGTTGATAGGTGCAGCAAACCACCATGGCACACGTTTACCTATGTAACAAACCTGTACATCCTGCACATGTACCCCAGAACTTAAAAAAAAAAAAGTGAGCTGGGAGCGGTGGCTCACACTTGTAATCTCAACACTTTGGGGGGCCAAGGCAGGCAGATCACGAGGTCAGGAGATGGAGACCATCCTGGCTAACATGGTGAAATCCCGTCTCTACTAAAAATACAAAAAATCAGCCGGGCGTGGTGGCAGGTGTCTGTAGTCCCAGCTACTCGCTTGAGCCCGGGAGGCAGAGGTTGCAGTGAGCCAAGATCGCACCACTGCACTCCAGCCTGAGTGACAGAGCGAGACTCCATCTCAAAAAAAAAAAAATGTATATCTAAGTTTAGAAGAATGATAAACTCTAGAAAAGGAGAAATGGAAATAGGGTAAAAAGAGTTACAGCTTGAGTTCCGGTCTATTAGTGTTTTACTACTTTTAAAAACCTACAGCAATTTTGCTAATGGCATTTGTTAAATCTGGATCATGGATATATGGTCATTTATTAAAATTCTATCTATTTGTATTTGTATATTTGAAATATTTTATAATGAAAAACGACTTCCTTTCCCTGATGTTTACGTTAATCTATTTAAACTGCAAGAATATATGCTCACAAATAAATGTATTTTTGGAGTACTGAATATACCCAGTCATGTATTTACTTTCAAAATGACTTAATTGGCTTTGTGATGTTTATTTAATCAAATTATCATCACCACATGTTGTGGAAATATTCTATTCATATGACCTTTCCCCATGCTCTGGGAAATGAAAAATATTAGGGTTATGTTTATAGTCTTAGTTTTCCCTAACTCTTATACAGTTTAAATGTCTCAAGATACTCAACTAATTTTTGAAAGAATGGAAATAAAATGAATATTACTTATTTATTCAGAAAAAGTCTAAGTGAGTAACGTGATTTACTCTTTGCATAGCAACCTAAGGATGTTACACCAAAAATAGAAACTTGTAACAAATATTACTGAATATTGAAGACAAAACGACATCAGTACACGCAATAGTATATTTGTATAACATTGTCTATGATACAAAAATAAAAATATGAAAGACCAATACTTATAAAATCTAAGTTCCCAATAATTTTAGTTGATTTCATTCCCTTATATATTAGAAAATCTCATTTAGTTCCTGAACATTTTATGTATTGATAATGAAGATTGAAAAAATTCAAATGTGTAGCTATATAACTGGTTAAAATTATTGTAATCTTTCTGCCTTACACATAGTTAATAAATACTTTTAGTTAAATGCAATATTGAATAAGAGAACCATTCTTAGTTCTTAGATTAATTCTTAGTTTATTGCTTTAAATAAATCAGAGCAACTTTCTAAACAAATCTGAATTCCAGGAGTGCTGTTATTTTGTACCATCCATCCTGGCATTCAGACCAGTTGGATGAAATGCAATGGTGTGCTCTTTCATGGTAATTATAATCATATCATGGAAAAGCCACTTGTTTTGCACTTCTCCCCACACATTGCAGAGCAGAGTCCCAGTTCTTCCCTATCTCTAATGGATGCATGGCAAAAGTAGAAGTTACAAAAAGTTAATTATATTTAATCTGCCAATTCAACCTAATTGATACTTATAAAACACTCCACCCAAAAACAGAATGTACATTATTTTCAAGATTATATAACATATTCATGAAGATAGATCATATTTGAGGCCATAAAAAATACTTCAAAAACGTAAAAAGTTAGAAATCATGCAACATATACTCTCTGATCACAAAGGAATTAAACAGTAAATCAATAAGAGAATAGTATCTTTTAAAAATCCTCAATTGCGGAAATTAGTACAATACTGTGTTAGTTTCCTGAGGCTGCTGTAACACATTCTCTCAAATTTAGTGGCTTAAGACAACAGAAATTTATTCTCTCACAGTTTTGAAAGCCAGAAATCTAAAATCAGTATCAGGAGACCAAACCCAGGTGTCAGAAGGGCTCGTTATGAGGCTCGAGGGAATAATTTCTTTCTTGCCTCTTCCAGTTTCTTACGGCCGCCCTAACTTGTGGCTGCATCATTCCAATTTCTGCATCCATGACTTCTTTCTCCTCTTTCTCTGTGCATATCAAATCTCCCTCTGCCTCTCTCTTATAAGAACCTGGAATTAGATTTAGAGCATTCCAGAAAAATATCCAGGATAATCTCCTTATATCAGAATCCTTACCATCATCACATCTGCAGAGACCCTTTTTCTTTATAAAGCAACATTTACAGGTTGCAGGGACTAAGACTGGTATCTTTGGGTGGGCATCATTCAGCCTGCTACAACCACACTTCTAAATAACTCATGGGCCAAAGATGGCATCACAAGGAAAATTTGAAAATATTTTTAATTAAAAAGAAATAAAGCTACAAAATTAAATTTGTTTGACCTGTAGCTAAAACAGTGTTTATTAGGAAATTTATAGCATGAAATGCTTAAGCTAGAAAAAAAAGAAGTACTCAAATCAACTATTTCAACTTCCACCTTAAGAAACTAGATATGAAGAGAAAATTAAAGCCAAAGCAAGAAGGAAATAATATAAACAAGAGTAGAAATCAATGTAATTAAGAACAAAACAAATAAAAACAAGAAAACCAAAATCTCTGATACTAACCTTGATGGAACACAAAATTGTCATTATGTATATTTGCCTCCGATGCCAATATGAATTGCATATAATAACAGCTAAAATATAGGAACTATATGTTTTTTGCATTCTTTAGAATGACAAAAGTAACATTCCAGACATATTGATCAAAAATGAAAAGGAGAAGCACAAATTATCAGCAACAAGAATCAAAAAAAGGGGCATCACTGGAGTTCCCACAGATGTTAAAAGAACAATAATGAAGCAAGCTTTTATCCGTTGCCAGTAAATTCAAGAATTTACATAATGCATAAGTTTCTTGAAATTTATTATATTTTTAAACTATTAAATAAATGACTTTGTGCTTCAAAACCTTTTGATAGAAAAATTCTGGTCCAGGTAGCTTCACTGGTGAATTTTACCAAACATATAACTAAGAAGCAATACTAATCCTACACAAATATTTCCTGAAAATAGAAGTGGAGGGAATATATCTCGATTCATTTTATAAAGCCTGAATTGCCAGCAAATCAAATCTAGAAATATGTGACAAGAAAAATATATACTGACCAAGCAAGATTTGTTCTAGGATACAAAATACAAGGTTGATTAAATCAATGAATTTATCATACTGATAAGACCAAAAGCTAAACCAAACCATGTGATCAACAGAATAGATTTTTAAAAATTATTTGGCCAAATTTAACAAATATCCATGATAAAATTCTCAGGAAATGTGAATAGCTTAGATTTTTCTTGACTTGATAATGCAAGTCTTGACTTGACTTGACTTTATATCACTGATATAAAAAGATGAATGCTTTAGTCATAAGACTGGGGTCAAGTTAAGGATGCTCCTTCCATCTCTTTACTCAATCAATACCATCCTAGAAACTCAAGTCAATTCTGTAAGGCAAAAACCAGTAACAATAGAAATCATTTAGGTTGGGAAGTAATACCATTTTAATACATAAATGACATAATTGCCTTTGTAGAAAATCCCAAACAATCTAGTCTGATGAGTTACTTTACCATGTTTGCAGGAAAGTCAATGAGAAAAAAATCAATTACATCTCTTTATACTAGCAATGATCCATTGAAAATAAATTTTTAAAATGTTCATAAAACATCACAAAACATAAAATACTTAGTGATAAATTCAACAAAATGCGAGATTGTACACTGAAAAATGCAAAACATAGCTAAGAGAAATTGAAGATCTAAGTAAATGTAGAAACACATCATTTTTTATGCATTGAAAATCTCAATTTTTTAAGATGTCACCTCTTCAATATTAGTCTACAAATGCATTGCTATCACATTAAGAAAACCCAGAAGGCTTTTTAAAAATAGAAACTAATAAATTGATTATAAAATTTATATGGAAAGTTGATTAGTCTCCTATGTGTCACTTTGAAGCACAGAATATTATTCTCTCACAGTTGTGAAAGCCAGAACTGTAAAATCAAGGTATTGGAAGAGTTGGTTTCTTCTGGAGGATTTGGAGGAGAGTCTTGTCTAGTGACTGCCAATAATCCCTGGCATTCCTTGGTTTACAGTAACATCACTCCAATCTCTGCCTCTGTCTTCACAGGACTTCTCCTTCTGTGTCTCTATGTGCCTTCGTTTCTCTTAAAAGGTGATCTGGTTTGGCTATGTCCTCACCCAAATTTCATCTTGAATTGTAGTTTCCATAATCCCCACGTGTCATGGGAGGGGCCTGGTGGGAGGTAATTGAATCATGGAGCGGTTACCCCCATGCTGTTCTCATGATAATCAGTAAGTTCTTACAAGATCCGATGGTTTTATAAGGGGCTTTCCCCCCTTCCTCAGCATTTCTCCTTCCTGCCACCATGTGAAGAAAGATAAAACATATCTTTCCACCATGATTTTAAGTTTCTTGATGGCTCACGGCCCTGCAGAGCTGTGAGTCAATTAAACCTCCTTCCTTTATAAATTACCCTGTCTCAGGCAGTTCTTCTTAGCAGCGTGAAAACAGACTAATACAGAAGAATACTTGTCTTTGGATTTAGGGCTCACCCTAATCCAAATAATCTTATCTCAAGACCTTTACCTTAGTTACATTAGCCAAAACCATTTTTTCCAAACAAGGTCACACTCAGAGGCCCTGGAGTATAGAACTTAATCACGTCATTTTTGTGAGACACAATTCAACCCACTGCAAAAAGGAAAAGAATATAGAATCGCCAAAATTATTTTGAAAAGCAAGACAAAATTGGAGGCAAACTACCTGACTTCAAGACTTACTATGAAGCTACAATAATCCAGACATTTTGATTTAAGAAAAGAGTAAACACACAGATCAATGAAACAGAATAGAGAGCCCAGAGTTAGACACATACATTATGTCAATTATGGGTCTTCATACAGAAGTGCCATGGTAATTCGATACATGAAGATAGCCATTATTAACAAGCAGTGCTAGAACAATTGGTTACTGTATGGAAAAAAAAATGATCCCCAGCACTTACATTACACCGTATTCAACTCAAAATTGTTTATCAAAATTCTTACACCAAAAAGCAAGTGCTAAAACTATAAAAGTTCTACAGGAAGATATGACAGAGAAATCATTCCAATATTGGGTTAAGCAAAATATGTTTTAGAATATACAAAGAACAAACTAAAACTAAAAATATTTTTCATTTGATAGACACTGTTAGGCAATTTAGAAAATAATGAATAGACTGGGGAACATAAGAAATATTCAATAGAAGACTCATATTCAGAATATGTAAAGAATTCTTAAAACTCAATCACAAGAAAACAATTTAAAAAAAAGTTGGCAAAAGAACTTAGCAGATACTTAATTAAAGAAAATACGGCAGTTAAATACATGAAAAGATGTTCAACTTTATTAGTCATTAGAGAATCACAATAAAAACCACAATGATATAGCACTGCATACTTATTTTAATGACTAAAATTAAGAAAACCGACATTATTATGTGCTGGTGAGGACACAGATCAACTGGAACCTCATAGTTTGATGTTAAGAATGCAAAATACTACGGCTACCTTACACAACAGTTTCTAAGTGGCAGTTTCCTATAAAGCAATTGTACTCCTAGATATTTATCCAAGAATAATGAAAATATATTTTCACACAAAGAACTCCCTTCAAATGGTTACAGGAACTTTATTTATAATAGCAGAAAAGTGTGGGGCAGGGGGGAGATGTCAATCAATCAATGAATAAATAAACTAGTGTGTTCATAGAATAAAATGCTATGCAGCAATAAAAAAGGAGTAAACTCCTGCTATGTGCAACAACATGGACGGATCTCAAATACTTTATGCTTAGTGAAAAAAATCCAGTCACAAAGGCTACATACCGTATGATTTAATGAGATTCTGAAAAAGTGAAACCTATGAAGCCAGAAATCAGACGAGTGGTGGTCAGCGGCCGAAGCCCGATGTCTGCGAGTGTGAACTGCAGAGGAGTGTGAGGATAGACTTCGGAGGGACCAGAGGCTCTAGTTTTATTTTGAATACAGTGTGGGTTTGTCAAAACACATAGACACTTATAAAGGGCAAATTTTATTGTATACAAATTACACCGCACTAAACCCAAATAAAAAGAAACTGCAATTATTCCTCAACTCATAATAATTTTACCTTAAATAGGATCTCAATCTGTTAATATTTTTGTTTGTTCATCACTACATTGTGACCTTGTTTGCCTTGACTTTCACCCCAGACTATTTTGGTGACTTTCCACATTCATAACATCATCCGGTATACTTTTCGGTACACTGCCAGGATCTGTTCCAGACCCTTGGAATTAAAACACTCTTGAGAGGCCATATAGTATAGCATTTGAACATGCAGACTCTGGGACAGAATATTCCTGTTTGAATCCTGACTCCACCACCTACTAGTTGTTTCTGTGTAACTTGGAAATGTTACTTAAGGTCATAGCTCAGTCTACTAACTTATAAAATGGGGATAATAACAATACCTACCTCATAGAGTCATAATAGAGATTAAAGGATTACAAGGTATAGCACCTACTAAGAACTAAAAAGTATAAACTAATATCCATATTATTATTTAGACTGGTACATGGTGTCAATAATCCTTTAACTTCTTCATGTCAATAGTGTTCATCTAACATTGCAATATCCACACAGTTATCTCCCTGTATACATGGCAATACAACTTTATTCTTGAAAGCAAATTTAGCTAAACACCTTAGAATAGCTAATATACTTAGGAAGCACTCATTCCCTCAAGCTCTTTGCTAGACTTTTAATATGCATTTCTCTCAACTCTCAAAATAACTCTGTCAGGCAGACATGATTAGTACGTGCTTTTTTTTATAGATTAGGAAACTGTAGGCCCACAGTGGTTAACTGCCTGGCCCAAAGCCACATAGCAAGTGACTCCAAGGTCTGAGCTTATAACCAGATCACCAGTGTCCCCAACGGGGTAGCCACAAGTAGGTGGGAGCAGCCTTTTTGTGCCATACACTGCCTATAGCTTTCTTACTGCTAATTTAAACTCCACACTACACTGAATTAGGTGTTGTTTTTTGTTTTCCAAATGAAGAAATTCTAGCTCTGATAAGTTAATCAATGACTAAACTGTGTTATAAATATAAAACTGAAACATTTTAGTTTTCCTCTTAGATCACTGTTTCCTTGCAGATGTTAATCTCCGAACTCTAAACTCAGTTGTCTCAAAGCACGTTCACAATCATCACCCCTTATATCCTGCCCTGTGGAAGTTTGCCCCTTCACTTTCCCAAATTCAGATGAAAGCCCCTCAGCCACAGGCCCTACAGACAAGAAGCTGGGAAAGCTCCCCTTCCCTTTCCTCTCCCTCTTTATCCTGCCTCAACCCTGACAGCCTGATTTAGCCAGGCAGCTGGGTCATACTCAATAAAAAGGGTCCAACCCTATGGTTTCTGCCTCAGAAACTATTCCTTTGAAGGTGTTGCCTGAGGGCTCAGGAGGATCTCCAGATGCCAGTGAGACCCCTGCCCCATTTGCCAAGTTCTTGACACACTCCAGAGAAAGAATTCCAAGTTCTTGACACTTTCCAGAGAATGAAGAGTGAGAATGAAGGGGAAAGCTTTTATTGCAAAGCTGAAGTACCCACTTAAGAGAGAAGTGCAATGTGCTTGTGAGAAGGAGTCCCACACTATGAAGTTTGGGTTTCCAATTGTATCAGTGTTTCTTTAATTAGGGGATAGAAAAGGAGGAGATTTCAGGGACACCCCCCAGTTACCATCCCCTTTTTCCTTTATTTGAGTTTGCCAGGAAGAGTCATGGACATGTCACCCTGACCCGGGTTTTGGCCGTTTTCTCTCCCTGTTTGGGGTTTTCTGTTATGCTGTGGTTTCCTTGCCTAGTTCTTGTTTTAACTGTTGTTTGGGTTTTTGTATCCTCCTGTGACCATCCAGTACTATTCCTATCTCAAAGGTACTTGAATTCTCTATTCGAAATAGGAATATCTGATAAGCAGTGTATTTGAACTGTACCATGGAAAACACTGTATTGATTCTAAGACATGAGAGAAATTTAAGGTAACAAACAATGACAAAAATTTACTTGACATTTAAATTAATATGAACTTAATACTGGAATCTTTCTTACCTGATGAGGCAGTGGAAACTCTGCTCAAGGGTAAAACACAAATTTTATCATGTATCTATAAATTTCTTCCTCTACCAGAATTCTACTCAAGAATATAACACTTGAAATCAAGGCCAGGCACAGTGGCTCACGTCTGTAATCCCAGCACTTTGGGAGGCCGAAGTGGGCAGATCACTTGAGGTCAGGAGTTTGAGACCAGCCTGGCCAACATGGTGAAACCTCATCTCTACTAAAAATACAAAAATTAGCCAGGCGTGGTGGCGTGCTCCTGTAAACCCAGCTACTTGGGAAGCTGAGGCAGGAGAATCGCTCGAACTTGGGAGGCAGAGGTTGCAGTGAGCTGAGATCACGCCACTGCACTCCAGCCTGGGTGATAGAATGAAACTGCGTCTCAAAAAGAAAAGAAAAGAAAGGAAAAAAGAGAAAAGAACAAAAAGAAAAGAAAGAAAAGAGAAAAGAAAAGAAATCAAAAGAAAGTGGTTGATCTGGTTTCCAACTCCCTCATTCACAATGAGGCATGTAAAGTTTGGGGTGATTTGTCCATAGCTGTAAGGAAACACATTGGGACTATTACTGCATGACAGGAAAGCTGAAAGTTTACCTTTCCATGAAACAAATGACAATTCTGTTAGTGTTCTTATGTATCTCATTTCATGTTATATTACAGAACCTTAAGAACATCAAGCAAGCTATTGGAGTTAGGTGCCACATGCTTAGCAAAGTGTCATGGATGCTTTTAAAAAAATTCTATCTATAAAATGGTAATCTACACAACACCAGCCTCTTACATCTGTTCTTTGCTAAGCTTATGATTTGCAACAAAACACTTGGAATTCACTTTGAGATCTTTAATCAACTGCATAGACGTATGTTTCCATTCCATTCAATGGCGGTCGCTTTGCATCATTCACAGTACAAGTAATTTGGTATCTCCTTTTAGTCATGTGTACAAAAATAATAACAAATATTGGTTACCTTGGTGTTTGGAAGGCTGAAGGGATTATCAGAAAATAATTGATCACTTACCTAATCAAGAATTAATGTGATCCTTGTGTGGAATTGTTACGCTTGGGAAGACAAGGGTTTTAGCTCTATAAAGCAATGATTTTTTTTATTGTTAAAGCTACTTAAGAATCTATATTTGTTTACAAATCTTTTTATTCTTTATTAGCATAAACCTGTTAGAGATTCCCTAGCAGATTAATAGTTCCTTCCCTCAGAATTACTCGTGAAAACAAAGTTGAAGAAGGACTAGATTCAAGATAACAAAAGAAATTTCCACAAAATAGTAAAAAATAAAATGGATGAATTCTTAACAGAATAGCAAGCATGAAGACAGTAGGAACTATTCATCTAGCCATGCTATGGGATCCAAGCTCAGAGATGACAGGATCTAGATAGGCCAGAGCAGAAAAGAAAACCCTTCAGCACGTTCTTATCCTCATCCCCAGGCACCCTCTATTCCATGTCCGTGCAATCAAATCTCAATCATGCAGACACATTACACTTTATGGATTTATCCTGAATAAATAGGGAATGAGAGGTAAGAGATTGATGAATTTTTTTCGTAAAAAAAGCAAAGAAACTACAAAGAGAAGGTGCCTATCTTTTAGAGCAATATGGTCAGCAAGAGACATCTCATTATATATTTTATCTCATTATATGTGAATATCTAAGACCGCTGACTCCTGCCCGTCAGTGTTTATTAGTCTACCTGCTAGCTACAAGGTCATCCTATGGGAAAGCATAGGGTCTGATAGAGTCCTAGAAATCTACACATTTTTCTACAGCAAGTATCTCCTAGTGTAAAAGGAAGGTAAGACATTATTGCTTTATTCTAATGAAAAAAAAGTTTTCACTCTGAATAGGAAATAAAGAATAAAGGTGGATAGATGATATCATAGTCAAATTCTCAAAAGGTTAAGTGAGTAACTTGGAGTGGGATTTGGTGGCATCAGCTGAAGCATGTCAGATTAAACACATGATTTTTATCTCTGCTCCCAACCTTCCTCCAATCATTTAATATTACAGTGAAATAAAGAGAATGGGAGAAGGCACTGAAACTGAGGAGTGGTGTTGACAAAATTGTGGAAGCTAGAAATAAAATAGAAAGTAGCAGTAACTGGTGGCTAAGCTGAGAAAATTGAAAGCCAAGAACATAGAGCTGGGAGGAGTGAGGAGGGAGGGCCTGTGTGTGAAAAGGCCAAGACACATACTTATTCTCATGACAGAACCACAACATGGTCAGAAATCTGAGGCCTCAGCTATCTCCAAAGAGCACAAATTAAAAACAAGAGGATTAGTTGAAAGTCAGCTTCAGAAGTTAGAGCCTGAGGTATCCTTCATTCCTTGGGGCAAGAGGACAACTACTTCTTCCTCTTTCCCGGGAAAAGCCTGGATGTTTACTTTCTGAAAGGTGAATCAGAAGAACTCAGGACTTGACAACGCATGACACATTGAATGTCTTACTGAAAAAGGATTAAGTAATTCTAATAGCCCCAGAATCTTCCTATACTTTGATCTGAGGAAACTGATATTCAGCTTATAGCACTAGTGCAGGAAATTATAGTTGGATATACCAACAGTCTAGCCAGTAAAAGTACCTAAAGTTCTTTCTGGGGATCTTTTAAAGTGGCTAAATCCTTCTTTCATCACTTATACTGATGCCAGCCACAGGGTAAGTCCCGCCCAAACACAAGAAACTTCTTATCAGCTTCAGTGCCTTACTCATAAATCTAAGTGGGCAGCCAATATTTGATGAACAGCTTTAATATAAAAGCAAATAGCTTCTCAGACACAAAACATAAACAAAAGAAATCATTAGAGACTGTATAGGGGAACAGATGAGAATATTATAAAACTATATCACATCTTCAAAAAGATAAAATAGCATATTACATCCATAAAATAAAAAGAGGTTGTTATAAATAAAAAATTATTCAGAAAACAAGAAGAAAACGCTCATAAATTAAAATTATTTTTAAAATTTTAAAAAATTGATGGAATATTTGGAACATCAAGTTGAGAAACTATCTCAACACAATATAACTAAGAAATGGGAAATTGGATAGTACAAATAAAAAAAAAAGACTAATCTAGGAGGTATAATACCCAACTATATGAAGTTTCAGAAAGAAAAAAAAAACAAAGAAAACAAAAGAGAGGATACCTTTCAAATATAATAAAATCGTTAGAACTGAAAAATGATTTGCTAGGATAAAAGAGCCCATAGAACATCCACAAGTTAAACAAAAAGATTCACAACAAAGCAGATTCTTATGACATTTTTGAACACTGATTATAAAAAGACAATCCATTATTTTGAAGAAAGAAAAAATAATTTTAAAAATGGTATCAGAAATCTGAATGATTTTGGACTCCTCAGCAGAACATTGGAAGGTAGAAAACAATAGAGAAATACTTTCACAATTATCAGGGAAAATTATTTCCAATCTAAAATTCAGTGCTTACCTGTATTGGTCGGACAGGCTAGGTTATTTTGTGGTAAAAAACACCCCCAAAAATCTCAGATGTTAAATACATAAGTTTACTTCTCACTCATGCAAAATCTACTGCAAGCCAGCAGCTCTTCAGGGCAGCTTCCTAATGAGCAATGAATCAGTGACTTGGGCAGAGCTATTTAATCTTGCGGCTCTACCATCTCAGTCTGTAGCCTCCAGCATAGCTGTGACAGTGGATGAAACAAAGTCAGGAGACTGTGCTGGCTCTTAAATGTTATGCGCCCAAAGTGACACATCACCTCCACTCACAGTTGATCATCCAAAACTGATAGCAAGCCTCCACCTAACTACAAGGGGGCTGGGGTTTGTAACCCTAGTGACATCTAAGGCAAAAGAAGAAAATTAAATATGGGACACCACTAGAAAGCTCTACCAGCACACTGGCAACATTTTCAGGCCTATATGGGCACAATAAATTTATTTCTATGAGCTCTTTCTCAGGAAGCTGCTGAAAGAGTTGCTCCACCAAACTAACAGAGCTAATTAGGAAAGAGAAGTCATGGGATATAGGAAATAGAAGAGAAAGGTAAAGGGTATTTCCAGAATGATGAAAAAGTTAATGACCAGGCCAGTGATAGTAAAGCTGGGTGAGAGAACAAGTGATCCAGAATGGAGCTGGTAAGCAGGGGATATCATCGAATATGCATACAAGAATGAAATGAAGTTGAAAACCTTCCAGTTGTAATTGTCACTACTGAAATGGGACTCCTATTTTTATGAGATAGTCTGAGGTTGAATTAGTGTGGGAGGCTGAATAACCAACCCTCAAGAGATCTCCTGATCCTTGGAATCTGTGAATGTTACCTTATGTAGCAAAAGACGCTGGCAGATGGGACTAAATTCAAGATCCCGAGATGTGGAGATTATCCTGGATTATTGGGGTGAATCCTAAATGTAATCACAAAGGTCTTTATAAGAGGAAGGCAAGAAAGTCAAAGAAGGAGATAGGAGATGGACAACAGAAGCAAGAAGACAGAGACAAGAAATACAGGTGTTCTCCAGCAGCTGGAAAAGTCAGGGAAATGGATGGTCTCCTGGATCCTCCAGAAGGAACCAGCCCTGCAAACACCTTGACTTTAGCCCAGTTAAACTGATTTCCTAAATCTGAACTCCAGAACTGTAGGAGAATGAACCTGTACTGTCTTAAGCCACCAAATGTGTGGTAGTTGTTACAGTAGACAATAGGGAACTAAAACAGCTAGTGATCAAAGGAAATAAAAGTAAGTGGATATAATTACTAAGTCCAGGAAAAACAAATGGTGATATATGAAAAGAAATGTGGTCACAGTGCATTATATGGAGCAAAAGAAAATATTAATATATTTATAATAAAAGTTAAATTTTATTTTAACAAAAAATTGTTATGTATATATTTTCACAGTGTAGGGGTGGGTTGCCCCTACACACCTGTGGGTGTTTCTCCTAAGGTGGGACGAGAGATTTGGAAAAGAAAAAGACACAGAGACAAAGTATAGAGAAAGAAATAAGGGGAACAGAGGAACCAGCGTTCAGCATATGGAGGATCCCGCCAGCCTCTGAGTTCCCCTAGTATTTATTCATCATTTGTGGGTGTTTCTCGAAGAGGGGGATGTGTCAGGGTCACAAGACAATTGTGGGGAGAGGGTCAGCAGACAAACACGTGAACAAAGGTCTTTGCATCATAGACAATGTAAAGGATTAAGTGCTGTGCTTTTAGATATGCATACACATAAACATCTCAATGCTTTACAAAGCAGTATTGCTGCCCGCAGGTCCCACCTCCAGCCCTAAGGCGGTTTTTCCCTATCTCAGTAGATGGAGCATACAATCGGGTTTTATACCGAGACATTCCATTGCCCAGGGACGGGCAGGAGACAGATGCCTTCCTCTTGTCTCAACTGCAAGAGGCATTCCTTCCTCTTTTACTAATCCTCCTCAGCACAGACCCTTTAAGGGTGTCGGGCTGGGGGACGGTCAGGTCTTTCCCTTCCCACGAGGCCATATTTCAGACTATCACATGGGGAGAAACCTTGGACAATACCTGGCTTTCCTAGGCAGAGGTCCCTGCGGCCTTCCGCAGTTTTTGTGTCCCTGGGTACTTGAGATTAGGGAGTGGTGATGACTCTTAATGAGCGTGCTGCCTTCAAGCATCTGTTTAACAAAGCACATCTTGCACCGCCCTTAATCCATTTAACTCTGAGTTGACACAGCACATGTTTCAGAGAGCACGGGGTTGGGGGTAAGGTTATAGATTAACAGAATCTCAAGGCAGAAGAATTTTTCTTAGTACATAACAAAATGGAGTCTCCTATGTCTACTTCTTTCTACACAGACACAGTAACAATCTGATCTCTCTTGCTTTTCCCCACACACAGCATTGGGAATGGGGAAGTGTGTACATTTTTGTGTGGGGGAAAGTGTAGAAGATAAATCTTCACTTTATGTAATAGGAAATTAGTCTACATAATAGTAGACTACATAGGTGATTAAAAAAAGGTAACAGCTTTAAGTAAATTTGTTAGAAATATGAAAGTAAGGGATTTGGATCCCAGCCAGGTATCAGACCAGCGCTGCTACTGAAAAAAAAATTTAAACTATACAAAATACAAAAATGTCAGTTTGATGGCATCAGAATACTGCTGTGGCAGCCAAGAAGTAGAGGCCAGGCCCTAGAGAGAAGGACATTTTCTGAGCTCAGTTTACTGCCTCAGCTTTTCTGTTTGGGTTGTTTGCTAACATAAGGCAAAGCAAGAGGATAAAGAGGCCAGATTGAGCATGGCTGCTAAAATGCAGAGAAACCAGCAGAGGTCTGTGTGCAGTTTGGGGTTCCCAAGGCAAATAAGACTTGAGGGATTAAGATCCTTTGGAAAAGGGAGGCCAAGTGAGACCTACTCTTGGAGTGTGTTTTCCAGTTCAGGAATGTTCTAATTCAGCTGCTCTGGCAGGCCACTAAGAAGCCAAGCAGCATGTGTCAGAAAAGCAGCCTCGCAATCCTCAGGAGCAGCAAGTGGATTCAAAACTCGAAAGGAGGTGGCTCTGGAAATACCACAGGGTCTCAGTTAGGAACCCTGGGGAACTACACCAGAGAAAAGCCACAGATAGATTGAGCCTTACAATAGAGAAAACAATAAAGAAAGCAGAGTAATAATATAAGCAGTTGGTGAATTTGTGTAGGAGATAAATGGCAAGTTTTTGTACTTCTTTGTGTTTGAAATTGATACAGGAGATAGAAAGAAATTATTTACGCAGATAATGAGGGCAAAAGAATCCTTGGTGGAATGTCCCTTGTAACAAAAAGCAGCCCAAGAAATCATTTCTTTTCTAACAAAGAGCAGCCTGAAAGATCGAGCTGCAAACATAGATAAGGAAGCTGGAAGCTTGCACAATGGAATGCCTGCAGCTGCACCGATAGGAAGGGCTGCTTGGGGCCAGGCATATCCACCATGCGGGCTCCACCTTCCCTTTTTTGTTAGGACGTGTACAGTGAGAAAGAAAGAAGCAACATGGAGGAGCCGCCTACCTGCATAACCAAAATTGGGGTGGGGGCTGCCAGAGATTTTGCACCCTATGTAGATCAGACACCGCCTCCCCACTAGCTCATCTATAAAAACCCCTGCATTTCACCATGGATCGGCAACCCATTTTTCCAGGACCCCTCTCTGTAGCAGAAAGCTATTCTCTTTCGCCTATTAAAATTCTGCCGTAAACCTCACCCTTTGTGTGTGTCCACGTCCTTGATCTCAGTGGCCATGAGACCAAGAACCTCTGGTGTCAACCCAGACAACGAGGACGCTTCAAAATTACATCACAATTTTAAAAAGTGTGTGTGTGTGTGTGTGTGTGTGTGTGTGTAAGGAGACAGAAAGGGAAAGAATTAAAAAGCAAGAAAATTAACAAAAATATGGGAGGGTAAATGAAGTGAAAGTGTTCTAAGGTCATATGTTGTCTACTGTTAAAAAAAATTAACAAATCCCTTTTCCTTTCTGGAGGAGAAATTCATCTTTATTAACTTTCAGGCTCTGTGCCCCTGGAAACCAGGTGTGGCTTATTTGAGTCTCACAAATATGATTTTTAGCTGAGCCTAAAGTCCTTGCAGCTGCTCATGGAATATTTAACCTGACTTGACCTTCTGCTGCATTATAAAGAAAGGCTCAAATCATTTCAAAGCATTCAAATTATGTGTGTTTTCTGAAAGCATGAAATTAATATCAAGGTAAGAATCAATAAGAAAATATAACCAAAATGTTTACAAATTGAAGATAATAATGTTGAAAATTAGAAAATATTTTAAACTAAATGGAGATGGGATAGATATGCCACAACCTGTGGGATACAGCTTAAGCTGTGCTTGTTAGATTTATAAATATCATTTACAATTTATATATGCTTATCTTAGAAAAAGAAGAGAGGTGAAAACCAATGACCTCAGGCTTCATCTCAAGACCTTGAAATATGTATAAAAGAAATTAAATCCAAAATTAAACATCTTCTCACAAAGAATATCCAAGCCCATACAATTTTGCTAAATTTATATAAAAGATATAAAACTTATTTTATGAAGCAGTAATAACCTTAATAGCAAAACCTGAGAAATACATCACAAGAAAGGCAAATTATAAGCCAGTCTCTTTCATGAACATAAATGCAGAAATCCTAAACATAATATTTGAAATAAAATTCAGTTAGTGATATACCAAAAAAAAGAAACTATTTCATGATAAAGTTACATTTATTTCAGGAATGGAAGATAGTTTTATTATCCAACTCAGTCAGTGTAACTTTCCACAGCAACAGAAAAAAAAGAAAATATGAAGGTCTCAATAGAAGTAGAAAAACATATATTTATAATAAATCCAATACCTACTTATGTTTTAAAACTTGCAAAAAAAGCAATAGTTTATTTATATGTGTTGCAAATAAAGAGTATTTATATAATTCTTGTAACAAACATCATACTTAAAGTTGAAATATTAAAAGCTTTATTCCTGATATCTGAAATGAAAAAAATTGTCCATTCACACCAGTTTGACTAAATATGTCATTGGAGGTCCTATCCATTACAACAAGGCAAAAGAAAAAATACACATATAAGGCTTGAAAGAGAAGACATAAAATAATCATTATTTACAGATAGCATGTTTGGATACATAGAGTAACCCATGGAATCTATCGCAAACTATTAGAATTAATAAGATAATTTAGCAAGGTCTCTGGATACAAGATTAATCGAGCTATTAATTTTATGTCTTCATACTAACAATAGTAATTAGACAATAAATATAAACTAGAAAATTAATTTATATTAGCATTAAAATATCAACTACTTAGGAACAAATCTAATGAAAAATATATCTTAAACAGGAAACTACAACTTATTACTGAAGAAAATAAGACAGAGAAATGAAGGAGGATTCCAACCTTGTGCATTAATGGATACAATTTGTAAAGATGTCAAATATCTGCAAATTTATCTAGAGTTTCGGGAAATTCAATTTCAATCTCAGAAAATATTTATGGAAATTGACAAGCTGATATTCAAAGATATGTGGAAACGTAAAGGCCAAGAATAGGTAATAGAATCTTGAAGAAGAAAGCCGATGCTAGAGGACTGCACTGCAAAATACTGGAATTGATTAAAAGACAGTAATTAAGTTAGTAACAGTGATTTATGACAAATTTGACACTTAAATTTACTGGGAAAAGGATAGATTTTTCAATAAGTGGTACTGAGCCAAGTGGATATCAATATGCTGAAAAAAATTAATCTTGGCCCCTTTCACCATGTACAAAACTGTTTAGGTTTATATATTACTAAAGCTTTAGGAAAATACTTTCATGATCTTGGAGATGGCAAATACTTGGTAAAGGAAATGAAAAGACCAAAGGAAAAGTTTAATAAATTGGCATCTATTAGGATTAAGAACATTTATTTATCAAAAGACATTAGGGGAATAAATCCACAAGCCACAGAATGTATTTGCATTATCCATCTTTGACAAAGGATTTATACCCTCAAATATGTAAAATATTTCTTAAAGTATGTAAGTAATCAATTGTTAGTCTAATATTTTTAAAAGGGCAAATGAAGAAATTCTTAAAGAAGCATAAAGGAGAATATACAAATGGCCAACCAGATTAAAAGGAAAATACAAATTAAGAATATAAGAGATACCACCATATACCTACCAGAATAACTAGAATTATAAAGGCTGCCAATTCCAAGTGTTTCCAAGGATGTGGAGCAAGTGGAACTCTTATATATTGCTGGTGAGGGTGCAAATTGATACAACCTCTTTGGAAATATTTCTCTTTGTATTTGCTGAAGCTAAACATATGTATAGCCTATGACCCAGCCTATCCACTCCTAGGTTTATACCCAAATAAATGAGTGTTTATATTCACCAAAAAAATACATACCCAAATGTGTCTAACAGCTTTATTCACATGAGATAAAAACTGGAAGCAACAGTAATATGGATAAATTGTGCATTCTAAATTAACGAGACTGCATAACTATTTCATGCAAAATTATAATATCACAGACAAAATGCTGAACCAAAGAAGCCAGTTACAAAAACTTTATACTGTATGGTGCAATTCATATAAATATGAAGTTCAGACACAGCACAAACAAGCTATCATGACAAAGTTCCGAATAATGGTTACCACTGGGGGTATTGTAAAAGTATTATGAGAGTGCTGGAAATATTTTAAGTATGTTGATCTGGGCTTGTAAAAGGGCTTTATCATATGTCAAAGGCTTGTACATATGTAAAAGTTCACCAAGGTGCACTGTAAGTTTACCCTCAAAAATGAATGCATACCTATACACAGCACAAGAAGATACCTCACACAATCACAAAAATGACTAATTATGAAAGTCTGATAGGCCAAGTGTTTGCAGGGATATTGGGCTACATTAAACACAGTGACTTTCAGTGGAAAAATATTTAAATAAATGTTGGTCATTTATGTAGTATAATTAGATTTCTAAACAAAAGTACATGAATCACAGCCATGTAAAATAACGTGAATGAAACCACCAAAAAAAAAAAAAAAACTAGCCATACTAGGCCAGGCACAGTAGCTCATGCCTGTAATCCCAGCACTTTGGGAGGCCAAGGCAGGTGGATCACCTGAGGTTGGGAGTTCTACACCACCCTGACCAACGTAGAGAAACCCCATCTCTACTAAAAATACAAAATTAGCCGGGCATGCTGGCACATGCCTGTAATCCCAGCTACTCGGGAGGCTGAGGCAGGAAAATCACTTGAACCCAGGAGGCGGAGGTTGCGGTGAGCCGCCATCACACCACTGCACTCCAGCCTGGGCAACAAGAGCGAGAAACTCTCTCAAAAAACTATGGTGCTTATAGTATTTATTTTTGCACAATTAAATGCTAAAATATAAATAAATATGAAGGGATTACTACTATAAAAGGAATAATGGTTACCTTGGTAATGAAAGAGGGATTTGAATTGTGAAGGCCCTACAGGAAGCATCTGGAGTGTTACAGATGCTCAGTGGCTCAACCCTGTTGCTGGTCACTTGTTCTTTACATGTGTCATTAAATCAACTGTGTGTATGTTATTTGTCACAATTAAAAGTTTTTTAAATTGCTGAGAGGAACAGGAAATTGATATCTTCTATAAGATGGAAATATACTATAGTACTATAGTATATATGGCTACATGTATATGGTATATTTTACTACTATATATAAATACATTACTATAGTATATGTTACAATATATTATATATTAAATATATAGAACATATAGTATTATATATTATATACGGTATATATTTTATATATATAGGATACATATGTGTATATATAGAAAGCTATATACAAGATACATGTGTGTACATACACACACACACACACACACACAGAGACAGTTTAAAAAGATAGCAGCAATGCAAATATCACCTTAAAATGTATCAGTTTAACAAGATGATTCAAAGAAAAACTCTAAAAGTTGAAGAGTGCTTTCAGAAATTAAAAGATAAATTCTAAAAGATAAAAGTAAGAGAGAGGTAAGAATTTATTTTTTATCAACTCAAAATGGATAACAGGTCTAAACGTTAGACCTGAAGGCATAAAACTTTTAGAAGAGAACATAGGGGGAAAGATCCTTGACACTGGTCTTGGCAGTGATTTTTTTGAATATTACACCAAAAGCTCAGGTTACTAAAGCAAAAGTAAGTAAATGGAACTATATCAAACTAAAAAACTTCAGCACAACAAAGGAAACATTCAGGAGAATGAAAATGCAGCCTATTAAACTGTAAAAAGGTCAGATATACAAAGAGAATAAAACTGTGGTTACCAAAGGTGGGGTGCCGGGAAAAAAATGGGGAGATGTAAATCAAAGGATATAAAGTAGCAGATACGCAGAATCAACATGTCTGGAGACCTCATGTACAACAAGAGCACTGTTGCTAATAAAATTGTACTGCACTTGAGATTTTTGTTAAATAGGTACATTTTAACTCTTGTTGCGAACTAAAGAGTAACTGTATGAGAAGATAAATATGCTAATTATCTTCACTATATAGGCATAACTCTGAGATGTAGTGGGTTTGATTCCAGACCACCGCCATAAAGTGAATATCACAATAAAGAGGGTCCCACAGATTTTTTTCTTTCACAGGGCATATGAAAATTACATTACCCTATACTGTACTCTAAGTGCAATAACATTATGGTTTTTAAAATTTTTTTAATTTCCAGAGGTTTTTGGGGAAATGGTGGTGTTTGATTACATGGGTAAGTTCATTAGTGTTGATTTGTGAGATTTGGATGCACCCATCACCTGAGCAGTATACACTGAACCCAATTTGTAGTCTTTTATCCCTCACCCCCTTGCCACTCTTTACCTCTGAGTCCCCAAAGTATCATCCTTATGCCTTTGCATCCTCATACCCAAATAAATGAGTATTATAAACAGCTTAACTCCCACTTATGAGTGAGAACATACAATGTTTGGTTTTCTGTTTCTGCATTATGTTTTTTAAAAATGAGCATACCTTAATTTAAAAATACTTTACTGCTAAAAGATACTATCGATCATCAGAGTCTTCAGCAAGTCCTAAACTTTTTGCCGGTGGAGGGTTGATTGACTGCTGACTGATCAGGGTAGTGGTTGCTGAAGTTAGGGTGACTATGGTAATTTCTTAAAATAAGACAACAATGAAATCTACCTCTTAATTTCATGAAAGATTTATCTGTAGCATGTGATGCTGTTTGATGGTATTTTACCCACAGTACAATGTCTTTCAAAATTAGAGTCAATCTTCCCAAACTCTTTGTCCCACTGCTTTCTCAACTAAGTTTATGTAATATTCTAAATCCTTCATTGTTATTTCAACAATGTTCACTGCATCTTTACCAGGAGTAAATTTCATCTCAAGAAACTACTTTCTTTGCTCATTCAGAAGAAGCAACTCCTGACTTGTTAAAGTTATCATGAGATTGTAGCCAATTCAGTATCATCTTTAGGCTCCACTTCTAATTCTAGTTCTCTTGCTATTTCCATAATATCTATAGTTACTTCCTCCACTGAAGTCTTGAATGCCTCAAAGTCACCCAGGAGGGAGAAAACCAACTTCTTCCAAATTCCTATTAATGTCTACATTTGACCCCCTCCCTCTAATCACAAATGTTCTTAATGGCATCTACAGTGGTGAATCCTTTCTGGAAGGTTTTCAATTTATTCTGCTCAGATTTGTTAAGGAATCACTATCTATGGCCACCTTAGCCTTACAACATGTATTTCTTTAATAATAAGACTTGAAAGTCAAAACTACTTCTTGATCCTTGGGCTGCAGAATGGATGTTGTGTTAGCAGGAGTGAAAACATTAATCTCTCCATACATCTTTATCAGAGATCTTGAGTGACCAGGTGCATTGTCAATGAGCTGTAGTATTTGAAATACCTTTTTCTCTGAGCAGTAGGTCCCAACAGTGAGCTTAAAATATTCAGTAAACCATGCTGTAAACTGATATGCTATCATCCAGGCAGAGTAGATTTCACATAATTTTTAAGAGTTCTAGGATTTTCAGAAAGGTAAATGAGCATTGGCTTCAACATCAAGTCACCAGCTGCATTAGCCTCTAACAAGAAAGTCAATGTGTCCTTTAAAGTTTTGAAGCCAGGCATCTCTAGTGTTGAATGTCCTAAATAGCATCTTCTTCCAAAATAAGGCAATTTCATCTACACTGAATATCTGTTGCTTAATGTAACCACTTTTATAAATTATCTTAGCTAGATCTTCTGGATAATTTGCAGCTTCTACAACAGTACTTGCGGCTTCACCTTGCACTTTCATGTTATGGAGATGGCTTCTTCCCTTAAACCTCATAAGCCAATCTTCTAGCTTCAAACTTTTTCCTGCAGCTTCCTCAATTCCATCAGCCTTTGTAGAACTGAAGATACTTAGGGCCTTGCTCTAGATTAGACTTTGGCTTAAGGTCATGTTTTATCTTCTTTCCAGACCACTCAAACTTTCTCCATATCAGAAATAAGGGTGTTTCACTTTATCATTTGTGTGTTCACTGGAGTAGCACTTTTAATTTCCTTCAAGAACATTTCATTTGCATTCACAGCTTGGCTAGCTATTTGGCACAAGAAGCCTAGCTTTCAGCCTATCTTGGCTTTCAACATGCCTTCCTCACTATGCTTAATCATTTCTAGCTTTTGATTTAATGTGCAATTTGAGAAATGTGCAATTCCTCCTTTCACTTGAACATTTAGAGGTCATGTAGGGTTATTAGTTGGCCTCATTTCAATATTGTTGTGTCTCAGGGAATAGGGAGACCTTAGGAGAGGGAGAGAGATGGGGGAATGGCCAGTCAGTGGAGCAGTCAGAAGACTCAAAATACTTATCACATTTGCCATCTTAAATGAGCCCAGTTCATGGTACCCCAAAACATTTATAGTAGTAACATCGAAGCTCACTAATCACTGACCACAGATCACTAAAACAGATATAATAATAATGAAAGAATTCGAAATATTGAAAGAATTACCAAAATGTGACACAGAGACTTGAAGTGAGAACAGGCTGTTAGAAGAGTGGTGCCAATAGACTTGCTCAACTCTAGGTTGCACAAATCTTCATTTTTATAAAAATGCAGTATCTGCAAAGCACAATAAAATGTGGTATGCCTGTAGCAGCCCTTTTACTATCTATAGTATTGCAAAACATCAAATTATAAACTTAAAATATATACAATAAAATTCATTTTAAAAAAAGAATTTTTAAGTACAGTCAATATTAGTATTCATTTCATGCAACAATAAAATATAGTAAATAACATAAACATATGTGTACACCATTAAATTTGGCCAATTTTTTGCCATGTTTGCATCTGAATTTTGAAAGTAAAAATAAAATATCATTGTTAAAAGCAAAACTCCTGACAACCCATACACCATCTCAAGGTCACCACCATCTTGGCCATGGTAAATATCATTTAAATTCTTGTGTGTCCACAATTTTACTACATAAGAATAATAAACCAAAGATATGTGTTTAACTATATACACTATTGTTTTATTGGTTTTAAAATTTACATAAATGGTATTCTTTTAGGAATAGGTGTGACCTAACATTATACATGTGGGAATGTAGTCATGCCAATGCTTATATTTATTTTCTTTAATTCAGAAGAGTATCTATCCTATGAAAATATAAATATATATTGATCTATCCTCCTTTTGGGGGGCCTTCAGATTAAGTTTTTGCTCTTTCAAACAACGATGTGATAAAAGTTTTTTCCTTGTGTCCATGTATAAAATAGTGATGCATATCACCTACTTCACTTTCAGCAATTTATGATGATTAGCCCCAATGTTTTGTAGAAATGCATAACTTCCAGGTTTATTAAGATTTGTCCTTTGATTATTAAATCCACACAGTTTTACACTACACTGTTACAAGGATCTGTCACTGTTTTCATGGCTCTAAGCTGGGTCTGCACAGTCTTCAGATGAAGAGCCCCAGGAAAATTCCATTCAAGATAAATTTATCTGCACAGCTACTGAAGTATAGCAAGCCCAGTTTATGTCAATTATGCAGCTATCAAATAAACTTTAGGAAATAAATGACTCTCAGAAACTATTATCTACTGACATCAGTAGACAGCTTGAAACAGGTTGTTTTAGTATTATGAAGATCAACCTGAAGACTAGTTCTATTCTGTCTAGAATATTTTTGTTCCTCAATATACAGTAAAAATGGGAGTGTTAAGTTTTATGTGCATTAAAGAGAGATGGTGTGTAATTAATATTTTTACAGTCAAATTCTTTATCCAGTAAAGGGAAAATAAGGCATTGTTGCAAAGAAATAAGGTGATTTAATCATAATTCCCTGTTGGTCTGGCTTGTGTGTCTGTCTAAAATAAATAATTTTATTTGTCTCCTCTATATCTGTAAAATACCAATCTCAGCTTCTTCAGGTTTATCTTAGTGTTATCTAATGAAATCACTACAGAAGGCAAAATTACCGTGATCAACTATACCTTGTGTAGTAAGCATTTTTCACCTCTCCCCAAGGCTAAGAAACATCACATAAACTATTAACATATCAGTGTATCCTTTCCTAGTCTCCAAGAACATTGATGCAGTTCCGTGGCTTCATCTCCCTGTATAACTGGATGAAATCATAACCATGAATTCCAATTCAATCTGACTAGTCTTATCTATTCTTTTGGTTGTTGAAAATACTAAATTTTCTCCAGGTCACAAACTTCAAAATCCATGCTTTCTGAACCAATTGTCAAGATATGACCAGCTTCAAAAAGTATTAGTGTGAACCACTGAAGAGCCTTAGCTGTACTAATTATTAGACGTGCTTGGCTAAAGTAGAATGCTTTTTCTCATTTGAAATATTTGTCCCAAATGTCTCAACTTAATGGTAAGTAATCCAAGAACAAGATGATACACCAACCCTTTCTGTCAGTAAGTTAACCAGTAAGGCATCAATTATTTCTCTTAATGAGGGTCTGATATTTAAAGCTATGGCTATATAATATTTTGTTTTTCAAAGATCCCAGGAAATATAGAGTGTTTATATTAAACCACACACATATACTCATAAAAGGCAAATGCGCATACACAAAAGGTGTAAATGATCACATTTATACATATACATTCACATATATAACTCAGTTATCAGCTAAGCCTTATTTAAATTGAGCCCCCAATTATATAGCTTGTGA
This sequence comes from Homo sapiens, assembly GCF_000001405.40. Lineage (NCBI taxonomy): Eukaryota > Metazoa > Chordata > Mammalia > Primates > Hominidae > Homo > Homo sapiens. The sequence goes on from NC_000018.10 coordinate 2,012,640, forward strand.
ATTGTATTCCCCCCAATTGTTACCCCCCAATCATAGCCCCATGAAATGTTAACCTCAGATACGCTGTGTCTGTGTACACTTTCAGCAAACTCCCAGAGCTTACTTTCTCACTGTGATTTCCATTTTCTTTCTCTATCTGATTTCCACGTACGTGTGTGATATCTCAAATCTGCCTGTATCAACTTACACAGGGAACCAAGTCTTCACTTAGTTCTTTCCAAAAAATAAATACACATAAGACATTTCAAGAGTAATTTTAACATTTATTCACACACATCATTGGGAATACCCACCAGAGTAGGGGCCCATTACATACCACATAGCCTCCTGCCATCTCACCAACTCTTTCAAAAGCTCTGATCTCGGCCAGGTGTGGTGGCTCACATCTGTAATCCCAGCACTTTGGGAGGCCGAAGTGGGTGGATCACCTAAGGTCAGGAGTTCAAGACCTGGCCAACATGGCAAAACCCCATATCTTCTAAAAATACAAAAAATTAGCCCGGCATGGTGGCAGGAGCTTGTAGTCCCAGCTAGTCAGGAGGCTGAGGCAGGAGAATTGCTTGAACCTGGGAGGCGGAGGTTGCAGTGAGCTGAGATCACGCCATCGCACTCCAGCCTGGGTGACAAGAACAAAATTCCATCTCAAAAAAAAAAAAAAAAAAAAGAAACAAAACAAAACCTCTGACCTCGTGTACAGACATGCTCTTTCAAAGAACTGAAGTCATCTTCATGACAAGATTCTTTCTGTGAAGAATCCTTATACTACTTGGTAAAAAATATAATATTTCTCATGTTTTTTGCACACAAATATTGGCACAGAGAGAGAAACAGCAGATGATGTTTCACTCACCTTTTAAATGGTAATACTGATAATTATGGAGGTTACAGTGATTTTACCAAAATCACAACTAGTACAAATTGAGCAACCAGGACTGGACTTCAGCATTTGTACTTAGTTCTGATTCTCTGTAGTATATCACACAATCTTTTTAGATATATTATTGAAATTATTTTTGAAAAAAAATAAAATGCAAACTTTAAACGATAAAAGAAAAAAATCAAAATTCATTAGTATCCATTAGTCTTCCTGGGTCTTTCCATGATCAATAATAAGTAAAAGTGTCTCAGAAATAAAAATTGCTTGCTCTGGAAATAATTTTTCATTGGAAGTAAACATGGTAATGTTAGATATCAATTCTGACTATGTATAGCCTTGAACATGTTTATAACCTCTTTTCTCCAAGTGGGAAACAGTAATGTGTGTGCATGGTCATGCGGGCAAAGTCAATGAGCTCAAATATTCACACACAGAAACAAGTCAAGCAATTATTGTAGGTTCAGAAACAGAATTCCAATGCGTCCAATTGTAATGCCCAGAATAAAATTTCTGCCAGTCACTCAATTATTTTATACAATGTACTCAAATATCTGGCTGATATTTGTTCTGTTTTTGTATTGTTTTAACAGAATTTTTTTTTTAGAGCAGTTTTAGGTTCACAGAAAAATTGAGCTGAAAGTATAGCGTTCCCATAGTCTTCTACTCCCCTAGCCACACACACAATTTTCCCCATTATGATAATTCACCACTAGCGTGAGACATTGTTATGATTGATGAACCTACTACATTGACACATCATTATCACCCGAAGTACATAGTTTACATTAAGGTTTACTTTCAGTATTGTACATTCTATGGGTTTTCACAAAGGTATCAGACCGAGTATTTTCACGGCCCTAAAAATCCTCGGTGCTGTGCCTGTTCATCCCTCTCTCCCCTCAAGCCCCGGCAACCACTGATCTTTTTACTGTCTCCATAATCTTGCTTTTTCTAGAATGTCATATATTTAAAATTTTACAGTCTTTTCCAATTTCTTTCACTTATTAATATGCATTTACTTTTCTTCCCTGTCTTCTCATAGCTTGATAGCTTACTTCATTTTAGTGCTGAATAATACACCATGGCCTGGAGGTATCAGGTCTTATATATTCATTCATCTACTGAAGGACATCTTGGTTGTTTCCAAATTTGGGTGATTATGAATAAACATCTGTGTGCAAGTTTTTGTGTGGATATAAGTTTTCAACTCATTTGAGTAAATACCAAGGAGCATGATTGCTGAATCGTATGATAAGATGTTTAGTTTTGTAAGACACTGCCAGACTGTCTTCCAATGCAGCTGTAGCACTTTGCATTCCAGCAGCAATGCATGAGAGTTTCTCTTCTCCACATACTTGCCAGCGTTTAGTGTTGTTGGTATTTTGGATTTTGACCACTCTAGTGGGAGTACAGTGGTATCTCATTGTTGTAATTTCCAATTCTTTAATGACATATGGTGTTTGAACATCTTTGCGTATCTATTTTTGCCACCTATGGATCTTCTTTGGTGAGCTATTTGTTCAGATCTTTTCCCCATTTTTTAATCCAGTTATTCCTTTTTTACCATTGCTGAGTTTTAAGAGTTCTTTGTATATTTCGAATAACAGTCATTATCGGATATGTCTTTTATAAATATTTCTCCGTAGTCTGTGGTTTATCTTCTCATTCTCTTGACGCTGTTTGATATTTGTAAAATAAAATATCTGGATGATTAGCTAAATTTTTAACTTTTTCAAATATGTGAATGTGTTCATATTATAAGTTCAGATTATATCACAGATAAAGCTAAGTTAACTTTAGGTTCTTCTTTCTTGCATATTCAAAAATATAATGCATGTGAGAGTTGAGAAGGAAGAAGAGGCATTGGTTTAAGGCTATTTGTGTCAATCTTTCTTTCATCATTGGCTCCCATGGAGCATTTTTAGACCTTTTCCCCTAATCATAACCCCTCGTACCATTTTAATAATAGATATGCTAGGTATATTTATATATTTCATGCATATACATGTTTCAGACATTAAAAGAATAAGATATTTTTTGCCTTCCCCAATAACACATTTTTGCCACCTTGGGGATTTTATTGTTCCTGTTGAAAGTGCATGTTTTAATGTTTTTAGACAAATATGTTTCATCTGTCATACATGGATATGATACATATGTATGATGTTAGATAAAATTCTAAGATCTATACTGACAAATTTTAAAATATGTTTTACTCAGCAAGTACATTAATCTTAAACTATTATTTTTAAATTTCAGCTACACTGAGAATAAGCAGTCTATTTAATCAGCTCTATTAAGAAAGAAAAAATAAGTTAGCAAGCATATAGTACCAGTATGTGGACCCAAAGTTTTCCCTCTTAATTGATTTTCTATCAAAACCTTAGCTGACTCAAAATAAAAGAAATAAACCAAACCCCACTTGATTTGCCCATGGTAGGAAATTGGATATATTTCTAACACAAAAGAGTTGGCCCCTGATGCAAGGAAAGATGTAAAAACTGGAGAAATGTCAAGAAATGACAGACCCCTGGGCTGTGCTGCCTGTAGAGCAGGGGTCCCTGACCCCTGGGCCGTGGTTAGGAACCAGGCAGTACAGTAAAAGGTGAGTCACAGGCAAGCGAGCAGTACTTTAGCCTGAGCTCCACCTCCTGTCAAATCAGCAGCAGCATTAGGTTCTCATGAGAGTGGGAACCCTATTGTGAAATGCACATGTGAGGGATCTAAGTTGCCTGCTCCTTATGAGAATCTAATGCCTGATGATCTGAGGTGGAACAGTTTCATACCAAAACCATCTTCCCTACACCCAACCCCATGTCCTGTAGGTGGTAAAATTGTCTTCTAAGAAACCAGTCCCTGGTGCCAAAAACATTGAGGACCACTGCTGTAGAGTTTAAGATGCTCCCTCATCTGGCTGAAGACAGCAGCAGAGGGTAGTCCTTGGTTAGCAATTCAGTGTTACACAATCATATTTTGAATTCAAGATTTTTTGATATTCTGTCTGCAGACTTTCTGAATCATTTAGTAGCACCCAATTATGCGTAGTGGCACAGAGATAGAAAAGTTTTTATAACTCCTATGTACATTGACCTCTTCATCACATTTGGAACTAACAGCAAAATTTTCCACAGTATTACAAATTATTAGAGTTTCACTTTCAATTGCCATTTGGTGAAATTCATAGTTGGTCTAGTTGTTGTTTTTGTTTATTTCTTCTTAATTTCTAGAAATAAAACACTACCTTTTAAGAAGAATTTTGACATGTTTACAGATGAATATTATGAACCTGTCTATCCTTATGTCAGATGAATAGGTTATGTCAATTTCTACCTTTGAAGATTCTGTGAGAGATTTTGCAATATCTGTGAGCTTTAATTGACTTACCTGGCATTTTATAGAAAACTTTCTGGAAATGTATTGCTTTTAAATTTTAATGTAATATCATTTGTATAATTTTGAAGACTTTTTTAAAAATTAAAGCTAAAATTTAATTAAAAATTCAACCATATGTGGGCTATCATTACAGATAATCCAACTGATATTTAATCAGGATTATGCACAATTATAGTGACACCTGTGAAGGTAATGACAATTTTGTTGGAACATACTCCTCTCTCTAGACTAGCAGATTTCTGTGCATATGGATTATAAGATGCAATCAAATATCAGAAACATTAAAATGTTACATATACATTTTAGATTTTAAAAACCATGTGATATCTTTGAACATTGAATCAATTCCAATTGTTGTGAGCTGTTTTTTCAGGAATATATCATTGACTTATTCCTAGGCCTCCACTTCTCACCCTTCTTACCTATTATCTTCTCTTATTACTTTCACCTTTTCTTCTTACTCTGTATTTGGTGGCAATGGTAGTGTGGGAGATGTCCAATTGATCCAGTGAGTGTGGTTAGTACCTCCTAATCTTATCGACTTATTAAATAGAGAACAGACATGGGTGGGAAAGATTTTCACAGGATGTATTCAAAATCAATAATACATTTTACACATTATTTCCTCTCACCTAAAGAGAAAAATAAATAAAAGATAAAAATCATCAGCCCCACAGTGATAGTGGGCTAGTGCCACAATGGAAGACAGAGAGGCATACGAGGTTGCAGAGCCAGTCCAAGTTCCCTGATGCCCCATTTTCTAAGAGTTGGGGCAGATTTCATATTTTTTTATTCCATTTAATCTCCTCTCTTGGTGTATCATTTATACTTCTTTCTTTTCTTCTTTTAGCAGTTGTCATATAATTTTTATAACAGAGTAAGTTATATATATATTATATATAATGCATATATATAGCATATTATATATAGTATGTAGACATATTATATACCTTTATGATACAGCATATTATATATGATAAGCTATATATTATATATAATAGTGTGTATATTATATACACAAACATGCATATGTATAGTATATAGTAAAGTATATATACATATATAGTATATAGTATATAGTATATATACACACACACATATAGTAAATGTATGTATATCATTAAATAATTTAAGTCTATCTTCAAAGAACATGCTACAATTTCATGTATAGTAGTTACCTTAAAACAGAGTATTTCCAATTCTTCCCTCCTGTCTCTTGTGACATTGCTATTGTTCACTTACCCATATGCTATAATCAGCCAATACACTGTTACTGTTATCGCTTTTTAAAAACTGTTATTTTTTAGATCAGTTAGAAATAATAAAAATAAAATATTTTACTTACCTTCACTTATTCCTTCTTTGATCTTCTTCTCCTTTTTTTATAGAGCCAAGTTTCCAACCTCTATCATTTATCTCCTGTCTGAAGAAAGTCTTTCATTTCTTTCAGGCAAGAAAAAAATGAATGAATTCGTAATGAATTTGTTTGCTAGAGACACTTTTTATTTCTCCTCTATTTCATTGGACTTATAATTCTAGATTGGCAGTGTGGGTTTCAGGTTTTACTTTTTTTCTTTCAACACTTTGAAGATTTCATTCCAGTCGCTTCTTGCTTGCGTGGTTTCAATAATATGGCTGCCATTATTATTCTTATCCTCTATAGATGAGGTAGTTTTTCTCCTCTGGCTTTCTTCAAGAGTTTCTCCTTATATTTGGTTCTCCACTGTTTGAACATGATATGTCTAGTTGTGGGGTTTGGGGTTTATTTTGTTTAGTTTTGTGGGGTTTTTTTGGGTATTTATCTTGCTTATTTTTTTCAGAGCTTCCAGATTTGTGCAGTGTGTGTCATTAATTTTGTAAAGTTCTTAGTCATTATTAACTTAAATATTTCTTCTGCCCATATTTTCTTTATTTTCCTTCTGGTATTCCAGTTATACATAAGTTACAACATTTTTTGTTTTCCCACCATTCCTAAATGTTATCTCCTGGATCTCTCTCTCTCTCTCTCTCTGCATTTCAGTTTAAGAAGTTCCTATTGACCTATTTTCAAGATTGCTCTTCTTTCCTGAATCAACTGCTGAGCCCTTTAAAGGCATTCTTCATTTCTGTTCCAGTGTTTTGATATCTAACATTTCCTTTTTTTCCCCCAAGATGGAGTCTCACTCTGTCGCCCAAGTTGGAGTGCAATGGCGCGATCTCGGCTCACTATAACCTCTACCTCCTGGGTTCAAGCGATTCTCCTGCTTCAGCCTCCTGAGTAGCTAGGATTACAGGCACCCACCATAACACCCGGCTAATTTTTTGTATTTCTAGTAGAGGCGGGGTTTCACCATGTTGGTCAGGCTGATCTTGAACTTCTGGCCTCCAGTGATCTGCCCGCCTCAGCCTCCCAAAGTGCTGGGGTTACAGGCGTGAGCCACCGCACCCGGCCTAACATTTCCTTTTGATTCTTTCTTACAGTTTCCATCTCTTTGTAAACATTACCTATTTGGTGTAATGTCTGTTTTATCCCCTAGTGTCCTTAATATGTTAATCATAGTTATTTTAAATTCTAATAATTCCAACATTTATGTTTTAGCTAAGTCTGTTTCTGATGATTTTTTTTTCATCTCTTCAGACTGTATTTTGTAATCTTTAGTTGAAAGCTGGACATGTATCTTTAATATGTACTGAGGTTAAACAGACCTTTTGTGTGAGAATGGAGTTTTGTTAATCTGGCCAGGAATTGGGCTGTGTGTGATGTTTGTTATGGCTACAGGCACCAAAGGCTTGAAATTCTCCACTGACCTTTCATTTGCCTCGTTGGCTGTGGGGCTTCCCTTTTTTCTGCTCCTTGCTCCTCTGAGAGAGTCTATGTCTTGCAGCTCTTTCTGCTATAACCCACTGTTGTTATACTGGAGGCGTGTTCAAGTGGTGGTAGGATGCAAAGGAAGCTTTGTACAATCTATAGTCCCAGGGTTTTAGTGGACCTCTGTCTTGGGGTTTGGCCTTCTCGAGTGTTTCTGCTCCTTCCTTTAGAATATTGCTCTTCCCAGCTCACCTCCTGCTCCATTCCTTGACTACAGTATTCTAAATCTATTACCTTGATGCCCTGTCCCTTGTTGATTATTGTTTTCTTTTTCTTTAGGGGAAACGGGAAGGCTGGAACCATGTCCAGCTGGGATAAGGCTTCAGTCTCATCCTGTGATGAAGAAATTTTCCCTGTAGAACAGGCCTTTGTTATGGAGAAAAATTAGGTGAGGTTACACAATGCCTACTTTTCCTTTTCTTATGCCAGAGCCATGAGGGGGTTTTTCTTGGATCCTCAGCCTGAAGAACCTGGTAGGGATCATGGAGGGAACTTGTATGAAAGTACAAGGTCTCTCTGTGATTGTCCTCATTTTCACAGTAGTCCACACTCAGCCTCCAGCAACTCTCCAGATAACTAGCAAGGCAAGGATGAGTAGCTCCTGCCCAAGGGAAGCAGGTTTCAGCTGTATCTCACTGAATGTCCCTGTCCCTCTAGATTTCAAGGTGATAGTTTGGCCCGAAACCTCAGTTCTTTGATGGGTCCAAGAAAAGTCATTGATTATCGGGTTGTTCCATTTTCTCTTGTTGTAAGGACAGGGGTGATGAACTCCAAGCTCTTTAACATGTTGGAGCTGAAACTGGAAGTGGAACAACTGGTTTCATAATGTTTGGCACATTTTATGACTTTGTTTCACTTTTCCTAGAATTGCAGGTTTCCCAGCATCAGTTAACTGTCCTAGCATTTCTTTTCAAATGAACTACAATCTGGAAATAGCGATGCTTCACATATCAACTTAGAAACATATTTTTTTCCAAAAAGTATCAAAGTTGTCAAAAAAAATTAAGCTGTCTCAACCATCCTAAGAACTGACAAGAAAAAGAGAATTTTAATTTTATTTCTTATGGATCAAATATTCTAGAGTAAATGCTTGAAAGAATGGTGTTCAGTTAAGAAAATCAATTCCATTGTAGCATTGTGAATTCTAGGAGGCATTGTCATTCTTTCAACATTCTACAGGAACATGAGGCTTCTACTTGACTGAAATAAGGGTTTGAACTCTGGTTTGGGGTTTTAGTTCTCGTTTCTTTATTTTATCCACCTCATCTCCAACTTTTTCATCCTAGTTCATTCTCTTCTGCAGCTTTGTGTTCCATTTTTATATCTTCTTTCAAGTTATGAAAGATACCAGTCCTTTGAAATGTTCCCTTAAGCCTTGCTTATAGCCTTTTTAGGAGTATGTTCTTATTAAGTTTTCCAGATGCTCTTTCCATTTCCTTTTGTTACACCGTTTTTGTTTTTCATATTCTCTTCATTGCTTTCTTCATTTTTGCTGCTAGTTTCTTTACTGATCTTCAAAGAAGGCAGGATTTGTTCAGACAGAGAAGCCACTTATCGCCACAGAGGATTTTGGATCCTTTTGGCCCTGCCTTCTGTCTGCCTATAGAATGGAAGAACTGTTTCTTCAGATCTCAACTCTGAAAACATGTCTGAGGTCAGACTGCCTAGATCTGAATGCTAGCTGCGATAGCATGTTCTAGGTAAGCTCCTTACTGTGTTTGTGCCTCACTTTCCTCAATTGTGAAATGAAGATAATCGTTAACTCTACATCTAAGATTGCTTACAGGATTAAATGGGGTAAGGCATGTTATACATGTAGAATCATGCCTGGCACATAGTAAGTACTCAAAACACGTTAGCTCTCCTTATAATCCAGAAACAAGATCCAGGGTTGTTAAAGCAGACACCCTGGGCACTGCAGGTGATAAGTTGTGTTGTTTGTACCTTGGGGACCACGCCACACTTGGTATGACTCACTCACCTTGCTATGGATGGAACTAAGGGTCCAGTTCTCTTGTTCTAACAAAGTTTCACCTACTGCTCCTCTGTTGTACTGGGACAGCAGAGTTTCCTTCCATACTACCTGGCTGATTTATAGTCTTCAAATAGAGAGTAACTTATAAAATCAATATTTCACATTTCATCTACCAGTGCTCTTCCTACCTCGGTCTCACATATGAAGATTTTATCACACAGGATATAACTGTCTCCCACTGCCTCTTTTCAACTACGTTTACGATTTTAAGAGTGGACACTTATCTTTCTTTTTTAAACGTGTTCTCAGACTCACTAAAATAATGACTGGGCTAGGTGCCATGTTGCGTACCTCTAGTCCCAGCTACTTGGGAGGCTGGGGCATGGGGATTGCTTGAGCCCAGGAGTTTGAATCCAGTGAGACCTTGTCTCTAAAAAAATATTTTTTTAAGTTGGATTGTTTTTTTCTCGAGTCAGTTTAACTGAGCCCTGTCTGTTTCACCGTAAGTACAGATTTTGGCCATATTCTGCAATTAAGCTATATTTGGACACTTGTTGGGGGTACAGCTATGTGTTTTCAATTTATTGTTATGGTTATTCATTTGGAGATATTTCAGTGGGAAGCTAGAAGGCCTGCATTGCCATATGTCATTTAAAAGCAGAGTTTGAACTTAAATTTTGAAGGAACAGGTTAAAGAAAACATAAAAATTTCAAGTATACTCTCCGTACCTGATTTTAATATCTCTCAATAATGCCAGTATTGAAAATATTTTTCCCCAGAACCTTTACACAATCTGCCTTCAAAACAACTTCTAGACCTGAGTCAATACAGCTTTAAGACCATTTCTATACATTTGTCTTAAGAATCATAGTTTTGTGGGGGTTTTGAGAATTTATTCAGAATTTTTAAGTCTAAGAAGATCTTGTATTTTATTCTTATATTATTTCACAGATGAGAAACAGATGAGGCTAAATAACACTATAAAAATTACACATAACCAGTTAGGGGGCAAAATTAGAATTAAAACCCAGGTCTTCTTGTATTATTTTTACTAGAGCAACTTGCTGAAATCTAATTTTATGTACTAAACATAACTTGTTATTTTCTTTTTATCTTAAATCACTCTATGACTTTCATAAAAGGCAAAATTGGCATTTCTTCTATGTGATTTGGATTCTCATTTCTTCCTGTTCAGTCTTATGTGCTGATTTATGCTGAAAGACCCAATCAGTGCTGAAATGTTACAGTTTACAAAGGACAAGCTAAGCTAACTGTGGAAACCTTCTTGTTCTGTTGATATCCCATCTGAATCACCCCACAGAAGATTCTAGCTTTCCAGCTATCAAGTGTTGACCTTACGCCCCTTGTCTTCCTCTAACATGAGGCTCTGAAGGCTAGTACCAGTCTCCACAGGACTGGTAGAGAAGGAAATTTTTGCCCATTACGTTCTATTTCCCCCTGCATTTTCATGTAAATTACCCCTGCATGCAGAAGTAGTTCCCAAAAGACACTCACCTGTGACTATCCGTATTCTTATAATGGATCCTAAGTTATCATCCACTACTACAATGAGCTTCCAGGATGGAGAAAAGAGTACAAATATATAATAACAAGTTAGAAAAAGAATTCTACTGGTCTTGCAGGAGAAAGGTTTAAAGCTCACAAGTGCAAAAGAAAGAATATACAAAAGTGAAATACGTCCTCCCACTAGCTAGTTGAAATGCAAGGGCACATGAAACTCAGATCTATAAGAAGGAAAAGCAAAGTGCTTTTTTTCTATTCTTTTATTGTGACAGCTTCTGCACCATGAATGCTGGTCTATTTAGTACCAGCTGATTCTCTCTCATGCAAACTTCCTCCTCATGTGTAATTTTTGCATAAAAGGTTTTGCTTTTAAATACCACCTCCTCCAATTTCCTACTAAGAAATGTTTTCATGTGTTTAGAGTAAAGTAATCACGATGGTTAACTTGCAAATGAATTAAAACTACAAATGTCAGGAGTTTCTGAGAGCTGACATTAACATAATATTCTTGAGGGATTGTGCTGCTCCAGCTAATTGGACTGTTCTGATAGAAGACAAAATGGAATAAAAATAATGTGTCTCATGAAGCATGTTAGATTCAACCTTAGAGAGAAGCTATCGGAATGATTTGCTGGGGTCACAGTCACCTGGTAAGTGAAACTAAATGGATCAACACCATTCATGTATATTGGGTGAGGAACTAGAAAGGAAGGAATAAGCCCTTCATATTCAGAGACCATTCAAATCAGGAAAAATCTATGCTGATAAAAATACAGTTCCTTTACTTGGATGTGGTAAATCAAATGAATAATTTGAAATCAAAGACAAGAGATGCCATGTGTCTAACTGCTTACAAAACTACCATTCCCAGTAACTGAAGAAGTTTTTCATTTGCACCTTCTCCTTTTGTTCTTTGACAATACCTCTGTCATTTACATATATGGAAACCAAATAGCCCAGCTTATGCAAAGCTCCATTCACTTACCCAAAATCAGGAGGCCACTTGAGGCTGTTGTCCACATGGAGCTTTTGGTCTAATGATATGGTTCATCACAAACTACCACAAATTTAGCCACTTAAAACAACACCCATTTATTAGCTCTCAATTCTGCAGGCAGAAGTTTGGGTGGGCTTGGTTGGGTTCTATACTCAAGATATCACAGCACCAAAATCAAGGTGTTAGATGAGTTCTTTCTTGAAGACTTTAGAATTTAGTTCTTTGCAGTTGTAAGACTAAGGTCTCTGTCTACTTGCAGGCTGTTGGTTGGGAGTTATTCACAGCTCCTAGGCCCTCTAAGTCTTTGTATGTGGACCCATCTTTCTTCAAGCCAACAACAGTGAGTGAAATCCTTGTCATGCTTCGAATCCTTCTGATTTCCCTTCTGCCTTCCTCCTTGCCACCAGCCAGAGAAAGCCCTCTGCTTTTAAAGACTCCTGTGATTAATAGGCCTGCTCAGAAAACTTCTTTATCATAAGGTCTACCATCCCATATAATATAACAGAATCAGAGGAGTGATTGATTATCATATTTACAGGTTCCAGGGATGACTGCATAGAATATTCTACATTATACAAGAACATATGTATCCAACATATTGTACAATATTGGAATATCATCACTATTGGATAGCAGGTTACTGCATTCAGTAAGCGTTGGACAGAGGTGAAAACCAAGTTAGGGGACGTGAAGAGTCAGAGCCAGAATATTCAGGAACCAAAGCAGGTGGAATCTTGCACCAAGAAACAGAATCCAAAAAAAGTCACAAGAGATGTTTCTGGTACTTCACGAGTGGGCAAGTTGAAGAGAAACTACCAGAGACATTTTGAGAGGTGTGATCCAGGAAGGAGACCAAAATCCAAAGCTATGGAATACTGCCATGTCCAGGAAGAGGCCTTTCTTCTCTCTGCCTGGCTCTGTTCTCTCCAGATGTACCCATAGCTTACACTTGATACAACAAGGAGTATAGAGGTCTGGTTATCCCCTGCTTAGACAAATATTTTTTAAAAATAAATTTATCTTTTATTCTGCAAATCAATTCACCATGAAATGGTTCCTGAAAATATTTTATCTAAATGTGAAGACAATGTCTTCACTCTAGAGAGGACTGTCATTGGGTGCAGTGTACGTGTAATCATTGCGCACACACCATCTAGACCCTCCTCTCCCTTCTCAGCAAACACCAGACCATTGGTTTAAGAACCCATCCCCTCCTATGTGTACAGCAGCTGCATGGATTGGGAGGGTACGCACGCTATTGCTTTCTTTGGGTATAAATGGATCCTCCTCCTGGTCACAGTGATAGGACCAGAGACAGAAATTTACGCAGGCCTAGGTTCATTAGTACAATACATTATCCTAGGTTAGTCAGAGAGAAATATAGGCACTTTGTTCTATGCTTGGAGGCAGAAAAGACAATTCTCTTGCTTTTTACAGATTAGTATGAATACAGTAAGGACATTTTACTACCAAGAAAGAAGCTTGGAAAAAATCACATCAAAAGTGAAAATAGTATTTTTTTATTTGCAGAGCAAAACTGCTATAAAATTAAGTTTGAGAAAGAAATAAGGAAGAAAGAAAAATTTCCATTTCTTAGCTTACTGCAGGAGAAGTAATTTCCATTTCCATTTTCTCGATTTGTCCTCACTACTTTTGATTTGTTAGCAACAGAAGAAGCTTCCATATTTTTTAACCTTCTCTGTAAGCTTTACGCCACTGCCCAGTATCTATGTAAGTTAGTATTTTGGTGCAGGTATTAAATTGCTTGCAACCCATAAGAACACCTACATAATCTTTAAATTGTCCTATCATTGTGAAAGCTTGTTTCTGCTAGGTGCTCAGTTCAGGTATCACATTTGTCAAATGGTATAATCATCTCTTCGCCTGAAGACAAGAGCCTGGGGAACTTCTCAAATGCCAGCCAGCACTTAGCCAGCAAAACTCCTTGAAGGTAAAGATGGCCAAAAGGCACACACCATGAAGGACAGGTACGCAATCACTCATTTTTAAAATTAGCTGAAAAACCCAAGTATTTTGGCTCATCAGCACGAAGAGACAGTAGGATATATAGCCTAAATTGACAATTCCCTCAATATGAAGAAAGCAGGCAGTCTCAGATTGAAACGTGTAAGCCAGATAGTCATACTTGTTAAACCTGGGTAAGTAGTTAATCTCCTCAGGCCTCTGGTTTTCCATCTGTAAAATTTGGATAATAGTAACTAGCAAATAGAGTAGTTTTAAAGATGAAAATAAATACTGTCATGTGTTTCTAAAATAAAGAAAATGTTTCTGAACATAAGGACTATATTTAAGAACATAGTATTGTATACTGGAAATTTGCTGAGAGTAGATTTTAAGTGCTCTTACCAGACATACACACACATACATAAAAGGTAACTGTGGGATGGTACATATGTTAATCTGGTTGACTGTAGCTATCATTTCACTATGTATTTGTAAAACAAAACATCATGTTGTTCACCATAAATATATGCAACTTTTTTAAAAAGTTCATTTGAAACTTCAGTACAGGCTTATGCTTAAAACATTTCAGATGAAACTAGAAAGTTTATCCTTAGTACAATTGCTCTAGGTTGATTATTCATTCTTTATTCTTAGGATTTTGGGGGGCAGAAAGGATTCATCTTTTGCATCTTTCAGATATTTTGTGAAAGGGAAATTCAGAAAGAGATGTTAAATCCCAAATGTTAACCTTAGCTCTGAGCAATGACTTCCTCTATCCGGACCTCAGCTCTCTTGCTGAGGCCTGGTAGGAACTGAATGGCATCTCTGTTGTGGACAACCTGATCCCCTAGGCCTATGAACGTTTCAGGCCTCTGTTCCTGGTAATCAGGCTCTGTCTGTGTCTGTTGGAGAACCACTTGGGATGCCCTACAGTTAAACCTAGGATCCTCTCAACACAGGCTGACTCACTAGCTTCTCCTTCTTTCCACAGATTCCTAGGACTCAGTCAACCATTCTTTCCTCTTTGGTGTTTACAGTACTCATTCTACTCCTTGGGGCTTGTGAAAGACATAATAGTGCTGATAGCGTTCACCATAGAGTCCTTTCTCTCCTTCATCCCCCAGCCCCTGGGTTAGGTAGGATCATGTAATGAGTTCTGGATAGTGGCCTGGCAGAGGTGATGATGTGTGTCCCCTCCTGGCCAAAGCATTAAACTCATGGTGCATGATTCCTTCATTCTTGCTCCTCTACTGTGGCTACCAGCTGCATTCTAGATGGTGCAGCCTCCATCAGCCTGGGTTCCCAAGGGACTATACAGAGCAGAGACCCCAACAAACCCACCATGGACATATAGTGTGAAAAATAGATCTTTGTGTTGTAAACAAGTGGCATATTGGAATTACTTCAGCTATCATGATTAATTCTGGATCTTCACTGAAATTTGAGAAACTATTGCTCAAGACTCCCCCTGCTTCACTGTCCCCAAAAGCAAGTACAATGGCCATTTTCATTCTAGGGATTGTAATATGCATCACTGTGTAAGCAATGATTAAATGTTAAGTTGGATATTTTTTAAAGTTGAATAAAGTATAGAGACAGAAAAGTATTAGATGAGTATAGGAAACCTAAAATGATAGATATGATTTGTGAGGAGCAGAATAGATGTTTCTTTCTGGTATTCAGTGAAAAGGACCACAAAAAAGGGAAGGAAATTGAAAGGAACAGATAAGGGCTGGAGAAGATAACTGAAGTAGAACCAGGTTGTGAGTGGCCTTGAGTGTCAGGAGAATGAGTTGGCCTTGGTAACAGAAATATGTGCATGGATTATGAAGACCTTTAATATTAAGAGTGATGGCTTTCTTTATATTTCTTATTCTTGAAGTTTGTATAACTTCTATTTGTAGGTTAATATCTTTTATCAATTTTGGAAAGTTCTCATCCATTTTCTCCTCATATTACGTCTGCACCATTTTCCCCTCTCCTGTTTTCTCAGACTATATAATCTTGTGTGAGATCTTTCCACTGTGTCCCACAGGACTCTTTACATGTTTTCTGCATTTTTGATAGTTTTTTGTCCTCTGTCTAACCTACCTTCACTAATACTGTCTTCTGTGTCAAAATCTGCCACTAAATCCATCTGAGTTCTTCAGTTACGGTGTTATTTCTTTCTTTCTTTCTTTCTTTCTTTTCTTTTTTTTTTTTTGAGATGGAGTCTTGCTCTTGATGCCCAGGCTGGAGTACAGTGCTTCAATCTCAGCTCACTGCACCTCCACCTCCCGGGTTCAAGTGATTCTCCTGCCTCAGCCTCCCAAGTACCTGGGATTACAGGCACGCACCACCATGCCCAGCTAATTTTTGTATGTTTATTAAAGACGGGGTTTCACCACGTTGGCCAGGCTGGTCTCTGTCTCCTGACCTCAGGTGATCTGCCCGCCTCGGCCTCCCAAAGTGCTGGGATTACAGGTGTGAGCCACCGTGCCTGGCTGGTGTTATTTATTTCTATAATTTCAAATTGATTCTCTTTTTAATAAATACTAATTGTCTGGTGCATTCTTCATCTTTACCCCTCCACATGTTTCTCCATATATTAATGATAAAGACTTTAAAGTCCCTGTCCAATATCTGGATCACCTGTGTATGTTTCTATTATCTGTTGTTGTTTTTTGTCATGCGATCTTATCACTTTATATACCTGATAATTTTAAAATTAAATGCAGAATATGATGTATGAAAAATTATAGAAGTTTAGGACCATATTATCTTCTTCTATACAAGATTTGGCTTTTCCTTTGGTAGGTAATAGTATGGGGCTGTTCACCTTAATCCTACTGGGGGCTTAGCTGTATTGAGGTATTGTCACTACCTTGAGTTCATTTCCTGCTAATAGGAGGTGGCCCTGCAGTACCTCCCACTGAGAGCCTGGGGCATTCACTAGAATCCCTCCCCGTGGAATGTCCTGAACTCTAACCCTTGTCTCAGCATCATGACTGCTGTCAACTATTCCCTGCATTTCCAGGGCTTTTTGTTTATCTTCTTGCTCTACTTAGCCTCCTACCCCACGCAGCTCTAGAATCACACAGATGTCTCGAGGGGAAAAAGCAGTGGTATTGGTGTCAGTTCTTTACCCATCTCTTCTCATTGAGGTCCTGGAATCTCAAGTCTCTAAATGTTATTTTTTCCTGTATCTTGACAAAATCTCTGATTGTTTCTCTGCCTTTCACCAGTAATCCTCTGCATATGCCCTTCATTAAACTCTCAGCCTTTTGACTTGCATCTATAATCAGCAACACCCTAAAAGAAAAGTGGCTAGATGGTATCAGCCCACCTCTGCATGTGGATTCTACTCTCCCAAGATCTTGTGCCCTGAAGTCTTGTTGTAGAAGCTCTCTGATGCCTTCAAAGAAATGTTATTGTTTGTACTTTCTTTGGTTTTTCTAGATTATCTCAGCAGGACTTCCACAAACAACTCCATCAGAGCCAGAAATGGAAATGCCAAATAATGGCTTTTCAAATTGCAGAATTATCCCATCATTGCTTTTTAAACTTACAGAAGTCTTCTGAGTTTATGGATAATGATTTACAATATTAAAAGTGGTCATGAATCATGGACATGCTTTTCTTTAGACTTAACATGATTTTGTTCCTTTTGGATGCTAAACATTTTCATTGCAGCCACTTTTTCAAGAGAATTCAAGATTATGTTCACATGTTACAAATCAGCTGTGGGAGAAGTAAAATCCAAGCAATGGCATTTTAAAAATGTTTTTAATGTCATTATATCAGTGAAAAATCAACAAAGTGATAGTTTTGCATTACAATATGTAAGCAGTTGAGGACCTCTTTTTTTTCCTCTCTTTTATGGGTTATTTAAACATTTAAAACACTAAATGCATCTCCATCGAGTATCAAATTTTTACCATGTGACTGATAAGACAGGAGCTGATTCAGGGTTATCATAGCCCAAATTCATATCTCTTAGAAATCAGAAGTAAATGGGCCATATTTCTTGAAAACTTGATCATCTTTCTTGAGAATCTCCATTAACACACCCTTACCTAATAGCTCTGCATTCTTTGATGCTTACATTTATATTTTTCTTTTCATTTCCTCTTTTGACAAAGAAAATGGCTTTTATTAAGATAAAAGTTCTCTGCATCAAAGTTTAGAAGCAAAAAAGAAGCAATCTAGAGGATCACTTAACAAGAACATGTCAATTTTTTTTGAAATAATCTATATAAAATTGTCATAAATGTCAAGAAAGTTGAACTTTGATCCTTTCAAAGAAGACTTTCAGCATTTAAATGAAATCTTAACTTAATAAATACAATTTAATTTTCTCTATTAATATAATTGTTCAATGTCCATAACATAATTTTGTGTGTTATATTAAAAATTATAAATATTATGAATGTTCTGAGTATAGAAAGAGCACAGACTCTAAAAAATAAAAAAGGAAATAAGGTTCAAGGGATTGGACTGGTAATGGAAGATTTTTTGAAAGATCTCTTAGTTTACCCTATCATTTTTAAAATTGATGAGTAAAGATAAGTCATTTTCACACTTCAAGGTAACTGAAAATGAATCATCAACTAAAAGCAGAACAGCAAAGATTTTCCTTTCATCATGACTTCAATCACTTAAGTTTTCCTGCCCATATTTATCCTACTGAGACCCCAAAGAACTGAGAGAGGCTCTCTTCAGGTCAAGTACAGCTCTGCAACCAAGTAATATACACACAAAGCAAGAATAATCTATCAGTCTCATTTGGCATTCAAGTCTATCATCAAAATAGCATAAACAAGTAGCTCTTTTAAGTCTATCTCCCAGGAAGATTCCCTGAGGCCATAATATGAAGTAGTTCTAATTCTGTGTTTATTAGGTAGTTGACCTACCATTCTCTCTATTGCTTTATCTACAAAAATCATGAGTATTGAGAACAAATAATTGCATTATATTTACCATGTTTCAAAATGTTTTTAAAATGACTGTGATTCCAAAAAAATATGATTTTAAATTTGACTTAATTCTTTTCAATTTATATTCCATTGTGTTATTTCTAAACCAGCACTATGAGATGAATCAATATTATTTCACATGGAATCTCATGAATTATAGAATATGTAAGCTGAAAACTGCTCAGTATAGGAAAACAAAATTTAACACAATTATTTTAATTGTATATAATGCCTTTTCATATTCATTCTTACATTATAATGTATATTTTGAGTTCTAATTTCTTTTACTTAGTAATTTATCCTGATTGCTTCCACTGTCATCATAATCATCATTTCTAGTGAACAGATAACTCCATTGACATAGGAGTTTCCTACCACTGAACATTAATATTATATATAAATTTTTATAAATATTGTTGCTGTGGTTATTTTAATATATGAAGTTTCTCTCAAAACCTATTATGTGCCGCTCCCAAAGAATTAGTCTTTAGTTCTCTTCTCTTCTCCATTTATATTTATTCCCTTGATGATCTCATCTCATCTCATGGCTTTTCATGCCAAATATGTGCCAATAACTCCCAAATTTGGATCACCAGCCAAAGAGCTCTCTCGGCCAAGCTCCACACTTTTATATCCAACTGCCTACTCAAATCTCCATTTAGATATCTAAAAAAAAAAAAAAAGAAAATCTCAAACCCAGAAATGTCCCAAACAGAACTCTTGGTTACCCCTTGAAAAACCTCCACATGCAACTTATTTTAATCTCGACTGATACAAAATTATCTTAGTTGTTTGGGCAAAAATTTTGGAGCTAGCCTTGACTTCTTTATTTTATATCCCATTTCTGATCTGACTGAAAATCCTATTTGTTCTACATTTAAAACCTTTTTAAAATGCAATTCTTTTTACCATCTTCATTTTTATCATCCTAGTCTTAACCACCATCATCTTTTTTCTGTATAACAGCATAGTTTCCTGGATGACACTGTAGTTTCTGGTACTAATTTCCTACAGCTGCTGTAACAAATTACCATGAACTTGATGTCTTAGAAGAACAGAATTCTATTCTCTTATGGTTTTGAGCCAAGAGTCCAAAATCAATATCACTGAGCCAAAATTAAGCTATCAGCAGGACTGAGAAATTATTTCCTTTGGATAAAATCTTTATTTATATAATGAGGGGTCCAAAACACTTAAATATTTTTATGGGCTCTGAAAGATACAGCTACATTGCTCTCCAATATGTTCATATCATGTTATATTTTTATCAATATGTTTATCTGTCTCATCATCATCTCACTAGAATTGAGTTTATATTTTCTCTCTTTAAAACAAATTGCAAATGCATTGGATCAAGATGCAGATCTACTTCCAAGACATATACAGAGCATCTAATATTATGATGGATTATGCTATGGATTCAGGAGGGAGGTATAAAATAATAAGATTTCTTAAAGGATCATCTATGCCTTCCACAAGGTCACAATTTATTAGGAGTAGAAAGAACATATAAAATGGGTGACTAAGTGACATTGCAAAGTGTGAAGGAAGATCATCAAAACATATCATAGAGCGTACTATGACTGCTTGTGGTAACTCTTTTATATTGGAATTTGATACACTTAGATCAAGTTCAAATGAGAAAAGAGGTCCTTCTTATTTCATTTCTACAGGGTATTTAATTATCCTATTAATTTCCTGACATAAGATAGCAATGACCCTTCAGGAAACCTTTCTTTAATTCCTGAAGTTATGATTAAATAACATAATGTGTAGCTACTGCACTTTTATTCAAAAGGAAAATACTTGTCTATTTTTTTTTTTGAGACGGAGTCTCGCTCTGTCGCCCAGGCTGGAGTGCAGTGGCGCGATCTCGGCTCACTGCAAGCACCGCCTCCCGGGTTCACGCCATTCTCCTGCCTTAGCCTCCCAAGTAGCTGGGACTACAGGCGCCCGCCACCACGCCCGGCTAATTTTTTGTATTTTTAGTAGAGACGGGGTTTCACCGTTTTAGCCGGGATGGTCTCGATCTCCTGACCTCGTGATCCGCCCGCCTCGGCCTCCCAAAGTGCTGGGATTACAGGCGTGAGCCACCGCGCCCGGCCTACTTGTCTATTTTTTAACTGCAAAGTCTTATGCACTGCTTCTTCAGTGTTTCAATTTAAACAAAAACAAATCTATAGTTTGGATAATCATAGGAGGTCCCAATCAGACTTATTGAGCTCTGCCGTGACTCCAGAACTTACCGGGAGAAAGCCCTATCTGCAAGTGGCAGGGAGGGCTCATGAGGGTGATGATTTCCTGAAGAACTGAACCACGTCAAGAACATCCGGGGAATTAAAAATCAAATCCTGCAATGGAAACAATTATCTTGAAGTCCTGACAGCAGTGACCTAGAGAATAGGCCTTGGTTCAAGACCATAATTGCACAAAGGGTTATGATCTCTTTGATGATGTGAGACCGAAAAGTAAATCTGAAATTTACTACAGGAAATTCCTAAGTCTAGTAAATGATGTTTTATCTAAGATTGGCCAGAGCCACTTTTTAAAAGACAATTTTTGAGATTTTTACTTTAATAAAAACATGGGGCATTTTAAAACAGCTGTCTCCTACCGAGAAATCTGCTACTCCATCAATTTCTAAATTTCACAGTTATAAATAAGAAGCCTGAAAGTATGCCCTCCTTATTGATTATCCCTCAAAACCTAACACATGTGAAAAATAATGTAAGCTTTTGAGGTATACATGGTACTAGCTAAAGATGTAAAAGTATCCTGGGGATAAGTCTTCAAATTTGAGTTAGAAAGCTTGAATTTGTACCCACAATACTCATGCTTTGTATAACCCTGAAAATATTTAATTCCTTTTAAAAAAAAGGTATAAATAGTATCTACTTCAGTATTTATTATGACTATTAAGCGAGATAGGCTTTGTAAAGAGTCATTCATAGATGAGGAACTACCATTATTGACAGTTTATTCATTTATTTAGTTAGTTTATGTAACTGAATAAATATGTAGGAGCCACATGACAAATTATTTTATTTGTGGTAAGATTCTTTCAGTATCAAAAGACACAAAATCCAATTGGGGCTTTAGTAGAAATAAGGGAACATATTGTCTGATCTGGTCTGGGAGGAGAGAGAGAAATGGCTTCCTAGTGATTTAATCAGGGCGTTAAACTACACCACACACTCACAGGCTCCAACTTGGCTGGAACCCCGGGGTAGGCTTCCTGCTCAGCCCAGTCATCCCAGGTAGGAAGATGCTCAGCACTTCCAGCCTCACTTCATCATCCGCCCAATCTAGGAGATGCATACATACAATCCAGGTTGAAGTACACATTGATCGATTCATTGGCTGCAAAAGCCTTTTTTCCCTCAAAGCCCAACAAAAAAGCTTCCCGTGGCCTCTAATGGGATTATGTGCTTCCCATGGGGAGAAAAACCATTGAGACCATGGAGGAGTGGAAACCTTGATTGTCATAAGCCCCTGGGAATGGGGATGAGAGCCCACTCAAGTCGCATGGATGAGCCTGAAGAAGAGTTGATCTGCACCTCCAAAGTGAGCTCTGGATGCAATCATCAAGAATGAATACTAGAAGGCAAGACAGCCCATGTTTGTATCATCAGGTACATCTGATGATAGCCATCCTTACTGGCCCCTAAGAAAATATGGCAGTGCCTAGAATGTCCCGGGATTCCTGCAGCCACCTGCAGCCCATTATCACCCTGAGGTGAATCTTGCAGCTGATTTTCATGTCACCTTCAGTTCTGCTCAGTTCTCGATGCTCCTGTGGTCTTGTTTCCATATCCGTTCCACACAATTCTGGGGTTAATCACCACTCTGAAGCTCCTTTTCTTCATATGTTAAAGCAAACACTTTCCTTCTTGAATACTCATCATTTTTTTAATCTCTTCTCTGACTAATTGTAGACCAGAAGCATCAATGATATTTAATCGTCCTGGCAAAACTGGAA
The DNA here is from genome assembly GCF_000001405.40 of Homo sapiens. Classification (NCBI taxonomy): domain Eukaryota; kingdom Metazoa; phylum Chordata; class Mammalia; order Primates; family Hominidae; genus Homo; species Homo sapiens. Next base: position 2,035,154 of record NC_000018.10, read on the forward strand.
AACAAGTAAAAAGAAAACTACGTATACCAATACCCTTTTACATACAATTTAAGGAAAAAGATTAAGTTGCCGTCTATTGACGTCACTCGCTGCAACACACTGCTTGTAGCCCCACACTCATCGCCTGGTTCCTGCCTCTATATATTTTTTGTGTGCTGTTTCATTGCCTCAGACTCCATTCCCACCTTTTTTAACCTGGCTGAATGTTTGTGTTTCTTCCACGCTCAGTACAGGCTCCAGAAGTTCAAGGTAGCTTCTCTGGAACTCATCTCTTTGTCCCCTCTTCCCTGGTGATACCTCTCTCAGCACTTACCATATTATGTTGATATTTGGTATAGGGGGCTAGTCTCTACCACTGGTCTACACATTCCTTGAGAGCAGGAATTGTCATATGTATCCCATGGCATAGTGATTGACCATTAACACACAGACAATAAATGTTGTCTGTTGAAGTATACATTGATTGATTCATTGGCTGTCACCATTTTAGCCTGTATACTGTTTAAAATTGTAGTTACATTCTAACTGGGTTTAGCATTGCAAATTACATCTGTAATCCACCAATGTGTGATAAATAGGTGCTGGTGATGTTTTCTGCTTAGAAAACATATTCGTGAGTGACTTACAGAAAGAAGATTTAGTAATAAACATAGGTTTTTAGTAGTCAGCACTACCTTTAAGCATATTATGGAAAAGAAGAAAATAATGAGATAGAAACAGAAGCAGCCAGAGAAGGAGGAAATAAGGAACAGAGGGAGAAAAAACAAGCAAGAGAATAATATGAGAGAGGAGACAAAAAACTAAAATGGGATTACTTGAGAAACTGATTTTTAGAATGGTTGTAAACATTTTTAAGCTGTTTACTTGGAAGTAAAACTAAAATGAAATTATCTCAACAATGACAAATGAGAACCATAAATTATCTGCATTTTCAACAGTCAAAACCTCTTCCTGGGTGTCTGTAAATGATTTGTATGCCGTATGGCAACCCTGCTCCATCGGGTACAATTATATGATTGTTTATTGAATAATTGCTCTCCTTGTCAAATGTTTGATTGAATATTTGCCTGCTCCCTGTAATATTTTCACTGAGTAATTGTCTGCTGTGGGTAATACCTTCACTCAGTAATTGCTTGTTCTGAATAATATTTTCACTGAATCATTTCCCATTCAGCATATTTTATTGAATGATTTTCTTGTTGTGAGTCATGTTACTGTAAGCTCACTGAGAATTACTTGCTGAATTGCATATTTCCTTTGTAGACCTGAGTCCTTGCCCCGTACCTTCTCCAGGCTGTTGAGAGATTATATAACAACTTTCTTTTTCTAAATTATTTTCTAGTAGTGCTGAAGTTTGAAACTGAATGCTATGCTCAAAGTCAAGTAAAATGAAAGTTCTGCTTTTAAAGGGGGAAGAAACTTACAGGAGACAAATGGGGAAAGCAAACGATTCTAAGTGGGATAGGTGTAGAACATCATAGGTAAGCTGTACCCAAAACTGATTTGGAGGTTTCTAGAATCAATTTTAATGAGACTGTAATATTTCCCTATTCAACAAAATGCTAGGGGTTGATGGCTTATAAATGGTTATATATGTTAAAGTAGCAGACTGTCGTAGAAAGATAAGAGAATTTGAAATTGAAAGACATAGATTCCATTTATGGATCTGTCATTTACTCTTCTAAACTTCCGTATCCTTATCTTTAAAATGGATATAAAAGTATTTTCTTTCTTTATTCATTGAGCTAGTTAAGATAAAATATGTAAAATTCTTCAGATATGATAATGTCCCCAGCCATAGCTATTATGGCATTATATATTACCCTCTACAGGCCTTTATCTTAGCATGTATTATATTAAATTATCTCTTTATGGGTTAATATCCTGTGGGTTCCCATCCATGGATTCAACCAACTGTGGATCAAAAATATTTTTAAGAATTATCTGTACTGAACATATACATTTTTTCCTGTCATTATTTCTTAAACAATATAGTATAACAACGAATTACATTGCATTAGGTGTTATCAGTAATCTAGATATGTATACCAGATGATGTGCACAGGTTTTAGGCAAATACTATGCCATATTATAGAAGGAAGTTGAATATCTGTGGATTTTGGTATCCACAGGAGGTCCTGGAACCAATCCACATGGATTGACAGCTATAAATGTAGACAAGAAATGATAAAAGAGGCAAAACAATTCATATGTGTCAATCACCATTGCCCTTCATTTTCTTTTCTTTTCTTTTCTTTTCATTTGAGGGGGGTCGGGGGGACAGAGTTTCACTCTTGCTGCCCAGGCTGGAGTGCAATGGTGCGATCTCGGCTCACTGCAACCTCCACCTCCTGGGTTCAAACAATTCTCCAGCCTCAGCCTCCCAAGTAGCTGGGATTACAGGCGCCTGCCACCACGGCCGCCTCATTTTTTTTGTATTTTTATTAGAGACGGAGTTTTGCCATGTTGGCCAGGCTGGTCTCAAACTCCTTACGTCAGGTCAGCTGCCTGCCTCAGCCTCCCAAAGTGCTGGAATTACAGGTGTAAGCCACCGTGCCGGCCTTCATTTTATTTTCTATTTCCTTTCCTATATCCCTTTCTTGGGAGTTTTTGTCCATATTTGCTCTGGAATAATTTGGCACTGATTATTATTACGGTTTCACAATTAATGACCCAGCGGATTGCAAAAACTGTAGAAAAATAGAGAAGCTGCATTGTAATGAAGTTCACCATATTCTGAGGTATAAACAGAAAACTAGGAGAACATGGAACTACCTACAGAATCAAAGGTATAATATCATAAGGTTGTTCAGTACAACAAAATAATGATAGTAACATTTAGTTCTTTCCACAATACAGATATTTTTTCTCAAAGTAAAGAGAGACAAGAAGAAATTAAGGAGCTAATAGCCTCTAATTAGCAACCTATATACTAATAAATATGTAGTATATATTACATATATAATCTTTGAGTACCAATAAATCTAATGACTCTAAATTAAATGTTTTTTCCACTAAACTCTGTTTTGTCCTGTCAGTTATATTGCATTTCTAGTTAATATTCAACTATATAGATATTTTTCCTTATAGATACTATCTTTGGAATTTATGAAACATATTCTTTTATCTTGTAGCTATGTATGGGTTCAAGATTATATGAGTGGAATATATTATCATGGATTCTTCTTCTTTTTTTTTTTTTTTTTTTTTTTTTTTTTTGAGACGGAGTCTCGCTCTGTCGCCCAGGCTGGAGTGCAGTGGTGCAATCTCGGTTCACTGCAACCTCTGCCGCCTGGGTTCAAGCTATTCTCCTGCCTCAGCCTCCTGAGTAGCTGAGACTACAGGTGCGCGCCACCATGCCCAGCTAATTTTTTTTTTATTTTTAGTAGAGATGAACTTTCACCATGTTGGCCAGGATGGTCTCGATCTCTTGACCTCATGATCTGCCTGCCTCAGCCTCCCAAAGTGCTGGGATTATAGGCATGAGCCACCGTGCCCGGCCGATTCTCCCTGTAAGTAGATTTCAATATAGATAATCCCACAAAGATAATTATATATTGTAATGGTATAGAGACCCAAACATATCTTCAAGAGAGCTGTAAATTCTCTAGCTTAGGTATATTCAATTGATGCTTGAGCTTATTCAAAGTGAAGCCTCATCCTAGAGCTCAAAATTTGATTGCACTAGTACCCATGAGTACTATTTACCAAATACTTCTGACATTCCTTTAGGGAAGATAGTAGTGTTGCACTTCTTCTTGGAGATAGGTGTGACCATTTGACTTCCTCTGGCTAATAAAATGGGAATGGAGGTAACATGTCATTTCTGGCTGAAAGTGTTAAGAGCCAGTACCAGATCCAGTGCCAGGTAAGATAGAAGGCACACTTCACCCATCTCTCACACTTGATGCAACTATAAAACCTGAACAGAAGTCGTAGAGCAGCTAGTTGAGGTCTTTGAAAAGCAAATTTCAGCAGATACGTTGGGGAAGAATATAAGAATGTGAAGTGAACTAGTTTAAATCATCCTGAAATTATTTGAACTACTTTGAAGTGCTGTTTGAACTACTTTGAAGCCCACTAAACTAGCAACGGGCCTCCTTTTTTTTTTTTTCTTCAACATCACCCAGCCCAGACTTGATAGAAGTAAGCACTGTGGCAAAGAGAGAGCCCCAGGAACAGTCCTCTAATTCTGGCCTGAGGAGCTAAAATGGGAACTTTTAACAGTCAGAGAGAACATGGGAATCCCTCCTTTTATTCCTCACTCGTCTTCCATTCTTTTATCCTCCATCCCCCAGGCAATCCCACTGTGGGGGTGGCAGTGGCCAGTGATGGGAGCTGGCAGCAGCCAAATCTCTGAGGGAGGGGGACCTTCCTCTCCAGTTGGAAGAGCTGAGACTAAAAAAACATGGGGCCAACTCGTTGCTTTTTTTCCTTCTCTGTCCTTTAGTGGTTTGGTCCCAGAGTAGCCCAAACACAGAAGTGTTCAGCAAAGTGGGGCAACTAAAGCCCCAAGATTTGGGCCAGAATTCTGAAATGGGGAAACCCAGGGAGCCAGAAAATGCTGGGAGATAGCAGACAGGGAAGAGTTTGATCCCATAAAAGCAATCCCATAACCTTTTCTATAAACTCCAGGTCTCCTCTAAGAGCCTCACACCCATGGATCTGATACTAATTCACATACCAAAGACTGTGAACTGAAGAGATAGACTACCACCACTGAGTCACAGACTATCCCTTGCATAGGACATGGCCTGATACACCTGAAGTGCAGTATAAAGGCTTTGAAACTGAACTGATACTGGCACTACAGCCTACGGGAGGAAAATTGGAACTTACGGCCTGAACCTAACAATTTTCCTAATCTTAAAAAATATCAACATTCTCCAGTGGATTTAAACAAGACATATTCAAAATGTCCAGCATGCAATCCAGAATTACTCAACTTACAAAGAACATCAAAAATTCGTAAGAAAAAAGACCATCAGCAGATGTCAAGGCCAAGATGACACTGATGTTGGAATTACCTGACAAAGACTTTAAGGTGATTTTTGTTAAAATGCTTGGAGAGAAATCATGAAAATTTTTGAAACAAATTTTAAAATAGAAATTCTCAGCAAATAAATAAAGATATTAAGAAGAGCTAGTGCTCAATTCACTAGGCTTTCCCTCTGCCGTGGAGACCAGCAATGTTCTAGCCCAAGTGATAAATAAAGGACGACATGGAGCAGAATACTCAACTCACCTGTGATAGACGTGTAATATTAATGAGGAGTAAACCTGGTTGTCTTAAACCACTGAAATGCATGTGTTGCTCCTTACAGCAGCATAACCTAACCTATCCTGACTGATATAACTGAATACTCTGAATTTTATGATCTAATAAAACTTTACATATTGGTATCAGGGAAGTGAACATTTTGGACCAAAACTAGTATTTACTCCATGTTAAATCTCCAGATAAATTCTATAACTCTTCCAAGATAAGCACCTAATTGCTGATTAAGCCCTCTTCTTAAGAGACACAGATAGTATAGTTCATCTAGCTTTTTTAATTATATAGGTTTCTCTTTTTGTGATGTCTACAGTAAAAAGAAACCAGAAATTGTTTGGATTTCTAACTTAATTAATAATAACAATATGCCAAGCAAGATTACTCTGAATCTGTAAAGAAACAATTATGCAATATTATACATTTAAAATTAATTGAGTTAATTACAGTTTTCATGTAATTAGTGCATTCCCTTCTTACCAGATAAAATCGAACTTGTATATTATACTTTAAATCTGTTAATCAATCTCTACTGTTATGCATTCACTCAAAATATACACTTAAAACGGTGGTCATCACTGGGATAAAGAATAAAAAATGGCATAAAACAAAATATACTCTGTACAATTTCCCAGTTCTATAAACAATACTCTATAAAATGAAGTGGAGTTTTAACCTAATTGAATTTATATAATGCTTAATAAATCAATGTTTGACCTTACTTTGTTTGTCAAGAGCTCAGATTAAGTTAAAAAGACTTGGACGAACATTTAACCCCATCACCCATGTCTATTTATTAAAATACTTTTTCTAAAAATCTTGAAAACTCAGTGTCCAAGAATTGCTATAATCAGCTTATAAAATATCTAGAATGATTACTAGAAATGCAGTACCTATTGTAAGGCTCATAATAACCAGATTGGCAATATGTTTGACAAATTAATGGCCTAATTTTTCATTCCTTTGTTATTTATTTTAATAACCTGATTAGCACAATGATGTTGACTCATGAATTACTTAAACCAAAATGGTACAATGTAATTGTCATCCAGCATCAATAACTCCATTTTCCCTCTCGGGCAGATTAGGCTGTATTTATGCATTCTCCCTCACAGTGAAGGAAGAGGAATTGTTCTTTCTCTCCCTTCCACCTCCTCTAATAATGCTCCTCAATACGTATTCCCACGAGATTTACATGGAAATATTAACCATGAGAAATCTTGTGGGCTTTTTAAAAGTTCTGGCTCAATTATAATCATGAGAGACAATGGGAAGGAAAATAGAGTTGTTTGGGACATTATTCACTTACTGTCTCTGAATTGTTTGAGCCAGACGTATATAATCATCACATCTCTCAATTGCCTTTATTTTAATCCATATACCTTAAATCAGATGAAACAAGTTTTCTTTTAAAAAATCCACATTATAATATTCTGCAGTAAACACGCCATAATTTTTCAAAGAGTTTTATCAATGTGAGTTACAAAAGTCACATGCTGTTTGGAGTTTGCAATGGGATATGGTCAGTAGTCAGATTAGTCACCATGATGTCCTTTCTGTGATTTTTGGTCTACAAGTAAGTATTGTTCAAAAAGATGTGAAAAGCTTAAGAGACTCCTTACAGAGAAAATAGATTGGGGCAAAAAGCATGGAGTTAGTCAAACAGCAAGAAGGTTTTTAGGGTTGAAATGAACTAGTCATATGGAAATACGTCTGAGACTAGAGACAAGGTTCTAAGACTAGGTCTGTCCCTTTCAGCCACATGCCCAAAACAGTCAGGGAGGACAGGAGAAGTTCCTTGCTAAGAAGAAGATTAGAAGGACACAGTAATGCTATCAAAATTACCTCGAAATGGAGGTAAACAGCTTAAATGAAAAAATAGTAGACTATTGGTAACAGAGGTGGGAGGGGTAATTTCCACCGACTTGAAAAGCCAAATCTCTGGAATTTAGATGAGTCTATATGAAAGAAGAAGGTTCAAGTGAGTTAGGTAGAAGCATTCTACTAAAACCGAGGGCGACAGACAAGGAAGGTGTGTGTATGTTCACAGAAAGAACAAAACTCTCTAAGCCAGATGTTCAAAACAACCAATCCATTTAAAAATGGCTATTTTTGCTGGGTTGATTTTTCCTCTCTGGTAAATTCTGAATTTTGTTTACAGTATTAGCATTTTTTCAAAAGTTTTTCACTGTGCTTTTTGAATATTTGAATGCTTTTTTGTTTACTTTTCAGACAGTTTTTAAAATGTATTCTCCACCAATTATGCATGCTCTGTTCATTTAGCAATGCCTTCATGAATTTATATTTTTCTTGTCAGATTTTACTTAGCGTTTGCAACTACTGGTTGATGTATTAGTAACTTTTCTGTATCCTGGAGTGCTTTTACTATTTATAAAAGATTAATTTTTAAAATTTTCTTTTTACATTTTCATTTGAAAGTCACTTTCATCCAGTGATGCCAGTTTTAACTATTTAGCAGAGTTTCTTATTTTTTACCACCTTTTTAGTGCGCTTTATATTTAAGCAGCATTCTTCATTAAAAAAATTTATAAATGGGAGTTGAACAATGAGAACACATGGACACGGGGAGGGGAACAACACACACTGGGGCCTATTGGGGGGTGGGGTTGGGGAAGGAAGAGCTTTGGGGAAAGAGCTAATGCATGCTGGGCTTAATACCCAGGTGATGGGTTGATAGGTGCAGCAAACCACCATGGCACACGTTTACCTTTGTAACAAACCTGCACATCCTGCACATGTACCCCGAAACTTAAAATTAAAATTAAAATTAATTTTAAAAAACTTGTCACTTGTAATGAGGAAAATGGTTATTTTTATTGGGTTTTTCTAAAAGGGAGTAATATTTTAAATACTACTATTTTATATGAGAATAATATAATGTAAAATAAAATGATGAGAATATGTCTAGATCATTAAAACTCTTACAATCAGAGGCATCATTAGATCTTTTCCTCCTGTTTACACTAATACATTGTCAATACTATTTCCAAAATATGACAAAGAATTCTTCATCAAAATGAACAAGAAAGCATAGACTGAAAGAATGCAAACTGAGTGATTTAAAATACATTTATTGTTTCTATCAATTAAATTTTTGCAAATCTACTCTTTAACCTTCCAGCAATTTTCTCAGACTGCTATTGTCCCATAATCAGAAAGGTCTATACAGGGTTCAATGATAAAAATTGCAGGAAAAAAATCTCACAAGATTGCCACACTGAAACCACATTGGTGAGGAATAAAAGACATTATACGGGCTTTGTACCAGAGAGCCTTGGATTCTACATCTTCTCTGTTGCACATTAGCTACCTGTTCTTGAATAAATTGTTTCTTCCTCCATAAATGAAAGAAAAGGATCTTTGTTAATACTGAATAGATAGCATATGTAAAATACTAACACACAGGATCCTATAAATGCTGATTCCTTTTCTTCTCTCACTCTCAAGAAATACATATATTAAACTCTGCACAATCCAAACAGGATGGGTACCGTGGAAGACACAAATATGAATCAGGTGTGATCTAAAGAAGCTTACAGGAGAGACAGGAAGGGTAAAAATATAAACCACCTTTTTAAAAGGCAAATAGACAACCGTTCGGTCAAAGGACATGCAATAAGTAGTCTTACCCTGCTGAATTGGTTGACTGGGCCAACTGGTGAATGGAAGATTTTATTTCCCTTTTTGGCCAGCTCTGCCCTGCCTGGTGAGAGGCAAGCCAAGTCCAGGCCTGGAAACAGCCAGGAGGCCTGTGTTCAAAGAAGGGACCACGCAGGTGAAGGAGATCTGGGAAGCTGAACACAAGCCCCACTGAACAAACATCTCACAAAACCAGAAACCAAAGAGAAGGGTTGTTATCAGAAAACAGATTCAAAAGAATTGGTTCTCACTGGACGCAGTGACTAAAGCCTGTATTCCCAGCACTTTGGGAGGCTGAGGTGGGCGGATCATGAGGTCAAGAGTTCAAGATCAGCTTGGCCGACATGGTGAAACCCCAGCTCTACTAAAAATACAAAAAAAATTAGCTGAGTGTGTTGGTGTGCACCTGTAATCCCAGCTACTTAGAAGGCCAAGGAGAATCGCTTGAACCCGGGAGGTGGAGGTTGCAGTGAGCCGAGATCATGCCACTGCACTCCAGCCTGTGCAACAGATCGAGACTCCGTCTCAAAAAAAAAAAAAAAAGAACTGCTTCTGGGGGATCCTGAAACAAATCCTAAGACAAAAGAGTCTCTTAAGTAAGACTAATGAGCCTATGGTTCTTAAGTAGGTGCTCTTAACATACAAGGATTTTTGGATAAACTCAAGATGTCTGTAGCAAAGAAATTCTCCAAATTAGCTAAAAACAACTGACTTTGAGCAACTTGCTTGTACTATTACTGTTCAGTGTGTCCCATTGCATGACAGGACTTACTCACTGACACAATGAGTGGTCTGACAAAAACTCTAAAATACATCCCTATCCACTCATATCTTGAATGTTACTAGAGGATGAATGGGCAATGTACTACTTAGAAAAGCCCAATGTTCAAATATACTCATAAGATTTGGGCTTGCAATTAGTGAGCCATCTTTGGGAGAAAGTTCCTTTATCTAAATTAAACCCTATTTCCACGTGAATGCATTTAGGTTTGCTTGCCCTCAGTTGTAAGTTTATTCCTGACAATATAGCCCTGGTATTCAGCATAGCTGAAACAGACCAGGTTATGTCAGCTCTCCCTCTATGTCTGCCTTGCCTCCGAGATACAAGGTAGAGGTGGGGAGGAGGGGTGCAAAATATAGACAACTTGATGGAGACTTTCATCTTATATGAAAAGGGAAAGAAAATAGCTGACTTTCTAAAATCAAATATGGTTTATACTTTCCATCCATCAGAGATTAAATTTAGACTTCACAATGAATGCAAAATCCATTGACTACTACATCTTGTCAACTTGAGATGTAAGAAAACGAGAAATGAGCTTCAGACTCCACAAAAACCAAAGCATGGTATGAGATGGAAAAGTAAAGAATGTGAATTCATGTAGAAAGTTTCTTCCGCTCTTGTCTTTGCAAGGAAGAAATACGGAATTTACCACTTACTGAGTCCCAAGTCCCAGATTCTTATTTACATCAGTTGATCCTATCTCCCTTCATACAAATGAGAAACTTTGAAGGCCTTGAAAGTTTAATGTTTTTCTCCTAAATCATAGAACTTATACATTCATAACATGCTGAAACCCTGAGTTATCTAACTCCAACACTTCCACTTTTCATTATCTTGCCAGTTTTGTCCCACTTTCTACTGTTGTGTCTTAATACCTCTCCTAGTTCCTTTATCAAATTACGATTCTTCTATTGTAGTTGCCATAGGTATGCCACATGCCTAGAACAATTCATCGAGGGTAAACAAGTATGCCACATACCTAGAACATTTTGAACCATAAAACTCAGTTCACAAATATGGAGGCCTACATGTACTATAAATTCTTAATTATTTAAGTACTTATTTTTTTTTTTTAGTATAAAGGTGAGCCATTGGCTTTCAAATAAATAGAAGATAAGAATGGGAGAGTTGATCATACTAGGGAGGATGGTCAAATGTTTCAAAATCTATGGTGCTGTGCCAAGTTACTAGGATAAAGGGTGGGCAGTGAGCACACTTAGAGTAATTTGAAAGCTCCTGTATTAATTACATATTACTGTGTAACCCATTACTCCCAAGCATAGCTTAAAACAACATGTATTTATTATAATACAATTTATGTGGATTATGAATCTGGTCACAGCTTAGCTGAGTTCTCTGCATTAGAGTTTCTCACAAGGCCACAGTTAAAGATTCAGCCAGGGCTGCAGTCTTACTTGAAGGCTTGACTGGGGAGGATCTGATTCTCAGATCACCCACATGGCTATTGGCAGGAATCAATTCTTTGAACATTGTTGGATTGAGGGCTCAGTTACTCAGGAGCTGAAGACCTCCCTTAGTTGCTTGCCATATAGGCCTTTCCAGAGAGCATCTCACAACTTGGCAGCTGGCTTCAATCAGAGAGAGAGAGCAGGTGAGAGAGCTAGAGATAGTCTAGTGAGAAAGACAATGCTGGCAGATGGAGGACATCATTTTTTATAACCCAATCATGAAAGCAACATCCTCACACTTTTACCCCATTCTGTTTTTTACAAGCAAGTCCCTAAGTCCAGATTGTACTCAAGGGGAGGAAATTACACAGAAGTGTGGGTCCCAGGAGGCAGTGATTATCGGAAGCCAGTCAGAAGCTGCCTGCCACAACACCCTAGAAGACTGTAACACTTTCCTCTCCGGCCCCCCTCCCTCATGTTAGGTTCCTTTGCTTTCTAAATGGCAGACTGATTTATTGTTGTCTGAAACCTTCACTGAAAACACTTGGGAATGACTTGAAAAGAAAACTCAAATCAGTCAGTCTAGAATTGGTTTATGAAAAAGGCAAAAGGTTTGGGGTTTTTGCTTGTGTCCTTTGTCTTGAGGATGGGAAGTGCTAACAAAAGGTAAGGGAATTTAGCTATTTGTGAAAATATAGTTTTATTTTATTTATCCATATAATTTCATTTCTCTGTTGGTGGAGCTTATTAAGAGCTGGACATGTAATTAAATACACCTGAATCTACCTGGCCTTTAACAAAAATTCATGGTCATTATGTTTACTTTTCATCAGAGACCATAAAGAGCTATTCACTGTTATGGTCAGTTAGACTGTGTGTGTAAATTACCTGAAGACAATATGATTAATAAATAACTTATTTTTTTAAGCCCACTAATTATTTTTGCACTTTGGTTTCCATAGTTACAAATCTTTAGCTGTTCAGAATAAACTCATATACAAGGGAGTCTTTGCACTGGTTTATACATTGGGAGCAATTCCAGATCTGGATGACGATGGGCACCTGGAAAAAAAAAAAGTTTTTCTTCAGGGTTAGCATGCCCTGACTGCTGCCATCGTTCTCAAATCACCTTTCATATGTCAGAAAAATCTCATTAAAAATCTCCATGGAAATGCGTGGCAATTCACATATTAACACAGGAAAAATACTTTTAACAGACACCAGAGTAATGTTTATTTCTACTTGGTGGGGTGGGTAGTGATTCTCTGCCACCACACACAGCTCTTATAAACATACACATTCTTTCTTTCTGAAGGAGAAATTCTCTAAGGCAGTAGTTTTTTAAGTTTTTATATAGTTTGGTTTGCCCCTGAGCTAGACTTCTGTCCTGAGTCCCCTTGCTGAAAACAAAATGAAAAAAGTTCCTCCCTTGATCTCCCTGCCCAGCAGGAGTAGCAGGGGATGCTGGATGTCAGCCCACGGAGGTCTCCTGTTGTGGCTGTGGCCTGGACACCTGGTTCTGGCAAGGCAAGCTTGCCAAGGAGTCTGAAAGCTCAGAAAGCTCCACTGGACTTGTGGAGTGCTTTATCCAGTCCACCGTCTCCATTTCCTGGATTCCCAGGGCCTTTGGAAGCTCCCCTCAGGATACAATGAACACCACGATTCTTGATATTCTATAAATTCCAATTCCAATGTCATCCCAGCTCACAAGACTCTGAAGCCCTCTCAGCCCTCTTCCCTATAGCTCACACAAAGTGCCCGACATGCTAGTTTCTCTTGGTTCCCCAACGCCAAGCCCTTCACCAACTCAGTCTTATACTAGTTGTTCTCTCTGCCTGGACATCTCTTTCTCTTGACCCTTTGACATTTCTTTCCCCAGATCTCAGTTTAACTGGCACTTACTTAAAGAAAAGTTCTCTAACCCACCTGTCACTCCTCATTTTCTACTATAGAAATCTGCTTATTTTATTCATAGCACTGGGCTTATTTTCTTTCTTTATTTGCTTAATCATTTATTTCCAACTTCCCCAGCAGCATGTAAGCTCCATAAGGACAGAAGCACATCCGTCTTGTTCATGACTATACACCCTCAGTGTCTAGCACAGTGCCTGACAGAGAGTCACTCAAAAACTACATATTAAAAATGTTGAGTCATTCTAACATTTAAAGTGATTCTAGCTTGTACTTTTGAAAACTTAATATATTCTGAGTGTGTATGTTTTATATGAAAATTTCAAAGAGAAAGTATTGAGGTTGAATCTGAAAAGAATATATTTATGTAATCATGAAATGTTTTAAAATATATTTTAGAATGTATGCATAGTATTGTCCTGTTTCTTTGTTTAAACTCGCATGAATAGAGCTGCCATTTAGGAGAAGAGTGTAGATAAAAAAGAGACTTACTTGTGTTTAAATGGTATATGTACAAACACCTGTAAATTACAAACCATATTTTCAAGAAGTATGATTATTGCTATGTGAGTGTAATCTGAGGCTGGAATTAGGATGGCATTGCTAGAATTCTTGGTACTCGAGAAAGAATTCTGAGAAGCCAGGTAGTTGCTGTGCAGCATAGGGAGTTAAAAAAATAGAGTTTCACTTTATGGAGAATTCCTGAATACCATTAATTAAATATGATACATATTAATAAAGTAGAAGCAACTTAATGTACTTCTAATGCTTTATTCTTTGTTTCTCCTTTTATCTAGCTCTTCCTGAGAACAAAAAGGATTTATGAAGGAAAAAGCAGCTAATCAAAGAAGTTCTGAGTTTAAATTCTGTTTTGTCCACTTACTAGCCATTTGGCCTTGGGCAAGTCACTTTACTGGACCTCAGTTTCCTTGTATGTGAAAGGTTTTGGTAAAAATCATATTAGTTAAAGAATGTAAAGAGTTTTATAAATTACAAAGTGATTAAAAAAAGTAAAATGTATTGTTGTTTAGGAACAATGAAAAAAAAAGAAACCTTGACATTTTTTCTTCAAGTTCTTGCCTAAAATGTTTATTTGTTTGGCCCTTTTTAGATTTAACAAATTCTATGTGTCTAAATATCAGTGTAGACCCCTTCTTACCCTACTGGATTTATAAGGTACTAAAAGTAGATATGCATCTCTTCTGTCTTGGTTCGCTCTAAAATGGGATGTTTGCAAACCTCTTGGTTTTTCTTTTTTAATATGGATGAAGCTTATATTAATTTTTGGCTTGGTATTAAATTTTGTTTGGAATATTATTAATTGAGAATGTTTTCTGTTTTTGTTTGTTGTTGTTTATTTATTTTTCCAAATTTGACATCATCTCTATCTTTCCTGGAACCTTTATTTTGTTATGGACTTTTGCTGATTGTAGTCTTCATATAATACCGAAAACAAAAGATGGCATATAGGCCTCAATCCTAAGAACTTTCCTTTAAGTTCTCATTTCTACAATGTGTGAAACCTTTTAAAATCACTTTGTTAAGAGATTTTCTGGAAGAAGGGAAGACATGAGAAGACTCAAAATACTTAACAGCCAATCCCTGCCAAGTCTTCATAATGTTCCTCTCTCATACATCACTTTGAAACTACCTGCCTAGTGGTTTGGATTTTTGAAACCCTAAGTCAACATTGCATTGGTCTTCCTGTTGCTACTGTCTTGACTTTTTACTCCTGTTTTGGTGGAGTGGAAGAGTCCATTCTGTCTCTTCAGGACTGCCAGCTTTTACTCCTTTTGGCAAAAGGAAGCTGATCAAGTAATCCAAGCACCAGGAGAACAGCTGCCCTGGCCAGTGATGGCCTCTGACCTAAGGGTCGCAGGTTATAGCCTTGTGAGTAGCCCCTTAAGTGCATTTATGAGGCAGTCCTGCCAAATCGCTATAATACTGACTAATTCTGCCAACTGGAACCCCTCTTGGGAAATCTGAATATAAAACATTCAAAGGGAGCTAACGAACAGCTAGAAGCAGGAAGTCACACAGACAGAAAGCAGTAAGCAGAAACCACAAGCAGAAACAAGGCATGGAAGTGTACAGTGGTAATCTTCAGTAATAGCCTAATTCTTCTGGTCGATGCCATTCTTGAGGCAACAACCTTTAGAATCCTTATTGGGTGTTCAGAGTTGCTGTCAGGCTAGTAAAGCTATGGCTGGACCCCAAATGCTCTTGGGGGCTGCATGTCCACCCCTCTCTTCTTTACTCTCTGCATATCCTTAAAAGAAGACCCTGTTGTGAGAGGTCACTGAGTGTAACTCCTTCTTTGGCAATGGCTAAGAACAAAGCTTACACATCTAAAGAAAGCTACCTGTTACTGTGATCACCTCATACCTTATGCCCTGATCTCAGTAACTGACTTTCTGCCTTGGTGCTTCACCTGGTGCTAGACTCCTAGAGTCTATCTTGTTCTGTCTAGTATTCCCAAGAACTGGATTCTATCTCCTAAATCCTGATATATGGTCAGCTTCTCATTACTTCTGCCAGACTGTTCTACTGCCAGCTGGCTTGCTGGACTCTACCTATTACCTGCTGCCAAGTTCTCTGCATTCTTGTTCCACCCACTTGAAAGCCAGCCTCCCAGATGATGAAGTGTGAGATCATCTGTCAGCGTCTTTTCAGGAGATGACACAGCCTTTGTCCTGTCACTATTGGCTACCTTCTGCATTGTCTGTTGTATCCTGCCATGCTCCATTTCTGACCTGTTCTGGGTTTGACCTAACTGGATAATCAGTGTCCCCCACACTACCTGTCTGTTACATCGCTCACTGAAAATGAGTTTCCTTCCACCTTATGGGAGGTAATTATAATAACTGCCTAACTGGTCTGTCTGACAGATAATTCAGCTATTCTGTACACCATATGAGTCACTTTTTTAGTCTTTAAATGAGACTTTGGAAACATGCCCATATTGGGAAACCATTAACTAAAACGCCTAAGTGTGAACTTCTTATCCAAGTGTTTAAGGTCCTCTCCAATCTGACACTCATCCACCTTACCTTCTGCCCGCTTGACTCCTCTGCCCCAGCTAGAAAAGTCTTGCTAACAACTTTCTAAAATTACCTGACATATTCTTTTTTCTTGCCCTTGAGTATTATGTCCTGCTAAATTACAGTGTCCACTGAGTCCTCTTTAACCACTGGACTCCCACTCAAGTCCTGTGTAATTCATTAACTCAGCCAAAAGACAGTGACTACCACTTGCCAGTCACAATATCAGTTTATAGTTATCCAACAAGATATAGGATATCTTTCTCTCAAAGTGTTTTTAGTCTAAGCAAGAGAGCTGAATGCTAAGCTAAGAAACGGTTGGAGAATATGCATTAGGGAGACCACATAAAGGAGGAAGCTGTAGATTCTCAAGCACCAGGAGAAGCGTAATCAGAGAAAGCTTAAGGATGGGCAGATCCTTGATCTAAATCTTTATTTAATGATAAGTAAATGTTTGAAAGGTTGTAGAGATGGGGACATTGTAGGCAAAAAAGTTAAAGGAGCAACAGTGGAGATGCTAAGATGTGTCTTCCATGTATGCAGAGAGTGGGTGATGGTGCAAAGTGGGGATGTAAAGACAAACACAGATCATTGCCTCTCATAAATACACAAGGCATGGTCAGTCTGGAGAATTAGGAAGACTTCCCAACTCTCTTCTATCTCCCCCTTGTCGCTACAATTCTTGCTTCTTCCTCTGCTTTGATTGTATAGATATCACAAAATTGAAACCTCCCCTCTGTATCACATAAGCTGCTTCTTGATCTCATCCCACCTTTCCAGCCACAATGTTTTTTTAGCATATAACTATTTCTTCTCCCACTTCATCATGTTGGAGGTACCTAACCTTTAAAAGTTGCAACAATAAATTCATTCAACAAATATTTATTTACGGGGGATGCTATGCTTAAAGTGTTTATTTGCAGTGGATGCAGTAGTGCGCCACCTCAGCTCCCTTTAGGACCTACACATGTGTTCCCATAGCTTCCACAAATGTTGGCAGCTGATGGCTCAGAGTTGTGACCTGTCCAGAAATTGAACTGAAAATTCAAAAATTGAAGGAAGTTTCCTTTCTCAATGTTTGCTCCCTTCCCAGGACCAGTTAGCATCTAATAATTGATACCTGAATAGGTAGAAAGGCTGATCCCCCTTTTCTTCAGTGAAGATAGCCTAGCAGTTCCATCTCAGCTCCAAAGCAGTCTACAGAGTCACTTAAGATATCTTTTGCAACTGTGTTGCAGTTACTTTCTCCTTCTCCCCAATCAGGCTTTCCTAATCCCTCATAGGGATTAACCCCAATTAACAAACTTACCACTAAACTTTCTGCATGCCAGTTCCAGAGCCTCAGAGACTATTTCTCAGGGAGTGTAACCTATAACATTATTTAATGAAAACCATGGTTCCAAGAAGAAAAACTACGAAGTGAGTTTTATTTTTTTTTAAGAACTATTAAGCACATTCCATATGCCAGGAGCAGCATTACACCTGGAGAAGATGCAAAGAAGAGGAAATGGCCTGGGTGGTGGCAGTGCCATCTCCCAGTCTGGAGGCAGGAGAGCCTGCCAAGGGGAAAGGCCGGCTAGATCCCCATCCTGCCAAACTCTCTAGGACTAAGTACAAGATTAGATTGCCTTGCTTTACCCAGTCCAGTAATTCATGGGTCCAGAAGGTTAAATCTGAAATCTCTTTTTCTTGATGGCTTTAAAACAAAATTAATTTCCCAGTACCAAAGTGGTGAACATAGTCCTCTTTAGAAATAAGAGAGAAGGCAGCCAGGTGCAGTGGCTCATGCTTGCCAGCACTTTGGGAGGAGGCGGGCAGATCACCTGAGGTCGGGAGTATGAGACCAGCCTGACCAACATGAAGAAACCCCATCTCTACCAAAAATACAAAATTAGCCAGGTGGTGCGTGCCTGTAATCCCAGCTACTTGGGAGGCTAAGGCAGGAGAATCACTTGAACCCAGGAGCTGGAGGTTGTGGTGAGGCAAGATCACACTGTTGCACTCCAGCCTGGGCAGCAAGAGGGAAACTCAGTCTCAAAAAAAAGAAAAAAAAAAAAAAAAAAGAAATGAAAGAGAAGGCTAAATAATGCCTCAAAGTTATTTTCAGGCAAAGACGCAATATTAAAAGTGATGCACAATTTGAAATAGAAGCTATTTTAGTCTTGATCAAGGATGCATTAGGGATTTTAGGAAATTTGCTTGGGTCATTTCATGGTATGAGAACTATTTATTGTAGATTGGCATTGTGTCCCATTTATATTAAACCTATATATTGAATCTATTTTATATACAGCTTTCTAACTAATAAGACTGTTAAATACTGATAATCAATTATAACCTTGCATTGAAGCCACGGATCTGCTACTTAAGAAGAAGGATTACTGAGCAGTGGCCATCAGCACATTTATTCAAAGAGATGATAATAATTTTTTCCCCTGGCAAACAACAAGCCTACTGTATCACCCCAGACTGCTTTTAAATGGATGTGGGTTTGCAACTCCTAAGGATAAAATTAAAACATGTACATTCTCTCATACCAGCATTATTTATCAAAATGACAGTGTGACCATTTTTCTTACAGCTTAAAATGGCACATTGATGATAATTACTTTAATCTATTTTTTAGCACACTATAAGACACTTGAATTGCTGATGTAATTTTGAAGTTAATCTTTATTTATAGTCATAAGTCTCCTGTGGTGTAAGGATTGGTCATTCATAACAAGTCAAATAGAATATCTATTCATGGACTATGCCAACGAGGAGTAGATGCTCAATTTAGAAGGAAGAAGCGGAATAGAAAACAGAACTTGTTAACTTCTTCTCAAACTTTTCATGCAGTTTTCTAGATTAACCTTCCTACAAACAAAGTTCATTTATCTTTTTATTAGAATAGAAGAGCAGATCTCCTGACTGGCATAGAAGAACAGAAACCTATCTGGGTATAGGAAAAGCTCATGCATTTTTTTACCATTAATTCCGCATACATCTTGTATGTATGTTCTATGAGCCAGCAATATGGAAGCTGCTGGAAATAGGACATAAATTTAAAGAATCCTTGGGTATAGATCCCATTTAAGCAGAAACCATGACTGATTTCTTCATTGCTCTATATCAATGATAGAAAAATGGGGACTCCACAATTATTTACAGAGTGAATAAGAAAGACATAGTCTCTAACTTCAACAATTTTATGACCTAATAGAAAAGTTATCACCAAAAAAAATTCATATATTTTCAAAGAATTTAAGATAATTAAAAACAGGAGTGGCTTTTTTAATAGTAAAGCATAGCAGTTATAGATTTCGGATCAGATAAATATGAATGTGAATTTTGGTGCTACCACTTAGTAGCTGTCATACCTGGGCAGGTGTTTGGTATCTAAACCTTGGTTTCATTAGCTATAAAATTAGAATAATCACATTTTTCTGAGTAGTTGTAAAGATTAGACATTATATATATGTATAAAATGTCCATATGTATAAATATATATGATGTCTAGAAAATTTGTTGTTACATAATAGACATTCCATTCATTCATTCATTCATTCATTCAACTGATATTTATGTTGAGCCCCTTCTATAAGTCAGGAACTGGAGATGCAGAAAAAAAAACACACTCTCCTCCGGAATGGAATCTACATTGTGGTACAATTTCTGATAAACTCAGTAGCCCCAAAAGATGGGATCTTTCTCTCTTCGGTGTCACAGAGCCAATACACAAAACCAAAAGGCCAAGGAACGGAGAAGCAAGAGCATGGCTCGCAAATCAACTTCTCAACTACCAAGGGGTAAGGGGGTTAAGACAGAGAATTTCTCTAATGAAGAGGGTGGACAGTAAAAACGAGGGGAGGAATACCTATGTCTTTTCTGGAAATGGCTGGTGGACCTCTCAGAACCAGCATGCCACCTTCCTTTTTGTCCTTTTACAGCTTCTTCTGGTTATTGTCATGGTGATTGTCAACTGTCATGATGCTGGTAGGAGTGTCATTTAGCATGGAAATGAAATTAAAATAAAGCATCAGGTATTTGGGGGGTCCTTCAGTCAGCTGTCTCACTTCTAACCATTCT
Source organism: Homo sapiens (assembly GCF_000001405.40). Lineage (NCBI taxonomy): Eukaryota > Metazoa > Chordata > Mammalia > Primates > Hominidae > Homo > Homo sapiens. Next base: position 2,055,302 of record NC_000018.10, read on the forward strand.
CAGCTTGTCTAGTTACAAGGGGAACTTCTTACCGAAGGCATGCTGTATTTTAAAGATAAGCAGCATGAGAACAAGGTAGAAATTCAGCTAGGTCACACAAGCTTTACACTGGGCAACAGTACGTTAGTTAAACATGTTTTGAAGAAAGCATTAGAGTAGGGGAGGAGTGTTGTTCAGAGAAGATGGTTGGAGGGGCCTCTCCAAAATGGTGACATTTGAGCAGAGACCTGGATAAAATGATAGAGAGTTACATGGCCACATAGAGAAAGCCCATTCCATTAACGGGAGGAAAAGTGCAAAGGCTCTGAGGCAGGAACATGCCAGGAACATAATAACTGGTGAGCTAGAGTGAGACAGAACAAGAGGGTAGGAAATGAGATCAGAGAGCAGGCTCCAAACCACAGAGAGCTTGCAGGTGATCCAAGGCCTTCGGTTTTTACTCTAAAAGATGGGAAGCCATTGGAGGGATGTGAGAAAAGCAAGGACATGATGTTTTATGTTTTTTAAAAGAATCCCTGGCTGCCTTGTGAAGTCAAACCTTTAGGGAAGCCAGGATAGAAGGAAGAAAACATTGTTGATGTTAATGCCCTTCATCAACAGCTGATTGGTAGTATTTAAATCAAAACTTTTTAGGAAGCTGGCATAAAGCCAAACAAATGATGTTTGGATGGAGCTCAGTGTTTGGCCCCAGTGTTTGGCTAGTTTTGCCTCCGCATATTGGCTGCTCTGCCACGGAAAATGCTACCAGCTGTTTCCCTCTCACTGCCCCAACCCTGGCCAGGTCCTGATCTTTGCTTTGCTTGACCCTGCGCAAATTCTTTTCAGAGACTGAATTCTCAACATTGAAGATATAAAGGGACTTGTATCAGACAATTCCATCCTATGGTGATGTAAACCCAGAAAAATCAGAGACAGGTCTCAGTTAATTTAGAAAGTTTATTTTGCCAAGGTTGAGGATGCACCCGTGACACAGCCTCAGCAAGTCCTGACAACATGTGCCCAAGGTGGTCAGGGCACAGCTTGGTTTTATACGTTTAGGGAGATATGAGACATCAATCAATATATGTAAGAAGTACATTGGTTTGGTCTGGAAAGGCAGGACAACTTGAAGCAAAGGCAAGAAGACTCAAGGCGGGGAGGAAGCTTCCAGGTCACAGATAGGTGAGACACAAAGGGTTACATTCTTTTGAGTTTCTGATCAGCCTCTCCGAAGAAGGCAAATCAGATGTGTGTCTATCTCAATGAGCAGAGAAGTGACTGAATAGAATGGGAGGCAGATTTGCCCTGAGCAGTTTCCAGCTTGAGTTTTCCTTAGTGATTTTGGGGGCCCAAGATATTTTCCTTTCACAGTGAAAATCAAAATGAGTGACTGAGACAAAAGTCTCAGTCAATCAAGGTTTATTTAGCCAGATTTAGGGCATGTCCCAGAAAAAAAAAAAAAAAAAAACGTGAACCACAGAAGAGCCTGGGGCTTTTTCTCAAAGAGGTTTTTAGGAGGTTTAGTATTTCTACATTCCTTAAAGGTGGGAAAGGCACGTAAGAAGAGGGGCAGGTAGGCAGTCAGGCGAAAGGTTTCATACTTGTAAGACTTTAATTTCCTGCCCAGGAAATCTACATTTTACATAAGATAAGGTGAATGTTTGAAGAGAAAAGGGGAGCAGAGGAAGAGTCACTTACAAAGACATCTTTGGGTAGGTGGAGGAACTGATCTCCTCTTATTTTTGTTTTACAGCTGGGAAGATAAGCTTACAATTGACATTATCAGTGTGGGATGAACTTTAGTTTTAGACTTTAGTTTTAGGGGCTAGACTTGGATTTGTAGACCTAAAGCTAAAAGTGGCATGTCCTTGTTTATGGGAGGTCAACAAATAATTTACTTATGAATGAGCTGTGGAGGCAATCATTCATAGATGCCGGAGGCCTTTTACCTTTCCGTGGGGATCCCACTAATACATAATGCCAGCAACAGCTATTCATTTGGAAGAAGGTGTTGTCTGACTCAGCCTCCCAGCTTCCTTTTTGCATAAAGAGTCTGGGGGTCCTGAAATTTTTAGATTTTCCTTTACAGTGGAATAACTTCAGGTATCAGCTTGTCAGATGAATCTGAGGAAAACTCAAGGAATAAAGACAAAATGTGAGTAAAACTTATGGCTTTCCTCCTGGTTAAAACCCCAAGTATAATATGTGTACATAATATTTTATCACTTACTGAGTTGTTTTAATGAGCAAAGGAACCTTCTTTTGCAAGTCGTCACTCAGAAAGTGACATAAGACTCCAGTGTATTTGTTGCTTAATAAACTTATCTTCCAGTTCTCTCATTCTTTCCACCTCCTCTCAAGGTGCGAGCCAGAGTCTCCTCTTCAGGACACTGACTAGTATATTGCTTAAGTGTCCATCTCTCTGCTTGCCTCTGCTTTCCTCTGGCCAATAAATGGGTAACTATTATGGGACAAGAGTCGAGAATATTGGCTTAGAAAATTTTCTTCCACAGCAACTTCAGCCGTTACATCCTCAGAAGAAAGAATTCAACTGAGGGGCATAAAGCAGAGAAAGAGACTGAGGCAAGCTCCAGAGCAGGAATGGAAGTTTATTAAAAAGTCTTTAGAACAGGAAAGAAAGTAAAGAACTCTTGGAAGAGATCCAACTGGGCGCCTGAATGTCAAAAAGAGAAAAGAAGATCCTTTAACCTTGACCCTGGGACATTATAGGCTTGCCCCTTTCCTGTGATTCTTCTTTTCAGGTGGGCTTTCTGTATGCGTGGTGCCCTCCTTACCCTTGGGAATTGAGCACATGCAGTGTGTTTAGGGAGTTATAGGCATGCCCATCTGAGGCTTTCTTCCCTTTTCCAGTGGAGTGTGCCTCTGGAAGATCATTCTTCTCCATTTTTGTCTCTTTACACACATTCCCAGGAAGTTGCTTCTCCCTGGGGCCTGCATTCAATTAATATTGTGATGTTAACAGGTGTGGGCCATCTGGAAATGAACTCTCCCTGGCACTGCCAAATTATCATTTTTAGAGAGGCAAAGCGATAACTGCCAAACCGTCACCTGACATTTCTAATGGCTTGCACATGACTACCTGTAACAAGTCCATACAGCAAAGTGAAAGCAAGTTTACTAAGAAAGTGAAGGAATAAAGAATGGCTACTCCATAGACAGAGCAGGCAGTTCCCAAAAGGGGAGGGACATGCCCACCTTAGGTACAATGCTTGTTTATATCATGGGGAGATGTATTCTATTACAAGGGTTTGTGATAACAGATTAATTTTTCTAATTACTATATTTTGCAAGTTTTTTTTTTTTTTTTTTTAGATGGAGCATCACTCTGTCACCAGGCTGGAGTGCAGTGGCACAATCTCAGCTCACTGCAACCTCTGCCTCCCAGGTTCAAGCAATTCTCCTGCCTCAGCCTCCTGAGTAGCTGAGACTACAGGTGTGCACCACCATGCCCATCTAATTTTTGTATTTTCAGTAGAGATGGGGTTTCACCATGTTGGCCAGGATGGTCTCCATCTCTTGACCTTGTGATCCTCCCGCCTCTGCCTCCCAAAGTGCTGGGATTACAGGCATGTGCCACCACGCCTGGCTATATTTTTATCTTTAAAGCAAAATTAGGAATGCTTTTGTCCTCAAGATATTGGGATATCAGGATATTCCTGAGTCTGGGTCTGTTTAGTAAATGTTATCAATCTGTTCCCTTAACTGTAAATATCTAGAGGTTAGGAACATCTAACTTCTGGGAAATGCAGCCCAGCAATTCCCAGCCTCATTTTACCCAGCCCCTAGTCAAGATGGAGTTGCTCTGGTTCAAACACCTCTGACTCAAGGACCTCTGCCTTCATTGACGATTTTGTCTCTTCATTTTTGCTGTAACAATCCTACTCTGACACAATGGAAACCTAATATCTAACAGAAAGAATAATGAGGTGAAAAAAGAATTTGCACAAGAAAAAAGAAACAAGTAATTTATTATTTCAAATAATAATCCAGAAAACTCTACTATTTCCATTTTATAGGTGAGAACACTGAGCCCTAAAAAGGTTAAAAAACTTGCTTACATTACATAGTTCATTGACAGCAGATTTAGTACTCAAATTGATATCTAACTTCCTCAAATTCATGTTGTTAGTTACCACATGACCAGTATCGTCCCCATTGTTATGCACGAGAAACCTAAACCTGGAGGGATTAAGTGATTTATTCAAGATCACATCATTAACATACTGCAGAGCCAGAAAGAGAACCCAGATTTTCCACATCTTACCAGTTGTATTTCCATATCGCCCATCCATTTTCTGTCTTGAATTTCCCATTCATCCACAGAAAGTAGTAGTCTTGAAGTTGTGCCGTGGAATTAATGGAGTTAATATTCCCAGTTAGAGGAAAAATTTCATTATTTAACACTATTATAAAATAAAAATGGTATTTCCACAGTAATCATCCGTATTTACTTATGATTTTATCCTATCATTTTCAAAACAACTTTCAGGGCAACACATATTAATAATACAATAACAATGATGACTATATGATAATCTCAAATAATGCCACATGTAAAATTGAATATTAATGAATATTTCTATGACTTTGACAACAGAAAAAAACGACGTTTTTGGCGTACAAAATGCCCTAATCATTGCTCTGATATTATGAAAAAGCTAGCATACCTCCCAACGTGCCTTCTAGTTTTTTAGAAATGATTCTCTCCACAGCTGGGTCTGACCTCCAGAGCTGCTGGAGAAGATCTATTGTAGATTCTTTGTCTGAAAATAATTAAGCTCAGGAGAGTAAACAAGGAAAAGAGATATTTTTCTTGGTAGATACAAACATTAACATTTGACCCATGGTAACAAAGTAATAGTGACAGCTTAACTATTGAAAGAGAATCTTTTATATTTGCAGTTTATAAATATTTGCTGCTTACTTCCCTCCCCTATTCAATATTCTCTGTTTTATGTTTTGTAAACAACCCAGAAATCTCCACAGCAACAGTCATAGTATCAAAACCACATTATAGCTTTGAGTTTGGAAATGTGTAGGGTGAAATCTCAAATTTTCTTGGCTGTAGTGTAATACGAAAAGGAAAGATTTTTCCAGGGACTTTGTATGGTCAATATTACATAAGCATAGTCACAGCTCAAAACCATGTATTAAATCTTGTTCTAATAAGCCACTATTAACAGTACATTTAAAGAATATTTTAACTTATAATTTTTATGAAAATAAAACTTAAATCAGCCAAATGTGCAATCCCACAAACTAGATTGAACAACTTGTTCTGGGGCTGTCATTTCATTTTTACTGTCTACATCTCACTCTTACAATCTTATAATGTCCTCTTTGAGTGTACTTTTGTCTAATTACATAAAAATCTATAACACTACCAAATTATTTTCAAGAATATCAGTAAATAAGTTACTGTTTTGTCTCTATCATCTCATAGGACATCGGAGTGGTACCTACGACAAATGGTCATAGAGGAACGCCTCTCCCAAAGAGCTCCGGAAGAAAAGAGCCCAGTGGTAAACAACCCATATACTCTGCAAAAATAAGTAAACAAAACGTTTGATAATGCATTGAAATCATCTTTTTAAATGATTTCCTGAGAGAGCAAGAAGTCAAAGAATGCACAGAAGCTGAAAACAAGAGAAAAAGAAGACACTTGGAAGATAATAAAGGCCTAAAGCCAACTTTTCCCTAGGAAGCATCTGCTCAATCATGATAATCTCCAGTTTCTGTTTTCATGGAAGTGCAGAACATAGGAAATAGGTAATAAAATCAAGGACTACCCAAAATGAAAGATTTCACAGATCTCTTCATAAAATTGATGAAAATCCTGGAGGGTGAAATCAACCAAACAGAAGGATCAGCAAGTAAGCTAAATTCTCTAAGGTTCCCTGACTAGTAAACACAATTTGGCTTTTATAATCTATATTTTCAACCTGCATTCCTTCTACATATATGGTCAACAAAGATTTTTAAGTGATATCAAATTGGAAATACAATCAGGTGACTGATAGAAGCCAACAGAATTCCTCTCCAGAGAACGCAGTCATATCCAGGCCTCAAAGAATTATCACAGCTGAAGTTCCAAGAAACATGAGTTCATGATAGAAAATCATGAAATATGTGAGCATATAGGGTGAAATTAATGAGAGTCAGCCAAAACAAGATACCAGCAATAACTATAAATATTGAAATTAAATTAATTAGGAGAATATAAAATTAGCACTTTCTATGTTTCAATCAATAAGATATTTACTGAAATTATGAGCAAGGGACAACAGACTATATAAATTAAATAATAAAATTGGAAATAAGTGAAATTTTTTTTAGAAATGAAAAATAAAATAATTGAAATGTAAACAGATTAACAGATTACAGGTTAACAGATTAACAGGTTAACACATTAAAGAGAAAACTAGGTACAGCTGAAGAAAAATTTAATGAACTAGAAGATAGATGCAAATATAGTATGCTGAAATTAACCCTAAATGCAAATATATTGAAAATATGAAAGCAGTTAGAAGGAGTGAAAAGATCTAACCATACGTTTGATCAGAGAAACAAAAAGATATGGTACAAAATAATTAAACTAAGGCAATAATCAAAGGGATAGAAACAAATAATTTTTGAACTATAGAAAGACAGAAAAACCTCAGATCACAGAAACCTACTGATTGTCTTACAGAAAAAATGTGTATATTATCTATATCTGTACAATTAGTCACCAGATATTTTTGGTGAATTTTAGAGCACTAAAGCCAAGTGTGATATTTAAAGAAGTCTGTGATAAGAAGAATTATTTTAAACTGATAGCTACAATAGAAAGCAGAAAAAGTAAAAGACTTTTTAATCTTCCTTAAAAAATGTTAATCTAAAATACTATACTAACAAAGCTGTCTTTCAAGAATAGTAATGAAATTTTGTTTTCAGCAAAAAAAAAATCTAAATGGAATGTTTACTATAAATTCTCATTAGAGATCTAAACATCTGCTTCATTCAAAAAGAAAATTATCATAGAAGTTCTGAGATGCAAAAAGAGAATAATGGGTAGTAATTTTGGTAAATCTATGAATCATTATTTTTAAAATAATTATAATGTTTAAAGAATGGTATTAAAAACACAGATTAAGGGAAAACATTAGATAGAAATAGAATACAATTAAGTTGGAGAGTTGTGATGAGTTAAAGCATTTTAACATACCAGTTAAAAAGGGTAAAGTAGAAGGTAAAGATATTGATCAACTTTACACATTATTTAGTTACATATGCATATAAAACTATCTAAAGTTATTTAAAATAAATATATAAAAAAGAAGGTGGTGCAAGATGGCAGAATAGGATTTTTCAGTAATTGTCCTGCAGAAACATCAATTTGAACAACTATTCACACACAAAAAAATCTTCACAAGAGCTAAGGAAACCAGATGAGAGATTACAGTACCTGACTATAGCACAATAATAAGAAAAGATGCATTGAAGAGGGTAGGAAGACAGTTCCACATTACCCATATCACCTCTTCTCCAATCCCAGGCAACACTGTGTGGAAAAAGATACCATCTTATTGGAGGAAAGAAAGGAAAGTGAAGGAATTTGCTTTGGACCCCAATAGTGGGTCTGCCACCATAAAACAAGGCATTGAGCAGAACTCCATGGCCTCTGACTTCAGGCTGGTATTCATGGACTCAACCTCCAGACACGACCTGGTAGCAGACAGAAACCTGTATCCCCTGTGAGGTGGATCTGAACTCCAGTTCACATCATTGCCAGTCAATCACAGTGACCTTGAGCTCCAGACAACATTCAGTTATAACAGGTCTTAGCAGCAGTGGACTTCAGGTACAAGCCAACATTGCAACAGATTCAGAAGCCAGAAGATTTAGGCACACACCAGCTCTGCACCAGCCTCAGCAGCCATGGGATTCCAGCTTGATGCCATACCATTCACAGTGGCCCTGAGTTTAGGGAGCATCAGATGGTCTGCTTAGAATCTCTGGACAGGCTCACTGTTGAAAGCCATTCCCAGACAAAGCCAGTCTGTGAAGAATGAAATATGTACCTATTTCTTCAAATGTGCAGACATTAATGCACGGCCACAAAGATCAAGAATAATCATAGAAACATGACATCATCAAATGAACAAAATACAGTGCCAGTGCCTTACCCTAAAGAAATGGAGATGTACGAACTGTCTTATGAAAATTCAAAATAACTATTTTTTATCAAACATCAAGGAAATAGAAACAATTCAACAAAATGATGAAGACAATAAATGACCAAAATAAGAAAATTAACAGAGAGATTATTATAATTTCAGAAAAATCTAACAGAAATCCTGAAACTAAAAAATACAGTGAATGAAATTAAAAGTAAAATAGCATCAACAGCAGAATTATCAAGCAGAAGAAAGAATGAGTGAACTCAGGGATGGGTCATTTGAAAATATGCAATCAGAAGAGAGAAAAAAATGAAAGGAACAAAGAAACTTTTGTTGCTCAAGATTTATGGGACAACATCACAAGAGTAAACGTCATAGGAGTTGAAAAAGGAGAAGGAAAAAGGAGTAGAAAGTTTAAGAAAATAATATCAGAAAACTTTCCAAACCTGGAGAAAGATATAAATATTCAGGTACAAGAAGGGCAAAGATCTTCAATAATAATGAATTCAAATAAGACATAATATAATCCAAGACATGGTTTTTGTGATCTACATTGTTGTTATCAGCATAAAATAATATAACTATAAGATGTTTTTTGTAAAACTCATGGTAACCAGAAAGCAAAAACCTATAGTGAATGCACAAAAAAAAGAAAGCAAGGAATCAAAACATACCACTAAAGAAAATTAGTCACAGAAGACAATAAAAGACTAAGAAAGAAACACAGATCTACAAAACAACTAGAAAACAATAAAGAAAATGGCAGTAGTAAGTTCTTACCTATCAATAATTACCTTGAATGTAAATAAATTAAATTATGCAATCAAAAGACATAGAGTGGCTGAACAGGAAAAAAAGAAAAAACAGTTATATGCTGTCTACAAAAGACTCACTTCACCTGCAAAGACACAGACTGAAAGTAAAGATATAGAAGAAGATATTCCATGCAAATGGAAATCAAAAGAGAGCAGAAGTAGCTACACTTATATTAGAAAAAAATAGACTTTAAGTCAATGGTTGTCACAAGAGACAGGAAGGAATTAAATAATGATAAAAGAATCAATCCATCAAGAAGATATAACAATTATATATACACCCAACATCAGAGCACAGGCAGCTGTAGCAAAAATGAACAAGTGAGATTATATCAAGCTAAAAAGCATCTGCACACCAAATGAAACAATCAACAGAGTGAAGATTCAACATAAAACATGGGGGAAAATATGTGCAAACTATATATCTGATAGATCAATATCTAAAATATACAAGGAACTCAATAGCAAGAAAAGAATATTCTGGATTAAAAATGGGCAAAAGATTTGAATAGACAGTTCTCAAAACAAGACATAAAATTGGCCAACAAGTATATGAGAACATGCTCAACATCATTAATCATCAAGGAAATGCAAATTAAAACCACAATGAGATAATCACCTCACACCTGTTAGATTGGCTACTATCAAAAAGGTGAAAGATAACAAATGTTGGTGAGAATGTGAAGAAAGGGGAACATGTTTACATTGTTTGTGGATATGTAAATTAGTATGTATCCTGTTTCAAAAACAGTATACAATTTGCATAAAAAATTAAAAATAGAACTAACATATGACCCAGCAATTCCACTACTATGTATATAATCCAAAAGAAATGAAATCAGTATGTAAAAGAGATACCTGCACTCCTATGTTTATTGCAGCATTATTCACAATAGCCAAGATATATAATCAACCTAAGTGTCCTTTAATAGATGAATGGATAAAGAAAATGTGTGTGATATAGATACGCAATGAAATACTATTCAGTCATAAAAAAGAAGGAAATTATGCCATTTGTGACAGCATGGATGAACCAGGAGAGCACTATATTAAGTAAAATGAGCCAGGCATAAAAAGACGAATACTGCATAATCTCACTTATATGTGAGATTTAAAAAAAAAAAAAAAAAGTTTATTTGGTAGAAGTAGAGGGTAGAATGGTGATCACCACAGGTACAGGGTTGGGGGAGGGGAAAAGAGATATTGTTCAAAGAATACAAAATTTTAGCGAGATAGGAGGAATAAGATCAATCAAAAGATCTATTTTACAACGTGGTGACTATAGTTAAGAGGAATATATTGTATTCTTATAAAATGCTAAGAGAGTGAATGTTAAAGGTTCTCACCACAAAAATGATAACTATGTGAGGCAATGCAAAGTTTAATTAGCTAAATTTAACCATTCTGCAATGTATATATACTTCAAAAATATGTTTTACATGATACATACATACAATTTTATCTGTAAAAGTAAAATAAATAAATAAGTAAAAAAGTTTGAATTGACAAATGAATAGTGTAATTTTCAAAATATTAATTATAATGGAGAGCCAATGAGAAAAATATGCAAACAAAACAAACAAAAACCCAAAGCAATAAAACAATCCAAATGAAAGTTTAACAAAAAGGGTAAAACACAAAATTTCTCAAAAGTAAGAACTGGTAAAAATTAAGATATAGAAATAAATCCAAGTATACCAATAATTATAAAAAGGGATAAACTTTCCTGTTAAAAACAAAACTGTCTCACCAAGTTCTTTAAAACTCCAGTTTAAGTCATTTATAAGTGACTCTGTGAAATACATACAGACACAGAAAGTTTATATGAAAGGATAAAAAATATGTACAAGGCAAATACAAACCAAAAGAAAACTGGTGTTGCTTTATAAATATTGTATAAAATAGATTTTGAGACAAAGCATTACTAGATTTAAGAAAAATAACAGCTTTTTTACAAAAGATTAAATTCACTAAGAAGATAAAATAATTCAAAATCTTGATGTATTTAAGAACAAAACCTCAAATTATATCATCAAAAAATTGACAGCTCTGCAAGAGGAAGATAAATTCCAACAAGATTTGAACACTGTAGTTAACAAGCTTGCTCTAAGGAACATATAGAACATTATATCCAACAGTTAAGAGACTACAGTTTTTTTCCCTAGGTACACATCAAATATTTACAAAAATTTACCAAATGCCAGGCCATAAAGCAAGTCTCAGCAAATTAATAATAGGCATCCTACCGACTACGCTCCTTGATCAAAATATAATTTAGTCAATTAAAAAAAAAGAAACATTTTTTACACGTCAATTTTCTAAACAATATTCTGCTCAGCTCTTCCACTATCCTTTTGATCATATCTGCAAACATGGGTGGGTGCCCATTTTGTGATACACAATGTGCCTGGCCCTGGGAAAGCATCAATCAATAAGACAAAGCCCTTGCCTTGATAAGTTTCACAATCTAGTGGGACAGACAGTAACATAAATAGAGCAATTAATGACAAAGATGTCCCTGCTTATGCCAAAGTGATTGGTCTGGATGTATTAATGATGAAAAATGAGGAAAGACATGTCATAGATGCTATGAATACACACACATAGAAACAAATTTGCAATACCTCCAGAATCCCAGACTTTAACACAAAAAGAGTCATTAAAATATTGCCTAACTTATCTTACTCTAAATCATACTTTGTAACAGATTGAGATTTTAATTTTTTACTAAATTCAATATTTTTAGAAATCCAGTGTTTAAAAGAAATAACACAGGAGGTATACACATCCTCTAACTTACTCAATTAACCCGCCTGTGAACTGTTATGAGCATGACTTTCTTTGCATTTCAATGAGAAAAAGTGGATGATATCTGGCTAAGGCAAGGTGTATGGAATGGTTGGTTTACTTTTCTATGCACCTACTAGTAGTCCCTGCTCAGATTTTTTTCTCCATCTCAGCTGTTTACACCTAGCACTTAATTACCTGTAGACTCCCCTGCTTTCTCCTGGGACCATGCGCAGTATACCAATAGCCTATATCCCAAATCAAAAAATATTTAAAATAATTATTTCACTGTTCAATGTCTGAAACTAAAGATGCCAAGCACTTTCAGAGCACCATAGAGTGGCATCTCTGCTTCCCAAATTCTTTTTTTTTTTCTTTTTGAGATAGAGTCTTGCTCTGTCACCCAGGCTGGAGTACAAAGGCACAATCTTGGCTCACTGCAACCACCCCTCCCAGGTTCAAGCAATTATCCTGCCTCAGCCTCTCGAGTAGCTGGGATTGTAGATGCCTGCCACCACGCCCAGCTAATTTTTGTATTTTTAGTAGAGATGAGGTTTACACCGTGTTGGTCAGGCTGGTCTCGCACTCCTGACCTCAGGTGATCCATCTACCTTGGCCTCCCAAAGTGCTGAGATTACAGGTGTGAGCCACTGCGCCTGGCCCCCAGTTCCCTTTTAATAGAGTAAGCCTATTGGCCCATCTTCGTCTCAGGTCTCATGGGTAACCAGAAGAAGTTCTATCCCACCACATCGCTGAGGAAGAGTGGTGGTAACTAGAAGCACCTGAAAAGGAACACCTACCTGCAACCCAGTCAGCTGAAAATAGCTTTTCTTTTTTCTTTATGTCAAATAGCAAGATCATTGTTCTCCTCAGTTTAAAGTCAATATTCGCTCCCTCCACCCCCATTTTGCTTCTTGCTAATTTTTCTCTCTATGTGTTGAATAAATCTTCAGTCTCAGCATGCCAGGGTTATGAACTCTGTGGGAACTTTAGTAGAAGCCTCTTCTGACAATATGGGCAGGGTACTATTATGCAGAACCATACTTTGTTTTGTGCTCTTCCTGGACTATGGAAATTGGACACCAAATATGGCCCAGGCTGTCTTAACTGAGTCACCAAGATTGTGCTTCCTGAAGCTCTTCTGCCTACCACCTCCAAATGGCACTTCAGCCAGATCCATCTCAAGGAGACAGAATAGCCCCAAGTACATCTTAATTGCCATATATAAAAAGTAAGAGAAGGTAGAAATGGGCTTCTTTAAGGTCCTCTATCTGGTGAATAGCCAGTACAAGAACTGGAATATTTAGCCATCTCTCCATCATTCTATACCTGAAGCACTCGAGGATGAAGGAGGCAGAAGGGATAGAAGATACAACAGAACAGCCATAATGAAATGAAAAAACTATAGCCTAGTGGTTAAGAGCTTGGCCCCAAAAGCCACACTACCTGAGTTCAGAACCCTGGGCTATGCCACTCAAAAGCCCTGTGACCTTTGACAAGTTAGTTATTCTTTCTGGGCCTTGTCTCCTCACCTGTCAAATGGAGAGAACCTTACCCCTTAGGGTTGTTGTGAAACTCTACTGCTTGTGGAGATGGTAAAAGCTCAGTAAATATCATTTTCTAGATTTTCTAAAGATCTATTATTTTCAAGAATACTATTATTCTTCTTTCTGAAATAAATGATAATTTTTTCCCCAAAAAGTTCTGTGTTCCACATGATAGAAGCAGATGAAATAGTGAAAGTTCTGTTAACCAACTATTTAACCACAAACAACTCCTTTGCATTTTCCAGGGAACAGATGGACCTTTCAAGACCAACTTGAAGGCTATAAATAGACTCACTATTTTGTCATGACACAAGTCTTAGACAAAACTGGGTTTTAATGCTCCTTCTTTAAGAATTGTTATTCATATTATCCATGGAGTTATTTCTGTACTAAAATAATGAATTGCTATCTCAACTTGAAGCCAAAGCATAGTTCAAAAATAAATTTAGGATGAGCATCCTTTTAGTTCTGCACAGTCCAATACAGTATCCAATAGGCTATTTAAGTGTGGCTATTTAAATTTAAATGAACTAAAAATTAAATAAAATTTAAAACTCAGCCCCTTAGTCACACTAACCATGTATCACGTGCTCAAGAGCCACATGTGGCTACTGGATCCTTCCTGTTGGATAGCATTGTAGATTATAAACTGGAGTGTCTGGTACCACTTCTCAGCTAATCTAACCTGATTAGTAAAACCATTAAAAAGTCACTGGTGAAATCAATCTTCAATTTAGAGTCTAGTGTGATAATTAAGAAATCTTACTTTACAATTATCTATATTCATTATTCCCAAGCAAATTTTATAGGCTATCACATCTGTATTTTTCAGTTCTAACATCAGGAAATTACACAGTACCATATGTTTTCAAGACAGTTGCTAATTTGAAACACACATATGAGATATCCCAAGCCACCATTTCTTTCCATAATCATATATAAACTATGCAAATGATTACTGGTCCAGACTCCCCAAGCAAAGTCTACAGAGCAAAATGACACTTCAGTGTCATTGAGGAAATTTGTACTGTAAGGGTAGCAAATATAAACTAATAAAATTATAAAAGTGATTCTTTAGATTTTTCAGAATAAATTTTCTGATATCTAAATTTACTACTTTATATATGCTTTCCTTGACTTCAGCTCATTATATCTGAGTTACCTGCTCTTTCAACACCTTAGTTTCATTACGAAATCGTCATGAACCACTGATCCAGCTTCTCCTAACTGTGAATCAAGCAGCTGCACATCACACACATCTCCCCAGCCCTGGCCCTCCGAGGCCCTGGCCCTCTCTACAGCTGGCCAGGTTAGCAGGTTAGCTTTCAGAGCCTTCAAGAAATCCAATTTATTCCCAGGAACTGCTCTCACACTATTTAAATCCCCTAATCTCATTGTGACCTTCTTGGAGGTAACAAGGTGGTCACATGAATAACAATGAGTCCTAGGTGGGCACTACAAAAGAATACAAAGAAATAAAAATGTCCCTGGTAAAAAAGAATCAGGAGTGGAGTGGATTGGAGGACAGTGGACATTTCCAGGATTTGAGTGATTTCCAAGTGTTAGCACAGAGACTAACAAACTAACTGTCAACTCATGGAGGTAATGATGATGGTGATAATAGTGATAATGATGACAACGACGATGATAATGATGGTGATAATGGAGATGATGTGTTTTCCCAAGCCTATCTCCAAAGTATGGGAGAAATAAAATTCGAACCCCTATTTGTGACTCCTAGTCTGATGCTCTAATTCATGCTGCCTACACTCATTCAATGGTAAACACACCTTGCTACTAGTTTACTTTGTGTATTCATAGACATGAATCTCCTCAAAGACCCCAGAACTAAACTTCAGTGAACAGAATGTACACTGGATAAAGTCACCCCATGTAATAATTTCTCCTGGCTATAGGTCTGTTATGTGCTAATTTGTCAACAGCTTGTTTTCAAGATGTGGTTATGAAGAACGTGACTCTTTATTCTGGACGAAGTGGAAGCCCCAGAAGCCACCTGGCTCATCAGGGGTGGACGCCTTGTTTTTCTATTAGAAGTTCTCATTTTCCTGTTTTACTTTGTCTTGAATGACGTTGTGCTGTGTCCATATGTTGTCTCCTCTGCCCTCTTGGGTCATTCTGTTCCAGCTCACCAGATCGCAGCTGTTTAATGTCTCCTGCAGGCCTCCATTCTTGGCACATGCCCAAACTAGTGCCACAGCAACCCTATTCCAGGTAGGAAACTGGCTACTTTCCAGGGCGTCATTGTTGTTACAGTGTCCTTAAATGTCTGACCTTTCCACCTCTGTAGATTTGTTTCCATTTAAAAAGCCTGGAGGATTTACAATAGCACTTCCTGTAGTACCAATGTGATAAAAGCAAGGACACCTGGGGAAAACTATCTTTTTTTTTTTTTTTCACTTTTACATTCATTTCAGATTTAAGGTCGTCAACCTCATGTATCCACTAAAATGGAACTTGTGCCTCCATTCAAATATATGAGGAAATTTATACTTCTCTTGAATTTTGAGATATTCTCTTTCAAAAGCTTCATCACATAAAAATCTATCCATTTTGCTATCACCTATTCATATTCAGGAATCTGGATTTACAATGTCACACGCAATATTATAAAAGTATTCTACAAACTGATCATATGCCATCTGCTTATGAATAATAATTAGCAGCCCCCTCTCCCACCCCAGGAACACCTGTCTCATTTTACCGCCAGCCTATTTAGAGCCAAGCGTCATTGTTACCTGGATCTTGATCCTCTTTTTCCTGATTAATGTACTTATTTAGACCTACTATTTAAAGTTTATAGACAAGCTCTGAGCACTACTGGATAGAGAGCCCAGAAGGAAAGTCAAGATGCCAATGCTAATTTTAGATGATTTTACTGGTCAGTCGACCCAATGTCAAATTGCTAGATTTTCACACTGCCACTCCTATGGCAACCCAATTAGCAAAAAGCTCCTAGCTTGCAAGAAGAGTTTTCATGAGTATCCTTAGAAAACATACTTCTTATTCAAGGAAGTATGAGTAAAGAAAAAAATAGAAAGTTTTTTGTTTGTTTGTTTTGGGGTTTTTTTGTTGTTTAATAGAGGGTTTTATGTTTGTTTCTTTGTTTGTTTATTTGCCCATGTATCTTTCTATTCTTGAAGCCCAAGGAGGAATGTCCATTTTCTCTTGAAGTCATGAGGCATATTTTCTTATTATGATTCTCATAAATAGAAGGGTGCCATTTGGAAAAGTGGAGATCATCTTCATCCTGGTGGTATTAAAACAAACTTTTTTTGTGCTTTTCAAGTTTTAAAGACCTCAACAAACTTGAGATGTGCATAGATAATTCAAGACATTTTATTTTACAAATTGGAAATTGGACAGAAATTTTGACTTGCTGCAAACAAATTTTCTTCAAGAAATATAGTAATGCATCAGCTCATGCTTTTTCTTAGCATACCTCTGGATGCAAGAGACACAGTTTGTTGTTCATATCAATAGAAACATTTCAACAACAAAATCTCTTCCCTTTTGTAATATCTGTACATCTGATGGCATTATTCCTGCACCACTAATTATTCAGAATGGTCTGTAGTTTGCTATGTATCACATTTTTTTAATCACTCAAGGAATTGTTAACCTATATAACATTCTTCACTGCTACTTGCCACTCCCATGAAAACTCAAAGTCAGCTATTACTAGAATTACTTTTCCTAAAAGCTCCATGGAAGCCTTGGAGTAGCTAACACTTTGAAATAAAAAAGAAAAAACTCATTTTTGAGGCCTTTCACTTATTAAGTTATTTTTTATGAAGACCTTGGCATAATTTTATCACTAGTGGTAAAGATTGTTTTCTGTTATACACCATGAATGAATGAAGTTCTTTCCCATATAGTATTTATTGTACAGTAATTTCACATGCAAATCTATACAAAATACACACAAAACACAACAGTGAAAAATGTGACATAATCAGTAGTCAGAAGGCATCATGCCACATGTCTATCCCATTGCCAGCATCTTCTACTTCAATATCTATTCCACCTACATTTTTCTCCAATTTCCACCCTTTTTCACATCATATGATTTGTTGTGGTATGTAAGAATAGGAGAATTACTCATGAACTTTTCTAATTTTTTTATTAAAAAGAGAGAAAATATTAAAATAATCATTCCTGACTTACAGCCAAAGCTTTTATAAACTATTTCATTCAATATTTATCTGGGGTGCTAGGTTGAGAAGTTTACCAACTGAAGCTCCTTCTTATTAAGCAATAGGGCAAAATAAAGATTTTGCCTACAGCTCAGTTATTGCTCTTAAAAAGCTTTTAATTTAATCTATGATCAAATAAAATGTCCCAATAGGTTGATTTCTGTGTTCATTGAGTAAGTCAACTACTTTGACTTCTAAATCATTTTTCAAAATGTTAATCATGCTAAAAATAAGAACATAAAGGCAAATATAAATCAGACAAAGTGTCTATAAATTAATTGCCTCTGAATCTTAAGACTAAAAAGGATCATATAATACAATGGTTTTCCAGTTCTGATTCATGGCACACTAGGAATTCTGGAGAAGGGTCTTGAGGGCTGCCTTTGCCAGGGAGAGTGGTAAGTGGAACCCTCCAATCTCATTCAGTTACATCACTCAGCTCTACTCTATTCTACATGTTAGACAGAGTTCAGTGCATTACTTAAAGAAAGGAATTTAGCGGCTGTTTTACTTTGGACTTATATCTTGCATCAGTTTAGATTGTTCAGAGCTGAAGGCAAAAGAGGAAGCCAAAGGTTTTGCTTTTTGTTCTTCAGTTCATGGTTATTAAAATGTATGTTTTAGGGGTTTTCTCAAGGAAGTTTGATCCTTTGGAGAAAACTGTTGATTAGCATGTCTGCTAAGCATTTGTACCACTTTCTTGAAAACAGCCAAGCAATGCCAACTCTAGGTCCCATGTCAGGCATAAGGAAGGCAAGAAGCATCATTGGTAACAAATGGGAGTGGAGGGGGTACAGGATTTGATAGGAAATATAAAATGTGTAAGACGCTTTTAATTGTATTTGTCTCTAAATATCCTAAAATATCAGTCTTGTTGCAATTAACAGGTATCAAAATAAGTTTTAGCCAAAACTAGGAATTGAAAAGGGTCAGAAGACTCAAGAATTGGCAAACTTGGCCGGGCGCGGTGGCTCACGCCTGTAATCCCTGCACTTTGGGAGGCCAAGGCGAGTGGATCACGAGGTCAGGAGATGGAGACCATCCTGGCTAACACAGTGAAACCCCGTCTCTACTAAAAATACAAAAAATCAGCCGGGCGTGGTGGCGGGCGCCTGTAGTCCCAGCTACTCGGGAGGCTGAGGCAGGAGAATGGCATGAACCCGGGAGGCGGAGCTCGCAATGAGCCGAGATCGCGCCACTGCACTCCAGCCTGGGCGACAGAGCGTGACTCCGTCTCAAATAAAAAAAAGAAAAAAAAAAAAGAATTGGCAAACGCTAAAATATTATTGGCCATCAGTTTATCCTTTTATAATACATTCCGTTGAATGGCAAAATCTATTTATGTATTATAAAAGGATATATACATATATGTGTATATATGTAGTACATATCTATAGCATATATATGTATCACAGCTCTTGGATATTAAAATGCATGTTTTAGGGGTTTTCTCAAGGAAGTTTCATATATATACTATATGTATATATATGTATTACACTAGGATATACACATACGGCACATTACATACATATGTATATATTACATATGTATGTAATATGTATATATTCACACAGCGTGCCAGTTTCTTCATAATATCTAATTTAGTCACTCCTTTCAACAAAACATTACTGAATTCCTACTGAATAGCCTATGTGAACATATATGTATATATTACATATATGCAATGTGCCATATGTATATATCCTAGTCTATATATGTATATATCCTTGTATAATATGTATAACATATGTGTATATATGTATTACATATATGTGTATATATATTTGCATATAAGGATAAAGTGATAGCCAATAATATTTTAGGGTTTGCCAATTATTAAGTCTTCTGACTCTTTTCAATTCCTTATCTTGGCTAGAACTTATTTTGATAACCATACTTCTTTTTTTAATTTGCCTTCAAGAAGCAGAATACGTAGTGTTTAATGGCATCCCTTATGAAGGTAAACTATTGCCTAATCAGACAAGGTTTTCCTTTCTATATGTTTCTACAAAGCTCCTTCACTTACTCAGAAGGTAATTTCCTGGTACTTAATCCAGTGATACCACAGGCCAAAATTATCTTGAAAAGTAAAAGTTCATTTCTTGCATCAATTGATCTGAATTATTGGAATGATGCTATCTTTTCACACATCATGCCATTCAATTTCTTCATAGTATCTAATTTAGTCACTTATTTCAACAAAATATTACTGAATGCCTACTAAACAGCCTATGTGAACAGCCCCTATACCACAAGATGGGAGATACTTTTCTTCAAAGATGATTTAACTTTAACAATTAATCGTTCATGAACCTCCCAAAACCTCTCAATGAGAATTCTGAGAATACACAGAGGTAGTCCTTAATCAGGCAATGAAATCTATTTTCTCAGCCCATTTTCAAAACAATGACCCTTTTACCATAAAGATACGATTCTAGGAGCATTCTGTTTAAAGCACAGGTCTTTCTGTCTCTCTTCTCAGACAAAAAGCTGAAGCATTTAATTTGCCTTGGCTCATCTCAAGTATGAGTTTTAGACTGAAAACTACTCTTCATTTATTCAATGGCAGAATCTCTATTAGTCAGCTCTAGTCTGTCTAGTATTTCAAAGCTCCATTTAAGGAAAAAAGAAAAACAGGAACCAGCTTCATTCTTAGATTTTACACAGAGAAATCCCACAAAGTAATCTTCTAGTGGACCAAAGATGGCTAATCTATGCTTCCCTCATGTAAAGGTTTGATCCTTTGAAGAGAAATCTAAGTAACATGGAGGAGGCTAGCTCACTGATAAGCTGAAGATAGAATTCATGAGATACGTAAATCCTTCTTCCAGACAGGGCCCCAGAGAGACAGTCTTCTGCCCCTTCACAGTCTGGGTACCTGGCAATTACTTCTGATGACCTCAGTGCCTCATGTGGTAATGATCTTGTCAAAGGTTTAGCCATAGACAAAATAATCAGGAAGAATTATTTCCCCATAGACCAATTTTCTAGGGCTGGCTGTGTGAAACCAAGAAGAAAATACTTTGTCAAATTTATGTGCAGATAAAATCAAATAATGCTGAGATATATTAGCAAACCATATTCAATAGTACATTAAAAGGACCATTCACTACAATCACGTGGGATTTATCATTGAGAAACAAGGTTGATTCAACATATGCAAATCATTAAATGTGATTTGCTATATTAATAGAATGAAAGATAAAATCCATAAGATCATCTCAATAGATGCAGAAAAAGCATTTGACAAAATTCAACATCTTTTGTGACAAAATATCTCAACAAATTAGGTATAGAAGGAATGTTCCTCACAAAATAAAGGCTATTTATGCAAAGCCCACAGCTAACATGATACTTAATGGTAAAAAGTTGAAAGTTTTTTCTCTAAAATCAGGAACAAGACGAGGAAGCACATTCTCACCATTTCTGTTCCGCATAGTCCTGGAAGTCCTAGCCAGAGCAATTAGGCAAAAGAAAGAAATAAAAAGACATCCAAATAGAAGAGAATGAAGTGAAATTGTCTCTGTAAATGACATGATCTAATATATAGAAAATTCTAAAGACTCTTCCAAAAAAACTATTAGAACTGATACATGAATTCAATAGTTTCATGATACAAAATCACCTTACAAAAATTAGTACCATTTCTATATGCTAACAATGAACTGTCTGGAAGAGAAATTAAGAAAACAATTTCATTTACAATAGCATCAAAAAATAAAATAAAGTAGGAGTAAATTTAACCAAAGAAATGAAAGACTCTTATACTAAAAACTGATGAAAGAAATTGAAGATGACACAAATGGAAAGATACCCTGTGTTCATGAATTGAAAGCATTAATATTATTAAAATGTCCACAGCAACCACAGCAATCTACAGATTCAATGCAACCCTTATCAAAATTCCAATGTTCATTCTGCAGAGAAATTTTAAAAATCCAAAAATTTATATGGAAACAAAAAACACTTCGAATAGCCAAAGCAATTCTTGCCAAAAAGAAAAAGCTGGAGGTATCACTCTACCACATTTCAAAATATATTACAATGCTGTAGTAATCAAAATAACATGGTACCAGCACAAAAACAAACACATAGACCAATGGAATAGAATAGAGAGCCCAAAAATAAACCCATAGATTAACTGAGTTTCACAAAGGTACAACACAATGTGGAATGGACAGTCTCTTCAATAAATGGTGTTGGGAAAACTGGATATTTATATACAGCAGAATGAAAATGGACCCTCATCTCACCCCCTATACAAGAATCAACACAAAATGGATTAAAGACTTAAATGTAAGGCATAAAACTATAAAGCTACTAGAAGGAAACATGAGAGAAAAGCTCCCTGGTATTGGTCTGGGCAGTGATTTCTTAAATATAACCTCAAAAGCACAAGCAATAAGAGCAAAATTAGACAAATGAGATTGCGAAAAACTAAAAAGCTTCTGTATAGCAAGGAAAACAATCAATAGAATATGGTCAGGCGCGATGGCTCATGCCTGTAATCTCAGCAATTTGGGAGGCTGAGGCGGGCAGATCACTTGAGGTCAAAGTTTGAGATTAGCCTGGCCAACATGGAGAAACCCCATCTCTACCGGGCATGGTGGCACACACCTGTAATCCCAGCTACTGGAGAGGCTGAGGCAGGAGAATCGCTTGAACCTGGGAGGCCAAGGTTGCAGTGAGCCAAGATCATGCCGCTGCACTCCAGCCTGCGCAACAAGAGTGAGACTTTGTCTCAAAAAAAAAAAAAATTAATAGAATGAAGAGACAACCTACAGAGTGGGAGAAAATATTTGCAAATTATGCATCTGATAAAAAGCTAACATCCAAAATATACAAGGAACTCAAACTACTCAATAATAAGAAAATAAATAACCCTATTAAAAAATGAGCAGAAGACTTAAATAGACATTTCTCAAAAGAAGACACACAAATAGCCAACAGGGATATGAAAAAAATGTTCAAAACCTATAATCATAAAATAAATGCAAATTAAAAATATCACCTCACACCTGTTAGATTGGCAATTATCAAGTAGATGAAAGATAAATGTTGACAAGAAAAGGGAACGTTATGAACTTTTGGTGGCATTGTAAGTACAGTCATTTTGGATAACAGTGTGGAGGATCCTGAAAAAAACTGAAAGTAAAATTACCATATAATCTAGCAATCTCACTACTGAATATATAACCACAGGAATTGAAATCAGGATGTCAAAAGAGATGCCTACACTCCCATGTTCATTGCAACATTATTCACAATAGCCAAGGTATAGAAACAACCTGTGTCTAACAATGGATCAATGGATTTTTTAAATGTGGTACATATACACAAAGGAACTCTATTCAACCTTAAAGAAAAAAAATTAATAATTCTGACACTTATAACAACATGAATAAACCTAGAGGACATTACATTAAGTGAAGTAAGCCAGGCACAAAGAGACAAATGCCATATGATCAGATCAGGCTAATTAGTATGTCCATCACCTCAAATATATATCATTTACTTGTGATGAAAACATTAAAAATTCTTTTTAGCTATTTTAAAATACATAATACATTATAATTAACCATAGACTTCATGTTGTGCAATATAACATCAACACTTACTCCTCTTATTGGTAAACCAAAAAGTATCTGAGACAGATCTCAATCAATGTAGAGGTTTATTTTGCCAAGGTTAAGGACATGTGTAACATCCTTAATATAATGTCCTCCAATAAACCTAGAAGACATTACACTAACTGAAATAACCTAATCCAGGCCCAAAGAGACAAGGGTCATACATGAAATCTAAAGAAATGAAACCCATAGAAGTATAGAGAGTAGAATGGTGGTTACCAGAGGATGGGGGTAGGGTTGAATGGGAAAAGGGGAGTTGTTGGTCAATGGGTACAACGTTTCATTTAGATATGTGAAAGGAAAATAAATCCTGGGACCCATAAATCACTAAGCCAAAGGGAAAAGTCAAGCTGAGAACTGCATCAGGCAAACCTGTCTTCCATTTTATTCCTAAATAAGATAACTACAAAGATTTTAAAGAGCCACATACCTCCCTCACAAGTTGCCCATTAGGAAATTCCTTGTAGGCATCAAAATCTTTACCCTAATAGTTCCGTTGAATTTCACCCTGATGGTGTAAATTGATAGCTTATCTTCACAGGTACAGGACAAAGGACAGAACTCAAAGTCATCCCTCTGCTCACCTGAGACAAATGCATTATGTGATTACTTCTTCTGCCCTATGTTTATTTTACCTTATGTAGAAATGCAGACTCACTGAGCTAGATAAATGCATAAGTGACTTTTCCTCTTCCTGCCCTCTCACATAAGAAGGACTGATCAAAGACTCAAAAAGAAAGCAACCATTTGCATCTTATCTACCTACACCTTTTAAAAATATTTTCCTCTTTCCTCAACATCCACCCTTTTCCCTTTAAATATTGAAGCGTTCAAAATCATCTTTGGAAAAAGGCATAGTCCTCTCTCCCAGGCATGCATCCTTATCCATGGCAAAATAAATGTCTAAATTAATTGAGACCAGTCTCAGGTACTTTTTGGTTTACAAATAAAAGGAATAAGTGCTGGTGTTATATTGCACAAATGGTGACTATAGTTAATTATAATGTATTAAATATTTTAAAATAGCTAAAAGAGAAATTTACATGTTTTCATCACAAATAAGTGATACATATTTGAAGTGACGGATATACTAATTAGAATGATCCGATCATTCCACAAGGTTTACATGTATCAAGACATCACATTGTACCCCATAAACATATACAATTATTATTTGTCAATTAAAAATAAAATAAAACAAATAATTTTTTAAATTTATAAAACAAACACTAAATTAGCAAAAACTGAAACACTGCCCTTAGGAAAATACATATATTAAACATATATATATTAAGTGATGGATATATCCCATATATATAAAGTGATAGGATGCATGTATCCATCATTTAACATATATATGTATATTATATATATATATATATACAATGTACATATATATTTCCCCCTAGGGAAATATATATCATATATTATCATCACATTGTCCCTACTGTCTCCATCTTCTGGTCACCTCTGTATGACAGCTAAAACAAGAAGGTGGAGCAATGCCTAAATCAACCTCGGCTGGGAACATGTACCTCCGGCAATTAAATTTTTCACTATCGTGCACGTCTTTGAATGGCCACAAAAACATTGCAAATACTGATTTGGAGCTACAAATAATTTTAATATGTAAGCAAATTCACAAATACGGAATCTACAAATAATGAGACTAAACTGTATCTGAATAGGGTCTATTATTCAGGATAAGGAATGGTACAACTCAACTGTGAAAAGACAAGCCAATTAAAAAATGGGTAATGGTCTTAAATAGACATTTCTCCAAAAAAAGATATACAAATGGCCAAGTACATAAAAATGATGCTCAATATCATTAGTCATTAGGGAAATACAAATCAAAACCACAATGAGATCTCATTTTACATCCACTAGAATGGATATTTTTTTTTAACTACAAGTTTTGACAAGGACGTGGAGAAATTGGAGCCCTTGTACATTGTTGGTAGGAGTGCAAAATGGTGCAGCCACTGTAGAAAATGGTTTGATAGTTCCTCAAAAAGTTAAACATGCAATGACCATATGACCCAGCAATTTCACCCCAATATCAGCCCAAAAGAATTAAAAACAGATATTCAAACAAAAACTGCAGCATTATTTGCAACAGCCAAAAGATAGAAACAACACAAATGTCCATAAACAGAAGAATGGAGAAACAAAACATGCTCTATCTATACAATGAAATATGCAGCCATAAAATGAGTGAAGTACTGATAAATACTACAACAGAAATGAATCTCAAAAACATTATACTAAGAGAAAGAAGCTAGACACAAATGTCACATATTGTATGATTTCCTTTAGGTAAAATATTCAGAATAGGTAAATCCATAGAGACAGAAACATATTAGTGATTTCTAGGGATTGAGGTGGGGGTAGATGGGGTGTGACTGCTTCATGGGTAAAGGGTTTCCTTTGGGGATGATAAAAATTACTTGGAACTAGATAGAGATGATGACTACAGAAATGTAGAAGTACTAAATACCACTGAACTGTATGGTTTAAAATGTTTAATTATATGTTATGTAAACTTTACCTCCAAAAAAAATGCATCACTAAAAAAATGCTGAATGGGAGCCCTTGAGACTGCGACTGATTTATAAATATTTGGAATATTTCCATTGAACGTGGATCTGGTTTTGAATTTATAATGAGAACTCAAGTTATATATGCTAATAAATTATTCTTATGACCTATATTTTAAGATACAAAGGAGATTTCTGTTATTTTAATTGTCCCCAAACTGATCCAAGTATATATTTTCAATATACTCTTTTAAAAGGAGTACACCGCGTCTTCAGGATAAGACAAACATTTATCTCACTTTCATTTCATAACCTTAATAAATACATGCATTTTTCTAATAAATCTAAAATATATCAATAGCATATATTAAAATGTATGTATAATGTTAGGAACTAATAAATTTATTTCATGCCTCACAAAGCACTAGCTAAAAAATTCAAAACACTTGAAGATATTTAAGAAAAAAACACAATAAAGTTTTTGTTTTCCTTCTAGGTGACATTGAGTTCATTTAGAAGACAAACAGTTAAATTCTTCACCCACATAGGCAGCATCAATTTAGCTGAATTTCTAGAGAAAGACTAAAGAAGCAAACTCTTTATGGCTCTTATGTTGAAGTTAATAAACTTATTCCTAAAGCTGGATAGAATAGAAATAATAGAAATAATTGGTCCCTAAGATATAAAAGCTACAGCCTACACTCGGTTAACCTCTTCTTTCTCCTTCCTCGTAGAACCAAAATTGTTAATAGCTGTTAAACCCACTCTTTTTCCCAGAAACCCCATACATCTCAAGCGAAGTCTACCTCAGCTTTAGGGGTGGACTTGACAACTATAGGTGACCTCAAACCTCTTGCCAGTAATTTCTTCAGGAATGGTTACATGACTTACACCGAGCAAATGGTATAGGGGAGTGGTTTACTGGAAGCGTCTAGGAAAATTCTTCCTAACTCTTCTGAGAAATTTTTCTAAAACAACCTCCCCTCCCTTTGCTTGAACACTGCCAAGCATGGATATGAGGCCATATATCTACAGACATCTTACCAGCCTCAGGATGAAGCCAACATACAGAGAAGTATAAACACCAAGACTCCTGAAAAAGAGAAATGAAGCCCAAATCATGGAAATCCTGACCAATACCTCATATCCAAATATTCCATTAAGTTAGAGAATACTTTTTTTTATTTTTAAATATGAGTTGGGTTTCTATTAAAACTGAAAGAATGTTAACAGATACAAAGGTTTAGGGCAAGCTTGCCTTCTCACAATTACTAAATTATGCACTATTAAATTCATTGTTTTTTGTTAAGATACTCTCTTCAAAGAGCCCATGTTTAAATGGAATATTTAGTAGATTAAGGCATATCTCTTGACTAAAATCTTAGTACATTATCATTGGCACCTACTAGAAAGAACACACTTGTCAGATTGATAGTTATCATCAAGAAACAGGGATTTTTTTTCATTAATTAAGCATTACTTTTAAACATAGTATTTATTGAGTGCCTACAATGTGCCCAATCATACTCTAGGCAATGAAAATACAGTAATGAACAAAACACACAAAAATCCTTGCCCTCATGAAGCTTACATGCTGGAGGGGGAAACATACAATGACATATTTATAAAATATATAGTATGCCAGATGGTGGTAAGTGTTAAGAAGTAAAATCATACAGACCAGAGAGATAGAGAGTCTGAGGATGAAAAGACAATCTAATCTCAAAAAGAGAGTCAAGGAAAGCCTCACTTCTTGTTCACATTTGAGCAAATGCCTGCAGGAAGTTAGAGAGCAAGAGCATCGCTGGGGATAGGGAGATAGCTACAGGCAAAGAGAAGAGGGTGTGTGAAATGCCCTGGAAGTGGAGATGGAAGACTTCCTGCTGTTTCCTGTATGGGGAATAGCAAGGAATGCAACAAAGCTGGGCTGCAGTGAGAAGGGAGAGTAGTGAAGATGGCATTAGAGAGGGGAACATGGGGCCATTGGCACTTAAAAGAGAAAGCAGACCAGTATCAAGTGCTGTAATATGCAAGTTATTAGAAGAGGTCTGGGTCCAGGTATACTTTGAAGATAGAGCCAACAGGATGTGTTGGTGAATCAGATGTGAGGTATAAGAGAAATATATCAGTCAAAAACAACGGCTCAAAGTTTTTCGACGTGAGCATCTGGGAAGATAGTGCTGGTAACTGAAAAGAATGTTATGGCAGAACAAACTTCTTTGGCTATGGGGAGGAGGCAGTACATTTGAGGGAGCCCGAATGTGTATTTGGACTTACTAAATTTGAGCTTCCTGTTAGATATCCGAATGGAGATGTCAAAAAAATCTGTTGATCCTAGGAGGCAGGATTCTGGAGTTCAGAGAAGAGCTCCAGATTAGAGTTGTAAATTTAGAAGTTGTCAGTGTTTTGTTGGTATTTAAAAGCATGAAGTTTGATGAAATTATCTGGAAAGTAGAGGTAGAGTATGAAAATAAGAGATCCGAGGTCTGGGCCCCACGACGACGTGATGCAAGAAAAAGTTTATTTATGTTGAGGAGAGAGGCTCATAAAACGCTGTTGCAACAGAGAAAGGATCCCTATTTCCATCTAGCCCCAAAGCTATGAGGAACAGGAATAAAGGAGATGGCA
The DNA here is from genome assembly GCF_000001405.40 of Homo sapiens. NCBI lineage: Eukaryota > Metazoa > Chordata > Mammalia > Primates > Hominidae > Homo > Homo sapiens. The sequence goes on from NC_000018.10 coordinate 2,083,625, forward strand.
CCAACATATGCCTAAATGGTTGTATGTCTTTCATTATCCCATCCGGGAAGTATATTAACATGGTCTGTAAAGTTCCAATGAAGGTTTGATTTTGTGAATGGGTCCGTTTGCTGAAAGTAACAGTAAGCCCAGACTCAAACTGGAATAAATGATAAGGTGACAGTTAACCTCACATGACAGTGAACCTGAAGGAAGAGCAGACCGAGGAGCAGGCACATGGCTCACCTCTGCCTCCCTGTGGTTCTCCTGCCCCTGCTGCCCCACATTGACTTAGGCATCAGAAAACCACCAAGATGGTCACAGCTGTTTCTGGCCTCAGAGCAATAGCAGAAAAGCAGATCTGCTCTTTGAATGTCTCAGAGCAAAATGAGTCAGAACCGGTGAGGAGCTAGAGAGCTTTACTTCAATGAATAGGTCACATAGAAGTTGACAACTTAATCAAGAAGGAAGCAATTCAAAAGTGATATTCAGCGATGTCCTTGAGCTCATTACATACAGAGTACATTTTTCAAGTACTTTTGCATTGCCTTTCTCTCTTCTATTATTTGCCTTCACATAGCCAACCTCTCAAGGACATTAACAAATTCTTTCAAACCCTTTCTCTTAGTTTTCTCCCCTATGGGCCTTCATCTGCTTCCTCAAATTTAAACCAGTTGCTTTCTGGTCCAGCTGCACAACTATCATTATGGGGATAATGTACTTTGTTACACCCCTGGATATATTTCTTGAATCCCACAAGGAAATCTTTCCTAGAAAGCTTCAGTAGGACATCTCTTCATACTTCATCGGTCAAAATTAGATCCTCTGCCTACTTCTATACCAACTAATGGCAAGAAGACAGGATGACCGTCACTAGAAAAATAAAGGTCCCTTTGACCTAGAGATAGGATTCCTCCCTGAGGAGCCGATGTCTAGAGAAATCAGGATTTTATTGTCAACAAGAAAGAAGGAATTGGATGCTGGGTATGAAGCCAACGGTATCTGATTCAATGATGAATAGAAAACTCTATTTAAAGCACACAAAAGGAGCAGTGAGTTGTAAAAAGAAGAAAATATAATTGCAAAACTAAAAAGCCATCCATTTGATTTCACAAGTTGTTGTTCATGAAATATGAAATAGCTAGAAGATTGATTGATTAGGATTTTTCTTTCTTTTTCTTTTTTTTTTTTTTTTTTTTTTTTGAGACGGGGTCTCACTCTGTTGCCAGGCTGGAGTGCGGTGGTACAATCTCGGCTCATTGCAACCTCCACCTCCTGGGCTAAAGCGATTCTAGTGCCTCAACCTCTCGAGTAGCTCGGATTACAGGCACGAGCCACCATATCCAGCTAATTTTTTTTTTATTTTTAGTAGAGATGAGGTTTCACTATGTTGGACAGGATGGCCTTGATCTCCTGACCTCGTGATCCACCCACCTCAGTCTCCCAAAGTGCTGGGACTACAGGAGTGAGCCACCGCGCCCGGCCTGATTAGGATTTTTAAAATCACTTCTAGCACCAACATTTTGACTTAAATACTATTTTGATAAAATCATGTGAATTGCTATTAAACACCAAAAAATATCACCACTTTATTTTGAGAAATCTTAGTACTTTAATGATAGCCATTTTTGGACATAAACTGGTTGCATAATTTTGTTGTTGTTGTTGTTTTTTAGATGGAGTCTCACTCTGTCACTCAGGCTGGAGTGTAGTGGCACCATCTCGGCTCACTGCAACCTCTGCCTCCCAGGTTCAAGCAATTCTCCTGCCTCAGCCTCCTGAGTAGCTGGGATTACAGGCACGTGCCACCACCCCTAGCTAATTTTTGTATTTTTAGTAGAGATGGGGTTTCACGATGTTGGTCAGGCTGGTCTCGAACTCCTGACCTCGTGATCCGCCTGCTTCGGCCTTCCAAAGTGCTGGGATTATAGACGTGAGCCACCACACCTGGCCAGTTGCATATTTTAAACATTACATTGTTCATGCCAGGTAAATGTAAAACCAAGCTTCAATTGAAAGTAATCTGATGGGTTTCAGACTATAAATTACTTAGTTTTATATCAGAAACAGTGAGCATCTGATTCTTAAAATGGAACTTAATGGAGTTACGATTAAAGTCAGTGTATGAACAGAGCCAGATTAATAGTAGATTAGGTAAATGGTGATCTCAGTCCCAAAGGCAGCTTGCAGTTTATCATATGTCTATATTTCCCTCTTTAAGTGAGAAAACTCTAAATTGATGTTTTTAAAGGCCGTAAGTCATCCCTCCAAATCTCTTCTCTTCTCATCAACCATGTATCCTGGGTCCTGTACATTCTGACCTCCACTTCACTTCATTTGCCTCTAATTTGGTCTCTGTTGCATTCATTGCATTAAGAAGGCACAAAAATACCACACATTTCGCATGTGCAGAATTGTCATTTCAATAGGAACCCTTCTCTCCTACAAAAATCAAGCTTCTATGAAGAAATATAGAAATATATGGTTCAGTTTACTCTTTCTGTCCCTGGCTAAATAATGACTAAATGTGATCTCCCATCCCTTTATAATTGATAGGCCGCTGACCTAAAATAAAAATCACTGCTATTGATTTTCTGTTGGACAAGGTTTATAGCTTGCTTGTTCTTGTGTGCTTTCGATTTATATGTGGCCATTTATTCCCCTGTTTTTTATTTGTGTTGGTTTTGTTAATAAAAAATCATTTTGTAAATAAGATTATCATTACTTATATCAATAATCAGGTTTCTCTAGTAATGAGGCTATCAGGTAATATACCAGTGTTCTTTCTCTCAGAGAAAATTATCTCTTACTCATTTTCACTTAGATTTGAAACATTCATCTCTTCTCAATTCTTTAAAGATAATTCCAAATTAATTATCAAGCTGCACCAGGTAGAAGTAACAAAAATCCTTTAAAGGGAGAAAATAGATAAACCAATTGATTCTTCATGAACTAATCAGCTAAAGTTCTTCTTTCATATTTCAAGTAGCCTTCTCAAGATCACAGCTGATATAATTCATAGGAACTATTACATCATTTTTCTTTGGAAGTTTGAAATAAAGAGTTGAAACCAGTTTCTGAGAGAAACTACTGTTATCTGATAAAATAATTTATGAGGCAATAATGAGGGAAATGTTAATGAACATTCCCAGATTATGTACATCTAGCCTTCTTTCCTGAACCTTCCTGAGTGCAAATAGATCATGTATTACTGATTCCCTAGTAATGGATAAGTCATCATTAGGACCTAAGGTGTTCCAATGTGGAAATTGCTATTAATACTTTTGGCATCCTATATTAAATGTGTTCTTTAATAGAATGATTACTTCTTATTTATATAAAAAATACCTTATCATTATTTTTATTATTATTATTTTTTTAAGACAGAGTCTTGTTCTATTGCCCAGGCTGAAGTGCAGTGGCAACATCACAGCTCACTGCAACCTCCACCTCCTGGGTTCAAGCGATTCTCCTGCATGAGCCTCCTGAGTAGCTGAGACTCTAGGCATGCACCACCATGCCTGGCTAATTTTTGTATTTTTTTTTAGTAGAGATCAGGTTTCACCATGTTGGGCAAGCTGGTCTTGAACTCCTGACCTCCCTTTGATCCACCTGCCTTGGCCTCCCAAGGTGCTGGGATAACTGGTGTGAGCCACCACGCCCAGCCAAAATACTTTATCATTATTTAAAGCCCAAATACACTGACACGCATGGTCCCAATTTCTGAGCTTAAGAACAATTTAACCAAACTACAATTTCAAAGTAATGCATGATGCTAACAACATCATAGTGTGAAAATGAAAGTGTTCCTTGGTAGCCTGAGACACAATGTCCTATCCAGACACAGGCACATGGAAAATAGGTATCAAAAGCAAGGCCTCTGTCAGTTGTGATGAAGGATTCTGCCCTTTGCAATAAACACAGTTGTCTGGCATGAGTCAGAAAAGTTGCTTTCTCCTGAACGACAGCACTAACCAGTTTGTCATCTTGCTAATGGCTAGTTCTCTTCACCATTCCATCAGTGATATGGTTTGGCTGTGTCCCCACCCAAATGTCATCTTGAATTGTAGCTCCCATAATTCCCACATGTTGTGAGAGGGACCCAGTGGAAGATAATTGAATCACGGGAAGGGTTCCCCATACTGTTGCCCTGAAAGTGAAGAAGTCTCACGATATCTGATGGTTTAACAAGGGGTTTCCACTTTTGCTTGGCTCTCATTCTCTTTTGCCGCCACCATGTTAAGAAGTGCCTTTTGCCTTCCACCAAGATTGTGAGGCCTCTCCAGCCGTGTAGAACTGTGAGTCCGTTAAGCCTCTTTTTCTTTACAAATTACCCAGTCTCGGGTATGTCTTTATCAACAGTGAATGTTGAATGATGAATACAGTCAGTTTTGCTGAGTCTCATCTCTAAGGCTGTTGGAGGCTGCTGCACTGCTGCACTGCTCCACTGACTGTGGCCTGTCTCTGCGTGAGAGTCAGTGCAACTATTCTAGGCTTAGTGACAGAGAACATGAACAATTCACTCTCCCCTCAATCCCAGTGCACAGAAGGGAGGAACTGGAGAAGTTTATTTCAGTTAATGAATCACATAGAAGCTGATAACATAATCAAGAGAGAAGAGACAGAAACAATGATCCAGTGTTGCCCTTGGTCCAATTGAGGACTCAATATGTTTTTCCTGTTTTTACTAACTGCCATTTCTTTTTCCTTATGTAGTCTGCCTTAACATAACTACTCCCTCAAGAACATTACCAAATTTCTTGAAACTCTCTCAGTTTTCCTCCTTTCTGGTCCTCTCTCTCCTTGCTCAAGCCTGAACCAATGGCTCTCAGGCTGACTGCCCAGCTGTCATCACAGGAACTTGCTTCATTCCTCTCCTGAGCAGGATCAACTGTTTCCTCATTGCCATCTGTTGTTCTGGCTTGCTTTGCTCCTCATTTCACTCTAGTTCATCTTTAAGTAATTTCTTACGTAAGACTTAGGACTTAGGAAGTATGGTAGGTAACTTTCTGAGCCTTTGACCATCTGGAAATGTTGCTAACCTATTGTGCACTTGATTGTAAGATTGGCTGGGCATAGAATTCTAGGTTAAAATAATCTTCCTTCAGATTTTTTAAACTATGGCCTTGCTGTCCTCTGGTGCAAGATATACATGTTGAGAAATCAGATGCAGTTCCAACCTTCTTGTTGTTTTTCTCTGAAATTGTTCAGGAAATATTCTTTGCTCTTGATATTCTAGAACTGAAAGTGTCAATCTTACCCAACCTCTTCCCTGATTTAAGGAAAACCCACTTCAAACAAACTTAGAGACTTCGAATCTTTCCAAAGTTTCATTAGAATGAGTTAGCTTCTGTTTAACACAGGACACCACAACAGAAATGTATCATGGCATCTCTTTGGTGCTAAAAACATTGAAGAAATTGTGAAATTGCATTTTCAAAATTATGTGTTGTGGATAGAGTTATTATTTACCCAAGTATCCATTTTTATAAGTTGTTTCCTAAAACAAGCATCAAACACTCACATAGCACTTACTATATATTATAAAACATTCTAAATACGTTACAGCTTGCTCTTACACCGTGTAATTCTCATAACAGCCCTGTGAGAGAGCTTCTGTTATTATCTCTATTTTGGAGATGAGCAAACTGAGAACCAGAGGGGTTAAACTATTCATAAAGAAAACACAGCTAGTGTAGAGTAAATACACCTTATAGCAATAACAAGCAAACCCTTAGAATGACCGTGTATGGCACATGCACCTGACTATGTGCTCTGAGCTAGGGAATCCAGAAGTGGCCAACTCAGAGATACATTTGTTATCTATGAGAAACATCTGGCACCCCATTCACTGCCCCCCCACCCACTCACCCGCTGCCCACTGCCCCACCATCATCCTGTGGAATACAAGCTGTACAGGGGATTGAGGCCCTGAGTTTTGGGTTAAATGAAGGTTGCCAGGTGGAGGGTGTTAGGGCGGGTGTTGAATGAAAATGCTGTATCAACTGCATGCTGTTTACAAGCAGTTGTGGTTTTCCTGCCCAGCCCACTGCCACTGAACTGCAGGAAGTGGGGTATGCTGTCCAGCCCACCACCATGGACTCTCTCCCCTGTATATAATCCCTTAGTATAAGCCATGTCTTGCTTTCTGGTTCTGGGTCTCTTCTTCCACCTCTTGAACCTGGTGCCTTCCCTAATGAGGTTAAGAGGGGTTCGGTACAACCGCTGGTAAATGGCTGATTCAGGATTTGCACCCAGGAAATCTTGCTGAGGAGACCATAAGCACTGAGGTATGTTGCCTCTCATGAGCTAAACACATCAGGCTCTTTAAACATTATCTTACCTTACAGTTATACAATGAGCATTTGAACATGACAAATGAATAAAAAGCCCTAACATGAAAAGATGATGCTGTTTATGCTCCCATCTTCCTCAAAGTAGTGCTTCCTAAATTGTGTAAGTTCTTCACCTACTTAGCATTCAATACATTTGGAGCCTTAGTGAGTGTTAAATTGATGCTTCTGCTGCTGACACTGCTCTAAGCCTTGCAGTATAATGAGGCCCTCAGAAGAAAAGAAACCACTTATTTTATTAGTCAACTCAAAACATCTTTCCCTCTATTTTACAGATAAATCGAATCAGCATAAATGCTCAAGACTATACAATTTCCAGAAATTTAAGATTTTAAGTATCTTTTTAGAAGAGAATAGTTTGCATTGACTAATATTTAATTTTGAAATTTCCCCTTCTCTCCTGGGTTTTTTGATTTTAAATAAGAAAAAAAACTTAACAAAGGTCGTGTTTTAAAGTATTATTTTTTATCTTCCTATCTATTTTCACAAAGTCATTCAGTGAGCTTCACCTTTCATTTTTTATCTGCTCCATCCCAGAACCAATATCTTCCTCAGGGAGCCATCCTGGTGGCTTGACCCCCATGTGACCTAGGTTTCAGTCCCACCTCTGACTCTTCGTAACTATGAAACCTGAAGCAAATTAAGTACCACCTTCTCTGAAATTCAGTTTTCTCATTTATAAAGAATTAATAATTTCTCCCTTGCAGACTTGTTGTGAAAATTAGTGGCAACATACATGAAGGATTTGATCCAGAATGTATACTCAGTAGACAGCATTTGTTCTATCTCAGTATGTCTTAAGAAAAAGAAGATGCATTTTGTCTTTAAATGCAAATGGTCTAACTAGAAGTTTTACCATAAACTAAGTATCCCAAAGTTTGAAAAAAAAATCAAGAGATAATTCCTGGAGTCAAGCCTCTCTACTCCAAGTCATGAAAATGAGTTCAACATCTCAAGAATGAGATTTGTTAAATTGATCGTTTGGGATGAAATCAAGCAAAGAGAATACTAGGCAAACTTTTAAGATTTCTTCCTAAATACAGATCTCTAATTATAATTATTGAGCAGATTCTTTGCTTCCCTTGTCCATATTGACAACCACATCATTAAAATTTTTTCAAACCCTTGATATTCAAATATAAATGTCTGGCATTCTCTTTTTAGAACGATTTTACTGTACTGAAAACAGCTTCAGTTTTTCTGTGAACAATTAAGCTATTCTGAGGACTCCTGGGTAATTAATTAGCTTTCTCCAAACTATTAATTAAGAAGATGTTTAAGATATATCAAAGACCATTATAAGAGGCCTACCTTGAAATATCCAACTTTTCTAAGTTTAGTCTTGCTTTAAAGTGTCTTAAAAATGAATCTGTTATAAAGGAAACATTCTGGTCTCTGACATTTCCCACTCAATCAGCATGAGGCTAATGACACTTATAGGCCTGAATTCAAGACAGAAAAATTGTGTCTTCCCACATGCTAAGAACAATGCCCAGTAAGTGAGTCTTTTTTCCCTAAGCAGTCATACGCTTACGTCCCGTGCTTTCTGTTGCATTACTAGTAATCAATCATTCCTGTAAGGCCAGTAGGATCAAAGATCCATGGATGTATTTTAATCCTCCTCCAAAAACTCTCCACACTCCTGCCCCACATACATGAAAATGCTCAGTATCTCCTTGTACATGCAAGAAAAAAAAAAGTCCTGTTCAACGCTTACAACAAAAAGAAACATGAAGAAACAGCATTCATGCCTCACTCACATTTTATAAAAGGTAGAGATGCTGTGTCTGCTGCGTTTCATTGTTTTTTTTTTCGGGGTGTGTGTGTGTGTTCGTGTGTGGTGGTGGTGTTGTTTTTAAAGTGAATGTATAAACACCAATCCTCAAAGGTAGCCTTAAAAAATGCCTGAATAAACACCTGTAGTTTCAGAAGGCATTGCCTAATATAAATTTTGATTTAGATTTAGTTTTACTAATGTGAAAGAAAAATATATCTTGGGGCCCCCAAATCACTAAGCTGAAGGGCAAAGTCAAGCTGGGAACTGCTTAGGGCCAACCTGCCTCCCATTCTATTCAAAGTCACCCCTCTGCTCACTGAGATCTATGCATATCTGATTAGCTCCTTTGGAGAGGCTAATCAGAAACTCAGAAGAATGCAGCCATTTGTCTCTTATCTGCCTGTGACCTAGAAGCTCACTACCAGCTTGCTTCAAGCCTTCCCACCTTTGTTTCTAGTTGTCCCGCCTTTCCAGACCGAACCAGTGTTCACTTTGCATATATTGACTGATATCTCATGTCTTCCTAAAATGTATAAAACCGAACTGTGCTCTGACCACCTTGGGCACATGTTGTCAGGACCTCCTGAGGCTGTATCACAGTTGCATGTCCTCAACCTTGGCAAAACAAACTTCCTAAATTAACTGAGACCTGTCTCAGATTTTCTGGGTTCACACTAAGCACTCTCAATTGTAAAATTATCTGAATATAAACATAATATTAAATTTTCAAAATATTAAATCTTTGACAAAACAGTTGTTTCTAACAATTTATACTAAGAAATTAATCCAAAGGGATCTAAATATATAAAGACACAATGTTCATTATCATGTAAGGAATAAAATTGAAAACTCAGGTATAGCATATTTATAGAATATTTGAATACATATATATATAAAACCTTTGATATGATGGCATATTATATAGCAATAAAAATTTTTAAATACAGTTTCCAAAAAAATTAATGATATAAGGAAATGTTGATAAGTGAAAATATGAATAAAAAATATTAGAGTATGGTTAAAATTAACTATATGTTTTATATGTATGTGTATTTGTACTATGTACAATATGCAACACATACAGATAGTAGTTTATGTAGATAGATATATAGGTGTGTAGATACATAAGTATATATGAAAAACCAAAAAGATATATACCAAAATATCTTAGTGGTTACTTCTAGATGGTGCAATTATAGAAAAAACTTAATGTTCTTTTTATGTCACCGTACGTTCCTTGTACTATACAATGAATACGTATATTTTTAATTAAAAATGTTCTTTTGATTTAGAAAAAACCCAATGAGACACTGAAATCAAATCTTCAGTAGTACTTTTGACAGTGGCTTTAGTGGTTATGACAAGATAGCTAGTTGCATTTTGATACCTATTTTCTATCTTCATTAGGAGCAGAGTAGCAGAGACTCCCATCTGCTCCCTGGAATTAAGCTCTGAGTTTCTCAGCTCCACTTGCAGCTAGGCTTGGTTAAGGCTAAGCCAATGAAGTGTGAGTAGAAATGCTGTATGGAGCTTCTAGGAAACCTCTTTAATGGAAGTGGATGGAATGGTAGAAAGTTATGTTTGCCCTGGCCGAGGCAGATGGATCACCTGAGGTCATGAGTTCAAGACCAGCCTGGCCAGCACGGTGAAATCCCGTCTCTACTAAAAATACAAAAAATTACCCTAGCATTGTGGTGGGCGCCTGTAATTCCAGCTACTTGGGAGGCTGAGCCAGGAGAATCGCTTGAACCCAGGAGGTGGAGGTTGCAGTTAGCAGAGATTGCACCATTACACTCCAGCCTGGGCAACAAGAGTGAAATTCTGTCTCAAAAAGAAAAAAAGAAAGTTATGTTTGCCCTTTTATATTTCCTCCAGCTAGTGGCTTCCAACAAAGGAAATAGTCTTGAAAATGGAAATCAACAACTAGAATGACAGAGCTTAACCCTGGAGGAAACCTGGATCCCTACTGGCCACAAAGCCACTGTACCAGCCTTAAACTGCCTTTTTGAGGAAGAGAAATAAATGTCTACCTTATTTAAGCTATGTTATTTGGGTTTTTTCTCTTCTGTGCACCTTCTACAGGCAGTGGTACCATCAACATTGGTCCCTGGCAACCTCAGCAATTATATTAATGGGCAGCAACAGCAGTAAAAAAAAAAAAAAAGAAAATTATTAAACTTTAGAATAATAGTTTTCATATTTGACCAAAGAGAACCAGAGCAGAAAGGAAAAAAATATATATCATGGTAGCAAGTCCTGGAGCAATTTCTGAAAAATTTGAATGAGACTGGCATTCTCACATAAGGTGGCTAAACCTTTGTTAATAATGTTCTTGCCACAGCTTAATCTTTAAAAGGCATGATTTGCTCCATCAATTTATTCTTCCTGAGAGACAAATAAAAATCCCTAAGGATTCTTTTTCTTCAAGCTTTTGATGTAGCTGTAATATAAAACTAATAATTTTTGTGACATGATCATTTCTTGCAGGGCCCAATCTCTCGTTTTCAAGCTATACTATTTCATGTCTAATTACTATAGTACAGCATTTGTAATTACTAAAATTTTACCAAGATCTAATGAAATTTCAGAAGTGAAAGTCATACTAAATTAAGCTAATTTTATGACTACTTGCTCAGGCAATTTGGGTTGCATTTGTCTAATAGTTTGAGTCTAGAGTTTTTAGAACACAATGCAACACTTTTAGTATTTTATTCTAAAGGATTGTACAGTTCAGCATTTCCATTCTATTAAACTACAGCCCTTGGCTCCAACAATACCATATTTACCAGGTTCAATACCAGGGTTTCCATCTCATTTTTATGATATGAATTTTGGTTCACCTTCCATAGCTGTACTTCTTCATTGAATCCCTTTCTATAGGTGGTTGCATTTTGACAATTTGCCCCTCCTGGAAATTGGACCTCTTTATACTCCAGTGACTACATGGCATTCTCCCCAAAACTGGGACAGTGGCTCTAACTTACCTCTCTATCTCTGCTACTTTCTGCTATAACAGCCAGCTCAGCCAAAACATGAGTTCACCACAGGCCTTAGAATATTACATTTAAACTACTCCCTGCCACCCCTAGAGATAGTTTCTCTTAACCATGGCTAAGACTCTAACTTTTCTTGCAGACAAGCTTATCCAAGAAACAATCACCACGTTAACCACTTTTTCCTTCATTGACTTTGTGAATCATTCACAGTAAGAAAATTACGTATTGGCAATAAATGATACCAAAATCTAAATGGCTTAATCTTTTCAAAACAGCAGTACTCCATGTGTTGGCTCAGCCTCATCAACAATTGATTCTGCAATGACCTTGGCAGGGAGAGAAAGAGATGGGAGAATAATGGGAGTCACGTACCAGCTCTTAAATATTTCATTAACCAAAAGTAAGTCGCATGGCCATGCTTAACTTCAAGGGGCAGGGAGCTTTAATCCTCCAGTGCAACCAGAATGAGAGGAGAACCAAATATTAATGAACAGTGCTAATGTCTACCACACCTTGCTTATTATAATATTTACATGATTAATGTCCATTATTATAATATCATCATAACATCATTTTTTAAAAACAAAATATTAAATAATTACTAACACGTTTTGAGCATAAAACATTCACAGGCTGTGCACGGTGGCTCACATCTGTAATCCCAACACTTTGGGAGGCCAAGGCTGATGGATCACAAGGTCAGGAGATCAAGACCATCCTGGCTAACACGGTGAAACCCCATCTCTACTAAAAATACAAAAAAAAAAAAAAATTAGCCGTGTGTGGTGGTGGGCTCCTGTAGTCCCATCTACTCAGGAGGCTGAGGCAGGAGAATGGTGTGAACCCGGGAAGCAGAGCTTGCAGTGAGTGGAGATTGTGCCACTGCACTCCAGCCTGGGTGACAGAGTGAGACTCTGTCTCAAAAAAAAAAAAAAAACATTTACAGAAGACAGAATTGAGGCCTAGAGAATGTTAGGAACTTGCCCCAGGTCACACAGCTGGCAATTGATAGATCCAGAATTTTACCCAAATCTTTATGAATCTGAAGACTTTTTGAAATTAATATGACTAAAGATTTATGACCCATAAATCTGAAAGAAATTGTGTGTCCACCTTCAAAATCCTGGTAGACATGCCTCTGAGTGCATAACTTCTAGGAGAGGTCTTGGTGCATTGCCTAAAGGGAGCCAGGCTGGGCCAATATAAATCAGTAGATTCAAATCTAGGTTCAAAGACTGATTGAGAGGATGAGGTGAGTTGTACCACGCATATAAAAACATTTGATCAGTCTACAGGGACATATGGGAGCCAAGCAGAGCACAGAGAAAGAAGTCAACTATAATGTGTAGAAGGTAATAGCTGAGGTGCCCACAAACAAGGTTTTAGTCCACTTTAGCAGTGACAATCATTTTGTGGCTTTTTGCTACTCTCTATCCCAGACAAAGACTTAATTATGAGCATTGGTTATCAATAAATCTAGAAATCAATTATATAATGTGATCTTTCATTCAATATGGGTACTGGGTAGAAGCCTCAAATAAAAACGAAATTAGAGAGGAAGATGCCATGCATGAGTGATATATGCATAGCATATTCTAGAGTAGTAAGGACTTCAAGAAGAAAGGGTTTCAGAGTTTTCCACCCTGAAAGGAAATGAAGTGTGAGCATAAGCTGTGAACTCCAAGAGTAGATCAAGGAGACTGGCAAGAGACTGAATTAAGCTGCCCAGAGGCAAAGAGATGACAGATCATAAGAGGTGGAAAGAGACAACAGGGTTGGGATTTGGAGGTCAGCTCCACAGAGTGATCTTCTGCATTACTCATGATTTAATCCCATAAGAATAAGCCATGGTGAGACTCAGTCATGATGCAAAGATTATTACCATTCAAATATTTGTTGATGCTTTGAAACTGTTGACTCTTTTTAAAAAAAAAAAAATTTTTAGCATATTTGCATGTTAAGAGAATTGAGCTGTTTGGCTGTTTACAGTTGTTGTAGTTACCACCAAACTTGGTACTGCCAAAGTCCTTTGTCCGTAAAACACATGACTTTGATTCTTTTCAAAAGCCACGGGGTGGAAATTCCAGGGCAGTGAGAGAAAGAAATAACCAAAAGTTTTCTCAGTCCCTTTTTGTCCTGCCAAAGAAAATGTTAAGCAATATCCAGATAATACCTATCCTGCCTCCAGGTATTTACTTGAACATGGTTATCTTTAATTGCACAAACAATAGCCAGAATTGTTCACGCCATCTCTTGGAGGAAGATGATGCACATATATCCACAAAACATAGCTCAAAACATCAGGGAGCACTAAGTGTATGCTCCTAGAGTGTTCTGATCTTATTATTTTCTCTGGATGGAAGTTTGAGGCCTCTGGTGAAATCTGATTATAATATTAATTTGTCTAAGATGCAAAGGGACAAATCCCCCTGCCCCTGCCAATCTACCTACAGACACCAGAAGTAATAAGAGTTTACAAGTAGAATTTGTAAAGTAGAAGATACTTTTCTACAGAAATTATACAAGATAGAAAACAAACAAACAAAAAATGATAGCTGAAAGGAATGAAAGAAAAAAATTTAGCCTAGAGTTCTATACCCAGCAAAATATTTTTCAAAAACTGAAGGTTTACAAAAAGACTTACAGACCAACAAAAGCTTAAACCTGCGATGAAAGAAACTTTAAAGGAATTTCTTCAAGCAGAGGCATAACGCGAGGTAGAAATTTGAATCTACACAAAAACATGAAGAGTGTCACAATAATAAAAGTGAGAATGAACATAGAAGATATTTTTTTTTATTTTCTGACCTTTGTTATAGTTGGCAATTGAAAGCAAAAAAAATGAGTGCACTTTAGGGTTAACAACATTTGCAGAAGTAAACTATATGACATTTATAGTTAGTTCAAAGGATGGGAAGAAGAAAATGGAAATATACAGCTGTACTGTTTTCTACGCTAACTGTGACATAGTATAATATTATTTGAAGGTAGACTGTTGTATGTTGAAGACATATATCAAACCCCTAGAGCAACCATTAAATAAAATAAAAAGGAAGGATAACTAATAAGCCAATAGTAGAGCTAAATTGGAATTATAGAAATTCCTCAATTAATTCAGACTGCAAGAAAAAAGAAAAAGAAAAGAAAGATGAGGTAGGAAAAATAGAACAGTAATTGTAGATTATTAATTTAAATCTAACCACATCAATAATTGCATTAAGTGTAAGTGGTCTAAATTCTAAAATTAAGGCGGAGGTTAACAGACTGGAGTACAAGAACTCCTCCTCAAATTGAAAGATATGGATTGGTTAAAAGCCAAAGGGTGGAAAAATATACAGCATATAAATACTAATCAACAAAAATCTTAAGTAACTTAATTAGTATTAGATACAGTAGACTTCAGAACAAGAAATATTCTCAGGGATTGAAAAAGATCACAGCATTAGAATTCATCAAGAAAAATTAAAATTCTAAATGTGCATTCACCTAGTGAAGGAGCTTAAAAACACATAAGACAAAAAGTGAGAGAACTGAAAGTAGAAATACACAAATCCACAAATATAAATGGAAATTTTAATACTCCTCTCTCAGTACATGATAGAATGAATAGAAATTTAAAAATCAGTAAAAACATAGAAATTCTGAACAATATTATCATCCCATTTTACCTAACAATCTACCAATCAACAGCAGGATATACATTATTTGCAAGTGCACATGTATCAATGTTAACCATATTGTGAGTCATAAAACATGATTCTACAAAATTTTTAAGTCACACAAAATATATTCACTGAACACAATAGAAGAAGCTAGAACTCAATAAGAGAATAATATCTCAAAAATCCCCAAATGTTTGGAAACATCATATTTTCAACTAATTCATGAGTCAAAGAAAAAAATGGCAAGGAAAATGTGAAATGTTTTTAAAGGATTTGAAGTGAAATCACAACATATGAAGATATAATGAATGAAACTAAGACAGTCCTTAGGAAGAAATGATCATATTAGAAAAAAAAAACATAAGTTTTCAAATTAATGATCTAAGCTTCCATCCTAAGAAACTGGAAAAAGAAGAACAAATTAAATCTAAAGCAAAGAGAAGAAAGGAAATAATAAATAAAAATAAATCAGAAATCACTTAAATAGATGACAGAAGATCATGAAGAATCTCAAAGCAAACAGAAGCTGATTTTTAGAATTCTTTGATATCAACAGAATTGATAGACCTCTAGCACAAGTGTTATGAAAAAGAGATTATCAATATTGGAAGCAGAAAAGTAAATAACACTGTTGATAAAACAGATATTGAAAGGATAATAAGGACACTTTACTAATAACTTTATGCCAATAAATTTGATAAATTAAATTATGTGGACTAATTCACTGAAAGATATAAACTACCAAAGCTCAAAAAAGAAACACATTACTTATTCCTATGTTTGTTAAAGAAATTTAATTTATGGTTTAAATCTTTCCCACAAAGAAAACCAAGATGGCTTTACCAGTGAATTCTACTAAGCAAGAAAGAAAAGAAAAGAAAAGAGGAAAGAAAAAGAGAAAGAAAGAAGAAAAGAAGAAAGAAAGAAAGAAAGAAAGAAAGAAAGAAAGAAAGAAAAAAGAAAGAAAGAAAGAAAGAAAAGAAAAGAAAAAAGAAAAGAAAAAAGGAAAGAAAAGAAAAAAGAAAAGAGAGAGGGAGGGACAGAAGGAGGGAGGGAGAAGAAAAGAAAAGAGAAAAGAAAAGAAAAGAAAAGAGGGAGGGAGGGAGGGAAGGAAGGAAGGGAGGAAATCTGCAGATCATCCCTCATGAAAATAAGTGCAAATATCTCAACCAATTAACAAATCTAATCCAAAAGTGTACAAGAAGGCTAATATATCATGACCAGATTGTTTTTTCCCAGGATTCAAGGTTGGTTCCACATTCAAAAATCTATTAATGTGGTACATTATGTCAACAGAATAAAAAAAAGAAAACTCTATGATGACTTAAGCAGATGCAGTAAAAGCTTTTGAAAAAATACAACACCCATTCACAATAAAATCTCTCAACAAACTACAAATACAAGGGAACAGCTTTGACCTGATAAGAACATCTTTGAAAACACTGTAGTTAACGTAACACTTACTGATGTAAGTCTGAATATTCCTCTCCTCATCCCCCTACCACCAAAATCAAGAATAAGACAAGAATATCTGCTCCAACCATTTCTGTTCAACATAAGAGTAAAGGCCCTAGCCAATATAGTAAGAAAAGAAAGATAAATAAAAGACATACAAATTGGAAAGGGTGAAATAAAATAATCTTTATTCACAGACAATATTGTCTACTTGCTAAGAAAAAATATAATATGTAGCAACAAATAATTTGATGTTGAAAAATAAAACTATTATAATAGCTTCAAAAAAAGAAATAATTAGGTATAAGTATATAAAAATAGGCATAATAGCTATATTATCAAAACTACAAAACACTGATAAAAGATATCAAAACAGGTCTGAATAAACAGTGAGAAATACCATGTTAATGGAGTGGTAGACTCAATATAATTAAGATGTCAATTCTCCCTAACGTATCTAGAGATAAAATACAATTCTAATCCAAATCTGAGTAAAATTTTTTAAGAAACTTAAAAGCTAATTGTAAAATGTCTACGAAAAGGCAAAAGAGCTGAAAGAGCTAAACAGTTTTGAAAAAGAAAACAAAGTTGGAGGAGTCACACTAATTGTTTTTAAAATGAAGTACAGTAAGACCTCACTTAACACCATCAATGGGTTCTTGAAAACTGAGACTTTAAGTGAGATGATGTACAGGAGGTCCTCAAGTAAGATTGTTTCATTCTACATTGTTTTGTTTTAATGTTGATGTGGGAAAAAATTAGTTTTATTATAATACATATTGTTTCACTTAAAGTTGTTGTTTCCAACAACCTATTGATGACCTTAGCTGAGGACTTACTGTTTCAAGAAGTCATCAAAAGCAATATGGTATTGGAAAAATGATAGACATATATATCAATTCTATAGAAGAGAGAGTCCAGCAATAGATATCACATTCACCCACTGTGTTAGTCTGTTTGCTATATATACCTGACACTAGTTAATTTATAAAGAAAAGAGGTTTATTTTGGCTCACAGTTCTACAGGCTGTACAGGAAGCATGGGGCTGACATCTGCTTCTGGTGAGGTCCTCAGGAAGTTTACAATCACGGCAAAAGGCAAAGGGAGAGCCAGTGTATCACATGGTGGGAGGGAGCAAGAGAGAGAAGGGAAAGGTCCCAGACTGTTTAAGTAACCAGATCTTGCATGAACTAACTAAGCAATAATTCACTCATCACCAAGGAGATGACACTAAGCCATTCACAAGGGATCTGTCACCATGATCCAATACCTCCCACTAGGCCTACCTCCAACATTGGAGGTCACATTTCAATATGAGATTTAGAAGAAACAAAACAACCAAACCACATCATTCTGCCTCTGGCCCTCCAAATGTCATGTTCTTCTCATATTGCAAAATAAAATCATCTCTTCCCAATAGTACTCAGGAGTTTTAACTCATTCCAAGGTCACTTAAAAGTCCAAAGTCCAAATTCTCATCTAAGATTCAAGGCACGTTCCTTCCAACTATGAGCCTGTAAAATCAAAAACAATCTATTTACTTCCAGGACACAATGGTGGTACAGGCAATAGGTAAATACCGGCCTTTCTTCCTATCTCACAAACTACTTGCTCCATCTTCTTTGCTGATTCTATTATCAACCTCTTAATATTGAAGTTCCCCAGGACTCCATCCTGGGTCTTCTTATTGATAACAATTTTTTTAACGATCTCAAGTTATCTCATGTTTTAAACATCATCTACAGGCTTCTGATTCTCAAATTTATATCTCAATCTGGGTGTCTCCTAAACTTTAGAATTCTATATTTATTGCCTTATTCAACATCTCCACTTGGTTGACTAATACACGTCTTAAAATTAGCATCTCCAAAGACAAACTACTGGTCCTGTCTCCAAAACCTGCATTCTAGGGGCGCCTCCATTTCAGTCTATTGAAGTCCCTCCCTTCAATTGACTGAAGGCCAATCAATTCAGAACAGTCCCTTATTCCTCACTCTCACAATCCTCTCCAATCTATCAGCTTGTTCTATTGTTTCTACCTTGAAAATACAATATCCACAATCCAACCTCTTCTCACAATTTGTGTTGCTACTACCTACCAAAGCCATCATCATATAAGGGATTTCTCCTTTTTTCTCTCTTGCTCCAACCCTGCCAATATATTCCCCACACAGAGCTAGGAAGATCTTATTAAAACAATTCAGAGCACTTGCTTCTTATGCTCTTCCAATAACTTTTCATCTCACACAGAGAAAAAGGCAAGGTCCTTAAAATGACCTTCCATTTCCTTAGCAGGTCAGTCCACTCTCTCTTTATTAATACTGTGTGCTTCCTCTTGCTGCTGTGGTCTCTCTAGCTGATGGCTGTTCTAGAGCCATCCCTCCCCAGGGCCCTTTTGTTTCAGTTCCCCATGCATAGAATACTCTCTTCAATGATATAGTGCTCACTCTCTCAAATCTTCAAGTCTGTTCAAATATTATCTTTTCAGCAAAGCTTTCCCAGGCCCTATAACACCCCATAATACTTCCCACTTCCATGTTCTCTTTTTTTATGCTCATAATACTTAATAAACTATATTCTTATTTATCAATACATATTCATATAATACACTCACATGTACAAATACATGCACATATATATTTTTCTTTTAATGATTTGTCTCACCTCAGTACTATTGTGTACAATCTATGTGGACAGTGATAATTTACCTATTTATTTACTGTATATATTTCTGTATTATCTATTTATTTACCATATTTCATATATTTCTGTATTATCTATTTACTGTATTTTCTATATTTCTGTATTATCTATTTATTTACTGTATATTTTCTTATATACTATTATTTCTACTGTATATCTCTAATACAGTAAATAAATGAAATTATTTACTTACTATATTTATTTATTTACTGTTTATTTCAAGGATTATTTTACTGTATATTTCTATATTTATCTATTTATTTACTGTATATTTCAGCCATCAGAAAAGCGACTGGTTGAGAATAAATATATAAGAAATAAATAACTGAAAGACTCCAACACTTTTTTCCTGCAAGATCTGAAAACATTCATAGATACACCAAATGAACTAGCAATCCTAGTCTTCTATTTAATAAGTATGTAAGGAACATCTGAGATTTAAAACTTCAGTTTGTTTCCACAATGCAAATGTGTGATTGATTTCCCCCTCACTTTTTTTTCACAGAAGTTTCTAATTCTATGAAACTTTTTTCATATATAACACCATGCATACAAATTTGACCGAACCAATGGCGAATTTTCTTCAACAATTTTTGGCTGCACTAAATTTATACTAAGTCTGAAAAGAAAGAATATCCTTCGAATGACTGAGAAAGTCTTATAGGTTCATTATCCTTTATTTTGGAGAGGTTATGTTAAAAAGAGGATGACATTTGAAAGAAAAGCACATAATATAATATCAAAGTGAAATATGGGAAACTACTCATTCGTAGCATGTTACAGATTTATCAATAATTTACAATTGTATTTCTTCATCTTATTGTACTTCTCTTAATGAAACTAATTCTCTTTATCTCTATTTTTATGAGTTATCATTAATATCAATGGACTCAAATTGCGATTTAAATCTACAGTTTAAAAAATCATATAATGAAACTGAGGAGGATTTATGCTTATAAGACAGTTTTACAAGTTTTCCCATTCCCAAAAGAATTGAGTGGAATCTGTAATGGGTAAAGAGATCTTATTAATTTTGTCAGATTTTTTTCTTGTCAACAGGAATAATGTAAAAATGATTTTTTATGGTTGAAGTTACCAACCAAAACTTATTAAAAAGTGGCTCATGTGTGAGAGTGAGCCATCTAAATTAGGTCAGGTCAAAATGATACATCCAGTTATCTCATCCTGACTTCTGGACTTGCAGCATAATAATTCATGGAAACATTCTAAATGTGCGCTCATAAGGATGATCTCGAAATTCAGAACAGCATCTTAAAGTACAAGAGGTGGAAGAGAATAAATTGGAACTCAGGATGGGTAAAAAATATATTTGTAAACCCTAAAAAAGCTTTCTATTTTAACTTACTTCTAAAGAAGAAAGGATTAAAAAGGTGTTTGTCTGTCAAATAACTGGTAGTTTTAAGCACAATTCAGCAAGGAAAAGTTCTTTTTAAAATTTATTTTAGTATCCTTTTTTATAAGTTCTTTTCAGCAAAGTGTTTTTCATGTTGTAGAATGTATTAGGTTTTCTAAATGTATTGTAATGAGAAAATTATAAGTTGTGTACTATTATTAAAAGTTATTAACTATAGCAATCAATAAATAACATTTTAACATAAAGTTTAATCATGGAGTATTTATGTTCTCTCTGGCCCTAAATTTCTTCAATTTGCATAAATATAAATTACAATATGAAGACTACTGGCCAATTATCTCTAATGTTGAAGAGGAAAACAAAGCTCATAAACACATATTGGTTAAAACATAATATAATGTCAGGAGGCCCCAAAAGGATTCATGATGGAAACTGGACTCGTTCCCTGCTCAGTACATATTAGGTATCTACGAGCCTAATGAGGAAGGTGAAAGGCTGGAGACTCTGAACGAGGTAAGATAGAGACAGTAAGATGTGTTAACAGAGGTGAGTAGGAAAGGCTCTATCCCAAAAATAAGTGACTGAATGATGTCAAAGCTCAACCAAGAAAGAAGAGCAATCTTTTGAAGGTGGCATTCTGACCTAAAATGTCAATCCTATTTTACGTCGTCCTACAATCTCCGTTCATTCCATTTATTTAGGGACTTGTTACATGTCTAAAAGTTCTCTTTTAAAATCTGAAGCTTCTC
Organism: Homo sapiens; assembly: GCF_000001405.40. Taxonomy (NCBI): domain Eukaryota; kingdom Metazoa; phylum Chordata; class Mammalia; order Primates; family Hominidae; genus Homo; species Homo sapiens. The sequence continues at coordinate 2,104,675 of NC_000018.10, forward strand.
ATTAGGGCTACACATTAAATTTTGATCAACAAGTTCCAAAAAAAAAAAAAAAAAAAAGAATTCATGTACAGCTCTCTGAGGGAGAGCAGGACAAAGTGAGAGGGAGGTGCAGCTTCCGTTCAGAGAAAGGTGCCTCCCATCCCCGGCTCACCAGGTTTCCCAGGGATAACGTCCGCCTCAGCGGGTCACAGCAGCTTTGGGAAGCATTAGAGACCTGTATTCTTTTGTTCTATCCAGTAAGGACACTGAGACTCCAAGTCATCTGCCTGTTACTGAGCCTATCTTAGGTAGCTCAAATGCTTTCCTTAGTGACAATTTCTTCCCAGCCCAGACCGTGCATCTATGGTTGGTGGTGTTACTGTCCTCGGTACCATTCTCCCGCCAGCAGGGGGCGCTGCTTCGCTTCTCCCCCCCAACTGCTGTAATTCTGTCCCTGCTTTCTGTCTCATCCCGCCCTCCTAAGTTCATCAGGTCCCTCATGGCTCCCACATGCCACTCTGACTCTTCCAATCAGATATAACATACCAATGAGATACCGAAAATATTCTTTTCAGACCATCAATCAAAGTTGCCGTCCATGTTTCAACTTTGGGGATTCAGTTCTCTCCTACCTCTGGGGTAAAATTCCCAACGAATCCAAAGCATTCTTCCTAAAGGTGGCTTTGTCTTCTCCTCACTCTTTTGTCATCTTACCATTGTCTCCAACAGACTAATCAACAGTCTAAAATCCTGTCACTTCCCAGGAAGCACAGGCCAATTTGGCTCTCGCTTGCGGGACACTAGCCTTCCCACTCAAAGCTTACGGCACAGATGCCAAAGGCTGCCCAGTTCGGAACCATACAAATAAGAAGCACAAGTGCTATTTCCAAAGGTCCAAAACACAATTTGCTCTCATAAAAAGTATAACCACTATTCAAAAAACAGTGAGGGGAGGTTTCAAAAAAACTATTCTTACTTTCTGAAGTAAAATAATTCATACACTTGGTCAATTAAAGCACCTGCAATCCCAGCTAATCAGGAAGCTGAGGTGGGAGGATTGCTTCAGCCAAGAGTTCAAGAGTTCAAGACCAGCCTGGGAAACTTACTGAGACCCTGTATTTTAAAATATATATGTGTGTGTGTGTGTGTGTGTGTGTGTGTGTGTGTGTGTGTTAAATTCCAACATAAGAAGTGAAAAATAGAGTCCTGAATCCCATACAGCTATCGGGATGCTTCTCAGACCCCAGTACCATGGTCATTTTGACAATATCCCCAATCAGTCTTTACACGGAAACAATGTTAGACACCAGCAGGAAGGGTGCAGCCAATGGAAGTTGGAATCAAAATAGGCCGGGGCTGCATCCGCTCCTCTACCTACTAGCTGTGCGACCTTGCACAAGTTTACCAGTCAAGTGTGAGAATTGGATCAGGTGGCCTCTCTGATCTCTTGGGACTCAACAGACTCCAAGGCTCTTACCCCTTCCCCACATGGGAACCAACTAGCAGATGCTCCCCCTTTAAAACGTGCACTTTTCTCTGGTAAAATAGCATTCTCTTCTTCTCTAAAAGAAGCTCAGTCAATAAAAATACCTACTCCAGAGACTGAGATGGGACGGGTCACGTTAATCATTTCTCCCTGTGTATCAGATGGGAAAGCTTTTTATTAGGGATCATTTGCCGGTGATTTCCACAAGGAAAATAGGGCTTTATTTTACTACAAACTATAGGTAAAACTCGTGATGAGAATTTGGGCCATTGGCCATTTGAGACCCTGATACAGGTCAACCTTCCTGGAATTCACCAGCTCATTACCATTAGTACTAAAGCAATAAACACTCACACACCACAAGCTCACCCCAATTAGTATAACTGCCTAAGAATTCTTTATCTTGCTTGATTAGTTGCATGATGCTCAACGAGTCCATTGATCTCACTCTGCCTCAATTTCTCTGTCTCTAAAATAGGGTGCTTCCCTTTTTAAATCCTTCCATTTTACCCAACTTAGGGCAGGGTAAACTGATAATGTGAGTTTTCAGATCAACGGCTCCCTGCTTTCCTTCAGTTGAACTGGAATTATCCAACTGCTAGTAACACAGTTAAACTGAAGTTTCATGAATACAAAGTTTTATACAATGAGCTATTTTTTTTTTAGTACTTGCTATGTGCCAAGCACTTTTCTAAAAGGTTTACATGTAGTAGGTCCTATAATTTAAACAACAACCCTGCAAGGCAGGGATTATTATCACCTCTATCTTACAAATGAGAAAAATGATGAACAGTCACCACGCCTACTCCAAGCTGGAAGACTGGGGAGAATGATCATTAAAATTCAGCTGAAAATTATTTTTACTTCAGCTTGCTTCCAACGAGCAAAGAAATGGTGCAAAGGTTACATGGGCATAAGACCATTAAAATGGATATGGCCCCTGTTGACCCTCTAGGTCCTCACAGGGCTCTTGGAAACGTCCCAGGTCAGTGAAGCTGGACTACAGGGCAGGATCTGCTGTGTGCAAGTCATGCAGGCCCACGAGCTCCCTGCTTACAGCCAGAGTCTCCTTTCCACCATCTACCTGAAGTTCTTCCTATACCACCTTGCATGTGTCAATGTTCACGCCATCTTTATAGCCCAAGTCCACTGCAGGCATGACCATAGCTCACCCGAGAGTAGTGTTTGCTTTCATCACAACACCTAAAACAAATGGGGCAGGGCCTGAGCTGGTTGTTTAGCTTGGTGGTGAATGAGCATGGTCTTTGGAGCTAGACTTTTAGGGTGCAAGTCCTGATTCCAGCACTTTCTAGCTGTGAGACCTTGTGTAAATTGCTTAGCAGTTGTATCTCTTCGTTGGTTCCTCATCTATAATGTGCCTAATTATTGTCAGGATTAAATGAGTCAACACATATGAAATACTTCAAAGAGTGCCAGGGCCATAGTAAGCCCTCAATAAATATTAACTCTTACCTTTATCACTATTATCTCTTTTTTTTTTTTTGCTCAGGCTGGAGTGCAGTGGTGCAATCTCAACTCACTGCAGCCTCCACCTCCCGGCTTCAAAGGATTCTCATGCCTCAGCCTCCTGAGTAGCTGGGATTACAGGCACATGCGCAGCTAATTTTTGTGTGCGTTTTTAGTAGAGATGGGGTTTCGCCGTGTTGGCCAGGCTGGTCTCAAACTCCTGGCCTCAAGTGATCCACCCACCTTGGCCTTCCAAAGTGATGAGATTACAGGTGTGAGCCACTGTGTCTGGCCACTGTTACCTTCATCATTGCTATGATGTTCTTCTCCAGTTCAAATACAAAAGCTTTTCTGTCCCTGTCATTCATTCATCCAGAAAAGGATATTTGTGTCTATTACATGTCAGGCACTCTAGCAGGTATCAGAGATTAAAAAAATAGAAAGAAAGAAAAAGAAAAAAGACAGCACTATTGGTAAGAGTCTACTGAAGAATAATATCAAGTTAACGGACACATATATTATTAAACAATTTTCTTACCCTTCATCCCTCAAAAGCGATCATGCCACTAGCACCAGAGCAATACATCCTAATTATTCAATTACATTCTTTCCTGGAATGGGTTTTTTTTTTCCTAAATCAGGTAAAGCAGAAAGGTGCATTGTACAATTTTTCAAAGACACTCATAAAATTTAATTTGATTACTATGAGAAATATGAATATTCCTTAAAATAAGTTATGTGAAATGTGGCAGGATTGTAGTTCAATGTTTATGCTTCATTCCTACTTGGTTTCATATAACCTACGCACTCTGGGCTCCAAAAAAGTTTTGTTGTTAAGACCAGTTTATTTTATAATCTGGTATTTAATCCAGGAAACTTCTCTCCCACCTGGGAAAGGTTCAGAAAGATTTTTCTAGTGAGATGCCTAAATCAAGAAACCCTGGACTGATTAGCTTAAACTAAAAACAATAGCAGCCCTCATAATCAGGTTAGAGGAAGGTAAGAAAAATTCAACCTCCTATATCAAGTAACAGATCCTGGCCTTGGTTAAAATCCAAATAAAGTAATGAGTAAAGAATCCTCTATTTCTCGGCTAGGGAGAAAAGGCAAGGCAGTGAGTCGCAGCAACACACACACCCAATACTGCTCTGCACTCTTTAGATCCTAATTAGAGAAAAAAAGTGGTTTCCACCATGGGGACCCTGGTGCCGTTAGCCACTCTCCACAACATTCCTCCACAATGACCCAATTCCTCCTGCATCTGTGTGTTGCTGCTCTACCTAATGTATTTTTCTCTCTCCCTCATTTGGCTCTGTCATCTCTCTACGGCTCCTTTTTTTTTTTCCTATCATTAAAAAATAAATTCAGGGCCCGGTGCGGTAGCTCATGCCTGTAATCCCAGCATTTTGGGAGGCCAGGGCGGGCGGATCACAAGGTCAAGAGTTCAAGACCAGCCTGGCCAAGATGGTAAAACCCCGTCTCTACAAAAAAATACAATTATCTGGGCACGGTGGCAGGCACCTGTAATCCCAGCTACTTGGGAGGTTGAGACAGGAGAATGCTTTGAACCCGGGAGGCAGAGGTTGTATTGAGCCGAGATCGCTCCACTGCACTCCAGCCTAGGTGGTAGAGTGAGACTCCATCTCAAATAAATAAATAAATAAATACATACATACATAAACAAATAAAAAATTCAGTGCAATCCTCTCCTGCCCACTACACTTTGCTTATTTCTTATTTCCATCTCATGTGCTGAAACGTACTGAGCATGCATGCACACACACTGAAACACACACAGACACACTCACGCCCAGCTTCCAAAAGATTTTAATACAAATGCAGGTGGTGGCTTTCAAGTCATAGATTTTTGACCCTAGATATCAGGTAACTATTCACTGTGACAAAAAATAAAGGAGATTATTGTGCTAAAACAGAAACAACCTGTTCTATAAACTGATACAGTTTTGTCTGTTTACCTGATTAAGCAGTTTTTATTAATATTCTTCACCTTGATGACTCCTGAAAAAACTTGGGGGGCTAGCCTAATTTAACTAGAAAACTTTTGATAGCAGTGAAGCTCCAACTACTATAACTTGTTACTAAAATTATCATTATAAGCTAAACAATAATAATAATCTACATCATGAAGCTTTTGATGTGAATAAAAATTATTACTATATCTAGGTTATTAAAATATTCCCTGCATATTTTAATGCACATTCAAATCTGTAAGATAAATGAAAATTGCAACCAAACAGACATGTGATATGATTTAAATTAAAACATAAGAGCATAGAGCACAGTGGGGAGGAAGGGATGAATACATAGAGGAGGGAATGTTTTGAAGACAGTGAAGCTCCCCTGTATAATACAGTAGTGGTGGTTATATGTTCATTACAGATTTGTCCAAACCCACAGAATGGACAAGAAAAACCAGGAGCGAATCCCAGTGGGAACTATTGACCTTGGGTTATAATAATGTGTCAATATAGGTTCATTGATTGCAACAAATGTACCACTCTTGGCTGGGAGTGGTGGCTCACATCTGTAACCCAGGACTTTGGGAAGCTGAGGAGGGAGGAACACTTGAACCCAGGAATTCAAGACCAGCCTGAGCAATTTACAGAGACCCCCATCTCTAAAAAAAAATTTTTTTTAATTAGCCAGAAATTTAAAAAATTAGCCTGGCATGGTGACACACGCCTGGGGTCTCAGCTACTTGGGAGGCTGAGGTGGGAGGATCGCTTGAGCCCAGGAGGTGAAGGCTGTAGTGAGCTGTGATCACACCAGTCCACTCCAGCCTGGGCAAGAAGGGAGACCCTGTCTCAAAAAAAAAAAAAAAGCAAAAACCAACAAAAAACAAAGACACCACTCTGGTAGGGGATGTCAACAGTGGGGGGCTGTGCATGTCTGGGGAGGTTGTGTTTGTAGGTATATGTGCATCTTTGTGCCTTCTGCTCAGTTTTGCAGCAAACCTAAAACTTCTCTTTTAAAAAATCTATTTAAAATGGAAAAATGAGGCAAACAGGCCAAGAAAAGAAACGTTAAAAAAAAAAAATTAGTAAGACCACAGAGAAAGTGTGCTTTAAAGTATGCCACTGTATCAAAGAGTAGGCACACCAAGTCCAAATATAAACCCAGGAAGGAAATTATTTGAGTCAGGCATATGTGCAGGTAGCTGCTTATCTCTGAGTTTCTCCACCTTTGCACTGTTTCGCATTCGAGATTATTCTTTATATGAGGAAATTTTCCTGTGCCCCTTGAGTGACTTTCCTTCTGTTATCCACTGCCAATGATCAGAAAACCTCTGAGAAAACAGAGGTAGAAAACAACAGTAGAAAATGAAGAAAGCACAAGACTCCCTCATTTCATCACCTCCAGCAACTTCATAAGAAGTCCTGTAATTATAACATTGTAAGATTTGAGATGAAGCAGTCTAATCCCTTCTTTTTAAAATGAGACATTGAAGGCGAGAGATGCTAACCCCCAATTACCCCTCCAGAAACAGATCCCAATTCATGCCCAAGGAGTTCAGCTCAATATTCTCTCAAACAGGTCATATTGCAACATGAAGAAGAAAGAAAAAAGGAATTAATTTAATAGAAATGTGCTTATGGCTATTTATTAAAATGTCTATTAAGTATTGATAATCCTGGGTCTTGGCTCCAGCTCCCCATATGTCCGCCCCATTCGATCCTTAGCTGACCACACCCACCACCTGCCCAAATCCAAGACTCCAGGATGACAGCTCTCCAGAACAACAAACTTCTGTGCACAGTGAATATCTCCAGTACTACATGCTTGATATATTCAAAAATAACCTAATTGTCTTATCTGGACTCAAATCTATTCCTGATCCCCTTCCTGCAATGATGGCCCCACTAGCCACCCAGCCACCCAGCCAGAAGCCCTCCAGAGCTCTAGGCCCCTTTCGTCCCTCAGTCCCCTCCTTTACTTGCTTCTCCTGCCCTGTTCTTGCTCCACCTAAGCATCTGCCTCATCTAGTGCTTCCTTTCCGTCCCACACAACTGCCTTACCCCAGGCAGGCTCTCATCATTTCTCATTTGCAGGCTGTGGTAACTTTCCCATCATTTTTCTCTGATCTCCACATTCCTTTCAGATGATTCTTTCTGAAACACAAAGCAAATGTTGTCGCTTCCTTAAAACCCTTCCATGTCTCTCCATCACTTTCAAAACAAAGTCTCACACCCTTACTTCCCATGCAAGGTCCTGAATGTGTGAATCCTGCATTCTTCTTCAGCCTCGTTTTGCACTGCTTCTCCTCCCTCGCCTATGGGTGTCAATTCTCAGCTTCTTAAAATTTGTTGCAAGATACCCTAACATGACCCTGCTCCTTGGTGCTTACTGGAGTCCATCTACCCCTCCTGCCCTGCCCCAGATCAACCGAGCTGAGTCCTCCCCACTCTTCAAGGCTCAAGTCACAAGTTGTCTTTATTCTGTGGGACCCACATAGGAGTTAGTCAGAGTGATGGGATGGCCCCAGTATCAGGATCTTATAATCAGGGAGGGCTTCCTAATCTACATCTCCATGAAAGCTGTGGTGAAATGGGTGGGAAAAGCAGGGCCAAATCTCCCTCCCAGAGCCAATCACTAACCCGTGAGGTTTAGCTAATTTGCATGTAGCCTCCTTGGGGACGAGTGAATGACAAGCCCCCAGGAACCACTGCAGAAAGAACCTTCTACACTATAGCAGATTGGAGTCCTGAGATCCACAATGGTGGGCGTTGGTCTCACCACACCTGTGCAAGCTGTCTGTTCCCTCTTGAGCACTTGTGAAGGCTAGTGCATTGCAGAGGCTCTCTGGACCTGGCTCTGAGAGAAGGCTCATTCTAAATCCAATGGCCTGCACAGGCAGGCACAATAAATGTAAATAATCTGGAAAGGCTAAGCCGGTCGAAGCCAGCCAAGGGCATGCAGCTCTTACCCCACTAGCTTTGATATTTGGGGTTGCCCATCCCCTGCACCCTTCACCCTGAAGGAATTCACTGTTCTCCCCCACCTCCTAACACCTCCCAGCACTTCTAGGAGCTCCTTAGAACAGGAGTTGCTTTACTTAGTGCCTCATGAATAATAACACTTAATAAGTGTTGGCTGTGTGAATGAAAACATTATAAGAAGTGCCACTTCCAGATTCGGTGATTCCTCGCTGTTTTGAAACCAATAGCTAAATGTGTTTTCTTTTGTGCATAACGTTGAAACTGCTGTGACAAATACCAGCTAAGTTTGTTATATTTAATGCCTCCAGGTAATAATTTCCTCTCCTAATTTTTTTGTGCTTGTTCATCCTCTGAGTCATCGTTCCTCCCTCATTTCTTAAAAATGTCTTTCTGATTCTGCTTCTAAAGGTTGTTTAAAATCGAAAGGCCGATTTAATGAAATAACTTTATGTGAGACAAGGAGCTGTTTTGCTCATTTTTCAGGGGCTGGCACCACCACACAATACTCTCTTCAGACTTTCCATTTTCATTAAACAATTACATTTCAGTTGTTTGAGTCTCATCTAGTGTATGTGATCTTTTGCAAAATTTTAACAAATTCACCAAAATAATTGCAATTTCTTCCTCCTAATTGTAAGAGTTGAAACCTACAAGTTTACCAAAAGTGGTCTTCGAAAAATTATTAAGATTTTTCAGAATTTGCATTTTTCCCAAATACTCAGGTTTCTAAGGATTGAAAACAAGGAGATAGGAGAAAAGCATCATGCCATATTCATATATCACACATCCCCTTCTGCAATTTAGTTTCAAATCTACAAGAGAAATTATTGCAGTAGGTGGCATGAAGTTAATCTCTATTCATTCACATTTGCAAAAACACCACACATGATCAGACTGCTGAATGAACTTGCATTCACAAATTCAAACCAGGGATGATCCATCTTGAAGATGACATAGATACCAAAATCCAGGCAAGCAAAAGTAGAGAACAGCAAGGCATTGATCAAAGGAACCAGGTATTATGTTTTACTATATTTTAATTCAGTGACCACTAGGACTAGCGGTAGATGCTAAGCTACCTAGATAAATAGACAGGTAGGAAAATAGATGTTTTAAATAAAGGAACAAAAGGTTAAGTAAAACTGACAAGCATGGCAATAGAAAGTCATATTTATTCTGATTTTTAATTAAAACTATGACCAAAATAATAAATGTTCTCCTGTGAATTGGGGGGTCTAACATACATACAATTATAAATGAATATTAAAAGGCTTTGGGTTGGTATTTCCTAGTATCTTTCCTCTTACATCATGCTAGTCTAAAAAGTACTATAATAAACTTCACCAATTTAGTGAAAGTTCTCCCCCTTGTTCCTTTTTATAACTTTGCAGTGACTATAAATAAAGGTGAGGAACAAAATCATTATTTTTGAGTAAAATGCTAACCACATTAATTTGCAAGTCTGATTGGTATCTCTTTCAGAAAATCACAAGTAGTATAAATAGCATGCAATGTGAAATTGTCATAGTAAAAACTGCATACCCTTGCTTAATCTATATCTATCTCATTCAGAGATAAAGTTACTGTATTATGCTTTTACGATAATCACTAAAAATTATATTTTTGAATGGTTTTTGTGCAACAGACTTTCAAACCCCCTTATTTTCCCCAACATTATTACATTTGAATAAATAAATTAGGTATATAGGAAGGACTTTAAGGGAACCAAAATATAATCCAAATGTAGGCATGTACTGAGTTGATATAAACATTTATTTTCCCTAAGGTAAGAGGAAAAAGCATCTTCCAAACAAATGAAAGCAACTGTTACACTCAAAGTCTTTTATTATCTGGACCCAGCCTCCTCTACTCTGACAATACCCAAGGCTCCAGCTCCAGTGGATTGGTCAACAGGGGTCTGAAAACCCTGCAGAGGGAGGTCTCAGCTCTTCTGCTCAGATTACATTGCCTCTCTTCCTTCCCCACAGGTAGTTTCCCGTTCATCCTACATGGCAAAGCTCAGAAATTGCCCCTAGAAAGATTTCCCTACCACATCACTCCCCCTCATTTGAATCAACCAATTCATTCCTCCTTCGCCTTTGCTCCAACAGCATCTGTTCATATCACTTTCATAACAAGCCTCAAATTGTTTTAGGCTTGGCTGTGTGCTCCCACCTCCTCTGCTAAGCTGACAGCTTCAGAGACCCACCTACCCATCTCTTATTTGTTGAAACATAGTAGGCACTTACCGAATGTAAGTTGTGTTAAAGGAGAGTCTCATTCAGAGAGGGCTGTAATTTTGATCACTCTTTAATGCATTTTAGAAGATGCAAAACTTCACTCCTATTCAGTGTAAGCACATGCACAGCAGCAGCATGGCTTCCTTTTCTGTTAGAAACATGTCCTACCACGTGATCTTGGCACTTAGTCAACAATGGGACTGAGGACTTCCAGAAGTCAGCGCAGCAAATGCCCACTCTGTCAGGGCACCAGCCTCAGCCCTGTTCTTAGTACTCCATAACCAAAGAACAAACAGGTCAGATAGGCCCCCAGGGGCTCCCCGGAAGATGCTAGATACTTACTGCCTTTCTGGAGCAATCTATCACCGCTCCTTGCCTAGCTCCTCTGTATTTCTGAATTATTTTCTCCTTCTCCTCCCTCTCCAATTACATTAGTTTCCGTGGATCCAGTGCTAATATAGACTTCAAATTTACAGCGTCAGCAACACCACATAGAAATGCTGGCTAAAATGTAACCAAATAAGATTAATAGGTAAACTTGGAAAAAAGCAAAGGAAATCTACAGGTGCCAGAAATAGAAGAGGAACTCAAAAACAGAGCAATAAGCTTGTCTCCTGATACACAAGCAATAACCTGGTCCCCTGGAAATATTAGTCCTAAAATAAGTCCCTGACTCCTGGGAGGAAATACATGGATGCATGGCCACAGGGTCTCGAAAGGCAGGAAAGTGACACCAAGACTCACACATTTCGCCAGGACCCTATAATGGGTGACCTCTCCGGGAACAGGGGTCTAGAAACTCTCTTACCAATTTTTCTCCAGGGAAACATGAGAAATTACTTCTGTGAGGGCTTTGGGGAAAAGTAATTCCATTATCAGAAGCAAAACTCCAAATCTGCAATTTACGTGAGTGTTGGGGAACATTTAGCAATCTGGGTGGTATAAGATTCCCAAGTTGGGAGATTAAGGTAAATACTGCTATATGTTTAATGAGAACTCCCTAAAATTTTAGCAGAAGCAAAACCAAGAATACTTTGAAGAAGTTCCATAATCCAAGATGCACTAAACTCCCACACTTAAGCAAACAACACTCAAGAGGCATTTGCAATTTTTAAAAATAAATGAAACAGAAAAATGAGCAATCAAGAGTGTATCAACAGACAACAAAATAGAGAGAAGTAGCATTAGCATCCTCTGATACAACAGAGCAATCAGAAAGAATGTTTAACATGTTTAGAAAAGTAACAACACTATAAAAATTGATTAAACAATAACGTAAAACATAGATTGATACTAAAAGACAGAAAGTCTTTTAAAAATAAAAAAGCATACTTCGAAGTAATCTACAGATCAAAGAAAAAAAATCATAATGTAAACTGGAATATACTCAGAATTAAAAGAGAATAAAAACACTATCTTTTAAAGTTGTGAAGCACAGGCCAGGTGCGGTGGCTCGCGCCTGTAATCCCTGCACTTTGGGAGGCCAGGCGGGCGGATCACGAGGTCAGGAGATCGAGACCATCCTGGCTAACACAGTGAAATCCCGTCTCTACTAAAAATACAAAAAATTAGCCGAGCGTGGTTGCAGGCGCCTGTAGTCCCAGCTACTCGGGAGGCTGAGGCAGGAGAATGGCGTGAACCCGGGAGGCGGAGCTTGCAGTGAGCCCAGATCGCGCCACTGCACTCCAGCCTGGGCGACGGAGGGAGACTCCGTCTCAAAAAAAAAAAAACGTTGTGAAGCACAACCAAAACAGAATATAGAGAATGATGTATTGTGTAAATGTTTATATTAGAAAAAAGCTGAGTAAGCAGTTAATTCACAAAGACAGATAATAACCATAAAATAAGCCCTAGAAAGTTGGAAGAAAATTGGCAGAATTTAATGAAACAGAAAACAGAAAAAGACATAAAATTTTAAAGTGTTTTTTAAATAAAAGACTAAGAAAAATAGAAAAATCTCTGGATATCGCCTAATATAAAAGAAAAGAAGACATAAATAAATAATGTTAGCAAAAAAAATTGATACAGACAAAAATAGAAGGAAAATGTCATTAGACATTATAAGGAACACCTTTCTGTTAATAAATATGAAAAGTTAGAGATATAGAAAATTTTTCAAAAAATATAAAGGTAGCAAAATTATCTCATGAAAAAACAGAACATGAAACAACTTAAAATCAAATTTTTTCAAAAGAATTGAAAACTTTTCTATAATTTAAAAAGAATTTAAATTTTACCTGCAAGAAAATCACTGACCAAGGCAGTTTTACAGATGAGATAATATGAATAATCGAGGAAAAAAAATAACCCCACTGCTATACACAAACTGTTCTGGGAAATAGAAAGTGAAATGCGCTCACAAGTCATTTCATGAAATTGACTTCAACAAAAGAATCAGATGAGCCAATCATAAAAAGGAAAGTATAGGCCATTCCTCCCTTTTGAATATAAATACAAAAATTTTAAATACAATATTTGCAAATCAAACCAAGCAATATATTTTTAAAGTAATGTTATATTAAGAGACAGTTCATAGTAACCACTTAGAGTTTATCCCAGAAAAGAAAGGATAGATTAAAATTAGAAAAATTTATTAATATAATCATATTAGTAGATAAAATAATACAGAAAAAAATTTGATTCAGAAAAAGCATTTGATAAAATTCCACAAGCATTCCTGATAAAATTCAGATAACTAGGAAAAGAAAGAAAACATATGATGAAAAAAGATTTCTACAAAAAACTTACAGCAAACAGCAAACTTTATAGTGAAAACTGGAAGCATTTTCTCCCAAATTTGAGAAAAAGACCATACCCTCTATCACTTTTTTAATTAAAAATGCTACTGGAAACACAGCACTATGTACATTTATGATTAAATTTGGCTGTGTGTTACAGAAAACATTACCAATAGTGCCTTAAACAAGGTGGAAGTTAGTTTTCTTGCCTAAAAGAAATTCTGATGTCAGTGCTGACCTAAAATTTCAGCTCCATAAATATATCAGGGCCCAAGTTCTTCTTCCTTTCTGTTCCACCATTCTCAACATTTGCTTGCATTCTCAGGGGAATTTCATGATGCCAAAATGGGGGCTGGAGCTCCAAACATCACATCCATTGATCCAAGATTCAGAAAGGAAGACAGAAAAAAAGGCAAAAGGATGCACTTATCATTGGAGTTATCTTTCCCCTTAAAGAACTTTCTTGAAAGTCCAACCCACCTACTTCTATATACATCTCAGTTGTCATCCCTATATGAGAGGCTGCAAAATGTAGTTTTTTTAGCTGGGCACATCGTGTTTCTATTTTTAAGAAAGAAGAATGCATTGTGTAGATGCCAGTCTCTGTTAGCTCAATACACAAGAAAAAGAGAATCAAAATATAGTGGATAAAAAGAAATACATTTGTTATTGTAAAAGTCATGGTTTTCTACATAGGAAACTCAAAAGAATCTATAGATAAACTCATAACTAATAAAAGATGTCAACAAGGTTGATGAAAACAACATTAATACAGAAAAATCAACAGAGTTCCTATAGACCAGACACTTTAATTTAAGAAATGTAGTCGTGTAACAATATTATACACATACACACACATAATAATAGGGAAGAAATCTAATAAAAATATACAAAGAATTATAAAATGTTAAAGATACGCGAGACCTAAGTGATGAAATGAACTGTTCCTAGATAGAAAAACTCAATATAGTAACTATATCATCCTTCCCCAATTAATCTCTAAATATCACCAAAATCCAATCAAAATTCCAAAAGCATTGTTTAAATAACTTTACAAGATGATAATGAAATATATGTGGAAGAATAAACTGTCCAGCACAGGCAAGACAATTATTAAAAAGGAAAATAAGATAGACCGATCTGCTCTAGCAAATACCAGCATGTTGTAAGGCTGTAGTGATTGTGATAGTGTTGTAATAGAACAACAACAACCAAATAGACAAATTAAAGATAAGGGTTCAGAACCAAACCATCTCTCACATTTGAAAAGTTGTCATAAATTGAAGACAACATTACAAATCAGTGTGGTCACAATGGACTATTTAATAAGAAGTGGTGCCAGGATGATGGTTAGCTACACAGGAATAAATTAACTTAGCTTTCTACATCACACAGCATGCAAAAACAATTGTTTTAGAAGAAAGTAGTAAATGTATTTATGACCTCAGGTAAGCAAAATATATCTTCAATAAGAAACAAAAAAACCTTGTAAAGAAAATTTTAATAAATTTTGCTACATTAAAAGTTAAAACATCTATTCATTAAAGGAACTCTTAAAATACAGAGACAATCTACATACCAGAAGAAAATATTTGCCATGCATAAAACTGACAAAGAATTAGTATCTCAACTATATCATAAATGCTTAAAAAACCAGTAGGAAAAGGAAAAATGACCTAACAGAATAATAGGCAAAGAAACAGGCAATTCACATCAAAGTGGAGCCTAAAAGCTAATTAACAGGGAAAAGTACATAAAAACCCATACGAGATGTCCTTTCATATTTAGCCACTTAGCCAATATTTAAAAGTCTAATTTCAAGAGTTGACAAGAATGTAGGGAAATAGTAATTCATGTATTCTGCTATTGGGAGTATAAACTGGAAAATAATTTAGTAAAATCTAGTAGAGTTAAGATATGGATATTTTCAAACTAGTAATGCTACTTCTAGGTACATTTAGAGAAACTCAAATATGTGTAGAGAAGACTCATAAGAATATTAAATGCAACATTTTACAAGAGCAAAAAGTCTAAAATAACTTTGAAGTGTATCCTACTGGGAGAATGAATGGATAAATGGTTGTATTTTGATAAACGGATCAATGGGATTATATATGAGCATTTGAAAGTGAAGTAGCTCTACATACAGCATCATGAATAAATCTTAAAGGTAAAGGTTGACTAAACAAAGTAAATTGTAAAATGACATGTAGAACAACAATTGTTATGTATAAGCTTAAAATACACATAACAATATTATACAACACTTATGAAAGCTTACACATGTAACAAAAACATAAAACTCATAAACCTCAGAATAGTGATTACTTCCAGGAAGAAAGACAGAGAAATCAAACACTTTATCTCAAAAAAATAACTGAAAATATCTAAGCAAATGAGACAAAATCATGCAAGATCTCATATGAATACAAAGATATCTGTTATTTTATATCATTCTCTGTAGTTTTTGTATGTTTTATGTAATTATTTTAAAAGGAAAATTACTAAAAAGGAAAAACACTTGCTCATCGTAAAATTTCAAAGCATATGAAACAATGATTAAGAAGAAAATGATCAATCTTAATGTTTTATTATATTTCCTTACAATTTTTTTTTTTTTTTGAAACCTTGTTCTGTCATCCAGGTGGATTTCGGTGATGTGATCTTGGCTCACTGCAACGTCCACCGCCCAGGTTCAAGTGCTTCTCCTGCCTCAGCCTCCGGAGTAGCTAGGACTACATCACACCCGGCCCATTTTTTCATTTTTAGTAGAGATGGGGTTTCACCATGTTGCCCAGCTGATCTCAAACTCCTGATCTCAAGTGATCCACCCTCCCTAGCCTCCCAAGGTCCTTGGGATTACAGGCGTGAGCCACCGTGCCCTTACAGGCAGCTTCTATGCATATTTTATATTGTTAAGAATATACTTTATTATCACTTTTCTATTGTCTTTTGTTTACTTTACATCATAGCATAAGCATAAGCATTCCTCATGTTGTCCTAATGATGGCATGATAGCCCATTAAGTGGTCGCACCATCATTTATTCAGCCAGTCTATTTTGGGGCATTCAGCTTTTTCTAACTTTTCTTGATTGTGAAAATTGATGTAAGGAATGTCTTTGAACTGAGCTTTTCTGTATCTTTAATGATGCTTCTGAAACTCATTCTAAGTAGTCCAGCAATTACCAGCTGATGAAAAATAAATAGCTGGAAAATCTTTGGTCTCCATGGGAGAATCCAGGCAGTGGTGTGGTCCCTTTGGACACCACGTTCCTCTACAGAACTGACTGTACAAACCCCGGGAGGGAGTCCCCAAGGGGCTGTATCCCAGACCAGTGACCAGGGATGTGACTGTGCAATGCTAATGTAGAGATGCAGGAAATGCAAAAAAAATAAGATGTTAGCAAAAGCAGCATGTAGGCCAACAAAGACACCGGTAGTATTATTTAATATTATTTAAAAACCAAAAAATCCCAGCATGGGAATCATGTAATGCATGAAAATTCTAAATATCATTTCTATACAGTGACAAAAAAAATCAGTAGCTTTATCTAAATGATAATACATTACTTTTTTTAAAAAAAAATTATTTTCCCTTCTAATATATGTTTGTTGTATAAATGGGTGAAAATTTTATTGGTTTGCAATTACAGTTTTCTTAGTCAACCTCTTTTAACAAAAGTATGTCCTACCTTTCAAAACACAAAAATAAATAAATAAAAACATAGCTCCCTTTAACCTGATTCGACAGAAAAAAAAGATAAAATAATAAAACATATGTCTCTAATAAGAAGAGCAACATCTTTTGGACTTGTTTATGTGTTTCTATTACTATTAGTTCTTTTGTAATAGCAAAGAGATGCTGTCCTACTGCGTTAGAGCAAACTCTAGTGGTAAGTGGGTAAAAAAAGTCTTAGAGCTTTGCAGGAATGATGATTTTTACTTCCTCCAAGGAGTGACTTTGTAAAAGCCAGGAGAACCAAATGGAAAAGACTTCGAGAACCAGGGACATTGAAGTCTTAAGGGATTCCTCATTATCCCTGAGCCCACAAGCAAGCCTTGGCAGTCAAAGCCCCAAGAGACACCCTTAGGGAGCTGTTGGGAAGCCACCCACACCCTCCTCCCTACAGAGATCATTAGCTTTTCATCTCAAAGGCACTTTACAAACATTAGCCAATTAACAGAAGCAAGCAGTCATAAATACCAGTAAGCAAGCAGAGCAAGAGTACGATTATATAAAAGCCCTAGCTGAGATGTGTTTACACATTTGGAAGTAAAAATTTAATTTCAGCAAATGCAGTAGTCTCAAACAAAATTTACAGGTCATAGCTGTTAATGACATTAAGTTCCTCTATTATTAAAAAGAAAGTGCATGATAAATCCTGGATGGAACTTTTGGGAAATTCATTCTCTCCTCCCTCCAAAAAAAGAAAAAGAAAAAGAAAAAAGCATCGTTTACATGAGCCCCTGCTTTTTTAGCCAATAACCTGTGGAAATCCTTCTTTAAAGAGTATTCTTCTCAAGAACTCAGTCCCCCCAACTAAGATCCATGGAATCAAAGTGGTAGGAAATGAACAAACAGTTCATTTGGGTCCTATTATATATGATGCTGATTGCTATTGAGTTCATTCATTTTTGTGTTGTGATTTATTTCTGGCAACATAATTTACACTTCTTGGCACCGTGAGTAAAGACAATACAACCTATCTTGGTTTTTATGGGCAAAATCAGTTAATTTTTATGGGCAAAGTTAGTTAATCAGCTTGAGTAGAAAACAGACTTTGAAGGAAAAAATATGCATATTAAAATAAGTAATTCCTTTGCATCTATTTACCTAGATGAAATTTTGATATGTTCTGTTGCCACAGTAACCAGATATTCTGAGAGATACATCAGGTAAAGAACAAATACATGAGGCAAAAATTGGTGAGATACCTTACCTAGCTTGTTCCTTCTACATAATAAAGCTAAGCACTGGCCTAATAGGGTAAGTCCCTAGAATGGAACTTTAATTGATTATAGAGTAAGCATATTATCATTAAAATTATTTTAATATGCTAATTATGTTGTATATGGAAAAACAGGCATGGCTTCTCCGGTCTTCTCTGCACTGCTTTTCTCAAAACTCCCACAGAATAAGACAAATGGCATTTGATTACACAGTTCATCTAAAACAAAAGCAAAATTTATCTTTAGCATCCCCTTCAAGTTTTACACCTTTATTTGCCTACACAGAATAGATTTTCTTTTTAATGTATTACATTTCACACAACCAGTATTGAGAAAGACAGAGGTTAATTTGCAAATGTTCTATTGAGATCATTACAGAGATGATCTGGAAAAATCTTAAAACAGCAATAATCTGGTCTAACAAGTAGACATCTGGCCAAAAACTAAAAGACCCAGCCTAAGAGCTGTGTGGTAAAGGGAAAGACTACATACTTTGGAGTCAGACTAATTTGACTACAAACTCTGACTTCAGGTCTGAAAAAGATGTACTATTTCTTAGGCTCAATTTCTTCATCTGTAAAATAGGGGTATTACATACAGTCTTTAAGAATGAAATGATCTAATTCCGTGAAAGGGTCAAGTAAAGAACATGATACATAGAAGCCAGGAACTATAGATAGAGATACATAGTTAGAAGACAGATGGATGGATAGATGGTAGATTAGATGATAGGTAGGTAGACAAATAGATGATAGATAGATAGGTAGATAGATAGATAGATAGATAGATAGATAGATAGATAGATAGATGGATGGATAGACAGACAGACAGACAGATAGACAGACAGATAGATAGATGTGATATGATAGTCTCACTCCCCCATCCCCTTATCACCATCCCTTTCTTGTGACAACTTTAGACTATTGGATCTATCCATTGCTTTATCATCATCAACAATGTTGGGGAACGTATCTGAAATGGGTACCACAAATGGCAACCTTAGAGGATTTGAGGCATGGGAACACGGATAACAAAGGCAACCACAAGACCTACTACTTCACAGCACAACAGTGTGACTGCAGTCAATAAGAACTTAATTGTGCATTTTGAAGTAACTAAAAAAGTATAAATGGATTGTTTGTAACACAAAGGATAAATGCTTGAGGGGATGGATGCCCCGTTCTCCATGATGTGACTATTATGCATTGCATGCCTGTATCAAAACATTTCATGTACCCCATAAATATATACACCTACTATGTACGTACAGAAATTAAAAATTTTAAATTAAAAATAAAAAACAAAGCTAATCCTAGAAAACAGCACTTCCCTCGCACCAACCCTAAACTTTTCTCTCCCCTGTGATGACAAGAAGAACACTATCAATCTGCAGAAGCCCTGACGTAGAAATACTGCCCTCATCTCTGACTAGTAGATGAACATCAAGGGAATTTCTGTGGCACAAGAAATTCAACCTCCCTGGCTACTCTAGTAGGCCCCAAGTGCTGAGAAGTGGCAGAGAGTAGCAGTAGCAGTTAACAGCCTACAGCCACACAGCCTGGGTTCAAATCCTGACTCTGCCACCTATGAGCTTGCCTTAGACAAGTTGCCACTTACTCCCTGGTGATCTTATAGTTACATAACCTCTCTGTGCCTCAATAGCCTCACTTGTACAACGCGGTTTGTCATAGTAGTTATTTCATAGGACTGTTGTGACAACTCAAGACCAAGTGAGAAAATATATTGCAATAGTAAAGGTGCTTGGTATCATTATCCTTTCCTTCACACTCTGGAGCTCAAAAGTATAGATTAAGCCCTTATAGGCTTTCCCAGGGATGTTACATAAAATTTCATCAAAGTCAGAAACATCTCACCCCAACTTCAAGCAAGGACGGAACTCTAGGCCTCACAAATCCTGCCCAGTGTCGTACTCTTTTAAATCAATGGGAATAGCCATGGTGTTCAAAGGTGTACAGGAGAAGCAAAGGAACACATTGCTAGAAAAATACAAAAACCATCAGGATATTATATTCAGGCTTCGGTCAAAAAAAGAGGGGAGTCCTAGAAAGATAAAAGATGAAAAGATAAAAGATAAAAAGAAGGCAGAAAGACTCAATGATAAACTTCGGCATTTGACTTGAGTCCCTGGTTTCTGGACAAGTGGTGGGACCATCCTGTCTCACTCGCTCTGGCTACCTAATCTCTCTCAAGTTTCCGTCGGTCCCCCACCACCCTTGATTTGTTTAAGCCATCATCATTTATCCCTTCAATTACTACATCTTACTTGATCTTCTCCCATATCTGTTTCATCCAATCTACCTTCCACACAGCTACTAAACATCTTTTAAAGATATATTTCTGGTCGTGCTCCTCCTCTGTCTAGTAGCTATCAGTTGTACCTCATTAACCTCATAATAAGTCTAAACTTCTCAGCAAGAAATATCTTATTGCCTTCATCATTTACACTCTCCTAATTATCCAGCCTAATCTCTTACCCACCTTTGTCTTTTAATTGGAACTTTCATTGTCATTCTACCAAATGACATCTAGTCCATTGAATATACCATGCACTCTCTCACCTCTGTCCCATTATGCTAAAGTATTTGGAATTCTCTTCCTCCTGCAAGGTGGTATGGTGATGGATAAGGTAAATTTTATTTTGCCTTGAACATTGCATTTCCTTTTTTCCATGTAACTTCTTTATGTTATACAATGAAAGAACAGCTCATGAGAAAATGTTCACAACAGCAAAATGTTCATTGAATTACTCTGAAGTTTATTTAGACATGTTCTTATGTATCCTTGGGACTGTTTTCTAATCATCCCTGAAAATTATTTCCTAAAGGATGACACTCCTTTTGAATTAAATGAAGTATGTATATATAGCAGCTTATGGAATCTACTTTTTATGCTGTTGGGATGACAGTAATAGCTGTCTCCCACGCTGAAACAAAATGTTCTACAATTACAATACAGAAGAACTAGTAGAATAAACTTGAGAACTGAAACTGAGGACTCGCCATGTCTCTATGTGTTCAGTTATCTAGTGCTTTATCTTACCATTTAAAAAGTTGTTTTGTTTTGTTTTATTTTGTTTTGTTACTATAAGCACTCTGAAAAGAATAGTGTTAGTTGTGCGTTGATCTGTTTCCCTTATGATGAAAATTTAATAGAATGCAGTCTCTTTACTTGGTCCAAGGGGAGGGATTTAAGTTATTTTTCAAAACATAGAGGACTACCCAAAGCAGCCCTCACTGACTTCTCAAGCTCCCAAACAAATGGCAGGCCTACTGGAGGCAACTGGGGATATGACTAGAGCCAAGAGGCGTACTAACTCAAACTTTGGCAACCCAGCGCAGAGCATTGAACAATTATTCACGCACTCACTCACCAAGGGACCCTTCATTCTTAGCTCTTACCACCACTCAATTCTACACCCACTGTAATTCTGTGCATCCTCTCTATTCCTCCATCCAAGATGCTCTCCCCTTCTGATATTCAATTTAAAGTGTAATCAAAAATCTCCTCTACATCTTTGACTTCTTCTTCTTCACTATCTTGCCTTAATCAATACTTGGTTTAATCAAGTCTTAGCTGTCCCCTGAGTACCCTGCTTCCCCTAGACCCTCTGAAATGAAGGCTATCTTCTCTTCTATATCCCAACATATTCATGACCAAGAGAAGATTCGGTGTCTCCTTTACTCACCATTGCTTGTTCAAGACCATGACATACTCTCTCTGTTGCAAAATCCCTGTTCTTTTGAGCCAACCATTTGGTAATATCATTTCTTCTTTGTCTTCAAAGAAGTATTTTGAGCTCCTGGTCCTGCTCCTTCATTCACTGAAGACTTTAGCTCCTTCCATCATCCCAGACAACGTAGTGCCTACACAGATGACATTGTATGAAAAGCCCTTACCTCAATTCTTTGACCTTTTTATTTCCAATTATATTTTCTTTGTGTTTTTTAACTTTTATTTTAGTTTTGGGGGTACATGGGCAAGTTTGTTATAAAGATAAATTGCATGTCACAGGGTTTGGTTTACAGATAATTTCATCACTCTAGTAATAAGCACAGTATCTGATAGGTATTTTTTCTGATCCTCTCCCTCCTCCCACCTTCTACTCTCAGGTAGGCATCAGTGTCTGTTGCTGCTCTCCTAATATTCATGTGTTCTCACTGTTTAGCTCCCACTCTTAAGTAGGAATACACAGTATTTGGTTTTATGCTCCTGTGTTAGTTTGCTTAGGATAATGGCCTCCAGCTCCATCCATGTTGCTGTGAAGGAATGATCTAATTCTTTTTTAAGGCTGCATAGTATTCTGGGGTGTATACGTACCACATTTTCATTATCCAGTCTACTGTTGATGGGAATTCAGGTTGATTCCATGTCTTTGCTATTGTGAATAGTGAATACTGCTGCAATGAACATACACATGCATGTGTCTTTATGGTAAAATGATTTATATTCATTTCAGTATATAACTAGTAATAGGATCGCTGGATTGCATGGTAATCTTGCTTTAAGTTCTTTGAGGAATCACCACCCTGCTTTTCACAATGGTTGAACTAATTTACACTCCCACCAACATTCAATTATATTTTCTATAGCTCCACCTCCTACTTTCTTTAGCTTCTCCTCAGCAACCCACTGCTAAAATCACAACATGAAGACAGCACAACCAAACCCTTCAGAAATTTAAAATCTGACCCTAACCCCCTTTTTCCTGCCTCTTTTGCCCGAGTGCCTCTACTTCAGCAGCCTCAGCCACACGGAATCTTCACTGTCTCTCCCCAGGCCCTCCAGTCTTCATGTCTCTCTGCCCAGTTCAGATGGCCTGGAGCATTTCAGACTCTTTCACCTTCCTGTCCTTCCTCCTTCCTTTTAGCAGAGTATTCCCGCTTTTTTCAGGAGTCAACTTCTATAGCTTGTGTTATCTTCTTCCCTTTCTGGTCCCCCTTCTCAGTCTTCCTTTCCAATTTCTCTTCTCTTACTTGTCACCCAGTTGTTCTCCTGCCCTCTTCAATTTATTTTCCATATAAAATACAAAGTGATCATAGCTTACAGCTACCTCTTTCAAGGTCTTCCATTTCATTTAAAAAGAAATATGAAATCCTTAACATGGGCTTCTATAGCCCCAAATAACATGGCTCCTGCCTCCATCTAGACCCTCATCTTTCCTCCGTGCTCTCTAAACTCCAGCCACACTGACCTGCATGCTGGTTCTGAAACAAGTCCAACCTGTTCCCTCCTTGTGCTTTCTCCTGGGTTCTTCCCTCTGTCCACCTGTGGCAGAGTTTCCCCAAGCTTTGCCTAATCAATCCCATCCATCCATCAGGGTTTGGCTCCGATATCAAAATTATCTAGACGCCTTCCCTTAGTGTCCATCTAAATCTCATCTCTGTTATCCTTTCATGCCTCCAATGACCTTTTTGAAGAACAATGATCACCATGCTTAATTGTATATTTTATTGACATCGTAATTTGCTCAATACTTCTAAGCTCTATTAGGAAAAGATTCTCTAAGTTTTGTTTATCATTATATCCTCAGTGTCCAGAACACAGTAGATGCTCAATCATGCCAAGACAGAAGGAATAATAATGATGTTCATATACCTGTTCAGTGGGACTATAAGTACCCAAACTGTTTCCTTCCATTGTTTGGGAGACATGGGACATGGGAAGTGTGGTATCTTTATATTGCTTTAAAACCATTATTGATATTTCCTCCTCCATACACAACAGAAAAGTGCTCAAAATTGTTATCAAGCCATGGATGGTAGTGTATTAAATGTATACTTTGGAGCCAGCATATCTATTTTATATTCCAGTTTCCAAAAGCGCTAACTATGTGACCCTGTGCAAATCCCATAACCTCTCTGAGACCCAATTTTCTCATTTAAAAAATAGGAGCAATAGAACCAGCTTACAGAGTTGTTATGCAGAGAATGAGATATAATTCAGATAACAGCCCACTGTCTAGCATTTCACAGGTGCTCTACAGAGGTTAGTTTCTGTCTGATCCCTATTTCTACATCGTTAATGTTAATATTGTCATTTTGCATGTGCTGTGAGATTGTTTCATCAAGCTAATGAAATAGTCTCACACCCACTATTACAGAGAATCTAAATCATTTCAAAGTTTCTTTATCTTCCAGTTATTTTAGGGAGTTTGGAGGAAATGTCTCATATATATTCAGGAAGAGTAATTAATTCTCAATTACTCATATTCTCCTCTCCCTTTTGGATTTGGGTTTCTGTCTGATAGTGACAAGCAAGCCTTCCCCTGCTGCAGCCACCCCACTGGTTCTGCTTGATCATCAGCTTTTGCCCAAGGAAGATGTGCCATGCTAAGCTATACTGCAATGAGGTGATTCTCATGTGCCAAGACACAATGCCAGGCTGCTTCCTGGGGCCACTGCTGGTATTCTCTCCTACTAATGCCACGGGGGTCATTTTTGGTTCTAAAGCTGCTCTGTCTAGAAAGTGAGCAATTCTTCACATTCCTATGTTTGTGCTACTCTCTGTTAGCATCTATTAAAGATTTTGGAAATATAGCTCTTTTCTTTTATAACTCCTTTTTCTCTAGCATTCAATCAAAAACCCATACAGCCTTTTTTTTTTTTTTTTTTTTTTTTTTGAATTTCTGAGATGGAGTCTCACTGTGTTGCCTGGGCTAGAGTGCAGTAGTGCAATCTCGGCTCACTGCAATCTCTGTCTCCTTGGTTCAACTGATTCTTCTTTCTCACCCTCCCCAGTAGCTGGGATTACAGGCACACACAACCAGGCCCAGCTAATTTTTGTATTTTTCATAGAGACGGGAATTCGCCATGTTGGCCAGGCTGGTCTCAAACTCCTGACCTCAAGTGATCTGCCCGCCTCAGCCTCCCAAAGTGCTGTAAGATCCATATGGTCTTGTGTTAGTCGGCTAGGGCTGCCATAACCAAATCTCACAGACCGGGTGGCTTAAACAACACAAATTTATCTTGTCACAATTCTGAAAGCTAGAAAGTGCAAGATCAAGGTGTCAGCAGGTTTGGTTTCTGGTGAGGCCTCTCTCAGCTTGCAGACAGCACCTCCTGGCTGTATCCTCACATGGACTTGTGTGTGTGTGTGAGAACACACAGTGAGACAGCTCTGGTGTCTCTCCCTCTTCTTATGAAGACATCAGTCTCTTTGGACCCTCTTCTAACCTCACTTAATACCTCCTTAAATGCCCTATTTCCAAATTCGGTCACATTGAACGTCAGGCATCAACATATGAATGAAGAAAGGGGTGCACTATTTACTCCATAGCAGGCCTAGACTAGGAAAACCAGGTAAAAATGGACCAAGCAAGAAATTTCCCATCCCCTCAAAGGATCAATAAATTGTTCTTAGACCCAAATTCCACTCGCTTAAATTACTTTCCTTAGGCATGACATTTCCTCTTAAGATCCCTTATTCCTAATAGGATAAATTGACCTATCACCCTCTCCTACCCACCCTCGTATCTGCCTGAACATATCTGAATTGACTCCATCTCCTGCACCCCCACGCACACACGCTTTTTCTTTCAGTACCAAAGCAAAGATAAATACCCAACATGATAATGATCCAGGATCTCTTCAATTCCTGAATATTTCTCAGGGGTCGTAGAAAATGAGAGTTTTACAAAGAATCAATAATTCTTTGAATTATTAGATGTTCATTCTGTGCATTCTTTCAGTCATGTAGCCTAAAAAGATTAGAAACTCACTACCCAGTGACTTGATTTATTCCAGAAGAGCAATTTAGGTCACGGGAAAAATGAAACCTATCAACTGCCAATCCCTCAGATAACATAATAACTGTTATTTTTCTCTACTGGCCATTTGTTTCTTAAATTAGAAGTCTTCACAGCACAAAAGGGACAGAGGTAGCCTTACCTATGTGTAGATTTGTGTCTGAGCCCATTAACGGAAGAGGTTAGGTTCTTGTACTAATGAGGGAAATGCAGAACTTGCATCCCCAGAGAACAATTATAGTCACACACAAGAGATGCCCTGCTTCCCAGCTTACTACCTGATTTTCACATAAAGCTGTGCTACTTGTCTTAGAGAACACCGCACTAAAATGTCTAGATGGTAACTTATTCAGCAATCATTGACTGAGCTTCTTCTGTGTCCCAAGCTCTGTGCTATGAGGTAAGCATATTAATATAAATAAAATACCACCCCTGGGCCTGGCGTGGTGGCTCACGCCTGTAATCCCAGCACTTTGGGAGGCCGAGGAGGGCAGAACATCTGAGGTCAGGAGTTCGAGACCAGCCTGGCCAACATGGTGAAACCCCCTCTCTACTAAAAAAAAATACAAAAATTAGCCGGGCATGGTGGCGGGCGCCTGTATAATCCCAGCTACTCGGGAGGCTGAGGCAGGAGAATCGTTTGAACCTGGGAGGCGGAGGTTGCAGTGATCTGAGATCACGCCATTGCACTCCAGCCTGGGCAACAGAGCAAGACTCCATCTCAAAAAATAAATAAATGCCGGGCGCGGTGGCTCACGCCTGTAATCCCAGCACTTTGGGAGGCCGAGGCGGGTGGATCATGAGGTCAGGAGATCGAGACCATCCTGGCTAACAAGGTGAAACCCCGTCTCTACTAAAAATACAAAAAATTAGCCGGGCGCGGTGGCGGGCGCCTGTAGTCCCAGCTACTCGGGAGGCTGAGGCAGGAGAATGGCGTGAACCCGGGAAGCAGACCTTGCAGTGAGCCGAGATCGCGCCACTGCACTCCAGCCTGGGCGACAGAGCGAGACTCCGTCTCAAAAAAAAATAAATAAATAAATAAATAAATAAAAATTAAAAATAAAACAAAATAAAATACCACCTCTGTCCTCAGGAGTCTTGTAGTCTAGTGAGTAATCAGTGAATTTTATTAACATTACTGAGAAATAAACAATCTTACTAATGTGGTTGATTCTGAACACGATATACTGATATTTTTATAGTACTTTGCAACTTAGCAAACATTTTCATATAATTACCTTGTTTTATTCTCACAGTGGTCCCCACAAGAGATGTCATTAACCTTGATTTGGAGATCAAAAAACTCAGCATTAAAAAGTTTAAGTGAATTATCCAAGGTCACACAGCAAGTGAATAAATATAAGCCATCTTCAAAACCCAAGTCCTGTGTCATCAAAAAATGTATAAGCCCTTGCCAAATTATGCTCAGAATAGTCTTTAATGCTTCAATTGTTTCATCTCACTATTTTTTTCTTTATAATTTTATAAACAATTGTCTGCCAATGTCAAAGGTGCATTTTTGATAACAAAACTTCTGGTCGTATCGAAGAGGAAAAAGAGATAGAAACATAACGCTTATGCTTAAAAAAAAAATCAAGTTATCAGTTTGCCCAAACTAACCTGGTTCTCTGTAAAATAGTCTAAAAATTTCCAAAAATTGAAATTTCAGGTCCTGGATTATACAATAATGTTTTATAACCCAAAAATACAGTTTGAAAATGAAAGTATTTTTCCCTCTTTATTATGTCAATATACATAATTCAGCTCCAATAATTAATGTTTAGGTTTGCACTAAGAGGCTTGCACATGGAGAAATTTATAGTCTTTATTAAACCCATCTGCATCAAAATGTCTATTGCAAAGTTAGGTAAGAGTCCTATATTTGCATAGTGTTATATTTCTCACTTCGCACAGCAAAGCTTTGCATCCAGAGAGTTCATTGAGATTTAGTGAAAACTAGCCCAAGAGCACACAGTTTATCCACAGCAATTCTGTCAAATGCATTGAGCTGCCAAGACCTAATTGCGAAGGTTCTAGTGGCATGTTGGAATCACATGGGAAGCTTTAAAAATTCAGATGCCAGGTCCCACACTCAGAATTCTGATTCAATTGGTCTGGGGTGCAGTCAGTTATGCAACTGCCCAGTAGGTTCTTCCTGCTCACTGCCCAGATAGAGCTGATTTCTCAAAACAGGGGTATTGCAATAAAGAGTTTAATACACATAAAGCCAGCTAAATGGGAGAGAGATCAGAGTTTTATTATTACTCAAATCAGCCTCCTTGAAAATTCAGAGACTAGGGTTTTCAAGGGTAGTTTGACAGGCAGGAGGCAGGGGAAATGATGCTGCTGATTGGTTGGGGACGCAATTGTAGGGATGTGGAAAATAGTCCTCGTGCACTGAGTCCGCTTCTGGGTGGGAGTCACAGAAGAATCACTGGTCCAGGTGGAGTCATTCAGTAGTCGATAATGTGAAAGTCTGAAAAGACATCTTAAAAGGCCAATCTTAAGTTTTCTACTAATGGTTTTATTTACAGGAGTAATTGGGGAAGTTGTAAATCTTGAGACCCATGGAACAACAGCTGGTAATTGTTTAACCTACCACTTTGCAGAATTCAGACCCCTCTCATTTTAACCTGGTAACCTTTCATTAATTTTATAAAGCCGGTTTAGTTTGGGGAAGGGCAATTATCACTTAAACTATAAACTAAATTTTCCCCTAAGTTAGCTTGGCCCACATCCAGGAATGACCAAGGGCAGTGATATGATTTCGCTGTGTCCCCACTCAAATCTCATCTTGAATTGTAGCTCCCATAACTCCCATGTGTTGTGGGAGGGACCCAGTGGGAGATAATTGAATCATGGGGGCAGTTCCCCCCATACTGTCCTTGTGGTAGTGAACAAGTTTCATGAGAGCTGATGGTTTTACAAGGGGAAACCCCTTTCGCTTGGCTCTCGTTTTCTCTCTTGCCTGCCACCACGTAAGATGTGCCTTTTGCCTTCCGCCATGATTGTGAGGCCTCCCCAGTTACATGGAACTGTGAGTTCATCAAACCTCTTTTTCTTTATAAATTACAGTCTCAGGTATGTCTTTACCAGCAGCATGAAAATGGACTAATACAGGCAGTTTGGAGGTTAAAGATAAGATGGAGTTAGTTAGGTCAGATCTCTTTCACTGCCATAATTTTCTCGCTGTGATAATTTTTGCAAAGGCAGTTTTAGTTATTTGGGATTTCTGAAAGCCCTACATGGAATTGAAGGTATAGTCAAGCTCAAAAACCATTGCCTTGAGACAGTCAGAGATTAGTTCAAAGACAAGCACAAACCAGGAGCTTGTTAGAAATACAAATCCGGGATCCCATCCCAAACCTAATTAATTAGAACTAAAGTTTGAGAATACTGTCTTTAAGGGAAAATAAAAGATATTAAAGGTTATTTATAGATCCTATAGAGATCAAAGTATTTCTTTAAATAAACAATAGGTTTTAGTGAATCTCAAGCATTTGAGAAGAGTGAATCTTTTTGGTAAATGTTATACTTCTTGTTATTCCTTTGCAATAAGCAACACTCTGGAAAAAGAGGTCCCTTGCCTGGATCCCTTTCCATTTCAAGTGCAATAGGGAAGCAGACATTGGGTACTGGAGGATAAACCTTAGGAACCACAGGAAACAGAATAGGTCTTTACTGCCTGTCCACAGGGCAAGAGTGGTCACCACATACTGCTCACAGACATTAATAGAAGCTGTCTACCTGCTGTGGTGCTCATAATTTTACCCCGCTTACTTTTTTTCGGCCAAAAACTGGAAATGGCTTTTTCAAGCAAACAGGAATGGATAGCTTGGGCATAATGAGTAATCATCTTGCTATATTCACCTTAGATTGTGAGTATGAATCTTCTTGCATTGTTCCAGATAAATACTACAAAAGATTTTGATTATTTTTTCCACACTGGGTGGTGCCTTAGTTATGGTTTCTTGATCTAAACCACTCAGCTTTCTCTGTTTACCAAGAGATTACACCACAATCAATATGAAAAACCCTCATCACCTTGGAATATTTGAGGGTTTTTCTCAGGTGGAAGAACGCTGTTACCTCATGGGGAAAAGAAACCTTTTTAAGTGCTCTGAACTTTTTTTCTTTCATTGGAAGAAAACAAAAGAAAAAGGAAAGCCCTATATCCACATTGTGCCAGTTGTTGAGATGAAAACCCTGCTTGCACATTTTTCCAGATAGATATTTATTTCTTTGCAGGAGGAGTTATGGGATCCTAAGAATCCCCTGCACACACAGCCCCCTGCTGTTGTTTTGAGCCATCTGCACAGAGTACACTCTTAGCAGCTCCTCCCCAGGCTCAGGCAATTTGTCTCTCTGATTTTCTTTCAAGAGCTTGAACTTCCTAAAACTTCTAAGCATGTACCATGACAAAAATTTCAAAGATGTATTTAAACAGAAGATGACATTTTAAAATATGTCATTGGCTTCCATTCCCAGAAAAAGGTAAGATGAAGTAACATGACCTACCCTCCCCTTAAGATCAAATAGAAATGTTAGATTTAAGAAAATAATAAATATGATACATACTTAGCGAGCTGAAAGGAAGGAACAAAACGTTGTCTTTATGTTTCTGTCATAGCCAATCCATCGGGAACCAGTGCTGGCTGTACCTTCCTGCCCCCTCTACGGCTACCACACCTGTCAGGTTCTGTCATCCCTGCTCCTGGATTCCTGCAGTACCCTCTCAATATATCTCCCTATCCCTACCACGTCCCCTACAATCTACCTATAGCTAAACATAGCTATCAACATATAGCCAACAAGATCTTTTTTTTTGAGACAGTCTCACTCTGTCACCCAGGCTGGAGTACAGTGGTGTGATCTCAGCTCACTGCAACCTCTGCCTCCCGGGCTCAAGTGATTCTCCAGCCTCAGCCTCCTGAGTAGGTGGGACTACAGGTGTGCACCACCACACCTGGCTGATTTTTGTATTTTTAGTAAAGACAGGGTTTCACCATGTTGGCCAGGTTGGTCTCAAATTCCTCACCTCAAGTAATCTGCCTGCCTTGGCCTCCCAAAGTGCTGAGATTACAGGCATGAGCCACCAGGCCCAGCCAACCAATGCGATCTTTTAGAACATGTCAGATCAGGTCACTGCTCTCTTCAAAGCACAGACTAAAAGCCAAAATCCTTACAATGACTTTCAAGCTGTACAGGACCTGTCCTCTCCCTTCGACTCTGGTCTCCTCCCCCAGGACTCCTTCTCTAAACGAATCAGCTCCAGTTACACCAGCCTCTGTGCCACTCCCACAAAGCCTGCAGCATCCTCATACATGCAGGTCTTTACTCTGCTGTTTCACCTCAATGAAACACCCTTTCCATGGAAGTTGCTTGGCTCACACTTTCTTTTTTTTAAGCCTTTGCTCAAATTCCACCTTTCCATGAAGCTCACCCTGAAAACATGACTTTATACTCCAGCTTGCTTCCCTTCCTCCTCCATTCTTGACCCTTTTATGAGATGCCTATATCCCTCTCCCATATCATTTATTATCTTTTAAGATTTCAGATACTTTACTGTTTTAATTATATGTTTACATTTATCTATCTGCTGCTGGAATCTAAACTCCACAAACATGGAAATCTATATCTCTTTATTCATAGACATAACCCAAGTCCTAGAACAATACTGACTTATTATAGGTACTCAGTAAAAACCTGTTAAACAAGTGCCTAATATCCTCATCCACTAGAAATGAATAGGAGCTTAAAGTCAGAGTTTTAAAGTGATAAGAGGGAACTTTGGTAGCTTGGGAGGGATATTAGATCATTATATAGGCCCTAGGGGAAAGGAGATAAGGTTTTAATACAACACAAAAAAAGAAGAGAATGGTCTCAAAGCTACGAAATAAGCAGGGACTCATACTCTCTATCAAAAGGCAGAATCCTGGAAAGCTTGGCCCCTTGGGAGACTAGAAAAAGCCCATTCCTCAAGGAGATGAATCTATGTCCAAGACCCTATGAAAAAAATATGTGTAAGGTATCAAATCTGAATTGACACCATAATAAATGGTACGAGAATCCCAAAACCAAGAAATTGGTTCTTTAACCATGGTCCTTGACTCGTGAGGATCTCTGCATATGTAGCATATGTACTTAAACAAGACAAACACTTGTACAACCAAGAACCTTCCGGGTCTGATGAAAAGTAATAACCTTAGTTTCAAAAATTTGCAGTGCAAAAATCACAAACTACTCCAGAAAATCATTTATTGAAAGATTGCAGAAACACAAACAAGATTAGAAAATCCAAGAAGCTGACCTAATCTATGAATCCAAAAAATGCTACAAAATAAAATAATGACATTTAAAATAAAATCAGCATGTTAAAGATGGAATAAAAATATAACTAAGGAAGCATATACTATTAAAATAGTGTGTAGAAATTTTAGAGAAAAAATTGCCATTAAAATTAAAGGTATAATAGTTTAATAGCAGACACTACTTAAAAGAAAATCGCATTGATAAAGCATATCCAGTCATTTGTAGAATAAATGTCATAAATCTACACCTAAAGAAAGACCTACATGTAAGAGCTAACACTAAGAAAACAATGGAGTGATACTACACGGCCTTGGATTCAGCAGTGTACTGATTCCCAGATATGACACTGAAAGTGCAAGTAACAAAAGCATTCTATCTACATGGAAAAAATAAAACTAGACGCTTACTTCCTACCAATCTAAAAATTCGTTCCAGGCTTACTAAAAGTACAAATATGAAAAACAAAACTTAAAAGTTCTGGAATACAATATTTAATGTCTCTTTCCTTTAAAGTGGTGAAAGATATCTTAAGGTACAAAAAAATCATAAAATAAAGGAAAAGATGGAAATTTAGCTAATTAAAATCTCTGAGAAAAATGTAGTAAATTAAAAATACAAACTACAGACTGGGAAAATATATTTCCAACTCATGTAATTGACAGTGGACTCCGATCAAATATATATTAAAAAATACTTAAAACCCAATAATGAAAGATAAATAACCCAATAGAAAAGTGGCCAAAGGTCATGAATGGCAATTTATAGAAGAGGAAAGATGAATATACAATAAACAAATGAAAATAGTTCCATTCTTACTTGTTTCAGTGAAATGCAAACTAAAACAATGATGCGATATTTTTACACCTGTCATGCTGACAAAAATTTAGTCTGTTAACACCAAGTATTAGTGAGATGAGGGAATAGGAATGGTTATATACTGATGGTGGTGGTATAAATTGGCATAGCACATTGGAAAGCTAAAGATATGATTAACCTAAAGTCCAGAAATGTCTTTTTCTGGACTCATATATCTTAGAAAAACTTACATATTTACTCAACAAGATATATACCAGAATGTTTACTGCTTGATTGTTCATAGATGGGAAAATTTGAAAACGAACTTCATACGTCTATCAGTAATGAAATAGATAAATAAGCCATGGTAGAATCACATGTTAGTATGAATGAACTAGATCTGCAACTATCAATACAGATAAATATTTTTAAAATATTAAATTAATAAAGCAAGTTGTAAAAGGATTTACATAATATAATGTGCAAAATTTGAAAACACTTTTAACAATACTATTTTTATGATGATACTATGTTATGATGTTACATATGAATGAAGCAGCAAAAACGTCTCAAAAATGGCACAAGCATCTCCAGGACATGTTTATCTCTAGGGAGTCAGAGTAATGGGACGGAGAGGAGGGCCTTAGCTGCAGCTGTAACGTTTTAATTCTTTAAAAATAAAATTATCTGAAACAAATATGAAAAACTAATATTCAGTAAATATGAGTGGTAGATGTCTGTCATAATTTTTTGAATTTTGGGGGAAGAATTTTCTTACTTAAAAATTGTCAGATAAATAAAACACGTTCTTCCATTTATTCAACACAAACTCTGCACTAGGCACTGGAAAAGCAAAGGCAAACAAGGCACAGTCCTTCCCACTGTAGAATTCAGAGTCTTTGATGGAAGATGGGCACATAACCAAATAAATGCCTTAATATGTGATGATGGCAGAGATAAATAACATATGTACGTAAAAGATACAGGGAACACATACAAAAAGATTAATCAATTCCACTTAAGATTGGAAGAGTCTTAAGGGTCTTTTAAAAAGTGATTACAAGTGGTTTCTCCACCAATGAGAACAATTTAACTCCCAAGCATTGGCTCACATTTCAACCCATCCACAATTACAGTTATATCAGTATCTAGACAAGGAAATAGAGCCATAATACTTGAAATCACAACGGTCTCTGTGATTTTAAAACTCTTTGCCTTGAAAGAACTTGCGCAAATAAATTCATGAGGAAGGGCCTGACACAGGCCCCTAGATACAACAGTAGGGCTTAATGTGAAATGAGTTACTGAAGATATAAATTTGGCGAAAGGGGTCATAAGAAGTCAGTTTCAAGTTGATCCTTAAGCCACATACTTGTCCCAGCTGGACAAACCAAGGTCAATTACTCTGAACTTTGTGAATCTCAGCCAGCTCTACAATTGTATCAGGATACTACTTCCTCATATTGTACAGCTCATTATTTTTAAAAGTTCAGTCTATATAATGCTCTTGGGGAAAGATTTCTTTCCTTCAGAATTGTTCAAGGAACTCTCCAAATTACAGCCTCAAATTCTTCCCCATATATTTAAACGACCTAGTAGTGACCAGAATGTAAGCTATTTATTGTTTAAAGAACCACCCCCTCTTATGAATGATTTAATGATTCTTCCAAAGGTGTGGCAAGTTTTCATCAATAAGTTGGAAGCCTTGGTTTCTCAGGTTAGTATTCTATCCATGATCCAGCCGATCACTTTATTGATGTCCATCATTAAACATAATCCATACAGCTTGTATGGACTTCCCCTTGGTATTGACTCCAAAAACAAGAATCAGGTAAGGGTACTGTGGTCATTTCATCCATCTTTCAAGCCAAGACACTTGTGTGTGTGCCAGAGGTTAATCCTTTTATTTAACATTTAGGGAATTAACACATAGTTATAAGGTCAATATAAGCCTTCCAATGGAAGTACTTTATTTGGTTTAATTTATTCTTCAAGGAGAAATGAACAATTCTAGGACCTTTATGAGGCAATGGATCTTTACAACATAGAAATTACTCTAAAGTTTACAATTAGTTGAACACACACACACACGCACACACAAACACGCACACACATAAAGGTGCTCCATATGAGGTTAAGATTAAAATTTGGGTCATTTTTAGGATTTGTTAGTGATCATCCTTGTTTTCCCAAAAATGCAGAAGGCAGAACCAATAAGCATGGAGGCAAAATTTCTGGAAAAATATTTTACGTTAACATAACATTCTCAGGAAACTTCTATAATTACCAATGTTACTGAAAGGCATTAGAGGAGCAAAAATACTTTTGACGATAAAGGAGTTAGTATTGACAATCATGCTAGGACAACAGGCATTATCCAGGACCATCCAGGAAACCAGGACATACGGTGATCACAGGTACCTCCAGTAAGGACTAATACATGGCTGCTTGTGGTTACGACTCATTCAGGCCTTAGGGATATATTGTGTAATAATTTCATTCCACAGCATTCTGTAGGAGGTTACATTGCTCAAAGTTTAGATGTTCTATGGATCTCTTCCTGAGGTTTATTTTTATGGCCATAGTGGGCATTTGTTACCACCCACTTTGAAACTGTTCCAAACAAAAATTCTTGTGGCCATGTTTTGGGGGCCTCGGTCACCCATCTGTTCATGTACTGGAATAAACTTAAAATTATTTTTAGGGAAAATCTTGGCTTACTCCTCAGTACTTGCTCAGCCCATCACTCTGTGAGTTTGCAGTGGCCTCCTACTCTAACACATGCAAATTCATAACTACATGGAAAATTACATTATCAAAAAGGCAAAGTATAAACATTAGGCTGGGGAAAATACGTGCAAAGGAGAGTATAAGAGCTCCTGCAAAGAGACGGGTAAGCCTCCTCAGCTTCAGAGAACTCTGAGTGCTTATGGGTATCTGGGTCTTCGTTTAATAAATTAATTTTAAAAAAAACAGGAAACAGACTCTCTGCATGCCTAAACATTCACTTGAGAGGATAAAGTGAAATTCACTGCCACTCAATACTGACTGAAAACCTTATTGAGAAAAAAAAATGTACTTAACAGAATTACCTGAAGTATATGTTTTCTATTCACTTTCCTAAAATTTGAAAATCATCCTTAAGAAGACTATGAGCTACCTTCATATCTGGACTGCACTGCTTTGGCCCCTCAAAAAATCCTCCTGCTAAGCTGAGCTGATTTATTCTGCCAACAGCCTTTACAGGGAGTAAAGGTAAAGCAACAGTCCTGTGAAGCTTGTCGTAATTATTTGTTGAGGATATTGTTCATTGTAATAATGGGCCCCTCTCTATAAGGTCCTTAGGATACATTTTCTCAGGGCTCAGAACCAGGAATGATTGTGCATATTCTGGAAAATTGGTGGCTTTATCTGATAAACACGATGGCTCATGCTTCTTTCTTAGCATTGGCTGCTAGAAATCTGAGAGCCAAATTTATAGTTTCCTAACAGTGTTTGATGACCTCATAATATGCATTTTGTTTTCTAACATCACCGGTCATTAGCTTATTATCCCAATCTTTATTTTTTCCTTCACCATAATTCTCTCACTTATAAAAGTCCTACTGTACTGTACTTGTTTTGTGGGTTTGCAGGAAAAAGGTAAGGTTATAGAGATACACAGTTACATGCATACCTTCAAAAGAAAGAAAGAACATACAAAATCACCCAGCCTCATTTTCTCATCTGTCAAACAAAATGGATGGGTACTGTAATCCCTCTAGTTCTAATTTTTTTTATAATTCTACATTTTTGTTTCTCAATCTGGCTGAGCTTCTGATTTCTCTGAACACCTGGAAGCCGATTCTATTTCTCAATTTCCCCATCTGGGAAACAGCAGTAATATTTTATTTTATCCATATTCCTTAGAGCTTCATAAAACAACCTGGACTCTACAATATTCCTACTTATTCTTCTTTCCTTGACACTCATTACAAGTAGCAGGAGAACAAAGAAGTATACATCAACACTCTAAGACATCACTTGAATCACTGCTTTTATGAAAAGCTTTCATGGTAAGCCATCTCCCCCATCCCCTCTTCACCACTGCGCAGTTTCATATTAAACTAAAGAAATGCACTACTCACAGTCACCTTCCAAACCAGCCATTAAATTTTAATTTTGTTGTTCTCTGCATCAAGAGCCTAACACAAGGAAAATGTCCTTACTTTTTAGGAGATGAACTGGTACTCTTTCAACATTGATATATTAATTCAGTTGAAAGGACTAGGAGACAAGATGCAAAATTACCAGGTGCCAGCCAATGTTTGAAAAGCAGTACAACTACTGGTTGTACATGCAGACTTGGGGAGTCAAATGGCCTATATTGGAATTCCAGGTCTGCCACTTACTAACTCCTGACTTTAGCCAAGTTACATAACATCTCTGTGCCTCTGTTTCCTCAACTATGAAATAGGGATAAGTTGATATAAGGATCAAATAAATTAGTACAAGTAAAGCAACAGAACAGTGCTTAGCATCTAGAGACACACAGTGTCACCTGCTAGTATCATTACTCAGCCACCAAAGCTATAGAATTTAATGAATTCATAAGTAATATCCACAACAAATTGAGGTATAATTTTTCATACTGGAAATACAAATGCAACGGATATATTTTCAAATAGGGTTTTTGTGTCTTGTATTTTAGATAGTAGCAACTACCAATTAGTTTTATATATACATATATGTATAAAGTATATATATATGATTAAGAAAAACTCACTTCACTTACATGTCAATTTTCTCCTAGTGAAACAGAAAGCTCCACAAGTCATCAATACTTTAAAAGATTCATGAATATATATGCATTATGATTATGTTAGGATTTCACTATATTCATTTTTAAATATTGGCATTGGCCTTGGTCGTTTGGAGATTAAATAAAATAAATGGCATGAATAGCAGAGAATCAGGTGACAAAAAAAAAAAAGAATATGGCTAAAGTGGCCATCTGGTAAATCAATTCCCAATTCTTTGCCCAATTCACTGACATTTGCATTTTACCAAAGCTTATCCAGACCACAGAATGAATGAAACATATGGCACTTCTTATTTATGAGCGATGTTTCATGATTGACATTATAATATCTGACACAACATACATTAATTAGAAAACATAAATTAATTAGAAAAGAATTAATTTAATTCATTAAGTAACTCTAACCGTTTGACTCTCCGTTCTCTAAATGAACAGTATCCAATTTCTCTTTTCTCAGACACCTTGAACTAGCTATATGTGCTCAGAGGAAATGATTCTTTCCTTTATTTCAGACTGACACTACAGTTTTGGTTTTATGTGGCAATTTTGGGAAATCATTCTGAAACTCACATTATGAAACGTGAATTATGTGCCCACAGAGAATTGTTTAAATTTCCTGAGGGAACTTAATATTCACCCACGCCATATGGAGAACAGTTTCCCAGTTTCCACTGTAGCACACCTACCTGAATATATTTAGTTCTGGTCTAACTTCAGCCTCCTCAATTGATTTAGAGGCTGGTAACTTCTCAATGACATCACTTTTTATTCTTTTTGTCATTCATTAAAGCACTTAAATCTGTGACACCATTCAGGCTTAACTTTTTCCTCTGGAAGCCAGTTGGACTAACAACACACAAAGCAGAGAGCAGGAAAGCTCTAGTGGAAGGCATTTCCTGACTTATCATTCTCCTATCAAACAGTTATTTTCTTGTACAAGTCACCTTTACAATCTTTTTGGGTGTTATGCTGTAACAACAGGACCTCGTTGTCTGGATATTGTCAACTTACTAACTGTATACTCCATCTAACTATCATATAGATTTATTTTTCTTAATACCTCACCAGAATTGGAAGAGGTCAGTCTTTGCTCTAGGGTTTCCAGAAAGGTCTAGTTGCCTTATCTCATCTTTCTTCTCTAACCAACAAAATAATTTTTCTTGCTTAATCTATTTTGGCCTATTTAGTTGTTTCAGCTGATGTAATTCTTAGAGACCATCCAGTCATTACTCTAATTCTTCCAAATGTGTAATATGCCACATTTGAATAGTCCTCCAGCCCCCGCCAGATCCCACAGTCACTCACTTCTATGGGATCATGCTTCTCTGTACATTCTCACCAAAGATTTCACTATCAGATTTGCAGCCAGAAAAAAATATCATCTTCAATAACATGTGGCTCATCCCAATTGCTTTTTTACCATTTGCCTTTCTGGCTTTCCCTAGCCTGGGTTAAACTCAGGTAATTGTCTTATGAGATTAATATATCATCCATTTTATTTGCAGTGCCCTTTCTCTCTGATCTTTCTCTTCTCCTCTCTGAAGAGAAAACCAGAATAGCTACACAGAATGTCTCAAGTAACAGAAGCAAAAGGCATTTTCCATTGTATGTGCCATAAAATGAAAAATGTCTATTATCTACTCACTCACTCAAAAATCTTTAGTGTTGACTTCATGCTGGGCCCTATTCCAGATGCTGGGAATGTAGCAGTGAAGAAGAGCTCAAGCAAACCACTGCCCTTGTGTAGCATCCATTCAAGGGCTGAGGGTGAGAAATGGTCAGTAAACAAGCAAGATCATCATCTGCAACATGTCAGCTGGCTTCAGAGGAAAGTCAAACAGGCTAAGGGAAAAGCCCGTGGGGAAGGTGTGGGAGAGGTGAGAGAGGGGCTGTGTGAACGGTGATGGTAAAACGTTCTGGATACCTTATATTGTATAGAATATTTGTTATGCACATGCACTCTGGAGCCTGAATACTTGGATGGAATCCATCATGCTCAGGTAATAGCTGTGTGACAATTCTGCTTATCTTCCGCTGCAAAACAAATTAGTTAACACTCTGTG
The DNA here is from genome assembly GCF_000001405.40 of Homo sapiens. Lineage (NCBI taxonomy): Eukaryota > Metazoa > Chordata > Mammalia > Primates > Hominidae > Homo > Homo sapiens. Next base: position 2,144,230 of record NC_000018.10, read on the forward strand.
GCTTAAAACAATAGTCATTTATTTTACTCATGAATCTGTGAGTCAGGAATTCTTTCAAGGCAAAAGAGATAATGCTCATCTGCCTGCCATGATGTCTGGGGCTTCAGCCAAGTGACGTGAACAGCTGGGAGCTGTAGCTGTGACAATTGGGGCTCACTGGGCATCAGTCTGTCTCAGTTGGGTATCAATCTGTCCACACTTGCCCCCTCCACTGGCTGCCTTGGGCCTCCTCCCAAAAGGAGGACCTCAGGCTTCTACATGATGTCTTAGGGCTCCAAGACCAAGTGTCCCGAGAGACAAAAAGTAGATGTTGCCAAACCTTTAAGGCCTGGACCTCTTAACGGGTGAAGTGTCACTGCCACCGTATTCTATTTGTCCAAACAGACACAGAGCTACCAAGTTCCCCTAACTCAGGGGAGTGTCAAATAATTTATGCACATTTTTAATCTGCCACAGCATCCTTGGACAAACTCCATGACTTCTCAACAGCTCCATTTCCTCAGATATTAATACAGGTAATAGCAGGATCCACCTCATAGGTTTGTTAGGGGAATAAATTAGTTAATAAAAATAAAGTTTCTGGAAGATAGTCAGCACTCAATAAATATTAGCAGTTTTATTCTTTTCAAGCCATTTTAAATATTACTTTTATTATGTTTGCTTATCAAACACTGCATTTAAAATAACACATTTCCCCTCAGACCTAGGTCAACTGGAGTTTAATAATACATGATAGTGTCAAAGGCGTTCGAACCAGAGAGACCCCATCTTGAGGGAGGGCTAGGAAATTGAGGCTGGGACTTGCTGGGCTGCATTCCCAGAAAGTTAGGTATTCTTAGCCTCTAGACGTTTATGGTTAAGGGAACAAATTGCTCATGTTTACTAGGCAGACCCAGACTGAGGCATGTCCTGATATTCCTATATCTTGAGAACAGATACATTCCTAATTTTGCTTTAAAGATAATAATATTGATTCTTACAAAATAGAGTAATTAAGAAAATTAATCCTTTATCACAAACCCTTGTAGAGAGCACATCTCCCCATGATTTTTTTTATCCTGTATAAGCGAGCACTGTGTCTAGAGTGGACACGTTCCTCCCTTACTTTCAGGAACCCCCTACTCTGTGTATAGAGTAGCTTTACTTTCATCACTTTACTTTCTTAATAAACTCTCTTTTGCTTTGCATTTTGGACTCACCCTGAATTATTTCCTGAGCAATATCTGAGAACCTTCTCTTAGGGTCTGGATTGGGACCCCTTTCCTGTAACAATAGCAAAGAATCTGACATCTGATATATCTTTGGGGGGTGTACAAACTTTGACCAGCTTTATAATGACTAACAATGGCCCCTGCTCCCTCAAGTTCCTCATCCTCTAAACAAGCACTCACAAAGCCCCGCACTTTTGCACTCTCTACCCAACAAATGGGGTGGCATTCAATGCAAAGTTCTTGGTCAGTGGGAAAGGGACTGGAGGAAAGGAAATGAGGACCATGTGTTTTGTTACTAGTGATGGAGCTCTCACTTTGATTGCAGATGGTGAACTTATAAAAGAAAAAAAGGACTGCAGGAAATATAGTTTGTGGCCCTGAACGACTCTATGAGAACATCCAGACAACGCCAGGGCTACTGCAAAATGGAGTTCAACACCAGGGAGTCGGGAGATTGACACTGGAGCCTTCTCCCCTGGAGAAGATTGGGACCCAAGTCAAGGCTACTTCCTCCCCACCTGCTCCTGTGTCAGATCAGTCCTGAACATCCTCACCTGCTAGCCCTCCAGTTGAACACCCCCCACCAATAATGACCCCTGAGAGTCTTTTCATGCCAACATTGGCTGCACAGAACATGATACCACTGTCCTTGACTAGCATATGGGAAAAGAAGCCAGCATCCTCTCATCACCATTTCAGCAATTTTCCCCTCACAGGCCATTCATGAGATGTGCTACAGTGCACTTTTTCAGTTTATCTGATGAAGTGCCCTTCAAATTTGATGCAGGGCCTCCATCTTGAGGTACTTTTCCAGAGGCAGTGATGACTAAGCCCTGGGCTATCCCCAGTATCTCATTTCGTTGCCTTTGAGTTGCCAGGTGCTCCATCTGCAAGGTGGATGATTAGAGCTGTGGGTCCAGCTCTAGTCAGGAAGTCAGGAAACAATGTACACCAGCCTGTTCATGGGCTGAACTCTAGATCTTGACCACACCAGCATGGAAGTAACTAAACACAGACACGACTTATATTAGGATTTGTTTGTTTGTTTGTTTGTTTGTTGGAGACAGGGCCTGGCTCTGTCGCCCAGGCTGGAGTGCAGTGGCATGATCATAGCTCACTGCAGCCTCAAACTCCTGGCCTCAAACCATCCTTCTGCCTCAGCCTCCCAACTACCTAGGACTACAAGCACATACTAACAGGCCAGGCTAATTTTTAAAATTTGTTTTTGGAGATGGGGTCTTGCTGTGTTGCCCAGGCTAGTCTTGAATTCCTGGCCGCAAGAGATCCTCCCATCCCATTCTCCCAAAGTGCTGACATTACAGGAATGAGCCACCATGCTCAGCCCCTATCAATATTTTTAATAACCGTTTGTAGCAAAACTTTTTTTTGAGACAGGGTTTTGCTCTGCTGCACAGTGTAACAAAACTTTTAAGAAACCCCAAAACATGGACTGACTGAGCTACCTAAAAGTATTAGTCACCCAATCTTCAGCAAACAGTTAACAGCAAAAATAAATATATCTTCTCATGGCAGCCCAAAAAAATAAATAAGTGAAGGAACATTATACAGGGAAACCGCAGTGCATTGACTTTACCTTTATGATGATTTTATATACCAGCATCATAAAAAATTTCCTAAAGGCTAAGCTGAAACTAAACTGCTGCTCTGATCCATGAATATACCAACATTCAAAATAAATCAAACACATCAGGAAGATCCGTGCCTTTCCCTTATACTCCTGGTTTGAAACACCAGTGGAAAGGACAAAAAATAAACTTTGATTATCAAGAATTTCTTGAAAAGGAAGAACACACAATAACTATTTTTTTTAAATTATAAGGCAAATACAAAATCTGATTGATTTTAATTGTTTACATTGATTTATATTCTGTTTAATGTTTCCTTTTCTCCCACTAAATTGCTGTGGAAACCTCATTTAATAGATAAGAAAACAGTATATGGAATTAATCATTGCTAATTAAATTGCATTTAACATCTGCTGAAGACTTAGAAATGTGAAGGTTTGCGGGAGATTTTGAATCTTTATTCTCATCTCAGAGCCAGGATATCATCCCCATACCCACAGTATTTGCCAGACAATCGGGATTAGTCAGCCAAGGAAGATGGATGAAGTGTTCCTTTTGTGGGAGCTATTTATGTACTTGTTGGATTGTCACTAAGTAAAGATAGTTTAAATGTGCATTTCCGCAAGGCGAAAGAATGAACCACAGTATCTCAGAGGGTGGCTTGTAACCATATGCTTTTTGATCTATTCAAGTTCTTTCCCCCGACTATTTACAACTAGTTGGAGAGCAAAAGAGTCGGGGAGGCTCCCAGAAATGATGTAATTGAGTATTTCCATTATATTAATGTACTGCTGCATAATAAACCGCCCCAAAACTTAGAGGCTTAAACCAATGACTTATTATTTCTCATGATTCTGAGCTTGATTGGGTAATATTTCTTCTCTTTGTGGTGAGGCTAGAATCATTCATTCGGCTGCATTTAACTGGGAGCTTTGCCTCCCTGAAGTACCTCCCATCATTCAGCAGTTTAGCCCAAACTTCTTTATGACACAGCCCCTGGCCTCAAACTCCTGGCCTCAAGCCATCCTTCTGGCTTCCAAGAGGGAGTGTTACAAATGTGCAGCACTCAGCATGCCTCCACTTGCTTCATGCATGTACCAATGGCCAGAGCAAGTCCCATGGCTGAGCTCAGCAGCAGTCATGAAGAGGATTGCACAGAGTATAAATATCAGGAGTGCGGTCATTGGGGAGCACCAACATTGCAACCTCTTCCATCCAGTCCTCTAGTGAAGGCAAAATACCTCAAACTAAGTAGACACCTCGATTATCCTTCAACATGTTAATCAGATGGAACACATTAGCACAACAGCTCATTTAAATGCAAGACAATATTTGTTAGAAAGTGCTTCCTCTGCCTCCTTCCAACTTCCACCCATTAATTCTATTCCTGCTTTCTTAAGAAACAGAAAAGACTAATTTATTTTCTCTTTCCAAAGATAACACTTAAAAATCCATTAAAAGGATGTCATGTTTCTCCAAACTCTTTCAAGAGTCCATGTCTTCTATTTTCTGGCCACAGCATTTTCAGTTTCTTCCCACTAGCCTGGTCAAACTACCAACGGCAATGGATAGCTCAGTTCTATTTAAGATAAGCTTGGCTGTTCTCTTAAGTGTCTTGCAGCAGAAATACTGGCCCATTCAAAATAGTTGGGCTAACTTTTAAAACAACAACTAAGCGTCTTCCAAGACAGTTACAAAAGACTAAATAAAACACAGAGGAAAACAAAAAAGAGGGAGCTCAAAATGGGAGCTTGGCTCTGACAGGTGAATTTTCACACAGAACTGCGGCACTGAGAACAAAACTAGCCTAGAACCACTTGTGCTATGTCATGTGGAGGTCATTCAAATGCACAGGATACAGAAACTCTTCAACGGTCTAGTCATTTCACACTACGTCGAAGCAAACCACAAAAGCAGGCCCAGGAAATTAGATTTCTCCAAGGATGGACCCAGACGACTCAGCCTGAATAAAATGATCCAAGTATGATTCTGATCCTATTCAGATATTCCCCCAGGAATACTCCAGAAGGTCTCTACAAATTCAAGTCTTTTGCAATAAACTACAGAGGCCAGAAAAGACTACAACCACTCTTGCCCAACTCAGACTATTTCAGGAAACTGTCAAACCCAAAATTGTACATTGCCTATGGAGAATTATCTGGATCTGTGAAATCATTCACTTGAACTGATTTGCTGGAGGACTTTTAGGTCAGATATATAGGTAACCTCACACTGGAACCAGCTAAACAGAAACATAAATGACAGACAAACCTCTAATCCATGCTGCAGCCAAAACAATAATAAGGCGCTATGAATTCAAGTCTCTTCTGCAGTACTAGGCAACTAAGGGCAATTGGCTGATGGCATCTGGGTCTCTTCATCAATAATATTTCCATACTAAGACTTGATAATTTGAGAAAAAAACTTAGCCTCAAGTCCTGGTTAAGTCTCTGTTAGTTCAAAACCTCTCTGCTCTCCTAATTTAATATTGTTATTAGTTGAACTCCATAAAAACGAGCTCTAAGACAAAGACAAGCACACAAGAAATTTATTGAAAAACTCTTGGGACCAATATTTGTGTAAGGAAAGGAAAGGGAACAAAGCATGGTTGGGCAGAAGCAGAAGATGACTTCAACAAAGACCTCGGCTAACCCCTTGGGGAACTCAAGCTGGGATGACCCTTCTGGGTCCAGAGTAGGGCTGTGAAGGACAGGGCTTTACACATTTGCATTGACATTCATAGGATGCCACCTTCCCTGGAAAGGGGCGTGATCTTGAGCAAGGAAGGCCTCTCAACCAAGGCACTTTGCAGAAGGCTATGAGCTGAGGTGTGTCTTCTTATACCACTTCCAGCAGCTGGAGAATAAGTATTTCATTTCAGAAGGAAAATCTGGGCAGCATATGCCAGAGCCAACTCTCCATATTTAATGAGATATTCTTTCTACAGCCTCACGGGTGATGTACAGCTCCCCCACAAAAAAAGTACACACTTTATTTTATACAATTTGACTCATACTCTGTTTAGCCACAGTTTGAGACCAACGTCTAAATTAAGGATTCAGAAACTGCGTTTCAAACTGATTAGGTAGCTTCATATCCAAAATTCATACCAGATACATCAAATTCGTAAGTGCTCCTTCTTTCTGAATCCCTAATGCAATTGTCTTTGGGGCAAATATTTAATAAAAATACCACTGGCGTAATCAGGTTGCATCTGCTGAACAGGTCTACACAGAAAAATTAACAAAGCCAAAGAATAATTTATTGATTTTGAAGCAACTGGCTTTTTGAACAAGATTTCACTAAATCTTAATATAAAAATATAACAGGACATGAAGATACTATATTATTTTTTATTGTGTCTTTATCCCCCAAAATAAGCAAACAAACAAATAAATAAAACATTGCCCATTGTCGGTTCAGTATGCCCAATTAGTCGGAACAATTGTTTTAGCACTAAGGAGACTTTTTCTTACTCTCAATTTATTAAAGATTTCACCCCAAATTGGGATGTTTAATTTAAAGTAGCACATGCATGCGCAACACACACACACACACACACATACACCCCACCCATCAGTAATACTATAGCTTCCTTGCTTATAACTAGCATATCTAAAGCCTGAAATTTGATTACTTCAAAATACTTTGACACCCCCTACTTAACATATAAAATTCAAAACCTCCTGCCCAAGGTCCTTTATTCCTACTTAAGTTGAATCACAAGGTACATGCAATCTGTGAGTCATTTTGGAAAGAGGGTTGATTTATATAATTCTATTTCCCCAACATGCATTCTGTTTTTATTTCACTCAGTTCAATTCAACAAACCATTACTGAAGGGCTTCTGTGACCAAGATGCCATGGGAGATTCAGAAGTTAACAATACATAGATTTTAACTTGTAGATGTATGAGCGTGTGTGTGTGTGTGTGTGTGTGTGTGTGTCTGTGTGTTTAGAATTCCACTAGTTAATTACAGTAGGTTGAAGCATATGAAAGTGAATGTGTTTATCTACAAACAAAAAAAGCACTTGCAGTTGGTTCAACTTACTATAGAAGACAATGTAATTATTTTTCATAATAGAATTACAATCAAGCTATTATGGGAATCCAGGAGAATAAAATGTTCATTCTAATTAGGGAAATTAAAGAAGGTTTCATTGAAGACCGCAAACTCATCCTTGATGAGTCAATTTCAGCAGCTGACTAGAGATGGTAGACAACAGCACAAAGGCACAACTTGTGCAAACGTACTTGGAGATTGCAGAGCTCAGAGCTGAGTCTGGAAGGACTGGAACATAACACTTTTATTTTATCTCAATGTTGCAAATACTCTCTCCCTGGAAGTTTTTTCTACAAAAGTATTTGGAGTTTTGTTTGGTTGGTTTAGGTTTTGATTTTTTGATGTGGGGAAGAAGGGAGCCTCCTAGAACCAAGCATGCCATATATGTGCTCTCTGCTCCTATGGAAGGAAGATTCTCAAACCTTTGAGCCACCTCAGAAATAATATTCTGCAGCAGCTGTCTAGAGAGGCTGAGATTTTTCCTTTTAGCTACCTGGAGAATGTAGAGTTGCTATTTCAGGAAAACGGGATGAATCTCAAAAAAGTGTATATTTTATTTAGTCAATAAAAATGTCCACCCACCTATTCCACCCACACTGAACAATCAATAGGAATGAAATTTTGGCCTACAAGGGCTGAAAATAATAGGGACAAAGCAAATAAAGACACTAGAAAAGGATTAGATGTAAAATCTTAATTTCATTTACAGAAAGCATTAGTGTAAGTATTTTCACAAATTGAGATTATTGGGTGTACCCTTTCATTCCTAAGATATAAACCTAGAATTTGAAGACTTAGTAAGAAAAGTGAGATATAAAATGTCTCAACAATTTTTAAAGTGATTACATGCAGATATAACATTTGGGTATATTGGGTTAAACAACATATTAAAATTAATGTCACCCTTGTTTATTTTTTACTTTGTGTGGAATTCAAAAATTTAATATTACACATGTGGCTTGCATTATATTTCTATCAGACAGCATTGGCTTAAGAGATACAACTTAACTTCTCTAAGCCTCAGTTTTTACTTTTATGAAATGACGCAAATAACTATTGCCCTGTCTTATTGGTTTGCTATCAAGATAAATGAGATAATATAGAGACATTTTACAATTCTTTTGTAAAAATTTTTTGTAATGTAGACATTGCAGTATTTTGTAAACTACTACACATTATATAAGTACCAGGGACTACCAAGAGCAATAATTCCTTACGAAAAAGCCTGTGTAATGAATCAGGGTGGTAAACATAACTTTCAGGCTACTCTGGCATAAGGTTTCAATGTGCCAAACAAAACTAAGAGATGCAGACTTACCTTCGAAGTCCTTCAATGCTTTCCATTAGTATAAATTTGAAATGCCAAGCACGCCAAGCCATCTGCCAGGCTCCATGATGGATGAACCCCTCCAGGAGCTGGATGATGTTCTGTGAGCATGCTCAAAGGATGAAGCAAGCTATCACTCTATTCTCAGAGGTCAGCCTGGCTGGGAATCTGAAAGCCTGTGGTATTAGCATCCACCTAACTTGTGAACTTACCAATGTAGCATTGGCAGTAAACAGCCAGCCATATCTGGACCCAGGGTTTGTGGTCACTGTTAATTGTCAAAACAATGACAATTTTCCAACCTACTAAATAAATATAAAAATTGAGCCTAAATCAGAAAAGACTAATGTTCCTAAACTAGGAATTGCTTCTCATTTCCAATCTTTGCTAGAATTACATCTGACTTTTCTGGAAGCACAAGAAATCTCAAATCTCAAACTCTCAGTCTGTGAGGCTGAGATAAGTAAAGACAGAATAAAGTCTGCCTACCCTTAAAGCAAAGATGCCCTGAGATTCTTACTCCCAGCTAGTGCAATGGTAGGCCAAAGGGCAGAGCTTCAAGAAACAAATTTAAAGTCCCCAAACACAGCCACACTCAGAAGCAAGGGACAGAGAGTCAATCAAGTGTGTCTACCATCCAGTCTTATATTCTGACATATTATCTCACCTTTGACAGTTTACAACCTGATACTATCAAAACAATTGTTCTTCAAGCGTTTCCAGCCTCAGAATTTGTTTGCATGCTATTTCTCTGCCAGAAAATGCTTACATGGCTCATACGGTCCCCATTCTATCTGGCAAACTCCTACTCCTCCTTCAAGAGTCAGCTAATGTCATCTCCTCTGGGAATCTATCTCTGATACCCCCTACAATGTTTGGACCTGTTTATAAGACCTCTTTATGTTAGAACTGCCTGCTTCTGTATGTGGCTTTCCATTTGACTGACATCTTTTAACCACATCTCTTAACATAGTTGAATTTGTTGGAGGGAACCTTCGTTCATTGCTCTTCCTTGTTCTGCATGAACAAGGGGGGACCTCCACTGGAGTGACTCTCCTGGCCTCTCTCTATCACCCCTCAACCCATTCCTCCTGATTGGCAGGTGAGTTAGAATAAAACAGCCATGCTCTGTTCTTCTCCTATCTCATTCTCTTTTCTTTGTGATCTGCATACAAGATGAGACTGTATGTATTGTTCCTCTTTACTGTGCAATAGCAGAAGACTTGCCCCATGGTTTCCTAGGGCTGCCAGTTGCATTGGGGAAGGGGATATATTAGCAAACTCACTTGACAAACCTCAGCCACAACCTCCAAATAACTTTAAAGTTATTATAAAACATTATTTTATCTCCAGCTATCAGACCTCCATGTTCATATCAATTAGTTCCAAACACAGATAGGGAAACAGGATTGTTTATTAGTCTCCGAAAACTCCTATATAGTCATCAGATACTTAATAAATAAATGGATCTCAATTCAACACTAGAGCCATAGACAGAAGAAAAAATGTAAGTCAGGAAAGCATAAGCAGCTTAAAATAGAACAGTTGTAAAATATAGGCAGGCTGGATGTTATGCCAACAAAGACCTTGAAGAGAAGATGAGGGACAACAATAACCTTTGTTACTGACTTCTATTCCTGTCCTCTCTTTCAGGAAAAGGCTGGGTGTTACCCATTTTTTGGGTCTCCCAAATTAGCACCAATAGTAGACATGCAAATAGCTGTTTAATTAGTAAGTAATAGCCCGTGCACATGCACAGGTTCATACTGGGAGGAGGAGAGCATAGGTACAAGTTAAAGAGTTTCTTATGACAGCTGGGCTGAGAAATCAAGTATAAAGTGATGTGTATGATATCAAACAAGCCAGAAAACTACATCCTATGAAAGCAGCCCTGATGGAGCCTTGACAATGATGGTAAGAGAAGGGCTTTTCTAAAGGCAAATGGAGTGTTACTACTATGGACTAGCTGATAAGATGTGGGTTAAGCCACTGAATTGCCTGGCTCAAATCCTTCTAAGCCTCAGTGTCCTCATTCATGAAAGGAAGTTGGTGAAACTGCTGATGTCAGGGGATTTTTGTGAGAATCAAATAACCGAATTCATGTAAAGATATTAGTTCATGCTTTTCACATAGGAAGTGCCAGATACCTGCTGGAGCTAGAGTAGCAAGAGCAAGAGTAGCAATAGCAGTAGCTTCATTCCAGCATTCACACTTAGGAGAACACAGATGTAACATGAAAAAGAAATAATTTCAAGGCAAGGAGATGGTACAGATAATTTAACAGGATAGAGGTAGATCTATTAGCTAATCAAAAATCTGTAATTTTTTACCCTACCACAGAATAAACTGAGCTGTGCCTTATATTTTACAACTTACACAGTTTATTTTTATATTATTGACGTTTCTATCACATTTCCTGACAATTTCAAATTTCCTCATCAGAAACATTTGGATATTATATTAGGAGGACCCCAGAGCCTCCATCTTCCATAATGTACATTTTCCTTCTGATGCTGATCTCAGGTCAGAAACATGCAGGTCTGTTATACTGGGTTGGAGTTGCAGTCAATAGTCACCAAATATTAAATTCTAATTTTTACTCATTCACATTATCTACAAAAATAAAAAACTAAGAAACTTGTATTTTTTCTAATTTTCTTCCTATCTTTCACATGCCACAATAATTATCTGACTCAGTTCCCCACTAAAGAAATTTCACATGCAGAGTTCTGCTATGCTTGAATTCAAAACCATCGATGCTCAGTTTTTAAAAATCTATTCCATAGTAAATGCATCTAAACAGTTTTAGATTTTTCTGGAAAGGAAAATCACAATTGCCTTTCCCAAAGCCACTATTTGAATTGGTAGCCTGTAGCTTGCAAGGCAGGCACCCACACTTAAAAATCCTGCAAGCTGCTATCTATAAGATACGTCCTCAAGTTGTAAACACCTATTTTCTTAATGCCCCCCTCCTCATATCCCCTAGGCAACCTATAAAGAAAAAGTTTAACAGATTTAGTAAAATAAAAACTTGCTTCCAAATTTACATCCTATCTTCCCACACACCTAACGAAAAAAGTAATAAAGATTTCATACTGAATGAGCTAAAGCCAGCATCTTAACCAAATATTTCCCCATCTACATTCAAAAAAGGAGAAGAAAATGCCAAATGTTAAGTGCATATATTAAATATTTTTAATTTTTTTGAAAGATCAAATAATGTAATAACTACATTAACACAAGTTTAGTAAAATTCTCGGCCAGGCGCGGTGGCTCATGCCTGTAATCCCAGCACTTTGGGAGGTCGAGGTGGTCAGATCACGAGATCAAGAGATCAAGATCATCCTAGCCAACATGGTGAAACCCTGTCTCTACTAAAAATACAAAAAATTAGCTGGATGTGGTGGTGCGTGTCTGTAATCCTACCTACTCGGGAGGCTGAGGCAGGAGGATTGCTCGAACCTGGGAGGTGGAGGTTGCAGTGAGCTGAGATCGCGCCACTGCACTCCAGCCTGGCAACAGAGCGAGACTGTGTCTTAAAAAAAAAAAAAAAAAGAAACAAAAAATTTATGTAAAAGAGATAGTAGAAACCAGTTCACATATGTAAGGATTGCTCCCCTCTGCCCACTTGCCAAGTTTAGAAGAACTTCCTGTTGCCAATGTGCACACACAACCACAAATTTTCAGGACACTTCTTCATAAATAGACTATACTATCTGTGCTTATTGTCGCTAATTTTTGTTGCAATTTCAGCGGCGTAGTTTCTTATTACAAGTCTTTCGTTCACCATAAAGTCTCATTAGAGCAAACAGAGCTGTTAGTGACTGAAATGTCTTTGCATACACTGAAAATATAAAGTCATAACCAACTTTACTCATGATTCTCCTACAAACATAAAAACTTACAGGTCAGGTATATTTTATTTTCTCCAACCTGGTCTACTAAAAATAAATTACAGATCTATTCCCCATCTGCAATTTATTTACACACTCAGGAGGCCAGCCAATTAAAGTTGGAGGGTGTCATTTTGCAGCCTTTGGGGAATTGGAACTTCTCTTTATTTGCATTGCTTCTTTGTAACAATTCAGACAGACTCAGGCATTCAATCATTAGAAGCTTGAATGAGAAAAGGTAACATGGACATTTTTTATGGCCAAAGTTAGAGGAATTGAAAACAAATAACACATTGTCATCTAAAGTATTCATTTTTAAAACAGAGCGCACTATGGTATGTTCTTAGCACATACCTCATTATTGATTTTCATTCATTTACAAAATCTTTGGGTAAGAAGGAGCAGGAAAGGTATTCCTGCCCAACTACTACCTGATGCCTTGAAAATTTCTGTCCTATGTGGTACAGTCTGGTCTATATTCTAATAAATTATTTTTATAATCAGTGAGGAATCAAGATTTTACAATTTATATTCAACTATGTGTTGTTGTTTAGTAATATATTTATTTTATTTTAACCCTGGAAAACAGTATTTTTAAAACTTCATAATTTCTGCTTTTAATTCCTTCAACTCTTTCATCCACTGGGCATTAATTTATCATTTTTTAAAAATGTCTTTAGCATACTGTCTTGAAATGCAGTTAAGTCAAATAAGCATTTTGTTTGTTTCTTTATTAGCAAACTGATTAAAATGCTGAGGACTAAAGAAGGTAAAAAAGTAATTTTATATAAGACAGAATCTTGTGTGGTAAATTTTTGTCCTAAAACAAAATGACTGGGTTTTTCAAGAAAGAGGAATATTTAAGACAAAACAAAATTTAAGCACATTGTGAATGGTCTGTGTAAGTTGTAATAAAGTTAGCAAAAGGAATTTTTAAAGGGGTTGTATAGTTCAATCGGCTATAATTAAAAGGAAATTATTATAATCTTTCTAAAGATAGGTCTTTAATATTTTTAAAAATTCACTAATACATAAGTAAATAATTGGTTAAAACAAGATTTTATTATAAATATTCACTTATTTTTAATGCAAAAACTTTTTAAATTTTTAAATTCTATAATGCCTTTTTAACAATTTTCAGATTGATATCTTAAAAGTGCCGCTCTTTCTCTATTGAAAAGGCCTTGAATGATGACTCTCTCCTTCACCTTTTGTTGGCTCCTATAACTTTTACTAATTGTCTAATATAAGGAAAATTTATTTTTGGAAAACAGGCAAATAAAGTATCTTTTGGACATGCTTTTTGTTCTGCATGCCAGTTATATTCCTATCCTTATATGTATCATGTGGAAGTGATAGTTCACCACCAAATTACATGAAAAAGCTCCAATCTCCAGGCATGGTGGCTCACGTCTATAATCCCAGCACTTTGGGAGGTCGAGGCAGGTGGATCATGAGGTCAGGAGCTTGAGACCATCCTGGCTAACATGGTGAAACCTTGTCTCTACTAAAAATACAAAAAATTAGCTGGGCATGGTGGCATGCACCTGTAGTCCCAGCTATTTGGGAGGCTGAGGCAGGAGAATCGCTTGAACCCGGGAGGTGGAGGTTGCAGTGAGCCAAGATCACACCACTGCACTCCAGCCTGGGTGACAGAGCGAGACTCCATCTCAAAAAAAAAAAGGGAAAGAAAGAAAAAGCTCCAATCAAATAACTTAAAAAATGTAAGTGCTAATGTAGATGACAGGTTGATGGGACCAGCAAACCACCGTGGCACATGTATACCTACATAACAAACCTGTATGTTCTGCACATGTATCCCAGAACTTAAAATATAATAAAAAATAAATAAATAAAAATAAAAATAAATGTAAGTGTGTATTCAGATTTGTAGAAGCTAGCTCCGATGTCTTTTAATTCAATGCCTTGGTAAGCTTTGGTAAAATTAATTTGGTAAATTTAGTCTCAGAACTCTCCAGGAATTTAAAAATCTCAGTCATGTTCAAAACCTCAGAGTTTCCCCCTGCCCAACCACTGGAAATTTGGGTCACTAAAAAGTTAAAATAGTAGAAGCATAAAATATGCTTTTGTCAAAATTTTATAAACACAAAGATGTCAATTCTCAAAAAAAAGTAAGTTTTTTTTTTTTTTTGGTTAAGAAACTATTTAAGAGTTGCTTTATAATGAAGGAAATCATACAGATAAAACTAAATAAATTTTAAAAAAAAAACAAGCAAGGGCAACGAAAGTCTGAGCCCTATGGTTAGCAAGAAAATAGTCGGCTGGGTACGGTGGCTCACGCCTGTGATCCCAGCACTTTGGGAGGCCGAGGCAGGCAGATCACCTGAGCTCGGGGGTTCAAGACCAGCCTGACCAACATAGAGAAACCCCATCTCTACTAAAAATACAAAAATTAGCCAAGTGTGGTGGCACATGCCCATAATTCCAGCTACTCAGAAGGCTGAGGCTGGAGAAGTGCTTGAACCTGGGAGGCAGAGGTTGCAGTGAGCCGACATCATGCCATTGCACTCCAGCCTGGGCAACAAGAGCAAAACTCCAAAAAAAAGAAAGAAAGAAAAAGAAAAGAGAAGAAAAGAAAGAAAGAAAGAAAGAAAGAAAGAAAGAAAGAAAGAAAGAAAGAAAGAAAGAAAGAAAGAAAGATCAATATGGGGTAAGGGCAAAACCAAGTAACTATTTAAAATCAAAGGGTGTAATGTAAAGGAATCGTTCCATTTTGTAGATTGGTATCGTTCAGCTTCTTAAAAAAAATCTTTAGTGGATTGTAAAAATAACCACTTTAAGGACAAAATTCTTAATTTTAAGTGCTACAGAATTTAAGAGCTTTTTTTGGGGGGATTAATGCAGGACCCACAGCTCATTACTGAACAATCTCTGAGTATATGCGATCCAAATGCACAGAAGGTTGTTCCTGAGAAAGCAACCTGGCCCAATAAGGTCTGTTTCCCCCGAGAAGGGGACTGCCCAACTCTCCCTATAAAATACCAAGGGAAGCACCCCAGATGAAGCAGTTAATATGCTTCATATGCAAGCCATGCTGGACTAGCTTTATGATAACTGGAATATCCTCCCACCAAATATGCCTATAACCCAAGTCACGGTAAATTGGGGGGTTAACCGGGGCCCCTTTACATGGGTGCCCCTCCCACAGAATTATAAGACTGCTTAAGAAGCCTTTTCAAATTTGCTACCCCTCATAGGTCTTACGCATGCATCTCCCTGCTGGGAGCCCAACCATTTTCACCAGAAAAGGTAAAATGGTCTGGGGGTGAAAAAGGGTTCCTGAGACCAGAACATAAAAACATACAGGTTAATAGAATTATAAAATTTAAGATGTTTAAACAAGCTTTATGTAAGGTATCTGTAACCCCTTTACCTAAAAGTCTTATGAAAATGGGTACTGTATGTAACTAAGGGGGTGTTTCCTCTGTCTAATACTATAAACCGAAGGCATATGAATCTGTTCTTTCAAGAAATACTTAATTGCACATGCTAAATGGGAACTAATAAATTGTCTAAGCCCGCAAAATATAGGGTAAAAGCTGGAGTGCTAGTCAGGATGACCCCTCCACTGCATAGCCCTTTATGTGGAGCTTTTACTGGGGATGATGGCAAAAACTGTAAGTACCTTTCAATGGCAATGACTGAACTAGAGAATTTCTGCTTGATGGGACATTGACTGCCTTGCTTTGGAATATTAACTGAAGCTACCCGCATCTTAATGGAAATAATGTTTTCCAAACGAGTTCCAGCATAAAAAAAAATGGTTTACATAAAATCTTGCTACCTAATAAACAGAGAGCCTCTTTCCTAGGACTAATTGTGAGGAGCTGCTAAATTCTCCAGTGCCTAGTAGCTCTCATGAGCTGTTTGGTTTGTAAATGGCATTTCCAAGGTAGACATCTTGTTTGAAAAGCTCTGGTTAAAGAAGGATCAAGAAAATCTTTTTCTTTTACATTACTTGGGTAAAGTATGTTTTTGTAAGCAAATTTACCTTTCTGAGTTCCCCAAAATTCAGATTGTAATTTTATGACATTATAGTTGTCTGCATAAGTTCAGTAATAGTTTAAAAAATTCATTTCAAAGGAAAAGCATAACATTAATACCAGATTAAATTATTCCTTGGCTACAATAATCCTCTAGAAAGTACCAGATTATAATTTTTCTTTATATTTTTAGTTGGTGCCGTAATGGAATAGGTTCCTTTTTCTCTTCTGACATACAAATTACACTTATAATTGTCAAGCGATAAATGTTATTTATCTCTCCTTGTTTTACTTCCAAGAAAACAAAAATCATGGTATTCTGAAGACCAGAGATATGAATCTCCCTCATCTGGCATCTCACTGGGCCTGGGTCTGTTTCACTGCTAATGCTCTGCTTTTAAAACTACACAAGCTGCCTCCCTCTAGGCCCAGGGACTATCACAGAAGAGGTGGGTGCAAAAGATCCTAAGGGCTGGTTTTGAGGGATAAAATTAGGTCAAGGTCAAACCCTCCAAATCAAGAAAGGGGTACAAAAATGCGTTAAACAGCTGGTAAAACAAGATTAGTTGTCTTCTAAATTATTACGTGTCACTTTTGCATCCACCCCCACCATAAAAATTGTTTGCTTACTATAGAATTAAAGGAAATTCTTTACTAACAGGATGAAAATACCTTGTAACAAAGCCTCCTGAGTATAATACGCCCAAATATGAGTTGTGAAGACAAATCTATCTATATATTTTTAAATTATTTTTCAGAACAATGCGTATGTTTTATATAGCTAATTATTAAAAGTATGTAACAAAAACCAAGCTGACAGTGGCTCCACATATACAAGTTAAAAGTAAGTCAGTCTTGGAACTTTGCCTTTTGGTTTTGTCGTTGGCCTTCTTTACTTAAAATAATAAGTATAAGAAGTAATGAACGCCTGTCCACATCCATTTTTATCTGGCCTAGCACAATTAATTGGCTATGAGTCTTTCGACTCTTAAGGCCCTCGGCCATAGGAAGTTCTGCCGAGGGAAAAAAACAAAATGACACTGTAGAATCATATGACTTCTCCTGTGACAAAGTCTCCTTTTATCTCTCAAGTATATGGTGCAATATAGAAGTGGTGGGAAAAATAGATTTGTCTACTGTTAACAAGTCTCTAACAATTTAGACACTGAGGACCAGGCAGGGTATTTCTTGCATTTGATTTATACCCTCCTCAGGATGTTATACCTATGGAGATAAATTGGCCAGAAGACAGATTAAATTTATTGGATTCTGATTTAATGTCAGTCCTACAATCTTCAAATAAGACTTATTATAAAGTTCAAATGGCCCTTGATAAAGAGGGTAAACACAGTGAGTCCGATCAAAGAATGTAACAATGCACGCAGTGGTATTTTGGCTCATTAGGTTGTTTACTGCCCTGTGACTCTACCTATAACCTTCTTGGATGCCTAATCTTCACTATCTTTAATGATATTCATCACTGTGTTAGTATTGTATAGCTCTTGTAAATGTTATGCCAGATACAGCAAAAGGAAAAAGGCACTACTGAAAGCCCGGATCATGATAGCTTGCAAAATGGATCTGATCTGGGATGTTTAGACCAAACCCTAGTCCTGACTCCATCTCATACCTTAAACAGTGGGCTATTACATCAAGTCAGACTGTGTTCTCCCCACCGTGATCCAAACTGCTAATATTTAAAACTATTACCACCAACCAGACTACTCTAGGAATGAGCCTTCCTGGCGCTGTAGGACCTTGCCAAATGACCAAATCGGATAACTCTGGGAATGAGCCTTCCTAGAGGAACCTGCTGTTGTTTGTTGGCCCACATATGCATTCTATGGAATGCTTTTTGACCAAGAGGGGGTACTGAGGACTAACCTCTGGTTTTTTATTTTGCCTAAATTCCTATCAAAGGGGTCTGGGGAGTCATGCCCTACAAACCACAAATTATCATCAGATAAGGTTTAATTTAACCCTATCTATTGTGACTTACTTTCCAACCTAACTCTGGCGTAACATTCCGAGACAAGGAAGAAAATCAAAATATTTTACCCCAAAACATGTTTCTTTGCCATATTTTGAAATGGCCCTGCAAAGCTGTTCTTTGTGGGGGGACAATTTGCATCTGTAAAGCATCTCTGTTAACATAACCAGATCTTTTTCTTCCAGACCCTCCCAATCTTAAAGAAATGAACTAAGATCTGAATAGAAAACATTTGTCCTCTATTGTCTCTAAGGGCAGCCACTATAAGACTTCAAAAGACTTTGGTCTCCACAATCTTTATCTTAACCTGAACATTCCCTTTCTATCAATCCCAGGTCTTTAGACAAACTCAACCAATTGCCAACCAGAAAATGTTTAAATTCACCTATAGCCTGGAAGCCCCTGCTTTGAGTTGTCCCAACTTTCTGCACCAAACCAATGTATTTATTAAATGTATTTGATTGATGTCTCATGCCCCTCTAAAATGTATAAAACCAAGCTGCACCCTGACCATCTTGGGCACATGTTCTCAGGACTGTGTCATGGGCCATGGTCACTGATATTTGGCTCAGAATAAACCTCTTCAAAAATTTTACAGAGTTTGTATCTTTTTGTTGACAATATGCACTATTCCAATCTTCATTAATATTTTTTCAAGAATAAACATGTTTTCATTGTGCTCACAAAAAAAGAATATTTCAATAATCATTATATAAAATGTGGCAATCTAATGGCAAATAGTTACCACTAAATTTATTACAGTAATGATTATAGATTTAGTTTACATGAACAGTGTTACCTTGAGCTCACCCTCCTTTTCTTGTTATAACCACAATGGGTTTGTTGCCTGATGCATGGCAAGTCAATACATTGAGACAGTGTGTTGCAGCAGAAAAAGGGGTTTAATCATAAGGCTGCCAAATGAGAAGACAGGAGGAAACCTCAAATCCACCTCCTCTGGGAGTTTGGGGCTAGGGATTTTAAGGGGTTTGGACCAATAGGGGACCAGACGTGTGGAGATCCTTGATTGGTCAAAGAGTGTGGGGTGAAGTCACCAGACAAGGAGATGAAGACCCTGTATTCTCATGCTGATCCTGTTCCTTCGTGGGGGTCTTCGAATAGTTAGAGTCAGCTGTTCCACTGGAATTTAGGATCTGAAAAACATCCTAAGCAATTCTTAAAATCCTCATGATTCTAACATCAGAGATCCTATCTATAGGAACAAATGGTCAGTATGTAGTGCTAGGTGACTTTCCCTTCACTTAGCAAGCAGCCACGAGGAGGTGGACCAACATGCAGCCTGATGAATGCTTAATTATAACTATATTTTTGTCCAGGACCCAGCATGTAATTCTTGTTAACCCTGTGTGGGTGGTTTCCCTTCCACTATCTTTGATTATATGTCCCCTCCCTTTATGGTTCTCCACTTACATGCAGGTAACAATTAATTAGCAGGTGAGTTATTTTAAATACAAACTTTTTTCCTAGAGGGTGAAATGGCTACAATTCTAGGTTCAGAGAGGTTGCCCTCCATTTAAAATATCCCTTAATCATCTAGAATTTCACACACACTGATCATTTATGTCTAAGTGATAACAATTCATCACTGGCATCCGCAGAAGCTGAAAGAATCTTAGATTTTTCATTGATTTGATAAATATTTATTTGGTTCCCATTTCATTCCAGATGCTGTGCTAGGCATCTGTGTTACAAAGAAAAATTAAACATAGTATCCAACATCAAATAACTCATTCAAATAGAGGAAGAGTAACACACTTAGGAAAACGCTAGCAGCATACACAGGTGATTCAAGGAACACAGAGCAGTTTGTCCACCTCCAACCAGGGGCAATAAGAGGAAGTTGAGTCCACTGTACTGAGCTTCAAAGGATGAACTTAACTCAGCAAGGAAAAGTGGGGGAAAAGAGGTTTTTTATTATACAGAAATAGTGGGTCTCCTTTAGAGCTAGAAATACTGTTAGATATCATCTGTTTCAACCAACCTCCTAATTTTCCAGACGAAGAATGTAATATTTTTGAGGCATTTTCTCATTAATCCCCATTAATCTCAATAATATCATTAATTATAATGTTTTTTAGAGATTTTAGAAGCCAAATATTACGTTAATTTTTACAAACAGGGAAATCGTGGCACACATATCAAAAGTTATGTTAATTTTTACAGACAAGGACATTGAGGCATGCATATAGAAAGTAACTTGCCAAAAGCCTTTAAAAAGTATTTGATGAATGCAAGTAGGTATCTCAGGTTGAAAGACTCTCACCCAACTATTAATGCTAAAACAAATATTATTTGTACATGAAAAAAAAGAAGACCGGGTTGAGAATTTGGAGCCCTGACATTATATGTTCTATGATTTTGAAAAGGCTCTTACATATTCTCACTTGTAAAATGAGACAGTGGCATAAGACATCATAAAATTCTAGGGTCATGTTGTCAAACTGTCAGAGGCATTTAAACCAGAGCAACTCCATCTTGAATAAGGACAGGGTAAAGTGAGGCTAAGACCTACTGGGCTGCATTCACAGGAGGTTAGGCACACTAAGTCACCGGATGAGATAGAATGTCAGCACAAGATACAGGTCACAAAGACCTTGCTCACAAAACAGCTTGTGGTAAAGAACCCACCAAAACCAAGATGGCAATGAAAATGACCTTTGGTTTTCCTCACAGCTCATTATATGCTAATTATAGTGCATTAGCATGCTAAGACACTCCCACCAATGCCAGGACAGTTTACGAATGCCGCGGCAATGTCAGGAAGTTACCTTATATGGCCTAAAAAGGGGAGGAACCTTCAGTTCCAGGAATTGCCCACCCCTTTCCAGGAAAACTCATGAATAATCCACTCCTTGTTTAGCATATAATCAAGAAATAACTATAAGTATACTTAGTTAAGCAGCCCATGCCACTGTTCTACCTATGGAGTAGCTATTTTTTATTCCTTTACATTCTTAATAAACTCGTTTTCACTTTATGGACTTGCCCTGAATTCTTTCTTGCACAAGGTCCAAGAACGCTCTCTTGGGGTCTGGATAAGGATCCCTTTCCAGCAACAAAACTGTATTAAAAATATCTGTTGCTTGAGTATGGTAAATATTCCAGAATTTGTCCCAAATCATCTGAGATTAAATATCTCCTTTCATTAAGTTTTTATTCCTTAAAATGTTTAATTCCATGCTGCTTCTTTCCTAGATGTGTCTCTTTTTCTTTTTCTCGAAACCAAGCTAAGTAGTCTGAGCTATGATTATTAAGCGTTTAGAAGATCCCCAACAAATGCATTCCATAATGAAAAAGCACTCTGAACATACCTGTAGCTACATAACTTAAAAGCACTAAAACCACATTTGTAAAATTTCAAACTTGAAGTCATAACAACCCACACAGAGAAAAGTAAAATCACCCCAAATGTGAAAGAAAGTGGCTAAATATTAATATGATAAGGCTTTAAATTATACATTTGAAAATTCACCAAAGAAATTTTTTTCTTCTCACTTTGTAGAAAAGTCCTATTTAAGGTCATGTTTAGACAGGTTACCTCCACCAGACCCTAACTTCATGCATTATTTCCCCATCAATGTTTTTAGTCACCACCTTCTTTTCCTATTTATTCACTAAATATCCTTTAAGTTCTTGCAACTGTAATAGGCTCATTGCCTGATGCACACCTCAAGTCAATACACGGAGACACCAGGTTGCAGCAGAGAAGAGGTTTAATCTTAGAGTCACCGAATGAGGAGATGGGAGGAAACCTCAAATCCATCTCCTCAAAGAGTTTAGAGCCAGGGATTTTAAGGATTTTGTAGTGGGCCCAAGTGTGGTGATCATTGATTGGCTGAAGAGTGTGGGGTGAAGTCATGAGACAGGGAGATGAAGAAACTGTATTCTCATGCTGATTCTCTTTCTCTGTGGGGGTCTTCAGAATGGTGGGAGTCAGCCATTCCACTGGAATTCATGATCTGAAAAGCATCTTAAGCAATTCTTAAACAAAAGCCTCATGATTCTAATGTCTGAGATCCTATCTGTAGGCACAACGGGAATACAGTCAGTACCTAGTGCTAGGTGACTTTTAGCAACAAGGAAGTGGGCCAAAGTGCAGCCTGATTAAGGCTTAATTATGACTATATTCTGCCCAGAACCCAGCATGCAATACTTGTCAACACTGTAGGGACGGTTTCACGCCCATGTTCAAAACCCAATGGTAGAAGCAATGCGCAGCGTGCTCCCATGCCTTCCAAGAACATGCAAAGTACTTGAAGAGGCAGGATATACCTTAATGAAATCGTCACTAAATTAAGAAGGAACACATAATAAAACTGAAAAGGAATGGGACAGACCCTAAGTGGCATTTTTGAGAAAATGGTAGTGAATGTGCTCTGGAACAGTGAAGAAACGTTCCACAGAGGCAATAAAGTGCAACTGACCCCTGTAGGATGAATAGGATATGGACAAAGCCGTGAGAGAAGGAAAAACATATTCCTGGTAAGAATGGAATACTACAAGCAAGGATTTGGAGATGAGGATAACTGAGTTCCTGTTTCTGTCCAATTAAACTACTCATTCTTCAAGTCCTAATAAAACCCTCCTGTTGGGAACAGGCCCCCCAAATCTGGCCATAAACTGGCCCCAAAACTGGCCATAAACAAAATCTCTGCAGCACTGTGACATGCTTGTGATGGCCTTGACGCCCACCCTGGAAGGTTGTTGGTTTGCTGGGAAGAGGGCAAGGAACGCTGGCCCACCCTGGGTGGAAAACCGCTTAAGGCATTCTTAAACCACAAACAATAGTATGAGCGATCTGTGCCTTAAGGACATGTTCCGGCTGCAGATAACTAGTCAGAGCCCATCCCTTTATTTCGGCCCATCCCTTTACTTCCTATAAGGAATACTTTTCGTAAATCTTCTGACTGGCTTGCTGTCAATAAATACGTGGGTAAATCTCTGTTCGGGGCTCTCAGCTCTGAAGGCTGTGAAATCCCTGATTTCCCACTCCACACTCTACATTTCTGTGTGTGTGTCTTTAATTCCTCTAGCATCACTGGGTTAGAGTCTCCACAACTGAGATGGTCTCAGCACCCTCCCACTGGCCAGCCCCAATCAAAATGATTCTAACCTCTGAACTACTTTTATTAATTCATCTACATAGCTATTAATAGAATGCTCCCAGTGATGGTTGATTTTATGTGTTAACGTGACTGGCCACAGGATGCCCAATTAAACTTTATTTCTGGGTGTTAGGATATGAATGGGTGGACTCAGTAAAGTAGATTGCCCTCCCCATTGTGACCTCATCCAATCTGTTGAGGGTCTGGATAAAACAAAAGGTGAAGGAAGGAGGGATTTACTTTTTTTGCTTCCTGTCTGCCTGCATGAGCTGGGACATCTTATCTCTCTGGCCCTAGAACTGGGATTTACACCAGTGACTCCCCTGGTTCTCAGGCTTTCAGACTCAGACTGAATTACACCGTGGGCTTTCCTGGGACTCTGATGGCAATTTGTGGGACTTCTCAGCCTCCGTAATTGTAAGAGCCAATTCCTCATAATAAATATGTGTATTTATTGAGGCCAGAAACAATACCCCAAAATGAAGCCGTAGAGGCAAAAGTTTTTCTCTGACCTTTCCTTGTCCCCCTGTCTCCCTGTCCCATTCTTCCCTAAGGCTAGCCATACAAACTAGAATTCTTCTTCCCCAAGGCAAGTCATGGAAACCAGGACTCCTTTTCCCCTAAGCCAGCCATAAAACTGAAAAATGGGATCTAACTTTTCCTCTGCTCTACCTGTGTAAAAATTGGGCCTAGAGAAATTATTTGACCTACCTTGTTTGACTGTAGGTTCTAAGACCCACATTCCAGAGAGAGTCCTGCCCCATCCCCAGAAGGAAGGAATGCTGCTCAGAGAGGACAAGAAGAATCTCGACAGACAGGCTTTGTGGAGTTTCCCCACACGGTCCATTAGCATTAGATAATACACGTTTTGTCCAACCGTATTTCTACAGGCCTGTCCATATTCTATGGAACCTAAGCATAAAAATGGATATTTTCCCCCACATCTTTGGGTCTTCATTCTTACGGTTCCTGTGTATACATGTAAAATAGATTCATATGCCTTTTCTCCAATTAATCTGCCTTTTGTGAGTTGACTTTCCAGCAAACTTCACAGGGCCAAGAGGAAGTTCTCTCTTGGCCTCCACAATATCCTACTGGTTCTCTTTCTCTGGACACCCTGACTAATATACTCCCAGACTAAAAACTCCAGGTGGAATCTCATGAGCACATGCAAAGACTTGATACCTGCTCTTCTATTTCTGTAATCTAAGAATGGACTGAACATTAGGACAACCAACTCTCACACTATATGACCAAGCCCCATCCTCCCCTTCTACTGAGTACCCTATTAGATCATTCCATTATCCCTTGGATTTACTGATATGTGGGAAAAATTCTTGGCTAAGACTTAGGCACCTGTGAGCCATAATTGAAACATCACCAAATGGTATGGCTTTCCTTTCTATGGAAGCTATTATTTCTTCCATTCTCACCAATTCAGTTCAGAATGCTGTAAACTCCTTGCTCCCTTTTGCTACTTCTAGACTTTCTTCCTCTACTATCACTAATATTTTTGTTTTGAAGCCTATATCATCATCTTAAGTCCTTTTGGAGCCTGGCTTAATGTCAGAGTGTCCTAGAAGCTTTTACAAACTTCCCAGGCCTGAATTACATACCTTTCCTTAGACTCTTGAAAGACTTCATAGTCTCATTATCTTTGCACTAAAAAGGTGGTTTAACAATTACCTATCCACTTGTACGACTCCCCATCAGTGACTTGAGGGTAAGGACTGTGTCTTCTTATCCCTTGTATCTTAACTCATAACATAGCTTCTGATTCGGAACACTGGAGATGCTCACAAATATTTGCTAAATAAATGAATCACTGAATCCTGCATTACTGTCTTCCTATTCTCTTCAAAAACATTCTCTCACGTCCCTCTTTCCTCAGGAGTGTTAGCACCTGAATATCAATCCTCTTTACTCCCCTTACGATTTTCCATGTACAAAACTTCATATTTTCTCTTATCTGCATTTACTAAATCCTCTCCTAATTTTCCCTACTACTTCCCTTCTTCTCCAGAGCACCTAGCTCAGTGCCATGAACTTGAGAGGCACTCAAGAAGTACATATGCCAATGAAAGAGTATCATCAGACTCAGGGGCAGCTCTGAAGTTCTGGGGCTGAGCTGACTCAGTAGCACATCTAATAAAGTGTCTTTGCTGCCACGAATGGAAGTCTACCAGTTAAAACTCTCTCACTGAATGTCCCCTTTCTTTCTTCTCCCTCCATATACCCATTTTCCTTAGGATTTCCAGAGAGCTAAACAAACAGGAGCCAAGCCCAAGTGTGACTGGAAACAGCAGTGATACATGCCCAGCTCAGAGCACAGTTGTAAACTTTATGGCTCCACTTTCTTTGTGTCTTCAGAAAGCTTAACACTTAGTCACTGTTTATGCTATATTGTAGCACTTATGCTAGATTGCTCATTTTTTCATCCCTTATTGTCTTTGTCATGGTGGACCACAGGGTGAGCCATAGCAGATACTTCAATGCTCCAGTGATGTTGGACTTGGGCTATGTGACTTGCCCTTAATGATGGAATGTGGGTGGAAGTGAAAGTGTGTCAATTCCCAGCTATAAGCATTGCATGTTTCTGTTTACACCTTTGAATGTATGCCACCCTCCATGAGAAGAACAAGCCACAGGTAACCACTGATCTCAGAACAAAGAACCTTTGAAACAGACTTGAACTCAACCCACAGCCTAAAACAGAACCACACTAGCTGAACTGCAGAGCAATGAGCCAGAAATAAATCATTGTTATTTTAAGCCAGTGAGATTTGAAGGTTGTTTGTTGTGCTGCATTACTGCTACGGGAACCTAATTCATACACTATGCTTGTTGTTTGTTCTCTAAATCTCTGAATTATAAAACATTGGGCCCTGCCCAATGACATACATATGAGGAAGGGTAGCATCCTGTTTGTAAAATACATGTACAATCTAATATTTTAGAAACATTTCAGAAGGGAGTGGTCCTATTTACGAATTTGGTTATTGTTATTCTCATTTACCAGGGTTGGTGTTGATCATTCTCTTCTAGTAATTGAAATGGCTAAGGTTCTGTCTGCCATCTTTCTCTTCCTGAATACATTTGCTCATAATCATGATTATAGCATTTTTTATGTGAATGCTCAGCTCAGATGATACCCATAAACTTCAGCTGCATTATGTCTTTGCTCTCCAACTCAGGTTTTTTAAGATTTATGAAGAGCCATAAAGAATTTGATTAGCATTAAAAATTCATGATGTATAGGGATGAACTGAACACTGAAATACATCTACATTTTCAGGCTGAAGGTATAAAATTGACCTAAAGTATTTTGAGGTTAAAAAAATGTAAGGTCCTAATCTTTGACATCATTAAAACTGCTTTTTTTCCCCCTTTTTAATTTTCATTCCAAGATGAAATACAGGTTCAGATTCCATATAAATTTGGGACAGGTAGCTTGGGGATTAAGGAGCAGATAGAAAACTTGAAGTTCAAAATTGGATCCTTATTCAACCTCTGCTTTACTGTATGATACTTAAAATATTGCTCTTTCATTGCTAAAATGGGTTGATTTGGCAAAACATTTCCGTCAGCAGTGTCAAAGCTATTTGAGAGACAACCTATTCAGGGTGTCTTTATTTTTTTTTAATTTTAAGTTCAGGGGTACATGTGCAGGTTTGTTGTGTAGATAAACACATGTCATGGGAGTTTGGCCACCCAGGTATTAAGCCAAGTACTCATTAGTTATTTTTCCTGATCCTCTCCCTCCTCCCACCCTTCCCCCTCTGAAAGGTTGCAGTGTCTGTTGTTCCCCTCTATGTGTCTTTAGATATCTCAGAGGTAACTGAGGTTAAAAATTCTCAAAATATTGAAAAAAGCTATCTTTAGTTCTATTTAATTTTTATGATTCATGCATAAAAACAGAAACATTTGCATTGTTGATTTTATGTGATATAGTAAATCTTAGTGGGAATAATCCAAATTTCAGAAATAATTATGGGCTTCTTCCTACTTCTAGGCTAAATAAAATTTATAAGCTACTCAACCTTTCTGAGCCGTGGTCTCCTCATCTGGAAGAAGGAATAACAAAAGCACCCACAGGCTTTTGTGTGGATAGAAGTAGAACTATTAGTATGTTGTATTAAAGCACTAGGTCTGGCAAACTTATAGCCCAACAAATGAAAACTATTATTTATTAATAGTAGGTTAAAATCACAGAACAACAATAGTGTGTCCAAAGTCTGAGCCTTTGGTGTTGTGAGAAATGGAGAAATGGAGCTACTTATATAGGTAAACAAACAGGAATTACCTATTGGCTATTGGGACCGATTACCCCCATATGACTCTGAGTTTATCTTCGTGACAGCTGGGGAACAGCAGAGCAGAGAGACAGAAGGGCTTTCTTTGAAACATTTTCTTAAGGAATCAGGAAGAGCAAAACAAATAAAATACATAGAGTCTTCAATCCCAAATGAATTCCTTTCCACAGGGTTAATAAAAATAGGATGCCAGGCTCTGGACTGAAATACCATTAAGCATTAATCAAGCTGCCCTCTGACCCACTTCACCGGAGCTGCTTACTAACCAAAAGTCTCATAGGCTGGGACATAGGTCACTAACTTCCTCGTTGTGTTTATAGATAACATCTTGAGTGTCAGAAGCCTAAGACTTTTTATTTGAGATGTTTTTTAGATTCTGGATTCCAGCGAATGGCTGATACCAATCAGTCTGAACACCCTCACCAAGAAACCAAATCAGCAAAAAAAAATGCAGTTCCTTCATGTCCCTATCCCACGACTTCACCCTGCATGCTTTGATAAATCACTGACCTCCACACCTCTTCCCACCACTCATTTAAACCCTTTAAAATCTCTATCCCCAAATTTCTTGGGGGGTAGCTTTTTGGCTTCCTCCTGTCTCCTGATTTAGCTGCCTTGCAGTTATACCTCTTTCTCTGCTGCAACTTGGTGTCTCAGTGTATTGACTTGCCACACATTGAGTATATGAACCTTGCACAGTTACACAAATGTCCTGCAAACACTGGCCCCATCACGAACTAAAGTCACCAGGACAGTTTGGCCTATTCAACAACCACCTCTTTATTCAGCCACATCCTCTAAGCTCAGTTCCACCTGATTCTCACTGTCAAACTTAAAAAACACTAACCTTTATCATAGTGTCAATAATTAGAACTATCAATATTTAATACCTACTCTGTGCCAGGGACCATACTATCTCTCTGACATATTATTTTTAGACCTTCCAACCATCCTGAAGGAATGCTATCATTCCAATTTTAAAGATGAAGAAATCGACCGTCAGAAAAGTGAAGGTTTGCTAGGTTCATATGGCAAATAAGGAACAGAGCAGAGATTAAAACCCGGGTTAGTCGGACTCCCATGCATGTGTTTGTTCCACAAGGCTGTACATATTCACTTTAATAGTACAGTGGAATATAACAGAGTTTGGGGTTGAAAGTTGAGACTTTATCTAATCCAAGTCTGCTGTTATAGATAAGGAAACTGAATTCCAGATCAGAACATCCAAGTGACCTTTCCAAGATCACAAAATAGTAAGATACAAAACCAAGTTTAGAATTCTTTCCATAATATCTTACTGCAATCTTCAGGAAAATTCTACTATAAAGGAACACATTGCCAAGCCAAATTATGCTGTTTCCATGACTCCCAGGCACACTGAAGACCCTTCTCTCTCTCTCTCTCTTTCTCTCTCTCTCACACACACACACACACAAAAGAAATGTGGAAAGAATTGATCTCTGCTACTTGCGGGTTGTACCAATGAAGTCTTACGAATAAAGTAAAAACTTGGCTATAAAACTTCTCAAACAATACTGTTATGAAGATTTTTTAACTGCATTCACTTATTCAGTGGACTATGACATAATTTCAGGCAGTTACCACAGTTTTTATAAGTTCCTGCTTGGAAGACAAGAGGATGAGCTTAACGAGGTGCAAAGAGTCAATCTATACTTCTCATCTTGAATATATGTTATTGTAAGGAAGCAGAGATTTTAGTGGGTGGTAGGCACACTATTGAATTGAAAACAACCAGCTTCTCCCAGTTTTTCTTTATGATGCAGGAAGTCAGCTTATAGTGGCTTCACCTAAAATGTAACCATCCTGGTGACTGTTTCCTTTCACAATCACCTCTTGCACACTGAAGCATGGTTTCTGACGTCATGCTGACTGCTTCAATTTGCCAACATAACTCTGAGGCTGTGCTCTCAGGCAAGGGGCCAAGAAGGAGGCTATTTTTGCCTTGGTTACCATACTGCTCTGGATGCGTCATTTTGCAAATTAACAGCCGAGGTCAAAAGCATTGCCTCCATGCTGAGCTATAACAAAACACGTTTTGAAGCTTGCTTTAGTCTGACTTCACAACACTTCAATGCTGATATCCATGAGGCATAGGCTACATGCTTCTACTTTGTCTAATTTGACTTTTGCAGGAACTTTCACAAATGCTAACTCCATTTCATTCCATTTCATATTAATTGCTAGTCAAATTTGCAAGAGAGAAAATTAAAGAGGACTCCAAATTCTAAATTATTATTGAATGTGATTTTTCCAGATTAGGACATAAAGAGTCCTGTTAAATACTTTAACCCTTTGGCAACATGAATGCCAGTACTCAGTGAATGGTCAAAACTGTGGATCTTGAAGATCCTGTTGCCTTCCTCACTTGTGGCAATGGTTAAACAACACAAGAGTATGGAGTGCAGTGGAAAGGTATAGATACAGTTTTCAGGCCACATGAAAGTTCTGAGTAGGCTCAATTAACTAAGTTCTTTAAGCAAAGGCTGCAAAGAAAGGAAAGCAAGCCTTCTGCTTTTTTGAATGACGTTTCAAAAGACACTCTTCCTCAACAGAATGAACACATCACTATGAATTCTAGACTCTAAGACCCAGATACTGAGTGAACTAAAACAAAGGAAACGTGAAATAGTGGCTCCGACAGTAAAGTATTGATGCACCTTCAAACGAATTTGTTCTGAATAATACATCAACTACCTAAGAACTCACATCTTGAGCTATTTTTTAAAAGTACATTGTGAAGTGCAAAGCATCAAGAAAAGCAGTCATGTTGCCCGACATTTTAGGAGGATGGTTATTAAAATAAAGTTTCAAATTTTTTTGGATAAGTACAGAGGAGAATTCCTGAGCTATTGGTTGAACATCACAAGAACTTTCTTGCTTTTAGTATTACGGCTGATAGAGCTGCCACAGAAGTGCCTCTGAATGAATTGTACTGAGAAGTAAATATGTAAAGGAAAGAACAAAGCGCATAGTCCACTGATAGACTACAAGCCCTGAAATATACATAGATGGCCCCAATAACCCCTTCTAAGCAATGTCAAAGACATGTTGTATATTGTAACTCTGGGTATTTGGAAAGAGGTGCTTGACGCTTAAAGGTAGATCCTCACTGGTTATCAAAAGGGCTCTGAAAATGAAGCAAAAGCATTTACAGGTTCTAAATTGGAAATTAATAGCTCTGAATACAAAAACTGAAGGAACTTTAGCCCATGATTTGGCAGACATTTAAAGCTCTATCGCATGATCTGGGGATGCAGAAAATTAGCACATTCTGCTTAGGGATACATGTAAGATCTAACAAAGTGATTTTTAACATTATAAGAAGACTTAGCAGCATGTTGCAAAGATGCAGTTATGAGGAAGAGACCCTAGATAGGGTCTCTTCAAGTGATGCACATCTTACAAAGGTTTTTCTTAATGGTCCTTTGCTTGTCAGTATACTCCCACTTCACTAAGTGCTCCTTCAGTGCTCCAGTCTCTTACTTTTTTTATTATAGTTACCTTTAGCCTTGGAAATTTAGCAAATACTCCACTATACACTATTTCATTCAACCTTCCCAAAAATATTGGGAGGTAAGAAGGTAGCATTATTTCCATTTTCAAATTCAAAAAATGGATGCCTGAGAAGTAGAGGCATTGACCCGGGGAAGTAGAGGAATTCACCCGGTGGTCGTCTCTCATCACAGAGCCAGTGTCCCTTCCACCACTGGCTGGTATCACTACACTTGGTCTGTGGGCACCTTGACTGCTTCAGCCTAGCTGAATGACTATCCAAGCCATTTGTTACTAAAAGAATGAAACTAGGCACCCATACATGGTTTCTAGAACAGAAAAATACAAAAAATAAGAACTGTGTTAAAGAGTTAAGAAAACCACAGTCAACACGGAAATAAAAGTAACTCTAGGAAAGCTCAGAAATTCTCCAGTAAAAATTAGCAAATCATCATCAATAGAAAAGATTCACATATTTCAACTCCTCAGCCATGATCATGACCAGGCCACAGAGAAACAGTATATCTCCCTACAAAGTCATCATTCTTACTCCTTGGAAACTATCTTAAGTACCCTTTAATCTCGCGATTCCCAAGGCCATATCTTAAGTACCCTTTAATCTCGCGATTCCCAAGGCCATATCTTAAGTACCCTTTAATCTCGCGATTCCCAAGGCCATCAAGATTTCAGCCGCTCTTAGACATACTCTTTCTTCCCACACCACTCATCTCTCAGACTGACAGTCAAGTCTACAATCTTTTCCAGCTACACAGCCCCACCTGAAAAAACTAAAGGCTCTGGAGATAGACTTGAGACTCTGTCTAACAGGATGGAGCCCCAGATAAAAATGTGGCATAAATTCACCATCATGACTGAAGTGCGTGTCATTTCACCTTCCCAGTGACTATCAGAAATACACTCAATAAAGGTTGTTTGACTCACAATCGAGGGGCTAGAATGTGTCCTCAGTATGTACTCATCACTATGTTCAGCAAGCCAAACCTTACGGACTGAGATTATTTTATTTCTAAGGGTTATTTAGGCTTTGGATAACTGAAAAATAATGTAGATATGAGTGAGCCTGGCCGGGCCCCATGGCTCATGCCTATAATCCCAGCACTTTGGCAGGCTGAGGCAGGCAGATCACTTGAGGTCAAGAGTTCAAGACCAGACTGGCCAACATGGTGAAACCCCATCTCTACTAAAAAATACAAAAATTATCCGGGCATGGTGACGCACCTGGAATCCCAGCTACTTGAGAGGCTGAGGCAAGAGAATCACTTGAACCCGGGAGGCAGAGGTTGCAGTGAGCTGAAATTACACCACTGTACTCCAGTCTGGGCCATAGAGCAAGACTCCATCTCAAAAAAAAAAAAAAAAAAAGATATGAGTGAGCCCACTTACCAAGTCTTTCTCACTGGCACAACTGCAAATAATGCAAGATTTTATATCTCCAGTTGCATTGGATTTAAACTCAGGGCACCATTAAATAAGACGTGACTTTTTCTTTTCTTTCAAGTGATATATGCACAAGGGTTAAAAAAAATCAGGTAATAGAGACAGGCTTATAACACCGTCTCTTACACCACTCCCTACTTGCCCTCAGACACAACTACTTTTATCTATCTCTGAATGTAAAGGGAACACATTCTTTTTAAAATTTTCTTTTAATTTTGCTTTATTTTATTTTATTTTGAGATGGAGTCTTGCTCTGTCACCTAGGCTGGAGGGCAGTGGTGCGATCTTGGCTCACTGCAGCCTCTGCCTCCTGGGTTCAAGTGATTCTCCTGCCTCAGCCTCCTGAGTAGCTGGGACTACAGGCGTATGCCAGCATGCCTGGCTAATATATATATATTTTTTTAGTAGAAATGGGGTTTCACTATGTTAGCCAGGCTGGTCTTGAACTTCTGACCTCAGGTGATCCACTCACCTCAGCCTCTCAAAGTGCGAGGATTACAGGCGTGAGTTACCATGCCCATGGTGAAAGGAATACTTTCCCCCTGGCTTTTTTCCAAGTTACTTTTTTTCATTGATATGTTCTGACTTTTCATTGATGTGTTTCCTGTTCTCACACTGGGCCCAGACATCTTACTCAAAGTAAACTGTTGGTTTACTTTTTCCTCTATTTCAAGGATGGACAGAGATACCTTTTCTTTCTCCTCATCTCAGGTAGAGCAGGCTAGTATTTTTCCTAATGGTTTATTGCTGAATGTGAAGAGAAACCAAAGGAGAAACAAGCAGGAGTAACACAAACAGCATAAAAGGGAAAAGTTCACACTGCAGATTTCTGAAACTAAAATATCACTAACAACAGCAAAGAGACTTACTGAGCCCAAATTTTCCAAGACTGACATAAACATCCTCCAGCCAAGATTGAGGCACAACTTGCAGGTAACTTGCTTTTATTCCTTCCTTTTCAGTTTCCCATCTCCAATGTTGAAAAGCATCTGGAAGCCACCTCATTATACCTTTTGTTCTTTTCAGTGTCTGATACCAGCTTCCTAATCCCTGGTTCAAAAACATTTTCCCCAAACTGAGTAGCTTTGACTAAATTCCTTGTCTCACAGCCCTTTTTAGAATAATGTTGATTGACATTCCTGAATGCAAATAGATAATCAAATCATGCCTTGGCCAAGGTTATTAGTGTTTTTACTTCTCAGATTATCAATCAGATACCTTAGTTCCTCTCTACAGAAGCAACTTAGGAAAATAACCAGTATCATTATTCAAGATCAGCATATAAGTGTAAGTTGACAATAGCACACATACAGTCCTCTCACATCTACACACACACACACACACACACACACACACACACAAACAGTGATAATGATGGTGTGGGTGGTGGTGGTGATGATGATGATGGTGGTAGTTGTGACAGCAACCAAAACGCATATCATCCTAAAAACTAAAAACACTGAAGCAAATAAGACATGCGTCCAGGATTTCACCATCATACTGGTTACCACATTTGATCTTTTCATAATTCCTCTTCAGCAAGTAGCTGCACGAGGTTATAGAAGAGAGAGGCACAGATGAACCACCACATGCGCAGAGAGAGGAGAGAAACACAGGTCCTCCCGACTCAGTGAGAAATCTCCTCCCCAGGCACCTGGGTCCCAGCTGAGCCATCTCTTTTGATGGTGTATTGATGCCCTGCACTGTTTCTTCCTGCCTTTTGAAAGATACAATATCAGAACTGATTTTTATGAAAGCACAGTTGCTTCTTAAGCAGCCCTTAAGATCAGGAGAATTCTTCTCCACTGGGCTAAGGATTATCTGGGCTTTGGATAACTGAAAGTTATATAGTTTGCAGAAATCAAAAAGAGAGAAAACAACTCAAGGATTGGCTTCAGAAAGAATAATTCAAACAAACTTTATTTTTTCCACTTCTTGAGCCATTGTTTACTTTTTTCCCTTCTGTGGTTCTATTTTTATCTCTTCCTATGATGCTTCTGCATTATGCTACAACAAAGATTTAAATATTTCTTTTAGGTGTACTTTACACATGGGAAGCCTGGACTAAGGGAGAAGTCAGATAACCCTCGGGGCTGACTGTTAGTAAAACTTCAGTAATTAAGACTAGCAGAGGAAATTTGGTTCATTTATTCTTACAACAAAATATTGCTGTGTATCTGTTACAAAAGAATCATTTTGCCAGATACTACTTAAAGAAACAATTTTTTAAACAGAATTTTCTAATTTATTAGGTTGAGAAAAATTTAGTCTCAGAAAACAAAGCAGCAAAATAATCCGGATGTTCTTCAGTTGGTAAATGGATAAAATATGTTACATCCAGACAATGAATATTATTCAGTGATAAAAAGAAATTAGGTATCAAGCCATGAAAAGACATGGAAGAACCTTAAATGCACATTGCTGAGTGAAAGAAGCCAACCTGAAAAGGCTACATATTGTATGATTCCAACCGTATGAAATTCCGGAAAAGGTAAAACTATAGAGATGGGAAAAAACCCACAGAGGGGAGGAAGTGATGAATAGATGGAGCACAGGTGACATTAGGGTAAACTATTCTGTGTGACACTATTGATAGGGACAGAAGGCAGAGAAATTCTAGGCAGAAAAGGGTGAGTGCCTGGCGAAGCCCCACCCTCAAGCCGAAAAGCTTGAGATTGCAGCCCAAAGTGAGAATTTATATCCCTGTTTTCCCACTCAAATGTTGCCTTTTCCAAAACCACCCATGGCCCACCCTGCCCCCTGCCCTGTGTCTATAAAAACCCCAGACTCAGCCAGCAGAGAGGAGAAGCAGCTGGATGTCAGACTACACCTGGATGTTGGAGAGAAGCTGTTTGACTTCAGAGGTACAGCTTGTTGGTTTAACTTTGGAGAAGAATCCAACCAGAGATGGTCGTACTTCAGGGGAAGATTACCTTCCTGCCTCATCCCCTTTTCAGCTCCCCTTCCTGCTGAGAGCCACCTCTGTCAGCAATAAACCTCTCACATTTACCATTCTTTGATTAGTTTGTGCAACCTCATTTTTCCAGGATGACTGGGAGCCGCAAGTGCAAATGCAAAAAGCTGTCACACTAACACTTTGCCCTCATGAGAAAAGGCAGAGAGTCCACTGAGCTGTCAACACTTAAGCCATCTGCAGATGGCAGAGCTAAAAGAGCTCTGTAACACTATCTCTGGGGCTTCAGGGGTCACAGGCACCCCCGCCAGACACTGCTATGGGGCCCACACAGAGTTTGCTCCCGCTGGTGCCTAAAAGCACTCACCCCAGCACTTGCACCTGCTCACCTGTGCGCTCCCTCCCACAAGGGGTGGAACACAACAGGTCCAAGTGAGTAGAACTTGCCTCTGCCAGCACTGAAGTAGCCAGCTGGTTCCAGTGCTTGTGCACTCTAGTTCCCACCTCATTCACTCACGCGCTGCCTCCCGCAAGGAGTTGAGAGCTGTGGGCTGAGTAAACGAGGCACCCTCTTTGTGAGTCCCATAAAGGGATCAGGGAAATATTATGCTTCACTATAATGATAGATGGATATCACCATACCTTTATGAAAACCAACAGAAGGTACAACATCAACAGTGAACCCTAAAGTAAACTATGGGCTTTAGGTGATAATCACATGTCAATGTAGGCTTATTGATTTTAACAAATGTGCCCCCTTGGCTGGAGATGTTAATAGTAGTGGGGACTGTGTATGTGTGGGCAGAAGGAAGTACATGGGAGCATTTGGTATTTTCTGCTAGATTTTGCTATAAACCTAGAGCTGTTCTAAAAAATAAAGTTTATTTTTTAAAAAAGTAAAATGTTAAAAATCAGTGAATGATTAAAAAATTTTTTGAACATTTTAATAGCTCTAATAATGACCACATTCATTGTATGTAAATACATATCATCGAATTAATTTTCAAAAAAAAGTAATCTTTAAAAAAGGAAAGTTTATCTTCCTAGAAAGTTTCATCCATTGCAACATGATTTATAAAGGTGAAAAATGAGGAAGTAAAGATGATTAGTCAAAGGGAGGGTTGAACTGCAATGCAGTTGCAACAGAGGCCACAGGAGTTGCTCTGGAGCTGAGTTGAACCTGCAGAACTGCCCAGAATTTAGGTAATGGGGCCAAGTCTTTACACTATCCATTGAACAATCACCAGATGCAGGCTGCTCCTGGGGAAGTGGGAGAACTTGGGACAAGGCAACTCTCTCTGGAGGCTACAGGAGGGGAAAACCCAAAGAAGGCCCAACTGCAAGTTGGCAAGTCACCAGTACTCCTAAACAGCTTGAAGAAGGAGGCTTCTGTCTTAGGTAGGAGGAAGGTGAGATATGGGAGGCATAAGTCAGCTTTCACAACAAGGTGGAATGATTAACTAAATGTGAGATGTAAAATTATAAGGCTCCCAGAAAATAATGTAAGAAGCCGTGTAATCCCAGCACTTTGGAAGGTCGAGGTAGGTGGATCACATGAGGTAAAGAGTTCAAAACTAGCCTGGCCAACATGGTGAAACCCCGCCTCTACTAAAAATACAAAAATTAGCCGGGCATGGTGGCACATGCCTGTTATCCCAGTTAATTGGGAGGCTGAGGTAGGAGAATCGCTTGAACCTGGGAGGCGGATGTTGCAGTGAGCCAAGGTCATGCCACTGCACTCCAGCCTGGGCGAAAGAGTGAGAATATAAAAAAAAAAAAAAGAGAAAATAATGTGAGAGAATATCTCCATGACTCCAATGTAGGGGATGGCTTTTTAAATAGTACCCAAAAAACACTAAATATAAAGGGGGAAACTGACAGATTGGGCTACATCAAAATGCACCATTAAAAGAGTAAAAGTGCAAGCCACAGGGTGAGAGAAAAAAATGCACAACAACATATAAGACAGAAAGAGTACTTCTATAAATAGCATCCATAAGTCAATAAGAACAGTAACCAAGTAGAAAAGCAAGCAAAATGCTTAAATGGCAGAAGAAAAAAATCATATATATATGCACACACAGATATCCAAATGGGCCAATAAGAATATAAATGGGTATATTAGTCATCAGCCAAATGCGAACTGAGACCACAATGAGATGGCACCACAAATCCAAAAATTGCTAAAGTGAAAAGCATAGGCAATTCCAAGGATGGCGGTGGGGTATATGGGGCAAACGAATTTCTTATATATTGCTGGTAAACCCACAGCGGAGAACAACTTGGCAACGTGACTAAAGCGGGATGTACATATAACCCATGAGGCAGCAATTTCTCTCCTAGGTATATACCCTCTACATTCCAGTTTAAACTGCACCAAAGTTTCTAGCTGTTTGAAAAGATATAAAAGAGAGTTCTTCCAATATAAAACTTGCAGTGTAGGGGGCACAGAGATTGAGTATCTACAAAAGCAACAACTCGGCCCACCAACACTCAACGTGGCTCTTCTGGATGTACAGACAAGCAGAAGTCTCGAATGTCATCGGCGTGGTATCTGTCATGACTCAGGTACGGGCTTCACCTGAGATAAACACTTCTCAAGAGTCTTGTGATCAGAAGAAATTGTAAATCTGTGGCCACAGAAATAGGTGTAGAAGCCTTTGGTTCTGTTAAGTGCAAAGGTTTGTTGGCTAGGGCACTGTTCTATTCTCTAGATGGCTTCGTTCTTAACAAAGATGTGTCTTCCATCTTAAAGCTAAGCACAGGTCTGTTCCCAAAAGATGAAGGGTTAATGATCAGAAACAGCGGTGAATATAAGGCACTGTGATGTGCTAGCTAGCAAGCAGAACTGCGAATACCAGGATCTATCAGAAGTTCCAACTAAACCCATTCAAACAAAGAAATCGCTGACTGACACAACTCGATGTGCGCCCACTCCTGGTTAAAGGCTACAGAGTAAATAAGCTCTGTTCATGAATCTTTAGGCCTCAGCAACCTAAGCAGGAGCAACCCTAGAATACTCTGGGTAGGAGCCGGAATAGGTCCGGGCATCACTGAAATCACCCCTGCACCTGTACTTGGCTGAGTCTCAGTAACCATCGTTTGTAAGCCACGTCACTACTTTATCCACCGCGAGGAAAGGAAAGGGGGAAAATACTTCCTATTAAACAATACCAGAACATTTATCATAAGAGGCATCCCAATTTAAAGATGATTAAAATGTGAGAGGAAAAAATATATGTCTTAGAATAAAATGAAACATGATAAATTTTTCTACACTCCAGATTGGAACCTGTTCCCTACCTCCCGTTTTAAGAGCTGGGAATTCCATTTGTCTTTCTAGAGTCTGTAAAACAATGATTTAGCTACATCTGTTTCTATGAAACCACTAGTGCCTATTTTCTGCATTACTTTTTTCCCTGAGGAGATGTATCCTCTTTTTTTCTTTGTTCTCCATGTTCTCAATTATTCTCAGCTCCTTCACAAGCCTCATATTGTGTTCTTTGGACAAAAATGATGTTCTTAAAAACAATAAAGTAAATATGCATGTGTCATAAATATGTGACTTCTGAAAATACTGTGGAGAAAAGTTTCTTAAATGGCTGCCAAAATGTAAGCATGTAGATACGATGTTAATCACGAGTGTGATAAACCAGCTACAATTCAGAAATTACGGTTTGCTCCTTGGAGCCTTCTCTTAATTCACAGAAGTATCATACATAGAACTTAAAAGAAGAAAATGCAAGATTCATTTGATTGAGAATGTCCAGCGGATTTATTTCACCCAATTCAGATTTTATGCATGTTGAATGATAAAAGCAACACTATTAAGTACCTAAAAAAAAAAAAAAGATGAGTATTCCTAATTTGTTTTACATTGCATCTAGGTTAATGCCGTCTGTTGGTGTTACCTGGTAAGGAAAAAAAGTGAGTATGATAAGACAAAAAACAAAGAAAGGAAAAAGAAGCAGAGAAAGAAAGGAAGTGAAGAGAAGAAAAAAGGAAAAGGAAAAGAAAGGAAGAAAAGGAAAGGAAAAGAGAGGAGAAGAGAGGGAAAAGAACAGAAAAAAGAAAATGAAAGAAGATACTTTTGGTAGAACAGTTTGACGGATTTTCTTAGAACTTCAACTTTTCCGGATTTGCATTTCTGCTTAGTTTATATAAAAAAAGAACCTTACGGTTTATAGATCTGAAATCACGACTCAGTTGTCAGCAGAGCTGTCCACTGACCTGTGTATCCTCAGCCTCAGCACCATGCACATAGGGATGTCTGAGTTCATTAGTGGTGATTAAATTAATAAATGCGTAGGTTTCCTGTTAGCCTTCCTTTTATATCTTATTTATTTTAAAAATGTGTCAAAGGTTTGTTTAGTCATGATTGGGAGTTATTTGTTTGTTTTTTTCAAATATTTATGAACATTTTTGTTTTGGGAAATGGGAATAAAATAGGAAACCAGA
The DNA here is from genome assembly GCF_000001405.40 of Homo sapiens. Lineage (NCBI taxonomy): Eukaryota > Metazoa > Chordata > Mammalia > Primates > Hominidae > Homo > Homo sapiens. The sequence continues at coordinate 2,184,087 of NC_000018.10, forward strand.
CAGAGAACATTTAAAGAAAGGAGAGTAAAACAAAAGAGAAATGAGTTTTCAGCTGCAGGAGGGGTAGCGTAAGTGTGAAGGAATTTGTTCTCACAGTGACAGAGAACGGGATCGCATAAGTTACTAATGGCTATGTTCTGATGAGTAGCTAAGTATAAGCTGAAATTAGACCAGAGAAGTGAAAAGGGCTTAGAAAAATGGATAAAAAGGAAAAAGAGAAAGGTGAAATTGATGTTACAGCAATTCTAAAAATCTGGTAATTTCAGAGCTGAAAGGGCTCAAGTCATTGATCAAACCCTTCATCTTTCAGAAAGAAAGGAATGAACTGCTCGGTGTCCCTGCCCAGCTGCCATCAGACACTGCCACTGGGTGACTGTGGCCCCTCCGTCAGCAGGCTGTCCCAGAGGAACTGGGAAGCATCTAGATCAGAGCTTCCCAAACTTTACTGTGTGTATAAAGCACTGGGATCTTGCTAAAATTGCAGATTCTGGTTCAGTAGGTCTGAGATGGGGCTGTAATTCTGCATTTCTGTCTAACAAGCTCCTCCGGGGGGCTGAGGCTGCCAGTCCACGGACCACACATTGAGTATCAAAGTTAGGACAGTGGTTCTCAGAGCAAGGGCCAAAGACACCCAAGCGAGAATTGCTGTGGTACCTGTTAAAAATGTGTATCCATCACAGCCTGTAGAAATTCTGAGGCAATTAATGGCTATATTCCAATATTCCAATTTTTAAAAATATCTTGTGTAATACTTTAAAGTATCATGTTTTACATTAAAAGCACTTAAATACATAATCTAAAATTTAAATCTATTCTTGACACACACTGTCTTAACTCTTGCCTCACAATAGAAAAAATAGTAATTTATTCCTGTTTTATAAATAAAGAAAGGTTAAGAAAGTTAAGTATCTGACTCAAGGATCACACAACACAGCCAGTAGTCAGTTGAGCCTGGATTTGAACTCAGATCTGTTTGACCCCGGAGATTCAACTTGCCACCTCTATGTTGTACTTGCAATCATTACTTACCCCAATACCGAATTAAATTTATTAAAGCATTTATTGAAATATGTAGACATATTTTTTTAAATGATTACTAGATTTCACGCTATGTCTCAACAGCACTTTAACAAAATGTCATCTATTATTTCCACCCATTTCTGTTTCTGTGCTATATTTAAATAGAAAAACTTACCAGAAACAAAAGCACTCATCTTTCTCTGTACTGATTCAGGGCTGGAAATGGGCACGTTTATACTGATTTGTGTAAATTGAGAGTTCAGTAGTCACTCTAATCTGTCTCAGTTTTCAGATATTTTAAAAAACAGTCCAGTAATGATGCAATGTTGTCCATATTGTGTCAAGGGGGAAAATATCGGAAAGACACTCCAATGTGTGATGGGTGTAGAAGTGGGGATGGGGTGTACACATAATGCTCCACATTAACCTACCACCTGAGAAGTTGGTCTTGAAAAGCTCTCCAGATGAACTTGGCATTAAGTGTCTATTTGAACTCTGTTGGGGGTTTTTATTAGTCCTCCTCTAGCAAACATGAGACCGTTATGCTTCTTAGATTGTCAACTCTGATTACAGGATGAAAGCTAAACAGCTTCTTTGACCAAATTGCATGTTGGCAACTACAGCTGTGATCCACTTTTCAATGATTATTTCAAAACCCATTAGAATGAAGAAAATCAAGAGAGGGATATTCATCTGAGACTGTGGATGTAAAATGTCTTGCTCTTAGATATACTGACACTCTGTTTACCAAGGCAAACATACAGTACTACGGCTCATGCCCTGAACAAAAGACAGTATGTTTCACAAATAAAGTTACTTTGGTCATGACTTGCATGAAATCGCAGTGCTTTCATCTGTATTTTCTTATTTTCAGTTGATAATATAACTCGTAGCTGACAAAGGATTTGTCAAGCTTTTAGTTTCCGTTGCGTAGGAAACCAGATTTATCAATTCTTGTGTTGTATTTGCCTTTGAAACATTTTTTCTGTCTTTAAAGGTAAATCCTACATAGAAACCTCAAAAGATGTGAAGTCAATTTTCCACTCTTTCAAGTACAAAGAAGACCTGTGGTTAGTTGACTAATAAAGCATCATTCTTTTAAAAACTACTTGCATCTTGTCTTTAAAAATACTGCTGAAAAGGTAAAGAAGAAAACTCAGAAATTAAATATTTCTGCACTGTGGTACCTGGCTTCCATAACAGTAATAGAAAAATGACCAAAAAATCCACTTATAATTTGGTCACCAGTTTTTACATAGAATTTTTTTCTGATTATTGTCACCTGGATCGAATAAATTCATCTTGTTTTGTTTATTTATTAATGCAAGATCATTCCTGCACCTTCATTCAATTGCAACGGATTACAAACAGGGAGTCATGAAAACACATAACTGTAAAAACATATTGAATTGTGATGCCTAAAAAATATGCTCAAAGAAAGGTAAAATCTTGGACTGCAGTATCACCCAACCAGTATGTAGTGAATAGGAGAGAATAAGTGCCTTTTAGCAACTTCAAAAAAATCTCTTGAATGTGAAAACCTAATGGTGTGATTTTTCTTCAAAATGAAGAAAAAAATGACTTACTTTCTAGGTTGAAAGGAAACAAGAAGTCACAAAAAAGCACTAAGAACTATATATATATATTTTATGTGAAGTTTACTCTCTATAAAGTTTGGATGAAGACATTTTTTAAAGTATTACAAATTGATCAAGAACAAACTAAAAAGCAGGGGCCTCAGCATGTGGGCAGATTTCTGGGACTGGCTTAGATCAGAGATGATATGAGAATTTACTGCCACACAGTTGTTGGAATTTAATCCAATGTTCTTTTACTACATCTATATGATATCAAACTTTGGATGAAAGGTGAAAAATTCAACCAAACAGGTAAATGTTTCATCTGCACTATGTCTAATATATGAATGGTTCCAAATCCATCCTATAAAAATTATTTTATCCATTTACTTGTGCCAAACACGTTCCACTTTACCATTAAGATTTCATAAGTCATTTTAAATTTTTTATTTCCAATAAAAAGAGTATAGTCATGTCTACCTTGTTGACACTAGGATAGTAATAAGGGCAATTGGCAGAGGATATGATTCTATAATATACCACAGAAAAATGATCAAGCCATAGGCAGTAGATCAAGTTAGGAAATCAAGCTGGAAGACCAGGGCTCAGCAAATCAAAGTCTAGGCTTGGGAGTCTCAAAGTGTCAAATATATAACACCCTTCTTTTTCCTGCACAAGTTCTGAACCCACTGAGACATGAACAGACTACAAATCAAAATATCACTTTTGTTACTGACAAAAATATTTGCAAAGTGTGTCTTGGGTCTGAGAACAAAAAGCGCTTTCCAATACTCTCTGCCCCGAATCTAGAACTTGAGAAAGCTACTGGATAAAACATTTGGGTGTGCAGACCATGGAGACCAACTTTCACTAGTTTGGGGGTAGAAAAAGAAGGAGAAGAGAATCCCCAGACAAATTAGCTCTGCTCAACCAAGACATGTGGATCGATGATTATTGATCACTTACCAGAAACCTCCCTCCTTTCCCATGGAACAAAAGGTCAGGAGAGTTGCTCTAGAGAAGTACCTCCAAATGAAAACCTGAAAAGTCAAGGAGTAGTATTTCCTCCTAGTCTTCCTCAGCTGTTTGTTCTGTTAGCCCATCAGATTTAACAATCAAGCCAAGAGTCACCCAGGAGGGTAGTGACACCTTTCTGACAGATCAGAAATCTATTAGAGTACTGTCTTCATAAGTTTCTCCCCAGTACTAACTATAGTTGTTTTGTGGATCTTTCTGGTAACAACTGGTAAATATGATTGAATTTTGCTCCTTGAAGGATCTAACTACGGATCAGAAGAGTCAGCAATTAAATTAACTCTAAGGCCATATTTTGTCTAAATTTCTCATTCAAAATGTCTCACCACATCTAACTAAACCCGTCAGAGCTTCTGCAAAGAGACTGAATAACAACACCAAGATATACCATTTTTTAAAATGCCAACACATATAAGTCATAAATTTGAATACAATCGCCTTCCAGTGTAAATTTTCCAGAGACATTAGTGTCTCAAAATTAAATTCCCTTACAAGTCAACAGAGTTAAAGTCCAATGTAATTCCATCCAAAGTCAAATTCTCTTGCTTCTGCAAGTTAAATGTCCAAAGTCATTATAGTACAAAATAAAATGTTCCAGTTCTTATAAGTAAAAGCTCAAAGAACAAAACACCAAAGGTCTCCAGTTACAGTCTTATAATCATTATTTCCAAAGTTTTTATTTTCTCAGTCTCGGATAGAGGTGTCTTATTCTGAACCTGGGCATACTTGGGTTTCTTCAGCAGCTGCTGCTTGCCTTGTTTTCTTTCATGCAAATGTATGTGGTTTCTTCAGGACCTCAGAATTAAAATTAGCTTCTCATATGCTCTCTTTTTTAAAAATCCAAAAGGTTGGTAGACATACAAGATTATTTTTTCTACACCCAAATTTTGACAATGCAAATGATCTCTGACTTCTTAGTGAAATTAACCAAGGCAGAATTCTGTTCCCAGAACCCAACCTTTGATGCTGCAAAAACCAAGGGAGATACTTGTGAGACCTGAGGGCAGGAAGATAGACTTTCTCACTTCAGTCTAGCCAGGATGCAAAGCTTTTTTGGAATCTATGAGAACAAATTCACTTAGGAAAAAGTGCTACCAGGAGGTTATGATGGTGCTGGACTTTCTTTATGTGGGAAAAACACATACCTGTTCATGTCAACTTTTCTCTCAGGCCACTGTATTAAGATGCCACTGCCTTTTGGCAAACTATTAGCAATATTAGCAGGCTAACTTACCAGATCCTATTTGTGATGCATATCTTTCCATCTGCCATTTTAAAAACCCCTTACTATGCAGTTCCCCTTGGATTCCACTGTTTCTGGAACATAAATGTTGTATTTAGGATGGGCTCTGCCAAGTGACACAGCCTTCCCTGTCTCTTTTGAAAAGATGTTTTCAGTTCTGCACCACTCAGGTTCCTTCCACGGCTTCTTACTATGGAAACGTTAGGACTGTTAAACATGCCTATTTGAGGAGATTTCCTTTGTTCCCACATTTACCTCAAGTGGAGAATCACATTCAGAAGATTCCTGAGCTGAAACTTTGATTGATGTTACTGAATCTAGCACTTCTAGGAGCCTAGTGAAAATCCAATACAATGTGATCCTCAAGACAATGCCCTTCTTCAGGTTTGAATGTTCTGAGCTATGAATAGCATTTCTTATTTAGTATACCTTTTTCTGCAATCATGGGATGTATCACCAGAATTTTCTTTTCTTCTTTATTCTTCAACTTCTTTTGGGTAGATCCAGTTTTACCTTCTACTTAGACAATTCCCTTTCATCTCTACTACGTGTAGGGCTAGTATTATTGTTGGTTGATCCAAGAGCCTCCTTTCTTTTGCATTTGCATTTTCTATTCTTTCTTGCCCATGCATTTGTCTTTTTTTTTTTTTTTTTTTTTTTTTTTTTTGATATGGAGTTTCACTCAGTCATCAGGCTGGAATGCAATGGCACGATCTCAGCTCACTGCAACCTCTGCCTCCTGGGTTCAAGCAATTCTTCTGCCTCAGCCTCCAGAGTAGCTGGGACTACAGGCATGCGCCACCACACCCAGCTAATTTTTGTATTTTTAGTAGAGACGGGTTTCACCATGTTGGCCAGGATGGTCTCAATCTCTTGACCTCGTGATCTGCCCACGTCGGCCTCCCAAAGTGCTGGGATTACAGGCATGAGCCACCGTGCCCGGCGGCATTTGTTTTTCTAACATACTGTCTTAGGTCACTTTCCCAGAAAAAAAAAAAAAAAAACCTGAGTAAATAATTTGAACGCAAGTGATTTATGAATAAAGTGCTCCATGAAGAGAGGATAGGAAAAACAGGATAGGGGAAAGGCCGAGAAAAGATATAATTTCAGATAAAGTTCTACCCTCTGCCTGAACCCTCAGGGTATTTGGACATAAAAATTGCACCCTGGTGTCTGTCTGGTCTCCAGGCAAGAGAACTGGCCAGCTGGGCTTCTATAACTCCCAGGTACTGTCAGTTCTCTTTCCAGTTAAGGTGGTCCAAACAGCCCAAGCAAAGTCCTCTAAGAAAAGTCAAGCTGCAAGGTTGGAAGCTGATGTAGCATAACCTGCATTTAATGTCATGGCCTGTAGACCTTGCTGAAAAACTGAATAAAAGCAGCAAATTTTTTTTAGCATCCTGATACTGAAGCCTGTTCACAGAAGGACTCTTTTGCCATTTAACTGAAACTTCACTTCAGCTTTGCATGCTTACTGAAATGTCCAGTGGCCAGTATTTGCTGGGATGCAGGCAGTCTGTAACAAGAGTTTGCTAAAATTCACACCATTTAGAAACAGCCACCTTGCAGACAAAGCCTCCGTAAGTGGCTAGGTCCCACCAAGGCTAAAATCCTACATGTCCTGCCTTCCTAAAGTCACTCTCAGAACTCATCAGTGTGTATTTTGCTCTTCAAATTCTAGTCCTTATCTATTTATCAAGGCCACTAGCTGATATACCAGAATGTGAACTTATAAGGAGGGTTCAATAAATGACATTTTATTTTTTCCCAAAAGTTTAGAACCAATTGAAAGATAGATGAACGAATCAGGCAGATAAGATTCCAATGTCTCTTTTATAGTCCTAATGCTTTTTGGTGAACGCATGTGTTCACCAAAACGCAAGTTTGATTAAACTTTCTTCTCAAACTTCAGACTTATGCAATAGAGGTAGGATCTTCTCTATTAAGCTTCTCCTGGGTAGAAAGAACAGTCAAGAATGCACCTCTCCACTGGCACGTGGATTCAAAAGAAGGAAAGAGAAGGAGCTAAGCCATACATGTCTAGGTCCTTCTTTCAGTCAGGTAAGTCATTCCCTAGGGAAGGAGCAGAGAGGAGACAAAGAGTCAAGGATATGAACTCTAGGATTCTTCCATGCTCATGAAACATTAGAAGTGGGGAGTATGTGTTCCCCTCTAACACACAGAACAACCAACAGCAAGATAAGGCATCCACAGAATGAGGGCTCACGGGAATGGAATTAAAAGACAACAGTGAATAATCTAGAATAGATTGATGTTGGCAAACTTTTCTAAAGAGGCAGATAGTACTTTTGGCTTATGGGTCATATGGCTTCTGTTGCAACTGCTTGGCTCTGCTGGTATAGCCTGAAAGCAGTCATAGACAATGCCTAAACACAAGAGCATGGCTGTGTTCCAATAAAACTTTATTTATAAAAAGGTGGTTGCATGAGCTGTGTCTACTAATCCCTGTGAGAGTTCTGGATGTTGCCATTGCTGGCTTAGAACACATGAGAGATTTTCTCATCAAGAACACAAATAGCAGTAGATCTTACATACACAGTGCAAAACCAAGATGAGAGATGGTGAACCAAGATAGGCATACAACCTAGGGGAGTGATTCCAAAATACATCATGTAATCAGTGACCAAAAGTTGTTAAGCTTGTTCTTCAATTAGTACAAGTTTTGTGAGAGTGGAAATTCTTGCCTGTTTGGTTTACTGCTGCGTCCTTACTATATCACAAGTACCTAGAGTTATGTCCAGTGCATAGTAGGTGTTCAATTTACATCGTACAGATGAATTAGAAATAATTTCAAACAGTCACATGTGAATAATATAAGGTATAAGATGGTGTCATAGGTTAAAATAAAAACATGTATCAAAATGACAAATCAGACCAGAATATGCAAAAATAATAATAATAATAATGAAAGCCCAAACTGACTCATTCAGAATCCAAATAGGTGATAAAAATCAAGAGAAACACAAATGGCATATAGCAAGTGAGATACATACAGAAATCAGAAAACACAATTTGTAAAATGGTGATGACTGAGTGGGAAGAGCAAACATAGTGATTATGGGATCTTGCAGTTCCCTAAGTATTCCTTATAGTTTTTGCCTAAAGGATTTGCCTATATGTTTCTTTTATCTGTACCACTGGGACCTCTTCCCATCTTGCTTTTTTTTTTTTTTTTTTTTTTTTGAGACAGAGTCTCTCTCTGTTGCCCAGGCAGGAGTGCAGTGGCACGATCTCAGCTCACTGCAAACTCCACCTCCCGGGTTCAAGTGATTCTCCTGTCTCAGCCTCCTGAGTAGCTGGGATTACAGGTGCATGCTGTCACAGCTGGCTAATTTTTTGTATCTTAGTAGAGACGGGGTTTCAGTGTGTTGCCCGGACTGGTCTCAAACTCCTGAGCTCAGGCAATCCTCCCACCTCAGCCTCCCAAAGTGCTAGGGTTATAGGTGTGAGCCACCGTGCCCAGCCCCATCTTGCTTTTTGCCTGAATTACTCCATCTTCTTCACCAGGTCTCCTCCAGCAAGCCTAGATCAAGAACCTCATCCTGTGCTTATTTCTGTCATAGCACTTCTCATACTGTGGATTTACTACTTACGAGTCCATCTCCACCCACTAGGAAGGAAAAATGATCTTGTTTCATATAGATTTCTTTTTAGCCTAGCACTGGCACGAATTGTGCTGAGTAAAGATGGGCAAAAACTGAAGAATAGAACAAAGCAACTAGAAGAGCTTTACACACACATAACAAAAATATTTGGTAGGTGACTATGTTTCTGTGTCTCACATGACTCGCAGAAGCCAATCTCACTGTGATTACTCTGGAAGACCAGTACAGTGGCATTCAAGCTCAGCTGCACTTTGGGATTACCTGGAGAACTTTAAAAAATTACTGATGCTTGAGCCCTACCCCAAGAGATTCTTACTTAGTTTTGGGAATAACTTGGGCCTGAGTAATTTTTAAAGTGACCCGTTTCATTCAAATGAACAGTCAAAGCTTAAAACAGTTCATTGGGAACACCTCAATAAGGTGAGAAGTGTGTAGGAAAAGGGGAGAAGTGGCTTCTAGCAAGCAATTCTCTACAATAAGATAGATTCTATTTGATCTTTGGTCTTTCTGTAGAATTCAATATAATTTAACAGGCCTCTAACAAATACCCCAGGATTTGAATCTGGTGTAATAAACCCTAGGAGTGAGGACAAATCAGACTCAGACAAAGTCTTAAAATAACAAAACCAAGAAAACTCCAAACCAGTCCTCAGTCAACTTAGTCTCTGATGGGATTAAGATGATCAGCCACCACTTTTCCTGCCTAGTAGATGATGAGAATATGCACTGGAGGAAGATAACATCACCTAAAGCCTCTACAATGCATTACACACAATGCTCAACATTCAATAAAAAGAACTAGGCACACCAAGAAATAGGATTCAAAGAAAAATAATAAACAATAAAAGCTGAGTCACAGGTAAAATATCTATTGGAATTATCAGATATTGGAATTTTATAAATTTATGATTAATAATTCCAGATAATAAATGAGAAATGAAGAATTTTTTCCAGATAACTGGGAAAAGAATTAACCAACAGTGCTGGACTTACAAAAAATTAACAACTACACTTAAGAGTTAAATTCATATGATTACTAGAAAACCAGACGTGAAAAAGAAATAATTATTAATACTCAAAGATAGGTTGGTCAAAAACAGGCAGAAACAAAGAGAGCAAAAGCAATGGAAAATACAGGAAAAGCATATAAATGATATATAAGGCATGACGCAAAGATCCAACATACATATAACTGGAGGCCCAGAAGGGTAAGAAAACAGGGCAGAAACAATACTGAAGTGATAAAGATCATAGATTGTCCAAGAAAAGGTTTTTATAGCATTAGGGATGCATGATTTCAAAAAAAGTTTAAGCTGGTCAGAAGGGTGCATGTTAAATGACACATCTCAAGGAATTAAGGGCACATGAAATTTTCTGGAAGCTTTCATGGAGCTGATCCTGATATTGCAAGATCAAATCTACTTGGAGTCACCAAAGTAGGGCCATGACAAAACATTCACAAATGTGGCCCTCACATCCACATATGAAAATCCGGGTGTTTTTACATCTTTTTTCACACTACTGGCCTGGAGTGGACAGCTCCCTTTTAGTCATAATGCTAAGTTGGTGAGCAAATATTTCCAGTTCCCTTTAAAAAGTCTACCCTAATATCTGAGACGTGTATCAGGCAGATTCAACTCCTTTCACCCCTGGAGATTCCTGCCTCATCTCAGGCACAGGGAGATCTCATTTATCTTGTTTTAAACTTCTCTATGTGTTTTCAATACATTTTTATAACTTAATGCCTATTTTAAAATATTTTACCCAGTATTTTGATGTGTTTAGCATGGGCAATCAGAATCAAATGAGATCGATCAGCACCATTGATCAAAAGTCCACTTAGTGCTATAGCAATCTGATGTTCAAAATGTTCTAAATGACTCTAAAGTGGTAAAGGATTGTCAGATCAGATAAGAACATTATCAAGGGGTCAGACAGTCTTTTGCAGTGGAAGAGACAGATGTATGAAGCATGAAAAGTGATTGAAGCAATGTAATATTCTTCCAGTGAAGATGGATTTCATTTACTAAATTTCAGGAGGGACTGCAGACATTCCACCTTCTTTATTTATTTTTCCTGAAACTACCCAAATTAATTCTGGACTTTGCGATCCCCTACTAGAGGTGCTATCTTATTCGGAAAGATGAAATCAGGCTTTTTCACTTTTCTATTTCTTTTTGCAGATGAGTGGGAATATTAATTTTGAGTGGCTAATATATTTTATATGATTTGTCACTTCTCAGCCCAGCTTTGACAGGTACATTTCATGATTAAAACACTTCGTAATTAGCTGATGTCTTCTTTCCACTATTTCCAGCACTCATTGCCCATTCCCCAGCCTTAAATTCAAAAATCTGCTTTGTGCTTATCAAGAACTATAATACATCTCATATCATTGTCCTCAGTGAAAGGTTTTTGCTTTCAAAAACTGAACATCAGCTGCAGTGTTTTCTAAAAGCTAGGTCTGATTTCCTAGAAGAAAAGTAGAATTTTTCTAAAAGCATTTTAAATGTAATCTCTAGTTCTAGGTGAAGCAAAAGTGCAAAAATGTTACATTTATTGATTAGACTCTGAAGTCCTCACAGAGGTGGAGCTACCTCTTTCTGATCTTTCTACCCTCCATGGCCAATTTGTGGGGCCCTAAAAAACAAAGTTTAACTTTGCAAGATGTTCTTTTGTTAATGGATATCTTTATTCTTATTTTAGAGTGATAATTTCCAAATTTTCATAAGCTCTTTGAAAGTGGGTAAAAGCATGAAAGTTGGAGATACATTTAGCATCAGTGCAAATCATTTATTATAATGGATGTCAACAATATTATACCAATGCTAGTTATTCCTGTCAAATTGCCTAAAATTGAAATCACATTTAGGACAACAGGCACATTGAAATTGTAAGAACAGCATTTCACTGTGTTTGCACTGGGCTGAGTATGTTGTGATGATTTTGCAGTTAGCATTGCTTCTGTACAAAATAATGTATAGGAGAATTTTGGACGCTAATCTTACTAATTACCTGCATGAGATCGTCCCTTAGATGCTTTATTAGATATTTCTGAAATGTAATACTGTTGAAAAGGTCTCCCACCTCCAGGCACTCATTTCATTTCCAAGTAGCATTGTCTTTTCCTGGAGCCAGTATGACCCAACTTTTGTGTGTATAAATAATTTTTGTCCTCTTCCATGGGAACTTTAATCATTTTTGTTTGACATATAAGTGATATTAAGTAAAAATGCACATTTTCATTTTAAATGAGTTATGAATTTTGATGCACTTAATCCTATTTCAAGATATGAAGACAAATCTTGATTTCTTACCGTTTAATAAATAACACTTACTATTAAATTTTTTAAGTTAATTATTTGAGAGACAGCATGATTCAATCCACATGTTTTTAACTGACATTATAATGCTCTGTCCCTGAATTGGCCATGTCAACAGTAGACTAAGACTGACAAAAAAATTAGACCCCAGCTACAACATGAATGAGTTAAACAGGCTTTCTATAGAAAAGGATATTGACAGAAGCAGAATAGTCAAGATACCAGTAGAGTGATCAGTAACATCTTCAAGAGTGGAAGTCCCAGTTGGGAGCCCAGGGTTGTTGGTAATGTTAATTGAGAGCCATCACCCTTTCTGCAAGGTCACTTTCCAGGAAGAAGAAGGCTGGAGGCATAGCACTGCCATAAGTAAGCTAACCTGATGGCCCCAGACCCAGCTCACCTGGGCCCACAGTTGCTCCATCTCTCTCAGGGTTATCTTCATACCACAAGTGTTTCAATATTGAAAATGGATTTTAAAATGCTTTCGTTATTTAAAATGTTTGCCTTTATAAAATTCAACTGGATTATTTTTACAACGTTTGAGCTTTGATTGTAAATAAAGTGAAAGAGCCTTGGGATAAAGTGGACAAGTGACACACTGGGGCTGAAAATAGGCTTCATCCCAATCAATGAAATCATAAAAGGAATATGATCATTGCTATCTTTTTTTCTTCTTATCACTGATTTTTGAAGTGTTGGTAAGATCTTGCTGCTTTACATAAGAATTTTTATTAGTTGCTTGCCAAATTACAGATTCGTCACAAATTTTTTTGAAATAAATTTGAAGGTTTATTAAAACTTCTGCTCTTGATCATGTTCTTAAATATTGACATCAACATTCTTAATGTTTTGTGACTATACAAAGCATTAAGTGTAGCATGAAGTGTGTTAATTAAACAACATATGATTAGATATAAACCAATTTAAAACTGAGTGATAAATTCCTACCCAATCTGTAGTTTTTACACATATGTGCTAGACAAACTCTAGGAGGCCTTCAAACTGAGGCATTTTAAAAGGGAAAAAGTCAAATAGTTTATTCATTGGGATATGAAAACACATTCCATGGGTGTCTTCAAGATAAGCTCCTGGTTGTTCTCTAATCAGTGGTAGTAAATTCTAAGTTCACCCCAACCAAAATTTTTAGTCTCTTAGATTAAATATTATTACTTGAAAAGTTATACCATCACTGGGTGTGGTGACTCATGCCTGTAATCCCAGCACTTTGTGAGGCTGAGGCAGATGGGTCACCTGAGGTCAAGAGTTCGAGACTAACCTGGCCAACATGGTGAAACCCCGTCTCTACTAAAAATGCAAAAAAATTAGCCGGGTGTGGTGGCAGGTGCCTGTAATCCCAGCTACTAAGGAGGCTGAAGGAGGAGAATCTCTTGATTCCAGGAGGCAGAGGTTGCAGCGAGCCGAGTTTGCACCATTGCACTCCAGCCTGGGCAACAAGAGTGAGACTCCATCTCAAAAAAAAAAAAAAAAAAAAAAAAAGAAGAAAAGAAAAGTTATACCATGAACTGTTCCAACAGGCTCATAACCTACTGACTTCACTGGCAATGTCTTCTCCATGCAGTCCACTCACAGGACATACCCAGCCAACAGCTCCACTCATATCATTCCCCTTCCCAAAAACTTTCAATGATTTCCCCTTTATCTTCCCAAACTCTCCCATTCCCTAATCCTTTTAGGTAGGGACTGTGCCCCATCCTAATGGTTCTACTGGCTTTTTCTAATAGAAATAGTTTAAAATGTCAATCTTTTATTCTTGGTTACTCTTTAGAAACACTCTCCTAAACCTTCTTTACCTGACTGTCCTCTGTGCCTTTGCTCTTGCCAGATTCTACAGTCAAAGTATCTTTTTCTGGCCATCTTTGCCTTTTGAACTCCATGTGCTAAGGCATGAAGGCAAGAAGCAAGAAGGACATTTAGAAGACTAGAAGTAGCTTAATAGGTAGTGAAAGTGGGTGCTTATGAACAGGGCACAGCGATACCAGGAGTGCAGTCAGGGTCAGAATAAAAAGAGCTTTGATACCATTTTAAGAACTTTCATTAAAAATGAAGAGCCATTGAAAGTTTTAAAAATGTGTATTTTAGAAAGGTCATCTTGGCCACATTTGGCAAAAAAATAAAACTGAGGTTAGGGAGACCACTTAGAGAGATCATTTACAATAGACCAGGAAATGGACAGGAAACGTCTGAATCAGGGCGTAGCAGGATGGCTGGAGGGAAGGGCGGAGTCCAGAGATATCTCAGAGGTGGAATCACTCACACCCAATAGGAGAGTTCTGACCCGTGAGACTAGAAATAAGGAGAGAGAGCAGGTTGTGTGGAAGAGCAAACTCACATTTAGATGTATTGAATAGAATATATCTATATACAAAGAGATAGGTTGGGGGGGGCAGAAGAATCAAGGAAGAAAGAGGAAAATATATAAAAAAGTGAAAGGAGATGTGTGCAGACTGATGATGACAGCGATGATAAATGAGGGGCACGATTAACACTTAAGTCTGAATTCTGGGGCTAAAATAAAAAGGGAACAAGCTGTTTTGCAGGTGTTGAGTAAACAATGAGGAAGCCAAGTGCTCCAGAGGAAGTAAGAATTGTTCCTATGGAATGATTTAACAACACACTTTGGAAAAGCAAAACATACCAACCTTTCTCACAAAGCTATTTTTGGAATTCCAGTTATCTTTACAGAGACATTTACACCTCCATATATCCAGTAAAATTACTATGATTCCTCTTCCACTTTTGGCCCTAATATAGTTTTGTATCCTCAGATATGCAGTTAAAGGATATAATTTCTATATTTAACAACCTGCACATTCCCAACTTGTAGTGCTAAATGTATATCAGAGATGAGTTTTTTTCTCCCAAATTAATCTCTGTATAATATGTGGATCAGGTCTTCTGAGAATGTCCCACTTCCATTTGCTTTTCATTCATTATTTCCTTAAAAAAGGCTTTTTTGAACCCCTGCACTCTGTCAGCACCTCCTGATACCCTCCAATGAAGCTGAGCACCTCTTCTTCTTGCACTTGAAACAGATGTCATCGACTTTTACTGCACAGTCATGCACTGACAGTGTTTCCATCAATGATGAACCACACACAGAGCAGTGGTCCCATAAGAGTATAATATCGTATTTTTACTGTACCTACTCTATGTTCAGATACACAAATATCATTGTGTTACAATTGCCTACAGTGTTCAATACAGTAACTTGTACAGGTTTGTAGCCTAGGAGCAAATGGCCATACCATGCAGCCTGGGTATGTAGCAGGCTATACCATCTAGGGTTGTGTAAGTACACTCTATGATGTTCACACAATGACAAAATTACCTGACGATGCATTTCTCAGACCATATCTCCATCATTAAGTGACTCCTGACTGTATTTGATTAATACTGTTTCCCCACTAATCTACAAGCTCCAGAAGGGCAGAGACCATGTTCGCTTTGCTTATTAATTTACCCTCCAGTTCCCAGAACAGCATCCAGCACATGGCAGATATTCAATAAGAGCTGTGAAGTGCACATAGAAGATAAAGACAGAATGAATGAGTGAAATGAACTATTTAAACTAGGACTTTGGCTAAGTAACACTTTTCTTTCACTAACACAAATTAAGTCACAACCTCTAGTTCTGATAAGAGCATGACTTCCTGAGGCCCATCAGAGAATCCTAGCTCTCTGCAGTGACAACTCATGGACAAAATCAAAAAATTATTTAAACTTAAAATACATTTAATTGTCATGCCTTTGCATATTATGCTTTGCCTTGAGGACTGTACTGAGAGATTTTCATAAAGATGACAGAGGAATCAGACATAATAGAATAAGCAGTGGTGCAGAGACACAAAGTTCACATATTTGGCAAGTGGTAGCAGGAGCCCAAGGTGAGTACAGAGGGGAAGGATATATCTGTAAGTTGCACTTGAAATCAAGTTGGAGAGAACCATGAAGGCCACAGGTCTGGCTTTTAATCAGAACATGCTGGTGGGAAGAGGTAGGAGGGGAGACTAAGGATTTTTTTTTTTTTTTTTTGAGACAAAGTCTCAGAGCCTCCAGAGTAGCTGGGATTACAGGCACGCGCCACCACGCCCAGCTAATTTTTGCCTTTTTAGTAGAGACAGGGTTTCACCATGTTAGCCAGGATGGTCTCCATCTCCTGACCTCATGATCCGCCTGCCTTGGCCTCCCAAAGTGCTGGGATTACAGGCATGAGCCACCGTGCCTGGCCGAGACTAAGGATTTTTAATACAAACCTTACACAAATCACAGCTAGCCTTTAGAAAGCTGATTCTGGAGGCAAAGAATGGCTAAGCACCACAGAGAGGAAATCTGTTAGGAAATGAAGGATACAGTTCATACCAGAGGCAACTGGGGCCTGAAATAAGGTAGTGGTGAAGACAAAGAAAAAGAGAAAGAAGTGTTATTATCCTCGGGATGTTGCAGTCATTAACTGCCATGCTGATTAAGGAGGAAGAAGAGGATTAGAAGGCTGGGTAATGAATTCAGTCTTCCTTCTAAACCTCAGGACCATCTGTGTGAAAATTCAGCACCAGCTAGAAGAGAGAGCTGAATCTCAAAACAGGATCTGACCAAAAGTTGAAGATCGAGAAGTCGTGGATACAGATGAGATTGTCAAGCAAGAAAGCACAGAAAGCAAGAAAAATAAAATGAAGGAGAGAACATTAGAGAAAGTGTACATTTAGGAGTAAGAAAAAGACACAGTACGGTCATGAGAGAAATGGGAGTAATAACACAGAAGCCAGACATGAACAGATGTTCAAGAAGGCAAGGTCATGGTAGATGCTACCTAAAGACTGCACAGAAAAATAATGAGAAATGGCCATCAGGTTTGTGGTTAGGAGTCTGAACAGATTTCTTCTTAGAAGGTGTGATAGGCTGAATAATGACCCCTAAAGATTTCAGGTTTGACTAAGTTAAGGATCTTGAAATCAGAAGATCATCCCAGATCATTTGGGTGGGTCCTAAATGCCATCACAGGTATCTTATAGGAAAGAGGCAGAGAGAGTGAGTTAATACAGAAGGGAGAAGGGAAGACAATGACCTCAGCAGAGAGAGAGATTTGAAGATGCTATGCTGTGGACTTTGAAGACAGAGGAAGAGGCCAAGTGCCAAGGAAGACAGATGGTCATTAGGAGCTGAAAGTGGCCAGGAATGCAGTTCTAGAGGCTGGGAAAGGCAAGGAAATGGATTCTTCCCTAGAATTCCCAGAGGGAATGTGGTCCTGATGACACCTTGGTTTCAGTCCAGTGAATGTGATTTTGGAATGCCAGCCTCAAGAACTGTAAGACTGTAATTTACGTTGTTTTATCTCACCAACTTTGGTGATTTGTTACAGTGGTCTTAGGAAACTAATTGAGAAGGGAAGGTGAAAACACATTTTAAATACATGAAAAGAGAGTAAAACATGAAAAAAGTGAAGGTAATAAGCAGAATATTAATTTCTCACTTTGTTGACAGGTTCTTGGAACCTGCAACTTTAAGCGAAATAACATGTAACAAAGCCATCTTTTTCTCTTCAACATTACAACAAAACAACATTAAACAACAAAAAAAATTATTTGAGGACCTGTTATATGTCATTTTGCTTAAAGTTGCAGTTTCTAGGAGCTTACCAAAGAAGTTAAGTGAAAACTTAGTGCATACATCATGATCTCAAGAGGGTTGGCAGCAACAGAATAAGAGAACTGAGACGGCTTAGAGAGAAATCAAGTTCAAAAGAAGAATTACTGTGCATGTGTGTTATTGTTTAGATTTGTGGACACTGGGATATATCTATAGGTTTAGAAGAAAGAATCCATGGAGAGTAGAACTCTGAAGATGCAAGAGCAATGAGATGATGCTTGATGAATCAAGGCATTTCAGGAAAAATGGAGAAATGGTAGGGTGCTAGACTTGGAAAAAAATAGGGAGCCATCCTGAGTTACGAGGAATACAAAACATCTGCACACCATTTACCTTAGCAGTCATTAGTATCTGTTCCAGGATTGTAAACTGACTTTAATGTTAGCCCAAGCGGAGCATAAATAGATAGGTTAGATCTGCTACATGACAAGACAGAGAGCTTCTCATTGACTTTTACATAATTCATTATTTAGGGTTGTTCATATTGCTATCCACCCCCCTCGGTGCTGGTATTATGGACTTAACCACACTTCCAAATGAGCGAAAAATAATATGATCCATAAAAATACTGATAAGAGTAGTTAGAATAAAATGTGTTAGGATTATATTTTGAGTTCTAAGAGCTTCAAGCCTGGAAATTCATAATCAACTGTGCTTCAGAAGTACTCTATGTTCAAGGCAGTTATTTAAATCACCATCCTGAGTATTGCAGAGTACAGTATAGCACTATGGTTTTTAAGAAGCAGGCATGATTATGACTCCAACAGTTGTGTTATCATCAGGGAAAATTCTACTCCAGCACTTTGCAAACTTATTAAGCAGAAGAACATGTCTCTTCAGCCTAACCCTTTCCAAAAATTTCAAACAACTTCCTAACAAGTTATTTATCAGAAAATTCATTTCCTCACATGAAAAAAAATGATTGAACTGTTATTAGGTTATGTTGTAAAAGGATTGATGCTTCCAAGAAACTGACAAATTAAACTCTCTGTCCATACTAGTAACTCATTGCTCTAAAGTAGTTCTGGGATTAAGGAAGCTATGATACAAACAACCTCAGGTGACCTGCACACTTGCCTGGGAGACTGACAGCATATAAGCACATGGTAGGGTGACAGAAGAAAAGAGGATTTCCCTCCTTCTGAATGGTCAGGCTACTGTAGGATGAAAGGGAAAATAGGTATATACTGTGGTTTCCTGATGAGTGGCCACCCAAAGATGATTTAGGAGGAAGTCTTTCCCCTTAGAGAAGGCGTGGCAGCCAGAATCAAACAGACACTGGGTTAGGCCGTTCTTGCATTGCTATAAAGAAATACCTAAGGCTGGGGAATTTCTAAAGAAAAGAGGTTTAATTGGCTCATGGTTCTGCAGGCCGTACAAGAAGCATAGCATTGGCATCTGCTTCTGGGGAGGCCTCAGGAAGCTGTTACTCATGAAAGAGGTGAATGAGGAGCAGGCATCTCACATAGTGGGAGCAGGAGCAAGAGAGACGTGGGGAGGTGTGAGAACTCACTCACTGTCATGAGAACAGCATTTAGCCATTCATGAGGGATTCGTCCCCATGACAAAATCACCTCCCACCAAGCCCCACCTCCAACATTGGGGATTATATTTCAACATGAGATCTGGGAGGCAACACAGATCCAACTTTACCATACCATACTCTGCGCTTCTTTGCAGACAGGTGGTTCTTCTTAGCTGTTTCCTGCCAAGTTAATAGGTCAAGGTAAAAGCCTATAGTGGGAAATAGGATGACCATGACACAGGTGGTTTGTCTCCTAAATCCATTATGGAGCTGAGAATGGGAGACAGCGGGAAGGTGCCATGTGTACATGAACCATGGATGGGCATTTTTTTCTTTCTAATAAATAAGAAGGGTCCTTAACCATCTCTGGAAAGATCCACATCAGTAGAAGCATTTACTGTCAATAAAAATGAACCTTAGGGTAACCCGAAAAGCAAGGTTTCCTATGAAAGTGTGAGTTTAAAGTGGTAGACAGATGGTGGTTACAGAGGGAACTCTCAGCTGATTTAAAGGGCCCCTCCTTCAACGTTAGACAGGGGAGCCCCCAAGAAGAGTAGCAGAGGTGGTAAGAAAGATGGGCAACTTGGTACAACAGTGGGCAAATAATGGAGTTCACAAATACTGCCCAGGGCTTGCAGAGGGAGCTGTTTGGGAGAGTGGCACTCCTTGGTTGCATCCATATGTGTGAGGCTAAACAAGGCAAAAATAGGAAGAAGCCTAGATTACTCTACACAAAGACCTCCCAGATCATATTTGTCTTGAACTGTCAATGCCGCCCAGTCAAACAAAAAATAAAAAATAAAAATAAAAACAAAAACAAAAACCTCTCACAGGATGGGGACTTAGTTTGATAAATTCACTAAAGGGCAAAAGCAATGTACCTTCCTTTGTAATTTATCCTCTCTTCCTCACTTTCATTGCCCAAATTTAGGATTTTCTTTCATCCATTCATTGATCCAAAAAATATTTATTGAATATCTACCATGTGTCTCATGCTATGCAGGTGCTGGGGATACAATAAGTAAGCCATACCATGTCCTTACCTTCAGGAGGCATATAGTCTAGTGGAGAAGGCAAACGTTAAACAAATAATTACAGACCCACATCAATATAAACTTTCAAATTGGGAAAAATAGAACACAATACTGGGGACATATAATTTAATTTGGGGGGATCTGAGAAGGCAAAGAAATGTTACTGCAGCTAGAGGATGGGAACGAATCCAAGAGGTGAAGAGGAGGAAAGTGGTTTCCAAACACAGTGAACAGCCTGTGAAAGAGCCTGAGAACAGAAAGAGCTTGGCATATTCTAGGAACTAAAAGATGGCCATTGGGTCTACAGCACAGTCAGCCAGAACAGGAGTGGCACAAGGCCAGGCTGGAGGAGTGTGGGTACCACAAGGGGATGCCAAAAGCCACAGACACACCCTCAGATGCAAGTAAAGCAGCCCTTTGAGAAGTTACCCTTCAGCCCTTCTCGGCAGATCTTTACTCTCCCACTTGGCTGTTCTGGCTATGTGCTGGTCTGCTGGCCTAGCGCAGCCAGATAGAAGTCAATAATCGACCATATAAGATGATATCAGATGACTGAATTAGCCAACAATGTAGAATGGGGAAGACCGGGGAAATATCGAGCCTGGGAGAAGAATATAAAGTTCAGATTTTGATACATTAATTTGAAATGACTGTGAGACATCCAGGTAACAAGTCTGACATTTAAATTTGAAGCTCAGAAAAGCAGAAAAGAGGTCTGGGCTAAAGCTATGAATCTGAGCGTCATGGCAATCAACAAGCAATAAAAACTAACTCTGGCTAACTTCAGCAGAAAAGAAATGCATTGAATGGATGTTGGACAGCTCACAGAATTTCCAAGATGTCTGGAGAAACAGACTCAGAAAATAAGCAGAAACTGCAGAATGCTGGTTGGCCAAGAACACAGTGAAAATCACACCATCGGAACCCTCTGGTGAGATCATGGCAGCCATCACTGCTGGCCCTAGACACTGCCCATGGCCACTGGCACCACAGGCCTGGCTGCCCCTAGAATATGAATGCTGCTTATTTACCCTCAGATGAACTCTCTATGCTCCATGCTTCTTTGATTTACCAACCTTCAATTCAAACCAAGTTACCAGTATATTATTTGCTAAGTCTACCTGCCCATATTCCAACTGCTGATAGAAAGGATAAAATCAAGTATCAAGAATATTTATCTTGGATAGAGAAAAGGAGCCTACGGGAATGTATAAGATCACTTAGTGAGCAAGTGAGAAAGGAAAAGGATAGGATGGAAAGAAATGAGAATGAAATGGAAGAAATGAAGGTTAGGGAGTTTGCAGGGAAAAGCCTTGGTCCAAGCTTTGAGAAACTCTAGCATAGAGTTTCACCTGAGTAAGAGTTGTCAAGGCCTATTCTGTGATAATACACTTCAGCTCAAGTCTACCTAGCATTTTAACTTGAAAATAAGTCAGAAATAAAGATGGTATCCCTCCTTTGGGAGTACACTTGATTTTTAACAAGTGAGTCTTGAAGTGAATTTAAGAATCACATTATAAATCTGACCCCTTAAGATGGCATTTTCCATGTGACCTTACCCACTCTGAAGCCAACTCTAATTGGATATGCTCCTAGGGTTGTTAAACTATCCAAAGTTACAACAGCACACAAAAAAAGAACTGATAGAGTTTTATATAAAAATTAATTGAAATACCATATGCATTGCCTGGATGTATTTCTTCAGTATTCTTAACTGACCTGTGACTCTCTGAGTAATTACCTGCAGATCTTTAAACTTGGCGAGAATTGAATCAAACGCAAATAAAAAGACATGTTACATCTTTTGTGTTAGGAATAAAACGGAGACTAATACCCTTTGAGAAAAATAACTTGGACATTATGATGATGGTTATTATGGCAAGAAAAAAAAAGTGTGTGGGGATATGGTACCAAGAAAATATACTTTTCCCATATAGTCTCACTATTAGAAATAGATCCCATTCAAATACCTTTTCTTTAGGAAAAAAAAAGTCTACATATCTTAGTCCATTTTGTGCTGCTGTAACAGAATCTCTGAGACTGGGTAATTTGAAATGAACAGAAATGTATTGGCTCTCAGTGCTAGAGGCGGGTGAGTCCAGGATCCAGGCACCAGCATGAGGTGTGGTGAGTGCCCTTTGCTGCGTCCTTTCTGGCAGGAGGTGGAAAGGCAAGAGGGCAAGAGAACGAATCCACTTCCACGAGCACTTTTAATAACAGCATGAATCTACTCACAAGGGTAGAGCCCTCAAGAGCTAAACGCGTCCCAATTAGGCCCCACCTCCTTATATCATCACATTGGAGATTGAATTTTCATTCCCCTAGAATCTAGGGGACACATTCAAACCATAGTACTGCATACGTCCTCCCCTTCCCCACTCCAGGACTTTGAATGCTTGATCAAAAACACGGAGGGGAGGGAGTTTTTTTAATCATTCATGATCTCTTCAGCTAATTCTTGGTTCTAAAGAAGTGGTTTTCCAACTGGGTATGTAGGATCCCCAGATTTCCACATACAGGCTTTAGGAAGCATCACAGAAAATAGAGGAGACCCATTAGGCATGGCTCAAGACTCCTGGCACTGCTCTGATTTTATGTTTTCTACATCTGTTCTGTGGTGTTAAAAGCTTAAAAGCTGCTCTGGGGATATAAAATTCTTTTTTCTTTTCTTTTCTTTTCTTTTTTTTTGAGACAGTCTCGCTCTGTCACCCAGGCTGGAGTGCAATGGCACGATCTCAGCTCACTGCAACCTCCGCCTCCCGGGTTCAAGCGATTCTCCTGCCTCAGCCTCCCAAGTAGCTGGGACTATAGGCACGTGCCACCATGCCCCGCTAATTTTTGCATTTTTAGTAGAGACAGGGTTTCACCATTTTGGCCAGGCTGGTCATGTACTTCTAAAATTCTTTAGCCATTTACTTACACCACTGCTGTGAATAACAGAGTTTTCTGAAAAGCCCCTAAGTATTAATTTTAGGACCCCTGACATGAAGGATACTAGGATCCCTACGAACCAAAATGCTTTTGAAGAGGAAGGAGGTCTTTGCCTCTACCACACACCTAAAAGACTGGCCCACCCAGGATGTGGGCCTGCAGATGAGCCTCAGATCTAGGGCTGCCAGATTTAGCAAGTAAAAGTAAAGAATGTTCGGTTAAATTTGAATTTCAGAAAAATAACATAAAAATTTCACATAAGTATATCTATGCAATGCTTGGGATTCATTTATCCTGAAAAATTATTTCTTGTTTATCTGAAATCCAAATTCATCTGCGAATCCTGTAGCTTATCTGGCAATCTCACTCAAGTCAGACTAGAGCATGTGGTGACTACATAAACACAAGTGTCAAAGTTCACCTTACACTTATGGGTATGTTTACTATTCCGGAAGTTCTACCTAGGGGCTAGGACCAAAAGCCTGGGTGGTGCTTCTAAAGTCCAGCACAGACAAATATTCCTGTGGATGCCCTGATACCCATTTCGACTCCAGCCTGTCTGATTTAGTTATCACAGCATCTCAGTCACTGACTGAAACCTTGCTGATCTGCCTGGTGTTGCTTTCTCCAGGTCCATCAGCTCCCAACATGGCCAGGTGCTGAGCCTCAAATGGACTCCTACGTCATTTCACTCCTTCATGGTCATTACCTAGATATAAATAGGAATCCTCAACTCCATGAGCCACAGAGCCTGATCTCCAAAACTTGGACCACTTAAGAACCCCAAGATTTATCACCACTCCAGAACCTGAGACGAATTCTATCTATACTCAGGTAATTGTTTAATAACCCCAAAGAAGCTCAGCATGATCTGACTTAAGGCTGATCACTCTCTGACCTTGTTCTAAAATAGCACTTCCTCAGCGGGGACCTCCCTAGCCTCACTATGTATAGTTGCACACACACCTCCATATACAGAACTTACTCTCCTTCTCTGTTTATCTCAACAGCACTTATCACCATTTAAAATATCAAATATTTCACTTATTTCTCTTGTTTATTTTCTGTCTCTCACCTCCATAATGTCAGCCTCACAGGAGACTCATTTTGTCTATTTTGTTCAGCGACTAAAGTCATGCCTGGTACAGGATAGATACTCAAAAATATGTTTTGGGAATATCGTATCTTTCTTCTAGTAGTTGGATTTCTAGAAGAGAGGTTATTATCTTGTTCTGCTGTGGTAGGTCTGTGCCTTGTTCAATATCTCTGCAAATCCAGCACTGGGAACCTACCTTCCTCCCCTCACCAAAGGCTTTCTAGGAATGTGCATTTTATTGTAGACATGAAAACCACACGGCCAGCTTGCTCGTACCTGCCATCAAAGCTTCTCCACCTGAACTTCCTGTCTACTTGAACTTCCCTCTGACACCAATGTTCAGATTCACCTGCTTCCTTTTTCCCTGCCTGTACCAGTTATAAAAGAGGGATGCACACCTTTCTTGTCGTCTTGAGATCAAAGGGGCAGCACTCCCACATGGTATAAAAAAGTCTCTCACTTTCTAGTCTTTGAGGACTCTACTCTGTGTATCAATGTCAGCAGGCTATCCATCCAGGCTAGGGTTCTGTGAATTAGGCAAATGTCTAGAACCTCGCATGATTCACAACTTTCGTACTAGAGAAATAAACTGACTTTAAAACGTAGACATCCTCACAGAGCAATAGATTGCATTTACACTTTGAGGGAATGTTACTGTCCTAAGAGCCTATAACACAGAAAATGACCGTTAGATGGATAAAGGCAAAAATGATTATGGCATAGTCCTTCTATACTATATATTACAGTACAGTACTGACATTCTGGATCTCTTGCTTCTCAGGACCATTTTGTTGTTTTATACTGAGTAGCAAGACCTCTCTCATCTTGCACATATATGTTTATATACATATTTCATGTATCATATTACACAAAATAATGTTATAAATGGGTTTTTATGGGGTCTTTCAGTATCAGAAAGATCTTTGGTTAAGACCAACACTAAAAGAATCACACTGGTTCATTCTGAAAAATTAGATGTCAAAAAATATAACAAAAACTTTATAGAACATCCATCTTGAGACAATCTAGAATTTTAATAAGCAACCTGTGCTTAATCTCCAGAAATTGTGCTATACAAAGGCGAGTGGCAATTCTTCTCAGATCATTAGTACTTCTGGTACCCAGTCTGATCAGGTTCAACAATCAACCACAAATGCCAAAATGTGTAAACTGCAGAACTAGAGTGTGAGTTCCAGAATTTTGTCAAGTTTTATTGACTGCAATATCCCCATTGTCTAGAAGAGAGTAATCACTCAATAAATACTTTTGGAACAGAAGAATATTGCTCTTGGTAGACAGGCATATTTTAGTTAGAGGTGATTTCAGATTTCCAAAGCTCCAAAGTTTGGAAATTTTTCAAAGATTTCCAGGGAAACTCTTCAAGTATGACTTGTGCTGTCCAGCAGCATCTTTGCCTTAAATAACCATTCAAAGGAAACCGCATTACTTGAGTTTCTGTAATTGTCAAGGCAAACTACAGAACCACAAAATAAATTTTGACTAATGTAGAGTTATGGGGAAACTAAACTTCCCGAGATATTAACTTTTATATGAGTTTATATGTTTGCTTATTACTTCTATTAAGCTCTTTGTACAAAACTTAAACAAATGAAAAGGAAAATGAGGACATGTTTCCAATATCAAAATAAAAGCAATAAAAAAACTATCCAAGAGATAACTTCTACTCCTCCTAGATTTGCTGAAATTTGGCAGTAGAAATTGATATTTTCAAATTACCAATTATAAATACACATTTGATATTAATTTACTTAAGAAAAAATAAATAATCTGTTATTAAAGGTGAACATGTAATCATAAGTATCAGGCTAAAAATATTCCCATAGTACCTGGAATTATAGCCTTGAATTCAGCATAATTGAATTTACCTTTAATTCCTAAGAGGATTTAACTACTAAAAAGTTATAGCAGTCATTACATGTAAGTTATTCTTCAGTCTTAACCTTCAACATAACATCATATCAAGGCTCCAAAACATTATATCAAAAAAAGTATTTTAGTGGCATCCTGAAAATGAAGATGAATTCCATCATCTATTATGTTTTCTACTCAGCAGTTTGCTAAGAAAAACAAAATAGAGGAAATAGGGGTTTAGGAGCCATAATTGTGACAGAACCTGCATTTGACTACCAAGTCCCTTTGTAAAAAGTTTCTACCTGATGGGAATTGAACAATGAGAACACATGGACACAGGAAGGGGAACATCACACACCGGGGCCTGTTGTGTGGTGGGGGGGAGGGGGGAGGGATAGCATTAGGAGATACAACTAATGCTAAATGACAAGTTAATGGGTGCAGCACACCAACATGGCACATGTATACATATGTAACAAACATGCACGTTGTGCACATGTACCCTAAAACTTAAAGTATAATAATAATAAAATAAAAATTGAACACACACACACACACACACACACATTTTCTCCTTTTAATGCTAATTTGAATAACTCAGCCAAACACTTAAAATATCAATAAATACTAATCTTTACCTGTATTTCTTACCACTTCCAAAGGTTATTTTAAAAATAAAATTGTAATGAATAAAAGTAAAAAAAAAACAAAAACAAAAACAAAAATTTGATAAATGGATAAATAACTCTATTACAACCAAAGAGAAGGAAAACTTTACTGGGAAGGAGATAACTTGAAAATAATTTTATTCTGCTGTTTAAACTTTGTTGTAACAAATGTTTCAGTCGTAAAATGTAAAGAATTTTGTCAGGCATACTTGTGGGAGATGTATCAAACCTTAACATTTTGCCATTTTTCTATGGAGCCTGTTTTTTTGATTGCTGAAAGTGTGTATCCATGCACACTTTTTGTTATGCATGTTTCAAAGCTCTATATAAATAACACTCTGTCTATATTGTTATAAAAGTTGCTTTTTGCCCTTGTCAGTATTCATGTTACATGTTATGTAACTTTCGTTCATTGTTTACTGCTTTATAGTATGTCACTTAATTAGTATACCATAACATGTCCAGTCTCTCAATGATGGGCATTTATTTTCATATTTTTGTTATTAGAAACAATGCCGCAATAAATATTCTTATACATGTGAAAAAAAAAAGTTTCTACCTGAAACAAAGCTAAGTTCAGAATTAGTGCACATAAAACTCATTGCCTATTAAGTTTTATATTTGCATATTTGTGCTACAGATGAAACAACCGGAAAACTATTGAAATGGCATCCATTAAAATATTTAATAATTTCTTCTGTTCAGAGTTACATCAAAATCTAGTCCCTTAGGTAACTGCCTTATTAGCAAATTGATGAACAACATTCTCTTGTAATGCAAATGTGCAATTCAAATTTTCCTATTTTCTCCATATATACTTTTATACATTCTTGAGTTTAAAATAATAGAGATTTTAATACCTTGTTATAAACATGATATTCTGAAAATCATGAAATTTGTTTTATGTTTTTAGATCTTTCATCTCTGTTTTATAAAGAATTGCATGATCTCCTGGCAACATTTGATTAATAATTTAATACTAGGCATGTTCTAGCCTCCCAGGGAACCCAGATAATAGAGTCTAATAAATTTGGGAAATCCACATAGTTTGGTTCCAGATGAAAGGGAGTAAGCACACTGCACTCATTCTATCCCACTTAATACAACTATAAAACCCAGAAAGAATGCATGGAGCAGCTATGTGAAGACTACGTAAAGTAAATCACAGCAGGCACATCAAGGTACCATGGAATCAGTGGTGAATTTACCATTTTTCCCCTCCTTTAGCCCATGACTTGAATTCAGTGCAGCCTGAAACACAGAAGCAAGCCCTTGTAGCACAGATAAACTGAACTCCAGGAGAAGCACAACAGGCCTGGCTGAGAACTAGGAAAGGAGCTCTTAATGCTCATGGTGGGGAGAACTCTACTTCTCTTTTCTACCAGGCCCAGCCCCCAGGCAATTCTGTATCAATATTGACAGTGACAACTATGAGACTCTGCAAGAACCAAAACTTTGAGAAAGGGGAACCTTCTTCTCTGCTCAGTGAAACTGTAGTTGAAAGAAGGTAGAAAAAAAGTATTGCCTTTTTCTTTCTCTGTTGTTTTTTTTCTCTCTGTTCTCCCTCTTATTGGGCTAGAATGTGAGCCCAATCAGAGAAGTGCACACAGAGAGGGATCACTAAAGCCCCAAGTTTCTGGACAGAGGACCAAAAAGAGTGGCCCAGAGAATCAACAAATACTCATGAAATCATGCAGAAAGAGAAGCTTGGGAAGGTAACCCCATGAGGTTAGTTGTTTCTGAACTCTTGGGCTCACTCTTGACCTGCACATGTGTGATTCTGATCGTAATTAGCCTTCCAAACTCCTTGAGAACTGATGTTAGGTATAGACCTCTGTCTAGATCATAGACACCCAGGACATATCCAAAGAGCATTATAATGGCTTTGACAACTGAAATGACATTGAAACCATAGGTCACCATAGAAGGTAGATAGGAATCTGACACCTAAGTCTAACTAGATTAATTGTCTGCTAGAACACAAATAGCAACATTCTCCATAGAATTTAAATAAGATCCAGAGTTTCATGATGTAATATTCAAAATGTCCATTATGTAATCTAAAATTACTCAACATCTGATAAGCCAAGAAAATGTCAACTCACATAAGAAAAGAAAATCAATAGAAAACAATGCCAAGAAAGCACAATTGTTGGATTATCTGACAAAGACTAAAATGTTCAAACTAGCAATTGTGAATACTCTCATGACAAATGTAAAAGTTAAAAATCTTGGCAAGTAAATACAAAATGACTGATACAAAAATACATTGAATAGACTCAATAGCTGGATGAGGATGACAGATGAAAGAGTCATTGAATTTGAAGATGGAGTAATAGAAATTATCCAGTCTGAATAACAAAGAGCATAAAGCATGAAGAAAAAATGAGCAGAGCATTTGGGGCCAGTGGGACAATAGCAAAAGGTCTTACGTCATGCCATCAGAGTGCCAGAGGGAGAAAGGGAAGAGTGTAGTAATGAAAAAATATCTGAGGAAATAATGAAAATTTATTTGGCTAGATACTAGAACAAACACCAAACAAGATAAATCCAAAATATCCATGCCCA
This sequence comes from Homo sapiens, assembly GCF_000001405.40. Taxonomy (NCBI): domain Eukaryota; kingdom Metazoa; phylum Chordata; class Mammalia; order Primates; family Hominidae; genus Homo; species Homo sapiens. The sequence goes on from NC_000018.10 coordinate 2,213,266, forward strand.
CATAGCATAATCGAAATGCTAAAAGCTAAAGACAAGAATATAAATTTCTGAAGGCAGCCAGAGAAAAACAACACTTTATATATACAAGAATAATGATTTAAATCACTGTATATTTCTCATCGGAAATCATGGAGACTGTTAGAAAGTGGCACAGTATTTTTCCAGTACTGAATGATTATAAACACAGAATTCTATACCTAGTTAAAATATTCTTCAGGAATGAAAGTGAAATAAAGACATTCTCAGATGAAGGAATACTAAGACAATTTATAGCCAGCAGATCTTCTCTAAAAGAATTTCTAAAGGAAGTTCTGTGAATAAAGGGAAATGATACTGGAGAGAAACTTAGAACAAGAAAAAAAGAATAACAACAAAATGGTATATATCTTGGTAAACATAATGGACTATTCTCTTGAATTCTTAAAAATATGTCAGACAATTGAAAACAAATTTCATAACATTGACTTATGGCATTTGAACTGTAAATATTTAGATATAAAACAACAATAGCATAATGGGAGAGAGCAAAGGGACCTAAAATGTAGTAAGATTTTTACATTTCAATTAAAGTGGCAAAATATTGATTGAATTATACTGTGAAAAGTTAACTATGTATTGTAGAATCCTTAAAGATACCACTAAAAAAAAATTACACAAAATCATATAGCAAAAAGTCATAATAGATAAAACTGGATACTAAAAAATCTTCAAATAACCAAAGAAGCTCAGAAGGAGAAAGAGGGGTACAAAAAAAGAAAGAGAACAAGCGGAAAACAAACAACTAAATGGTAGACTTAAATACAAATATACCAATAAATGCATTAAATGTAAATGGTCTAAGCACCCAGGTTAAAAGACACAGATTGTCTGAATAGATAAAATATAATAAACTAACTCTAGTCTGTCTATTAGTAAACTCATTTCAAATATAGTGTTATAAGTAGGTCGCAAACACTAATCTAAAGGAAGCTAGAGTGAATATACTAATATCAATGTAGACTTCAGAGCAAAAAAATTATCAGAGTTTAAGAAGGATATTGCCTATTGATAAAAGGGTAAATTCGTAAGAAGGAATAGCAATCTTAACTGTGTAGCCATTTTACACCAGAGTTTCAAAATAAATGAAGCAAAACCAGACAGAACTGAAAGAAGACACACATAAATGCAGGACTATAGTTAGAGAATTTGACTTTCATCTCTCAATATCACTACAACTGGTAGACAGAAACTCAGCATGGATACAGAAGAACTGAACAATGCCATCAACCAACTGAATGTGATAGATTAACACAATATTCTACACAGCAACAACACAATCTTTTCAAGTATACATAGAACTTTTACAAAGATAGACTATGTTCTGGGTCGAAATACAAATCTTAGGTCATTTCAAAAACCAAAATAATAGAAAAAATATTTTCAGACCATAATAGAATTATACTGGAAATCAATAACAGAAAGATAACAGGAAAATATAGAGACACTTCAAAGTTAAACAGTACTTCTAAATGATCCATTTGCTAAAATAGAATTCTCAAAGGAAATTAAAAACTACTTTGTACTGGATGAAAATGGAGAAAAGCACAGAAAATAAAATTTGTAGAATGAAACAAATATTCCTTAGAGGGATATTTATAGCATTACATGGTTATAAGGAAAAAGAAGAAAAGTCTCGTAACAATAACCTGAGCATTCATCTTATGAAACTAGAAAAGCAAAAACAAAATAGACCCAAACTAAGTGGAAGGAAATAAAAATTGCAAGAGCAGAAGTCAAGGAAATTGAAAACAGAAAAGCAGTAGAGAAAGTCAATGAAACAAAAATCTGATTCTTTTAAAAGACCAGTAAAATTTATTAACTCCTTGCAAGAGTGAAAGTAAAAAAGAGAGAGCAAAAGTTCCTACCAATATCAAAAATTAAAATGAATGGAATATGAGTACTATACACACAAATATCATTTCCTCTTCTATCTTTCCACAGGCCTGTGCACCTTTTTCAAGGAGAAGGACAAGGGTAGAGATGTTAGTACCCTTTATCTCCATAACATAGGATTGTGGGTGCTGAATGGAGCTTACTTACAGCTGTATTCCTCATGTCAAAAACTTCCCAGGACTTTGAATTCGACTGATTTGTTTTAATTAAATCATTAGCCAAAGTTTACCTCTTCAGCTGGAACAACTCACTTTGGCTATTTCAGTTCTTCTCATAATCATGGAGAAAGTTATGTAATGATTTAAAATATTCTCAAAGGTTCTTCTTTCACTAAAACGTTACTAAATCCCATGGACTTCCCATGATTTACCAAATAACCCACACTGGAATAATTTATTTGGGTTAAAATATTTTGTCCATAATTCTTCTATTAAAATGCAGATATGTTACAGTATATCTGACTGATTCAGACTATCCTGGATTCTAATTTTTTATCTAATGCCCTCATATATCCTCAGAAAATTACCTGTGAGATACCTCTAGATCTATTCCAACAAGAGAGGAAGTATCAAAAAATTGGAAAGAACACAAGATATATGAAGGTGATAATTATTAAATTATGACCAGCAAGAAAGAATCATTATGCTAACTGTAACTCCAGAAGCAACAGGAGCCTTTAAGGAAAGTGACCACATCCTCTGTGAGTTTAGACAAACTGAGAAGATTCTCACACCAGTCAGAATGGCTATTACTAAAAATTCAAAAAAATAACAGATGCTGGCGAGGTTGTGGAGAAAAAGGAATGCTTATACACTGTTGATGGGAGTATAAATTAGTTCAACCATTTTAGAAGACAGTGTGAAGATTCCTCAAAGACCTAAAGATAGAAATATCATTGGATCCAGCAATCCCATTACTGGGTATATACCTAAAGGAATATTGATATGGTTTGGCTGTGTCCCCAACCAAATCTCATCTTGAATTGTACTTCCCATAATCCCCACGTGTCATGGGAGGGACAAGGTGGAGATAATTGAATCATGGGGGTAGTTTCCCCCATCCTGTTCTCATGATAGTGAGTTAGTTCTCAGGAGATCTGATGGTTTTATAAGGGTCTTCCCCATTAGCTGGGCAATAATTCTCTCTCCTGCCACCATGTGAAGAGGGACATGTTTGCTTTCCCTTCCACCACGATTGTAAGTTTTTTGAGGCCTCCCCAGTCATGCTGAACTGTGAGTCAATTAAACCTCTTTCCTTTATATATGTTGGTACAAAGGTAATTGCAGTTTTTGCAATTTTAATTGTAAGAACCACAATTATTTTTGCACCAACCTGATAAATTACCCAGTCTTGAGTATGTCTTTATTAGCAGCATGAGAATGGACTGATACAAATATAAATCATTCTATCATAAAGACACATGCATGCACATGTTCACTACAGCACTATTCACAATAGCAAAGATCCAAATGCCCACCAATGATATACTGGATAAAGAAAATGTGGTACATATACACCATGAAATAATGGACAACCATAAAAAAGAATGAAATCATGTCCTTTGCAGGGAGATGGATGGGGCTGGAGGCCATTATCCTAAGCAAACTAATGCAGGACCAGGAAACCAAATACCACATATTCTCACTTATAAGTGGGAGCTAAATGATGAGAATACATAGACACATAGAGGGGAACAACACACACTGGGGCCTGTCACAGGGCAGAAGGTGGGAGGAGGGAGAGGATTAAAAAAAAAAACAGCAACTAATAGGTACTTGGCTTAATGCCTGGGTAATGCAATAATCTGTACAACAAACCCCCATGACACAAGTTTACCTATGTAACAAACCTGCACATGTGCCCCTGAACTTCAAATGAAAGTTAAAAACAAAACAAAATAAAAAAGAAAAACCAAGGAGGTAATAGTGGGTAGGACCAGACATGCCCTCTATGCCCTCTGTGCTGTGCAGATATCAACCAAAAAAAAAAAAAAAGGAAAAGATTAACAAGTGCACATGGGCACAGAGTAAAAAGGTAGGAAAATGCAAATGATGAAGTTCCTATAACTATAAATCTAACAATACAATCACAAATGATCCTGAGGAGGAAGAAAGTGCAAAGGCCACTGATGAAATCAACTGGTCTGCCAGGAAACTCTCTAATTAACTGATAGAGAAATGGTCACAGAATCAGGGAGAATACAAAAGAAGAATAAAAATCCGTGAAAACACTTGAAAAGGAAGAAATCCAGAATAAGCAGAAACTGATAAAAACATAAGGGGGAGAAATGCATTTTCAATACGTTTAAAACTAAAGTAAAATGAGGAAGGAATTGGACCAGTACTTGGGGCAGATGGTAAAAATGTTAACAGATGCAGAAAAGGCAAAACACCTCATTTCTCTTTTTCTCTAAAATTTTTAAATTTTTAAATTTTTAAATTCCAGAAGGAATTAAAGCCAAGGTAGTCAATGAATTGAGTAAAAGAGAATTCAACTATTTTAAAGGAGCTTCTGCCTCTAGCTCTAATGAAATACAGTGCTATATATTACAAATACAAAAAGAACATGCAGATTTGACTGCACATCATGGAAAATGAGAGAGGTGAAAGAAGACTGGTAAAAATTTCTGCCATTTTCAAAATGGGAAAAATAAATAGTGTAAATACAATGTGGTGAGATAATGATTAATTTCCAAGAAAATTCTAGAATTGTTGATCAAACCAGAGAGATATATGCAGTTTAAAAGGAAAGTTGTAGCTTTAAGAGCCAGCATGAGTTTACTCAAGAACAGATCATAGAAATCTAACTTCATTAGTTTATGCAAAAATATACCAAAAGTTTCCCTCAGAATTCTGCATAAATGCCTACTTGTAATAATTTAATTCTCTATTCAAATGGTACTTCCTCTTAAGAGCTTTCTCGGGCAATCCAGCCTAGACAGTTTCTCCTTTCCTTCAGCATCCTACTATCATTCACATTTAATTTTTTTTATACAGCGTTTATCTAAAATGACCTTGCTCATTTACCCATTTACTTATCTGGCTCTCCCACTCTTATGAGACCTTGAAGCCTATGAGAACGGGAACTTTATCTGTTGTTCCCCACAGTTTCCTCTTTCCTAGAAAATTCCCTGGCAATGAGTAGGCACTCCATAAGTATTTTTGAATGAATGAATAAACAGAATCTCTAAACTAAAAGGGACATAAAAAGTCACCCAGCCCCCACATTGACTGCCAGCATGGAGTCACCAAGCTTTTTTCTTAAACCTCCAATGGCAATTACTCATCACAATTCGATTACTCTATTTCATCTTAGAACAGATTCAATTTTGGGAAAGTTCTACTTACACTCACCTGAAATCTGTGTACAACTTCTAGTTTCCGTCCATGAAGTTTATCAGAACCCAACTCTTCCATAAGTTCACAGGTAACAACAGACTCAATCCCTCTTTCACACGGCAGCCATTCAGCATTTGCTTCTCCAGTCTGGACAGTTTCAATTCTTGCAAGCTCTCCACATGGGAGAATTCAGAGACCTCTCGCCCTGATGGGCTCTGCCTTATGAAAACATTTTCAGTCTAATATCTTGCACATTTGGGCAGTCACAATATAGATTGGCTCTGCTACCCCTCAAACTCATAATCAAAGATGCAGACACACATATGAATACTCTCCACTCCCACTCCCATAGCAGATATCCCAATAACTCCTGGCATTGAGATGGGAGTCATCTTAAATCATCTCAGTACAGCCTCTAGGCCATCACTACCACATGATCACAGCTGGCACTAATGAGGAAATAAAATTGTCATCCCAGTGTTGGGTACTAATACATCCTAAGATGACATAAATTTTTGGCAATCATTTGATACGCCAGCTCTGAGGGAGCCGACTAAAGTTCTTAAGTCATTTTCCCATATGTTGCTACTAAACAACATCCCCCTCCATCCTTTATTGGTACACTTACTTGTTTCTGGTTTTATGGCTTTAGCTTTTGTTTTGTTTCTGCAATCAGATGCAAAGACTTGTATTCAACCATCTTCAATTAAGATGTCATTTAATAAAGATGTAAAACTCATTATTGAGCCCAATGTTCTATGGTTGTATTAAAAACAATATAATTTACTAGCACAATATGGGAGAGGAGCATGAGTAGCAAAAAGTCATCAAAAATCACAGCTTTACATATGGAGAGAACTGAGGATTTTGGATGATGTCAAGCAAATTAAGAGTCAATAATGAGACATGGCTAGGAAACAAAAAATAAATGCAATCTTAGACTGCACTGATACAATGATAGTATCAAAATTAGAATAATAGTCAACTTGTAATGTCAGACCATGTGTTCATTACTGACAACAAAATTTTATGAAAGATGTGCTAAAGATGTATGCTATAATAAGATTTCTAGTCACTATACCTTGTGAGAAAGGTGAGAAAACTAAAGATCCAATCTTAAAAAGAGGAGGTTTAGGACTCATGATTTCATGCTTAAAAAAGAAAATAAAAGCCTCTATGTAAAACTGAATTAGACTAAGTCTAAGCATAGGTATATTTACAATTCTAAAAAGCTTTAAGGGTGGAAATCAGAGTTCACAGCTTTGCTGTGTGATCATAAGAAAAATACTTAATTTCTCTCTACCTGATTCTTTATTCATTCACTCAACAAATATATGAACTGAGTGCCAAAAACACACACTGAATAATTCACGCATGGCATCTGCGCTCCTGAAGATTATAGTCACGTGGTGGAGACAGACTTTACATAAGTAAATTAATCAGTTGAAAAAAAATCACAAGTTGTAACAAGTACCCAGTCAATAATAGGCACTCAATAAACATTAGGATGAGTATCCAACTAATGCCTTCCTGAAATAGAATGGACTGTCTTACAAAGGTAATGAGTTTCCTATTGCTTACATGTTCAATTAAAGGTTTAATGTCATAAGTCAATGAAAATGTAGAGGAGATTTATATATTTGGTGAAAAAGTAGACTAAAACTTCTGTAGGATTTTCAGCCGTAATCTCCATACTTCTCTGTGATTCCTACGATATTCTGAATTTCAGCTTTGTAAATAAGTAGATATCTTCACTCTTCTCAGTACCACAAAAACTGTTGAACAAAATAAAATACACCACTTGAAAAAACACATTGAACTGAATTGGTATTTATTTTGGTCAGTTGGGCAAGTGTGTATTTACTTTATTTATCTTTATATTGCCATTTCTAAATCTGCTTAGACTCTAAAATTATTTAACTTGTATTAATAAATTCAGGGTGATGAGAGAAAAAAACGTAAATCCAATTATTCTTTCATTAACTTACTCAAAAATTGTATCCATTCATTTATGTATTCGCTCAGAAATGTCTGTGTGGTTAACACTGTGCATACTACAGAAATAATTTAATGATGACTATCAAATATACTTGCCCTTGAATAGTTGCTTTTATGACAGTGTCTTTTAAACTTTTGGGGGTCAAAATTTTGAACCCTCAGGTTTTATTTTTGAAAAACTAAAACTGTTTTTAAAAAGTAGTAACTGTGTAAAACATGAATCTAATCAAACCTAGAGACCATCCACAAATTTACAAGTAATTTGCAGAAAATACAAAGAAAGGAGAATTAGAAGTTAAGTGACAATATCAAATGGAGTCCTCCAAATCCAGATTATGAGACATTCTATGGAACAAATAATCTCCAACAATTCAATAGCACAAAAAGGAGAAAGGGTGATCATCACAATAAAAGAGACTTTAGAGGTTTACCAATCCAAAGGTGAACTTTAAGTCCTAATTAGAATAATTGAATGACAAAATCTAATAGTCCAATTACACAATGACATATGAGACAATTGGGGAGATTTGATGATGGGCTGAGAATTAAATGAGGTTAAGGAATGACTGTTCATCTTGCTAGTTATAGTAAGGCATGGTGACCATGTAAGGAAAAAACAATTGAAGATACATACTAAAGATTTTATAGAAGAAATGACATGATATGAGGGATTTGCTTTAAAATACTCCAGAAAAATACAGTGCAGGGATAAGTAAAATAAGCATTGCAAATTGTTCATAATGACTCCAGGGGAATTTGTATAACTTCCCCTGGAGTCTCTACTTCAGTGATTGTTTGAAAATTCCCCTAATAAAAAATATTCTTTAAAATATGCATTCTTTCCAGAAAATTAATACCTTCAAATAGAAATCATATTTTGTTTACAATTTGAGGGGGGGTTACATAGTGCTAAACCTATTTCAGATTTTAAAATCTTGATATAGTGGGAGAAGGAAAATATTTGAGTATAATCTCAAGGGAGAATACTATTAATAAGAAAGAAATTGCCATGGAGATTAGACAGGTGTTAGCTCTTTGTAACCACCAAAAGCAGAGCCTAGGTACCCACAAAAATAGAGAAAGGAAGAGCGACAAGAACAACTCTGAGACCTGTGTGGACTTTACTTCTAGATTTGCAAAGGATTTAAAGGAATGAATGACACAGGACACAGGGAAGGCAGAGGAGCTTAAAAGTAAAAATGAAAAAGAAACAAATGAGATGGTGAGGCTAAAAGAAAGGAAACTACAGTCAGCCAACATCTTTCTTCAACAAGCATAGCATCTAGAACATCCCAGCTCAAGCCCATCCTGGATATAAAACTAGAAATACTACAAATGGCATTTCTGAGTAGTCCTGAGGGATGCTGAGGGGCAGGGTATGGGACGAGGAGGTAATATCTATTCCAAAATTCTAAAATACTTTGCTTATAAAGAAATTCTACTGTAAGTCTTATTGTAAAGGGAAACATTTTTGTAAAACCAATCACCACTACCCATTTTAACGTGTAGTCTAATGTTTATTATGATGATAATGTTACTTTGTAGCTATGCAGGAGTTTTAAAGAAGAGCACTGTAACATTTTCTTATTCAAATCCCTCAACTGGATACAACCCTCCTGTAAAACAGAAAATTCACTTTTCTTCTCCACTGTGTACCCAGATCCTAGAGCAGCACCTGGCTGGTAGGCACTTAATAAGTATTTTTTGAATTAAAAAATAAATTACCTGGCCAGCATGGTGAAACCCTGTCTCTACTAAAGATTCAAAAATTAGCTGGGCATGGTGGTGCATGCCTGTAGTCCTAGCTACTCAGGAGGCTGAGGCAGGAGAATTGCTTGAACCTGGGAGGTGGAGGTTGCAGTGAGCTGAGATTGTGCTACTGCACTCCAGCCTGGTGACAGTGAGACTCTGTCTAAATAAATAAATAAATAAATAAATAAATAAATAAATAAATAAATAAATAAGGTTCCACTTCTGAGAATGGTGGGCTGGTTAACATAACTGAGCCTTCTACTAAGAACAACTAGAAAACTTGAACACTTTCAGCCCAGTAAAGTTGACACATAAAATTAACCATCCACTTCCTAAGCATGCTCTCCCAGAGATCCTTGTATGTAATTCTTCACAAACTTGTTGCTGTCCAGTGCCTCCAAGCATTGGACTCAGGCTGAGTCCAAAGGCTGAATTACACCACTGGCCTTCCTGGTTCTCCAGCTTGCAGACAGCAGATGGTGGGACTTCTCGGACTCCATAGTTGAATGAGCTAATTTCTATTTAACACACACATGCACATATACATATATATACACTTATATATATATATACGTATATATACACTTATATATACGTATATATATATATACACATATATATGTATATTATTGGTTCTGTTTCTCTGGAGAATCCTGACTAATCCAGGAAGTTAAACTAGAAAAAAGAACAAGGAAGTGGTTGCTACGATAATCAGGTTATGCTTGGAGGAGGAGGACAGGTTAGTGACTCAGAAGAAGCATGAGGGAGATTTTCAGGATACGAATAATGTTCTATATTTTTATTTAACCTGGTTGTTTGTGATAAACCATGAACCATTATACTGTATATCATTCTGTTATACATTTATCTGCACATTTGTTAAATTTCATAACAAAACAGCTTTTAAAAATATTCTTAAAATATAAATAAATGAGTCTTGATCATGTTAATCATTTGAAGTTAGAAGTACTTCAAAAGTATACAGGAATTGGAGTAGCATTTCATTCCTGTAAATAGCTTCTCCTCTTTGCTTTGCAGAATAAAATTAGAGGACTCCAAACAGGCAGTTCTGGCCATCATGAGCCATCTTGGGCATTGTGAGGAAGGGGACGTAAGAACAAAAGATAGATCTGAAGGCGCTGCCTAGACAAGGTCCATTTTTCTTTATGCCTCATGCCTAAGAGACTAAAAGAGAAAACATATTTGTCTTAGGCAAAGGCAAAAAAAAAAAAAACAAGCTTTCCAGACTGATCATTAGAGCCTTCCCACACACATTCAGAATAACGATGGCTGGACAGCGAACATTCCTCAGAAAAGCGAAAGTTTCCAAGTGAATGCAACAGAGTTCTCCGCTCACATTCCAGTTGAAGAAGTGAGATAAAGACAAGCCCACGTGCAAAGAACTGTATATTTCTAATAAGCAAATCATGACAATGGGGAATGCCTAAAAATCCATTAGCTGTTCTTCAAGCAGATCTTTGGGGAGACATCATTATCTGTTTTGACTGCATTAAGAAAGCAGCTTTGGAAAGCCTGTTAGAGAGCTTTACAAAATAATCTTTTGACAAGCTGCTCTTCTAGTGGACTGTGGAAAACCTGATAAAACTTTGGTTTTTCATGTTGATCCCTTTATTTGTTTTGTTCGTATGCAAGCTGCCATTTCAGAGCCAGGAAAGTCATCAGCAGCCTATTGCGGCCATTCTCTAAGCAGTGTAGGGCATTTTTCCCTTAATCTTACCTTTCTCCCTTAGAATAATTTAGACTCTATCTGGGACTAACAGGCACACACTGCCCCCATCAGGTTAAACTACCCTGCAAAATCAGATTCTCTAGAGAAATTAAAATAAACTGAGTGTAGCAAGTACATATGCATAGAAAAGCAGACATATTTCAAACTTCTGGATTATGCTTAAGATTATTTCTATTTAATGCAACCTGCCCCTAAAGAAGCTTATTTTAAATGAATCACTCTTTAAATAGATCATTATTTGAATTCTCAGTTGTCAGGATTGACTCCTTAATTCTGATACCGTCGACCTGGTTGTCTTATATCCTCACTTCTGACTTAGCAAAGTAGCCTGAGAGAAAAACTATCATTTCTTTCCTCTGATCATTCAATTCTTTAATTTTTAATGAAATCCAGTTAATTCAGAACCATTATTAGGTTCTATAATGGAAACTATGCTATTACACAATGTTAATGCCCCTGTGCATTTTTTAAACAAGAGCTATATGCTTTATTACTTTATTTTCTTAAATTATCTTTGGAAATCTGAATTTTATGAATAAGTCACTGCAAATGAATTAAACATTGTGATGATGGTAAAATTTACTCATTAGGAATACGTTGAGGTCTTTTGGGAAACAAAGCTAGTAATGGTAAATATCATTTTAGTATTTAGAAGTGCTTATCTATGTATAGCAACATACCAAGCACTGTAGAAATCCATCCTTGATGTAAACTACACTGGTCATGCTGTATATGGTGTAATTTTAAATGGGTTCTTTTTTTTTTTAATTCCCCTCCTGCCTGCCTAGGTATAAAAATTTCCACATCAATTACTTTTTAGAATAAACTATTAAGTCTAAAATCTAATCTAGGTGCAGTAACATATTAAACTAGCTAAACTATCTAGAGGTAGATAGTTTCTAAAGAAAAAATATGCAAAATAGTTAAGTTTTAATGGGAAGAAAGAATGCAGAAAGGAAAAATAAACAGGAAAAATATAGTGCTGCAATACCAAAATGATATTTTCTCTAGTCTGGAATGATCTGCCTGGAGAACCCAAAAATCACTCTTCAAACTGTAACTCAAATGTCATGTCTTTATTTATACTTTTTATCTCCATTAAAGTGACATTTATTTTAAAGTCTATTTTAAAATGGATTTTTCTTGAATGTAATATATCACTACCATCCCAAAGGTAGCCACTACTCTGACATCTGGCACAATAGATGAGTATTGCCTCTTTTTGAATTTTACTTAAGTGGAATCATACAGAGGTTACGTTTTGTGTCTGGCCTTTTGCATTCAACATTCTATTGATAAGATATATTAATATTATTGTATACAGCAAGAGTTTATCACTGCTGCATGGTATGCAATTATGAATACATCATAGTTGATTTATATATTCTATTATTGATGAACATTTATTCAGTATCCAGTTTGAAGCTATTAAGAATGGTGCTTTTGGTGGACTTACGTTCATATTTCTGTTCATCATGTATTTAGAAGTAAAATTGCTGGACATAGGGTATGAGAAAATTCATTGTTAGCAGATACTACCAGTTTTCCCAAGCAGTTACATCAGTTTCTGCACCAACCAGCAGAGTTCAAGAGTTCCAATTCCTTCATATCTTTGTCAACATTTTATGTCTTCCATTTATTTCCTTTTATTGATCCTCTTAGGTGCACAGTGATATGTCATCATAATTTTAATTTGGGTTTTTGGAATAATTAGTGAGGTACAGCACTTTTCATATGTTTATTGGAAATTTGGACATTCATTTCTATTAAGTGCGCATTTAGGTTTATTTATCTATTGAATTTCTTCTTTTTATTACTAATTTGAAAGATTTCTTTATATTCAACATGCAAGTCTTGCCATTACAGATATCCATGTAAAAATTATAAATATCACCTCCTTTTTTATGTATTCTGATGTATATGAGGTACTTTATTTTAATGTAATTTATTTTGTTTTTCTTTTACCACTCACACTTTTGGTGCCCTGCTTAAGAAATCATTGCTTACTACTAGATCATGAAGAAAATTTTACTCAGTTTATTTAAGGACTCTTATACCCACAAGAATTACATGAACACATTATCTGACATTGGGTCTTATTTATGGTGTGAGATAACTATCAACATTGTTTTGTCATTTCTTCAAATTAATACAACATCTTTTATGGAGGAGGTCATCCTTTCTTCAAATGTACTTCCATTTTTTAAAGAGACTTTCGTTAAAAATCAAATAACTATCTATATGTAGTTCTGTTTCTGTACCCTATTCTGTTCCATTGTGTATTTGCATATCTTTCTGTTAATATTCTACTGTCTTATTTGCTACAGCTTTATAAATCATTTTGCTATCTAGTAATCTAAATATCCTCTAGCTTTGTTCTTCTTCAAGATTGTTTTGGCTATTCTGTGTCCTTTGAATTTCCATACTCTAGCTTTGTTACAGAAAACATTTGAGGTAATTTATAAGGACATCTGAAACACGCACAAACCACAACTAAAGAAATAAATATAGTGAAAGTTATTATAGCATACAAACCTTCTACTAACAACAGCTACACACACAAACACATACCAGAGAAAAACCTATTTGAAGTCCTCGGAAAGCTACCAAAATATCTGGGGTTCAAGATCCCAGAGATAAACAAAAACACTGAAGTGAATCTGGTATTTTGCTGCTGTTTTCCTCAAAAACAATGTATTTATTTCTAAGCCACATGGGCTGTGAGCTGGAGATGGCCTTCCAAAAGAACTAAGTTAAGAAGTTGAAAGCAAAGAAAAACATTAATCAATCTCACGGAGGTAGGGAGGTAAAATACGGAATTTAGTTTTCATCAAAGTGGATGTGCCATGGTTATCCCAGACTTTCAGCTGGACCCCCTAAAAGACTACACCATAGGAATAAGGGCAAATCCAAATAGTCCAGGCCTTAAGAAAACTGAAACACAGCCTCAAATCAATTTATCCCTGGTTGGAGGAAGGTGTTCTTTTATTTAAACTGCCTTCCAGAAGATAAAGTTTCATGCAGAGCCTCTGTAATTTTTATACACAGTTTCTAGCATTAATCAAAAATTAACAGGCATATGAAGAAAACCAAGACCAAGAGAAAAAAAAATCAAGACAATTAAGACACATATAAAGGTAATCAAGGTATTAGAGTTTTAAGAAATAGACTTTAACTGTTATTGAGGAGTAACATCAACAAGATGATATAATAAGTGATCTCAGCCCTTGGCCCTCTACGAAAGCACCAATTTAACAGCCTCCATAGATGAGAATATCTTTATGAGAGCTCCAAATCCAAGTGAGAGGTTACAGCACACTGGTGGGATGCAGAAATGAGAAAAAAAACGTGTTGAAAGGGAGAAAAAAGAATAGTATCTTTTTACCTGTATTATCCCTCCCCTAAGCCAGCACAACATAGCACCAAGAAAGAACACCTCAGCCTGCAAGTTCTCCCAGGGAAACAGGGTGAAGTCGGCATCCAACTTCTCCTGCCTTTGGCACTACCTGAGAGACTTGCTTCTGTTGTGCCTCACCCATAACACTGAGGGAACTGGAATGGCTAGATCACCTGAGGGTAGCTAAGAACAAAGAAAAAAGGTGAGGGCTCGGCTCTCAACAACCGGTTCAGAGATCTCAACAGCCAGCTCACAGCCCCTAGCACAAGGCCTGCCCACCCACAGATCATGGCACTAGGCCCACCAACCCACAGACCCTGGTACCAGGGCTAACCACAGATCTTACAAGCCAGCCCATCTGCAGGCCCTACTAACCAGACCAACAAGAATCTTAGGCCAGCCTGATTTGTGAATGGATTTCCCTGCCAAAGCCAATTTGTAAAGACAGGAAGAGGTAACTGCTTCTTCAAATGAGCAGATACTAACGCAGTCCTATGAAAGTCATGAAGAATCAGGGAAACAGCCGAGTGTGGTGGCTCACACCTGTAATCCCAGCACTTTGGGAGGCCGAGGTGGGTGGATGGCTTGAGTCCAGGAGTTGGAGACCAGCCTGGCCAACATGGTAAAACCTCATCTCTACAAAATATACAAAAATTAGCCAGGTGTGGCTGCATGCACCTGTGGTCTCAGCTACTTGGGGGACCAAGGTGGAAGTTTGCTTGAGCCTGGGAGGCAGACGCTGCAGTGAGCCAAGTTCATGCCACTTCACTTCAGCCTGCATGACCTAGCAAGCCAGTGTCTCCAAAAAAAAAAAAAGAAAAGAGAAAAAAAAAGAATCAGGGAAACATGAAATCACCAATGTATTAAAATGAAACTCCAGTAATGGATCCTAAAGAAATAGAGATCTAACTACCTGACAAAGAATTTAAAATAATTGGCTGGGCACAGTGGCTCACGCTTGTAATCCCAGCAGTTTGGGAGGCCGAGGTGGGTAGATCACCAGATGTCAAGAGTTTGAGACCAGCCTGGTTAACATGGCGAAACCCCATCTCTACTAAAACTGCAAAATTAGCCAGGCGTGGTGGTACATGTCTGTAATCCCAGCTACTTGGGAGGCAAAGGCAGGAGAATCGCCTGAACCCAGGAGGTAGAGGTTGCAGTGAGCAGAGATTGTGCCCCTGCACTGCACCCTGGGTGACAAGAGTGAAACTCTGTCTCAAAAAATAATAATAATAATTAAAATAATTTTAAAGGAGCTCAGTGAGCTATAAGAGAACACCGACAACGAAATGAAATCAGGAAAATAATACATGAAAATATGAGAAGTTCAACAAAGAGATAGACTCATAAAAAAGAATCAAACAGCACTTCTAGAGCTGACAAACACAAAGACTAAACTGAAAAATTAAACAAAGTTTCAATAGTAGACTTAATCAAGCAGAAGAAAAAAATCAGTGAACTTAAAGACAAGTCATTTGGAGCGATCCAGTCAGGAGCAGAAAGAAAAAAGAATGAAAAAAAACTCAAGAAAGCCTACAGGACTTATGAGACACTAAGTGAGCCAATATACACACTATGGAACTTGAAGAAGAGAAACAGAAAGAAGCAGAAAGTTTATTTAAAGAAATAATGGTAGAAAATGTTCTGAATGTGGGGAGGGAAATGGACATCCAGTTTCATGAAGCTCAAAAGATACCAAGTAGGTTAAGCCTAAACAGGTCTACAATGAAACACATTATAATTAAATCATCAAAGTCAAAGAGAAAGATAGAATTTTGAAAGAAGTAAGAAAAAAGGAACTTGTCATATAAAAGTGTACCTTCATAACATTTTCAGCAGATTTCATAGCAGAAACATTGCAGGCCAGGAGAAAGTGGGATGATATATTCAAAGTGTTAAAAGGAAAAAACTGCCAACCAAGAAAATTTGTCCTTCAAAAGGATATCTACCCAAAGGAAAAGAAGTCATTATACAAAAGAGATATTTCTACATGCATGCTTATAGTAACACAATTTACAATTCCAAAAATATGGAACCAGCCCAAATGCCCATCAATCAATGAGTGGATAAAGAAAATATGGTATACATATACCTTGGAATACTACTCAGCCATAAAAAGGAACAAAATAATGGCATTCACAACAACCTGGATGGAATTGGAGACTGTTTTTCTAAGTGAAGTAATTCAGGAATTGAAAACCAAACATTGTATGTTCTCACTCATAAGTGGTAACTAAACTATGAGGCTGCAAAGGCATAAGAATGATACAGTGGACTCTGGGAACTCGGGGGGAAAGGATGGGAGGGGGATGAGGGATAAAAGACTACACACTGGGTACCATGTACACTGCTCGGATGATGAGTGCATCCAGATCTCACAAATCACCACTAAATAACTTGTTCATGTAACTGAACACCACCTGTTCCCCAAAAACTGACTGAAATGAAAAAAAATAATAACTTCTACTTTCTTAGTAATAAATGGCAAGTTCCAAGCTTTTTTGTTTGGAAATTCAGCAACAATAATAAAATGTGTTCATCTTTTCTTAAAAGTGAACTTTTGAAACAGAATCCCAGGAAAATAATTTCATGATGTGCAATTATGTGACTTTTACAAATAAACCATATATTATATATTTTTTTTAAAAAATGAAGGTGTGATAAAAGCTTTCCCATACAAACAAAAACAGGGAGTTATCACAACTAGATCTGCCAAACAAGAAGTGCTAAAGGGAATTCTATTTTTTTTTTTCTGAGACAGAGTTTTGTAGGGACCAGCCCCACAGAGTCGGTGGGTCTCTCCCCGTGTGCAGAGACGAGAGAGTGTAGAAATAGAGACACAAGACAAAGAGATAAAAGAAAAGGCAGCTGGGCTTGGGGGACCACTACCACCAAGTTGCGGAGACCGGTAGTGGCCCCAAATGTCTGGCTGCGCTGTTATTTACTGGATGCAGAGCAAAAGGGGCAGGGTAAAGAGTGTGAGTCATCTCCAATGATAGGTAAGATCACGTGGGTCATGTGTCTACTGGACAAGGGGCCCTTCCCTGCCTGGCAGCCAAGGCAGAGAGAGAGAGAGGAGAGAGAGAGAGACAGCTTATGCCATTATTTCTGCATATCAGAGACTTTTAGTACTTTCACTAATTTTGCTACTGTTATCTAAAAGGCAAAGCCAGGTGTACAGGATGGAACATGAAGGCTGACTAGGAGCATGACCACTGAAGCACAGCATCACAGGGAGACGGTTAGGCCTCCCGATAACTGTGGGCAGGCCTGGCTGATGTCAGGCCCTCCACAAGAGGTGGAGGAGTAGAGTCTTCTCTGAACTCCCCTGGGGAAAGGGAGACTCCCTTTCCCAGTCCGCTAAGTAGCGGGTGTTTTTCCTTGGCACTGATGCTACCGCTAGACCACGGTCTGCTTGGCAACGGGTGTCCTCCCAGACGCTGGCGTTACCGCTAGACCAAGGAGCCCTCTGGTGGCCCTGTCCAGACATTACAGAGGGCTCACACTCTTGTCTTCTGGTCACTTCTTACTATGTCCCCTCAGCTCCTATCTCTGTATGGCCTGGTTTTTCCTAGGTTATGATTGTAGAGTGAGGATTATTATAATATTGGAATAAAGAGTAATTGCTACCAACTAATGATTAATGATATTCATATATAAGCATATCTAAGATATATATCTGGTATAACTATTCTTGTCTTATATTTTATTATACTAGAACAGCTCGTGTCCTCGGTCTCTTGCCTCAGCACCTGGGTGGCTTGCCACCCACAGAGTTTCACTCTTGTTGCCCAGGCTGGAGTGCAATGGTGTGATCTCGGCTCACCACAGCCTCCACCTCCCAAGTTCAAGCAATTCTCCTGCCTCAGCCTCCCTAGTAGCTGGGGTTACAGGCATGTGCCACCATGCCTGGCTAATTTTGTATTTTTAGTAGAGTTGGTCAGGCTGGTCTCAAACTCCCGACCTCAGGTGATTCACCTGCCTCTGCCTCCCGAAGTGCTTGGATTACAGGCATGAGCCACTGTGCTTGGCCAGAATTCTTTAAGTTGAAATGAAAGGGCGCTAAAAAGAAACATAAAAGCATATGAAAGTATAAATATCACTGGTAAAGGTAAATTTATAGAAAAATGCAGAATAATGTAATTTTTAACATAGTACATATATCACTTTAACACTAATATAAAAGCTAAAAGACAAGAGTATTGAGAATAAGTATAACCACAGAAATGTTTTCTTAAATAGACAATATAAAAAGAAGTAAATTCTGACATCAACAATATAAGATGTGGAAGAGAGAGTAAAATTCTCCAAACTCATCACGTTGTATACAAGAAATATGTACAGCTTTTTGTATGTCAATCATACCTCAATAAAGTGTTTTTAATTAAAGTAAAAATTAAAAATAATATATTTTCAAAGAAATGTATGATGAAGAATATATGAAAATATTCCATTGAAATTCTATAAATGAAAAACTAAGTTTTAGACAAATAGAAGATTATACAGCAGATTTGACAGTGGAATGCAGCACTAATAAACTGGAGGCAGGTCAGTGTAAAATGTCTTTATTGAAGCAAAGAAAAAGAAAACCTGACAAAATATACAATAATAACTATAAAGGACACTGTGAGAAATTCTAGCATATATGTAAAAGGCTTCCAAGAGGGGAACTGTGATAAAATAATGTGACTGAGGCAATATGTAAGGAGATAACAGACTCAGATTTTCCCAGAATGATGAAATACATCAAGTTAATTATTCAGGAAGTGTGATAATCTACAAACAGAATAATAAGATAAACACTCCAAGTTTGAGAGTAAAACTACTAAAATCTAAGGACAAAATAATCTGATATGCAGTCAGAACAGTAAGTACACATTAATTTTAAAAGAGCAGTTGAGCACAATGGCACACACCTAGAGGTCCAGATACTTAAGAGATTGAGGCAAGAGAATTGCATGAGACCAGGAGTTCAAGGCTGTAGTGCACGATGATTGTACCTGTGAATAGGTACTGCACTTTAGCCTGGGCAAGATAGTGAGACCCTATTTCTCAGAAAGAGAGCAAAAATGTAACTGACATCTGACTACTGAAGAGAAATGATGGAAGTAAGTACACAATGAAAGAATATATTTAAGGTACCGAAAGAATATAACTGACAACCTATAATTACATACCCTGAAAACTAAAGGCAAAATGAAGATGTTTCCAGACATAGCAGAGAGATCAGCACTATACCTTAAGCCAGAATTCTTACTAAGGAGAAGTTGGTTGTAGGTGATAACATTTGAGTAAATGAGAATCATAGGAGACTTTTTGAAAGGTTAACCCCTCTAGGGAAAATGAGATTTAAAAAAAAAAAAAAAACAATTATTCCTGTAGGCTAACTAGATATGTGCCAGGGGCCATTGATCAGGGTCATGGACATCTCATTTGCCTCTATATTAGCAATAGAATGCATTCCAAGCCCTAGAGAATAAAGCATAGGCCAACATAATTCAGCTCTCCCCAGGTCAACAAATCCTGGCCCAAGAGCATTTATGTACAGCATAATTACCAGACCTTTGTTCTTGTTCCACTGAGCTGAGTTCGCAAAGAAAACTGGCAACAGGGTCTTTGATTCAGTTTAGAGTCAATCCTTCATACGCTATATTTTGTTTGAGAATGAATTCTATATTAAAATGTGCATTGAAATTTACCATGTGGTACAATGTCAATGATATGTTTTTAAATACTTCCTGATACCACATTTGTAAATCTTGCATTTAAAATAATCAACTAGTTCATTTTAATTTTTATATTTTGTTTCTCTCTTTTTTTTTTTTTTTTTTTTTTGGCTACTCGATAGACAGAGTAGGGCAGAGTAGGCAGAATGGCCCAGTGTAGCCGTTTCTATATAGCGAGGTGAGAGAAGACAAAGTTTCAGCATCCTGTTTGTAAGGACTCTCCACAAATAAGATGTTAAGGCAGTGAAAGATCATTATTCCCAGTCAATGACAATGACATGATAACTGAAATAAAATCATCATTATAGTTTCTCTTTTAACATTGCTTATTGAAATGTTGGTAAGATTTTTATATTCTAGGTAGGAACTTTGATCAGATACCTGCTAAATTACAGGTTTGCAAAAAATCATCTGGTGATAAATTTGCATATCATAATTGTATGTCTTTCATTGAACTGTTATATTTCAATGTCAACATTTTTTATTTCCTGACTTTAACCACTGGTCAGTTTGGGGTATGAATTAAACAACACATGACTAAGAACAAAACTGAATGCTAAATCTTCAGAGTAACTGAGATATTAACATGTTCATCTGATCTCCACTAATTCCCTCATGTGTTCAATTGATAGAAACTAGAAGCCTTTCAATCTGACCACAGAGAATAAAAAAAATTCAAATAATGAGTTTCTTAATTGATATGTGTAAATAGTCTCCAGTACCCACTTTAGAATGATTTTCCCTATTGATTTATTAATCACTGTTGGGAAGTACTGCCTTGAACCACAATAGGCTCCATTGGTCTGCTTCCATTTCTCTTCCATGAAATCCATTCCACGTGATACAACCAGCCACATTAAGATTCTTACATCTCATCTCTGCTCCTATGACTCCTCTCACTAAAATATTCAAAAGCTTTTTTATTCTTCCAAACTTTTTCCCTACCTTCCATTCATATAAACTCTATACAACAGCTTAACTAGATCAGTTGTTTTTTTCCAATCAAAAACAAATTTTTTAAGAGTATCATTTCTTAAACACAAGAGTTTCAATCCATTGGTAAAATTATAAGTTATGTACACCTAATGTATCCTCAAAATTATTAAACCAAAACTGATAGAAGTAAAAGGACGAAGAGACAAATTTACAATCACTGTAGGACATTTTAACACAAAACTATCAATATCTAATCGAAAAAAGACAAAGTTAGTAAGGATATAGAGGACTTAGTAATATGATTTAAAAATTAACCTGAGATATGCAAAATATTGTTTCTAATAACTGTAGAATATAGTCTTTTCAAGTGCATAAAGACTATTTTGTCAAAATTGACCATATAGTATTCTTAAAGTAACCTCAACAAATTTCAGAAATTTGAAATCATAAAAGATATTTTCTCTGACGCCAATAAATGTAAACTAAAAAATCAACCAGAAAAGTTAACCAGAAAATGTTTAAATATTTGGAAATTAGGCACTTCTGGAAAACCCGTATGTCAAAGAAATGTCATTAAAAATTCAAAAATTTTTTTAAATTAATGATAGCAAAAATACTACCAAAATTTGTACAATTCTGCTAAAACTTACTTAAAAGTAAATTTGTAAATCTTAAAGATATAAGAAAAAAGACTGAAGAACTAGTGCTCTAATATCCATCTCAAGAAATTTTTTTAAATAGCAGCAAATTATCCAGAGAAAACAGGAGGAAGAAAATAAACAACATAAGAGCAGAAAAGAATAAAATAGGAAGCCAACCAAAAGCAGAAAACAATATCAAAGCAAAAATTTGATTTCTTGAAAAGATCAAGTAAAATCTATAAGTTCCTGGTCATCAAAAGCCATCGTTAAAAGGGTGAAAAGGCAAGCCACAGCGTGATGAGAAGCTATTTTCAATACATACACAGGACAATATATAATGCTAAACATCATTTGTCACCAAGCAAATACAAATTCCAATCACAATTAGATACCAATCCACATTCATCAGAAAGGCAATACTAGTCAAGATAGTGGCTCACTTTGGGGAGGGGCTGGATCATGACCATAGTAGAAAAAGGGAAACTTCTGTGTATGGTAATGTTCTATTTCCTGATCTGGAAGTGGTTACACAGTTATGAAAACCACTTTGTGAAAATTCTTTGAGCTTCATCCCTATAATTTTGTACTCTTCTATGTATATGCCATGCTTTAAATGAAAATAAAAGACATACAAATGTGAAGGTATTGAGCAAAACAAGACTGAGATAGATAGAGATTGATGATGGGATAGATAGATGCTGGGTAGACAGACAGATATAAAAATGACTTACACACTGTGCTTGGCTTGCTGAATAGAAAAGGAAGCATTGTCAGTTACAGTATTACATTATCCATAAGATAAAATCTTACCAATTACACAGAAGAACTGTCTTGGTATTAAGAGCAGATGGAACCACCTTCTGGGGATTCTCATGAAAAATACAATGAGAAAGTCAATTAGCAGCATCACCAACAATTTACATTGTATCCCATTTTGTGAGGCTGCTTTCATGTCAATTCCTGGGATAAGTGAATGGAATTACACCAAAGTACAAATAAAAGCCAGTTTTGGGAGAATCACAAGCAAGTTAGTGTCTTCTTTCATGCTTTTCCTGCATTGCTGTATGCCTCGATCACACATTTACCTCACTCAATCACCTCCCCTAACCATCAACCCAGTGCCTTGCACATTGCACATAATCCATTAAAATTCTATGAGTGGGTGAATAAATGAATGAATGAGGCACTTGATACCCAAAAGACAGTAAAAAAGAAATGGCATAAAAAGAAAAATATCAAAAGGACCATGTGTCTGCTTTGCAATTTGGCAGTAGGCAAAATCTCTAACATGCAGTTTTCAACCTAAGACAGGTATTGTTGATAAAGACAGATATAAATGACCCACAGTGACGCTGAACTAGTATACAGATTAAATGTCATGCATTATTCCTGGGCAGAAGCAAGCAATATAACTTTACAACAGGTTTCTATATTTTTCCATCCATTTTCTAATTTCTTATTCTACCCTGAAAATAACTATTTGACAACAAGTCAGTATAAAATGCAAGATGCAACACCAAAGTTAGGCGCTATTAAGGGAGAAACCACTAGTCCAAGACTTTATTGCTTGAGCTGACTTCAGATTTCGTTTGGCAAACCTTTTCTTTTCTGCTAGTGCTTTCATTTCAATTCTTTACTCTTTCCCAGATTTTAGCCAAGTCATTGGCTCAGCTGGCAGATGACAGAGCATTCTTGTAGCTAAAATTGCATTTGTCATTTTGGTATCAATATGTCCTGTCTCTTAGGATTGCTGTAGTCTTGTCTCTAAGTGAAACTGTCTTGTATTTCCCTTCTGAGTGAGATTTATGAGGGAAAGCATTCAAATTGCTCATCTCTAATTCAGTCATCATTCTGCCACTAAAATGTCTCAGAATTTTCCCTTTACTGCAGAAGAAATATTCTCTCCTTTTTGCTGTTCATCTATCCTGTCCTGACTTTTGTCTATAAAACGGGCTGCACCAGATGGGGAAGGGGTTTAGGGAATATCCAGGCCAACTTGGGGCAAACATCTTCCCAGCTGTAGCTGGGTCCATCAAAGACACCTCAATTCATAGCTGATTCATACTCATTCTCTCTCCTTAGTCTTCAAATTTTACTTAGGCAACTGACTAAAGTCAGAATGCTCTAACTTTAGAAGCTTGTCTTTAGAGCATTTCAGAACATGTCTATCAGACATTCAGTCTAATATTTTGCAAACAGCAAATATCAAGAAAACACTGGGCTAATTAATTGTACAGAAAGGAATAATTCCAATACAAAAATTTCATAAGGCAGACTCAACATATGATAACAATAAACATGTAGCTTAAAAAATAATGGAAATGTCATATATTCTCATTTTCTTTTACCTTATTTCCAATTGCAAGAATAGTCCTTTCAAGATGAAAGAAACTACCTCAGAAATAGGAATGTAAAAGATCTGCTCCTTCCTGCTATCTTATTACACTATCTCTTATACCAAAATCACTGCTTGCTTGCTGTGCCTTCCAGTAATGACTGGAATGGCTTATTAGGAGATAATTTGGTAGGTGGGGGAAAAATGTGTCTACTAAAAATTCATTACTAAAAAAAATAGCAAACCCTACAACAGGGTCTGGAGATCAGACAATCCAGTTTATAATCTTAACAATACTGGCTGTGCTCAATGATGCCTGCACCAATCTGAATCTAGTTAAAATGAACCCTATGCCTTTTAATGCGTTTTTCAAGTTCTGCAATTCAGTTACTCTTTGAATCCTGTAAATTCCCTACACCATAAAGAACTAGCATGCACTGCCAGATCAAAGACTAACTTTCTGCTTGACATTTCCACATAAAGGTCTTATGAGAATCTCAAAATGTACCATAGCCAAAACAATTTTTGATTCCTCCAAACCCTTCAAAACCCACTCCTTCCCATCTTAATATACCACCAGTATCTATTGTAAGAGTTGAAGAGAGAAGAAAGACACAAAAAGCAGCTTAACAGACAAAAACAGGTTTACTTTGGAGAATAAACCTGAAAGGGGCTTCTGGCCGATTTCAGTCAGGAGCATTTTCTCTTATAGACTAAGGGTATGTAAGGGTCTGGGGAGGGAGAGCTTATCGCAGGCTCAGAATGTTTCTGTGTGGAGGAGAGTTTTATTGCCAGGTTGGAATGCCTCCGGTCGGAGGGGAGGTTATCTCGGGGCTGGCATGTTTCTGGTCAGAGGGGGCTCATCTCAGGGTTGGAATATTTCTAGCGGGAGTGTCACTTGTGGTTTAAGGTCATGCTGACATTAGCCATTATGCTGATGCTTTCTGGGGCTGGATTTAGGCAGTTTTTAATCAAGGGGAACTTAAAATGGTGGTGTTTGTCCAAGACAGTGATGCCCCTGCTCTGTCGTCTGAGTGCCCAACTCAAAAATCTAGGAATTATCCCTGCTTCATCTTTTCCCTTCACTTTCTGTATCCAATCCATCTCAAATTTAATGTGAGGGAGCATAAACAATCTCCTTTGTCTGCAAATATAAGCCAGTTTCTTCAACCCAGGTGTTTTCAGTAATAAAGCTGATGCTTTGATTTACATCTACCTGATCCCTCCATCTATTTCCCAATTAGTCCAGACTTTGGGTGGGGGTGGAGGAAAGGCCATTTATTCGCCACCGCTACCATCACCCCACCACCAACCTGCTTTCCCGCCTGGTGTTGCCTCAGCCTCCAGGGCGGGAGCTATCTTACTCTAACTCTAGGCTAGCCCTGGTCCAGATGTTAGAGCCTATTCAGTCACAGTAAAGGAGAAATATAAAACACTGTGCTTTAAGCCACTCTTCCTGTTGCTCACCCCCTAACCTACCCTGTGGCTCCAAAATCAAGTTTCTTCTTACAGGGTCCTTGAAACAAATCTTTGCCCTTGAACCTAATGGAGACTGGGGGAGACGCAGCCTTCTTGGGGGACATGCAAATCTAAAACACTGTACGCCTCGTGTTTGAGTGACATATATAGTTCATCCAGCCCTTTTATATGCTTTATCTTATTTGTATAAAAACTCAATATTGTTCTTCTCCAAATAATGACTAAAATATTATTATTTGTTCAAATGTATCAAGGATGCAAGGATTTGTGCTTTGACAAGCTCTATCCATGCAAAACAGGCGATCCAGATCATAAGACATGTTAAATTATACTTGATGAGCCAGTCCTTGGAGAAAGTTCTGAGATTGCATCTCCATGAAGCACAGAGAGCAAGGATTTCTGTGAATATTTCCAATGAGCTTACATCATTCTGGGGAAGCTACTACAAAAAAAAAAAACTGTACAATTCAAATCTGGGACACTGTCGTGGAAATCCGTCCCTGCATAACAAAGTGGGCAATCACAGAGAACAATGAAACCCAATGCATTATTCATCATTATAATTCTGGATCATATGCAACCATCATCAATGCTGAGGATGCTCTTAGTTTATATTACAAGTAATTTAGACATCATATGCCTATTTATAAAATGCCAAATCAGCTCTCAGATGCAGTATGAGGAGTTCACAGTTTCATTTTCTGTAAAGATGTTTTAAAATATTGATTGTTGTAAACTTTGTAAGGCACAGATGATAAAAGCACTATACCAATCCTCACACAAAAGAACAACTAGGACTACTTCCCTCAAAGCTGGTTGGTCCCCTTGTTCATTAACTCATGGTTCCAAATGGAACTTCCCCACACCCCCAGAAATGATGCATCCTGAGTCCATTTCCCAAGGAACAGTTCTTCAAAGCATCAAAAGAATCGGATGTGCAATATCTGCATGAAAAGGTTTTTTCTAAAAATCCCCAAATAAAACTTCCATTTGTAAGAAAGGGGAGGGGATCAGGGATTCTAAGATATGTTCATGCTGACAGCATATCCTGGAACTATATAAATACTTAGTAGAATGAATTAAAAATGAGAAACTTGGAACCACAAAAGGCATTTTCTTGGGGAAACTCAAAACATAAGGACACTTAAAAGAAAAAGGAACAGGCTCTTGGGTTTTCAAAAAAAAAAAAACTTGAATCAGCTATATAGTCATACAGTCATTGAGAGCTTGTAAAATCACATACCTTTGTGCTCTTGCTTAAATTTCTCTAGCAATATTGTTCAAGTGTGTGCCCAAATACATGGATTTTAGCTCCCCTGGAGAGTCACTTCTGAAAGAAAGCAAAGATAGAGGGACCTAAAGTCTATGCTATTATAACAGGAAAAGACATCGTTTCTACATGAATAGGATTTTTTTTCCAAGGCAGAGATAGGAGGGCTGGAGGGAAAAATTTAAAAACACATTGGCCTGTTTTTACTGTATATATTGTTTCCTGGATGCTGGAAATTACCCTGATTATTCATCTGCAAAATAGCTACAAAGAAAACCCAAACTATGATTCAGCCATTGCAGCTGTGGTAGACAGAATTGCCAATGGTGAAGGAAGGGCAGAAAACCCACTGTTGCAATTCGTTTTCTCTCTTGTTTTGTTTAACTGTTTAACTTCTGGACCTAATTATTTAAAACACACACACACACACACACACACACACACACACACACACAGAGCAAAAAAGAAGAGAAATGAGAGCTGGTCTGCTTTTCCCATCCCTCATTCCCTGCATGCCATTTCCCACCAAATCAAACTCAGTATTTTATAACAGTGATCCTACAATTGTCTCTCAGTTTTAAAGCTTTTCTGATCTTTCAATGGAATTGATTTCCGTAATAACCAGACTAGAGTTGGCAGCCCATGCTTGTTTGGCATCACTGCCTGCATTACGTTGCCTACAGCTCATCCGCCCTGATCCCTTAAAGAAACTTGAAAAAACAGAAATATGTCCTTTATCAACACCATAAGCTGCTGCTGCCACAAGTCTATAAACAGCAAGAAAAATAAACAGAAGCCAACCTATTTTATCAAAGTCTAATAATACATACACACTAGTCTTGCTTAAGCCCGAGAAATAAAGGCAAACACACCATGGTAGGAAGAAAAGGAATGCACGTGGTCTCACTTATGCCCTTACCTAGACATAGGCTCCACAGTGCATCTGATCTGAGACTACCTCCTCACTTTCCAGGCTTCTTGTGTGATTTTCCCTTCCCTTCTTCTCCTTTCCTCAGGGTTACTTGCAGAGAGATTCCACCAATGCATCCTTAGAGTTGAATTTACCTTCCTGGAAAACATTGTTTCCAGCTGGCTCACTATTAATTACACCCTGATTTTAGACCTTCCCTTGTAGCTGATCTCTGTCTCTAAAACAAAGATGTTTCTGGACCTTTGATAAAAGTCTTGGAGGAATAAAACCCGCTTTTTTATTTAAAGAGTAATAACATCTGTGATGTAGTTCAGATGCACATAAAGAAGAAAAAACACACTAACAAATGCTTAAATAATCTAGAGGTTCATGTCATTCTCTAAGGTTGCAATACCTGTCCCCCAGGCTGGAGTGCAGTGGCACAATCTCAGCTCACTGCAACCTCCAACTCCCGAGCTGGAGAGATCCTCCCACCTCAGCCCCCTGAGTAGCTGGAACTACAGGTGTGTGCCACCACACTTGGCTAATTTTTGTATTTTTTGTAGAGATGGGGTTTCGCCATGTTGCCCAGGCTGATCTCGAGCTCCTTGCCTCAAGCAATCTGCCTGCCTCGGCCTCCCAGAGGGCTTCTACCTCCCCTCATTAAATGAGTGGCTCACCGGCATGCCCAGCACATACGTGTTTCAAATCAGCACCAGTAAGAAAATAAATGGCACTCTTCTACCTCCCCTCATTTAATGAAACTATACTATCTTCTCTGCAAAGCAGTTGGGGAGATGCTTAACAGCAAGGTGTCAGCTAAAAACCAGAGTTCATTTTCCTAAAAGGGAGACATGGGTATTGGGAGGCATGTAGCACTTCCCGCCATGTGCTTCTCAAAATATTTTAGGTAACTGGGCATTGTCTATGCAATCATCTTCACCCATCGTCGTAGATGACATGGATTTTTCTCTCTGTGCTATAGTCAATGCATTGTGCTACAAGCAAATGCATTATTTCCTTTAATCCTTCCAATAAAACCACAATGCTGGTACTATTATTAACCCCATTTTACAATTTTTTTTTTGAGACAATGTCTCATTCTGTCACCCAGGATGGAGTGCAGCGGCCCAGTCTCGGCTCACTGCAACCTCCGCCTCCCGTGTTCAAGAGATTCTCCTGCCTCAGTCTCCTGAGTAGCTGGAACTACAGGTGTGCACCACCACACTGGGCCAATTTTTTTATTTTTAGTAGAGACGGGGTTTCACCATGTTGGCCAGGCTGGTCTCGAACTCCTGACCTCAGGTGATCCGCCTGCCTTGGCCTCCTAAAGTGCTGGGATTACAGGAGTGAGCCAGCTACCGCACCCAGCCCCATTTTACTAATTTTTTTAAAAACAGGCTTAGAAAAGTGAAGTTTCCCAAGGTCACATAGCTTATAAGTGACAATATAGGATATAAGCCCAGGTTTGTTTAATTCCAGAGCCTAAGCACTTAATGTGCAATGCCACTGTATCACAAGGAAGTGCCCTGCACAAATCACAGTGATGCTAAAATCAATTCAGATTGATGTCAGTAGCTAGTCTCCTGCAATATTTCCAAAATAAATAAATATTAATCCATCAATCAGTAACTTTCATGCTTTTTAATTATGAGCAGATACCATGCTATGCGTACAACAGCAAGGACTGAGAAACAATACATGGTTTCAGGTTGTAATCAAACAAAACAGAAAACTTAACACTTAAAATCTATGATCATAATTGTGCTGCACAAGAATGATTTTCAGAATCTATCCTTTCTTAGTTATGAAATAGTAATAACACATTTAGGTAATTTGGAAAAGTAGTTCTAAGATTTGTGTTATTATATTTTTATGTAGCCATAGCATTCAGATAAATTGGCATTATGGTATTTTTCTTTTCTAGTTACTTGTGTATACTAAACATGATAGAAATGGTAAAATCATTACATCAAATTCTATTGAGTTGGTGCACCATAGCATATTTAACATTTAGCTTATTTCTAATATTTCACTATTCTAAATTGCTAAATAAAAATTAAGCACAAATGAGAAAACACTGCCGAGCCAATTTCTCAGAGCATTTCATTCCATTGTTAGTTGTCTAGTTTCTACAATCAGTATAGACAACCAGAGGCTTTCCCGATGCCACATAGACACTTCATCAGCTCAGTTCAACTAGCATTTAGGGACGCCATCATTGGGCCGGGTACTGGTCATCCACAGAGAGGAAAAGAACACAACCTCCATCCTCAAGAAGCTCACAGTCTAAAGGCAAGTACAGACCCATGAAACATAAATGCCTGGTTGAAATATGCACTCAGTACACAAAAAGGGCACTCAATCCAACCTGGGCATTAAGAAAAACTTCCTAGAAGAAAGCTCCATCATAGACACATACTCGTGTACATGAAAGACAAACATCTTGGACCCAGCTTTCCAATAAATGTGCCCATTCCGTCTTCATAGTTCCAAATCCAGACTTCCTTGTGCACCCCCACGTCCCCAGTCCAATTCCCTACTCTTCTCCCACCACCTAAAGAGTCTTTGACAAAAACAGGGACATGGAATCAGAGAACATCTCTCTGCCCAGCACTGAATACTTCAAGACCACAGAAATTCTGGGCCACAAATCTATAGATTGTCAGTAAAGGAAAATAGCCTACTTCGCACCATGCCACTGGCATGTGGAAGAGAAATCCACACCTTAAGAATGGCTAACATCAAAGTGCTGGCACTGTGCTCCTTTCTGGAAGCTCTAGGCGAGAATCTGTTTCTTGCCTTCTCCTGCTTCTAGAGGCATTCTTTGGGTTGCAGCTCCCTCTTCCATCTTCAAAGCCAGCAGTGGTTCATTGTGTCTTTCTCTTCTCACAACATTGGGACACAGTTCTTTCTGCCTCCTTGTGTTCCCTGTACCATATAAAAGGACCTTTGTAATCCCACTTGACTTACTCGGATGATCCAGGATAATCTCCCCATAGCAAGACCTTAACTTAATAACACCTACAAAATTATTTTGCCATGAAAGTAGCATCCACAGGTTGCAGGGATTAGGATATGTACGCCTCCGGGAGACCATTATTCTGCTGCCATAGGCACTCTTCACAGCAGCCCAGGGATTCTTACATAACTAAGGTGTTCTGCCATGTACAAATAGAAAAAATGAAAGTTTTGCTAACAGCTTATGGTCAGCCAAGAAGCTAATTGCCTCAGCAGTGCCCACAGCCTTCATTGTCAACATGATGCACAACCCATTGGTCACCATGCCTATGCCACAGAGTGAAGCAGGATGGTCTCACTCCATCAGTAACTTGCTCCTGCTCTGCCGAGTTGTGGAATATGTCAGCCATCCTGCCCTGAATCAGTCCTTATACAAAGTAGATTAAACTATACTTCAATGAAGCAAACTCCAGGAGGAAAATTGCAGTGATGAAAAAAAAGTAAAGATAAAGTTATATCTCTGATTTCAGCTTTATTACATTTTCTATTCTTGCTACTGCATTTTGGGGAAAAAAAAAAGCGGGGGTGGTGGTTAATCAACCTGTGGCTTCCTCACAAACCAAACAGAACTGTTTTCTCTCATAAAATCAAATCTAATAAAATTTCCTCATGAATCCCCTCTATGGGGAAAAGTACTCTAGAGCCCTAAGAGAACAAATGGATGTAACAACCTAAGTAAAAACTTGCAGTAGAAAATTATGGGTCATCTTTGAGAACAAACTTTTTAAATATTTCAATCAGGATATAGTGCAGTGGCTGACCTAGGGACATGTCTTGCAGTGGGGTGATAAATGAAAAAAAAGGGGGGGAAGAGGATGAGTTAGGGATAACAGAGAAAAAAGAGACTAGAATTACAAACCTGAAAAGCACCACCTCCCAGCAGGAGACCAACCAGCACAAAAATAGAACATTAAACAACCAAAACTAAAGAACCTCACAGAGTCCATTTCATGCCCCCTGCCACCTCCACTGGAGCAGGTGCTGGTATCCACAGCTGAGAGACCCACATTCAGTTCACAACACAGGACTCTGTGCAGACAACCCCCAGCACCAGCCCAGAGCCTGGTAGACCTGCTGGTTTGCTAGATCCAGAGGAGAGATAACAATCACTGCAGTTCAGCTCACAGGAAGCTGCATTCATAGCAAAAGGAGGAGAGTACTACAACAGGGGAACACACTGTGGGACAAAAGAATCTGAACAACAGCCTTGAGCCCTAGACCTTTCCTCTGACAGAACCTACCCAAATGAGAAGGAATCAGAAAACCAACTCTGGTAATATGACAAAACAAGATTCTTTAACACCCTGCAAAAAAAAAAAATCACCCTAGCCCACCAGCAATGGATCCAAACCAAGAAGAAATCCCTGATCTACCTGAAAAAGAATTCAGAAGGTCAGTTACTAAATTAATAAAGGAGGCACAAGAAAAAGGTGAAGCCCAATTTAAAGAAATCAAAAGAATGATACAAGAAATGAGGGGAGAAATCTTCAGTGAAATAGATATCATAAATAAAAAAACAATCAAAACTTCAACGAACAATAGACACACTTATAGAAATGCGAAATGCTCTGGAAAATCTCAGCAATAGAACTGAACAAGCAGAAGAAAGAACTTCAGAGCTCAGAGACAAGGTTATTGAATTTACCCAATCCAACAGAGACAAAGAAAAAAAATAAGAAAATATAAACAAAGCCTCCAAGAAGTCTGGGATTACGTTAAACATCAAAACTAAGAACAATCAGCGTTCCTGAGGAAAAAGGGAAATCTAAAAGTTTGGAAAACATATTTATGGGAATAATCTAGGAAAACTTCCCCAGCCTTGCTAGAGACCAAGACATCCAAACACAAGAAGCACAAAGACCACCTGGGAAATTCATCACAAAAAGATCATCACATAGGCACATTGTTGTCAGGTTATCCTAAGTTAAGACAAAGGGAAGAATCTTAAGAGCTGTGAGACAAAAGCACCAGGTAACCTATAAAGGAAAACGTAGCAGATTAACAGGAGATTTCTCAGCAGAAACCTTACAAGCTAGAAGGGATTGGGCCTTATCTTAAGCCTCCTCAAATGAAACAATTATCAGCCAAGAATTTTGTATCCAGTGAAACTAAGCATCATATATGAAGGAAAGATACAGTCTTTCTCAGACAAACAAATGTTGAGACAATTTGCCACTACCAAGCCAGCACTACAAGAACTGCTAAAAGGAGCTCTAAATCTTGAAACAAATCCTGAAAACACATCAAAAAGGACCTCTTTAAAGCATAAATCTCACAGGACCTAAAAAACAAAAATACAAATTTAAAAAACACACAAAAAAACAAGGTTTACAGGCAAAAAACACTACCTCACATCCCAGTACTAACGTTAAATGTAAACAGCCTAAATGCTCCACTTAAAAGATACAGAATCTCAAAATGGATAAGAATTCACCAACCAACTATGCTGCCTTTCAGAGACTCACCTAACCCATAAGAACTCACATAAACTTAAGGAAAGAGGTAGAAAAAGACATTCCATGTCATGGACACCAAAGTGAGAAGGAGTAGCTATTCTTGTATCAGATAAAACACACTTCAAAGCAACAGCAGTTTAAAAAGACAAAGAGGGACATTATACAGTGATAAAAGGCCTTGTCCAACAAGAAAACATCACAATACTAAATACATATGCACCTAACACTGGAGTTCCAAAATTTATAAAACAATTACTAGTAGAACTAAGAAATGACATAGACAACACAATAACTGTAGGGGAGTTTAATACTCCACTGACAGCACTAGACAGGTCATCAAGACAGAAAGTCAACAAAGAAACAATGGATTTAAACTATGCCCTGGAACAAATGGACTAAACAGATATTTACAGAACATTCTACTCAACAACTGCAGAATATACATTCTATTAATCAGTGCATGGAACTTTCTCCAAGATAGACCATATGATAGGCCACAAAACAAGCCTCAGTAAACTTAAGAAAACTGAAATTACATCAAGCACTCTCTCAGACCACAGTGCAATAAAACTGGAAATCAACTCCAAAAGGAAATTTCAAAACCATGCAAATACATGGAAATTAGATAACCTGCTCCTGAATGATCATTGGGTCAACAATGAAATCAAGATGGAAATTAAAAAGTTAGTTCAACTGAACGACAATAGTGACACAACCTATCAAAACCTCTAGTATACAGCAAAGGTGGTGCTAGGAGGAAAGTTCATAGCCCTAAATGCCTGCATCAAAAAGTCTGAAAGAGCACAGACAATCTAAGGTCACACCTCAAGGAACTAGAGAAACAAGAAAATAACAAACCCAAAACCAGCAGAAGAAAGGAACTAACCAAGATCAGAGCAGAACTAAATGAAATTGAAATAAAAATATACAAAAGATAAAGGAAACAAAAAGCTGGTTCTGAGGGGGAGGAGCCAAGATGGCCGAATAGGAACAGCTCCAGTCTACAGCTCCCAGCATGAGCGACGCAGAAGACGGTGATTTCTGCATTTCCATCTGAGGTACGGGGTTCATCTCACTAGGGAGTGCCAGACAGTGGGCCCAGGTCAGTGGGTGCGCGCACCGTGCGCGAGCCGAAGCAGGGCGAGGCATTGCCTCACTTGGGAAGCGCAAGGGGTCAGGGAGTTCCCTTTCCCAGTCAAAGAAAGGGGTGACGGAGGGCACCTGGAAAATCGGGTCACTCCCACCTGAATACTGCGCTTTTCCGACGGGCTTAAAAAATGGCGAACCACAAGATTATATCCCGCACCTGGCTCGGAGGGTCCCACGCCCACGGAGTCTCGCTGATTGCTAGCACAGCAGTCTGAGATCAAACTGCAAGGCGGCAGCGAGGCTGGGGGAGGGGCGCCCGCCATTGCCCAGGCTTGATTAGGTAAACAAAGCAGCCGGGAAGCTCCAACTGGGTGGAGCCCACCACAGCTCAAGGAGGCCTGCCTGCCTGCCTCGGTAGGCTCCACCTCTGGGGGCAGGGCACAGACAAACAGAAAGACAGCAGTAACCTCTGCAGACTTAAATGTCCCTGTCTGACAGCTTTGAAGAGAGCAGTGGTTCTCCCAGCACGCAGCTGGAGATCTGAGAACGGGCAGACTGCCTCCTCCAGTGGGTCCCTGACCCCTGACCCCTGAGCAGCCTAACTGGGAGGCACCCCCCAGCAGGGGCACACTGACACCTCACAGGGCAGGGTATTCCAACAGACCTGCAGCTGAGGGTCCTGTCTGTTAGAAGGAAAACTAACAAACAGAAAGGACATCCACACCAAAAACCCATCTGTACATCACCATCATCAAAGACCAAAAGTAGATAAAACCACAAAGATGAGGAAAAAACAGAACAGAAAAACTGGAAACTCTAAAAATCAGAGCACCTCTCCTCCTCCAAAGGAACGCAGTTCCTCACTAGCAACGGAACAAAGCTGGATGGAGAATGACTTTGACAAGCTGAGAGAAGAAGGCTTCAGACGATCAAATTACTCTGAGCTACAGGAGGACATTCAAACCAAAGGCAAAGAAGTTGAAAACTTTGAAAAAAATTTAGAAGAATGTATAACTAGAATAACCAATACAGAGAAGTGCTTAAAGGAGCTGATGGAGCTGAAAACCAAGGCTCGAGAACTACGTGAAGAATGCAGAAGCCTCAGGAGCCAATGCGATCAACTGGAAGAAAGGGTATCAGTGATGGAAGATGAAATGAATGAAATGAAGTGAGAAGGGAAGTTTAGAGAAAAAAGAATAAAAAGAAATGAGCAAAGCCTCCAAGAAATATGGGACTATGTGAAAAGACCAAATCTACGTCTGATTGGTGTACCTGAAAGTGATGGGGAGAATGGAACCAAATTGGAAAACACTCTGCAGGATATTATCCAGGAGAACTTCCCCAATCTAGCAAGGCAGGCCAACGTTCAGATTCAGGAAATACAGAGAACGCCACAAAGATACTCCTCGAGAAGAGCAACTCCAAGACACATAATTGTCAGATTCACCAAAGTTGAAATGAAGGAAAAAATGTTAAGGGCAGCCAGAGAGAAAGGTCGGGTTACCCTCAAAGGGAAGCCCATCAGACTAACAGCGGATCTCTCGGCACAAACCCTACAAGCCAGAAGAGAGTGGGGGCCAATATTCAACATTCTTAAAGAAAAGAATTTTCAACCCAGAATTTCATATCCAGCCAAACTAAGCTTCAAAAGTGAAGGAGAAATAAAATACTTTACAGACAAGCAAATGCTGAGAGATTTTGTCACCACCAGGCCTGCCCTAAAAGAGCTCCTGAAGGAAGCACTAAACATGGAAAGGAACAACCAGTACCAGCCACTGCAAAATCATGCCAAAATGTAAAGACCATCAAGACTAGGAAGAAACTGCATCAACTAACGAGCAAAATAACCAGCTAACATCATAATGACAGGATCAAATTCACACATAACACTATTAACTTTAAATGTAAATGGACTAAATGCTCCAATTAAAAGACACAGACTGGCAAATTGGATAAAGAGTCAAGACCCATCAGTGTGCTGTATTCAGGAAACCCATCTCACATGCAGAGACACACATAGGCTCAAAATAAAAGGATGGAGGAAGATCTACCAAGCAAATGGAAAACAAAAAAAGGCAGGGGTTGCAATCCTAGTCTCTGATAAAACAGACTTTAAACCAACAAAGATCAAAAGAGACAAAGAATGCCATTACATAATGGTAAAGGGATCAATTCAACAAGAAGAGCTAACTATCCTAAATATATATGCACCCAATACAAGAGCACCAAGATTCATAAAGCAAGTCCTGAGTGACCTACAAAGAGACTTAGACTCCCACACATTAATAATGGGAGACTTTAACATGCCACTGTCAACATTAGACAGATCAACGAGACAGAAAGTCAACAAGGATACCCAGGAATTGAACTCAGCTCTGCACCAAGCGGACCTAATAGACATCTACAGAACTCTCCACCCCAAATCAACAGAATATACATTTTTTTCAGCACCACACCGCACGTATTCCAAAATTGACCACATACTTGGAAGTAAAGCTCTCCTCAGCAAATGTAAAAGAACAGAAATTATAACAAACTATCTCTCAGACCACAGTGCAATCAAACTAGAACTCAGGATTAAGAATCTCACTCAAAACCGCTCAACTGCATGGAAACTGAACAACCTGCTCCTGAATGACTATTGGGTGCATAATGAAATGAAGGCAGAAATAAAGATGTTCTTTGAAACCAACGAGAACAAAGACACAACATACCAGAATCTCTGGGACGCATTCAAAGCAGTGTGTAGAGGGAAATTTATAGCACTAAATGCCCACGAGAGAAAGCAGGAAAGATCCAAAATTGACACCCTAACATCACAACTAAAAGAACTAGAAAAGCAAGAGCAAACACATTCAAAAGCTAGCAGAAGGCACGAAATAACTAAAATCAGAGCAGAACTGAAGGAAATAGAGACACAAAAAAACCCTTCAAAAAATTAATGAATCCAGGAGCTGGTTTTTTGAAAGGATCAACAAAATAGATAGACCGCTAGCAAGACTAATAAAGAAAAAAAGAGAGAAGAATCAAATAGACGCAATAAAAAATGATAAAGGGGATATCACCACCGATCCCACAGAAATACAAACTACCATCAGAGAATACAACAAACACCTCTACGCAAATAAACTAGAA
Organism: Homo sapiens; assembly: GCF_000001405.40. Lineage (NCBI taxonomy): Eukaryota > Metazoa > Chordata > Mammalia > Primates > Hominidae > Homo > Homo sapiens. The sequence continues at coordinate 2,250,431 of NC_000018.10, forward strand.
AATCTAGAAGAAATGGATAAATTCCTCGACACATACACTCTCCCAAGACTAAACCAAGAAGAAGTTGAATCTCTGAATAGACCAATAACAGGATCTGAAATTGTGGCAATAATCAATAGCTTACCAACCAAAAAGAGTCCAGGACCAGATGGATTCACAGCCGAATTCTACCAGAGGTACAAGGAGGAGCTGGTACCATTCCTTCTGAAACTATTCCAATCAATAGAAAAAGAGGGAATCCTAACTCATTTTATGAGGCCAGCATCATTCTGATACCAAAGCTGGGCAGAGACACAACCAAAAAAGAGAATTTTAGACCAATATCCTTGATGAACATTGATGCAAAAATCCTCAATAAAATACTGGCAAACCGAATCCAGCAGCACATCAAAAAGCTTATCCACCATGATCAAGTGGGCTTCATCCCTGGGATGCAAGGCTGGTTCAATATACACAAATCAATAAATGTAATCCAGCATATAAACAGAGCCAAAGACAAAAACCATATGATTATCTCAATAGATGCAGAAAAAGCCTTTGACAAAATTCAACAACACTTCATGTTAAAAACTCTCAATAAATTAGGTATTGATGGGACGTATTTCAAAATAATAGCTATCTATGACAAACCCACAGCCAATATCATACTGAATGGGCAAAAACTGGAAGCATTCCCTTTGAAAACTGGCACAAGACAGGGATGCCCTCTCTCACCACTCCTATTCAACATAGTGTTAGAAGTTCTGGCCAGGGCAATTAGGCAGGAGAAGGAATAAATGGTATTCAATTAGGAAAAGAGGAAGTCAAATTGTCCCTGTTTGCAGATGACATGATTGTATATCTAGAAAACCCCATTGTCTCAGCCCAAAATCTCCTTAAGCTGATAAGCAACTTCAGCAAAGTCTCAGGATACAAAATCAACGTGCAAAAATCACAAGCATTCTTATACACCAATAACAGACAAACAGAGAACCAAATCATGAGTGAACTCCCATTCACAATTGCTTCAAAGAGAATAAAATACCTAGGAATCCAACTTACAAGGGATATGAAGGACCTCTTCAAGGAGAACTACAAACCACTGCTCAAGGAAATAAAAGAGGATACAAACAAATGGAAGAACATTCCATGCTCATGGGTAGGAAGAATCAATATCGTGAAAATGGCCATACTGCCCAAGGTAATTTACAGATTCAATGCCATCCCCATCAAGCTACCAATGACTTTCTTCACAGAATTGGAAAAAACTACTTTAAAGTTCATATGGAACCAAAAAAAGAGCCCGCATCGCCAAGTCAATCCTAAGCCAAAAGAACAAAGCTGGAGGCATCACACTACCTGACTTCAAACTATACTACAAGGCTACAGTAACCAAAACAGCATGGTACTGGTACCAAAACAGAGATATAGATCAATGGAACAGAACAGAGCCCTCAGAAATAACGCCGCATATCTACAACTATCTGATCTTTGACAAACCTGAGAAAAACAAGCAATGGGGAAAGGATTCCCTATTTAATAAATGGTGCTGGGAAAACTGGCTAGCCATATGGAGAAAGCTGAAACTGGATCCCTTCCTTACACCTTATACAAAAATCAATTCAAGATGGATTAAAGACTTAAACGTTAGACCTAAAACCATAAAAACCCTAGAAGAAAACCTAGGCAATACCATTCAGGACATAGGCATGGGCAAGGACTTCATGTCTAAAACACCAAAAGCAATGGCAACAAAAGGCAAAATTGACAAATGGGATCTAATTAAACTAAAGAGCTTCTGCACAGCAAAAGAAACTACCATCAGAGTGAACAGGCAACCTACACAATGGGAGAAAATTTTTGCAACCTACTCATCTGACAAAGGGCTAATATCCAGAATCTACAATGAACTCAAACAAATTTACAAGAAAAAAACAAACAACCCCATCAAAAAGTGGGCGAAGGACATGAACAGACACTTCTCAAAAGAAGACATTTATGCAGCCAAAAAACACATGAAAAAATGCTCATCATCACTGGCCATCAGAGAAATGCAAATCAAAACCACAATGAGATACCATCTCACACCAGTTTGAATGGCAATCATTAAAAAGTCAGGAAACAACAGGTGCTGGAGAGGATGTGGAGAAATAGGAACACTTTGACACTGTTGGTGGGACTGTAAACTAGTTCAACCATTGTGGAAGTCAGTGTGGCGATTCCTCAGGGATCTAGAACCGGAAATACCATTTGACCCAGCCATCCCATTACTGGGTATATACCCAAAGGACTATAAATCATGCTGCTATAAAGACACATGCACACGTATGTTTATTGCAGCATTATTCACAATAGCAAAGACTTGGAACCAACCCAAATGTCCAACAATGATAGACTGGATTAAGAAAATGTGGCACATATACACCATGGAATACTATGCATCCATAAAAAATGATGAGTTCATGTCCTTTGTAGGGACATGGATGAAATTGGAAATCAACATTCTCAGTAAACTATCGCAAGAACAAAAAACCAAACACCGCATATTCTCACTCATAGGTGGGAATTGAACAATGAGATCACATGGACACAGGAAGCGGAATATCACACTCTGGGGACTGTTGTTGTGGGGTGGGGGGAGGGGGGAGGGATAGCATTGGGAGATATACCTAATGCTAGATGACGAGTTAGTGGGTGCAGCGCACCAGCATGGCACATGTATACATATGTAACTAACCTGCACAATGTGCACATGTACCCTAAAACTTAAAGTATAATAAAAAAAAAGACACATCCCAAAAAAAATAAAATAAAAATAAAGTTATTCTGAGATTAAAAAAAAAAAGCTGGTTCTTTGAAAAGATAAATAAAATTGATAGATCATTAGCAAGAATAACCAAGAAAAGAGAGAAAATCCAAATAAACTCAATTAGAAATGAAATGGGAGCTGTTATAACTAACACCCCAGTAATAAAAGAGATCATTCAAGGCTACTATGAAAACCTTCATGTGCATAAACTAAAAAACCTAGAGGAGATTTGGATAAATTTCTGGAAAGATATAATGCTCCTAGCTTAAATCAGGAAAAATGAGATACTCTGAACAGACCAATAACAAGCAGCCAGATTGAAATGGTAATTTAAAAATTACCAATAAAAAAAAGTACAGGACCAGACATATTCATGGCTGAATTCGACCAGACATTCACAGAAAAATTGGTACCAGTCCTATTGACAATATTCCACAAGATAGAGGAAGAGGGAATCTTCCCTAAATCATTCTTTGAGGCCAGCATCACCCTAATACCAAAACCAAGAAAGGACATAACAAAAAGAGAAAACTACAGAACAATATTCCTGATGAACATAGATGTAAAAATCCTTAACAAAATACTAGCTAACCTAATACAACAACATATCAAAAAGATAATCCACAATGATGCAGTGGGTTTCACACCAAGGATGCAGCGATGATTTAACATATGCAAGTCAATAAATGTGATACACCACAAAAACAGAATTAAAAACAAAAATCACATGATTATCTCAATAGACATAAAAAAGCATTTGACAAAATCCAGCATCCCTTTATGATTAAAACTCTCAGCAAAATCAGCATACAAGGGATACACCTTAGGGTAATAAAAGCCATCTATGACAAACCCACAGCCAACATAATAGTTAATGGAGAAAAGTTGAAAGCTTTCCCCATGAGAACTGGAACAAGACAAGGATGACCACTCTCACCACTTCTTTTCAACATAGCACTGGAAGTCCTAGCCAGAGCAATCAGACAAGAGAAGGAAATCAAGGACATCTAAATCAGTAAAGAGGAAGTCAAACTGGCACTGTTTGCTGATGATATGATTGTATACGTAGAAAATCCTAAAGACTCCTCCAGAAAGTTTCTAGAACTGATATAAGAATTCAGCAAAGTTTCCGGATACAAAATTAATGTATAAAAATCAGTAGCTCTCCTATACACCAACAGCAATTAAGTTGAGAATCAAATCGAGAACTTAGCCCTTTTTACAATAGCTGCAACAAAAAAATAAAATACTTAGGAATACACCTAATCAAGGAGGTAAAAGACCTCTACAAGGAAAACTATAAAACACTGCTGAAAAAAATCATAGATGACACAAACAAATGGAAACACAACTCATGCTCATGGATGGGTAGAATCAATATTGTGAAAATGACCATACTGCCAAAAGCAATCTATAAATTCAATGCAATTCCCAACAAAATGCCACCGTCATTCTTCACAGAACTAGGAAAAACAATTCTAAAATTCATATGGAACCAAAAAGAGCCTGCATAGCTAAAGCAAGATTAAGCAAAAAGAACAAATATGGAGGCATCACATTACCTGATTTCAAACTATACTATAATGCCATAGTCACCAAAACAGCATGGTAATAGGATAAAAATAGGCACATTGGCCAATGGAACAGAATAAAGAACCCAGAAATAAGCCCAAATACTTAAAGCCAACTGATCTTCGACAAAGCAAATGAAAACATAAAGTGGGGAAAGGACACCCCATTCAACAAATGGGGCTGGGATAATTGGCTAGCCACATGTAGGAGAATGAAACAGGATGATCACCTCTCACCTTATAAAAAAATCAACTCAAGATGGATTAAGGACTAAATCTAAGAGCTGTAACTGTAAAAATTCTAGAAGATAACTTCTGAAAAACCCTTCTAGACATCAGTTTAGGCAAGAATTTCATGACCAAGACCCAAAAGCAAACACAATAAAAACAAAGATAAATAGCTGGGAGCTTTTGCACGACAAAAGGAACAGTCAGCAGCGTAAACAGACAACCCACAGAGTGGGAGAAAATCTTCACAATCTATACATCCGACAAAGGACTAATATCCAGAATTGACAATGAACTCAAACATATTAGCAAAAAAACACAAACAATCCTATCAAAAAGTGGGCTAAGGACATGAATAAACAATTCCAAAAAGAAGATATACAAATGGCCAACAAACATATGAAAAATGCTCAATGTCACTAGTAATTAGGGAAATGTAAATATGTGATACACCTTACTCCTACAAAAATGGCCAACACCAAACCAAAAAATAATAGATGTTGGCATGGACGCGGTGAGCAGGGAACACTTCTACACTGCTGGTAGGAATGTTAACTAGTACAACCAATATGGGAAACAGTGTGGAGATTCCTTAAAGAAGTAAAAGCAGAACCACCATTTCCCACTACTGGGTATCTACCCAGAGCAAAATAAGTCATTATACCAGAAAGATACTTGCACACACATGTTTACAGCAGCACAATTCACAATTGCAAAAACGTGGAACCAACCCAAATGCCCATCAATCTACTAGTGGATAAAGAAACTCTGGTATATATATGATGGAATACTACTCAACCATAAAAAGGAATGAATTAATGGCATTCACGGCAACCTGGATGAGATTGGAGACTATTATTCTAAGTGAAGTAACTCAGGAGTGGAAAACCAAACATCGTGTAGTCTCACTCAAATGTGGGAGCTAAGCGATGAGGATCCAAAGGCGTAAGAATGGCACAGTGGTCTTTGGGGAGTCAGGGAGAAAGGGTGGGAAGGGGGTGAGGGATAAAAGACTACAAATTGAGTGCAGGGTATACTGCTCAGGTGATGGGTGCACCAAAATATCACAAATCACCACTAAAGAACTTACTCATGTAACCAAACACAACCTGTTCCCCAATAACTTATGGAAATAAAAATTTTTTTAAAAATACAATTATAAGCCTATATGATCCAAAGCAAATGGCTAATATTAAGTGTCATATTTCATACATTTCATTCAATTGATGTTTTTATTAATACCTACTATGCGCCACCCTTGGTGCTAACTATTGGAGATATAATGCCATTAGACACTGGCATTACGGAGTTCATAGCCTACTGACAGAGAGAAGCATTCATCAAGCAATTCAAGGAATCTATGTTAAAAATAGAGATAAAATCTATGAAGGAGAGGAACAGGCTGCTGTTACAGAGTAGGAATGAATCAAGCCTGTTCTGGAAGTGAAGTGTCTGGGGAAGAGAAACTGGAGCTTAGATCCAAAGGAATAGTTGGTGAGAGTGGGAGAAGAGGCTAGAAAAGTACTCTAGCAGAGAGATCAGGATGTACAAAGGCTTTGGATCTAAAAGCATGGCCTGGCACAGGACAGTTGATGGTAGGATGAGGCAGAATAGAAGTGTCTACAGCCTAGAAATAGATATATCCCCAAGACTTGGACAGGGTCTGGGGAAGGGAAGTAGGCCCAAATGCAGACAACAGCAGAAGGTCCTCTCTGAGGACCAGTTATCACAATATTAAGGGAGTAGGAGTAACAGTGTTGCTCAAGCGCAAGAAGCTCAGAACAAGGAAGTGGGCATGTTCAACACTCAGGCAGTAGCAGGAGGAAAACATCCACTGTTAGTAAAAGCCCCACTCCCAGGCTGCAAGAAGCACTTAGTGCTAATTCTCCCATAAATTTGTTGAACTATATGCAGCAATCCCACCAATGGGAATATATTCAAAGGAAAGGAAGTCAGTATGTCAATGAAATCCCATGTCTGTGGCAGCACCTTTCACAATAGCCAAGATATAGAATAAACCCAGTGTCCATCAATGGATGAGTGGATAAAGAAAACATGGCATACACAGTGGAACAGTATTCGGCCATAATAAAAGAAAAACATCCCATTGTTTCTGACAACATAGATGAACCTGGAGGCCATTATGTTAAGTGAAATGAGTCAGGCACAGAAAGACAAATCCCACATGATTTTACTCATGTGTGAAATCTTAAAAAGTTGGTCTTATAGATGTAGCGAACGGAATGGTGGTTACCAGAAGCTGGGGTGGTGCTTGCAGAGGAATGGTTGGGGAGGTGTTGGTCAAATAATACCAATGGTTGGGGAGGTGTTGGTCAAATAATTTATAGTTAGATAGGATAAATTGTTTTATGAGATCTCTTGTACAGCATGGTGACCATAGTTAATGATGATATATCGTATTATTTAAAAATGCTGAGACTAGATGTAATGTTCTCACCACAAAAATGATAACTAGGTGAGGTAATACACTTATCAATTAGCTATATTCAACAATTCCACAGTGTATATATACTTTAAAACATTATGTTGTTCACAAGAAATACATACAATTTTATATGTTAATTTAAAGAAGAAAATTTGAAAAAAATACTACTTTTCTGTTAGAGAATATTTATAATAAATTGTAATAATGGAATAGAATTTTTTTTTGTTTTTTAGCCTTGATTTTTTGCACACATTCCAAATTAAATATTTTAAGTGTTATACAGTAATTTGATTTAATATAACCATATGCAAATTGGGTTTAATATATTTAAGAATGTAGGAGAACTGATGTGTACATCTGAAAACTCAGTCATTGCAAAGAAGTTTTCTTCATTTTTTGAAGCAACTTGTTGGTATTTTTCCATTAGAACTAGTATCAGTCACAGCATTATTGCTCCCTTATATCTTTCCCAAGTTTAAATACTTATTAATGAGCACATTCACTGTATATCCTTAGGTAATTTTTTGTTTTTAATTCTGTCTCTGCATAATGTAATTATCAACCTTGGGAACTGCAGAAGCATTCTAGATGTTGTGAGAGAAATTGTTTCATAACATTTCTGGTTAATTTTTTTTTTTTTTGACCCAAGAAGTTTCATAGATCTCTGAAATCTTTCAGAACTTTCAGGATTTACTCTAATCTCATTGTACTATGTGGGTCTTTTCATGTTTTCTCATCCCTAAACATTCTCATACTGCTATAAAGATACTACCCGAGACTGGGTAATTTACAAAGAAAAAAGGTTTAATTAACTCACAGTTCTGCAGGGCTGGGGTGGCCTGAGGAAACTTAACAATCATGGCGGAAGGCAAAGGGGAAGTAAGGCGTGTCTTAGATGGCGGCAGGAGAGAGAAAGAGCAAGAGCAAGGAGGTGCCACACTTAAAACCATCAGCTCTTGTCAGAACTCCCTCACTACCGTGAGAACAGCATGGCAGAAACCACCCCCATGATCCAATCACCTCCCACTAGGTCTCTCCCTGGACATGTGGGGATTACAATTTGAGATGAGATTTGGGTGGGAATGCAGAGCCAAACCATACTGAGGTTGTATATCTGCTCGTCTTTTATCGGTCTTTGCCATTCTATTACTTTCTGTTTCAGAGGATACCAGTTCAAAATTTTTCTACATTTTCTCCTCCCTATCTGAAGATTGACAAGAAGCAATGACTATGCTTTGCCAGAGGGTTCAATATAAAACAAATGAAAGTAGACATCACATTACTTTTATAATATGCCAGCAATAGAAGCTTTCCTTATTTTCAAGACTCAGTAAAAGGAAGAGTGATTTTGACACATCTCTATGTACAAGAAAAAACTAGCTGCCTTCATGCACCAAAGATATAATATTTGCCAATGCTCTTATTATCATATTTTATATTTGGTTAAGATATTAATGAGTGTTTGTAGAAGGCTGGCCTCTGTTTGTTTCATTTGTTTTTCGAATCGTTGAGAATTCATGAAACCTCTAACAGGAAGACAGCTTGCAAAAATTCTAGAATAAAGGGAGATCATACTCCAGTTTATCTCATTTCATTCATCTTCTAAATATTGGAGTTTCCTGCGGGTCATTCCTCTCTGAGCTTCTCTTCATTTTACACTCTCTCCCTAGGTGATCTCATCCCGTTTTATAGGTTAAATGAATTCTGTAAACTTCAGGTTCTGGCAGTATGACAACTCTTCCATTTCAAGCCTTTAGAAGTACTAGTTGGAATGTGTAAAATGATTTTGAATATATGAACTGAAGCTCGGAGAGATAAATAATGCCAGAAATGGAGAGGAAATGGAATGCCAGAGGTAAACGAGTGAGTTAATGATATCACTGCCTTGGAGTAAAATTATTGAACAACTCCAGTCAGAGATCCAAAAGGAGAGCTTCAAATATATGAATGAAAATGTGGCAGAATAATAAGAAATTGACACATCCACAGTCATGCAGGGAATTACTGATACACACCTCTCTATGCAGCTGATAGATCAAGAATGCAAAAATTAGCACAGATATAAAAATATGATTACATGATTAACAAGCTTTACATGAATACAATCCTATACCCCAAAATTGGAGAGTGCATGTTTTTAAGTGAATAATTGAATATTTATAAAAATTGATCACACATTCCCTTTAAACAGTTTCCAAGAATATCAAAGGGACCATCAAAACAAATTATGATGCCACCATGTGATAAAAACGAAACTCAGTAAAAAGGGGGAAAATCCGCACAGGCTGCAAATGCAGCCGCACCATGAAATATAAAGAAGAATCATAATGGAAATAATAAAATATTTAGAACTGAAAGGCAGTATATGTCAAAAATAGTGGGATAGATTGAAGTTTCTGGTAGTGCAAAAGACAAGAAGTATTGAAATTTTGTTGCTGTGTAACACTTTAAAGTGCTTAGAAGAAAATATCGAAAATGAGTAACTTTTTAAATAAATGGATGAGCTTGGAAGAAAAGACAGGAAAAATTTAGTCCTAGTACAAAACCAGAACATCAGTCCAGGAAAGTAAATAAACACTGAAACCATTGGCTGACTTGGGAGTATATATAAATATATGCCCCCAGTGACCTATAGTTTCAGTGTGTGAAGGGAGTCGCCAGTGTGAATCCCAGTTTTATTTGCTGTGGTTTAACCACCCCTTTGGTCCTGGGCAGGCCCAAACCCTGCTTAGAGACCACACCAGAAAAATCTAGGATTCAAAGAAAAGGTGAGATGTGAAAATAATAAGATGAAATAAAGCCCAGAAAAAGCAGCGAGGAAAATTCTCTAGCTAGGCCTAACTGCCCGTGGGTTGTTTAAAAAACAAACAAATAAAATTTTAAACAGCTTCTCTTAGAATCTATGGCAAATGATAGACCTTTTGTGTGCTTTAACTCAGAATCTTGATATTTGTAATCTAATAATTGTAATAAAAATTTTTAAGGCTATACCACATCACACAAATGTTGATATGTAGTACGATCATTTCTGTTCTAAGTATTTTCTAATTTTCATTTAAATTAGTTGTAAGCATTTCTTAGTTTTCAAATGTAAGTGGAATTTTTAAAATCATTTTGTTATTTATCTGTAATTCAATTTCATTGTCATCATAAAATATATAACAGCAATTCTGTAAGATTATGACCTAAAACAAGGCCAAGTTTCATAAGTAAGTTCTGTGTGTGTTTACGTAAACGTGTATCCTCCAATTATTTGTACAGTGTGCTATTATGTTTTATGACCAATAGGGTTTATCATGGAAAGCAAACTTTGGTTCAATATTAGAAAGTCATTCAAGGTAATATAATAAAAAAGAAACAAAATAAAATAAATTGTTTAGGAAGCTTATAAGGAACATTCAATACATTTCAGCATCTATTTACAATTTTTAAAATATCACTCAGAGAAATAAAATGAAAGACATTTCTGTAATTTGATAGAGGTTATATTATAAAAACTGACGGCAAACATATCTAATAAAGAAACATTACATGAATTTCATTCATTTCCAGGCACAGTCCCTCCTGTCACCTAAATTGTACCTCCTTTCCCATCTTCCCCATCATTCCCATATGTTGTGAATATTAACAACATATTCACCAACTGAATACCAAGTGCCAAGCTGAAACTCTAGCAGTAATCATTTGTTTTTGTTTTTTAAGAGATGAGGTCTTGCTACGTTGCCCAGGCTGATCCTCCCACCTCCGCCTTCCAAGCAGCCGGGACTACAGGTGTGCCACCACACCTGGTTCAACTAGCAGTCATTTTTTAATTTTATTTTTCCCTCACATCTAATATCTAGCCTGCCAGTGGGTCTCAGCAGTCCTCTCTCCAGAGAACATCCTCAGTCTGTTGACTTCTACCCATCTGCACATCTACTGCTGAGTGAATCCCTCTCCATCTCTCATGTGAACTTCTGAAACAGCCTCCCACCTGATCAGTTTTTCTCCATACAACCTGTTTGCCATATAGACTAACAAACAGAGTAATTTGCTTTAATAAACCAGACCATGATGCATCCCCAGTCAGAATCTTTCAATGGCTTCCATTTCACTTTCAATAAAATCAAAGCATCTGACCATGACCCACAAAGTCCTGTATGGTCTGGCCTTGGCCTGACTCTCAGACTCCACCTCTCCCACGATTCTCCATGATAATTAAACACTTGTCCCACTGGCCTCTCGGTTCTTTAATTGCCCCAAGCTTGTTTCTCCTTCAAGACTTCAACATATTCTGCTTTCTTGGCCTAGATTGCTCAGGTTTCTGCTAAAATGTCCCCTTCTTAGAGAGAGCTTCCCTGACGACTCATAAATAATCTGTCTCATTATCTGCCTTTACCTCCCTGGTAGCACTAATCATTATTCAAAGTCACATTAGTTATTGATTTGTCTGTTGCTTATTTTCCACTTGTCCCACTAGCAAGTAGGCCCTTTGAGAGCAGGGAATTTGTCTGTCTTGTTCATAGCTGAATCCCCTGCCCCTCGAACATTGCCTGGCACACAAAGGAACTCAGTAAATGTCTTTGAATGAATCTAACATAGCACTATCCAAAGCATAGTCTGCTGACCACGGAGTGTTTATTACTGGTCTGCAATGAGATAAATATACAAATCAAGAGTAAGCATTTACCAACTTTGATAACAATTTGACATGTGCTTGATCTTTTCCCCAGAACTTAATTTTTATTGTATTTTACAAGAGTATCGTTTTGCATCAGATTAGAAATTTTACAGATGTGGTCTTTCATCACAGTTTGAGAAGCACTAGTCTCAACAAGGACTGGGGTATAAAATAGCTTTCTCCATCTGTTTTTGCATTACTGCATTTATTTAATACTCAATAAAATGCTGAATGCCAAATGAACGGCAGGCCTTGAGCTAGGAGCTAGGATCAAGGATGAACAAAACATACAGCTTGTCCTCAAAAATGTCATAGTCTCTTGAGGAAAGCAGGTAGATAACCTATGGTTACAAAACAGTACAGCTGAATTGTGTACCAGGAGCCTTGGTAGAGAGGGGAAAAAGAACCACACATTCCTTGGAAGGATTAGAAGAGCACTCCCTGACCAGGTGCTGTGGCTCAAGACTGTGATCCCAACAGTTTGGGAGGCCAAGGCGGGAGGATCACTTGAGGTCGGGAGCTCAAGACCACCCTGGACAACATAGTGAGACTTTGTCTCTACAAAAAAAAAAAATTAATTAGGTGAGCATGGTGGTGCATGCCTGTAGTTTCAGCTACTTGGGAGGCTGAGGAGGGAGGATTGCTTGAGCCCAGGAGTTGGAGGCTGCAATGAGTTAAGATTATGCCACTGCACTCCAGCCTGGGTGACCGAGTGAGATCCTGTCTCTAAAAATAAAATGAAAAAAAGAAGAAGCATCCCTGGAGAGGTGGCACATGAAGGAGAAGAAGGTCTCCAGATGAATAAGAGAAGGGGGCATTCTGGGCAGGGGAAGGCAAATGGAAAGTCGTGAGAACACAGGGCTTTCGCAAAGCACAAGTGGCACCATGGGCTTAGAATCCTGGGTACAGAGACTGAGGTGGGAGACGAGGCTGGAGAAAGGCTGTGGCTGTTTGTTTTACTGTCCAACATTTGTTGTCAGCCCCTCTGCACAGGAAGATTATAATTCTTCCCACATTGACCAAGTCCATTTGGGCCTACGAAATGTGAGCGGAGGTGGCACGAGCCCCTTCTGAGCAGATTCTCTGAAAGCCCTCATGAGTTATTCCAGCCCCTTTCACTCTGCCACAGCCCTGGCATGGCCCAGTTAGGGGCTGTCTGTCATCCTGGGTCCTGGAATGGGGACTTGTGCAGCAAAGTCAACCCTCAAGGAACATGAGATGAGAGTAGAAAATAATGCTTGGATGTTGTAAGCCACTAAAATGTGTCACCACAGGGAGACATTACCTCTGCTGACCGGTCCCAGAGGCCAGCATGTCGCCCATCCCGGCACATGGCAGAGGAAACCCAGAGCAGGGCTGTCGTGCCCCCGTGCGTCAGTTAACCCTGAACACCAGTTCCCAGCCCCACACTGTAGCTGCTAAGCAGCAGCCAGGTTCCTCAACAGGTACTCAATTTTGAGCAGAGAATTAGGAGAGCTCTGACTTCTCAGTTTTTATAGAGTGCCCGGCTGTGTTGCACCAAGTCAGACAGGGAGAATGCCATCTGTCAGCCGTGGCATTCTGAATGAATCTTAAGGCACATCATTTAGAGAGAATGCTATAATAGAAAATGAAAGGCAGCATGATGTAAAAGGAACAAAGGCCCTGTTCTGCAGTTCCAAAGCTTTTACCTGGCAAAATTTAAACCAATATGTTGACAAAAATCAATGAAAGAAAACTATGCTCTCAAAGATTGTTGTGTAACAAGGGGGAAGTCTTGAGATGCTCAAATCTAAGAGTTTCCAAGTGGCATGCAAAATTTCATGTCATTTCTCCACATCTTTGGGAATATGGTGGGTGTTAGTTACCTAATCAACAGTTAACATAATCATCGTTCTGTTCTGAATCTAAGGTAGATTCTTCCATTTGAAAATTCAAAATTCACAGTTTTATGGCTCATTAAGACCCTTCCCTGGTCCCTAGGGGCAGCTACCCCTCAATGCTGCCCCCACTCCACAATACCAGTATTGATGGTCAAATTCACCTCTGCCTAGCATTCCCCTCCCTATTGGAGGTGCTGTCAAAACAGCATGCATGCCCTCCAATTCAGCAGCTTGAAGAGAGCATCTTTGAGATTTCATTACCCAGCACAATGGACTGACTGTTAATGTTCACAATGGTCATGTGAATATTCTTCACATAAGCAAAATTCATAAGTTGTAATCCTAACCCCCAGTGTGATGGTTATTAGGATGTAGGGCTTTTGAGAGGTGATTGGGTCATAAGGGGTCTCATGAATGAAATTAGTGCCCTTTAAAGAAAAGACATGAGAGTTTGCTTTGTCTGCAGTCCACCACATGAGAATACAAGGAGAAGGTGGCTGTCAGCAACCCAGAAGAGAGCCCTCACCAGAACCCGATTATATTTACATTAGCTCAATGATCTCAGACTTCCAGCCTCCAGAACTATGGGAAATGAATGTCTGTTATTTATAAGACAGTCTGGGGTATGTTGTTATATTATAGCCTGAGCTAACTAAGACACCTGGACCCACAGATGACACTGGTCATCATATCCTGCTAAACATCCATCCTTTAGATATCTATCAGTGTCCCTGCAGATGGCTCTGAGAGGAACACTGGTGTGGGTGAACAAGAAAAGCATTCCAAGTGAACAGCCATGGCAGAGGTTCTGCGGACTCTCTAGGCTCCCTGCCCTGGCATACATAGCCCCAGGGTTCTTTCCTCATGGTAACTACATAGTGCAGGAGACTGTGGTTACTTTACTTCTGAGATTCTCTTCAATGCAAAATTTATTCTTATAAGTTTGTGTATTAAGTTATGTTATATTAATTTTATGTATTACATTATTTTTCTACATTTGTATTATAGAAACACTTTCATAGATTATTTCAAAGAATAATTCTTTTATTTTTTTTTGTTGGTTTGTTTTTGAGATGGGGTCTCGCTCTGTTGCCCAGCCTGGAGTGCAGTGGTGCAATCTCAGCTCACTGCAGCCTCTGCCTCCTGGGTTCAAGCGATTATCCTACAATTCTCCTATCTCAGCCTCCTGGGTAGCTGGGACTACAGGCACTCGCCACCACACCCAGCTAACTTTTATGTTTTTAGTAGAGACAGAGTTTCACTATGTTGGCCAGGATGGTCTCAAACTCCTGACGTCAAGTGATCTGCCCACCTTGGCCTCCCAAAGTGCTGGAATAACAGACGTGAGCCACCGTGCCCGACAAAGAATAATTTTAAATGTCCCTAAAGCTGCGCTGTGAAACTGTGAACTGTGATTGGAAGAACAGTTGACTCCTGAACAACACAGGTTTGAATTGTATGAATCCACTTATACGCAGATTTTCTTCCACCTCTTCTACCCATGAGACAGCAAGACCAACCCATCTTCTTCCTCCTCCTCCCCAGCCTACTCAACATGAAGATGATGAGGCTGAAGACCTTCATGATGATCCACTTCCACTTAATGAAGAGTGCATCTATTTTCTCTTCCTATGGTTTTCTTAATAGCATTGTTTTCTTTACTTTATTTTAAGAATATAGTATATAATACATATAAAATACAAAATAATGTGTTAATCAACTGTTTGTGTTATCAGTGAGGCTTCCATCAAGAGTAGGCTCTTAGTCGTTAAGTTTCTGGGAGTCAAAAGTTATGCGCAGATTTTCAACTGCACGGGGGTCCACACCCCAAGCCTCACTTTATGCAAGGGTCAACTGTATTGGCAATGTAATAAAATCCATTCACAGCCCTTCATTCTTCTAAGGCTTTGACTTTTCCTGCATTTCAACTATTATTCAAAGATGGCAGCATCTTAAGGCCAAAACTATGTTTCCAGGTCCTCCTTTCCCTTTTATTTCTTTCTTATACTAACTCCTACATTTTTGTTACTGTCAGAAGGTAAACTACCTCTCTCTGAGCCAAGAAATAACAAGGATCTTCTCACAAGTTTAAAGTTGAAGACAGAAAGATAGTATTACAGATACATTGAGGGAAAACCAGTTGATCTAGGGTAGTTAGGGGGATTGGGTTGTACAGACATTAAGTGTTCATTAAGTGTTCTTCACTGAAGAAATTTTTTGTAATGTAAATGATTATTTGTATACAGGAAACAAGGCTGTTACAAGAGCCTTGTAGCTCTTGGAGATGATGCATGTGTAGCATCCATCATAATAACCCCTTGTTATTACCTCAAACAAGACCAGGAATCCTAATTGTGCCCAGAATCTAAACCATATAAGTAGAATCAGATAGAACCAAAGCTCAGACTCTTGCTCTAATACACAAAGAATTAATTTATTAATAATTATTTTGTTAGCATTAGTGGTATTCAATGCCCAGTGGTGGGGGGCACACTTGTTGACAATAATTATTATTCCTGTTCAACTGAAGCTGTCACTTACATCAAATACAAGTGTATTTTTATCCATTTTAGGATGTAGGAATTAATATTGGTTTTTGTCATTGTCTTCAAATCTTTTAAAATAATCTCTAAGTTAGAATTCATAAATCACAAGCCTACAGCAATAATTTTTTCCTGTCTCTTTAAAAAAAAAAACAAGAGTGAGAGAAGAAATGAGAGGGGAAGGGAAAGGAAGAAATACAGGCACTTTCATTTGTAAAGTCTATACTTTTGTCTCTTTGTACATCTAAACAGCTACACAAGTGACACTACGGTGTCATTCAATATGTATTGAACTGAGGGCAACTCCCTGGTGGGAATGAGAGATAGGGGACTTGTCTTGAAGCTGTGTTCACATAGTGAGGACACTGTTTATACTTAGATCTTGTGATTATTTGGGATGGTTGGGATCACAGTGGGGTTCTAACCCACCCTTCTCAGAAGCCCTTGAGACTACTGTGCCTGAATTCAGATACCCTGAATGCCTGCTGCATGCCATGCACTGTTCTAGTTGCTGGGACTGCAACAGTGATCAAAAATGTTATTCTTCCTCCAGGGAGCTAGCAGTGGATATGGGAAAATAAGCAAGTAATTATAGAAGAGTGCCAGGATGGTTTGTGACAAAGTAGACCAAAAGGAGAGTGCTGAGGGACAAAACCAGAAGGCAGAACAAGAAGGAGGGAGGACAAGTTCGTTTGTAGCAATCAAGTCATGGCAATTTGGATCCATACATGAAGTGCCTACTCTATCATCAGAGAGACTGTATTTGGTGTCAATACACTGACAGCATTCAGTGGAGGATCATTTCCTTGGAGAAGAGATCCGGTTCCCATCTTTAAACTTGACCTTTTTCAATCACAAGGTTAGAGAAGGGCTGTTCTTGAATTTCCCTGGTGTAATGTCCCAGAAAGGTGAGGCCTTAGAAGTCAGAATCTAGTACTGCTATTTACTCGCTGTTTGAGGATGAGGAAGTTATTCAAACACTCAGGACTTCAGCTCCCTCAGCATCAAAATATCACCTTCTAGTGTTATACTGAGGATTAAATGAAGTTGTGTATGTAAAGCACAGTGCTCTCCTTTCAGTAGGTGCTCAACAATTGTTCCTTGCCGTTTTGTCTTTTTCATCTTCAGTGTAGATGACCTCTGAGAGCAAACGTTTAGCTCCTCACTCACTTCATATACACATGCACGTGCACACTCCTACTCACCCACAGCTCAAATTCTATTTCAGTAGAACTCCTAAATAATCCTCCTGAGCACTGCCCTTGGTCCTTTCTCCTGTGGTCACAGGTCCAGGAATGTGAAGCCTGTGCTGCCTTTCTCTGCTGAGAGCCCTAACGCAGATAGGGATAAACATGGGGTTTAGCACCTACTCTGCCAGGAGGGGCAAACAGCCCCGTCTACACTGCAGCTGCCCCTCTGATCTCCACTAATAGAGAAAAAGAAGTCAAAGCGACATGCTCCCACTTTTGATTTTATTTTGATGTTTGAAATGAAAGATATTTATAAAGTGCTCCTATCTAAAAATATCTAAGCAAATTGATCTAGCTTACAAATCTGAAAGAACATTTATGCAATTCCCTTCTGAAAATCTGAGCTTTTCAAACACATTAACATCTATTGGTCCCAGAGAAGGCCTTGTCAACCCCTCCTCAGCATAAATTATAAATGCCCTGTTGCTTCAAAGTCTCTTTAGCTTTAGTACAGTATTTCTTTCCTTTAAACATGCAACCGATTAGAAGAGAGTTGGAAATATCATTTGAGGTTATATAAAACAAAAGAGATGCTCCTAAAGAAATAAGAATACTCTCAACCGAAAGAGAGAATGTAAACCCTCAGGAAATGAGCTACAACAAACCTATGAATCCCATCGGGAAACCAAATAATAAGCAAGGGAAATTAATAATGAATGAAAAAATAGATTGGAACTGGATACTCTAAACTCCACAGGAGCAAAAAGTCTCCTCCTGCCTGTTGTGACATCGGCTTTCCTTCTCATTTATTTAAATCAAGAGCAGGGCAAATCCTGGGTTGACCCTAGCAAATATGTAGTCTTCAGAAATTTCACTCTGTGATACATTAAGAGGCACATTGGGGTATATGTATATAGGGGTTTGATTTTTAATATAGTAAAAATTAGGAGTTTATCCAAAAGCACACTTCATTTTAAGACTTGTGGGGTTTCCTGCAACAGAATAATATCCCAGAGGATAGAGCAGAGTGGATCATACTCCCAGCCAAGAAAGAGTTAAGTCTACCACCTGCTCTTTGTACCTAAATATGTAATTATTATATCTGGTGCTGCTGAAGCCCTACACACTTGCCAACTAGTTAATCTACTCTGGCAATTTATCACTCACCTATGTTTGTAGAAATTCAGATAGAGCATCATTCTGCTTGAGACGGATGGGTAGCACCCATCATCATAACTCCTTGGTAAACCCATCCTTGGTAAAGCCATCAACACATCTTTAAAGCATATAAAGCGTTTATAATTATCCTTATTTGCAGAGGAAGAAAGTTGAATCTCAGAGATTAAGGAACTGGTCTAAGTCCATGACTTTGTTGTTGTTGTTGTTTTTGTTTTTGAGATGGAGTCTAGCTCTGTCACCCAGGCTGGAGTGCAGTGACGGGATCTCGGCTCACTGCAAGCTCTGCCTCCCAGGTTCACGCCATTCTCCTGCCTCAGACTCCCGAGTAGCTGAGACTACAGGCACCCGACACCACGCCTGGCTAATTTTTTGTATTTTTAGTAGAGATGGGGTTTCACCGTGTTAGCCAGGATGGTCTCCATCTCCTGACCTCGTGATCTGCCCGCCTCGGCCTCCCAAAGTGCTGGGATTACAGGCGTGAGCCATCGTGCACACCTCTTAATCTAGTAAGTGACAGTCAGAACTTGAATCCCAATCTTTCATTACAAACCTCTGGACATTGTTCTTACACATGGCACCTTGCCCTCACTGAACATTATTTCCTTCATTTAACCCTGCTTAAGCAGCAATTAAACATAGCTTGAATAAAAACTGATATCAAATAACTTAAACCTCTGTTCACTAAAATCTCGAGTTCAGGATTGTAAGCTACTATTTAGAGCACATTAGTATAAAACATTTCAGCCTATACTACCTTCGAATATACCATGTATGTATATAATATATTATTATCCCAATTTTGTAAACTGGACAGCTGAGACTCAAAGCCCTTAATCTTCTCCAAGTCACACAGCTGGTGCATGGCAGTTGCGGACCCTGGTCCCAGCTCTTCAACTTCAGGACTTGCACTATTCGTTTTCAAAATGCCCCTTCTAGGTCATCTGCCACAATACAGACTTTAGGAGATGGTTCCCCTATTTTCAATAACCATATCACGATGCTCAAATTATATCCCAAGAAAAGGTCTATCTGCACCTGAGCTCTACCTAGGATCAGCAGAAAGTGTGTAGGAGCCTTCAGCTGGATCAGAAACTAAACCTAGGATCAGGACGTCCTGTGACAACTGAACCATCGATTCCTTGTTGCAACTGGCTTGCCTGCCCGGAATTTGTCATCTATTGTCTTCTGACGGACAATACTTGATAATGTGTAATCTCTTTCATTACTGCCCTACGATCTGCTGTGACACTTAAAGCATGTCTTCTTCCAAATATGTGCCTTTTCTGCTCTAATTCCTAACTTGCCCCTCCATTCTAAGCTCCCACATTAACTTTGGTTCTCTGCCTAGCATCCACTGGTACCCAACTCCTAGCAACTCCTGCCTTTTCTTTGGTATGACAGAAGAGTGAAAAGAAAAAACCGGCTCTGCAAACATCTTGGTTCTGGCAGTGAAAACTCCTTTAAGTTTTAAATAGCAGAGCTAATTTTCCATTTAATCTCAGGAAACCTGAAACATTTCTCCTTTGGATATCTAATTTTGTTATTTATGCCATAGAACATAAAATTTATCCAGATTAACTTAATGAATATTTAGTAACATAAAACTTTTGCAAACTGCCTCAGTAGGTTCTTTCCAGATTGACATGTTTCATAAAGTATAGATCAGAGCATTTCAAATAAAATTTCCACAAGATTTTAAATAGCAATTTGAAACTACCTCATAACATTGCCATTCTATTAATACAAGTCTGTGATACTCTCTATTCATTCTTCATTTTTATCTTGGATGTATTGGGCTTCTTTTTGTTGTTCTTTGAGTCCATTTCTATGACAATCACCTTCTAGACTGCTTTCACCTTCTGAAGATTTACTTTTCAATGGTAACATGCTGTGGTTTGAACGTTTGTGTCCCTCCAAAATTCATGTTGAAATGTAATCTCCAAGGCAACAGCATTAAGAGACGGGTCTTTAGAAGGTGATTAGGCCATGAGATTTTCACCCTCGTGGATGGAATAAGTGCCTTAAAAAGAAGTGGAGGGAACTAGCAAGGCCCTTTTTGCCCTTTTGCCATTTGAGAACACAGCAAAAAATGCAACATCTTAGAAGCACAGACCAGGCCCCACCAGGCACCAAACCTGCTGCCACCTTGATCTTGGACTTCCCAGCCTCTAGAACTGTGAGAAAATAATTTTTTTTCTTCATAAATTAGCCAACGTCAGGCAGTTTGTTATAGCAGCACAAATGAACTAAGACGCAACATAATTTTTCCCTATTTACTGATGACCAGAAGAGCTTTTGTAGCAAAAATTGCCCCACATCTCCTCACCCTTCACTGACCCCTCACCCCGCCCATTCTTCCCCCACCCGCCCTGTCTCATGATAGCCCCATTAGTCCAGACAATTCTGAAACAGCTATCACATTCCACTACCGAATACTGTGATTCTATTACTCCCCTATATGATCTTTTATTTTGAATTAGCTTGTGGAAAAAAAGCTAAATGCACACAAAAATGATAATACAGTAAAAGCACAAATTCATGAGAGAAGTTAAGAAGAGATGTAGAAATCAAAATAAAACAACATTCATTTTTTCATTTTCTCACATTGTTTCCAAGACCTCTCTTTAATCTAAAAGACATTAAAGTCTAAGCCACCAGCAGTTCCTCTAGACACTACTCCACAAACAGTTGGTTAGAAAGGCATGATTTGCTTTCAACTTACTTGTAAATAGGGTTTTAGAAATTCCTCTGCACTGTCTACTCCCTGTTGAGAAACTGATCTTTATACAAGTAGCTTTTGAAAAAACTTCTTGAGAGGAAAAAAAATTAGAAAAATATAAATCAAAAGAAGTATTATTATTTTTTATTTAAAAAGTTTTTTCAAATAAAATTGATTTTCATACAAATTCAATAAAATTCATATTCTTGTACATTAGTAGTGCCAGGCTGAGAATTTTCCAAGTACTTTTCACCTACTAAGACTTTATCCTCACAAATCTTTTTTTTTAAGTTATCTTGATCTTTTTATTATACAGATGAGGAAACTGAGACAGGGGCACACAGCTGAACAGTTGGTGAAGCAGGGTTTAAACCCGGGCTGTCTCATTTCTTGGTCCAGGCTTTTAGCCACAGTGATGCTGTATCACTTCTTCTAGGAAAGTCATTTGACAAAATAACTCAAGGGGAATAAAAATACCCATGCACTTGGAACTCTCAATCTCACTTTTAGGAAATTAAGAATACAAATTTGTCAATATCTATATTCATCAAGATGTTTATCTTAGCATCACATGAAATAGTAAAAAATGTAAACTTTCAGCAATAGGGTAATATAATATTTTAAATTAAGGTTACATTAAGTAGTCTTTGATGATTATATTTATGGAAGCAGAGTAACAGCATAAAAATGTTATAGAAAAAAGTTATTAAATGGTATTTTTACAATGATTATAAATAACAAATCATGTCTGTGAAAAAATAACTTTAAAGATTTTTAACAGACATGATGGGTGTTAAATGAAAACTCATGCTTCATTTTGACTTACTATACTGACAGCCATAGCTTACTTCACAGGAAAAAAAAACCTGCCTTTCTGAAAACATATTATAAAACACATCTATATATTAAACCTTATCATATACATCAAAATGTAGGAAGAAGAAGAGATTTTAATATAAATCAAGAGACAGATTATCTAGGAAAATCTTGAGCCCAAATGTAAGTTTTTAAAAATCTTCCTAAGTATATAGCATCCCTGACAGGAGTATAATTATCACTGCTTTGGATGGCATTTGACAAGGGTCTATACAGTATTTAAACCCTGAAGCCAGGCAAATTCCAAATCTAGAAAGTATTCTGAAAATAATTTTAGAAAATAATTTTAAGTGTGAAGAGTGCTGTGAAACTGAAGTTATAAACTTAAATTGGGACATCTAATTAGAGAAGAATATAACCTTGAATGGAAGAGGTGCCTGAGGAAGTCAAGTTTATGCTTCAACTTTGAAGGACTTGTCTGAGCCAGGTGAAGATGTGGTGGAAGGAAGTGCAGACCACTAGCACCAGAGTGGACAGTTCAGAGTTGGGGGAGAGTAGGGCAGGTTTAAGAGTTGAAAGTTTATGATAAATTGCTTAATAGCTACAGTGTACATTATTCAGGTGATGGGATACAGTAAAAGCCAAGACTTCACCACTATGCAATATATTCATGTAACAAAATTGCAGTTGTGCCCCTTAAATTCATACAAATAAAAAAAAACCAGAAAGATAACCAGTTTAGTTAGAGTGAGACAAATGTAGAATAGCATTCAGAAGTCTGGGTAAGTGGACAGAGGCAGATTCTAGAGCACTCTAAAAGTCATTTACATGATTTTGATGGATGTTGACCCTACATGCATTGGGAACCCTGAAAAAGAGATTCCAGCTAGGTTTGCATGTTTAAATCATTGTCCTTGAAGCAGTGAAGGCAGAAAGGACAAGAAGGAAAAATCTGGAGAGCAGCAAGATTGGAAGCAAGGGTCAACCTAGAAGGCTATGGTTGTGTTCAAGAGAGTGTGATGACTTAGGAAAGGGCCATGGCAACAAGGACAGAGGCAAGAGTGAGGAAAGAGGTACGTGCAAGCTCCAGAAAGTCAAGGCTGGTTGTCTTATTCACATTTCCCCCTCAAGCCTAGTACAGCATCTGACTCTTTATACTTAATGAGTCTGAATGAGTGAGGGCAAAACAAGAAAAATGAACTCCACTGCTTAAGATGTTAGTCAGTTCTCACAGTGCTATAAAGAAATACCTGAGGCTGAGTAATTTATAAGAAAAGAGCTTTAATTGTCTCAAGTTCTGCAGGCTGTACAGGAAGAATAGTGGCTTCAGCTTCTGGGGAGGCCGCAGGAAACTTACAATCATGGCAGAAGGCAAGAATTGCATGGCAGAAGCAGGAGCAAGAGGGAGAAGGAGGAGGTGCCACACACTTTTAAAGGACCAGATCTCACTAGAAGTCGCTCACTATCTCGAGGACAGTTCCAAGAGGGACGGTGCTACACCATTCATGAGAAATCTGCCTCCATGTTCCAGCCACCCCCGACCACGATCGACCTCCAACATTGAGGATTACAATTCAACATGAGACTTCAGCAGGGACACAGAGCCAAACTGTATCAACCTAGTTGGGTAGTGTTTTCAGGATCCGTAAACAGGGAAAAGAGCAGAGATGTGAATGGGGATTAAAAGGAAAGTCTACCAGTGGGAAATACTCTGTGGCAGGAAAGGCCAGGTCACATTAAAACAGAGATGTCTAAATATTTAATTTTTAAGTGTTGATTGCGTTTTAAAATCTGCTGTACATGGTGATGGTCTTGGACAGTGGCATTGGATGGATGGGGGAGAAAGAATATGGAGTAGAAGTGTGGAAAGCAGTCACTGCAGCTGAGAGAAAGAACTGGGAACAAGACGCAGAAATGGCCAGCTTTTTAGGTTGATTTAGAAGAAATATAGACACCACCGCTACCCACCCTTCCCTGCAAAAAACACCCCAGCACAGAGGATAGCCTGGGGGTTTGGAGATATTCTGTTATACTCTATCGCGCTAAAACAGAAAACACTGGCAAAGGAAAGGTTTGAGTAGAGATGTTGATAACTTCAGTTTGGGGCTGTTATACATCCAGGTGGGAAAGCTTTATGCACACTGTGAGAGTTAGAAAATCAGAAATGCCTAAGAATATTAGAAAAGAAATATTTCAGTAAATCACAACACAAAAACTTGGAAATTATGGAGCCAGAAAAATTATATTTACAAAGAAATTTCATGTCTTTTTCTCTAAATTGGTGCTGCAAACAGAATACTGCAGGACCAAACACAGCCCAGTAGTGTATTTTGTTTGGTCATTGTTCAGCAAGGTTTGAATTTCAGCACCGTGGATGGAGTGTGCATTCGGAAGCATGTCACAGTCCTCACCATGCCCTATCATTGCATAATCTGCTGTGTTGAGTTTGAATGCTCTGAAAGGTTTATTCCAAAATTGTTAATACCAGCCTAGGAATACTAATGTGGTTATCACAGAGAATCACAGGAAATTTTTACTTTCTGTGCATTATATACATAATTGATTTTATACCAAATGTATATTATTACTTTTTTTTTTTAGACAGAGTCTCGCTGTGTTGCCCAGGCTGAAGTGCAGTGGCACCATCTCAGCTCACTGCAACCTCTGTCTCCTGGGTTCAAGCAATTCTTCTGCCTCAGCCTCCCGAGTAGCTAGGACCACAAATGCCCACCACCACGCCCGGCTAATTTTTGTATTTTTAGTAGAGATGGGGTTTCACTTTGTTGGGCAGGCTGGTCTTGAACTCCTGACCTTGTGATCTGCCCGCCTCAGTCTCCCAAAGTGCTGGGATTACAGGCGTGAGCCACTGTGCCCGGCCTATTATTTTTATGATCAGAAAAAATAAAAATAAAAAATAGAAGAAAATATGCCAAAATGTAAATGGTAGAAGTTAGGTGGTGTTTACTTTCTTCTTTATAGTTATTTTTCTATAATAGGCACATATCGCTTTGCAGTCAGATTAAAAATATACTAAAAAGCATGCGGCAAATGTTTTTAAATCATACTTAAGAAAAATTACAATTTGCTAACAGAATAATGCCAAAATTTAGTCAGAAAAATGTGTATAAAA
The DNA here is from genome assembly GCF_000001405.40 of Homo sapiens. NCBI lineage: Eukaryota > Metazoa > Chordata > Mammalia > Primates > Hominidae > Homo > Homo sapiens. The sequence goes on from NC_000018.10 coordinate 2,275,563, forward strand.
GGTTGAGAATATGTTTATGCTGGGAACAAGAGCCTTTGTCTAATGAAAAAAACAATGTAACAAATCTTCCTCTCAGTTTATCTGCAACCTAGTCATATTTCAAGACTTAATTCAAATTTTTCCTCTTCAAGACACTTTTCACAATAAAACCTCACTCTGTATCCCTCTTGTCCGTCAAATGATTGCCAAATTATATGAAAATTTATCAGTCTATCATATTTATCCAATTCTTGTACTATTTCTTGCACTGAAAAAAGCCTTGCTTTACATACTGTCATATTTCCTTTAGTAAATTTTCCTCTTCTTTCTTCAACTAGATTAAAAGTCCATGAGGAGGCCGGGTGCGGTGGCTCACGCCTATAATCCCAGCACCTTGGGAGGCGGAGGCATGCAGATCACCTGAGGTCAGGGATTCGAGACCAGCCTGGCCAACATGGTGAAACCCTGTTTCTACTGAAAATACAAAAATTAGCTGGGTGTGGTGGCACACGCCTATAATCCCAACTATTCGGGAGGCTGAGGCACAAGAATCGCTTGAACCCGGCGGGACAGAGGTTGCAATGAGCAGAGATCACGCCACTGTACTCCAGACTGGGTGACAGAGCGAGAGAGACTCCGTCTCAAAAAACAAGAAAAAAAAAAGTCCATGAGGAAAGAAAACATGTTCATGTCTTATTGTATTGTACTCAACACAATGGGTTACACACAGTAGCCCTCAATTTGTATTTGTAGTCTGATTTTTACCTAAAAATGTCATCAATTTATTTCAAACTGGTAACCTTTCCTATTTTACTTGGTAGGATTTTCTATCCATTAAGAAAATTTTTATAGGTTAAGGATAGAAGAGATAGAGATAATAAGAGATAATAGTACATTTTAAACCGCAATATTCACATTACCTGGGTACGCTTATTTTGTGGAACATAATCAGCAAAAACTTAAATGGATAAATATATTTTCTGAAGCAAAGGAATTTACACAGGAATGAAATTTGTGTAAAATGAGCCTCTGGTTTGTGCAGATAAACCCATTTCCTGATATATGAATTTTATAATTAAGAATTGCTTTGTGTTGATGTTCTCGTGATAATTGCTTTGTGTGTAAATGCAGTTCTCTGGCAAGCTTCTTGCCTGAACACCAGAATCTTCATTGTTTCATGCAATTTTAAAGACCTGCCTCACAAGTCACCAAGTCAGATTTCAGCCAGCAAGGATTCAATTTCAAATATTTAACAAATTTGCTTTGAGAAACAATTACATTAGTTGCTGGCACAACTAGAAAATCTCTTTTGTACCTCAATGAGTATTGGTTCATATTTATCAAGGCAAAAGTCATTATGCCTTCCCAAATGCGTATATATATATATACATATATATACATATATATGTATATATATATGTATGTATATATGTGTGTATATGTGTATATATGTAAGTATATATGTGTGTATATGTATATATACATATGCATGTGTGTATATGTATATATACATATACATATACACACACATACACTCCTGTATATATACATATATATACATATATGTATATACACACAAACATACATATATGTGTGTGTATATAGATACACATCTATATATCAGGGAATGGGTTTACTTGCACAAACCAGAGACTCATTTTACACAAATTTCAATCCTGTATAAATTCCTTTGTTTCAGAAAATATATTTATCCATTTAAATTTGTGCTGATTGTGTTCCACAAAATAAGGGTACTCAGGTAATGTGAATATTGCAGTTTAAAATGTACCATTATCTCTATTACCTTTATCTCTTCTATCCTTTAACCTAATTATATATATATATACATATATATGCTATTTTAAAAAAAACTACACTATCTTAAATTATGATATTCAGCTGATTTTGCATCTACTTGACCCTAGGTTCTCAGTGGAAAAGCCAAGGAGACACAGAGCTCAAACATGGGACATAGCCAACAGGAAGTTAATTTCCCTAATGCATATATTAGGAAACAATACATTTTTCAAGTAATTAACCACTTTGTGCAAAAGTATTTTAAATAATTAAGGAATATAAAGATATATAAGATGACCACAACACAAAGAGTTGCTTCTATCTAGAGTATCTTCTAAGATAAACAGTACATGAATACAACTGTCATAATTTCTGCAAATAATTTTCATCCACTAGAACCCTATACAGTACCTTTAAATGCTCTGTTAACCAGATTGTGGCATCGCTGAGGTCCATGCCCTTCTTTCAGCTTTGAAGCCAGGTGAAGTTGGTTTGAATGCCAGATCTTTTACTTAGTGATTGAGTGGCCTCAAAAGTCCCAATTATTATCTAGCATCTGTTGGACCTCTGCATTTATGATTCCATCATCCTGCAGTGTCTGTTAATTTTCCCATTTGACAAATAGGAAAATGGCAATGCAGTGGTTAAGTGATTTGCTCGAGGTCATGGTTCTGGAATACAGCAGAATTCAGATACTAACACGGACCTCCCTGAATTCAAAGCCTTTCCACAGCACCTGTTTTAGACTCTCCAAGCTCTGTGTGTTCAACTATAAAATGTGGATAATGATAAAAGCTTTGAAGTGACGTTGTGAGGATTAAAAGAGATACTATAAGAAAAACACGCCTGGCTGATTGCTAGAATTCATTCATTTTATATAACTATAACTTTCTATCCATGAGCAACAATTCCCCATTTCCCCCAACCTCCATCCCCTGGCAACCACTATTCTATTTTCAGCTTCTATAAGTTTGACCACTTTTGATACCTCATCTAAGTGGAATCATGCAGCATTTGTTCTTCTGTGACTGACTTGTTTTACTTAGTGTAAAGTCTTGCAGACCCACCTGTGTTGTTGCAAATGGCAGGATTTTCTTCTTTTTTAAGGCTGATTAACATTTCATTGTAAATATCTATTATATACATGTGCATAAAGTTATACAAAATGAATAAGTGCCTAGAGTTAACAATACAGTATTGTGCATTTCAAAATTTAAGAGAGTAGACCTTATGTTAAGTGTTCTTATCACAAAAAAGGAAAAAAGAAAGGCTCACAAAGAAACTTTTGGGGGTGGTGGATATATTTACTGCCTTGATTGTCGTGATGGTATCAAGGATGTATGCATACATCCTAACTTATCACATTGCATACATCCAATATATGCAGCTATTTGTATATCAATTATATCTCAATAAAGCTGTTTTTAAAAGTGCCTGACATAATACTGGGTCAATGGTGGTCTTGTTCACTTATTCAGCCTCATCACTGAGCACCAGCTCTATGCTATGTACTGTGGAAGACACTGAGAATCTGTGCACAGATGAAGGATGACAACAGCCTCTGACTTCAGATATTAATTTTTATCTCCAGCAACACACACACCCCATACCCTCTCACCCCTCCATACTTCGAGACTATCTTTCAGTCTTGTAATCCCTATCAGAATGCATGAGAGACAAGTTAAAATTAAAATAGGTCCTCTTGAAATTAGGCTCAGTAGGAAGTTAATAAGAAATTATCAAAAGTACATTTGTATGTTGAAAGAATATTCTCTTTTGCCTGTAATCCCAGCTCTTTGGGAGGCCAAGGCGGGTGGATCACGAGGTCAAGAGTTTGAGACCATCCTGGCCAACATGCTGAAACCCCGTCTCTACTAAAAATACAAAAAATAGCTGGGCTTGGTGGCGCCCACCTGTAGTCCCGGCTGCTCAGGAGGCTGAGGCAGGAGAATCGCTTGAACCCGGGAGGTGGAGGTTGCAGTGAGCCGAGATTGCACCACCGCACTCCAGCCTGGTGACAGAGTGAGACTCCATCTAAAAAAAAAAAAAAAAAATATTCCTTTTTAAATAGTTTTTTTTTTTAATTTTCAAGAGATTTTATCTGTGATGTGAGTGAAGGTAGCCACAGATGGATTTAATCTCCAGTTTGATGAGCAGTGTGGACGCGTAACAGGACTCCAGCAGACTCTGCAGCTTGGCCAGGTGCTGGGGGAAGACAGTGAGGCTCTTCCCCCAGTAGGACAGTGCTGGGCCCACAGTGGAGTCTCCAACAGGCAGCCAGAGTTCCAAGCCCAGCAGTTGGGGTCCCTTCGGTCAGTCAACAACAGGAGAAAGAAAATATAAAGGTGAATCTTTTCCTAAGCAACGTATTTGTCTCTACACTGAGACTTTCTAGGAAAAAATGCCAATTCAAAGGAGCAATGTAAATGACAGTATAGGACGACATGGAGAGAATGAGGGGAAGAAAGAAATACTTGGTGACAGGGAAGGAGACTTCCAGTGCCCTCACGGCATTCGGTCATTTCCAAGATTCATTCTCTAAACATTCCTGGGGCATTGACTGTGAGCCTAGTGATGCACTGGGCACCATGGATGGACATCTGAAGAGATGACAGGGGCTTGTACTTGGGAGCTGCTGGGCAACCACCCAATTCCACCTGTCCTCTGGGGTGGGCCTTGGGCCAGTCCCTAATGCAAGGGACAGAGGGGCTGTGATTGGTGGTGGCTGGTCATGTGTTTTTCCTGTGGCTGGGATGATGGAGAGGGTCAGGGAGGCATGCTGGTTGGTTAGGAATAAAGGCATAAGGAATAAAGTTCTCACACACACACACAAAGTATGGGTAAACGGTGATTTGTCAAAGGAAATGTGTTCAGAAGACCAAGCATACCTGCGCTATATTCCTAGCAATTCTGCTGTGCATTTAATCTTGTAAGATACAATCCTCACCCTCACAGAGGTCTCATCTTTAAAAAGAGAAAATACGCCTTTTAAAACATTAATCAAAACCAAAAAAAACTACTCAACAGCCAAAAGTACCAACTGCATTTTCATTATCAAGACTACAGGATAATAACACATTGTCAACTTCTGACAAATGCCATCTTCAGTTTTTAATTGTTTTAGAATTGTCAGCCTTATGTCAGGTGGAATAGCCTATTGCAAACACTGACCCTTTTTTTACCACATGTAAGAATATGAAATTCTGGCATGAACATCTGCTTATAATGCAGTCATAGGAGAGAAGAAGAAAAGACTCATGGAAAGAAGGCCTAGAGGAAGTGGAAATAACAGGAGGGAATGAAAAGGCAAAACAGTTTAAGGAAGCTATGAACCCCTGAGAAATGAAACAGCCATATGACAACCCATAAAAAGTGGACATTTAAAAGATTTTTTAAATCCTGGAATTCTGGCCAAGCGTGGTGGTTCACACCAGTAATCACGGCACTTTGGGAGGCCAAGACAAGCGGATCACCTGAGGTCAAGAGTTCAAGACCAGCCTGGCCAACATGGCGAAACCCTGTCTCTACCAAAAATACAAAAATTAGCCAGGTATGGTGGCACATGCCTGTAATCCCAGCTACTCGCGAGGCTGAGGCAGGAGAATCACTTGAACCCAGGAGGCGGAGGTTGCAGTGAGCTGAGATTGCACCACTGCACTCCAGCAGCCTGGGCAACAGAGTGAGACTCTGTCTCAAAAAAGAAAAAATCCTAGAATTTAACCAGTTAATAGAACCATAGAAGAGATATTATCAGTTACTTTTGCACAGTGAGGAAGATTTTTTTTTTTTAGGTAAAGCAAGCAATAAGGTTTTTGTTGTTGCTTTTTTCCAGTTCTATAACCCCATCGTCATTACCATTCTCAAGTAAAGTATTCTTAAGCAAAAGGCAGCAGAGCAACACTTTGACAGACAGCATCTGAGAACAGCATAAGGTCAGACCAAAACACAGATGAGATTAAAACACTAAGAGAATGAAGACAGAACAGGGCAGATTTAACAATTCCACTAATCCCCTAGTGAAGGAGAACTGGAGTTAATGCCATATACATATCAAGTGTCATTGTAGTTTTGTATACATATGTATGTATTTTTCATCTTGTCACCTGGTTTGATTAACATATGTAGTTCAAATCAAAGTATAAATTCATTTGTGTTTCATCTTTTTTGTTGCCATAATAAAACCTAAGTTTAAAGAATCCCATCAGATGTTGATGCAAAATATTGTAACCAGGAAGATCGCAGTGATAATTCCTGTTCCTAGAACCACGCACCTGGTCAGCAAATATTCATTTACTAAAAGAACCTTTGGACGTCAATGAAGGCTGCCAAGATGAGAAAAAGCAAAGCTGTTTATTCAGAGCTTGCTGTAGCACAGGAGTTGGCCACAGTCACTTGCATTTGACAGAGACTCAAAAGCAGGCAGAGGAGTTGAAAAGCTTCATCCTGGAAATAAGGAAGGCTTCAGGTACATGCTGAGCAGAGGCCGTTGGTGTGGGAAAGCTGAGGGCGACTTACTAGAAGTAGGCACCCTACGTGCTTGGTCAGGGGAGCGTATTTGACTTTCTTTGTGTCGTCTCACATTTGAAGTGGAGAGAGACATTAGGAAGGCTGTCAGTTATTGACCAAGCCCTTGCTGTTTTGAGCCAATTGCCACAGAGGTTGTGGTTTGGCTTCCTGGGCTGGTTGGTGCAGGGTGCATGGTTTTGGCCTTCCAGGTTGCTACTGCAGGTCGTGTGTCAGAGTTCTATTTTAATATACGGTTGGCCTTATGTGTTTGTATGTTCCATCTCTCAGGCCTTCGAGCATGCTACAGATCCCCTGCTCAACTGAACTCTACAGCTGTTCACATTTTTTTTCTTTTTCTTTTTCTTTTGACACAGGGTCTCATTCTGTCACCCATGCTGGAGTGCAGTGGTGCAATCTGGGCTCACTGCAACCTCGCCTCCTTGGCTCAAGTGATTATCCCACCTCAGCCCCCCAAGTAGCTGGGACTACAAGCCACCACGCCCAACTCATTTTTCTGTATTTTTTGTAAAGACAGGATTTCACCATGTTGGCCAGGCTGGCCTTGAACTCCTGAGCTCAAGTGATCCATCCGCCTCAGCCTCCAAAAGTGCCAGAGTTACAGGTGTGAGCCATTGCACCGGTCTTCAGCTGTTCACATTTATTTCCAGTGGTCAGAATACATTTCCACTGAGAAAAGGATGATTTCTAACTTTTCTTTCATGCCAAAGTGTTCCATCTTTGCCAGTATGAATTCAAAAGAAATTACTAAAACAAAGACATTCTGAAGTAAATCAGAGTTGACTGCAAAAGGGGACTATGGTATCAGAAAATGAGTTTGAGCTTCACTCCCAGCAGAAAGCTCAAAGCGAGTACTAAGAGAGACTGGGAGAGTTTAGTAGAGACTAGACAGTGAGTACTGGGCTGGAAATCTTAAAATTGGGCATAGGGCATTCCCACAAAGAGCTTCAGGGGAAATTGCATTCTTTTTTTTTTTTTTTTTTTTTTGAGAGGGAGTTTTGCTCTTGTTGCCCGGGCTGGAGTGCAATGGTGCCATCTGGGCTCACCACAACCTCTGCCTCCCGAGTTCAAGCTATTCTCTTGCCTCAGCCTCCCCAGTAGCTGGGATTACAGGCATACACCGCCACACCCGGCTAATTTTATATTTTTAGTAGAGACAGGGTTTCACTATGTTGGTCAGGCTGCTCTCGAACTCCTGACCTTGTGATCCACCCACCTCAGCCTCCCAAAGTGCTGGATTACAGGCATGAGCCACCACGCCCAACTGGAAATTGCATTTTCTATGCTTTTTCTAGGTCAGATATTGTAAGTTTAAAACATCCATTTGGTGAGAATTGATAGTAAAGTAACTAACACCACCCCATAATACCTTTTTAATGCATGATTGAATAATTTATTCTCCCTAAGAAATGGGGGAACCCATGAGGGCTCCCCATCCCCAACAGAATCCATTCCCAAGTCCTTAATGTGGCTCACACGTCCCTTCCTGACCTTCTAGCTCCTCCCGCCTCTTGAGCTTCATCTCCTAAAACTCCCACTTCTACTTCCCTCCCATTCCTCACACAAAGACAGAACACCAGCACTAGTCAGGCTAAATTGACGGCAATCCCTTGAGAACAACATGCCCCAAGTTTTGGAATTTGCAAATGATTTTCCTTGTCCTTGAACTTTTTTCTCACTTTCTGTCTGCTTGGTAATGTATTCATCCTCTAAGACTCAGTCTACTCTGAAAAGGTTTTTGTGACCCCGCATATATTGGAAAGAAGAAAGGGAAAAAGGAAGAATATTTCTCTTGAATGTACTCCATGAAAAGGTAACACATAAAAATATAAATTACCAAGTGGTGTTGCTGGAGAACACGCAAGCTCCAGCGTCAGGCAGACAGATTGATGAAATCTGTGGTCCTCCGCAGATTCCTCTTTCTCTCAATCTCTTCAATAGTAAAATAAAGAAAACAACCCCTGTCTCTTGGGATTGTTGTGACATAGGCCAAGCACAGGCCAGTCGCACAGATGATGCTTATTATAAGTTTTTTCCTTCTCCCTTCCTCGCCCAAAGCAGCAGCATTATTAAGGATTAACACTTGTATAAATTTTAGAATTTACAGGTACTTTGTAAACAATTGTCATATTTCATCTTTCAATCAACCCTACAAAATAGGTTGCATTTATTATCTGCAGAAAGAGAAATTGAGGTCAGAGGGAAGTTGATTGTGAAGTCTGAAACCTGGCTAGGTCCACTGAGGCCAAATTCTATAATGCCATTTTAAACTCATTCCATTGACCTGAAAGACCCTGATATTTCCACACACACACAACATTTTTAACGTTGTTTTTAAGTACTTAAATGTTGTCAAAAACTTATTATTAATCATGCTCTGTTTTCACATTTCAACAGAACAATAAGCTAACTGGGATCAAAATCTCAGAAACGAATTACATTAGATATTAACAATTATTTTAGGCCTGTATGGTGCTGTCCTTGTTAGTTTTCAATTTTAAAACTTTGGTGAGACATTTGAAGTTCTGAACTGTGGGTAAAATTTAATGAGACCCTCTTGTTTGATAAGGAAGTATGTGTCATGCTAAGAATAAGCAATAAGTCATTGAAAGGGGAAAAAACTATGCACATATATTTATGTAGATTTTATCAGATGGTTTCATGCATTGGATTATTAAGTGCTCTAAATTTTTAAGCAACTTTAATGCAAACAACTAAAAACTAGCATAACCATTTTTGCTAAAACAAAGAGCTGTCTTTTGCAAAATGGCCAAAACATACAGAAAAAGTCACTTCAAACCTCCTGAAGTGACAAGTAGTATTATTCATTGGTTGTAGCACCCCTCATTCTAGCCCCCTTCTTTCATGTTTCCAGTGAAAATATAGCAGACCTCTATTGATTGGACCAAGTTTCAAAGCACATTAAAATCTTATTTTACAAAATCTTCTCAGGGAAAAGCTCTCTACTAAGGAGAGGCTACCCAATCACTAAACATGACAGATCAGGCTTTGGGATACAGGTCCCACTATTCACAGTTATCCCTCATGAATGGCCAGAGAAAAAGAGCACTAGAGGGTCCATTCGTCTTCTTTCCTGCAAGTCTTTATTGATAGGGAGCTCTGGAGAATCACTTGTTATTCTGAGCAGGGCCACACCTAATGCTTGTGGAGTCCAAGGCAAGGGTACAAATGGAAGCTCATTTCTGTATGTCTAAATATCTTAAAATTATAAGTAGCAAAACATTTAACAAAATAGCTTCCATCACCCTACCTTTGCAAACAATTTTTTTTTTTTTTTTGAGACGGGGTCTCGTTCTGCCGCCCAGGCTGGAGTGCACTGGTGCAATCTTGGCTCGCTGCAAACTCCGCCTCCTGGGTTCACGCCATTCTCCTGCCTCAGCCTCCTGAGTAGCTGGGACTACAGGCACCCGCCACCACGCCCAGCTAATATTTTTGTATTTTTAGTAGAGAAGGGGGTTTCACCATGTTAGCCAGGATGGTCTCGATCTTTTGACCTCGTGATCCACCCGCCTCGGCCTCCCAAAGTGCTGGGATTACAGGCGTGAGCCACCGCGCCTGGCCTGCAAACACATTTTTATAACAACATGGCAGGCCTGGTTTCAATTTAGAATTCTCAGGTTCTCTCACGTTCTCATGGTAGGATACAGTGGTGTGGGAAGACCAGACCCTTGACTACTTCCCTACTATTTGCATCATAAGGAAAAAAACTATACTTATATATTTATATTGATTTTAAATGAAATATCTCCCTAGCATGCATATGATACCCTCAAGTTCAAGTTCTGTCTACAGGCTTTTGGCCTCCTCTCAAGCCTAAAATGTGCACATCAGAGCTGTGGTCCACCCCTGGGAGGTCAGTAGAGGTAAGCGGCCCATACAGGCCCTAGAAGCCATCTCAGGGCCATGGGAGCAGGGGACTGGCCTCCGCTCAGGCCTCAAACGTGCACATCAGAGCTGTGGTCCACCCTGGGAGGCCAGTGGAGGTAGGAGGCCCACACAGGCTCTACAAGCAACCTCAGGGCTATGTGTGTAAAGGATTCTAGGGTCATGGGGACCTAGAATATGGTAGATGGGAGGTTGCAGGCTGCCTGGACCCACAGACTCCTTCTCCTTAATGAGAAGTGTGACCAGAAAGGTGACAGGGAGTCCCTCAAAAGCACAGGGACCAGAGCAGGTTCCCTCTTGCCCAGGTTTCTGTATCTTTATTACAAAAATAAATAATGTTTTCCTCTCCTAAAGGCCCCAGCACATGTAAAGATGCCCCAATTTTCAATATCAACTCATCATTCTCAACATTTCTCTACTACACTTTTAAAAGTTGATTACCAGAAAAAATAAGTCATTAGTTGTTGTTTTATATCGAATATATTCTTATTGGTATTTTTCTTTAATAATTCAAAAAGGATTGGGTAAAATACCTGAGATTTTATCTACCAGTAAGAAGCAGCAATATTCCCATTAATATGAGTTACCAAGAATCATCAAGTCATAAATTAGCAAAACCTCTGTAAGCCCAATATTCAAAAATTTTCACTTAGAGATAAGTAAGTTTTTTGCCTACAAGCAAAATAGGGTAGCACAGACCAGATTTACTCATTCACTCAAAACAAGCAAAAAAAAAAAAAAATTCAGAATGATCTGAACAGACACTTATTTTTTTTTTTTTTACTTTTAATCTTTTTCAACTTTTGGTTCAGGAGTACATGTGCAGGTTACTTATACACGTAAACTTGTATCATATCATGGGGGTTTGGTTTACAGATTCTTTCATCAACCAGGTACTAAGCCTCATGTCCAATTGTTATTTTTTCTGATCCTCCCCCTCCACCTACCCTTCACCCTCAAGTAGGCCTCTGTCTGTTGTTCCTCTCTTTGTGTCCATGTGTTCTCATCATTTAGCTCCCACTTATACGTGAGAACACGTGGTATTTGGTTTTCTGTTCCTATGTTAGCTTGCTAAGGATAATGGCCTCCAGCTCCATTCATGTTCCTGCAAAGGATATGATCCCATTCTTTTTTATGACTGCATAATATTCCATGGTGTATATGTACCACATCTCTTTATTCAGTCTACCATCAGTGGACATTTAGGTTGATTCCATGTCTTTGCTATTGTGAATAGTGCTGCAATGAACATATATGTGCATGTGTCTTTGAAATAGAACAATTTATATTCCTTTGGGTATATACCTAATAATGGGATTGCTGGGTCAAATGGTAGTTCTGTGTTTAGCTCTTTGAGGAATCACCACACTGCTTTCGACAATGTTTGAACTAATTTACACTCCCACCAACAGCGTATAAGTGTTCCCTTTTCTCCACAGCCTTGCCAGCACCTGTTATTTTTTGACTTTTTAATAATAGCCATTGTGACTGGTATGAGATAGTATCTCATTGTGGTTTTGATTTGCATTTCTCTAATGATAGTGATGAGCTTTTCTTCATATGAATGTTGGCCGCATGTATGTCTTCTTTTGAAAAGAGTCTGTTCATGTCCTTTGCCCACTTTTTAATGAGGTTGTTTTTTTCTTGTAAATTTGTTTAAGTTCTTCATAGATGTTGGATATTAGACCTTTGTCAGAGGCATAGTTTGCAAATATTTTCTCTCATTCTATAGGTTGTCTGTTTCCTCTGTTGATAGTTTCTTTTGCTATGCAGAAACTTTTAAGTTTAATTAGATCCCATTTGGCAATTTTTGCTTTGTTGTGATTGCTTTTGACATCTTCGTCATGAAATCTTTGCCCATTCCTATGTCCAGAATGGTATTGCCTAGGTTGTCTTCCAGGGCTTTTATGGTTTGGGGTTTTACATTTAAGTCTTTAATCCATCTTGAGTTGATTTTTGTATATGGTGTAAGGACGGGATCCAGTTTCAGTCTTCTACTAATGGCTAACCAGTTATCCCAGCACCATTTACTGAATAGGGAATCCTTCCCCCGTAGCTTGTTTTTGTCAGCTTTGTCAAATATCAGATGGCTGTAGGTGTGCAGCCTTGTTTCTGGGTTCTCTATTCCGTAACATTGGTCTATATGACTGTTTTTGGTTTTTTGTTTTTCCATAGGTTTTTGTGGTACAGATGGTGTTTGGTTACATGACTAAATTCTTTAGTGGTGATTTGTGAGATTGTGGTGCACCCATCACCCAAGCAGTGTACACTGCACCCTATTTGTAGTCTTTTATCCCTCACCCCCTTCCCACCCTTTCCCCCAAGTCCCCAAAGTGCATTGTATTATTTTTATGCCTTTGTGTCCTCATAGCTTATTTCCCACATATCACTGAGTACATACAATATTTGGTTTTCCATTCCTGAGTTACTTCGCATAGAATAATAGTCTCCAATCTCATCCAGGTCACTGGAAATGCTGTTAATTCATTCCTTTTTATGGCTGAGTAGTATTCCATTGTATATATGTATATATACTACGGTTTCTTTATCCATTCATTGATTGTTGGGCATTTGGGTTGGTTCCACAATTTTGCAATTGTGAATCATGGCGCTATAAACATGCATGTGCAAGTATCTTTTTTGTATAATGATTTCTTTTCCTCTGGGTAGATAACTAGTAGTGGGATTGCTGGATCAAGTGGTATTTCTACCTTTAGCTATTTTAGGAATCTCCACACTGTTTTCCATAGTGGCTGTACTAGTTTCCAATCCCACCAGCAGTGTAGAAGTGTTCCTTGATCACCACATCCATGCCAACATCTACTGTTTTTTGAGTTTTTGATTATGGCCATTCTTGCAGAAGTAAGGTGGTATCGCATTGAGTTTTGATTTGCATTTCCCTGATCACTAGTGATGCTGAGCACGTTTCATATATCTGTTGGCCATTTGTATATCTTCTTTTGAGAATTGTTTATTCATGTCCTTAGCCCACTTTTGGATGGGAAGTTTTGTTTTTTCTTTGCTGATCTGTTTGAGTTCATTATAGATTCTGGATATTAGTCCTTTGTCAGATGTATAGATTATGAAGATTTTCTTCCAGTCTGTGGGTTGTCCGTTTACTCTGCTGACTATTCCTTTTACCATGGAAAAGCTCTTAAGTTTAATTAAGTCCCAACTATTTATCTTTGTTTTTATTGCATTTGCTTTTGGGTTCTTGGTCATGAAATCTTTGCCTAAGCCAGTGTCTAGAAGGTTTTTCCAATGTTATCTTCTAGAATCTTACATTTAAGTCCTTAATCCATCTTGAGTTGACTTTTGTATAAAGTGAGAGATGAGGATTCAGTTTCATTCTCCTACATGTGGCTAGCCAATTATCCCAGCACCATTTGTTGAAAAGGGTGTCATTTCCCCACTTTAAGTTTTCATTTGCTTTGTCAAAGGTCAGTTGGCTGTAAGTATTTGGGCTTATTTCTAGGTTCTCTAGTCTGTCCCATTGGCCTATGTGCCTGTTTTTATACCAGTACCACACTGTTTTGCTGACTATGGCCTTATAGTATAGCTTCAAGTCAGATAATGTGATGCCTCCAGATTTGTTATTTTTACTTAGTCTTGCTTTGGCTATGTGGGATCTTTTTTGGTTCCATATGAATTTTTAGAATTGTTTTCTCTAATTCCGTGAAGAATGATGGAGGTAGTTTAATGGGAGTTGCATTGAATTTGTAGATTGGTTTTGGTAGTGTGGTCATTTTCACAATATTGATTCTACCCATCCATTGGCATGGGATGTGTTTCCATTTGTTTGTGTCATCTATGATTTCTTTCAGCAGTGTTTTGTAGTTTTCTTTGTAGAGGTCTTCTGCCTCTTTGGTTAGGTATATTCCTAAGTTTTTGTTTTGTTTTGTTTTTTTGGGGTTTTTTTTGCAGCTATTGGAAAAGGAGTTTAGTTCTTGATTTGATTCTCCACTTGATCACTGATGGTGCATAGGAGAGCTACTGATTTGTGTACATTAATCTTGTATCTGCAAACTTTGCTGAATTCTTTTATCAGTTCTAGGAACTTTCTGGAGGAGTCTTTAGGGTTTTCTAGGTAAACGATCATATAGTCAGCAAACAGTGACAGTTTAACTTCCTTTTTACTGATTTGGATGCCCTTGATTTCTTTCTCTTGTCTGACTGCTCTGGCTAGGACTTCCAGTACTATGTTAAAGAGGAGTGGAGAGAGTGGGCATCCTTGTCTTGTTCCAGTTCTCAGGGGGGAAGGCTTTCAATTTTTCCCCATCTGTTATTATGTTGGCTGTGGGTTTGCCATAGATGGCTTTTATTACATTGAGGTATGCCCCCTGTATGCCAATTTTCCTGAGAGTTTTAATCATAAAGGGATGCTAGATTTAGACAAATGCTCTTTCTGCATCTGTTGAGATGATCATGTGATTTTTGTTTTTAATTCTGTTTATGTGCTGCATCACATTTATTGACTTGCATATGTTAAACCATCCCTGCATCCCTACTGTGAAACCCACTTGATGATGGTGGATTTTTTGATATATTTTTGGATTCAGTTAGCTAGCATTTTGTTAAGAATTTTTGCACCAAGTTCATCAAAAATATTGGTCTGTAGTTTTCTTTTTTGATTATGTCCTTTCTTGGTTTTGGTATTAGGGTGATGCTGGCTTCATAACATGATTTAGGGAGGGTTCCCTCTTTCTCTCTCTTGTGGAATAGTGTCAAAAGGATTGGTACAAATTCTTCTTTGAATGTCTGGTAGACTGCTGCTGTGAATCCATCTGGTCCTGGACTTTTTTTGTTGGTAATTTTTAAATTACCATTTCAATCTCACTACGTGTTATGGGTCTGTTCAGGGTATATAATTCTTTCTGATTTAAGCTAGGAGGGTTGTATTTTTCCAGGAACTCATTCATCTTTTCTAGGTTTTCTTGTTTATGTGCATAATGGTGTTCATAGTAGCCTTGAATGATCTTTTGTATTTCTGTGGTGTCAGTTGTAATATCTCCCGTTTCATTTCGTATTTAGATTGTTCGGATTTTCTCTCCCCTTTTCTTAGTTAATCTTGCTAATGGTCTATCAATTTTATTTACCTTTTCAAAGAACCAGTTTTTGTCTTATTTCTCTTTTGTATTTTTTTTGTTTCAATTCTATTTAGTTCTGCTCTGATCTTGGTTATTTCCTTTCTTCTGCTGGGCTTGGGTTTGATTTGTTCTTGTTTCTCGAACAAGGTGTGACCCTAGAATGTCTGTTTGTGGTCTTTCAGACTTTTTGACATAGGTGTTTAGGGCTATGAACTTTCCTCTTAACACCGCCTTTGCTGATCCCAAAGGTTTTGATAGCTTGTTTCATTAATGTCATTCCATTTTAAGAATTTTTTAATTTCCGTCTTGATTTTATTTTTGACCCAATGATCATTCAGGAGAACGTTATTTAATTTCCATGTAAATACATTTAAATTCATTGCTTCTTTGCTGACTTTCTGTCTTGATGACCTGTCTAGTGTTGTCAGTGGAGTATTGAAGTCCCCCACTATTATTGTGTTGCTATCTATCTCAATTCTTTGGTCTGTTAGTAACTGTTTTATAAATTTAGGAGCTCTGGTGTTAAGTGCATATATGTTTAGGATTGTGATATTTTCCTGTTGGACAAGGCCTTTTACCATTATATAATGTCCCTCTTGTCTTTTTTAACTGCTGTTGCTTTAAAGTTCGTTTTGTCTGATATAAGAATAGCTACCCTTGCTCACTTTTGGTGTCCATTTGCATGGAATGCCTTTTTCCACCCCTTTAAGTTTATGTGAGTCGTTATGTGCCAGGTGAGTCTATTGAATGCAGCAGATACTTGGTTGGTGATTTCTTATCCATTCTGTAGTTCTATATCTTTTAAGTGGAGCATTTAGGCCATTTACATTCAATGTTACTATTGATATGTGCGGTACCATTCCATTTATTGTGCTATTTGTTGCCTGTGTACCTTGTTTTTTTCTTTATTGTTTTTGCTTTTTAAATTGTATTTCTGTTTTACAGGTCTGTGAGATTTATGCTTTAAAGAGGTTCTGTTTTAATGTGTTTCCAGGATTTGTTTCTAAGATTTAGAGCTCCTTTTAGCAGTTTTTGTAGTGGTGAGGCGGGAAAATGAAGTCTGGAGGCAGGGAACATAAGGCCAATTCACACTTCAGTTATAACAGGAAATATCCTCTCCATAGGGCATACACCATGTAAATAACTTTGTAACTTTACTTCATTGTCTTCGTTTACAGAGGGCATACCCCAAGTAGAGGGTATTTAAATTCACAGAAACTCTGTAACAGGGCCTTTTAGCCCCTGTGCTTGGCCACTACCACACTGTGGAGTATACTTTCATTTTCAATAAATCCTTTTATTCCTTCCTTGCTTTGTTTGTGCATTTTGTCCAATTCTTTCTTCAAGATGCCAAGAACCTAGATACCCCCCACCATTAACATACCTTGGCGAGCCAGCCAGGAGGAAGAGGTAAGCCCAAAGTTTGGAATTTATTATTCTCCTTTCTCCTTTTCCTTTCTGCTCCATACAAGGGAATCTCTTTTCCTTTACAACCTGGGGCCCTTGGTGGGCAGCACCTAAACATGGAAGCAACTGCAGGTTTCTGGCCATGGCCAGTGAAACTGAGAGGTTTCCTCGTGGAGAAGCCTGACCACCACCACCGGTTTGCTTAAGGAACCTGGGTCACTTTCATTTTCTTTTCTTCTCTTTCTCTTACAGTCTTGCAGTGGCTGTTTTCCAGTAGCTCTTTGGAAATTGAGGGCAATTGGCTGGGGTCACTCCCGAGTACTGCCTGAAGGCCTAGAAATGAATGGGAATAATTGTCCTGCCCAGAAGGGGGAAGGACTTAATATATATATTTTATAATATATAATATGTATAATTATAATTAAATATACAATTATAATTATATATTATATATAATATATAATAATCTTTTCCGTGGTCCTTGATCCCTACATGAGGCAAAGCTTGGAGCAAACTCGCACATGTTTCAGTTTACCTCTTGAATCCTTTTTCAGGTAAATCAGGGATTTCTTCCTGGTTTGGATTCATTGCTGGTGAACTGGTGTGATTTAGGGGTGATGTTAAAGAGCCTTATTTTGTCATATTACCAGAGTTAGTTCTCTGGTTTCTTCTCATTCGGGTAGGCTGTGTCAGAGGGAAGGTCTAGGGCTGAAGGTTGTTGTTCAGATTCTTTTGTTTCATGGGGTGTTCCCCTGATATAGTACTCTCCCCTTTTTCCTATGGATGTGGCTTCCTGAGAGCTGAGCTGCAGTGATTGTTGTCTCTCTTCTGGGTCTAGCCACCCAGCAAGTTTACCTGGCTCTGCACTGGTACCGGGGGTTGTCTGCACAGAGTCTTGTGATGTGAACCATCTGTGGGTCTCTCAGCATGGATACCAGCGCCTGTTCTGGTGGAGGTGGCAGGGATGTGAAATGGGCTCTGTGAGGGTTCTTAGTTTTGGTGGTTTAATGTTCTATTTTTGTGCTGGTTGGCCTCCTGCCAGGAGGTGGCGCTTTCTAGAGAACATCAGCTATGGTAGTATGGAGAAGAACCGGTGGTGGGCAGGGCCCTAGAACTCCCAAGAGTATATGCCCTTTGTCTTCAGTTACCAGGGTGAGTAGGGAAGGACCATCAGGTGGGGGCAGGGCTGGGCATGTCTGAGCTCAGACTCTCCTTGGGCAGGTCTTGCTGATGCTGCTGTGGAGGGTGGGCATGAGGTTCTCAGGTCAATAGAGTTGCGTACCTAGGAGGATTATGGCTGCATCTGCTGCGTCATGCAGGTTGTCAGGGAAGTGGAGTAAAGCTGGCAGTCAAAGGCCTCATCCAGCTGTCATGCAATTCAAAGGGCCCCAGTCTCACTGCCACCATGCTCCCTCCAACAGCACCGAGTCTGTTTCCAGGCAGTGAGCAAGCAGGGCTGAGAACTTGCCCCAGGCTACCTGCTTCCCAGCTGTGAAAGAAAAGGGCTTTAGCTTTAGTTCTTCCCCCATCTATGGTGTCTGCACACCAGATTCCTGCCCTCCCCTGAGTTCTGGCCAGAAGGCTTCTCGCCCGGTTCAAATTGTTACAAAGTTCAGCTGGAGACTTTCTTCTCCTTGTGCCATTTTCCCCATGCCTCTGGGCACCGAAGGTTCCCTATGGTGCCAGGCAGGAATGGCCTGCTTGGGGACCCAGCGAGTTCCCAAGGCCTTTCCTGCTGCTTCCTCTACCCCTGTATTTTGCTTGGCTCTCTAAGTTGACTCAGCTCCGGGTAAGGTTGGAAACTTCTCCTGCAAACTAGACCTTCAGTTTCCCCAATGGGGGAGTGTGTTCAGGGGCAGATAATCTTGCTTTCCCACTTCCACAGATTGGGCACTCACAATATTTGGGGTGTCTCCCAGGTCCTGCAGGAGCAGTTTATACTGGTTTATTCCTGCAGTCTTTCTGAATCTAAAATTCATGATGTGAGCCTCCACACACTGCTCTGTCCATCCGAGACAGAGCTGCAATCTACTCCTGCCTCCTGTCTGCCATGATGATCCTGAATCTGTCTATGTGACTGTTTTTGAACCAGTACTGTGCTGCTTTGGTTGTTGTAGCCGTGTAGTATAGTTTGAAGCCCGGTAGCATGATGCCTCCAGCTTTGTTCTTTTTGCTTAGGATTGCCTTGGCTATTTGAACTCTTTTTTGGTTTCATACAAATGTTAAAATAGTTTTTTCTAATTCCGTGAAGAACATCATTGGTAGCTTGATAAGAATAGTATTCAATCTGTAAATTGCTTTGGGCAGTATGGTTATTTTAACAATATCGATTCTTCCTATCCATAAGCATGAAATGTTTTTCTATTTGTTTTGTGTCCTTTCTGATTTCTTTTGAAGAGTGTTTTGTAATTCTCATTGTAGAGAGATCTTTCACCTCACTAGTAACCTGTATTCCTAGGTATTTTATTCTTTTTGGGGCAATTGTGAATGGGATTGCCTTCCTGATTTGGCTCTCAGCTTGACTGTTGTTGGTGTATAGAAATGCTGGTAATTTTTGTATGTTGATTTTGTATCCAGAAACTTTGCTGAAATTGTTTATCAGCTTAAGGATCTTTGAGACTATGGGATTTTCTAGATATAGAATCATGTGGTCTGCAAACAGGGATAGCTTGACTTCCTCTCTTCCTATTTGGATGCGCTTGATTTCTTTATCTTTGCAGATTGCACTGGCCAGGACTTCCAATACTATGCTAAATAGGATTGGTGAAAGAGGGCATCCTTGTCTCATGCTGGTTTTCAAGAGGAATGCTTCCAGCTTTTGCCCACTCAGTATGAGGTTAACTGTGGGTTTGTCAAAGATGGCTCTTATTATTTTGATATATGTTCCTTCAGTACCTAGTATGTTGAGAGTTTTTAACATGAAGGGATGTTGAATTTTATCAAAATCCTTTTTCGCATCTATTGAGATAATCATGTGGTTTTTGTCTTTAGTTCTGTTTATGTTATATGATGAATTGCATTTATGATTTGCATAGGTTGAACCAACCTTGTATCCCAGGGTAAAGCCCAGTAGATCTTGGTGGATTAGCTTTTTAATGTGCCACTGAATTCAGTTTGCTAGTATTTTGTTGAGGAGTTTTGCATTAATGCTCATCAAGGATATTGGCTTGAAGTTTTCTTTTTTGTTGTTGTGTCTCTACCAGGTTTTAGTATCAGGATGATGCTGACCTCATACAGTGAGTTAAGGAGGAGTTCCTCCTCCTCAATTTTTGGAATAGTTTCAGTAGAAATCGTACCAGCTCTTCTTTGTACATCTGACAGAATTTGGTTGTGAATCTGTCCAGTGCTGTGCTTTTTTTGGTTGGTAGGCTATTTATTACTGATTCAATTTCAGAGCTTGTTATTGATCTGGAACAAATATTTCTTAAAAGAAGACATATAAGTGGCCAAGAAATAGGTGAAAAACGTTCAACATGACTAATCATCAGGGAAACACAGACAAGACTGCAATGAAATATTCTCTCACCATAGTTAGGATGCCAACTATCAAAAAGACAAAAAATAACATATACTGGTGAGGATGTGGAGAAAGGGAACTCAGATGCTGTTGGTGGGAATGCAAGCTAATACAGCCACTATGGAGAACAGTATAGCAGTTTCTCAAAAAACCACAAATAGAACCACCATAGGATCCACCAATCCCTCTACTGGACATTTACCCAAAGGAAAAGAAACAGTATATAAAAGAGACATCTGCACTCCAGTGTTTATTGCAGCACTATTCACAATAGCCAAGATACGGAATCAACATAGGTGTCCAACAACAGATGAATGAATAAAGAAAATGTAGTATATATATAATGGAAAACTATTCAGCCATAAAAGGAATGAAATCTTGTCATTTGTGGTAACAAGGATGAAAGTGGAGGCCATTATGTTAAGTGACATAAGCCAGGAACATAAACACTGCATGTTCTCACTCATATGTGAAAGCTTAAAGCAGCTCTCATAGAAGTAAAAAGTAGAATAGAGCATACTAGAGGCTTGGAAGGGAAATGGGGAGAGGATAATAGAAAGAGATTGGCTGAAGGAAACAAAATTATGACTAGATAGGAGAAATATGTTCTAGTGTTCCAAAGCACCATAGAATGACTATAGTTAACAATAATTTATAGTTTTAAATGGCTAAAAGGATATTGCATTTTCCCAAGACAAAAAAAAATGATAAATGCTTGAGATGATGGATATGCTAACTACCCTGATCTGATCACTATGGAGATTAGGGACAAGTATTGAAACATCACTAGGTACCACATAAATAGTATAATTATTATGTATCAATTAAATTAATTTTTAAATAAAAAAAGATATACTGATAAGGAAGGAAAATATAAAACTTTGTTTGCAGATGACGTAATTATCTATGTAGAAAATTCAAAAGAATCCATTCATTAAAACTGAGACCTAAGACGCAATTACAGCAAAGTTTCAGGATGCAAGGTGTTAAATCAAATTTAGCCTAAAGCTGCCTCCTTACATATTTTAAGTTCAACCTGAAGGTTTCTCTGTACATGAGCTATAATAAGTGGAGATGTAAACAGACTATAGACTACTCTTGTGTCAATTGCCAAGTTTTGGCCAATCACATGTGGCCAGCTTTTCAAACTGTGTTCAAATAAGGCAAACGCCAAGCTGTAACCAATCCAGCTGTTTCTGTACCTCACTTCCATTTTACGTACATTATTTTCCTTTTTCATCCATAAATCTTCTACCACTTGACTATGCTGGATTCTCTGAGCCCACTGTGGCTCAGGAGGCTGCCTGATTCACAAACTGTTCTTTGCTCAAATAAACTCTTTTAAATTTAATTTGACTGAAGTTTTTTTTTTTTTAACCAATGGTTAATATACAAAAGTTAATCACTTTCCTATATACTTGCAATGAACAAGTGGAATTTGAAATTCAAAGCTCAGTACCATTTACATTAGCATCCCCTTAAAAATAAAATACTTAAAAATAAATCTACAAAATATCAGCCAGGAATGGTGGCTCACATTGTAATCCCAGCACTGGCCAACACGGTGAAACCCCATTTCTACTAAAAACACAAAAATTAGGTTGGCATGGTGGCATGTGCCTATAATCCCAGCTACTCAGGAGGCCAAGGCAGGAGAATTGCTTGAACCCAGGAGGCAGAGATTGCAGTGAGCTGAGATTGTGCCACTGCACTCCAGCCTGGGTGACAGAGCTAAACTCCATCTCAAAAAAAAAAAAAAAAAAAAGAAAAAATAAATAAATCTAATAAAATATGTACAAGCTCTATATGAGAAACACCATAAAACTTTGTTTAAAAAAAAGAAAGAAAGAAATTGGGAGATATTCCATGTTCATGGGTAGAAAGACTCAATATTGTCAAGATGTGAGCTCTTCCCAAATTGATATA
This sequence comes from Homo sapiens, assembly GCF_000001405.40. Lineage (NCBI taxonomy): Eukaryota > Metazoa > Chordata > Mammalia > Primates > Hominidae > Homo > Homo sapiens. The sequence continues at coordinate 2,297,706 of NC_000018.10, forward strand.
TAAGCTCAATGTGAGCTTAGCCAAAATTCTAGCAAGTTATTCTATAGATTCTAAGAAACTGATTCTAAAGTTTACATAAAGGGGCAAAGACTCAGAATAGCCAACACAATATTAAATGAGAATAATAAAGTTGGAGGACTGATACTACACTACTATAAAATGAAAGGAATCCAAACAGTGATAGTGACAAATAATAGACAAGCAGATGAATGGAACAGAATACAGAACTCAGAAGTAGACCCATATAAATATAGTCAACCAGTCTTTGACAAAGAACAAGGGCAATACAATGAAGAAAAAATAATCTTTTCAACGAAAGGTGCTGAAACAACTGGACATTTACATACAAAAAAAATGAATCTAGAAACAAGCCTTACACCCTTCACAAAAATGATCTCAAAATGGATCACAGACTTAAATGTAAAATGCAAAACTTTAAAACTCCTAGAAGATAACATAGAAGAAAATCTAGACAATCTTGAATTTGGCAATGACCTTTCACATACAACACCAAATGCATAATCTGTGAAAGAAAGAACTGATAAATTGGACTTCATTAAAATTAAAAATTTCTACTTAGCGAAAGACAACATGAAGAGATGAAAAAGACAAGTCATAGACTAGGAGAAAGTATTTGCAAAAGACATATCTGATTAAAGACTTTTATCCAAAATATGCAAAATCTTAAAACCACAACAAGAAAACAACGTGATTTAAAAATGGTTGAAAGACCTTAATGGACACATCACCATAAAAGATATACAGATGGAAAATAAGCATATGAAAAGATGCAGCACGACATATATCATCAGACAAATGCAAATTAAAACAACAATAAGACACCACCACACATCTGTTAGAATGGCCAAAATCCAGAACACTGATACCACAAAAGACAGATGAGGATATGGAGCAAGAGGAACTCTCCTTCATTTCTGGTGGGAATGAAAAATGGTACAACCCCTTGGGAAAAACATTTTGGCAGTTTCTTACAAAACTAAAACTATTCTTACCATACAGTACAGCAATTGCACTCTTTAGTCCTTACCCAAAGGAATTGAACACATATCCACAAAAAAACTTGCACATGGATGTTTACATCAGCTTTATTCATAATTGCCAAAACTTGGAAGCAATTAAGATGTCCTTCAGTAGGTGAATGGAAAAACTATGGTACATCCAGACAATAAAATATTATTCAGCACTAAAAAGAAATGAGCTATCAAGCCATGAAAAGACATGGAGAAACCTTAAATGCACATAACTAAATGAAAAAAAGTCAAACTAGAAAGGCTACATGCTGTCAGTTTCCAAGTATATGAAATTCTGGAAAAGTTAAAACTATAGAACAGTGAAAAGATCCATGGTTTCCAGAAGTAAGGGGTGAGGGAGGAATGAATAGGCAGTGCACAGGGAAGATTTAGGGCAGTGAAAATACTGGGTATGGTACTGTAATGGTGGACACATGTCATTACACATTTGTCCATACCCATAGAATGTACAACAACAAGAGTGAACCCTAATGTAAACTACAGACTTTGGGTAACAATGATGTGTCATTGTAGGTTCATCAATTGTAACAGATGTACCACTCTGGTGAGGGATGTTGATAATGGGGGAAGCTATGCATGTGTTTAGGCAGGAGGTATATGGGAAATCTCCATACCTTCCTCTCAGTTTTACTGTAAACCTAAAACTGCTCTAAAAAAAAATTTTTTTTCAAAGTAAAAAATAATAACGGCCAACATTTTGTCAAATTTGATAAAAACTATAAACCAACACATCTAATATCTCAGCAAACCCCAAGCAGAGGAAACATAAAGAAAACAACATCCAGTCAAAACTATTTATAAAGGGAACCAAATCAGTCTAAACCACTGATAAAGAGGCCAGATGCAGTGGCTCATACCTGTAATTCCAGCACTTTGGGAGGCCGAGGTTGGTGGATCACCTGAGGTCAGGAGTTCAAGACCAGCCTGACCAACATGGTGAAACTCCATCTCTACTAATAACACAAAATTAGCCAGGCATAGTGGTGCACACCTGTAATCCCAGCTACTCGGGAGGCTGAGGCAGGAGAATCGCTTGAACTGGGGAGGCGGAGGTTGCAGTGAGCCAAGATCACACCATTGCACTCCAGCCTAGGCAATAAGAGCGAAACTCTGTCTCAAAAATAAATAAATAAGTAAAAAATAAAAAACTGATAAAGAGAAAATCTTCAAAGTAACACATTACATAGAGAGGAATAAGAGAAGGAAGATAGATGATTTCCCATCAGAAATAGAAAACAAACAGCGAGAGAGACTTAAACGTATTCATATCAACAATCACATTAAGTATAAATAAATGGTCCAAATATTCCAATTAAAAGGCAGAAACTGTCAGATTAGATTTCTAAAAAGCAAAATGCAACTATGTGCTCCCTGTAAGAATCACATTTAAATATATACACATAGGTAGGATAAAATTGAAAGGATGAAAAATGATAAATTATGTTAACATTATTTTCTTTAAAAAACTAAGTGGCTATATTAGTCCCACAAATAAGCAGATAAGAGTAAAAACAGATAAGATTCAAGACAATACTAGTTGGTAGGACTCAATTTTTATGGTTTATGTCTTTTTTTATACAGTAGATACACAAACAGAAACTCCTACTTTCTTGTGTATTCTGCTCTTGGTTTTGAATATTTCTTATTCAGTGCTTCCTTCCTGCACGAACAAACAGCATCAAGTACTGTTCATTGTTACTTATAAGAGAGGTGCAGTGAGCTTCAGCCTTCTTCATCAACTTAATGTAGAAAGTCTCATTTCTAAATATCTTCCTTGGATCTTTTTGCTAAAGGGTACACGATTCTAAGGCACAAACTTCTGCACTGCCTTGTCTTACTGGAATCCTCTATCAGAAAGGAAGCAAGTACAGAGGGAGAATAAGGCTGAAATTGGCTCTTTTATTAGCTGCCTTATCTATCAGCTAGAGAGTCTAACAAGCATGTATATCAATTTGGGTTCTTTTTTCAAAAGCAAAAGGGGCAAATTCCAGCTAAATTAAGCAAAAAGAGTAAGTTTATTGGAAAAATGCAAAGTAGTTTACAGAATCAGAAAAGAATTCCAAAAATCAGTCCTCAGGATGACAACCAGGGCACTCCTGAGGTATGGGAAGGAGATAGTAACAGACTTTTCAAGGCAAAACAATGGCCCTCCTCAAAGATGCTCACATCCTATTCCCTAGGACCTGTGAATATTTCATATTACATAACAAAGAGTGATTAAGCTTGCAGATGGAATCAAGATTGCTACTCATCTGACCTTAAAGCAGAGAGAGTAGCGTGGATTCCCAGGTGGGCTCAATTTTATCACAAGGGTCTTTAAAAGTGGAAAGGGGAGGCAGGCGAGCTGAGTCAGAGGAGAGGTGACGATGGGAGCAGCATCAGAGAGGGGCCCTATGAAAAGATTTCATCTGCCTTTCAAGATGGAGGAAGGGGAAAGGGGCCAAGGAAAGTAGGAGGCCTCTAGAAGCTGGAAAAGACAAGGAAACAGCTTCTCCTCACAGCCCTGCCAACACCTTAATATTAGCTCTGTGAAACCCCTGTCCAAATTCTGACCTTCAGAATTATTAATATAAGGCAATATTTATTGTCATGTTTTTGTAAGCCACCAAGTTTGTAGAAAGTTGTCACAGTAGCAATAGAAAAGCGGTAAATCAGGATGAATCAACTTCAATCAAATCCTTTGGGTTGTTCAGTACAGAGTCTAAATTCCAGGGAGAATATCGGATTGGCCTAACCTTGATCACATGACTATTTATTGGGCTGAGAGGGTTGTTATCTTGATTGACAGGGCCACCAAGATGAAAAAAATATTCCTCAAAGCAAAAGCCAAATCAGAGTATGTTACTAGAAGGGGCAATGGGTGCAATATAGGCAAAAACAACAGATGTTTCTACAGTGGAACAGACTTTCATCTTACCCAGAACATTCCCCCACAGGCAACACAGAGATAACCAAAGTTTCACCTGACTTGCCCAAGATTTTACTCCTTAGAAACAAATAAAACTACAACTATCATTAAAAGATCAAATCTGTTGAACAGGTATTTCTCTAAAGAATAATAAGAACCATGAAAAGATACTTAACATTGTAACATCTTTGCATTAGGGAACTGCAAATCAAAATCATAACAAAATAGTACTGCATGCTCATTAGGATGACTATAATCCAAAAGAATAAAAAAGAAAATAACAGGTGTTGGTAGGGATACAGATATAGAGAAACTGGAGCTCTCATGCCTTGCTGGGGGGCATGTAAAATGATTCTGCTGCTTTGGAAAACAGTTTGGTGGTTCCTCAAAAAGTTAAACATATAATCCAACAATTCCACCCAAAAGAATTGAAAGCAGGGTCTAGTACACCAACGTTCATAGCAGCTTTATTCACATCAAGCCAAAGGTGGAAGCAGCCCAAATGTCTACTGATGGATGAGTTGATACACAAAATGTGGTATATATATGCAATGGAATATTATGCAACCATAAGAAGATATGAAGCTCTGATGAAGCCAGACACAAAAGGACAAATATTGTGTGATTCCAGTTGCATTAAGTACCCAGAATAGTCAAATGCATAGAGACAGAATATAGCATAGAGGTGAACAGGGGCCTGGGGATGGGGGAAATGTGGACTTTTTGTTATGGGTACAAAGTTGTTTTTGTGATGATGAAAAAGTTCCAGAAATGGACAGTAGTGATGTGTGCACAACATTGTAAATGTACTTAATGCCATTGAATTATACACTTAAAAGTGGTTTTAAAAATCAAATCTGCATGGCTTATAAATGATTTCATTCATTTAATTATCAAATGTGTATTGAATGCCTCTACTAAATACTGGAGGTATAGTGGAGAGCAAGACAGGCTTAGCCTGTCCCCTAGAAGAGAAGGCAAGTCAAGTTTCCAGGGTGAAAATCTGTGTGTGTCAGCAGGACATGTACGATGGAAGAGGATGAATGTGACTGGAACACTCAGATATTTAGGGAGAATATTGCAAGGAATTTTAGGTGTGTCCTACCGGTCAATGATTAGTCACTGTTCTTTGCATTCCTTTAAAGAAACAGAAACACTCCATTTGCCTGCATGCTCCTGTTAGATATAGTGAACTCCAAGTTTCTCTTCAAAGAATCAGTATGTCACTATGTTCAGCTCTCTTTTTTTTTTGTTATACTTTAAGTTTTATTCTTTGATTCTCCATTTTAAACTTTAACTTTCTGGTTCTCTTCACCCGCTTGCCTCCAGTTTCAGTAAATAACTTCCCCGCCAGTTCTAATCAGTAGTTCACATCTGTTCCCCTGGTCACTTGCTCTGACCTGAATCATCCTGAGTTACCCGTTCTGTAACCGCCCCTCCCACCAAACTACTCACCCTGCCACTCCAGGTCATACCCCTGCTCTCTTTAAAATAGCCAGTGGGAATTAGCTTAGACTGTGCCCTCCAACCCTAGCCGATACTGGAACGACACGGCAGTAGGGGGAATAAGAACCCCCTCCCCTCCCTTGTCCAAATGTACACTTGCCATTACTCCATCCACAAGTTGCACCCTTCTCCAGAAGTAAAACTTGCCTTGCTGAGAAAATTAAATTTCTGTTCGAGTGCTATTTCTTCACCACACAGAGGAACAAGCATTTTGTTGCTAACACTCCTTAAAATCAGAGTAGGCTTCTGCTACTTTGTATCCACCATGATGTGCTTTGCACAGTATGTGCTCAGTACCTGTTTTAGAATTGGATTTGGAAGGCTGAAATGGGAGGATTGCTTGAGCTCAGGAGTTGGACACCAGCCTGGGCAACACGGTAAAACCCTGTCTCTACCAAAAATACAAAAATTAGCCAGGTATGGTGTGCACCTGTAGTCTCAGCTACTCAGGAGGCTGAGGTGGGAGGATCCCTTGAGCCTGGGAGGTGGAGGGAGGTTGCAGTGAGCTGTGGTCGAGCCACCACACTCCAGTCTGGGCAATGGAGCAAGACCCTGTCTCAAAAAAAAAAAAAAAAAAAAAAAAAGATTTGGATTTAATTTCCAACTAGAATCATTGGGGAGGGAAAGGGAAAAACTTTCAAACGTGAAAAATTTTTTGAAGTACTAGATTCTAACACTTCTGATTTGCTGGACTTCCACCCTACATATGTACCAAGGGTCCTCATGTGTTTTACTCCCTAGGCTGAGACTATTTGAGGAGAACATGGAGATCTTCATTCCATTTGGCAGTCCACTGCCTAACTGTTCCTCAAACATGACTCATGAGCAGCAGAACTTTTTTTTGCTCCTGGCAAAATGACCCTCTAGGTACTTCAGTGAACAGATCTCTAATTAGATTCTCTCTTAACAGTCCTTGTAAAGTTGGAGAGGGCTCACCAAGTAATTGGAAAAGTAGTTTAGACTCACAAAGGAAAATAGATTAGACATGTTTTTACAGTGTGCCTCTCAAGTCCAGCTGACTAATTTGCAGTAATTTTCTATTATTGTTTTAGTCTAGGTTTTCCTATTGGTTAAATTTAACTGAATGGGACAAACGAAATGAATGGCAAAGATGCATCATTTACTCTGGGAACCCTGCCTTTAATACTGTTTAATAATTTAATTTGTAGATGGTTAAATTATGTAAATTCCAAGAGGTGTAAAAGGTTCTGAAACTTTTGCTTCTACTGGGCTTTTTAACCCAAAGAATCAAAGGAAAGTTTTGTGACACAAATGACAATGACTTTATGCATTTGTTGTTGCTGCCGTTCTTCAACAAGGTATTAAGAGGCCAGCCATTTCCACAGTTTGCAGATATCAAATATGAATCATAACAGGAAAGCCCACATTCCTCTGATGTAGAAATAAATAGAAAGTGTGTAAGTCTTTCTACCTCTGCTCCATGTCTATTTCCTGATGGGCTGACTAGTTGGAGAGCAATCCCTCTGGAGCAGCTAGACTGACAAACTGAAAAAAATTAGTTGCTTTTATTTGTTTACACATTTTGCCATGGGAGTTTCCAGCAAGCATGTACAATAATAACTTGATAAGTAAATTATGCACTACATCTTATTTCAATTTCTTCTAAGTAAGTTCAACAGAGGAGCTTTCCTTGTTATCCTAAAATCATAAAATGGTAAAACATTCATTTCTGGTATACTTTTTGCTTTCTTTTATTATTCTGTGAGACAATGGCACTTTGTTTTGACAGATGTGACTGAAATATCCTGGCACAGTTGCAAATCAGATTCAGACCAACTAGTTGTAAAGCAAATAGCCAGATGATAGAATGTGTTATTAAGTATTTATGAAGTAATCTGGGAGAACATGCAGCTGGTCCCCTGCTCCTTAATAGATGGAAGAGTTGCCAGTATATTTCACTGATTGATTACATGAATTTCCTTGTTACAATGCTGTATTAAAAAAACGGGATTCTAATCACCTGATGCCTTTTCTCTCAATAACTGTCTTTCTGGAATAAAAAGGGTGCCTATTTTCCTACTAACAGCAGAAACAGCATTTGTTCCAGAGAAATTCTAAATAGACATATATTCAAATATAGATTGTATTCTAGAATTACTTAATTAGATTTGCCTCACTAAGAACTTTGTTTGAAATGAATCATGTTGTCAGTAAGTCACTATATGTAAGTCATAGATCTAGCTATTCTTTAATATACTGGGAAGATATCTTTAGATTTTTCTCAAAAAAAAAAAAAGTCAGCTTGTTTTCCCTGAAATACTGCATAAGCTCAAATGAATGAACAGAATTACATAAGCCTTTTCAGATAAATTTACTTTGAAGCCGAGAATATGTCCAAAACATGTTAGTCCAAAGCTGAACAGTATTGGAAAGTTCCAGTGATTATAAATAGAATTTCTAAATTGAAAATGTCATTTCAGCCTTCTTCTCCACCTCACTGCTGTGATTCTAATAATTGCTCTTGTTGCCTTAATTTCCTTTAGTACAGCGTGACCATTTCCTAGGATCATTGAGTACCGTGTGATCTTTTTCAGTTATATTCAGTAGCGTCATAAAGATTATCTGGTAGGGAAAAACACATACTCATAATATGAATAACTTTGCATAGGTGACCTTTAAAACCACTGGTTAGCTTTCTAAGACACCAACACCCGCAGTAGCAATGGTATCCTTGAAGCCACTTGAGGGTTCATTCCAGTGGTCATTTCCCCTTGCACCTTGGTATAATCTACACAGTAGTATCAAGGTGGGCAGTCTACAACCACAATTATTACAAGTAGTAATTATTCTGATGTACTGCTATGAAAAATTAAATATAGATTTGAAATTTAGGACCTAGATCGGGACAATAAAAATAATCAACTCAAATCATTTCTTTCAGCAAAGCCACAAGTGAAGACACATAACTTTCTCAAAACCCCAGGGCTATTTGGTTGCAGAGCTTAGAATAGAACAGGCATCTCCTACATCCAAGGTCAGTGTTAGACAGGCTACAGCTGATGGTTTTGACTGACACTTATAGAATAAATTATTCTGGAAATATTCTTCTACCATGACTATACTATCAGCCTCAGTATACAGTAAAAACAAACACACAAATATATGTTTAAATCACCGAGAAACAAGAATGGAAAAGATTCATTGTTTACTTCTTGTCAGCCTGAATTTTTATTACAGAAATACAGAAATGCTCATTAATAACTTTTACACACCAAGTAAACTCCAAAAACAGACCAAATAGCTGGTATTTAAGTCTGTTGCTATGTGTCTCTGAATAAGAAATGAGGACTTTTGAGTGGAATAACATAAAAGGATTTGTCTGAAAAGTCTGAGCCCTTTTACTTCACCTAGAAAGGAGGCCAGTGTCACACATCTATGGAAAAAATAAAAGTAAAAAAATTACACAGGAATAAAACACATTAATATCTTCTTCCTCAAAACTACACCAGTCAATAAAGAGTTCTTCTTTGGGTATATTTTCAGAGGATTTTAAGAACCTGCAGCATGAGAACAGGACCAAGCAGGTTTGAATAATTCATTTAAATAAAATCTGTGTACCCACTAATTCTCAGCAATACCTATGGGATCATTTGTATTTCCAAGTGCTCTAAGTTCATGTGGCAATAACACAATGCTCATTTGTTTATGATGGCCTCATCTGTTTTTAATTCTCCAGGTTTATGCTCTCAGGAACAATGCCAATATCCTATTCTTTTCTAAAAATTAACTTCCCTTTTCCCATTTCTTAAAAGATGTCTTTACTCATTCATTTATTGCAAATATTAACACCATCCAGCATTCTCTCCTTCATCAGCCCAATTCTTTAGCTCCAAATACATATTTTTCCGTCAGAAAATATACCTGTTTCCTCTCAAGGCCACCCCTGCTCTCCTGTCACCTCCCCCTCTCTGCCTTCTCACCATCTTCACCTTCTGTTCATTCATTCAACAAATATTTCTCTTCAATCACTCCATAGATTCTTGCCCCGCAGCCCAAAAATATGTTCTGGTTGTTCCTGAATGGAACAAAATCTTTACTTGATGCTAATGCCTTTTCAGGTTCTTTTTCAGTTGCTAACTTTGCCAGGCAAACTGAACATATCTACAAAAAAGTATATTACAATAGAATGCTTCAGGTCAGGGGGAAGTGTTCAAAATACACTGTATTTTAAAAGCAAACACAAAATAGTATAGATAGCATGATTCCAATTTGTGAAAAACGTGTGTTTGCAAAGGAAAAGGCATAAAACAGTGTGCACACATACCTAAGCAAAAAGAGATAGGTTCTCTGAGTAATAAAATTACATTTGATTTTTATTTCCTTTTCTTGTGTATTTTCTAAATTTTCAGAATTTTATCCTATGAATACATAATATTTGTAAATTGAAAAACCTTGAAATGAATGCTACTGATGGATTTGCTGAATGAACCTCTGTGCTCTGGTTTGATTCACAAGGCATCGGGACTCTCAAGGGCACTTTTATCTGCAGGGAATCTGCAATTCCAGGTGATACCATTTGGATATTTGTCCCCTTCCAAATCTCATGTTGAATTATAATCCCCATTGCTGGACATGGAGCCTAGTGGGAGACGTTTGAATCATGGGGCCAGATCCCTCATGGCCTGGTGCTGTCTTCATGATAGTGAGTTCTTGTGGTCATTCAAAAGTGTGTGGCACCTTCTTCCCACTCTTGCTCCTGCTTTAGCCATGTGATGTGTCTGCTTCCGCTTCACCTTCTGCGTAAAAGCTCCCTGAGGCCTCCTGAGAAGCTGAGCAGATGCTGGTGTCATGCTTCCTGTATTGTCTGCAGAACCAAGAGCCAATTAAACCTCTTTTCTTTATAAATTCCCCAGCATCAGGTATTCCTTTATAGCAGTGCAAGGATACTCTAATACACTAGGTCCTTCCCTTCTGTCCTCACCTCTCCCCCTTCTCTCCCACCAAGTGGGGACTCATCTCTCTCTCCTCTCTCTCTCTCTCTCTCTCTCTCATCTCAAATGGAGATGTCCCCAACTGTACTGTCCTCCATTCTGCTCCTGTCACTCTTCATTGATCTGTAAAGAATGACAGAATTCTTTCTTTATAACTTCAGCTATGACTTCTGTATAGATCCATTCTAAACATTCATTTCCAGCCCTTCACTGGATATTCCTCTCGAATGCTTCATTCAGCATTACCTCAAATTCAACATTCCAAAAATCTACTTCATCACTCCCCTCTCTTCCCAACCCAGTTCTTCTCTTAACCTTCCCTGCTTGTGCCGACGGCATCATTCATCTCGCAAAGATTATCGTTGAGGCTGCTTCCTTTTCCCTGTGTATTTTGCCAAGTGTTATGCATTTTTCTCTTCTTCTTTTGAATAGTCTTTTATGCTTTTCTTTCCATTGCCACTGCCACTATCTCAATTTGGGCCCTTCTCACTTTGTGCTTGGACTCCTGAAATCAGCCTTCTTAATATTCTCAACACCACACCCTCGACTTGCTGTCTCCCAAACACAAGTTGTTTCTCTCCTTGGACTCCACATCACCAGAAAGCTGGTGATAGTTCCTACAACATCACATGAAAGCTGGTTAAGAATGCAGAGTCCACTCCATCCTCTGGTACAGCCTCTGCATTTTAACAAGCCTGCTAGGTGATTCATGCATCCACTGATGTTTGAAAAGCACTGGTTTGTTTGTACAATGATGCCCACCCTTCTAAAGAGTCTTTTCTTATCTAGCCATATTCTCCCATCTCAGAGCTGTCCTTCTGAGGCTGTTCCAGTCTGACTTACCTGCTCTCATCCTTTACTGAATGCCTGTTGCAGGTTTCCTCTCATTTTGGTGCTTAATCATCTGTTTCTCTTTTCTCGAATGTGTCAGCCTTCCCCAGCTAGATTGCAATTGCCTGAGCAAAGGCTTGATATGATTTTTCTTGTACACCTTGGAAGATGATAAATGCTTATGGATCAAATATATTGGTTCAATACTTTTTGGGCTGAAATTCATTGAAGTGTTTTCATGTTTTAGAAACATTTGATTTTATTTATACCACATTCTACTGCCTTTTTAAAGCTTATTCCCTGCCTCAGAAGAATTCAGTGATATATTTATCTCCCTAAATAAAGTGATGGAAGTATTTTTACTTGTAGCAGGTTTTGCAACAAGGAATCGCTAATATTCATTGATTGTAGCAGGTTTCGCATGTACATGATTTTAGCATGTACTTGTAGCAGGTTTCGCAACAGGAATCGCTAATATTCATTGATTTCTATGTTCCAACCATTTTTTGGCTTACTGTATTTTTAAACCTTGCTACTCAGCTTTGAAATGTGTGCAGTTGTTTTCCAGCTCCATTTTGCAGATGGAGAAAACAAGGCATAGAGAGGTTAATGATCTTGCTAAGGTCACACAGCAGTAAGTGGTGAAGCTAAGATGGGAACCCACAATGATTATTAACCATTAGGTATACAGTCTACTTAATTTGCCCATATAATTAACATGCACTATTGATTCCAATTAATCAGAATAACAGGGAAAAGCCAAGAGATGTGAAGATTAATTACAGAATGCCTGTAAGACATTTTATTTCTTGAAAAATTAAATAGGTATAAAACACACTCCAGTTTGGGAGTGTTACGGAATTCTTCTCCATCGCTATTTACACATGCATGTGAATCTGTAAGAGCAGCTCCTGTCACTTTTATCATAAAGATAGAAGAGTTAAATGATAATCATTTCTTTGCAACCTTCAGGATCTGCTGGTAAGTTCCTGCCCTTGGGTAACTGATCTTTTACAGAAATTTTTTTTTCTGAGAAGCCTATACCAGAATAGTAATGTGTTGACTGAAGTGAATACCCTATGATGATTTTGTGATTGCTAGGAAATCTAAAGTAACCCAAATCTTTAGCAACAAAATTAAAGTTGGTAAGAAGAAGGTGCAAAGGTAGAGGAACAACCCGAACTGCATCTTCACACCTGAAGCATTACCGAAGCAGCAACGTAAACATTCAACTACATTCTATAGGATTTCAGAAGGAACATGTAAAACAATCCCCTTCATAACCACTGTATTTCAACAACGTGTGTTCTTTCCAAATAGATCATCCCACAGCAGGAAATGGTAGATAGGAAAAGCGGAGGTTCTAGGGAGGAGGCCAGCCTGATGTTGAATTCCAATTAACCTCAGGCAAGTTGCTCAGCTTCTAAGAACACCTGGTTTCTACTCTGGAACGTCAGGATAGAAGATCCCTCTTGCAAGGCTTTCTAAGAATAGAATAAATACAACATATGTAAATTTCCTGGTTTACAGGAGGTGCTCCAAATATTACAGCTAGCATTACCACTTCGAGCCCAGCAGTTACCAGAGTACTGCTGATTACAAATAGGAAAAGCAGTGCACTTTCTAAAAATGTACCTGCGGCAAACTTTAATAAACAAAATCCCCAGTCATTTCAAAAACAGGTAATTAGCAGATAAACTAAGAAGTTCACGGATAAAGAGACTGGCTGCAACAAAGAATTCTCAATAATTATAGGTTAGAATGGATGGGTGTTAAAGGCTTATCACAGCAATGCAGAAAAGGTACTGCCTGCTCGACTCCATGAGCTCTCCTCATTTTCTGTATCCTTTTCTAGAAAAGTTTGTACCCTGGTACTTAATACAGGAGTTATTAAGAAATAATTTTTAGGCAGCTATATAGGGTAAAGTTTCTCGGTGGAAACTAACAGAAAGGCGGCTTAAAGAGCCAGGCCAGCAAGCTTTGATATGCAAATACCAGCAAACAGAAACTGGGTCTACCCAACATGGTGATTCCCGCCATCTTCTCCTTGTCACCAGGTGTGGCAAGTGTCATGGCCACCCCGACATAACAGTATGTGTTCAAAACATCATGGCGACCCGCATTTGCATAGTAAAGGGCTAAGGTGGGAGGGCCAGATTTTTTCAGGGCTACGTGAAAGACACACATGGTTTAACCAGTCCCCTGGGCCTTATGCAAACTAGACACCACCTCCTTCAGCCTCCCAATATAATAGACCGCCCTTCTGCCGCACACAAGGTTTCTCTTTTGTCCAAGCCCTCCTCCTTTGTCTCTGTACAGGGGAGCTGTTCTCTTCTTTCTTCTTTCTTTCTTGCCTATTAAACTTTTCACTCCTCAAAACCACTCCACGTGTGTCTGTGACATTAACCCTACTGAAGCAAGACCGAGGACCCTGGTGTTCCTCCAGTCATCAGAGCTGTATCAGTACCAAGATTAAATTTGTAAAATCTCTCCTAGTTCCCTACATCTTATTTAAGAACTAAACATTGGTCCGGGCACAGTGGCTCACACCTGTAATCCCAGCACTTTGAAAGGCTGAGGTGGGTGGATCACTTGAGCCCAGGAGTTCAAGACCAGCATAGGGAACATAGTGAAACCCCATCTCTACAAAAAATTAGCTGGGTATGGTGGCACATGCTTGTAGTCCCAGCGACTCAGGAGGCTGAAGTGGGAGAATCACCTGAGCCCAGGAAGTCGAGATCACACCACTGCACTCCAGCCTGGGCATCAAAGTGAGACCCTATCTCAAAAAAAAAAAAAAATATATATATATATATATATATAAAGGAATTATACATCATTTTTATTTCTATCCAGTGTCGTGTCCCCAGGATAACAATCATGGGCTGTGAGGATTATTACATCAAGATGTTTTAAATAATTTTTTAAACAATGATTCCTCAAACTTCCCTGAAGCATGGATGATTATACATGTTCTGAAGTATTGGTGTGTGTGCCTGAATAAAGAAGCATGGGAAACAGAACTCTGGAACAAAGACAGTTAGGATATCAACTCTATAATGCCACAGTCATGGAGTCAAGAAGGGTTACTGTATTAACACTTGCTTGTAGTTTTATGAGTTTAAGGATGAGCCGTTTTGTTTTGTGGAAGACCACAATATGCTACCCCACAATATTCCTCTTTGGCATAAAGATCAGTCAGCTGATGGCATTTAAGAAGCAGATGCCAGTTGGGTGCCATGGCTCATGTCTGTAATTCCAGCACTTTGGGAGGCCAAGGAGAGAGGACCACTTGAGGCCAGGAGTCTGAAACCAGCCTAGGCAAAATAGCAAGACTCTATCTCTACCAAAAAAAAAAAAGAAAAAAAAATTAGAAATTAACTGACTGTGGTGGTGCACACCTGTAGTCCTAACTACTTGGGAGACTGAGGTGGGAGAATCACCTGAGACCAGGAGTTCAAGACTGGAGTGAACTATAATCGTGCCACTATACTCCAGCCTGGGGCACATAGTGAGATGCTGCCTCCAAAAAGAAAAAAGAAGAAGGAAGAAGAGGAGGAGTGGGGCAGGGGAGGAGGAAGAGAAAGAAGAGGAGGAGGAAGAAGGAAAAGAAGAAGGAGAAGGAACAGCAGATGCGGGAAAGCTCTCTGTTCTGTGTCTATGTGGCTTAAAGCAGGACATGAATTTACAAAGTCAAAAAATCTCACTTCCCCTCTCTAACAGGGAGAACGAAGGTTAACCACTGAAGACAATTTTAGACCCTTAAGGGCGTGAAGATTGCACCAGAGTGATCTATATTAACAAGCTCTACTAACCAGCCTTTATCTGCCAGTTATATGCCTTTCCCCACATTACTCCCGCTGGAGATGCAAAGCCCTCTTCCTTGTCTTGTCACTTCTCTAAACATTTACTGTTCTTTGTTGAAAACACCATATAAACTGGGATTCAAAACCACCTCTGTGAGAACTATTCATTCCCTGGGTGTCTCCCCTGTACATTGAAATATACATGTTAATAAACTTCTGCTTGTTTTTCTCTTGTGAATCTGTCTTTTGTTACAGGGATCTGTCCCAACTGAGAATTGATGAAGGTTGAGAAAAAAAGTCTTCTTCCTCTCTTACAGTTCCTTTTAAGAATTTACGCTGTTGGTGTACATAGACGCCATGTGTGTATGTTTTAGTTAGACAGGACCTTAGGAAGAGCTAGGAAGGTGGGTGAAGACTGCTAGTAACATTACAGGAAGTCCCTGCAACTTTCAGCTTGCTTCCATCACTAGTGGGAGGCATGCACAGGGGCACTTTTTTGGTCACAATATTAACAATCTAATAATAACAGAGAATCTAGTAGTTATATTTAGGGCAGGTGGAAGTGTTTCCTACCTTGCTAGTCTCATTTCTCAAGCATTGGGGCTTATAGTCAGAACCTTAACTGTTATATATCATAAAAAGGGCTAAAGCATAATGTGAAATTAATGGCCAATCTTCTCTGTAAATCTTCATCCCAGAGATCTGACAGTTTCTGTAGTATCAGTCAGAACTAAGGTTATTATTACCACTTACTCCTTCACTAAGGCAAATGCTACTCGGTTGCTAAATTATAGCTATTTTCGCAGTGTCACTGCAGAGCCTTCCAACGGAGAATCATTTCATAAATAGTAATTCTGTGTTGGTGTTGATTGTCAAGCAAATTTAAGATAGCTAGGGGAGCTCAACAGGTAAATTTGAAGGATTCACTGAAACTCATACCTTCCCTCCAAAATAAACTTGAACATGAATGCTATACCAACAAATAAATAGTTAAGATGAATGATGTTTAATATATAATTGCCAGACCAAAGATTTCATTCATGTGTGTGACAAATATTTCCTGTGTGCCCATCATGTGCCAGACACCATAGCGGTGCTAGAACCATGAACATGAAAGACTCAATCACTAGCCTCAGTAGTATACTGTCCAGAGTAACAGCTAGAAAGGAAATTGTTTGTTATTTAAAATAAACAAGCAGTTGGGTGCATGGTGATTTGTATCTGTAATCCCAGCACATTGAGAGGTGAAGGAGGGAGGATTGCTTAAGCCCAGGTATTTGAGACCAGCCTGGGCAACATAGTAAGAACTTATCTCTATAAAAAAAAAATTTTTTTTAATTAGGTGGGCATGGTGGTGCATTCCTATAGTCCCTGATACTCAGGAGGCTGAAGCAGGAAGATATCTTGAGTCCAGGAGATCAAGGCTGCAGTGAGCTGTCATCATGCCACTGCACTCCAGACTAGGCAAGAGAGTAAGACCCTATCTCTAAAAATAATTAATAAAATTTTAAAAATAGAGAGGCACCATGAACAGACTGGTGGGATCAGGGCAGGTCTCTGAGTAGAGAGTCTTTTAGCTGAATTGTGAAGGCCAATAGTTGAAAGAGGCTCTTTTTTTCTTTTCCATCCAGTGTAAAAGGGGACCAAGAGGGCTGCTAGCCGCTTGCACAGATGATCTCATTTAACCCATGAGGTAAGGACTATTATGTTCCTCTTCAACAGATTGAGAAACTGAGAGTTGGAGGAGTAAAGCAATTTGTCCAGAGTCACAAAGCTAGTGACAGAGCTCAGATGGGAGCCCTGAGAAGCTAGTCCTCCAGGCTTGCTTTCTCACTGTCTGCACATGGGCTATTTATTAAAGGTGGGAATGCAGGAAGGGGAGGCTGATGAAGCAGTTTGTGCTGAGTTCTGGCTGTCTGAAACTCAGGGTGCATCTGGCGGAGCGCTGGCAGCTCCAGCCCGTCAAGGCGTGGACCTGGCAATGAGGGGTGAATCTGCCCTGTAGGGAGCCAGCCTTTATTTTGCAGGTTCTCTGGGAAAGAGAGTGCTACTTTTTTCTAACATTTACAGGGTGTCTCCCAGAACTGGATCTCCATCTGCAGGCTGGTACTAACCCTCACAGGCAGAAGGACTAACTTCAATGTTCGGAGACAAAATGGATACAGGCAGGCCTAAAGGCCCTAATTCTGAGGCGTATCACATTCATGCTGCTGCTCGCTGATTCTAATATGGGCTCTTGTCCTAGTCCCATAATGCTGGCCTCACCATATACTCCATTTCTGGAATCAGATCCACAGTGTATTCTCTGTTCCGGTGGCCCAGATTCGGAAAAGTGCCCATAACACCACTCCCCAGGGACACCTGCTGCTGAATTCTGACTCCGGCATCGGCCAGGGTGCTCCATTCTACCAGGATTAACTGTTTCACAGCCTTTCCATTTGAGCTCAGAATCATTTAACCAAAGCACAAGTGATCCACTTTTAATTATGATACTGACAGGAAATCCAATATAGGGGAGAGAACATGGTGAGTTTGAAGCATTCTGCCTGGTATACTGTGACATCTGAACAAATTTGTATTGATGATTTGGACAGGATTTTAAAAGTAATAATCGGAGAACTAAACCATCTTGAACTATGAAGTTCAAAAACAGATAAAGTTAATTTATCGTGATAGAAGTCAGGAAAAATAGTTACCTCTTGGGAGAGAGTCTTACTGATTAGAAAGGAGCAAGAAGAAACTTTTGAGGTAAAGTAAAACGCGTTATATCTCACCTTGATCTGGTTAGTGGTTATACTTAATATTTGAGCATTGTGCTGCATGTAAATTACCTCAATTTTCCAAGCACAAAAATAAAAGAGGATAGACAAGATTTTGAGAACGGATTCATTTTATCTGTTCCTGCTTTTCAAACACAACTATCCTTAACCACTAAAGACAGATGAACATCTGTACAGAAATGGCTTTTCCTCTACAAAAGCAAATATTCTTACCTCTCACCGTCAAATCCTACTATTAATAGTTTTATTTGGTGAAAAGCAGAATTATTTATTTAGGGTCAAAAAAGGACAAATTTTTCAAACATTTTCTTCTGTGATCTAAAAAAGGAAGCATAACTAGTAGGAATTAACAAAGGGCAAGGCCTAAATTCACCTACATTTTTGTAATTGAAAATTGATTACATTAAGTCGTCAACAATGACGCCGTTTAGTGTTGCTTGGCTGTCTGCCTAAGCATTGGTTAGTAAAAGAATGGTTTTGAAACAAAGTTACCACATTATTATAACCTCTTTATGCTCTTTTAATTTTTCTCCTCATGATACTTTTGTCCTCCACCTCAGGCTTTAAATGTTGCTCATTTCTTATATTGTAAATTAAATACTGCATTTTAACCTCTGAAATATAAATTATTGTGAAAATTCAGTAATTCAGTAAGAATAATTACCAGCCGTGAAATATATTAACTGCCACATACCTACTATATAGAACTGAATAAGGTCAACTAATTAACTTTCCTTGTGGGTGTCATTCAGAAATGACTAAGGGGTGAAATCATGTTAAGCTAAAATAAGTCGAGACAATGAATTGCTTAATGGTGTCTGAGCTGAATTCTGATTGCCTGTGTAAACAATTCATCAATCTTACCATCTTCTAGGGACTTGGGGGAAATCATTCCCTATCCCCTGACACAAAATAAATATGAAAAAGTTCAACTGTAAGTTTCTGGTTTTCAAGTACACTAAACAACAGAAAATTGAAATGAATTCTCACTTATTCTCAAAATTGGATTTTGTCACAAGATGACATGTTATATTTAGCGTATAACAAGCTATTGGCTGGGTTTGGTGAAGACTGTTCCAGCAATTACAAGATTTAATTTTTAAGGGACTTATTCTCTGTCTCCCCATCTCTGTCCAAAAAATAAAGTAAGGTTTGGTCCTAAAGTGAAAATCTGGCATTGCATATATGTTGTTAAATTAGTAAATGAATTTAATCATGGAAATATGGTTTCAGCATGTTTTGTAAAGTTGGGGTGTGAGTAACTTCTCAAAGTGTTACAGTAGTTGGCTAGTCAGGTATGAGCAGGGCAGCAGTGGCCACACACACACACACACACACACACACACACACATCAGGCAACCATCAGGTCATGGTCAGGCAGTTGTTAACTGTCTTTCTAAAGTAATAATTGGTCACAGCCAACACCAGGGAAAGGCAGTCTCTTAATAGATAGAAAACACCTAAAACTGGTGATCAGCAGCTTCCTGATAAGATCCCAGGAGTTGGGCGAGGGGGGTAAAGTAACACAAGACCTCAGAAGTATGCCAATGTGTAAAAGTCCAAAGGTCAAATCATGCGCTTGCCTTTCAGGTCACCCACTTGGCCCTCTTCCAAGTGTACTTTCCTTCCGATCATTCCTGCTCTAAAGCTTTTTAATAAACTTCCACTTCTGCTCTAAAACAATCTCTCCTTCTGCCTTATACCCCTCAGTTGAATTCTTTCTTCTGACAAGGCAAGAATTGAGGTTGCTGCAGTACTGTATGGATACAAATTCACCAGCAACGAAAACAATGAAGGAATAAGTTTAGTTATAGAATGTTGTCTTCAATACCAACTCCACTACAAATCTGCCACTTTATAAGATCATTTGGACCTAGTGATGATCCAGCATTTGTGACCTCTGTATTCCAATAAAACGCTTGTTAGACTAAATGGTAATTATATGTTAATATGTATCTGTTGACACATATTGGGTGTGAATACATGAATGATGTATTCATTATTCTTACCTCCTCTCTTCTTGTATTTTGTAATACCTGATTCATTCCAAATAAATTATCACTTCATTTCTCATTTTTCCCACAATGCCTCTGACTCTGGCTTCCTCTTGCAAGTTTATCCCATAATATCATTATATTACTGGGTCCAGAATCTACTTCAATTGGTTCTGCTTTTAATTCCATAATAGTTTCATTTAATTTTGTCTCTCATCTTGCTAACTTTTTGTTTGTTTGTTTTTTTAGGAGACAGGATCTCACTCTGTTGCCCAGGCTAGAGTGCAGTGCCAGGCTAGAGTGCAGTGGTATGATCATAGCCACTGCAGCCTCCATCTCCTGGGCTCAAGCGATCCTCCCACCCCAGCCCCTTGAGTAACTACAGAGGCACACCACCATACCCAGCTAATGTTTTTTGTTTGTTTTTTATTTTTGTAGAAAAGAGGTCTCACTATGTTGACCAAGCTGGTTTTGAACTCCTGGCCTCAAGCCATCCTCTCATCTTGACCTCCCAAAGTACTAGAGTTACAAGCATGAGCCACCATGCCCACCTTTTTGCTAACTTTTATTGCATTCGTCTAAATTGGCCCTGACTTTAGGATCATGAAGGCAAAATAGTTTTCACAAAATACTAGAATGTGGACACCATCATCTAGGTGCACCCCTTCATTTACCAGGAGAGGAAATTGAGACCCACAGATAATATGTGACTTGCCTCAAGTCATACATTATTTTTTCTCAGTTCTGCTTTCTTTAGTTGTATTATAATTAAATACTTCTGCCAAAGAATTTGTCTCACTGGAGAGATATGAAAGTAAGGGATAGACAGAGTAAAAGAGGCTATGGAAATAGAGCTGCCCTCACAGATTAGAAAAATGGGCAGCAGCTGCTCTTATGTCAAGCTTAAGACAAGCCTAATGTGTAAGATATTGGTGCCAACTGCATCCCTGAGAGCCTGAAATACTCCAACAGGAAATCAATTCTTTTGTGCTCCAAAATGTTGACTATAGTAGAATTTGTCATATTTTTTCTTCTTGCTTTTTCAAGTTTTTGATAATCACTATGCATCATCTTTATGACCAGATGAAATAAAATTAGCTGTATTTTTCATAGACCAGCCTTTTTATTTTAACTTCAGAATCCTTTATTAGGCCTGATGCAGTGGCTCATGCCTGTAATCCCAACACTTTGGGAAACCAAGGCAGGAAGATTGCTTGATGCCAGGAGTTTGAGACCAGCCTGGGCAACATAGCTAGACCCCATCTCAACAACAACAAAACATTTTAATTAGCCAGGTGTGGTGACACACACCTGCAGTCCCAGCTACTTGAGAAGCAGAGGTGGGAGGATTACTTGAGCCCAGGAATTGAAGGCTGCAGTGAGCTATGATCATGCCATTGCACTCCAGCCTGGTTAACACAGCAAGACTCCATCTCTAAAAAACAAAACAAAAAACAACAAACAAACAAAAAAAATTCAATGCAAACATGCCCTTAGAGGGCAAATCTCTTGAGATTCACAGACCACCTTGTCTGGTGACTTGCCAACCAGGTCAGCTACCTGGGAACATCATTGGTGTAGGGGAGTGAAATGCCGGCACAGGCCAAGAGGCCAACTAAGAAGAGGAAGAGAGAAGACACCAGAGACAAGCTTTGTCCAATTTTGAGTTTGGCCTAAAGTACAGTATGGCAAACAATGGCCAAGGGACAAATCCAGCCATCATCTGCTCTTATAAATAACTGTATTACAACATGATCCCCTTCGGTGTTTATCTATTGCCTGTGGCTAATTTCTTACAGCAGTGTTAAGCAATTGGGACAGAGACAGTATGGCCCACCCTTTCCAGAAGGGCCTCTAAAATCACAACCAATATGACCTGGCTGGCACCTACTCCAAAGTCATCCCACTCAACAGGTGTCAAAGAGAATGATATGCCTCCCCACCGTATGCATTAAACATGTGACTTAAGACCTTCCTCTACACATGTATAGCCTACATGTTCAATAGCTTCCTTTCTTCGTAATGATAGCTCCATTGATAGACTAATATGAAGGCTTATGAAGCCAATGAAAATAATATGTGACCTATTTACATGAAGATGATGTTTAAAAAGCAAAATAAAAGAACAAAATAAAAGAAGCAAAGTGCCTTCTTTTTAAAGCGTAACTATATATCTATAACCCATATCAACTCATTTGATAGGTTTTGTATTTTTGTCACACCCAAATCTCATGTTGAAATGTAATCCCCAGTGTTGGAGATGAGTCCTGGTGGGAGGTGATTGGACCATAGGGGCAGATCTCTCATGAATGATATAGCACCATCCCCATGATAATGAGTGTGTTCTCACTATGAGTTCACACAAGATCCAGTTGTTTAAAAGAGTGTGGCACAACCTCCTCTCTCTCTTGCTCCTGCTCTTGCTGTGTGACATGCCTGCTTTCACTTTCCCTTCCACCTTAAGTAAAAACTCCCTGAGGCCTCCCCAGAAGCCGAGCAGATGCTGGCACCATGCTTATACAGCTTGCAGAACTATGAGCCAATTAAATTTCTTTTCTTTATCAACTATCCAGCCTCAGGTATTTCTTTATAGCAATGAAAGAATGCCTTAACACATCATTCTAGAACATTTCAAATAAACTGAGAAATAAACTAAGCTATTATTTTGGGTTTTGTAAATATGGCTTTTACCCTTTATCTGATTCTATACTGATATCTACAACAATTCCCACATACCTGTGTGCCTTTGTCTTTGTTTCAACACTTGAAATGTCCTCTCTTTCCCTTCCTTCCATGTATCCAAATGTAGCTCATTGTTCAAGCCCTGTCTTTTCCAGAAGCCATGTGTTAATGATTCAATCTCACATGGATTTTCCCCTGACTCCTATGGGACGTAGAGTTAGCATCACATAATTTAAAATAATTTTTGTCTTCATTTTAAACCGTAATTTATACTCCTTAAGGCTCCAATACGTTATATTCATTAGTAAAATTCAAGTAATTATGGAGCTCCTGCCACTTTTCTATGTGCTGGAGATACAGCTGTGAAAAGGCAGACAAAGGCCTGATGCCCATAGGATTTATATTCTGTTTAAGAGAGAGTGACAACAAGTCATAAACTATTAAATAGATAACATGTCAGGTGAGGATACAAACTATGAAGAAAGATAAAGCGGAATCAAGGAGACAGAGAGTAAAAGAGTGGAAGCCTCTCAAAAGGTGACATTTCAGCAGGAACATGCAGGAAGCAGGGGAGCAAGCCATGAAATTGTTCAGAAAAGAGTTCTCTAGGCTGAAGGAGCAAT
Organism: Homo sapiens; assembly: GCF_000001405.40. Lineage (NCBI taxonomy): Eukaryota > Metazoa > Chordata > Mammalia > Primates > Hominidae > Homo > Homo sapiens. Next base: position 2,320,840 of record NC_000018.10, read on the forward strand.
AGGTGGAGAGGCCCTGAGGAAGGAGCTTGCTTGGCTTGTTCAAGTAGCTACTGTGTCTGGAATAAAGACAGCAAGTCCCAGGAGGCAGTAAGGGCTCTGTCAGCTTTCCCAAGGTCTTTTGTTTTGAGTCTGAATGAGATGAATGATCAGAAAATGGGTCTAAGCAGGGAAAGACCATGACGTGCCCTATCTTTTAATAGGACCACTCCGGGTGCCTGTGCTGAGAAAAAACAATAGTGGCACAGGAGTGCAATCCAAAGGACTAGTTAGGAGGTAACAGATGATTGTGCTCGGACCAGGCTTATAGTGGTAGAGAAGTTGAGATGTGGTTGACTCCAGACATATTTCAAAGATAGACCCTGAAAATTTTGCTGTGGGACTAAAGATGATGGGAAAAAAGTGAGGACTGGGAAATGAGAAACACGCTATTAGAAATCTGAGACAGGAAAGACAGAGAGTGGAGGAAGAATGTGGGAACAGTCAGTAGGAATTTGCATCATTACTTCGTGTAATAAAAAACTCAAGATATGATGGATAATACCTCAATAATAACTCAGTAACAATACATCAAAGGTGTGATTATGTGGAAGGCTCTGAATATGTTTTGCCAAGTTGCTTTCAAAAATACTTATACAATGCCAAAAATAGTCCTCCTATGTACACACAATAAAATGGAAAACCCCACTGAATAACATACAACAAAAGAAAATAAAATTTATAGACAAAAAATTAATACAAAATGTCCAAAAACTATATGAATAAAACTGCAAACTTAAAGACACAAAAATAGATGTGAAAAAATAAGACATAACCTTATTCTTGCATAAGAAGTTCAACATCATAAAGATTTTATTCTCCTTTTATTACCATCTAAATGTAATGTGATACCAATAAAAACTATCAAGTTTTCTCCCCTCTAGAACCAAGCAATTTGAATAGAAAGTCCTTTTGAAAGGATGTACATTCAAGAATAATCAGAAAGATTCAAGAAGAGAAGAATAAAGAGGAAGAAAGCTAGCCTTACCAAAAATAGAACATATCACAGTTTCTGTAAAATAGAAGAGTGTGGTATGGGTACATGAACAGACAAACAGATAAAGGAAACAAAGTAGAGAATTCAGAAATTGCATACGGAAATGTAGGATATGATAAAGTCGTATGAGTATAGTGTATGATAAGGGCAAAGCAGTTGAAACAAACTGATTTTTTTAATACCTGGCATTGAGACAATAGAATCAGATTCCTCAATTCATATAGCAAGATAATACTAAATGGACAAGAAATATACATGTAAAAAACAACATCACAAAAGCAGTAGAAGAAAACATGAATGAATTCCTTTATGATTTGGGACTGGGTAAAATTTTTCTAACCATGATTCAATTTGGTATCGATGATAAAAGAAATTGATAAAATGGATTGCATAAAAATTTTTGTAAAAGTATTTTGTGACAAAAACAAAATCAAAAGCAAACTAAACAGATGACAAATTGATTTTTAAATTGTTATGTATATAACAAAGATTAAAAACACTATTATAGAAATAACCTTTAAAAATAGGAAAATGTTAACACCCCAGTAAAAAAATGATGAAAGATACAGAGTTCACAGAAAAAAGGCTAACAATTCTTAATCATATAAAAAGATGCCAATCTTACTCAACATAAAAGGAATAATAAATAAAATTTCACTGAGATACTATTCTTCGAATATCAGATTGGCAAAAAATTCTAAATTAACAAGACTCTTTAATAAGATTGTAGGGAAACAGGCTTTCTCATGCATTTATGAGGGAATATTACAAAGTAGAACACCTTTGGAGAAGAATCTGACAATATCTAGAATAATTACATATGCAATTTGCCTTTAACCCAGAAATCCCACTTCTAGGTATTTAACCCAAACATATGCTAAAAAAAAAAAAAAAATGCAAAATGACGCATGCATAAGGTTTCTTACTGTAGCACCATTGGCAAAGCCAAAGACTGGACCCAGCTGTCCATCAAAAGGGGATTTTTGTATACATTATTGTACAGTCACGCAATGGAGTATCACAGCTGTAAAAAAGAATGTGAATGTCTCGATATATCTATACATAGCTGTGGATGGTTTGCCAAAAATAGCATTAAGTGAGAAAAGCATCGTGAAGTACTGTGTATAGTATGCTACTATTTGTGTAAAAGAGAAGGATTCGTGTATACATTTGCTTCTATTAAAAATACAAAAAGATATATCAAAAATGAATACACATTGTTAGCATAAGGCAGGTAGGAAGGGGAAGAGAAAAAAGTATAGAGGGGACAAAGATGGAAGCTAGTCTTCTCTGAAAGTAACCCATGGAGTTTTGACTTTAGAACGATGCAAATGTTTTACATAATTACAAAACAAAATCAAATCAAAATGAAAACATTAATATCTAAAATCAAAAGCAAAATAGATAAAGAAATCTAACTGTGTGTGTGACATCTGTAGCTTCTCGATATAGAGAATAATTATTTCAAATAGTTTAAAACATGGCAATTTAGTAATATATTCCTACTGGGAAATACCTTAAGAACAACTAGAACTGCAAGTAAATTCTAAGCCATGTTTGATAATTGTATTTTTTTTTTTTTTGAGACAAAGTCTGGCTCTGTTGCCCAGGTTGGAGTGCAGTGGCACGATCTCAGCTCACTGCAACCTCCACCTCCCAGGATCCTGGATTCAAGTGATTCTCCTGCCTCAGTCTCCCAAGGAGCTGGGATTACAGGCATGCACCACCACACCCGGCTAATTTTTGTATTTTTAGTAGAGACAGGGTTTCACCATGTTGGCCAGGCTGGTCTCAAACTCCTGACCTCAGATGACCCACCCGCCTTGGCCTCCCAAAGAGTAAAATTACAAGCGTAAGCCACCACGCCTGGCTGCTGGTAATTGTATTTTTATAGTAATATTGGTGTTGATATTTTAAAATTATAGGTTAAAACATATAAGTATTATTTACTGTAATTAAGAAACAAGGTTTTTAATGTAAGAGTACAAACCTATAAATAAAAGTAGTTTCTGTAACACAGTATTTCTGAATTTAGAATATAAGTATTATTTCATGATATATTTTCTCTTTTTAAAAAAATACAAGCATATTTGCTTGCTTTGCTTTTTCACTGAAAAAGTCTAGAAACAGCAACAAACCCATTAGCTATGAACACCCCCCAGCACTAAGACTGTTATACCAAAATATCATTTGCTCCTTAAAATAATTCTTTTTAAAATAACCGTTTTTTTAATGAGCCTAGAATATAAAACGGTATACCAGAAAACAAGAAAACTAAAAGGTACTGCTAGCACCATGTCAACAGGATAATGGATTCAACTTAAAGTGGCTGTCATTGGCCAAAGATGAGTTACATAGAACATCAAGATACTAATAATTAGCATAATGTAATAGATTGGAAAACCTAAAATACGTGAAAAATCATGAGTTTAGGTTTTCATTGATTATTTTTGTGTACTATCCAGGGTTCTCCAAAAAATAAAACCTATAGAAGGTATAGAGAAAAATATTTATTATAAGGAATTGGCTGATGCAATTTATAGAGGCTGACAAGTCCCAAGATCTGTAGGAGAAGTCATCAAACATGAGACCCAGGAGAGCCAATACTTTAGTTCCAGTCCAAGTCCAAAAGCCTGAGAAACAGTTTCAGTTCAAGTTCAAAGATAGGGAAAAGCTAATATCCAGCTCAATGCAGGGAGGAAGAGTTCCCTCTCACTTGAAGGAGGGTTGACCTTTTTGTTTTATTCAGACCTTCAACTAGTTGGATGAGGCCAACCCACATTGATAAGGGCAATCTGAGTCAACTGACTCAAATGTTAATCTCATCCAAAAACCCCTTCACAGACACACCCAGAATAATATTTGACCAAATGTCTGGGCACCCTGTAGCTCAGTCAAGTTGACACATAAAATTCACCATCACATTTAGGAACAAACTCATTATTCTAAAAATTACTAAATAAGGGAAAAAATCAGGCATTTATCCTGTCTTTCTAGTACAAAATGTGCCTATGGATATCCATAGCTGATGACACAAACATCTATATAAAATAATTCCAGTATCAAATGCAGTATACATTATAGAATTAGAGTATCTTGGTTTTGCAACTTCTTGTAAAATAATGGATCTAGACCAGGGGTAAGCAAACTATAATGTTTGGCCAAATTTGGTTTCCTCCTGTTTTTGTATGGTTCAGGAACTAAGAATGGTTTTCACATTTTAAAACGGTTGGGGAAAAGAGTCCCAAACAATAACATTACTTGATATATGAAAAATATATGAAATTTAAACTTTAGTGTCTTTAAGTAAAGTTTATTGGGACACAGCCAGGCTCATTAGTTTGCATGTTGTCTATGGCTGCCTTTACAATACAACTGAAAAGTTGAATCCATATGGCTTTCAAAGCTTAAAATATTTCCTGTCTGGTCCTTTGAGGAAAGTGTTTGCTCAACCTCAATCTAGAAAATAATCATCAGTGGCTGAAAAAAAAAAAAAAACCCCAGTTAGGTGAAATACTGATGGGGAACTTTATAGGGGAGGAATGAGGCAGAACGCAGTGAGCAATCACTGGAGAACCATGACTAGCCCAGGTGAACTAGGATGACTGTATTTCAGACAAGGGTAGAAAACAAAAAAATGGAGCTGGGCCCCAAAGAGTTAAAGAAACTAATGACTAACAGAAATTCCTCGGTTTGCAAAATGGCAGATAAGAAAAGAAACAACTTGCCTAAGCACTGAAACTCCCTCTGCTTGTAAGATAACAAAACTGGCTGAAGTCAGTTCGAACCAATACCGCCAGCTAGAGATTGCACAGAATGAGCTTGCTGATGTTACAGCCTAAATTTCCACTGTATGTTTTATGCTAACTGCCCTGAATTTGCACAAGGGATCCATGAAGAAGCATGAACAGATAAATGCATATGCCTGAGGACTTTCCAAACCTTTCCTTTCCTTCCATCAATCACCTACTAATCTCAGAATCCACCCCTTTAATCTTTTCTAATAAAATTACTGTCTTAAAGCCAGCACAGGAAGATAGATTTGAGCTGGATTCCTGTCTCTTTGTTAGTCAACTTGTTATAAAAAACTTTTCCTTTCTCAAAAAACTAGTGCCATAATATTGGCTTCTAGTGCATTGAGCAGTGAGCCCCTTTTGCTTGGTAACTAACAGAAATAGCAGGTTGATGACTGTGGAGAGAAAATTAACTGTCTAGGGCCCACAGTGTGAGTTTGCAATGACGGTGAAACATCCACATGAATTTGGTGGTAGATAACTGAAAGCACTGGTCTAGGGATAATGGGTCAGCTCTAAAGAGAGTCTTCTATGAATAATGGAGTGGAAGTCATGGGAATTGATACAACTCAAGAAGAGCAAACAGATGGAGAGTAAAATCCTGGATGACACTTCATTTACAGCTGGATGGAGGAAGGAGAGCAGAGTTAAGAAACTGACCACAGGGTCCATGCTGAACTCGAAATGAAGTGAAGCCAAAGTGACCTAAAAATTAGAACAAGAAAGGGAAAAAAGAATGACTTGGAAATCTAGATATTTTTATGTGTTTTGAATATCACATTCGTTATAGAAAGAGTGAGAAAGGTGAAAGGATTGGAATTTGTGATTGTAAAATGAGTTCTTGAAGTCTAAGATTTAGGAGGTAAAGCAGTTCTAATTGGTCATGAAGTTCAGAGCGTGAGCTATTGGGTAAGTTGTGAAAGTGGATTCGAGGTGTGAGCCACCAGGGTAGAAGATGAGGTCAAAGATGTGAGGTTACGGTTTGGAAAGCTCATCCACATGAATATTGAAATCACTCAAGGCAAAGGTAAGCATAGCTGGTTGAGACAGGAAAAACATGAGCTTCTTTCTCCAGCTCCTCATCCAGGGGGATCACTAAACCCCCTTCCCTTTTTGATGGTCTGGCCTCACTGACCAGTGCTGACCAACAGCCTCTGCAGGCTTCTGCATCTCAGACTCACAGGCATGTTCTCATCTGCTACCTCAGAGCAGAAACTCCACTTCTCCCCCTGTCAGAATTTTTTCAGTCGTATTTCAGTATTTCAAGACTAAAGGGGATATATTTGGTCACATAAACCATATACTGGCTTTCTCAGTGGCTTGTGTGGCAGACACAGTGATGCCCCTCTCAGGTCACCCCTTGAGAAAGGACTAGCTGCCCAGCACTCAGAGCATGATTAGTTACCTTCCAGCTGGTAGCTCCGGCATGATCAGCATCAACTTCTGAGCCACGATCATGTTTCTCTCCATGCAACCCCCAGCCAAAGACTGAGCAAGGCATTTGGAGCAGAGGCTGTCTTTCGGGATCAGACCACAGTCAGTGACTGACCAAATCTTTGGTACAAGGATCTAATTGTTTCCATGCAACAGGAAACTCCTCTAGTGAGACGTTTTTTTCTCCAGAGCTCCCCGTGGGCTGGCAAACTTTGTCAGGTCTGCCTTGTGGTCCAAAAGCTCTCCCAGCCCAATCTGGTTTCTTCCCGTTTCTTTTCTTTTCTTTTTCTTTTTTTTTAAGACACAGTCTCACTATGTCACCCAGTCTGGAGTGCAGTGATGTGATCTTGGCTCACTGCAACCTCCGCCTCCCGGGTTCAAGCGATTCTCCTGCCTCAGCCTCCTGAGTAGCTGGGATTACAGGTGCACAACCGCACCCAGCTAATTTTTGTATTTTTAGTAAAGACGGGGTTTTGCTGTGCTGGCCAGGATGTTCTCAAACTCCTAATCTCAAGTGATCCACCCATCTCCTCCTCCCAAAGTGCTGGGGTTACAGGCATAAGCCACCATGCTTGGCCACCTTTTTCTTTCACTAGTGTTACTCCTCAGCAAACCTTCTGTCTTCCTAACTCTGGCTCAGCATCTGCATCCTAGGAAACCCATCCAGAGAGCTTGATGCTGGAGAGCCAAGAACACGACCAGGATCTGATTCCTGTCTTTCCACCTCCTGGCTGCAAAGTCCTCAGTATTGACACCGTGCTTAGAATCTATGTGGTAGTGGCTGGGCACAGTGGCTCACACCTGTAATCTCAGGACTTTGGGAGGCCGAAGTGGGTGGTCAGGAGTTCGAGACCAGCCTGGCCAACATGGTGAAACCTCATCTCTACTAAAATACAAAAATTAGACTGGTGTCATGGTGCGTGCCTGTAATCCCAGCTACTCGGGAGGCTGAGGCATGAGAATCGCTTGAACCCAGGAGGTGGAGGTTGCAGTGAGCTGAGGTTGCACCACTGCACTCCAGCTTGGATGACAGAGTGAGACTCTGTCTAAAAAAAAAAAAAAAGAAAGAAAGAAAAGAAAAAAGAATCTATGTGGTAGTGAGACAGCTGTAGCTCTTCACATACTTTCTGGTTTGAGTCTAGTAGAAGAGAAAAACTCTCTTCCTGAAACCTCAAAAATGTCTCATTGTTTGTTTGCTATTTTCATTCATAAACCAAACATTGTGACCAGGGGAATAACAAAGGCTAACTGATTTAGGCCAACAAGGGCCCATCCGTGGAACTAAGTGTGTGATCCACCTGCATGTGCTGAGAATGAGACTTCTCCAAACAAAAACAAAAATGGGACTCTTCAGAGTGGCTTTCTTCTCTATCTGTTAGCCCTCTGGCTCCTACCTCTGCAACTGGGACCTTGAAAATAGCTAGCATTCCTCCTGAATGGTACAATTCTGCCCCAGAACCTCAGCGAAAAAGCTGAAGATTCTGCTTCTGCAAGAAAAGATACCTTTTGCCAACTGCCTGCCTCACCAGGAATCCATTCCACAAGCCTTCCACTGAGTTCTGCCACACCTTGAAGAGCACTTGTCTTCTGCAAGATCACTGTTAACCCCTGCAGCATTTGCCTCAATCTCTTCGAATTACTAATGGAACAAATCCACATACATTTGGGGGTCTCATTTGGTCTGCTCTGAGGCTGACCCTTGTAAGCCTCAGACACCTTGATTTGAGTCCCCACCGATGTCTTTGTCAGTTTCCACAGTGTGTGTGGGAAAGTCAAATTAGACCTGAACCCAGAACCCCTCCTCTCTGGCTTTCAGTAATGCTGAAGTAAATCACATGATTTATCATTTCCCTGATATTAAAAGTAATCAATGAAAATATACAAATTTGTTAATTTCAACTAATTCAAATTGAGCTTCAGGACTTCTACCCTTTAAAAGAAACACTGACTCTTGGCCAAAAATGCAGAGGTTTTTTGGTGGCTTTAAGGGCATTTCCCCCAACATTGGATATGTAATCTTATTGTTGCAGTAATAACCAGAGTTCTACAAGCAAACTTAGGTCCAAGAGAAAAATATAGACCACAGGCCGGGCGCAGTGGCTCAAGTTTATAACTTCAGCACTTTAGGGAGCCAAGGCAGGTGGATGGCTTTAGCCCAGAAGTTCGAGACCAGCCTGGGCAACATGGTGAAACCCTGTCTACAACAAATAGAAAAGTTAGCTGGGTGTGGTGGTGCGTGCCTGTAGTTGCAGCTACTCAGGAGGCTGAGGTGGGAGGATTGCCTGAGCCCAGCAGGTTAAGGTTGCAGTGAGCCCTGATGGTGCCTCTCAGCCTGGGCAACAGAGTGAGACTCTATCTCAAAAAAAGAGAGAGAGACAGACAGAGAGAGAAATGTACACCCTTAGAACCTAATCAAAGTATAGAACTTAGTTGTATTGCTTAATATGACATAATCAGTCCCACTTAACTTAGTCAGAATATACTGATAGTGAATTAGTTATTTATGCCCAGTTTTTACTTAACAAATGGTTTTATGAAAAAAAAAAAAAGAAACAAAAGCTCAACTCTTAATGCACACCACAGTACTCAGGCCTGTTCAGAAAGGGACAGATAATGAAAAACAGAACATTAAACAGAACCATAGTGTTTTTTCTTTACCACTTCATTTGGTGAGAGAGAATGTACTTGCTTAATGCAATTTGCTGGAGGACAGAAGATACAATACACTTCCTTAGAATGTTTTTGCCTTCCCTCTTGCTGCCTTTCTGCCTTTTGTTTGCTTGCTTACCAGCTCCTGTGGCTGGCTGCTAGACAACCAAATGAGAGCATCAGGCAGGGAATGGTTGTGTTGGCATTAAATCACCTGAAAAAATGTGGTAGATCATGTGATATGAAATGTATACATATATATATTGAACTTGGAAAAACATTATTTTTACTCTGATTTTATTTCTTGAAATCTGATTTTGAAATCAATTTCTGGGCCATTACTTTAAAATGAATTTTCCAAATACAAAAGGCAGATTGTTTCATTCAAAAGTAGGCAATGCAAGAAAGTGTTAAAGAATAATTTCTTACGACCATGGCTAAATGAAGTTTTAAACAAGACTTATGCAATTCTTAAACTTCAGCCGGCTCCCCTACGTATTATTCTTGTTTCATCTTGCTCCCTCACACATCTCTCTCTATAGGGTTTGTTTATGGCTAAATAGCTATTCCACAGTCTCAAGCTCCTTAGACATTTCTGCTATTGCTTTGTAAAATCACCCTTTGCTCCAAAGGAACCATGCATTTGTTATGGGGACCCTAAAGAGTCTACAGTTGGCAAGTGGCAGCAGATCCCAGCTGCTGACACTTCCAAACTATAATTGTCATCATAGCATTACTTCAGCTTCTCACATCTAAATGCATTTCTAATTCCCTCTCTTTGTCTCTCATCCCACCTCCCTTTCTCCCAAAGGATTGCCTTCCTCTAATAGCAGTCTTGGAATTATCATCTGCTATTCTCTCGTGACATGCACAGAATACACAAAATTTATAATTTATGAATGGAAACATCTCCAAAGACTGAATGGAACACCAAGGGTAATCCAGGTTTCACATCTGTAAAGCGGGTTAGAAAATCTCATCCCCTTCTGTTCCTCTGGTTGGTGTGAGTGCAGCAGCCAGCCCTGCCACTCTACCAAGTGACAACTGACTTTACTGATCATTTGAGTTTACTGCCAAGGCAGGAAAATCCAGTCAAAGCTTTCAAAAGGTCTGAGCATCCACGAAGGATTTTTGGAGGAGCAAGGGTATTTATTATATGACCTCACCTGTCTTTAAAGTGATTGACAGTCCATAAAATTGAGTTGTCTCCACAAGCTCATTCATAATCCATGCCACATCTTTTGGTACCGTCAGATAAAGTTGTCAGCACATAGTAATTCACAAGTGGCTGTCTCAAATTCTTTGTTGGAGAATATATAAAGCACCTTCCCCCCAAATATCTCAAGGAATTGCTTAGAGGATCTGAAGTATATCCTACCATTAGTATTTAAGTCAAATGTTACCTCTTCATTTGCAGGAGGACATAATATACACTGGTGGAAATTTTAAGCTCATTTAACAGCCATGATTCACATTATTAATGATGCAAATTGATCATATTACAAACCATAAATACAAAATTCCCTTCCATGCTATTCTTAGACAATCTCTAGGTGCAGATTTTTTTTAAAAAAGTAAACTGAGACAAGCAAGATTTTTTTTTTACCAGTCCCAGTTCATAAAAATTAGTAATGAAATTAGAAAGATAATTGTGAGGTTGGGATTCAGCTAATAATTAGGAATTCTTAAGGACTGACTCATTCTTCGAAAGTTAAATGGTTTAATAGTCCATCAATAGTCCAACTATTGTCCATCCATATTTTATCTATTAATTGTCAATGGTAAATTAAAACAATAATTAGAAGCATTCCCAAGGACTTAAAAGTGACAGAAATTTGATTGCAGCAAAGCTGGTAAACACACACACAATTAGAGGAATGCACTTCAAGACAGCTCCTCTGAGAGTAATCCAGATATTGGATAATTGGATAACCAGAGGATTTGCAAATACCTAACACGCAATCCAAACAGACTGGATGAAATAGCATAGCGAATGGATTAGAACATGTTTAAAAGTAAATAAACAGAAACAACCCATACTGTTGTAATTTACGTGGAGGAAGACTCTAAAAACAAAATCGCAATGGTGAGCTTGGAACCTAGAAATGGGAAGTGGAAGAAATGAGACCTTGGCAATATTTATCTGGCACTGCCCTGGGAGAAGAAGACTAAATCCAGGAAAATCAAATTTCCCTAGCGAGACAACATGGCTTTTCAAGAATGTCAGCTTTGGACTCCCACCACCCCAGTTTGAATCCAGCCCCCGAGACTTGCCAGTCTCATAACTTTAGGAGATTAACTTACACTCTGGCTCCTCCGCTTTCTCACCTGCTTAGTGTTCAGCAGACTTTCTTTTGGCAGCAGTGAGACATTACTTTGCAAATTAGTGGGTCTGCATCTTCCTATTTGTCAGTGATTTATCGGTTACTTCAATTGTCTTAGCTTTGGCTCTTCTTGGCTGTGTTCACCATGGCCTACACTCAGAGACTTTTCAGCCGTATGCTATTTGGGGACTTTTCAGGGGTTATGATTACTGGGAAGCTAATAGCAGTATTCCTCAGACATTCCTTTTTACATATAACAGTAAGTATTAATTAACTGCCTGAGTTTACAAGGACTAAAATATGATCCTTATTTTACTAGGGACTTGCAACCTAATTTACAAACAACTGTCATAGTTGTTTCAACCCCAAAGTGTTTGTGGTGGGAAGTGCAGTTAAAAGAGTTAAACTAAGTGAACAAGAGCCACCATAGAAGTTGGCTGTCACCCACCTAGTATGGAAGAGTGAGAAAAGAGTCTAAGTCCATATATTATAGTTCAAAGAGTGTTAGGAAATATCAACTCAAAAAGAAAAAAAAAAACTAACAAAAGTGAAAAACTGTTACAGGGTAAAATGAATAAAGGAACAATACCAACGTTTCAAAACGACTAAGTCTTTAAAAATCAAGTGGATCATCAGAGCTGGAATATGGCAACCTAAAGAAAATTCACAGAGCCTAGGAACTGGACAACAGTCCCCTAGGAAGAGGCCAGCATGATCCAGGTGCCCAGGTCAAGTTCCCCGGTCTGGAGACTAAGATACAGAGCCAGATTCCAAGCTTCAAGGGAGCTATTTACAGGTGAGATTTAGTAACAAGGTCACTTGAACATACCAGGTACAACAATTCCAAGGTGACCCCAAGAACCATCAGCCCCATGATGGGTGGTTAGCTGACTATTACCCAGGAAAACTTGAGTCTGGAAAGAAATGGTATTCATGCATCCACAAGTCATTAATGCATGCATTCAGTCATTCATTGACACTCAAACTCTCTATTGAGAATCTGCTAATAGAGAAGAATTTGTTCTCCCTCACTCCTGGTTCTCATGAGGAGGGATTTTCCCAAAGCACATTCCTAAATTCCCTCTAATTTCCTTTGCTCACTCCATCCCTGGGAGGTGGAGGGACTTAGCTAATTAATTAACTTGGGAAGAATAAACAGCCATGCTTTGCTCCACTCTGCCTATTTTTCTTTCAGGAATGAGATTAGCAGGCCTATCTGCTTCTCACCCTTCACTATGACCTACAATTTAGCCTCTGGTAATACTAAAATTTTCTTACACTTCACTTTATGTCTCAATTTGTTTAGAATTCTTGGAGGGAAGAGATGTACTTAATATGTACAAAATGTTGCAAACACTGCTCTGGGCACTGAATACATATTTATCCACTTCACAGTTCTGCATGGAGTTTAGAGTGCAATGAGTTTGAGCTGCATTCTGAAATTGGAACAAGTAAAGAGATAAGCATTCTACAAAAAACAAGGCTGTGGGCAGTCTCAAAGTTGGCAGTGCTCATTATGCAAATAGGAATTGATCAATAAGGCTCACTGCAGAAGCAAGAGAATCCTTCTCCCTACCTTCAGCTCTCCTTTCCTGGAGTGGATTAGGAGATTAAAGAACCTCTGAGGGGCACAGTGGCTCATGTCTGTCATCCCAGCAATTTGGGAGGCTGGGGCAGGAAGGTCACTTGAGCCCGGGAGACCACAATCAGCCGGGGAAACATAGTGAGACCCCACCTCTACAAAAACTTTGAAAAATTACCCAGGCAAATATATATATATATTTACATATGCATATGTAGTCCCAGCTATTCAGGAGGCTAGATAGGAGGATCTCTTGAGCCCAGGAGGTTGAGGCTGCAGTGAGCCATGATTGCACCACTGCACTCCGGCCTGCGTGACAGAGAAAGACCCTGTCTCAAAATAAATAAATAAAATAAAAGAACCTCTGTGTTTATCCATGTAAATGTGTACCCATTCTTTTTATTTTGGATACTCTCAATAATGGCCACAACACCAAATTTGAACCTCAGGGGTAAATAAAGTATCCCAATTCTCTAGAATCCCCACCCTTCTCTACTCTTCATGGACCGACCTAATGGCCCAGAATATCTTGAGATTCATTTCTATAAACAGAATTCTCTTTTTCTATAGAGAATGTTATTAAATGGTTTGCCCATGGCCTTAGCTATTTAAAAATTATCTATGCTCAAAATATATTTCTCCTTGAGGCGAAGAAGACACCACCCCATCACAATCTAGCTAACTTTATTACACTGTCTTATAAAATGCATTGTCCAGAAGTTCTAAAATCCCTACTTCTCCTCACCTTATGAAGGAAAAACATATAGGGAATATTTCTGGGAAGAAGATTTGTTACTTTTAAATTACAAGTATTTCTGAGAACCAGTGCTGTAGGTTTAAAAACCACAAGTTCCCTGCAAAAATCCAAACAATTATCCTCAAAAATGTATCTGTTAGTACTGCATTACAAAAAAATCATCACTGTAAAATCTCTTATATCCCTCGCACAGTGCAAGGTGGGAGCTTGATAGGAATTAAACAATTTAAGACACTTTACAAATGAAGTCTTTATACGTGGTATTTGGTTCGAATGATCCTCAGAAATCTTTTTTTCAATATGTGACTGAAAGCATATGTTGTATTTAATTATATAAAATATAATTATGGTATTGTAGGTAGAGAAGACTGATTATAAGACAGTAAGATTTCATTTTTCTTTATACATATTGTTTAAACATATTTTTTAAAAAACAGTCTGGAGGTCCTACATACTAAACTGGTAATGGTTGTTATCTCTGAATAACAGGATTGCAGGATTTGTTTTCCTTTTTTTCTTTGTGCTTTTTGGTATTTTCTAAATGTTCTAAAATGAGCATGTATAAGAATAGACCATTATTTTTAAAGATATATGTGAAAAGTGTGCTTAACCCTTCTTATTTTTTTCTGCTTCTATCTGGTCTCTCGGAGTACTCACCTGCTAACTGCCACATTGCCAGTTCCCACTCAAACCATCCCCACTGCAAAGACTCCGTAGAGATGATGAACACCAACGCTAATTACCTGTGGATAAATTTTGAAAATTCAGATTATCCTAAAGACATCCACACATACAACATGAGCAGATTTTTTGCATTTTTCTGAGCTTATAGAATCCCTTCTGAGTCCGATAATCAAAGATATTCTCAAACATTTCACTTAAAAGTTGCAACTATAAGAAGTAAATATGTTTAAACTTCTAATGATTTGGGCTGAAAATACACATTGGTACATTGGTAAACAAAGAGCTAGATATAGTCATTAAAAACGAAAGAAACCAGTCTGGTGTGGTGTCCCACGCCTGTAATCCCAGCATTTTGGGAAGACCAAGAATGGCAGATCACCTGAGGTCAGGAGTTCGAGACCAGCCTGGCCAACATGGTGAAACCCCATCTCTACTAAAAATACAAAATTTAGCCAGGTGTGGTGGTGGGTGCCTGTAATCCCAACTACTTGGGATGCTAAGGCAGGATAATCCCTTGAACCCGGGAGGCGGATGTTGCAGTGGCTGAGATCGTGCCACTGCACTTCAGCCCAGGCAACAAAAGTGAAACTCTGTCTCAAAAAAAAAAAAAAAAAAAAGAAATAAACCAAAGACCTGGTTCATTACTACCAAACGAAGACCTTGTTTATTACTACTAAATTGTGCTCTGCATATATGCACATTAACTCAATGAGGGGAAATAAATGCAATTTCTGTACAAAGCCTCCCATGGTAGATCAAGAGTCACCAACTAAAAGATGCATAGAACTATTCCCATATTTAAACTTATATTTCCACTGTTTTATGAAAAAAAAGCCTGACTTGCAATATAGCTTTCTTTTATAAAATGTCTATTACTTATTTAGTTGAAATTTTCAAGTGCAAATATCACAATGGCCTTGGGTGTTATATTGGTGCAGGTAACCTCTTTTGCTTTATGTCTCTTTATGATCTTTTATGAATATTGATATTAACGGATCAAAACTGCAGGTTCATGAATTCAGAACTGTGAACTTCTGCTTTCTATTATCTGCCAGCCACCAGCTACCTTACTGGCTAGTCACTTTACCTCTAGAACTGCTCCTACCATTGTAAATGAGTAGGCTGCACTGGATTATGCTTACATTTTCTTCCAGCTCTAGATTTCTCAAAATCAAAGAAATATCTTCACTCTATCTTTAGTTCCTTCATTTTATAACTCTAAAGGGGAAAACGATCTTTCAGCTTTCTAAGTACATCTAAATGCATTACCTCACTTGCCCCCTCACCACACTCCTGCAAGGTAAAACATCTCTTCTGAAGTATCTCTCTGCAGGTGTAATAGACAGAACACAGAAGACTGGCCAGGTATTGGGCTATGTACCGTGCATTCAAGAACTAGTCAGCTGAAGTTCTTGGACTCATCTAGCTAGGCATTTGCAGTCTGGTAACAACCTTATGATTTCTACCTAAGTGGCACAAATATGTGTAGCTTAGCACAGCACAGCTCACCTTGTTTGACCTGCTCCTTTAAAATAACCTGGTCCAAATGCCTCCCTTTATAGATGAGAATCTAAAGGTCTCTCCCAAAAACACAGTTCAAAAGCATTGTCTCTTTCTATCTGAGTGTCTTTCTTCCTCAATCAACTGTGCCCTTCCAGAATGAATAATTTCCTCCAGGGGCCAGGGAAACAGAGGAAGTAAATTCCACTGAATCCCTCTGTAAATGGTGTGTAGTTTTTCTGGTTGTCAGGTCTTTCCTTTTAAAGGTCACTCTTCCTTGGTAAGAAATTTTCTGATGCAATTGTTGGAAGTAAACTGAGTTGTTTACAGAATGCAGAAGATATGTGATGTGCATGGATGCTTTTCTCTGTAGTCTTTTTCATTTTTTGATATCTTATATACATTGTAAAACTTAGAAATATGAAAAGTATGACAAATAAATAAAACTTATGAAAAATTATAAATAATACTTTTTAAGTCAACATTTTATCACATAAGATATGCTTGTCCTGTGGATAACTCTGCAGTTTCTTATCTTACAAAGGTCATACTCAATGTTTTTAACCTAAATACCAACACTCTTATCCTTGCTCTCATCTTTCTTGTATTCCTCACAGACAGTGAGGGAACTTCTTGCCCAGAAGGAACCTGAATAGAAGGTGACCAACCCAGTAGAATACACCACAGCTCAGGAGAAATGAGCAGATAACAATAATAACTAAAACTGTGGAGCATTTACTTAATGCCAGGAAACTGCTCTAAGTGTTTGATTGTATTAATTCATTTACCCTCCAAAAAACCTCAGAAGATGGGGAATGGGTCCTAAAAAGTACAGGACGCTGGACACAGTCAATGGAGACAGAGACAAGGGACAAGTTCTGGATGAGCTGGAAGGTGACAGTACACAGTGAAGGCAAGGAAGCAAGGCAGAAGAGAGGCGAATGTATTCCTTTTCCCCATGTGCTCACGTCCCCCATACGTACCCACCAAGGACACAGCTGAGTAACTGATACCTAGTACATGCCCAATAGTATGTGAGTTGAATGAAAAACAGTGCAAAGGACCCTTTATAACCCACTGGTCAAAGAAACTAAAGTTGGGTATGACTTTCAAGGTCACCTGGAACAGCCATCCATCCATCCACCACATGGAGGCACTAGCGAGCATCGACACTAGTCTAGTTGCTTTCGAAGTCCATATCCATTATTACCTAGTGAGGAAATTATTATTGTTTCTGTTTTACAGACAGGCACTAGCAAGCATCGACACTAGTCTAGTTGCTTTCGAAGTCCATATCCATTATTACCTAGTGAGGAAATTATTATTGTTTCTGTTTTACAGATGAGAGAACTGAGACTTGACAGGATTAAATAAATTAACCCTTGTAAGTTTACATACTTAATAGGTAGACCTATCTGGATTCAAAGCCAGATACTCTAACTGCAAGACCAACACCCTTTCCACTAAACCAAACTTTGAATTTACTATAGAGAGAGCAATATATGATCAAAGTACAGGAAAATGTATAGGGTTTATTGAAAATGGTCAGAATTTCATTATGTTTATCTTAAATTTAAGGAATTTCACATTGCAAAATATGAATGTAATGATACCGATTTGAGATAAAAAAGTGTAAACTCTACAGCTGAATGTTTTACATCATTCAACACTAATTATTTTAAATATCTGGATCTAATTTAGTTAACAATAAGAAATATGTTGTTACAGCATATAAACTATAATCATATTCTCTCTTTCCTCCTTCTGTCCCTTATCTTAAAGATTTACCCACTATAACAGAATATAATAGCAAATTATGTATAAGTAGAAATTCAATCTTGGCCAAAATTGTAGTCCCTAGAGTTTAGACACCCACAATGTGTAGTATATTTCCCTTTAATGTGCCATCATAATTTTAATTTGGGGGAAAAAATAGAATTTTTTCATAGAAATCTCCTCTAGTAAGGCAATATTAACTGTTCAAATTTTCTGAACGTTTAGCAAAGCTGGGAAAAGATTACACATATTGATTAACTCATTTATTAAAGATCAGCAAACAAAATTAAACGTAGTTCACACTTTTTCCATTGTCATATCTTTAGAGATTCTAAAGAAAGAACATGGTTTTCCTGGTGATTAACAAACTAGGTGTAGCTTTCGCCATAGACTGGAGGCTAAAGAGGATGTGGTCTAGAAGCTTTCCTAGAAATCAGGGGGCAAGCTTTTGCTATCATGGGCTCCATGTTACCACAGTATAATAGTTCTGACTCAAGGAAGCAACAGGAAGAGGCAGGTTTTCCTAGTGACCATCCCTGTAACATTCTTTTAGAAAAGATTTTAAGAGGCAAATATTTTAGACCTTGACCACACAATACAACAGAATTGACCTTTTTCAGAACGGTTCTTTATTTTTAGAGGAAGGTCATTTTAGGATTGGTTTAAACATAAGATATCTATTTGATTACAGTTGATTCAATTCCGCTATGAAAATGTCTGAAGTTTTGGATTGACTGTTCTTCGGGCTTATTTTTCTGTCTAGACATAACCTAAATGGCAGACGACAAGAGGCTCCGTAAATATCAGTTGTATCTGCAAACCGAAAGGCGGCCTTGGGCCACACATTTGTCATTTCCACCACACTTACACAAAGAGTATGTCAATCTCAGCCTTGCTCAGCCCTGCTCAGTATCAGGCCCTAAAGAGCTTCAGCTGGAAAAAAGTAGTTACATTCAATCTTTGTGTCAATTCTAACCAAATCTGTTGGATATTTAGCACCTCGCCTTCTCCAGGAGGTGAGGAGAGAAACTAGTCAAGTGTCTGCAACTTGAGCTCCTAAAACAGCTACAGTCAGGACTCCAATATCCTCAACACAGCTGGATATGCCCACACTAAAAAGTGGGCTGGAACTAGAATTCTGTTTGACTGGGGCCCCAGCAATCTGCTTCAACAGATCTTCTCTCTGTTCTGGAACTTTCAACTGCTGACTGGTGTCTTGCTTCATCCTGGACACATTACCTTTTTGTTTGTTTGTTTGTTTGTTTGTTTGTTTTGAGACGGAGTCTCGCTGTCTCCCAGGCTGGAGTGCAGTGGCGCCATCTTGGCTCACTGCAAGCTCCGCCCCCCGGGTTCCCGCCATTCTCCCGCCTCAGCCTCCCGAGGAGCTGGGACCACAGGCACCTGCCACCACGCCCGGCTAATTTGTGTGTGTGTGTGTGTTTAGTAGAGACGGGGTTTCACCGTTTTAGCCAGGATGGTCTCGATCTCCTGACCTCGTGATCCGCCCGCCTCAGCCTCCCAAAGTGCTGGGATTACAGGCGTGAGCCTCCGCGCCCGGCCCACACATTACCTTTTATCCAGAACTTTACTGCAACCAGCCCCTAAGTATTGTGTGGTCTCCTCCTGCTCTGATCCCCACCCGCTTTGTAAAGTAATGTGATCATTATATAATCAGAGTTATTATACAACTTATTGGACAAGATGACTTAATTGTTGTGTCAGTCCAAATGACCCGGCTAATCTGCATATTCTTTATTCATCATTAAAATGAACAGGAATTTCCCAGCTCTAATAGTATTCTATTGGGTTGACTCAAATAAAATCTGCACCAGCAAACCCACCCTCTGACCCATATATACCTTTCCGATATAGTCGGAAAGAACATTTGTTACATTTCTCATAGCAATAATAATATTGTGGATCATTCCTCTTCCTTTCATGGAACACTTGCCAATAATGTTTTCTTCTTCATTCGTCTCCTCTGACTCTTTTGCTGTTCAATAGCAGGCAGGGAAATTTAAAGTCTTCTCTACCCAGCAAGGATCGCTAAAATGAGAGCTAACTCAAGCATCTGACACTTCCTGCCATGTTCTCTCTAGCCCTCCTAACACCCAAGAAACTCACTCTATAAATTCAGCGGTCTTGACAGAGGGATGGAGTTCTACATGACATGTTCATTAAACTAAGTATTTATACGCCCATTATGTAAACATGATATATCATTCCCCAGCTCTGAGGCAGCTGCATGATATATATGGATATTCACTTAAAGCCTCAGCTTTATGAATTGTATTCCTTGGAGATACCAGCAGCTCCAACAACTAGGTACACAGTCAATAATTACTTTCATCTTCCTCCTTTTATTTACTCTTTAAGAGATTCATTAAGATGAAGAATGACTGCACTGCTTTGCTAAGCCTTTTTGATTACTTTCCTAATTCATTTATCATGAACTTTGGAACTATTAGTTTAGTTTTCACTACTTCTAGCCATCTAGAATCTTGTTTTATTTAAACAAGGTTCTGCATCCTCACTGGTTTTCTTCGGACAGGCCCTTTGGCTTATACACTATTTATTCGAAGTGACACATGGTAGAATTTTTCCTTTATAAAGATACACAAGAGTGTAATGCGCATGGTTACTGAGAGTTGCTATATGTGTTAAAATTGGTACTGGATCACTCACAAAACTTTTTAAATCTCTATTCAATGCTATAGTCTCAAATCCCTCCACGAAGCGGAGCGCTAAAGGGAGAAGGGTGGAGAGCACATACAACAAGCTAGGCCTAGTTCCAAATGCCATTGCACACAACAGGGCACTTAGTTTTCACAGCAACCCTGCAAAGTATGTAATACTACATCTACTTTACAGATAAAGAAGTTATGGCTCAAAAAGAACAGTCACTTACTCAATTTCATGCAGTAAGTACTGAGCTTAGAATAACTGCACTAAGTGGCTGGTGCCTGGTTCTGTTGACCTCTCCCCTCCCCTTTGATAATCCTAAGTACTCGAGAGTTCACCATATGCTAGATATACATGTAAGTCACTCGCATGAGATAAAGGCAAAGGTCCACATCACTTACACTTCTCTCTTCCTTTACCTTTTCTTCAGAGGATACCTACCAGGTACCTCTTACTCATGACAGACATGAATACAACTATATCAATGAAAACATTAAATGTGAATGGATTACAGAATCCAATCAAAAGGGAAAGATTGTTAGACTGCATAATAACATAATTCAACTATATGCTATCTACTAGAGACACACTTTAGACTTAAAGGTATTAATAAATTGAAAGCAAAAGGATAGAAATGGTTATATCATGCAAACTACGATCAAAAGAACACTGGAGTGCTATACCACTATCATACAAAATATGCCTTAAAACAAAAAAGCTAGAAATAAAAGGAACAATTTATAAACGTAAAAGAGACAAACAATCAGGTAGATATAACAATTATAACTATATGCACATAATAGCAGAATACCAAAATACACAAAACAAAGACTAACAGAAACGGAGAGAAAAATGAACAACAGTAATAGCTGCAGACTTTATTATCCCACTTTGAATAATGAATAGAACAACTAGACAGAAGAGTAACAATTAAATAGAAGGCTTGAATAACACTATAAACCAACTAGACCTAAAGGATATTTATAGAACCTTCCATCCAACCACAACAGAATAGATATTCTTCCCAAGTACACATAAAACATTCTTCGGGATAGAGCACATGTTCAGCCATAAAACCAACTGCAGTAAATTTAAAACAACAAAAATAATACAAAGTGTATTATATGACCACCATGGAATGAAATTAGAAATCAGTAACAGGAAAAATTTTGAGAAACTCACAAATATGTGAAAACGAAACAACACGTGCCTAAATAATCAATGGGTTGAAAAAGAAATAAAATGGAAAGTCAAAAATATTTTGAGATTAATTAAAATGAAGACACAACATATCAAAATTTATGGGACGCAGCTAAAGCAATGCTTAGAGAAAAATATATAGCTGTAAATGCCTATATTAAGAAAGACAATATCAAATCACATAAACTTTCACCTTAAGTTACTGGAAAAAGAAGAGCAAACTAAGTCCAAAGCAAGTAAAATAAAGTAAATAATAATGTTTATAGTTAGATTAATGAAATAGAGAATAGAAAAATAATATGGAAAAATTAATGAAACCAAAAGTTGGCTCTTTGACAAGATCAATAAAACTGACAAGCCATTAGCTATTCATATATTGACCACAAAACAAAGGAGAAGAAGCAAATTACTAGAATCATAGATGAAAGAGAGGACATTCCTAATGACCTACAGAAATAAAATAGCATAGAAGAATACTATTAAAAATTGTATGCCAATAAATTAGATTAAATGATGAAATCCCTAGAAGGACACAAACTAGTGAAACGGACTCAAGAAGAAATAGACAATCTGAATAGACCTAACAAGTGAATAGATTGAATTAATAGCACAAAAAACTACACACAAAGGAAAGCCTAGGGCAAGATGGCTTCACTGCTGTATTATATCAAACACTTAAAGAAGAAATAATACCAATTCTTATCAAACGTTGCAAAAAAATGGAAGAGGAGAAAACACGTCTTAGTTCATTTAATGAGGCCAGCTTTGCTCTCATACCAAAACCAGACTAAAACATCATACAAAAAAGAAAACTATAAATATGGATACAAAAACTTACAACAAAATATTAGCAAACAAAATCTAGCAACATATCAAAAGAATTATAATACATTTTTTTCAGCACCACACCACACCTATTCCAAAATTGACCACATAGTTGGAAGTAAAGCTCTCCTCAGCAAATGTAAAAGAACAGAAATTATAACAAACTGTCTCTCAGACCACAGTGCAATCAAACTAGAACTCGGGATTAAGAAACTCACTCAAAACTGCTCAACTACATGGAAACTGAACAACCTGCTCCTGAATGACTACTGGGTACATAACGAAATGAAGGCAGAAATAAAGATGTTCTTTGAAACCAACGAGAACAAAGACACAACATACCAGAATCTCTGGGACACATTCAAAGCAGTATGTAGAGGGAAATTTATAGCACTAAATGCCCACAAGAGAAAGCAGGAAAGATCCAAAATTGACACCCTAACATCACAATTAAAAGAACTAGAAAAGCAAGAGCAAACACATTCAAAAGCTAGCAGAAGGCAAGAAATAACTAAAATCAGAGCAGAACTGAAGGAAATAGAGACACAAAAAACCCTTCAAAAAATTAATGAATCCAGAAGCTGGTTTTTTGAAAAGATCAACAAAATTGATAGACCGCTAGCAAGACTAATAAAGAAGAAAAGAGAGAAGAATCAAATAGACGCAATAAAAAATGATAGAGGGGATATCACCACCGATCCCACAGAAATACAAACTACCATCAGAGAATACTACAAACACCTCTACGCAAATAAACTAGAAAATCTAGAAGAAATGGATAAATTCCTCAACACATACACCCTCACAAGACTAAACCAGGAAGAAGTTAAATCTCTGAATAGACCAATAACAGGCGCTGAAATTGTGGCAATAATCAATAGCTTACCAACCAAAAAAAGTCCAGGACCAAATGGATTCACAGCCGAATTCTACCAGAGGTACAAGGAGGAGCTAGTACCATTCCTTCTGAAATTATTCCAATCAATAGAAAAAGAGGGAATCCTCCCTAACTCATTTTATGAGGCCAGCATCATCCTGATACCAAAGCCAGGTAGAGACACAACAAAAAGAGAGAATTTTAGACCAATATCCTGATGAACACTGATGCAAAAATCCTCAATAACATACTGGCAAACCGAATCCAGCAGCACATCAAAAAGCGTATCCACCATGGCCAAGTGGGCTTCATCCCTGGGATGCAAGGCTGGTTCAAGATACGCAAATCAATAAATGTAATCCAGCATATAAACAGAACCAAAGACAAAAACCACGTGATTATCTCAATAGATGCGGAAAAGGCCTTTGACAAAATTCAACAACCCTTCATGCTAAAAACTCTCAATAAATTAGGTGTTGATGGGACGTATCTCAAAATAATAAGAGCTATCTATGACAAACCCACAGCCAATATCATACTGAATGGGCAAAAACTGGAAGCATTCCCTTTGAAAACTGGCACAAGACAGGGATGCCCTCTCTCACCACTCCTATTCAACATAGTGTTGGAAGTTCTGGCCAGGGCAATCAGGCAGGAGAAGGAAATAAAGGGTATTCAATTAGGAAAAGAGGAAGTCAAATTGTCCCTGTTTGCAGATGACATGATTGTGTATCTAGAAAACCCCATTG
Organism: Homo sapiens; assembly: GCF_000001405.40. Lineage (NCBI taxonomy): Eukaryota > Metazoa > Chordata > Mammalia > Primates > Hominidae > Homo > Homo sapiens. The sequence goes on from NC_000018.10 coordinate 2,344,706, forward strand.
TCTCAGCCCAAAATCTCCTTAAGCTGATAAGCAACTTCAGCAAAGTCTCAGGATACAAAATCAATGTGCGAAAATCACAAGCATTCTTATACACCAATAACAGACAAACAGGGAACCAAATCATGAGTGAACTCCCATTCACAATTGCTTCAAAGAGAATAAAATACCTAGAAATCCAACTTTCAAGGGATGTGAAGGACCTCTTCAAGGAGAACTACAAACCACTGTTCAAGGAAATAAAAGAGGATACAAACAAATGGAAGAACATTCCATGCTCATGGGTAGGCAGAATCAATATCGTGAAAATGGCCATACTGTCCAAGGTAATTTATAGATTCAATGCCATCCCCATCAAGCTACCAATGACTTTCTTCACAGAATTGGAAAAAACTACTTTAAAGTTCATATGGAACCAAAAAAGAGCCCCCACCACCAAGTCAATCCTAAGCCAAAAGAACAAAGCTGGAGGCATCACACTACCTGACTTCAAACTATACTACAAGGCTACAGTAACCAAAACAGCATGGTACTGGTACCAAAACAGAGATATAGATCAATGGAACAGAACAGAGCCCTCAGAAATAATCCCGCATATCTACAACTATCTGATCTTTGACAAATCTGAGAAAAACAAGCAATGGGGAAAGGATTCCCTATTTAATAAATGGTGCTGGGAAAACTGGCTAGCCTTATGTAGAAAGCTGAAACTGGATCCCTTCCTTACACCTTATACAAAAATTAATTCAAGATGGATTAAAGACTTACATATTAGATCTAAAACCATAAAAACCCTAGAAGAAAACCTAGGCAATACCATTCAGGACATAGGCATGGGCAAGGACTTCACGTCTAAAACACCAAAAGCAATGGCAACAAAAGCCAAAATTGACAAATGAGATCTAATCAAACTAAAGAGCTCTGCACAGCAAAAGAAACTACCATCAGAGTGAACAGGCAACCTATAAAATGGGAGAAAATTTTCGCAACCTACTCATCTGACAAAGGGCTAATATCCAGAATCTACAATGAACTCAAACAAATTTACAAGAAAAAAACAACCCCATCAAAAAGTGGGCGAAGGATATGAACAGACACTTCTCAAAAGAAGACATTTATGCAGCCATAAAACACATGAAAAAATGCTCATCATCACTGGCCATCAGAGAAATGCAAATCAAAACCACAATGAGATACCATCCCACACCAGTTAGAATGGCAATCATTAAAAAGTCAGGAAACAACAGGTGCTGGAGAGGATGTGGAGAAATAGGAACACTTTGACACTGTTGGTGGGACTGTAAACTAGTTCAACCATTGTGGAAGTCAGTGTGGCAATTCCTCAGGGATCTAGAACTAGAAATACCATTTGAACCAGCCATCCCATTACTGGGTATATAACCAAAGGATTATAAATCATGCTGCTATAAAGACACATGTACATGTATGTTTATTGCGGCACTATTCACAATAGCAAAGACTTGGAACCAACCCAAATGTCCAAAAATGATAGACTGGATTAAGAAAATGTGGCACATATACACCATGGAATACTATGCAGCCATAAAAAATGATGAGTTCATGTCCTTTGTAGGGACATGGATGAAACTGGAAACCATCACTCTCAGCAAACTATCACAAGGACAAAAAACCAAACACCACATGTTCTCACTCATAGGTGGGAATTGAACAATAAGAACACCTGGACACAGGAAGGGGAACATCACACTCCAGGGACTGTTGTGGGGTGGAGGGAGGGGGGAGGGATAGCATTTGTTGATATACCCAATGCTAAATGATGAGTTAATGGGTGTAGCACACCAACATGGCACATGTATACATATGTAACAAACCTGCACATTGTGCACATGTACCTTAAAACTTTAAGTATAATAATAATAAAATAAAATAAAATAAAAAATTTAAAAAAAAGAATTATATATCATAACCAAATGGGATTTATCACAAGAATACAAAGCTGGTTTAATATCTGAAAAAACTTCATATCTATAGAATAAAAAACAAAAATTACATGATCATGTTAATAGATGAAGAAAAAGCATTTGACGAAATCCAACATCATTTCATGACAAGAACATTCAACGAACTAGTAATAGATGAGAACTCAATCAACAGGTTAAGGTTTATCAAAATGGCATGTACAAAAACCCACAGCTAACTTATCACACTTAATGGTGCAAGATTGGGTGCTTTTCCTCCAATATCAGAAACAAGACAAGGATATCCAGGCTTACCAACTCAATTCAACATTGTACTGAAGGCTCTAGCCAGGGCAACAAGGCAAGAGAACAACTGGCTTATCAGACATTAAAATGCATCAGTGTGAGCTGCAATTAACATTTAATGGCCGGGCGCATGGCTCACACCTGTATTCCCAGCACTTTGGGAGGCCGAGGCAGGCAGATCATGAGGTCAGGAGATTGAGACCATCGTGGCTAATACAGTGAAACTCCATCTCTACTAAAAATACAAAAAATTAGCCAGTCCTGGTGGCAGGCACCTGTAATCCCAGCTACTCGGGAGGCTGAGGCAGGGGAATCTCTTGAACCTGGGAGGCAGAGGTTGCAGTGAGCCGAGATTGCGCCACTGCACTCCAGCCTGGGCGACAGAGTGAGACTTCATCTCAAAAAAAACAAAAAAAAAACATTTAATATAAGTTGTTGGCTCTTTGAGAAGACAGTCACTTTAGAGCTACAATTCTACTCCAAAACACAAATTTCCCAATCTAACCCTACCCCAGCTTTAATTCTAACCTACTTTGCATGCCCTCATCAATACTTTATCCATTCAGCAAATATAGATATACACTATAACTTAATACCTTTTACCCAAGCTGTTTTCTTAACTTCTATTATATTTCTATTCAATAGAAGCTATTACCTACTTTTTCTCATAACCCCACAGTTGAATAAATGAATTAAAATTTTATGATCTTGGCTTCCTATTTTGTATATTCTTGAGTTCACAGAAAAACTCTCTAAATTTACAGAGCTTCACTTTCTCTAAAAGTACAAGGTAAGCACTCTTTCTGTCACTCAGGTGCTCCTTTTTCCCTTAAGCACCAGTGTCTCAGAATCTGCACTCAGCCAAAAGTGTGTAAGAGAAATACCATCTAATGAGTTCCATAATAGTTAATGTGCTTCATTTACTTTATAATGAAATGAGAAACTTATGCTTAGTATTGAGCCTGTCATTTAAAAATATTTGTTGAGTGGCTATTATATGTAGAATCTATACTAAACCCCCAGAGAATCAAATACAGTAAATAATAATAATAAACTGGGGAATATAAAGAACTCAATAGACCGACAGATACCAATCTGGGATGTAGTCACAGAGCTGTGATGTGATTTGAGCCAAGTCACATAATCCCTCTTTCGGTTCCCTTTTCTGAGAAAAAGAATTGTCTGTCTCAGGGATGGTAAAGAAATTTCATCTCAAGTGTCACATCCAGTTGATTGGTAATGATGTCTTGAGTTGTGGAAAGAAATATGAGGCTCAGTTCAGGTTCCATCAAAACAGTGCTATGATCAATTTGTGATGTCTAAGAACAGTCATAAGTGAGAGTCTTCAAAAGAGCAGGTTGACTACTCGCTATCTCTAAACTATTCACGTGTAAAGACTATTCATTTTTAATAAAATATGATCTGACTCATCATGCGTTATAACTTAATATCATCTTATATTGATGGTAAAGTTATTAGTAGCTGCTTTCCTTGATTTTAACTTGCCATTAATTATTGGTTTTACAGGGTACAACATTTTCTGTAAATGACTCAGAACATCTTGAATATTATTTTTATAATACATTCAGTATTTAACTAAAGATATCAATTGCATTTAATTATCTGAGTGAACAAAAAAATTAGGACAACGTTTATAAGAAGTGTTGAACAAAAAATCCTCTTTGATAAGAACGCTCATTGTCTGAATTCAAAATATCATTTTATGTGTCATCTTAAAACATCACATTTCTCCATTTTTTTCCTGTGGTTTAATTACAGACCACAATTTGCTATCAATATAGACTATAACTATGCAATAGTTTGATGCCTTGTTTTTTTAATGTGAGATATATAGATATATATATATTCCACAAATATGTGTATTTGAAGCTTTAATTTGAATGCCAAGCAAATGATTTTTTCATTAATCAAGTTGCAAAACTATGAACAAAAGAGATGAAATGGTGTAATTTTAAAAAGTGATTATTTTGTCACAATCTTAATTTTGAGACATTTATCAATGGTTAGCCAAATGTGATCCACCTAGAATTGTGAACTGACGTCTGATACACTGATCTCTTGAATAATGCAGTATTAATGTTATTCAAATTCCATCGGTTCAATAAGACGTCAGTCATTTCTTATTTCCCCAAGTAAAACCACACTTGTTCTTTTACAAAATTACCTTATTCTATTTCAACAGAACATTATTAATGTTATGTTATTTCTCTTTTTCTCTTAATAGGGCCTTTGAAAAATGTTATTCGTATATTTTCTATTTTTTCATGGGAGAAGATAACATGTACATTTTTGTGCATATTGACATGAGTTATTTTTTACACAAACAGAAGAAATTTATTAAGATTTCTATTAAATTCATTACCTCATTTATTTTGAAATTAAAATTAAAATATTTCTTACTTATTTTACATGAAAATTCAGTAAGTGTATCTATCTGGCAAAATGGAGGGATTCTACTATATCAAAGTTTCACTATTTTCAGTTTATATTGCCCCAATGGTCCACCCTTTTTTATTTCCTTGGCTCTTCCATCAATTATTTAAAATAAATCATTTACATGCCACTCATTGCAACACTGGTTAAAATAACTATAAGCAGGGATCTCACTTTTTTTTTTTTTTTACTAAAAACAAAAGTCACAATTCAGAAATCATCTTCTCACAACCCTACTGGTAATCCTAAGAATCTAATCAGGCTAGTCAGATTTTTCTCCAAATTTGTGCAAATTACTTAATTAAAAATGAACAGTAGAGAATATTTAAAATTACCTGTAATGGCTATAACCCTAAATGACAACAGAAACTTTCTATTGTCAAAGTGTTTTCTTTTGAAAACAGCCCTTACTAAATTATCACTTGCTCATGGAGCTTAAGATTCACTTGCAACACTTTAGTTCCCCAGGTGGTACTAATTTTACAGCAGCATAGGAGGCAAATACGGTGATTTCTCAGTGTGATCATTTATCTTGTGTTTTTATATTATTAGCTCCTGTTTCCAAGATGCCCAACATTTGTGCCAACAGATGGCTGGAAAATGCCTCAGTCAACAAAGGAGCAACGTCTACAACAAAGGGACAATGGATTGAGCAGTCAGGGAATCACCAAGCCAGACAGCAGCTAACACTTTTAAAATAACTGTAAATTATTTACAACAAAGCTGTACATTTAAAAAACTACAAGATCTATTTCATATAATCAATTAATGCTGAATAATAAAATTTTAATTGTATTTAACATATTGTAGTTGATAAGTATCAACTACATCTCCATTGATGATTGAACCTTAGCAATTCATTCAGTACAAAATTGGAACAAGATACTCCCTGACTTCAAGAATTTCACAATGAATTGGGATAGGCACAAGGGTCAGGTAATTATCTTAGCTCTTGCTTGGGTAGCCAGGGGTATGTAAATCAGATTAGGAGCACCAGGATTCCTTTCAAGGGAGGTGATATTGAGCAGAGATGTGATGGTAGAGTACACATTAATTAGGAAAACAGGTGGTGGGAAGTCATTCTGAGCAGAGGGAAGAACATGCGGGAAGCCATAGAGCGTCATAAGGCATGACCCTATCCCAGCGCTGCTAGAGGTTCCGTATATCTAAAGATGATGCAGGAGCCAGAACTAGGGGCTGGATAATGGAGAAGCTTGCATGCTAAACTTATTACGAACTTTATTTTGAAAGTAGTGGAACGTTATTGGACCACTTCAAAAGCGGAGTGTTACGTTCAGGCTTGAATTTTAGAAATATCTGTCTGGTAGCCATGTGCAGGTTGGTTGGAAAGGGAGGCATCAGACAGGAGACGAATGAGAAAGCTGTTGCAGTCATCTGGGTGAGAAACCAACGAGGGCCTGAATAAGATGGCGGCTGGAGACTAGCGCTGGAGAGGGGGAGCCTTCCATATCCGGCCACTTCTCTCCACAGCCGCCATTTTGGCAGAAGCCTAAGCCTTGCTCATCCCTTACTTAGGCTACATTTTCAAAAGTCAGAAAAAACTTTTTCCTGAAGAAGGGGTTTCTGAGACAAGTAGGTCAAAGAAAGGCCAGCGTGTGGGAGTGTGTGTGTGTGTGTGTGTGTGTGTGTGTGTCCTTGAGTAAAATTGCAAGCCAAAGAGGAAGGCAGCAGTATGTATTCTCTGTAGGTGAGCAGGAAGCTTGCGGCCCTACACAGTGCTGACGTAATGAGTCCGTCCTGTGCCTATTCATTCAAAACAGGATTGAGACGTCAGCTTGACAAAGCTTTCTCTCCTCGCAGGACCCCTATTTGTGACCAATTGTAAGATCATCTGAAGATCGAGTCCGATTGCCTGGCCAGGCCGGGCTGGGTGGTATGTGCCCCCGTCACGCCGGAGGTTCCTGCTTTAGCGACGCCAAAGATTGGGTGTGAGGGCAGCCCGCGGTGACAGAGACACGGATCGGACCGAGAGAAAAAGGCTGTGGGCTTCACTGAGCAGAGTGACGGTAGGAAGCTTCCACAGCGCGGAAGGGTCCCCCGCGGGTAGCCAGTGTTAGATCTTTTGATCACCTTTTAAACTCTTTAAGGCGGGAAATACCCGAGGTGGGAAGATGTTACCAGAGCAAGAAACAAAGACGATTAAGATGTCTTAGATCTTGAGGAAAACCGGCATGGTAACTTAACTTTTACCTGCTTTATGACCTTGCAGCGGCATGGCAAAGGAGACAGGATCTCACAGGACTTTACAGATTGTGTTGACAAGGAATTGGAATTGGGACATAGATAAGGTCTGCTGATCGCAGGAAAATGGGCTTTTAACATTCCTTTTAGTTTCAGGGAAGGGGCAAGGGAGAGAGGGAGCGAGGACACAGGGAAGCTTACAGCAAAAGTTTCGCTGTTTATAGCTTTCTTGGGGGAAGAAAACACATGCCCAAGTTTTGATGTTAGGAATATTATTTTAAGCACATATCTTTAATATTATTCATCCAGGACCAAAGTAAGTCCTGATGCAGGAAAGGAGTGAGTTTCACAGCTTTCTGAGCCCCTAATCAACCCAGGAAGCCCAGCTGGAACCTCCTCTCACTGTTAGGCTAGATTTTAATTACATCTAAGTGACAGTAACTTTCCTTATTCCTATTTGACCTGGTATTTTCTGGTTTCAATTTCTCTCGTTGAAAGGAACAACATTCCTAAGGCAAAATTCACAAGGCAGATATCTAATAATTTGTTTGGGTGCTGTTGAAAGAAATTAACGAAATGATCCATCGCTCCCTCAGAACTCCCACATGTGTGCACGTACACACATCCCCACACATTGGCTTTCTTCCAGTTCTTTAAATCTCAGGTTCTGAAAGAGATGCCAAATGGCTGGTACATTAATCCTGGCTTTTAAGCACCTACACACCAGGAAATGAATGTTCACAATAAAAGGCACAGTAAGGTGAGCGTCAATTCAGAACAGCAGAAGTGGAAATGTATATTCATTTGTAAATATTAGGATTTCATGGCTACATTGGCACTTGAGATCATTTCAAAGAATATCAATAATTAGAGACTGGTGGAGAATATTCCAGACACAGAGGAAAACATGCTAAGATGATGAGGAAAGACAAATTGATATGTTCGGAAAAGTGTAGGGAAGAGGGAGATGAAAAGAAATTTATAAATGGATACAAATATGTGATTTGATAGAAGAAATAAGACATAGAGTTAAAGAGATCAGTAGGGTTATTCTAGTTCACAGTCATCTATTGTATATTTCGTAATAAGTAGAAGATAATTCAAATAGTCCTAGCATAAAGAAAGGACAAATGTTTAAGGTGATGGACATCCCAAGCACACTGATTGGATCTTTACAAATTATATGAATGTATTAAATTCTCACATGGATCCCAAAATTATGTACATCTATTATGCATCAAAAAAAAATAAATTTAAAAGAAGAAAACTGTAGGGAACCCACTCTGGCTGAGGCATATAGCATGGGGAGGGACGGAGTTGAATTGTCAGAGCCATTAGGTCAAACTAGAAATTGTCAGTGAGGTATTGGTGTTTAATCCTGGCAACCACAGGAAATGATTGCCTAGTATTTAAGCAAACTGGTGATGTGAACCATGCTTCAGAATTTAGTTTTTATTCTAAAAATAGAAAAAAAAAACTCTCTAAACCTTCCGGCCACTATTTTATTTCCCCAATGAAAATGGCAGGAGTCATCTCAGGGTTTACATGGAAAAATCACTTTTAAAAATACATTTGCATATATTTTCCCATTTAGTCGTCATGGAAACTCTGAAGCAGGTACTGTCCTGGCTCTCCCTTTTACTAGATGTATGACCTTGGGCATGATACCTAAGTCAGCATTCATCTCTAGCATGGTAATAACAGTAGTACCTACTGCCTGTGTTTAATGTATAAAAGACACAATGGATGTAAAAGCACTTGGCACCATACCTACTGCATAATAAGCTTTCAATAAATATTAGATTTATAATTATCATTATTATTATTACTTTATAACAAGGAAAATGAGACAGAAAGTTAAGTGGTTTGCCCAAAGTTGCTGGGCTAGGAAGTGGCCGAGTTAAACTTGACTGCAAGCTACTGGCATGATGTTTCAAAACTGCAAATCGTATCATGCTCCCTGTGAAAGTGTAAGTAAATTATAGGTCCAATAATGGAGAACTGACTAGGTAAATTGTGCACCTCTATCATGTGGAATTCTACAAACCAATTATGGTGATGTTCAAGAATTATTTTTTCCAACATAGAAAGAGTCAAATATATTATTACATTTTTTAAAAGTTAATGTACACTAAGAGTTTTTATTAAAGATAAATAATAGAAATATCCTTTCAGGGTAGAAAATATTCTAAAAGGATGTATGCGCCGAGGCTCTCGGTAACTGAAAAAGAGTGAGAATGGATTTTTCTTATTCCTATGCTCACTCATCTGTGAGCGTAGTAATATGTGCCATGTTTGACATATCCATGTTGAACACAATTTGTCTTAAAATACATCTTTTAAACTTCCACCTTTCTCCCCTCAACCCTAAAACACACTTCCTCTTCATAGCACACCTGTCTTGGTGCCAAACACACAAAGCATTCTTTTCTAAGATGATATATCCTACCTAAGATCCTATGAGGAATAGTCCTTGGCAGAACACATGACTCGCCCATTATTTAATCGTGTTACTGTCTGTTTGTTGCAAAGGGCTAATCTTAATCATAGAAAAGTTTAATGTTCTATAGATCTTTACTGTGGGCCATGTAGAATGGTAAGAAAAAAATTTAATTTCCCACTTTCCCTTATTCTCTGTCATAACCATGGATCTAAAATTCATCCCAAATCTCAAAGACCTTGAGTTTAGTCTAATATCTTTTTTGAAATGTATGTATGTACAACATACATAACTTAAAATTTACTATCTTAACCATTTTAACTGTAAATTTCAGTGACATTCACATTGTACGACCATCATCACCATTCATCCACAGAACTCTTTTCATCTTGCAAAACTGAAACTCTGTACCAGTTAAACAATAACTCCTACCCCCTCCTCCAAGCCCCTGGCCACCACCATTCTACTTTCTGTCTCTAGGGATTTGATTACTCTAGATACTTCATATACGTGGAATCATTGCTGTGTTTGCCCTTTTGTGAATGGCTTATTTCACTTAGCATGATGGCCTCAAAGTTCGTCCGCGTTGTATGCAGCTAGAAGCCATTATCCTCAGTGAACTAACTCAGAAAAATAAATACCATGTGTTCTCATTTATAAGTAGGAGCTAAATATTGGGTACACATGGACATAAAGATAGGAACAATAAGCACTGGGGAGTACAAGAAGAGGGAGGGAGAAAGTGGGGCAAGAGTTGAAAGCCTATCTATTTGGTATTGTGCCCCCTACCTGAGTGACAGACTCATTTGTACTGCAAACCTTGGCATCACGCAATATACCTTTGTAAAAAACCTTCTTATGGACCCCCTGATTCTAAAATAAAAGTTTTTAAAAATTGATTACATTAAATTAAATTTAAATTAAAAGGACATACCATTTGACCAACATCAACAAAAAAATTTCATCCATGATGTAGCAAGTGTCAGAATTTCTTTCCTTTTTAAAGACTGAACAGTAGTCCGTTGCATGAATTTGCCACATTCTGTTTATCCTTTCATTTATTAATGATGACTTCAGTTGCTTTCATGTTTTGGCTATTGTTAATAATGCCACTATGAACATGGGTACACCAAAATCTCTTCAAGTTCCTATTTTCTATCCTTTTGGATACAATCCAGAAATGGAATTGCTGGATAACACTATTTGTTGAAAGACTGTCTTTCCCCCCACTGAATGGTCTTAACAACCTTGTTGAAAAATCATTTACTGTATATGTGAGGGTTTGTTTTTGGGCCCTCCATTTTATTCCATTGGTTTATATGTCTGTCTTTATGGCAGTACCAAACTAATTTGATTACTGTAGCTTTGTAGTAAGTTTTGAAATCAGGAAGTGTGAGACCTCCAATTTTGTTCTTCTTTTTCAAGATTGTTTTGGCTACTTGGGGTCCTTTGAGATTCCATTATGACCTTTAGGATGGATTTTTCTATTTCTTCAAAATTATCAATGGGATTTTAATAGAGACTGCATTGAATCTGTAGTTCACCTTGAATCTGTAGTTCATCACTATCTTAATAATAAATCTTCCAATTTGTGAACACTGGATGTCTTTCCTTTTATTGTCTTCTTTAACTTCTCTAACGATTTTTCTTTATTTTTCCAGCTCAGTGGCCTATAATGCCCTTTCCTAGACTTTGCCTTTTTCCTCTGTAGTGGTTTGAGGCCCTATTGACTTAATTTGACTGTGTTTGATATGCAAAAATAGGCAATTTGAACTCTTTGATACGTAATGTAAGGAGTGATGATACGTTATGGCAGAGGTCCTGGGTGTTCTGAATAGTTGGTGACATCGTTAATTTAGCTGTCTAAATTGGTGAAATAATCATTATATAATGATGAATGAAAAAATATACTACATAAGACCCCTGAAAAAGCAAATATCAGAGTTCTCCCACCCTATGTCTTTTGCCAATGGCTATAACTGTCCACTGTGAAATGTGAGTGGTCATGGAGTTGGCAGTGGGGATCATTGGAAGAACATGAGATAAGATATCATGGACATAGGTAGGGTAATGTAAAAATTTTTATAAGTTTCCTTACTTGAGCTTAAGTTTGGGTATAACCTGTTTCAATGTTTGCTAACCTTCAAAAAGTTTTCAATAAAATCCCCTGAGATTCTTACGTGCCCTAATGTTCTCTCTCCTATGTCTCCTAAGAAGTTATGAGTACAGAAGTGGGCATCCAGGAACGTATTTGACAAGGGATTTGAAACTGAGGGCCAGGACGCAATAGCCCATTAATGCACGAGAACATCTGGTGCTCCGTGAGATATTCTAGTGATAACAACAGCAAAAAAGCTCTATTCTCGTGAGAACGATCTGAATCGATCTGATTCTTGATCTCTGACATTGTAATTTGAAATTACAGAAGTATTCAGGCCCTCAGGAGCGGTAACTAAAATGGAGAAGCTGCGCTGAAAGGTGCCGTGGGCAAGTCAAAATTAAAAGTAAGTTGAGTTACACAGTAGTAGAAATTGCTACTGTACTAGCATAGTATCTCATAGCAGTAGTCAGTACTAGTCAGGATGAAGAGCAGGAATCAGAGCTGTTAGGCAGAAGACACTATCGCTAAAGGAGCCACTCAAAAGCTAATCCAGTCGTGCCACTCACCAACTTAAAGTTAAACCTCCTTTGGGGTCCATCATGATCTGCCCCCATCTTTTACCTCCATCTCACAACTCCCACCGCTCACTCCTGTTGTCTTTCAGCCCCAGTGATCCCCCATGCTGAACTATAGTGGTCCCCTGCAATCCACTTTTGCTTTACAGGCTTCAGTTTCCCACGATCAACCACAATCTGAAAATATTAAGTGGAAAATTCCAGAAATAAACAATTCCTAAGTTTTAAATTGCACATCGTCCTGAGTAGCATAATGAATTCTCATGCCATCCCACTGCATCCCACCTGGGACGGGAATTATCCCTGTGTCGGTGTCTCCATGCTGCCTCAGGTCCCCACCCATTTATTACTCAGCAGCCAACTCAGTGATCAGATCAACCGTTGCAGTATTGCAGTGCGCATGCTCATGTAAACCTCATTTGACTTAATAATGGCCCCAAAGCACAAGAGTAGCAATGCTGGCATATTGTTATAATTGTTCTATTTCATTACTGTTGTTTTTAATCTCTCACTGTGCCTAATTTATAAATTAAACTTTATCATAAATATGTATGTATAGGAAAAAAGCATAGTATATATAGAGTTCGATATTATCCATGGTTTCAGGCATCCACTGGGGGTCTTGGAATGTATCCCTGTGGGTAAGGGGGGACTATGTACTTGTGGTTTCTGAAACAGATCACGTGCTCTCTCAGCTCTTGGCCAGAGGACATGCTGTGTCCTGTCTACCCAACACCCATCTCTGTCTGCCTGCCTCATCTAGTTCATCACTCCTACTTATCTCTCAGGGTTTAAGACTATGTCTAGACTAGGAACCTTTCCTTTGGGCTTCATTTGTGCTTTGTCAGTTTCTTTATTTGCCACTCCTGCAGTGAACTGCAAGCTCCTTGAGGAGCAGTTGTCCTTTATGCCCAGGCTTAGCCAGGCACCTGGCACATAGCAGTCAGGCAGGAAAATAGGGTCTGGAGGCAGGGAACATATGGCCGACTCACACTTCAGCTATGACAGGAAATATCCTCTCCATAAGGCATGCACCAAGTAACTATTGAAAACCTCTAGAGGGCATTTAAACCCCCAAAAATTCTGTTTACGGGGCCCTTGAGCCCCTATGCTCGGGCCCGCTCCCACACTGTGGAGTGTACTTTCATTTTCAATAAATTTCTTCATTCCTTCCTTGCCTTGTTTGTGCGTTTTATCCAATTATTTGTTCAAGACGCCAGGAACCTGGACACCCTCCACCGGTAACAGTAGGAGCTCAGTATTTGTTTTACTAAAAGTCATACCCTCAGGTTAAATTTTATAAGAAAATCCAATTATATGCAGCATACAAAAAAATGGAAATATAGTGGTAAAATTGTGAAATGAAGTACAATTCAAGAAGAAATAATGAAACAAGTCAGAGAATCACTTTGACGAAATGATGCAACTCATAAGAAGGCAATGTCTCCACTAGGTGATACTTCCTCCAGGAGCTCTCCTCTCTCCATCCAACCTGGTTTAGGTTTCTGCCTAACCCCCTCACCTTTCTTGCAACCCTCTCAACTGACATCATTTGTCTTGGTGGGGTTCCCCACAACTCTGTAGTTCTTCTAGAGGAGTGACTGTGTCTTTTTACCTTTTTATCTCCAGCATTTGATAAATGGTGAATGGATGAATGAGACAGAGGCATGAATCTTTTGCAAAAAATAACATGACATCAAAATATATAGCAAAAAAACTATAACAAGTGAAAGTAGAAATGACAGTTATACAATCATGAGATATTTTAACACACTACTATCCATCTTTGAAAAATCAATTGAATAAAAAATAAATAAGGGCAAGGAAGAATTGAACTATATAACAAAGTTACATTAATAAATACTGAACTTTGTAACCCAGATATAGAAAATGCTTCCATAAATCAGATGTTTACAAAAATAGACCATGACCAGCCCACAGAGAAAACTTCAATTTACTGCACAAAGCACAAATTATGTAGAACAAGTTCCTGAAGGAAATACAAAAACAAAAAAGAAAGAAAAAGGAAAGAGAGATATAGCAGAAGCCACTTAGCAATTTAGAAAGCTTTACCAATGGTCCTATAAAGGTTGACATTATTTGAAGCAATAATACCCTTTCCAGAGATCCAGCTCAAGGAAATGATCTCAATTCCATCCTCAGATTTCTATGTACAAATATTATTTTATAACATTTTTATAATAGAAAAGAATAAGAATTCCTTAAATGTCTAACATTAGAAAAATAGTAAATTATAGTGTGTATATCTAATGCAATATTATGAAGCCATTAAAATTATGTTTATAAAGATTTTAGCAGCATGAAAATATTTCTGTTTCAGTCAGGTTGCTATATAACAAATCACTCCAAAACCTAATGCCTTGAAACTATAACAGTTTATTATTTCTCCCAGTCCTATGGGTTGACTGTGTGACTCTCCTGTTTTGCATGATTTTGGCTACAATTTTGGGATGTCTGGAAGGTCCAAAATGGCCACCCTCATGTGCCTGGACCTGGGTTATCTTCCATGAGCCTTTCCATGTGGCTTCTTACACTCCCTGGAAGAATGGGGACTAGAACACAAGAAGAACTGTTCTAAGCAGCAAAGGCAGAAGCCATTGATCTCTTAAGGCCTAGTCTCAGAAATTACACAGCATCACTTCGGCTGCTGTGTTTTATTCATCAAATTAAATCCCAGGGCCAACCTTGTTTCAAGGGAGGGGAAAAGAGATTGCTTCTCAATGGAAGTGTTAAAGCAAACTAAATATGGCCTGAGAAGGACTTGGTACTTCTATATTTGAGTCCTTGTGGATGAACTGCAACCTAACTTAATAGGTAGACAAGATTGAAAACCTAATTTAGGAGTATGCCCTGTAACAATCCCTTAGTCAGCGCCAATCCTAGCAACCATACTTCAACCAGTCATACACTGCTGAGTGTTCAAACTCTGTTCAAATAAGGCAGACGCCAAGCTGTAACCAATCCAGCTGTTTCTGTACCTCACTTCTGATTTGTGTGCGTCACTTTACCTTTTTTGTCTATAAATTTGTTCTGACCATGAGACACCCCTGGAGTCTTTCTGAATCTGCTGCGATTCTGGGGGCTGCCTGATTTCGCAAATCATTCACTGCTCAATTAAACTCCTTTAAATTTAATTTGGCTGAAGATTTTCTTTTAATAAAAGGATTGGCAAAGGATCTTTAATCCGTCATAATAATATAACATTAAGTGAAAAAATCCTATTTTTTCACTTAATTTTAAATATATACATATGTAAATATAAACTCAAGTCTAATTTGTAACATTACATGTATTTTTATATTTCCTATGAATAAAAATGTATATTATACATAGATTTATATTTTCCGTATGAACTTTAAAAGACCAAAGGGCAAAATGCTAACAAGGATTATCTCCGGATAGTGAAAGAGGCCTAATTATAATTTTATTCTTTAAAGGTTTCTGTTTGTTCCAAAGTTATGGAAATGTATTACTTTTAAATTGGAGCATAAATGTTATTTTAAATATATTTTATTCCCATATAGAAACATTTAAAGCAATTTCCTACAAAAGGCTAGAAGCGCTAAAGGAAATTGAATCAGAAGTGGATGAAAACCAACATCAGATTGAAAAGCAAACAAAATACAAAAAAGATAGTTCCAGATAGCACCTGTATAATTCTCTTCTTGACTGTACAGAATATTAAGCATTTGAATCATCAAACATTTCATAGCAGATTTATGATGGTATTGAACAAATGTATAAATGATTTTCCCCTTTCATTATACTTATAGTACATATTGAATATTTTTCTGCCTCCAAAAAGGAAAAAAAAAGAAACAAACATTCCTGTTTTTTGTGTATGGATCTAAGCTAAGATAAAGGGATGCAGCAGAAACCTTGAGGCAGGGAATAATAAAAATTGACATTTTTTTCATGTATTATACTAAACCCTAGAATAAAATAGAGGTGCTTTAAAAATAGTTTTACTGTTGTTTCTCTTGACCCTATGATTTTATAAAGTTAAAATAATGAGTGTTTTTTTTAAACAAAGGCAACACGCAATTTTAATGCAGCATCATAAATTATTGCATGGTTTTGATGGCAACTTTAGGTAACATAGAAACACTAAGGAAGAAAGAAACATGCATTCCTCTTATACGGATAGAAGTTATTTTCAAGGACACAGATCTGCTGTCTTAATAGTTTGCCTAGCCTTTCCAGAACTGTCAGGAGAGCCCAGTTTTTATCTTTGCATCCTCACTTCTTGGCTTACATCAAAAATTATATACTCCAGGAAAGAATTTTCTCTCCCTCCCAGAAATTGTCAAAGATTCCATAAGCCAACACAATTTCAGAAGAAAGAGAAATATTAGAAAAGCATTAGCCAAAAAAAGTGTGTACATGTACTCTGTTTATAGATGTGCATCTGCTGAACTTCAAAACAGCACCCCTCAATAGACATCTGCTGATGTATGTATACCAGATGAAGCCTCTATTTTCTCACAACCTGAGATTTCTAACTGCAGACAGAGTGACTCTCAGCTCCATTCCACGGATGAATTCTTAGCAGTGTTTCTCAAAACACATGCATATTGCTGTAGTGATCTCTTTGGCACTAACAGGTAATGATATGTGCCATGCAGAAGATGTTTGTGACATATGAGATTATTCCTAAGTCATGAAACATAAAGCTTTTCCTTTGAATCATTCTTTAACAAATAAGGCCAATTAGGTAGCAAGTGTTCCTTTGGGTCCAGGTGATTACATATAACATTTTAAAACACTTTTCTATAAAAGTGAAAACAATCCTATCAAAGCTATGGTAATATCTATTCTAGACTCAGTTATGCTGTTTTAAACTCCATTACAAATTTCTATAGACTAAGAATTTCAGCATCTTTAAACAACAATGAGACCTCAAGAGATGATTTCAAAAATGCCTTCCCCATCGTTTCATCACTTGCTTATACACGGGTCTTTTACCTTCATTAAGCTTCAGAGGTTTTATTAAATAATTATTTTCATTGTCCATGGACTCTGAGTGCATCGTACTGAGAAATAAACAGCTTAACATAGTTTTTGTTGTTTTTGTTTATCTCAGGGATTTATTTTAGGTCTTTGAGATGTTTTCCGTTTTCATGACCTAATGGCTGATTAATCTCATTTGAGTTCAAATATTTATTCAGTTGCTACCTCTTCGCAGGAAAACCTTCGTTTGTGTCGGATGGCTCGTTTTTTAATGATTGGGTCCTGCCTTGCCTAAAAATAGAAATGAAAATTCAAACTTTATGACATATTTAAAGAAATCCATTAATAAATATTCCTTTAGGTTCTGTATGGCACAAAGATTTTGTTCACAGTCTTATTCTAGATAGCTCATCTGGCGCACATTTTTTCATATACTTTATATTTTTTAAAAAGTAATAGAATAAAGTGGAATCAAGGCCTCTGAAGCAACAGGGTAAGGACAAACCCAGAAGCAATGGCCTGGTAATATGACAGGGAACATGGGTCGGTTAGGGATAAGCCTGATCATCAAACAGAAGCCTCTGAAAGTTTAACTTCATGCCAAGTGTTAAGTCTTTCTCTATCTCTCTCTCCTTCCTCCCTCCCTTTTTCTTTTTGTTTCTCAAAAATGCACAACTAATCGTCCTTGCTTGCCCAAAGTTAAAATTTAGTTAACGAAAACATCCACTAATAAGAACACCATATTTCCAAATCCAAGGAATAACATAGTTCCTGGGTTCGACATTTGAATTGGGAGTTTTATTTTTATGTAAGTTTTTTTACAGCTAGAGTTTTTGTTGTAGGAATGAGTATCATTTTCCATTATTGCAGATCCTAAATTAAGAACATGCTCAAAATTAGCTCATTTTAGTGTTACAGACAGTGATAGGAGTAAAATATATCTCCACTTTTTATTATGATCTTATTGTCTGCCACAAAATTTTATTATATTGCTTTGTGTGGGCTTTTTTAATACATATCATCTGATTTCCACAAAAGGCACATTTCCTTATCTTTAGACAGCAAAATATAAAGTTATATTCGGAAGGCAGCATTTCTGAATATTCTTCCTTAAAGAAATGGAACCCTCTGCTTTTGTGTTTGATTAAGAACATCACATGTATTTTAAGCACATGTAAATATCTCTTTTCCCTTGAAATGCTAGAGTTTTACAAGATTGGAAATGGGAAGAGGCATTTTAAAACTATCACTGTGATGATTACTGCTGATTTCTTATGTAAGCTATACCAAAGTTCAAATTTTTTGCCAAAATTACTCATAAAAAGTTATATATTCTCACTATAGACTTGCTAAAGTGTCTCTTGCTAAAGGAACTCAAACTGGTTCATAAATATTGTTTCTCTTTTAATCTCCCAACTCCCCTTTAAGATAGATGCTATAATTACACTAGAAAGAATTTTATTCTGCTGTCCAAAAAATTATGTTTATTATTTCTATTTCAGTGCTTGAAGAGGGTTCTATTGAAGAGGGTTCATTGTATTCAATCCCACTATGACCCAAGATGAGAGAGTTCTTCTCATTACTTTCTTTTTTCTGACACAGAGTTTTGCTCTTGTCGCCCAGGCTGGAGTGCAATGGAGGGATCTTGGCTCACTGCAACCTCTACCTCCCAGGTTCAAGCAGTTCTCCTGCCTCCACCTCTAGAGTAGCTGGGATTACAGGCACGTGCCACCACACTCGGCTAATTTTTGTATTTTTAGTAGAGACAAGGCTTCACCATGTTGGCCAGTCTAGTCTCGAACTCCTGACCTCAGGTGATCTGCCTGCCTCGGCCTTCCAAAGTGCTGGGATTACAGACATAAGCCACCTCGCCTGGCCTCTTCTCATTACTTTCATGCTGAAATGTTTTATAACATATACTACAACAAGCAGGAATATCAAATATCCTGCTTTAGGATCTCCATCTCAAAAGAAGAAAAAAATACCTCCCAACCCTGTGTGACGGTTAATATAGAGTGTCAACTTGATTGGATTGAAGGATGCAAAGTATTGTTCCTGGGTGTTTCTGAGAGGGTGTTGCCAAAGGAGATTAACATTTGAGGCAGCGGACTGGGAGAGGCAGACCCACCCTCAATGTGAGTGGGCACCATCTAATCAGCTCCAGCGCTGCTAGGATAAAGCAGTCAGAGGAACGTGGAAGGAACGTGAGTCTTCTGGCCTCCATCTCTCCCGTGCTGGATGCTTCCCGCCCTCAAACATCGGACTCCAAATTCTTGAGCTTTTGGACTCTTGGACTTACACCAGTGGTTTGCCAGGGGCTCTCAGTCCTTCATCCACAGACTGAAAGCTGCACTGTCGGCTACCCTGCTTTTGACGTTTTGGGAGGCAGACTGGTTTCCTTGCTCGTCAGCTTGCAAATGGCCTATTGTGGGACTTCCTCTTGTGATCGTGTGAGTCAATACTCCTTAATAAGTTCCCTTCATGTACACATCTATCCTATTAGTGCTGTCCCCATAGAGAACCCTGAGTAATACACCCTGAAATAAAGAAGTTTAGCAAAGTTTATGTGAATCATTTTTGTTTTGGTTTGTATTTGTTTTAATCAATTACATTCAAATTTTAGCTCTAGTGTATTTGGAATAGAATGGTTTAACTTCATTTCTTTAGCTGAGGCATTACGAAATTATGATCAAGCTTCTGCCATATTTTTATTCCTTAATATTTTATAATTTTAAAACCATTTTCATATGAAGTAACTTGACTTTTCAAGCAATCTTTTGTTAAGCAGGGCAGGAATTGTTATACATTTTCATAATGAGAAAATTAAAGTTTAGAGGAGGTTAAATACAGCCCAAGGTCACATTACCAGCAACTAGCAGTGTTAAGCCTTGAAGGCTAAGCTATGCCCACAGTTCTTTGTGCTGTATTAATGATGCATTGATAATTCCATGGTTACAAGAAACACATATTAAGTGCCTAGTAAATAATTCATTGTACAATTTTTCAAAGTATGAAGTAAAAGAAATAAAATATACAACTTTTGTTCATGAGTTTACATTCTAATGCTAAGAGAAAATATTAGAAGGAAAATATAGAAATATGTCTTCTACATTGAAACATGAGGGGTGTAGAAAGAAACATTTGAGATATGCAATCAGTGTACTTTAATATGGTACAAAGTGATTAAATGGGCCCTAGAGAAGCACAAAGTTTTCTCTTGGTTTGCTAGAGAAGCAATGTCTGCATTGTTCCAATGTAGTCACTAAGTGTCAAAACTTAATGTTTCTCTTACCAGAGAAATATGCCTGGTTTCAAGGTTACCAAACTGACTACTGTAAACAATTTCTGCAGTCAATTCACAGGACCTCCACAGTGTGCCTTTTGCTGGGTAGGAAAATGCCAGCCAGCTTGGAAAACAAGAAGACACATTTATGTCTACCATGAGCATTGGCATCAGCCAATTATCCCACACGTTTTCGGCTAGTCAGTGCTGAAGAGAGCAAGGTCAGTACTCTTTTAGCTGAAAGACCTAGGAGTTAACTAAGTGTGGCACTTTCTGTGTCAATTTCAAAGTATTTTATAATACTAAATAGTCACTAAATACAATTTATGGAATTTCGCACTTGGAGCATAAACTTTATGATCCTTCTCTTCCAGACTATTGTCATTTGCTTTTTGGCAAAGAATCAGATTTCTTCATTCCCTCTTTTCTAGTAATTCAATGAGCACTTTTGCATTCTATTTACATAATGGTTTATTGACAATTCTTTTGGAGGTGTTCTGCAAGCCACTTACTTCACCTGTGGGTTTCAAGGCTTTGGTTTATCTTGCAAAACAGAGACAATATCACCCACATCACTGCTCTCCAACTATTTGTGGGAAAGAACCAGTATTTTTTAATTATTATTTCAACTCTGTCACAAACCTCTATGTAGTTGTACTGTGCATGGCTGGTTCACAATGCACACATGCAAGTCTGACAACACACTATCCAGTCTATACATGATCTATGGAACAAGGCCACTGATCCCAAGCTTGAATGTCATAGAAATGTCAAATTGCTACAAAATTTTCTAAGTGTTTATTCCTTATTTCTGTAGCAGTGTGCATCAAATTTAGCTTTTATCTACACTTTCCACAGAGATCCATGACCCTTAGTACAAAACTGTGACCACCTGAGGAGCTCAATTGCTACCATCTAGTGGAATGACTCTTCTGGAGAACTCTTTCAGTCTAACCAACTACACATTTCCTTCAAGCACTGAACCTTCTACTTCATTTCCTTGCTGTTACAGTCTGTTTCCTTCTACATATTACACATGTCCAGGAATGGACATTTCTGATATAGTCTTCTTTTTAATTGGAAGACAGAGCTCATTTTTATTGTTTATTTATTTTTGAGACAGAGTCTTGCCCTGTCGTCCAGGCTGGAGTGCAGCGGTACAATCTCAGCTCACTGCAACCTCCACCTCCCAGGTTCAAGTGATTCTCGTACCTCAGCCTCCCAAGCAGCTGGGATTATAGGCGTGCACCAACACACCCAGCTAATTTTTGTATTTTTAATAGAGATGGGGTTTCACCATATTGTCCAGGCTGGTCTCGAACTCCTGACCTCAAGTGGTCCTCCCACCTGGGTCTCCCAAAGTGCTGGGATTACAAATGTGAGCCACTGTACCTACCCAGAGCTCATTTTTAAAAAGATATAGTCTCTACCCCAGGTTAAAAACTGTATGTCAACATATTAGAAGTATCTTAAAGATAAAATGCCCATATTAATGCTAATAACTTAAGTGACCAACTTAAATCACATGTGTGGCCCAGGAGGCTCACAGCAAATATTTGACCAATTAATAACAGGAAGCATCAAAGGGAGAGAAGTGAGGTGACCACATAATTTAACATCCAAATGTAGTTTATAATTCAGAACTCAAAAACATTCTATTATACAGGCATACTTCACTTAATTGTATATCCCTTTATCGCACTTCCCAGATATCGTGTTTTTTCACACATTGAAGGTTTGCAGCAACCCTACACTGAGAAAACCTATCAGTGCCATTTTCCCAAGGGTGTGTGTTCACTTCACGTCTCTGTGTCACATTTTGGTAATCCTCACAATATTCTCACAATAGTTCAGACCTTTTCATTATTATTATATCTGCTATGGTGATCTATGATCACTGATCTTTGATGTTACTTTAATTGTTTTGAGGCACCACAAACCATACCCATATGACAGCAAACTTAATCAATAAAGGTTGTGTGTGTTCTGAATGCTCCACTGACTAATCGTTTCCCATCTCTCTCCCTCTCCTCTAGCCTCCTTATTCCCTGAGACACAACCATATTGAAATTAAACCAATTAATAACCGTCCCATGGCATCTAAGTGTTCAAGTGAAAGGAAGAGTCGCATATCTCTCACTTTAAATGAAAACCTAGAAAAAAATTAAGCTTAGTGAAGAAGGCATATCTAAAGCTGAGATAGGCCAAAAGCTAGACTTCTTGTGCCAAATAGTTAGCCAAGCTGTAAATGAAAAGGAAAAATTCTTTGAGAACATTAAAGCTGCTACTCCAGTGAACGCACAAATGACAAGAAAGCAAAACAGCCTTATTGCTGACAGGGAGAAAGCGTGAGTGGTCCAAATAGATCAAACCAGCAACAACTTTGTCTTAAGCCAAAGCCTAATCCAGAGCAAAGCCCTAACTCTTTTCAGTTCTATGAAGGCTGAGAGAGGTGAGGAAGCAACTGAAGAAAAGTCAGAAGCTAGCAGAGGTTGTTACATGAGGTTTAAGGAAAGAAGCTGTCTCCATAGCATAAAAGAGTTACAGTAAATAGACAAGAATAAGGCAGGAGAGGGCTCTCCACTCACCAGGAATGTCAGGCAATCATCAGGTGATGGTTGGGTGGTTGTTAAACTGTCTCGCTAAGATAATAATTGGTCACAGCTGGCACCAGAAAAAGGCCGTCTCCAGGTAGATAGAAAACACCTGAAGCTAGTGATCACCTGCTTCCTGATAAGGTCTCAGGAATTGGGTGAGTGGGCTCCAGCATGTGTACTAAAAGGAAAAATGGCAGAGTTTAACTGGTATATGACCTTCTAGGAACACTTGACTGGTGAGGGAAGAATGCCTCAAGTGAGCATACATACAACTCCAATAATTACACTGCACATACAGCCCTTCCTAAGTGCTGACAGGCCACTGCACATGTGGACAGCCCAACCCGAGAAAAGAATCAGGAGAGAAGAGACACAAGACCCCAGAAGTATGCCAACATATAAAACCCTAAGTCAAAGGTCAAACTGCACACTTGAGTCTCTCAAGTCACCCGCTTGGGCCCCTTACAAGTGTACTCTGCTTCCTTTCATTCCTGCTCTAAAATTTTTTAATAAAATTTCAGATCTGCTCTAAAACTTGCCTCGATCTCTCCCTCTGCCTTATGCTCCTTGGTCAAATTCTTTCTTCTGAGGAGGCAAGCATTGAGTTTGCTGAAGACCCATACAGATTCACCACTGCTAACAAAACTACAAGGTAAAGAAGCAAATGCTGATGTGGAAGCCACAGCAAGTTATGAAGAAAATCTAGCTACAATCATTAATGAAGGTGGCTACACCAAACCACAGATTTTCAAGAGAGACAAACGAGTCATCTATTGAAACAAGATGCCATCTAGGATTTTCATAGCTAAAGAAGGGAAGTCAATACCTGGCTTCAAAGCTTCAAGGAACCGTCTAACTCTCTTGTTAGGGACTAATGCAGCTGATGACTTTAAATTAAAGCCAATGCTCATTTACCATTCTGACAATCTGATGGTTCTTAAGAATTATGCTACATCTACTCTTGCTGGGCTCTAGAAATGGAACAACACAATCTGAATGACAGCACAGTTTGCTGAATATTATAAGCCTAGGAGTGAAACCTACTGCTCAGAAAAAAAGATTCCTTTCAAAATACTACTGCTATTGACAATGCACGTGGCCACCCAAGAGCCATGATGGAGATGTATAAGATTAATATTGTTTTCATGCCTGCTAACACAACATCCATTCTTTAACCCATGAGTCAAGAAGTAATTTTGACTTTCAAGTCTTATGATTTAAGAAATACATTTCATAAGGCTATAGCTGCCAAAGATAGTAATTCCTGTGCTGGATCTGGGCAAAGTCAATTGAAGATATTTACCATTCTAGATGTCATTAAAACATTCATGATTCATAGGAGGAAGTCAAAATATCAACATTATCCGGAGTTTGAAAAAAGTTGATTTCAACCCTCATGGAAGGCTTTGAGGGGTTCAAGACCTCAGTGGAGGAAGTCACTGCAGGTGTGGTAGAAATAGCAAGAGAACTAGAATTAGAAATGGAACCTGAAGCTTTGACTGAATTCCTGCAATCTCAAGATCAAACTTTAACAGACACAAGTTGCTTCACATATATGAGCAAAGAAATTGATTTCTTGACATGAATCTACTCCTGGTGAAGATCCTGTGAACACTGTTAAAATAACAAAGGATTTAGAATATTACACCAACTTAGCTGGTAAAGCAGCATCGGGGTTTGAAAGCATTGACTTTAATTTTGAAAGAAGTTCTACTACTGTGGGTAAAACGCTATCAAACAGCATCACATGCTATAGAGAAATATTTTTTAAAAGCAAGAGTCAATTGATAGAGCAAATTTATTGTCTGATTTTAAGAAATTGCCAGAGCCATCCCAGCCTTCAACAATTATCACTTTGATCCCTCAGCAGCCACCAACATTGTGGCAAGACCCACCAGCAAAAAGATGATGACTCACTGAAGACTCAGATGTTCATTAGCATTTTTAGCAATCAAGTATTTTTTATTAATGTATGTACATTTTTAGATATAATACTACCACACACTACATAGACTATAGTACAGTATAAATATAACATTTATATTCACTGGGAAACCAAAAAATTTGTGTGACTAACTTTATTATGATGTTCACTTTGTTGCAGTGGTTTGAAATCAAACCCTCGATATGTCTCAGGTACGCCTGTAACATAACATAATAAATTTCAATTGTGAAATATATTGACCTAAACCTTTGCTTCTTTCAGGAAAAGTTACAGAGAGTATAATGTACTTACAAAAAACGTTTTTTAATAATCAGTGAAAGAATACAGGCATTGGTGGACAACATTTAAAGTAACATTATCTTCCTTGGCAATGATTTGGTAGAGATAAGGGAGAATGCTGGAAGAAGGTGGTTATTGCCCTCCTAAAATCCTCCTTGTGGTCCTAGGAGGCAATGGAAAGTTCTAGATGCTAACTCTGAGTGGTAATAGCAGGAACACTACTGCTGTCTTCACCCACCTCTTCTTACAAACATATATTCAGAGATTCACTTGAATTTTAGGCAGATTTGCTTTCTCTGCTTTCTCTGTTCTGTAAAGAATCAAGAGTCAGAAAGTTGCCCTAAGATCCTATATCCCAACCAGTATGCACCGAATGGGAATTCTAAATTAATGTATTATTATTGTCAACTGCAAAGGGAGCTTCCTAATATCCACTCTAATGAGAAAAGAAGAACAAAAATACAAGAAAATAAAGGAAAACAATAGCTTTTGCGCAGGAGAGATTATAGCAGAAAGATTTGACATTTATTTTACCAGAAGTTATTATCTAATATATTACAAGGTCAGACCTGTATGAATGATAAAAATCAGAGAATTATTAAGGCTCACAGACCATGTCTTCTATTCTGAACAATTAGTGTTTGGGATACAACAAAACAAAGGTACTTTACACTTAAAGAATATTTTTCCCTCATTTAAATTTCATTCACTCCTTACCTAAATATCACTGACTCTTTTATTGGACCTTATTCACTTGTCATCATTATTGCTTTTTTCATCTCCTTACTATGGAAATAAAATATACATGCAAGAACCTTGGGCTGAACTTACATCAAGTCCCACTGGAACATTGTAATAATACAAAATAAATCCTGAAATATAGACTTAAAAATATAGATAGTTCTATGAAGCTGGAGTTTACAATTTTTCTTTTCTAGAATCAGCCCTTAATCATACACCTCTTCTTTTCTTTTACTTACACAGAATTTCAACCCTTCTTGCTACATTCAAGACATAGAAATCCAGCCAGAAGACAACTCGAGATATTTTGTGGATCTATGCCTTTCCTTCAGAAAAGCAAATATCTACCATAAAAAAACACTGGTCCAATATTCACTTCTATAAGAAATGCAGGGGCAAATAAATTATGGATTTTATTATCGCTAATAGAGTCACTTAACCATTACTCCTTACTACATTCTGCTTTTCTAACAAAATTTCGACTGAATATTCTCCCTCAGAGCCTCCAAAAGGAACCAACTGATGACAACTGATTTTGGACTTCTGGCCTCCTGAACTATAACAAAATAAACATCTGTTGTTTTAAGCAAGCCAGGTTGTGATTGTTACAGAAGCTCTAGGAAACTAAAATACTTAATATCTAAGTATCTTAAAACTAAGATACCTTCTTATACCTTCTTATCATGCGATCATAGAAAATATGTCCAATTAGTCACAAGTGGGATTGGGCAAGAGAAGATGGATAAGGGGTGTAAATCCTTCACCACAATTAAGAAATTATACGTAGAAATTGCATTCTATTGGTGAAGCAATAAAATCATTGTTGGGAATAAGAACAGCATTACAGTGTGGTGGCTCAAACCTGTACTCCCAGCAATTTGGGAGGCTGAGGCAGGCGATTCACTTGAGGTCAGGAGTTCAAGATCAGCCTGGCCAACATGGTTAAACCCCATCTCTACTAAAAATACAAAAATTAGCAGGGCATGGTGGCGTGTGCCTGTAATCCCAGCTACTTGGGAGGCTGAGAAGCAGGAGAACCACTTGAACCTGGGAGGTGGAGGTTGTAGTGAGCCAAGATCATGCCACTGCACTTCAGTCTGGGTGACAGAGTGAGACTCCATCTTAAAAAAAAGAGAATATCAATATGGTATGGCTTAATATAGAATATAGAAGCCTGGGTTTCAGTCCTACCTTTACCACTTGCAATGTGCACATATCTTTTTATTATTATTATTTCAGTAGATTTGGGGGGAACCAGTAGTGTTTGATTACATGAATAAGTTCTTTAGTGGTGATTTCTGAGATTTTGGTGCACCCATCACCCGAGCTGTGTACAATGTATCCAATGTGTAGTCTTTCATCCCTAACCTCCCTCCCACCCTCTCCTCTAAATTCCCAGAGTCCATTGTATCATTCTCATGCTTTTACATCCTCATAGCTTAGCTCCCACATATGAGTGAGAATATACAGTGTTTGGTTTTCCATTCCTGAGATACTTCACTTAGAAAAATGGTCTCCAATTCCATCCACATTGCTGCGAATGACATTATTTCACTTTTTTTTTATGGCTGAGTACTATTCCTTGGTGTATATATATCACATTTTCTTTATCCATTCTTTGATTGATAGGCATTTGGGCTGGTTCCATATTTTTGCAATTACAGATTGTGCTGCCATAAACATGCATGTGCAGGTATCTTTTTTGTATAATGACTTCTATCCTTTCATCTGGGGTAGATACCTAGTAGTGGCATTGCTGGATCAAATGGTAGTTCTACTTCTAGTTATTTAAAGAATCTCCACACTGTTTTCCACAATGGTTTTACTAGTTTACATTCCCACCAACAATGTAAAAGTGTTCCCTTTTCACTACATCTATGCCAACATCTATTTTTTTTTAATTTTTTGATTATGCCATTCTTGCAGGAGTAAGGTAGTAACGCATAGTAGTTTTGATTTGCATTACCCTGATAATTTGTAATGCTGAGCATTTTTTTTCTTATGTTTGTTGGCCATTTGTATATCTTCTTTTGAGAATTGTCTATTCATGTCCTTAGCCCACTTTTTGATGGGATTGTTTGATTTTTCTTGCTGATTTGTTTGAGTTCCTTATAGATTCTGGATATAAGTCCTTTGTTAGAAGTACAGATTGTGAAGATTTTCTCCTACTTTGTAGGTTGTCTGTTTACTCTACTGATTGTTTCTTTTGCTGTGCAGAAGCATTTTAGTTTAAGTTCCATCTATCTTTGTTTTTGTTGCATTTGCTTTCGGGTTCTTGGTCATGAAATCGTTGCCTAATCCAATGTCTAGAGGGGTTTTTCTAATGTTATCTTCCAGAATTTTTATGGTTTTGGGTCTTAAATTTAAGTCTTTGATCTATCTTGAGTTGATTTTTTTATAAGATGAGAGAAGAGGAACCAGTTTCATTCTTCTACATGTGGCTAGCCAATTATCCCAGCACCATTTGTTGAATAGGGTCTCCTTTTCCCACTTTATGTTTCTGTTTGCTTTGTCAAAGATCAGTTGACTATATGTATTTGGTTTTATTTCTGGGTTCTCCATTCTGTTCCATTGGTTTATATGCCTGTTTTTATACCAGTACCATGCTGTTTTGGTGACTATGGTCTTATAGGATAGTTTGAAGTCAGATAATGTGATGCCTCCAGATTTGTTCTTTTTACTTAGTCTTGCTTTTGGCTATGCAGGCAGGCCCATTTTGGTCCGATATGAATTTTAGAATTGTTTTTTTCTAGTTCTGTGAAGAATGATGGTAGTATTTTGATGGAAATTGCACTGAATTTGTAGAGTGCTATTGGCAGTATGCCCATTTTCACAATATTGACTCTACCCATCCATGAGCATGGGATATATTTCGATTTGTTTGTGTCATCTATGATGTCTTTCTGCAGTGTTTTGTAGTATTTCCTATAGACGCCTTTTGCCTCCCTGGTTAAGTATATTCCTAAGAATTTTTTTTTTTTTTTTTTGCAGCTACTGTCAAAGGGGTTGAGTTCTTGACTTGATTCTCAGCTTGGTTGCTGTTGGTATATATCAGAGCCACTGATTTGTGTACATTAATTTTGTATTCTGAAACATTGATGAATTCATTTACCAGTTCTAGGAGCTTTTGGGATGAGTCTTTGGATTTTCCAGGTATATGATCATGTCATCCACAAACAGCAACAGTTTAACTTCCTCTTTACCAATTTGGATGCCCTTGATTTCATTCTCTTATCTGAGTGCTCTGGCTAGGACTTCCAACACTATGTTGAATAGAAGTGGTGAAACTGGGCATCCTTGTCTTGTTCCAGTTTTCAGGGGGAATGCTTTCAATTTTTCTTCGTTCAGCATAATGTTGGTTCTGGGTTTGTCATAGATGGCTTTTATTTCCTTAAGGTATGTCTGTTCTATGCTGATTTTGCTGAGGATTTTAATCTTAAAGGGATACTGGATTTCGTCAAATGCTTTTTCTACATCTATTGAGATGACCATGTGATTTTTGTTTTTAATTTTGTTATGTGATATATCACATTTATTGACTTGGGGATGTTAAATCATCCCTGCAACCCTGGTATGAAACCCACTTGATCATGGTGGATTATCTTTTTTATGTGCTGTTGGATTCAGTTAGCTAATAATTTGTTGAAGATTTTTGCATCTGTGTTCATCAGGGATATGGTCTGTAGTTTTCTTTTTTTATTATGTCCTTTCCTTGTTTTGGTATCAGGGTGATGCTGGCTTCATAAGAATGACTTAGGGAGGATTCCCTCTTTATCTATCTTGTTGAATAGTGTCAATAGGATTGGTACCAATTCTTCTTTGGATGTCTGCTAGGATTCAACTATGAATCCGTCTGGGCCTGGACTTTTTTTTCTTGGTAACTTTTTAATTACCATTTAAATCTCGCTGTTTCTTATTGGTCTGTTCAGAGCTGCTATTTCTTCCTGGTTTAATGTAGGAGAGTTGCATATTTTCAAGAATTTATCCATATCCTCTAGGTTTTCTAGTTTATGCATGTAAAGGTGTTCATAGTAGCCTTGAATGAACTTTTGTATTTCTGTGGTATTGGATGTACGGTCTCCCATTTTGTTTCTAATTGAGCTTATTTGCATCTTTGCTCCTCTTTTCATGGTTAATCTTGCTAATGATCTATCAATTTTATTTATCTTTTCAAAGAACCAGCTGTTTCTTTCATTTATCTTTTATGTTTTTTGTTTCAATTTCATTTCGTTCTGCTCTAATCTTGGTTGTTTCTTTTCTTCTGCTGGGTTTGGGTGTGGTTTGTTCTTGTTTTTCTATCTGCTTGAGGTGTGACCTTAGATTGTCTGTGCTCTTTCAGACTTTTGGATGGAGGCATTTAAGGCTATGAACTTTCCTCTTAGTACCACCTTTGCTGTATCCCAGAGGTTTTGATAGGCTGTGTCACTATTATCATTAAGTTCAAAAAATTTTAAAATTTCCATTTTGATTTCATTGTTGACCCAGTGATCATTCAGGAGCAGGTTATTTAATTTCCATGTCTTTGCATGGTTTTGAGGGTTCCTTTTGGAGCTGGTTTCCAATTTTATTCCACTGTGGTCTGACAGAGTACTTGCTATAACTTCAATTTTCTTAAATTTGTTGACACTTGTTTTGTGGCCTATCATATGGTCTATCTTGGAGAATGGAGAATGTTCCATGTGCTAATGAATAGAATGTATATTCTGCAGTTGTTGGGTAGAATGTTCTGTAAATACCTGTTAGGTCCATTTTTTCTAGGGTACAGTTTAAGTCCATTGTTTCTTTGTTGACTTTCTGTCTTGAAGACCTGTCTAGTGTTGTCAGTGGAGTATTGAAGCCCCCCGCTATTATTGTGTTGCTCTCTATCTCATTTTTTTAGGTCTAGTAGTAATTGTTTTATAAATTTTGGAGCAACAGTGTTAGGTGCAAATATATTTAGAATTGTGATATTTTCCTGTTGAACTGTTTTTTTATTAATATATAACGACGTCCCTCTTTATCTTTTTTAACTGCTGTTGCTTTAAAGTTTGTTTTGTCTGATATAAGAATAGCTACTCCTGCTTACTTTTGGTGTCCATTTGCACAGAATATCTTTTCCACCTTCTAACCTTAAGTTTAGCATATTCCTGGAATGTAGTAAGTACTAAATAAATGCTTATTACCTCTTAATGTCATATTTTTAACTGTTAATACACCAGCAAACAAAATAGGCACACAAAAAATCTATTCCAACGTTTTCTCAGGGGAATATTATAGTAAGTAAGGATATGGTATAAATATCTGAACTGCCAACCGGTGGAAGGACAAGCCACTTTTAGTAGCAAATAAGCTATTAACACATTATAAGGTAATTAGACTGATCCAGCCAGATACAAAGAAGTACTTGCCTCATGTAACAGGAATTTTTTTTCAGAATTTTTAGGCAGGTTTTTTATTTAGACATACACACAAAAATATGTTTTCTGAAAGATTGTACACAAAAAACTGCCCTACTGAATCCTTGCCCATATACCCGTGAAAAGAGCTCTGAACTGAGCATTGGATTGACTTCAGACTCTGCTGTTCACTAGCTCTGTGACTTCCCTAAGTCTGTGTCCTCATGATTAAAAAAATAATGGGTAAAATATGTATCTTGTATAATTTTTGTAAGGATTGAATAATAATACAAGTGAATTAGAACTTTGTAGATTATAAGTTAATACACACTATGCAGTATTCTGTAACTGTAATGAAATGCTCTGAGGGCTGTGAACAGAAGGGTCAGGTCCAGGGTTCGAGCCCTACCCTAGGAGGTGATAATCCTGGAGAAGGCTGAATGTCGTGTCCAAGTTCACACATCTAGGGCAGAGGGAGCAACATGACCCTGGTCCAGTTACTGTGAGAAAACATTTCTAATGGTCCATTTTCAAGGCATAATAAATCTATGTACTGGCAGCCTCCCTGCAGATGTAACAAACCACGCAGCTCATGCTTCTAGAAAGTCACAATAAGCAAACAGAATGTAGAGAAGACGTCAGCCCATAAATAGAAGACAGTTTCGTTATTGGGAAATCCAAACTTAAGCGGGGAAGGAGACCAGGATATAACTTTATAAGGAAGATAATGAGACCTAGGCAATGTCCGGGAGGATTGTAACCCCATAGTGCTCAACCAATGAGGAACTAGGGGAGGGACTTGCGTGCTAGGAGGTAAATTACCTGCAGTAACTGCCCCAGGTGTGCCTGCCTACCAGACACCCAATCTTGCAAGACCACCATTAAAAGTCTTGCTTCCACTGTTCTTCATGTCTCTGAGTTAATTCTTCGGGTTTGGATGGGTAAATGTGTGTTTCTCACAGTCACTTATCTCCTTCAAGCCTCTTGCAGTAACAGATAACTCTGGGTGACTGCCCAGATCACATGCATCCCTTCTTGAGAATGAGCCTGATTCATAGAAGCAGGTCATCAGGATGCAAATCTATTCTGTGTGACCCTGTTCCCTGAGCCATAGGTGATTGCTCCAGAGGTACAGACCCAACCAAAGCAGTCAATCATATTCTGTCTCATTTCAACTAAGGAACACAGATATGCAGAGCCTTGGAATTGCTGGATCTGGGTATCCCTGGAGATAGGTATTCCAGAAGGAAGTCCAAAAATGGCTGCTGCCAAGTCTCTGGAATCTCCCAGATTTCTTTTTTTCCTAAATCAACTTTTCCTTTACTTTCATGACATAAGCCAATAGCTTTCTACCAAATTCTTCATTTTTACTTAAGTCAATTAGGTCTTCATCCTTGGTCATCATCATGGTCATTCATCATCAGAAATGCAGGGGACTGATATTGCATTATTCTAATTTTACAGAAAATGTATGCACCTATTTAAAATACTATCTATAAGAAATAGTATAATATTATGTTTTATAAGCAATACAAGTCTAACTGACAAATAAACCCTGAATTCCACGTTATAATGTATTTTATTTAAGGTGGACAATTGGAAACTTACTAACCAAAAGAAGTAGGGAGACAAGACAATGATATTTCTTGTTTATGTTCTTTTTGTTGAGGTTTTCAATAAACTGAAAAAGAATCAAACTTTCTACTAAAAGAAAAAAAAACCCAACTGTGACACTATCTTTTGCACTTTTTAACTACATATTTTTTTATTATAGGCTGAGGCGGGTGGATCACAAGGTCAGGAGTTGAAGGCCAGCCTGGCCAAGATGGTGAAACCCCATCTCCACTAAAAATACAAAAGTTAGCCGGGCATGGTGGCGGGCACCTGTAATCCCAGCTACTCGGAAGGCTGAGGCAGAGAATCGCTTGAACCCGGGAGCCAGAGGTTGCAGTGAGCTGAGATCGCACCACTGCATGCCAGCCTGGGTGACAGAGTGAGACTCCATCTCAAAGAAAAAAAAAAAAAAGAGTCTGTATGCCTATTTTGTTTATATACACATATACAATTGTAAAAAATAGATCTGGTTATTGCTACCAAAAATTTGTGAGGTTTTAAAATAGATCAGGTTACCAAATGAACATAATTGGAGTAAAATGCATAAACTGTTAACAAGACAATATACTAGGCAATATAAACACTATACATAAAATCAGAGGCAATAAAGAATATCTCAAGAATAAGGTCAATTCCCATGTCAAAATTTTACTGCTGAAATTTCAGAGGTCTGTTTTCCTTAATGACAAACTTTTAAAAAATTGATTAAATTGATGTAATAGCCTGGGAACTATCTTAAAGAACACAAAGACAGTATCAAAATCAGATCTTTCACTAATTTACCCTGAAATTATAAGTTTTATAAATCTTCTTTAAAAATGGCTTTGTTGAGATCACATGGACACAGGAAGGGGAACATCACACTCTGGGGACTGTTGTGGGGTGGGGTGAGGGGGGAGGGATAGCACTGGGAGATATACCTAATGCTAGATGACGAGTTAGTGGGTGCAGCACACCAGCATGGCACATGTATACATATGTAACTAACCTGCACAATGTGCACATGTACCCTAAAACTTAAAGTATAATAATAAAAGAAAAAAAAAAAGAAAATGTGGAAAAAAAATGGCTTTGTTTCCATCTATGTAGATCTTAACTCTTAACAATTGTCTTCATTTAAACACTCTTTTAAAAATAGGCAGGTGGTATAAAATGTATTTAGAAATGCAAAGAAACTAGAATAGTGAAACAACCTTGAAAAATAATAACAAAGTTGGGGGCTTCCATTTCCTAAAATAAAGACTTGCTATAAAGCTGCGATCATCAAGACATGGTGGGATTGGTGTTAAAACAAACAAATAGATCAATGGACTGTGCAGAAATAGACCCATACATGTATGATTGCATTAGTCAGCTAGAGCTGCCATAACGAGGTACCACAGATCAGCTGACTTAAACAACAGAAATTTACTTTATCACAGTGCTGGAGGCTGGAAGTCCAAGATCAAGGGGTCAGCAGCATTGGTTTCTGGTGAGGCTTCTCTTCCTGGTTTGCAGGTGGCCACCTTCTCATTGTTTCTTTACATGGCCTTTTCCTCAATGCTCAAGTGGAGAGAGAATTTTCTGGTGTCTCTTTCCCTTCTTCTAAGGATACTAGGCCTACTAGATCAGGGAGTCCCGACCTTATGACCTCTTTTAACCTTAATTACCTCCTTAAAGACCCTCCCTTCAAAAACAACCATGTTGGGAGTTAGGGCTTCAACATATGGCATTAGGAGAGAAATAATTCATAACAATGGTCAATATTTTTTGCAGAGATGTAAAGGAATCCGTGTAGAATGGATAGTCTTTTCAACAAATGGTACTGGAACAATTGGATATCCATAGCCAAAGGGTGGGGAAAAAAGTACTTCAATCCATACATTGCCTCATATACAAAAATCAACTCAAAATGGGTGATAGACCTAAATGTAAGAACTAAAACTACAGAACTTCCAAAGGCACTGTTAAAAATGAAAACAGCAAACTGAAAGAATATCTCTGCAAATAAAATATCTGACAAAAGAGCTATATAAAGAACCCTCAAAACTCATTAAAAAAAAACCAAACAACCCAATCTTTAATGGGAAAAAGCTCTGAATGGACCTTTACCAAAGAAGATACATGGATGTCAAATAAGCCCATGAAAATATGATTAATATCATTAATCATTAGGAAAAGGGAAATTAAGACCACAATGGAAAACCACTACACACCTATAAGAATGGCTAAAATTTAAAAACTGACTTTACCAAGTGTTGGTGAAAATGGAACATAACTCTGTTCTGCTTAATGTCTTCCCAGCATCTGGTAGCCGCTGGCATCCCCCGCCCCACCAAAAAAAAAAAAAAACAAAACTGTTCTTAAATTGAAATTGTAGGGTCGAAGGAGGAAGTCACAACAAAGCATGAATTTTCATCAGTATCATGCTGCATGGATGTAAACTAGAATGAAAAACAAAAGTTCCAATTCACCAACTTTTATTGTGTGGATCATGTTTTGCTGTCTTATTTAATAAACTTTGCTTAGCCCTGTGTCACAAAGGTCTCCTGTGTTTTCATCGATAGGACATAACACACAACTGACCAATAAAAGTCAGATCTGAACCCGTTTCTAGAATCTAGGCACTCCCTTTTCACTGATTGGTAATTGGCAAAATGTAAGTTTAGATCTAATATTGTATTTGCTACTGAGTGGAGAGTTCCTGCTTCATAATGAAGACAACACACAAACAGCTGCCTCAAGAGAGAGAAAGGGAGGTTCCTGACCTGTCAGAAACCAACATAAATCCTGCACTCAAACTGACTTAAGACAGTTTGAGTTTGCTTCCCTCATTAGTTATTAAGCGGTCCTAACTAACAAAGTGACCATTTCTGGAGTAATTTCAGTATAAGAAACATGGAATTTCTAACATCTACCCCTAGACTGCTGTAAGGAATGAATGATAATGTACATAACTTGCTTAGCACAGTGCTCAGCAAATATTGATTCTATAAAAGTTAGCATAGTAAGACCAGTAACCACACTGCAGTGGATGAAGAAAAAAAATGGAAGATGAAGAGAGAAACAGGTATGGGTAATATTCCAAGTGTTTTTGCCAGAAAGAGAAATAGAGAAGGGAAGTAGGGCTAGCAGAAGTAAAATTCACAGATAAGGAAATTTTAAGCTGAACTTCTTTTATGCTATTCCATTGAGTGTGTTGACAAAAATGTGTTTTATCATGTTCAGTCAATATCATACTAAATTGGATTTTGGTTGTTTTCCTAACACCTTCAGATTTTTAATTATTATTGCTCTAAGGCTTGCTGAACTTATAAAATTTTATTACTCACTTAGAGAGAATATATGAGAAAAGTAACAGAATGTTTATGAATTAGACCTTTGGATTGAAGAAACTTAAATGAAACTTTCTCTTTCTTTCTAATTAGTAAAATCTCTTTTAGATGTTGCTGCCATTGATCCATGTTTCTCTGATAACTGTTAAGATAAAATTATATTAAGCTGTTATGTATTATTCTTTCAAAATGAAAATGATCTTATTAGAATATCATCAAATTATTCTATTTTAATGAGTTCAAAAAATTAGGGTTTAGGTTAATAAACACTATATAAAATGGTAAAAATTTGTCTAAGTTATAAGGATGATATCATCCTGAACCTTATTTCTTTTGCATAAAGTGTTAATTATCTACAGATCACAGGTTATTTTGCTATTCCTCCCACCATTGCATTATTTGAATTTTAATAATGGACTTTTGTATGTACAATGTCTCCATTCAAAATACTGACTCACTCTTGATGTAACTTGTGACACTAAATTAGAACCTCAAACATGTTCAGTTGAACCAAACTAAATTAATGTTGTGTGCTGCTCCAATTACCAATGAGAAGATGTTTTATCCTATCACTATAATTTTCCAGTGGATGTTGGTAGGGAAAGTGGGAAGTGTCAAAGTATGAACTAATTAAGCAGATCTACAATAACTACATTTTCATTCTCATACCACCAAGAATTATAACAGTATAACTGAAAAATATTGCCATCCACTTTTGAGCACAGTAACAGATCATTGATTCTACTTTCTACAAACCCCTGGTAAATTCTCTAGACTGTATTAAAGATGACTAACATACATATCTCTCATTGCTTACACAGTCTTTTACATAAATAACTCATAGGATCTCACTCAACTCAGCGAAGTAAATAAGACCTTTCAAAGGTGTGAGAAAACTAAGCTTCAGAAACATTTACTGACACCTAAAGTGCAGCGTTACCAAGAAATGAAACTATAATTCAAATGCATCATCCAACTCAACATTTCATGGTTTTCAGTATACCACACATATATTTATAGACATTATCATATGTATTATTTCTTCTAGCAAGAAATTAAGTGAAATTCCCTCACACAAATTTTAAGATGGTAAAAATGAGAACACCATAAATTCCTCCAATCAGATCAAGCTTCACATTGATCTTCTGTCTCTCACAGCCAAATCTGCCCCTTCACAGCCTTGTTTTAAATTTTGATTGTCTATAAGAAAACCACAAACTTCCAAGAGCATTACTCTGACCCCACGGCAGCGGGCATCTTCCAGAGGATATTGACAGAACATATCCCTCTTTGACCTCAGGTGTCTGGGAACGTGAATTGTGACTGCTTACCTCCTGCTAAGGCCCTGAAACCCACTGGGCTTCAAGCTTTGCCGTAACCAGCAGGTTGCCCTGCTTGGATCACTCTTTGAATGAACAGAGCCAGATGGTGGTCAGTGAGTTTACTGGACAATAGAAGCTTCCTTTTCCTTGAAATCTGACTTTTTCATAATAGAAATGCTAACGTCTTTTCTGTAACTTCCCAGAAACCCACATTCGCATAATAGTCAATCCCGGAGAAATTTCCAAAAAATGTTTCTCATCCAAAACAACTTTTTATGGGTGTATATTCTCATGTCATTACATACTCTATCTCAACTAGATCGTACAAATTTTAAACTCCAGGGGCTGAGGCAGGACTGCATGGTACCGCTTCTCTACTTCCACTAAGCAGCTCTGTCAACTCTACACACATTGCCCTGGTATGTTCCTGGATATTTAGTAGACACTCAAAGATCTTGACTGATTGTAGTAGTCACTGTGCAGACTGAGTCAACAGAAGAAGGCCTTCCCCCAAGGAATGTAAAACGTAAGATAGATAGCACAGGTTTAAATACACATTATATACATAATAAGAAATTCAGTAGAGAAGATGCTTTACAAATATACACAGAATATATTAATCTTAAGACATTCATATTATGTTCAAGTAAAGGTTTGATTTTTCTATTGTGAGATTGTAAATGAATCATTTCATTTATAGCTATGTATACCTAGGGGAAAAAAGGGTAATTTTAGCAGGTCTAAGGTAAGCTACATGTGAAAGATAAGAATTTGAGAGAAAAGGAAAATGAGAAACAAACAAGGGTAAGGAACGACATTGTAGCCTCTGAATGAATGAAAACCTGACAGACCCAAGTAGGAATGCTGCCTGCTCATCATTAACATGTTCTACGTTAAACATTACAAACTTAACATTTTTGTAGGTCAAAAATGGCCAAATATTGGCAATTTTGTATAGTTTCTTCTAATAAATACAGTGGTATATTCATCGATTATTCGGCAAATATACTTGAAAACCTTCCGGTGAACAGAGAATATTGATGCAGGATCCAATAGTTGAATTGATAAGACCATATAGAAAAGATTATCTCAAACCTAAAGAGAAATAAGTTCTTGAGAAGACAAAATTTCTCTAGTAAATATTTGGAAATAATATAAAATATTTTCCCATCAATCCAATTGAAAATTAGATGCATTTCTAAAAGTAAAAAATCACTGCCCAGATTACTAGAGCTAAAATGTTTCTTACTTAAAAATTAGACATATAATAATATGAGATAGTAAGTGATATTTAGGTTCAGAAAAATAAATAATTATTGGGCTACCCATTGGATACCATCAAGTTCTCAATTAAGCCTCTACAAAAGTTACTCAAATTATGATGTTTTTATTAATCTATTGAGGATAAAAAGAAAAATTCCATCTCCCACAATGAATGTGTGTGTGTGTGTGTGTGTGTGTGTGTGTGTGACAATTGCCTCATTATTTAACTCTATATTATCTGGTTTTAAACACACACATAAAGACATTTAAGGACAATTTTATTCTTATTACTAATTACATTCATTATACCATGTTTCTATAGTTGAGTGGATAAGATACATATTTACCCATTTCTAAATGACTAGATAGATTTTTTACTGTATGGCTTATTTTCACAAGTGTTTTCCTTTCATAACGTTGACCCATAAAGCATGTAGCCTAGTTTTAGAAAACATTCATATTTTCACCCACTAACAACTAGACTTAAATTTAATGTGTATGCATACAATTGGTATTTTTTATTGAGTTAGGAGACATGGAAATTACTGTCACTTCTTCCTTAGCAGCTTCTCACACCCCCTTTTATTTCCTGCTCATTCAAACTTAAGATTTCTAAGCTGGATTTGGATTAAGTTCTTTTAAAAGATGAATGGAGTCCAGGCACGGTGGCTCACGCCTGTAATCCCAGCACTTTGGGAGGCCAAGGAGGGTGGATCACGAGATCAGGAGATAGAGACCATCCTGGATAACACGGTGAAACCTCATCTCTACTAAAAATACAAAAAAATAGCCGGGAGTGGTGGCAGGCGCCTGTAGTCCCAGCTACTCGGGAGGCTGAGGCAGGAGAAAGGCATGAACCCGGGAGGCAGAGTTTGCAGTGAGCCCAGATCGCACCACTGCACTCCAGCCTGGGCGACAGAGCGAGACTCCGTCTCAAAAAAAAAAAAAAAAAAAAAAAGATGAATGGAAATAATCAACAGAGAATTTGCCACCTCTGTCTACATCATATATGCCAGGGGGTTCCAGTCTCTGTGTTTCTTTAAAAATATTTTCTAAACTTGTTGATTTTTATCATTCTTAAATTTAAGGATAAGAGCACCATTATAGCCTTTGGATGAAATAGATTTCATGTTGTCAAAAGTCCAACACAGTGATAGTTATAGAATTATTCCCCAAAGACAATGTATTCCTAACTGTAAAAAAATAAAATAAAATTTCGTTTAAAGCTTTAAAAAAAGCTTTTTATTAAAGCGTATTGCTATCTTTAAAACAGGCAATTAGGGACTTACAGCTATAGTGGTGGGAAGCTGATTAATCCTTCCCACACACAAAAAAGTATATATATACTTTTTAATATTCACTTTTGTGTATATTTATTTATTATACATTGTATTATATATTTTGTGTATATAGATATACACACAATATATACATATAGATATATACAATATATACGTATTTTATGTATATACAGATATGTACACAAAATATTTTGTGTATATATACACAATATATACATATAGAGAGAGATATACACAATATTGTGCATATATAGAGATATATACACAATATATACATATAGATATATATACAATATATACATATTTTCTGTATATATAGATGTATACACAAAATATAGATAATTATATGGGCAAAAAATATATATATAAATATATATGCAGAAAAATATATACACACACACACAAACTGAACAAATACAATCATGTCAGGGCTCTTAAAATCTATCAAGCCAGATGACAAATTGAGAAGTTTTTTCTTGAAAAACTACTGAAACTTTGGTTAAGAACAATAGCAGTTGGTGGCCTTTTTTGCCTGTGGCTGCTGGCATTCATTTGTCCGCCCCCACCTCAGGTCAGTTACCAAAAGCAAACAAATAGCTTTATCAGGTGGGTCTAACCTAAAAAAGCCTCAGTTTTACTCCCAGAGGGGATGTGGCATTAACTTGGGAGAGCAGGAAGGAAACTTATGGTTTTGTCAGTTAAAGATGGCAAAGTTGGAAGAAAACAAACTAGGGAAACCTGCAGCTTTACTAGCCTGAAGTTACACTTCTGGATTGGGCAAGCATGGATCAGCCAGAGATTTAATTGGGAGAACCTGAAAGTGAGAAAACATAGAAAGATTATGTAACTCTCCCAGATCCCTTGCTGACTGGAGAACTACTGCATTCATTAGAAAGACTCAAGCAATCTGGGCAGAAGTTAAAAGCTAAAAGAGATTGGAGAACTAGATAACTTTCAATATGCTCCCAAACCCACAACAAGATCAATTGAAAGATAGTAGAAGCCTTACTGGCTAGAAATGTTTGAACATATTATGTTTCCATAATTGACTAACCTCTAAGCTATCCAAACATGTACTTTCTTGGGTGTTTTTGTTTGTTTGTTTTGTTTTTCGAGACAGGGTCTCAGTCTGTCACCCAGGCTGGAATATAGTGGCTCAATCATGGCTCACTGTCACCTCAACTTCCCAGGCTCAAGTGATTCTCTGATCTCAGCCACCTCAGTAGCTGGGACTACAGGCACACATCATTGAAACCAACTAATTATTTTTTAATGTATTTTCTGTAGAGACAGGCCTTCACTAAGTTTCCCAGGCTAGTCTCAGACTCCTGAGCTCAAGCAATCTTCCTGCCTCTATCTCCCAAAATACTAGGATTACAGGAATGAGCAACTGTGCTCAGACCAAATTTGGACTTTCTAAGGCAGCCTGGAATAAAACTTTAAATTTAAATTTAAAAACTGAGCAATTAAAAATTTAAAACTATGAAGCCAGGGTAATAAAATGTGGAAGTATCATTGGATATACCATGGGAGGGAGACAGATTTTGCATTGTAAGTCAATACAAGGTACTAAAAAGAAAAACAGAAAAGAAAAATTTCAGAAAAACAAAACATAATCTAGAGGTGAGATAACATATTACCTAAAATATTCAGTTCTTAACAAAAGAAAATGAGTCATGAAAAAACAAGAAAGTGTGAACCATACTCACTAGAAGTTAACTTTAAGTGGATCCAGATATTGGATTTAGCAGACAAATACATCAAAGCAATTAAACAAAAGTATAATCATAATGAATCAATCAACGGGAATTCACAAAAGAGGAATTAAAACTACAAAAAGAAATAAATAAAAATTCTACAGTTTGCAATTTATATAACTGAAATGAAAGTTTTACTATATGGGCTCAAAAGTGGATTTGAGATGGCAGAAGAGAATTAGCTGAAAGATCAATCAATATAAACTTTCCAATCCAAAGAACAAAAAGGGAAAAAAAAATTTAATGAGCAGAACCATAGAGTATTCTGAAGAAAGGTCAAAATAGATCTTACAAAAATGGTAAGAAATTATAGCCCAAAACTTTCTAAATTAGATGAAAATCACATATATCTAAAGATCCAAGAGTCTAGTGAACTCTGGGTAAAATAAACACAGATATCCAAGCCTAGGCATATCTTAGTGAAACTACTGAAAAGCAAATCAACTTATAATGAATGGAGAACAACAATATGATTAAGAGCTGATTTCTCAACAGAAAAAAATAGAGGCTTAAAGGAATTGGAATGACATAATCAATCTTCCAAAAGGAAGAATTAAAAAAAACCCTGTCAACCAAGAATTCTATATATAAAAAACTATCCTTTAAAAAATGAATGTGAAAAAAGACAGAACAAAAGTGAAATAATTTGTTGATAAAAGATGTATCTTATAAGAAATTCTAAAGGAATTGTTTCAGGCTGAAAAAAAAAATACCATATGATAACTTGAATGCAGAAGAAGGAATGAAGAGCACCAGAAATGGTATCTACGGATAAATATTAAATAAAGTATATTTTTTCATTAATTATTTTGATTTTTTAAATAGATAAAAATGTTTAAAGTCAAAATTATAACAATGTATTGTTGGGTTTATAATATAATTAACATAATATATATAAAAATAGTAGAACAAAGGAAGGGAAAGGAAATAAGCTATAGTAAATAGTTAATATATCTTACTAAAATAAGCCAGTGTTTACCTAAAGGAGATTACAAAAAATAAAAATGCATATTATAAACTTTAGAGGAATTATTTTT
Organism: Homo sapiens; assembly: GCF_000001405.40. NCBI lineage: Eukaryota > Metazoa > Chordata > Mammalia > Primates > Hominidae > Homo > Homo sapiens. Next base: position 2,387,520 of record NC_000018.10, read on the forward strand.
TAATTAAAAATATATAGATAAAAATTCCAAAGTATAATGGAACCTTAAATATTCTTTAGTTAACACAAAGAAGATGGTAGAGAAGGAACAGAATAACAAAAAGTGACATGAAATGTATAGAAAACAAATATCAAAGTGACATATATAAATGTAACCAAACAACAATTACATTAAATGTGAATGGACTAAACATTTCAATCAAAAGGCAGAGATTGACAAACTGGATTTGAAAACTAAGATCTAACTATATGCTATATATAAAAGGCATTCTTTAGATTCAAAGACACAAATAGGTCCAAAATGAAGAAGCAGAAAAAAGAAGGATCTTTCATAATCATAAAAGGGTTACTATATACATTAGGAAGATATAATAATTATAAATGTGTATGCACCTAACAATGGAGCCTACAAATATATAAAGCAGAAAAATAAGAGAACTAAATGGAGAAATAGACAACAACTATAGCTACAGGTTTCAGTAATTTCAAAAACTGATAGAACAACTAAGCAGAAAATCAAGAACATAGAAGACTACCAACCTATTTGACCTAACTGAAATGTACAGAATATTTTAACCCAAAATAGAAGAATATTCTTTCTTTTTAAATGCACATGAAACATTCTCAAAAATAGACTATGTCTTAGTCCATAATCAAAATGCTGAAATTATACAAAACATGTATTACGAATTCAATTTATTTAAATTAGAAATCAACAAAAGAGGGAAACACAGCAAATTCTCACATATTTGGAAAATAAAGAACACACTTTTAAGTAGCAAATAGGTCAAAGAAGATATCAAAATTAAATTTTAAACTATAAAATTAATGAAAATACTGTACAACATATCCAAATTCATTGAATAGAGTATCTAAAGAAAACTTACTACTTTATATGTTTATATTAGAAAGGAAGAAAGATCTAAAAAAATCTAAATTTCCACTTCAGAAAGCCAAAAAAAGAAGAACAAGTGATGCACAAAGTAAACAGAAGGAAGAAAATAAAATTGAAGTGGAAAACAATGAAATAGAAAACAGAAAAACAATAGAGGAAATTAATCAAACCAAAAGTTGGCTCTTTGAAAAGTTCAACAAAATTGGTAAACCTTAACTAGATTGAAAAAAAAAAAAAGAAGAGACAAAAGACAAAATTACCAAAAGAAAAAAAGGGCCATCCCTAAGACCCTAAATAAATTAAAAGTATTTTAAGGGACTATTATGAACAACTTTATGCCAACAAACTATTCAACTTAGATGAAATGAGCAAATTTTTATGGGGGTTATCAAAATGTCATCAAAAGAAATGGAAGCTGGGCACAGTGACTCACGCCTGTAATCCCAATGCTTTGGGAGGCTGAGCCAGGTGGATCACCTGAGGCCAAGAGTTCAAGACCAGCCTGGCCAATATGGCAAAACCCCATCTCTACTAAAAATACAAAAAAAAAAAAATTAGCTGGGCATGGTGGTGGGCACCTGTAATCCCAGCTACTCAGGAGGCTGGGGCAGGAAAATCGCTTGAACCTGAGAGGTAGAGGCTGCAGTGAGCCGAGATTACGCCATTGCACTCTAGCCTGGGGAAAAAGAAGGAAACTCTGTCTCAAAAAAAAAAAAAAAAAAGGAAATGGAAAACACATACAGATATATATCAAGTAAAGAAATTAAATAAGTAATTTTAAAATTTCCCAGAAAGAAAAGCCCTGACCCAGACTGATTCCCTACCAAATATTTAAGGAAAAAATATTACCAACCCTAAACAAATGCTTTCAGAAATTAGGAAAAGAGAAAAAATTTTCTAACTTATTTATTGAGCCAGTATTTCCATGATAACAAAACTAAAGACTTTCTTAATTTTTATTTTTTAATTGACACATATTTATTGTACATATTTCTGTGGTACATGTGATATTTTGATTCATGTGTACAGCGTAATTAACATATCAGTCACCTTTTGACAAAGATGCCTTTATGAAAAATCAGTCGGCTGTAATTGCATGGATTTATTTCTGGATTCTCTATTCTGTCCCATTGTTCTATGTGTCTGTATTTGGGCCAATACTATATGTTACTAGTCTAGCTTTATAGTATATTTTGAAATAAGGTATTGCAATGCTTCCAGCTTTGTTTCTTTTTGCTCAGGATTGCTCTGGCTATTTGGGGTCTTTTGTGGTTCTATATAAATTCAGGGGTTTTTCTCTATTTCTGTGAAGAATGTCATTGGCATTTTCATAGAAATTGCATTAAATCTATAGATTTAGTAGTAGAGAAAGACTTTTTTAAAATAAAAATTACAAACCAATATCTCTCATAAATACAGACACAAAAATCCTTTATAAAATATTAGCAGAACAAATCCAGAAATATATGAAACAGAGCACACACCTTGACCAAGTTCTCCTAGGAGTTCTCCCAGGAATGCAAGTTTGGTTTAACATCTGAAAATTAATTAGTGTGATGTACCATATTAATATTAATAGATATAAAGACAAAAGCCCCATGATCTCTCAATCAATTCAGAAAAGATATATGACAAAAATCCAACATCGTTTCAAGATAAAAACACTCAATAAACTAAGAACAGAAAGGAAATTCTTCAACATGATAAAGGAAATCTATGAAAAACTTATAGCTAACATCATACTTAATGGTGAAAGAAGGTTGGAAACGAGGCCACATTGTCTGCTCTCATCATGTTGCAAATAACATGATTGTATAGGTAGACAACCCTAAGGAATCTACAATTTTAAAAACTTCTATAACTAATAAGTTTGGAAGATCACAGAATACAATATCAATGCACAAAAAGCAGTTGAATGTCTGCATACAAGCAATGATGATGCAATTAAGGAAGCAATTACATTTGCATGTCATCAGAAAATGAAGTATTTAGAAAAAAAGTTAACAGAAGATTAAGACAAACCTCTGAAAACTATAAAACAGTTTTTTCACAGAGCAAAATTTAAGATCATCTTAAAAAATGGAGAACTAGTCCACATTCAAGGATTAGACTAGATATTGTTTAAAAGGTAATTTTCTAAAGAACAGCAGGATATTCATGCACAAAATAAAAGAACTCGCACTGTTACCTCACATTATATCCTTTCCTCACACACCCCCACACACCACAGACCAAAGTAACACAAAATAAATTGTAGGCCTAAATGTAAGGACTAAGTTATAAAACTTGCGAGAGAACACAGTCTTAGGTAAACAAAAATATCTTTAATAAGACATCAAAAACATGATCCATGGCAGAAAGAATTAAAATTTGAAATAAATTGGACCTTATCAAAATTTAAAACAATCTTCAAATGACATCATTAAGAAAATGAAAACATAAGCTACAGGACAGGAGAAAATAATTGTAAATCATATATCTGAAAGAATATATTTAAGGAAAAACAAAAGCTCTTACAATTCAATAACAAGAAAATCACTTAGTTAAAAAACAAATGGGCAAAAGATTGGAATAGACATTCACCAAAGAAGATATGTGGATAGCTAATAAACGCATGAAAAGATACTCATCATCATTAGTTATTGCACAAAAAATTAGAATCACGAACATATACCATTGTACACACACACAGTAGAATATCTCTAATCAGAAACACTGGCAATATCAAGTGTTGGCAATGATGCTGAAAAACTGAAACTCTCATACATTGCTGGTGAAAATACAAAATGGTACAGCCTCTTTAAAAAACAGTTTGGTGGTTTCTTTTAAAAGTGTAAAGCATAAATATGTCATATAACACAACAATTTCAATCCTAGGTCTCTAGCCAAGAGAAATAAAAGCATTTGTCCTTAAAGACTTCTACATGAATATTCATAGCCTAGGTATTCATAATAGCCAAAAACTGGAAACAATCCGAATGTCTATCAACTGGTATGTACATAGGTAAAATGGAATTATACTAACAATAAAAAGTAACAAACTACTGCTATGTGCTGCAGTATGGATAAACCTTGAAAGAGATCCTAAAAACTAGATATTGTATGATTTTATTTAAATCATAAATTTAAGGGTTTTGTTTTAAAAAAAAAACCAAAAGTACATCAGAGAAACCAAAAGTACATCAGTGGTTGCCTGGGGTTGGGGGTGGGAGCAGTGATTGATTGCAAATGCACACAAGGGAAGTTTTGAGAGTGATAGACTGTCCTAAAACTGGATTCAAATTCGGTTTGTTTACGGCGATTGGATTCTATAGTAAAGAAATTATACTTTAATAGAGCTGTTTAAAAAATTATTTGTCAACTGAGGCCGGGCACAGTGGCTCACGCCTTTAATCCTAGCACTTTGGGAGGCCGAGGCAGGTGGATTGCCTGAGCTCAGGAGTTCAAGACCAGCTTGGGCAACATGGTGAAACCCTGTCTCTGAAAAAAATCTACCAGAAGAAGAAGAAATAAAAACTGTTTCTGTAAGTGTATTTAATATTATCACAAAATATTATCACAATTCAATATTTATTGAAGATCATTATTAACCAGATATGTACCTTACTACTTAGAGTAGGAGGCTTGGCTATTACATAGTTTTACTATAACATAAACTATGTAGTAAACTATGAGTAGTATAATATAGTAGAGAAAATTGAAGTCCTAGAAGATAGAGGTAATGCATCTTGTCTTGGAACTAACTCTGAGGAACACATATGAAAGGTATATGATAGTCAAAAATGTTTCCCTAGTCATCACCATTATATTTCCATTGACCCCTAAAGTATTTTAAGCAAATGACAATGAAACTTTGGATTACTTTTTTATGCTCCTGATGAGTAACAGAGTGAAGCAAAATGTCATCCCAGTGGCCCCAGGAGAAAAATGCACCTATGGTTACTTTGCTGCTTTGAGTCTTGCTGCCACTGATTTGTTCTAGGACTCTTTCCATCTAAACTTAACCACTCATCACTCTCAACCCAAGTAGCAACTTTAGAGCCATTTTAGGGTGCTGAGACTTGGGGGTTTTTGCTACCAGAGTATAACCTAGCTAAGCCTAATGATACACTCTCTCCGTAAAGAGACTATAAATATATTCTTTTTTGCTACTGAGCCTATTCTGAAGGACCTACCCAGAATAAACTGTGAACAGCTGCCAAGTCAGTCATGTCTTCCAAATAAACCCTGGCGATCAATGGAGCTGTAAATGTCATCACTAAATTACTTCCACTCCAACACCAGAATTATAATCCCCAGCTCAGAAAGTGAAAGATCAGACTATAGTGAGGGACTATGATTTGGACACAGCTCTCTGGATTTCTCAATGAATAGCTTATATCTGTTCCAGCTACTTTGCCTAAAATCCTCTTCCTCAGTCCTCAAACATCTCTCCAATCAGTGAAAGCCTTGCAAAAGGTTTTTATCTTTTCTGTTTTTCAATCTTAATTGAAAGAGAACTCACAGAGAAGTAGGAGTATATTTTCTGGGTTTTGCAAGGGCTGCTTTCACCATCATAAAATGAAAATTATTATCATTCTTACATACACTTTACACAATTTAACATAGAATCAACAGAAATCCAAAATACTAAACTCGGAGCCAGAGATATTCATAGTTAATGAAATTAAAGAGTATGACAACTAAGAATTACTTTCTCATTTGTGCTCATTTAGACAAACCTGTTCAATATGGAGTAGGCATTGCTTCGTGGTTTTGGCACTAAATGATTTTAAGAGCTTTGTGTATTAATAATGAAAAAATCTCTTTTCTGTTACTTCATTATTAAAACTCTCTTTTTGTTTTTTTCTTTTCAAATCTACCTAAACCTAGCAAGTAAAAGACTCTATATACTGATGATGAATGAAAGCCATCTCAGTGAAGGTCACATTTAGAATGAAAACATTCAATTGTTGAAAGTTTCTTTCCTCTGAAAATACTGTAGAAGAATTTCAACATTACAGTTTGAATGACAATCATTATTCTACTTTGCAAATTACATAAAATTTCTGTAGAATGACAACCAAGGTCAACAGCTTCTTTGCACAATCCAAGAATAAAAATTAAACCCTAACATTATAGCATTTTAGACAGAAGGAAAACATAAAAAGCTTTCTGTAATATGTTTTAAGTTTTAAAAAACTTTATAAACTATAAAAACTCAACAAATTTTGAGACATCCAGCTGTTTCTTGAAGGGAATTCAACATATTTCCTTGAGGATTTTGTATTATATGAAAGCATTACTTCCTGTTTCTTCATAAAATCTAGGAAAATCTTTCTAATTCCAATTGGAAACTCTTCTTCATTTCACTACCGCTCAATTAAAAAGAAATGATGACTTATGAAATTGTGTTTGGTTTTATTTACATTAATCAACAATGATCCTAAGTAAGTTCTTGCTCTTCTAAAGTTTATACTGTGTTTCACATACTATTTTTCTTCTCTGATGTAATAAATATTTATACCTAATTTATTTTTACATTATGTTATACCCTTTTCCTACCATTTAGGAATCCATCTTATCATTATTAGAAGAGGTTCTTTTCTCAACCACCTCTATTATAGACTTCAATCAACACATTTATTTCTCAGATTTCTTTTTAGCCTCCCTTGACCAAGAACAACAATGTTTTAAGTAAAATAACCCTTTTTTATTAATGTTGTGATGACCAAGTAATGTTCAGCTTGAATATTATATCTTATATTACACACATCTTGTATTTGATAATCGAGACTCAAGTTTAGCACCTTTTTTATAATTGGTTAAACAAGAAACAATTAGCAAAATCAGTAATTAGAACACTGATTTTTGGAATTAGCCATAGGAAACAGAGAATCTCCATGTCTTCAGCCCTTCTCTCAACCTTTCTGTATTTCCACATGCCTGTCCCTTTTTAGTCTTGTCTGATGATTAATTATAATAGCCCAATAAAGAAATGGCAGATTGCATTAGGTTATGCAGAACCAAAGAGGTCTGGAAAAAACAGAGCGTGATCCATACCTACACGAGTTCTCAGATGATATCACATATTGCCAAGAAATATTACTACATTAATACCACAACAACATGAAAATTATCAGTAAAAGCCACTAATACACAGCAAAAATCCAAACCTAAGGCTTATTCATGTGTGGGGTGTGGATGTGTGTGCATGTATGTGTGTGTGCATGCGTGTGTGTCTGTGTGTTTCTGTGTAGAAGAGAGACATGCGAGAGGTCAAAAATAGAGAAATGAGAAAGAAAAGGATAAAAGATAGATGATAGAAAGCCAAAGACCATTTCCCTTGTTCAGAACTGATCTCTTCCCGTGGAACCAGAGAGCTTTTGAGACTGGAAAATATGGGAAAATAGGCATTTTACAACGAGGCCCCGTCACCTCCAGAAGTGTCTCGATAATGAAGAGCGCTCGGGCACTGCTGTAATCCCCATCCTGGGCAGCTTTCATCTCCCTGCTAAGACTGCATGGTCTCGGGTTATTTTTAGTGGTCTGCTTCCTTCTTTAACTTAATTTTGTGGTGATGTGAATAGAAAGGTTATACAGATGATCAAAGGAAGAGATCTTTAAAAGGCTGAAACCCTGCTGAGCATAAACAAAAAGAATTTTTGTCAGTATCCATGGTAGTTCTCTGTGACTTTAAAAAAAATAGCAGCAGCTAAGACATACATTTCAAGCGATGAGAAGCAGGTTTGCAACTGAACTGCCTTGATCAACTTCTAAATTAATATTTTATGTGACAGGGAAGTATGCTCTCTTCTCCAGCCCAATCTGGGAACTTATTACTAGCTTTCCGCATGAGACCAGCTGGAAGCTCAGGCATGAAGGTAGAGGAATTGTCCCTGGCTATTGTCTATCAAAGCCTCCTCTTATAGCAGCAGCTGTAAACCGGCAGATGTGGAGCAAAATAAATCCAATTCAGATTTTCTTCCCTAATCTATATATCCCTCTAAGGGAAATGGCCTGCATATCAGTAAAACCAAGCTGGAAAAATGTCCTATTGTTTCATCAGCCTCCAGTTAATAAACAAGATTTTAAAAAATCATTTTCACCAACACAACCCTGCACTGTCCCAAGGGACCTGCCCTGAAGGACCTTCAAAAGGTGACTGTAAGAGTGAGTTTCTACCTTTGGGCTGAAATGTGGTGAATGGGCCAGTGTCTTTGGAAGGCTCCATTCTAAGCAGCACCTTGCACACCACAGGCTGCACAGATGGCATTCCTCTGCCACTCTTCTCAAACCTACAGGCCTCCAACCTCTCTTCTTCCCCAGAAGCTCTGAGTGCCTGACCAGAGGTTACTTACGTCCACTGGATAGTTCCTTATGGAGATAAAAAATAAAAGAGAAAATATAAAGGGGAAAAGTGGCAGAATTGGAAAACTCATTTGTTTCCTCAAACCTCAAAGCATGACCACCCAGAAAGAGGTTGAATTGAGAAAATAATAACAAAGAAAATTTTACTGGAAATGAGGGTGAGTAGGGGACAGAGAAAGGAAGCTCAGTCTAAAAAAGAATCTATCTAGCACCTTTTCAAATAATTCTATAAATGTCCTTCCAGAATGACTAAACCGGAAAGGAAATGTCTCCCCGACCCCTTGCTGGTTAATATTTAATGTTTGTTTAACACCCTGCACAAGCTTTCTGCTGTTCTGTAACATTTGAGAAAGGAATTACACACTGATCATAATATATTGTTTAAATTATATGCATACCTAAAGTTTTCAGTTATAACTAAAATAGAAAATGTGACTGAGAATTTTTTTAATTGCTAGAAGATAGATTACACAGGTGCATTCATCACTGCGTTAGGCTTTTTTGTTGTTGTTGTCATTGTTTTTACTATAGCATAGCACTTTCAGAGGTGGAGGCTCAGGAAAGGCCTTCTAATGTGACAGTTTTCAGGCAATAAAATGGGACTCTTCCAGAAGAGACATTCTTGCATATTAAAGACTGTGCATGTGTCAGGGCAGCCGGTACATGGAAAATCTCTGAACCTTCCACTCAATTCTGCTGTGAACCTAAAACTGCTCTGAAAAAAAAATAAAAAATAAAAAAATAAAAAACTCTCTAAAAAAATGGCAGCAACCTTTTGGGAGATACGCAAAACAGATGAATAAATGGATATTAACTTTGCAAACTAGAAAAAGCTGAATCCTAAATTGTCAATGGAGGAATACTCAGGGCAGTGAATTGCTCTGTATAGTACTCCAATAGTGGCTACATTTGTCCAAACCTATAGAATGTACAACACTAACAGTTAATCAAAGAACCAGATGGAACATAACAGGGAAGATAGAAACACGTAATTACAAAACACACCCAAAAAGTGGGTAAATGACTAAGAAGAGAAGGAGAAACAAGACTAGTTGATGAAGATGTGAGAAAGTAAAAGTATTTGAAAATAACTTTGATTTAAAAGGAGAAAAAAATGTAAGAGATTACAAAGTCAGAAACTAAAATGTAAGCAAACGAAATTCTACATGGAAAAAGGGTTATGACTGTTTTTACGGTTGATTTTTTAACCAATTATGACACCACGTGCCCTTTGTAAAAAATTTAGAAAATGCATCAAACTAAATAGAAGTAATAGTATCCATAATCCCACAATTCAAACCAAATATAATAAATATTCAAATGCATTTCTTTCTATATTTTAAACACATTTATATAGTTATGAAAAGATGACATTGACAATTTAAATTCTGTTATTATCCCTTAACACAATCACGTGAATCATTTCCCACGTTATTAGAAATGCTATGCAAATGTTTTTAATTATTATATAATATTTATTGTACAGATATACCATGTTTTATTATCCTTTTTCCATTTGGGGGTATTTATACAGTTTTTCACTATTATAAGTTGTGCTGCAAATAGCATTTAAGCATCAGTTTTTTAATCTATATTTTAAGTTCTTTCCTTAGGATGGATTTTCTTAAACCATAATATTGCATCAAAGGGCTTCATTATCAAAGCTATTGGTGCATATTACTAAATTGCATAAGTTTCTAAGATATGCTATCAGAGCCAATGGCAAATCTTCACTCTAGCACCAATTATTATCATTTTTTATTTTCCGAATATGTAATTTTAAAAAAAGCTTTCATTCTTATTTTATTTTATATTCCTCTATTAGAAAGCATGAATGTTTTCTCTCCAGTTGTGTTTTCTTATCTGGTTCCCTCCAGTATTTTGTAAACTGTTGGTTTACTTCGCCAATTAATTTTAACAGATTTGTAGTTTTCCTTATGGGAAACCATAAATTTCCTGGTTTTACCATTATGTTGAGAGGGAAAACAACATTATGTCAATTTTGCAAAGAATTTCTAGATGATGCTAGCTTAAAAATATATGGAATTTTTTATGACCTGAAGGTTATAACAGATAAAATGACGTTCAAGCTAGAGCTAAATATTTAATAAGGAGAAAGATTTTCAGAAATTTCACCCTTTGATGCTACCCAGGGCGGTGTCACAAAGTAACCAGAACCAAAGATTAATTGAAGCACATCTATAAAGAACTATTGTTGTAAAATAATTACTACCCTACGTTAAATAATCCAGAAATTTGAAATTTCATCACTAGAGTAGCCTAGGGATCCCTCTCTGAAAATGTAAATAATGCTAGTAGAAGTAGCACATGTAATAAAAGTGTGTGTGATTTGTAAGAGCTGCCTTTCTTCTCATGAGAAAAATCAAGCATGTGGGAAGCATTGGATCCCTGATGGGAGCATGAAAGACACCAAACCTAGGCATATCACAGGTAAGAGGCAAATCTCTCTCCGGCAAGCATTTTACCGATTTTTCCTCCTAACTCATAAGCTCCCCTTCTCTCCTTTTCCATCATGGTAATCCACTCTTTCTTCTTTAGGAGACCTGGGCCCTGGTCCCAATTCTTGCAGGAACAGAAAGAAAAGCTTAACGATGCCACCTCTCCCCCAGGCCTCAGGTTCCTATAAATTAAAGATTTGAATAAAATGATCACTTTAAAGTTCTGTAATTTATAAGTGTTGAGGTTTTAATGGTGCTTTGAGGGAAAATAGCAAAATGTTCTATCAACTGTATTGGTTTTGTTTGAAGGCATAATGTTCACTTTCAATACTTTCTCTTTATGACGATGGAAAATTCTTAAGTGTATTACTGTCTAATCCAAAGCAAAAATGAAAAGGTGCTGAAATCTGGCTTTTAACTCTGATATATTGATTTGTTATTTTAAGACTTATGAGACCAAATAAATGTATATTTTCCTGTTTAAAAAAAATATTTTCTCAGTCTAGTTATGTAGCAAATTGTTAGCCCCACTAACAGAACTGTAAAGGGGATTTTCTTAAAGAAACCATAAAACAATGGCACAAGTTAGTGGGGAGGGAGAGATATAAATAGAGCACAGAGGATTTTTAGGGCAGTGAAATTGCTCTGTATGGTTCTATAATGGTGGATATATTTGTTCAAACCCATAGAATGTACAACACCAAGAGTAAACCCTAAGGGAAACTGTGGGTGATGACAGTGTGTCAATGTACATTCATCAGTTGTAACAAATGTACCACCCTGGTGAAGTGCTGATAACGGGGAAGATTATGCATGTATTGGGAAAGGGGGTATATGGCAAACCTCTGTACCTTCCACTTAATTTTGCTGTGAACCTAAAACTGCTCTTAAAAATAAAATCTATTTTAAAAAAAACCATAGCAGCAACATTTTGGGAGATGCAAATCAGAGGAATGAATCAATATTAACTTTCCAAACTGGAAAAATCTAATCCTAAATTGTCAGTGGAGAAAGCTGAACAGAAACCTAATTCACAAACCAGAATCTTCAAATGTCTCAGAAATCAGCAGCAGCAGAAAATTCCAGTATTAGAAGTGAAGATACAGCTGAAAATGGAAACAAATTTCAAAGTTTGATTAGAAAGCCTCGAATGAGCTCCCCTTCTTTGTTAAACTGAGCGATTACCTCTCCCTAATCCCTAGGGAAAGACAAAACAGAAGGATTCTGGATGAGGACACTGCATACAGTTGAAGTCAGTGGTATCAAACTAAAGGAGGATTAAAACTGAGCATTTACACTGTTGGTGGGAGTGTAAACTAGCTCAACCATTGTGGAAGACAGTGTGGCAATTCCTCAAGGATCTAGAACTAGAAATACCATTTGACCCAGCCATCCCATTACTGGGTATATACCGAAAGGATTATAAATCACGCTACTATAAAGACACATGCACTCATATGTTTATTGCGGCACTATTCACAATAGCAAAGACTTGGAACCAAGCCAGATATCCATCAATGATAGACTGGATTAAGAAACTGTGGCACATATACACCATGGATACTATGCAGCCATAAAAAAGGATGAGTTCATGTCCTTTGCAGGGACATGGATGAAGCTGGAAACCATCATCCTGAGCAAACTATCACAGAGACAGAAAACCAAACACCGCATGTTCTCACTCATGGGTGGGAATTGAACAATGAGAACACTTGGACACAGGGCGGGGAACATCACACATGGGGGCCTGTCATGGGGTGGGGGAGAGGGGAGGGATAGTATTAGGAGAAATACCTAATGTAAATGACGAGTTAATGGGTGCACCAAACCAACATGGCACATATATGCCTATGTAACAAACCTGCACGTTGTGCACATGTACCCTAGAACTTAAAGTATAAAAAAAAAATTGAACCTGAATATTGAAACTCCATCCCTCTTTCCTGACTTGGTTCACAGGACACTGGCAGGGGGAGCCTGGAAGATCCTTATCTGTAGAATCTCACCAACTCAAGCAAAAGAAATTAAAGATATTGATATCTGAGTGTATCCCCAATGAAACAGTCTGATCTGCTCAGTCTATTGTGAAGTCTGTGGTCAACAAGCCCTGCACATGCAATGAGCTTCTCAGTGCACCACACTTGAATGTAAACTCACAGACAAGGAGTAATAGTCATTGGAAAAAAGACTCTAAGTTTTAGGGAAGAGACAAAACAAAGACAGAAAAAGGAACTTGAAGGAAATAGAGAACATTCAAGAAAAAGAACAATTTTTAAAATGTGTCTTCAGTATTCTCAGAGAGAAGAGATTTTATATCAATGAAGCTTGAACACAATAATATAGAGTAAAAACTTTGAGAGGAGAAAAAAGAACTTTGAGAAATTTTTAATAGTAGTAGAAATGAAAAACTCAATAGAATGACTGAATGATAAACATGAGGATATCTCTCAAAAAGTAGAGCAAAAAGGACAAAGTTATAAAAAAAAAAGAAGAAGAAATGATAAGAAAATGTGAGGCTAAGTCCAGGAGCTCCAACATCGTAGTAAAAGAATAGAAGGAACATACTTCAAAATAATAAAGGCCATATATGATGAACTCACAGCTAATGTACCAAATTCATACCAAATGGGGAAAGCTGAAAGCCTTTCCTCCAGGATCTGGAACGAGACAAGGATGCCTGCTTTCACCACTCTTATTCATCATAGTACTGGAAGTCCTTGCCAAACAATCAGGCAAGCAAAAGAAATAAAAGGCATCCAAATTGAGGGGGAAAAGGGAAGTCAATTGTTCCTCTTTTCTGATGATATGATCTTGTATCTAGAAAAACCTAAAGACCCCACCAAGAAAAGTTATAACTGATAAATGAACTCAGTAAAGTTGCAGGATATAAAATCAACATACAAAAATCAGTAGTATTTCTATACATCAATAATGAACTAACTGAGAAGGAAATCAAGAAGGCAATCCCATTTGCAATAACAACAGAGGAAAACACCTAGGAATAAATTTAATCAAGGAGGTAAAATATCTTAATGAAGAAATCTACAAAACACTGAAAGAAATTGAAGAAGACACAAATGGAAAGATATCTCATGCTCATGGATTAGAAGAATTAATATAATTTAAATGACCATACTACCCAAAGAAATTCACAAATTCAATGACATTTCTATCAAAACACCAATGTCATTTTTCACAGAATTACAAAAAAGAATCTTAAAATTTGTTTGGAAACAAAAAAGAACCAGAATAGTGAAAGCAATCCTGCGCAAGAAAAACAAAGTGAAGTCACACTACTTGACTTCAAAGCATATTACAAAGCTACAGTAACCAAAACAACATGATATTGGTATAAAAACAGACACATAAAGCAATGGAACAAAAATAGAGAGTCCATAAATAAATTCCCATATTTACAGCCAACTGATTTTCTATAAAAATACCAGGAACATACACTGGGATAAGGACACCTTTTTCAATAAATGGTGCCAGGAAAATTGGATATTCATATGCAGAAGAATGAAACTGAGACCCTATCTCTCCCCATATACAAAAATCAACTCAAGATAGAATAAGACTTAAGCATAAGACCTAAAACTATAACATTACTAGGAAAAAAATAGGGAAAATATTCAAGTCATCAATCTAGGCAAAGATTTCATGGCTCAGACCTCAAAAGCATAGACAATTATTACAAAAATAGACAAATGGGATTATATTAAACTAAAAAGCTACTGCACATCAAAGGAAACAATCAACAAATGAAGAGACAGGAAGAACAGGAGAACAGGAGAAAATATTTGCAAACTACTTATCTGACTAATATCCAAAATATACAAGGAACCTAAACAACTCAATGATTTTAAAAATGAATAATCCCATTAAAAAGTGGGCTAAGGACATGAACAGACATTTTTCAAAAGAAGACATATAAATGGCAGACAGGTCTATGAAAAAGTGCTCAACATCACTAATCAGGGAAATGCAGACCGAAACCACAATGAGATGTCATCTTTCCCCAGTTAGAATGGCTATGATGAAAAAGACAAAAAATGGCAAGAATGCAAAGAAAAGGGAACTCTTATAAACTGTTGATAGGAATGTAAATCAGTATAATCACTATGTAAAACAATGTGGAGGTTTCTCAAAAAATCTGAAAATAGAACTACAGTACAATCCAGCAAGCTCACTACTGGGCATTTATCCAAAGGAAAAGAAATAAGTATTATCAAAGGGATTCCTGCACCCCTATGTTGACTGCAGCACTATTCATAATATCAAAGAGATGGAATCAGCTTAAATATCCATCAATGGATGAATGCATAAAGAAATGTGGTATATGTATACAATAGAATACTCTTCAATCACAAAAGAGAATGAAATCATGTCATCTTCAGCGACATGGAAGGAACCGGAGGTCATTGTGTTAAGTCAAATAAAGCAGGCACAAAGAGACAAATATTGCTTGTCCTCACTCATATGTGAAAGCAAAAAGAGTTTATCTCATAGAGGTAGAGAATAGAATGGTAGATACTGGAGGCTGGGAAGGGTGCGTGGGTGGGAGGCCCAGGATGCAGAAAGGTTGGTTAATGGGTACAAACATACAATTAGATAGAATATATAAGTTCTAAAGTTCATGACTTTAAGTTCTAGAGTAGCATGACTACAGTTAGCAACAACGTATTGTGTATTTCTAAGTAGCTAGAAGAGAGGTCTTGAGTTGCTCCCAACACATAGAAATGATAAACACTCAAGGTGATGGGCACCCCAAATACCCCAACTTGATCATTACACATTCTATGCATGTAACCAATATTCGCATGTACCCCATAATTACATAAAATATTGCATATCAATAAAAAACTATTGAAATAGTAAATTTTATATTATGTATATCTTACCATAATAAAAAAATAAAAAGAAAAAAGCTCCAGTAGGGATGTCTCCAAAAAGATGAAATAGATACATTACTTGACCTGTTTTAATTAAGAGGAAATTAAAGTTTCTGAGGGATAAATTAGGAAAAAGAGATAAGTAAATAGAAAACAAAGCAAATTCAAAATGAGATAATTATTAACCACAACAAAAGAAAATTTTAAAGCTGTGCAAGGAAAGAAAAGTATCGCAGGGTCTAACCTAGCAAATAGCTAACCTAGGCCCACTTCTAGCATTTACAGAATGGGGGCAAGATAAATGAAGGCCCACTTATCGTATGACTATATATTTTGAAAATATAAATTAAATTAGCAAAGTGTTAAATAAAATATATTCTATCCTCCTACCTTAGTAAATGACCTGGAAGTCCAGGACAGAATTTAAAATTCTCAAGTTTTTCCAAGTTCCACACCAGAACTTTGCAGTGGAAGGGGAGAACCAGCCACTGGCCCCAGCTGAACAGCTCACCCTTTTTCTTCCAGCCCCAGGGTCCATCCCACATCTGAAGAGCCTTGTGGGCATGTGTCTGGACACACACACGTGTCCATGCTCTGACCACACCCTCACCAACACCTCCCTCCTAGGTACCCACATAGGTGGCACCCTCCACCTTTAGTAGGACATGAGACACGCATGGGCCTTGGAAGCCATTTCAGGCCATTTGGGTGGGGAATTCTAGGTCTCTGAACCCAGTGCGAGACCTGGAAAGGGAGCCTCCTTGACCCTGTGAATTTCTCTCCCCATGAGTAAGGGCCAGAAGAAGATCTCCCAAAGTGTGGCTGGCAAGACACGGGCCTCTTTACAAATGTCTAAGACTCGTATTGGGCTCAGCTGAAAACAGCATTTATATAAGCATGGCAGTGTACATAATAAATATTAATACAAAAATGTTAACATGAAATTATGAAGAGGATGATGGGGATGGGAAACATGCAGTGAAGAGCTTGGTATAAGGGGTAAGGATTAAAGAGAAATAAAGCCTGATCTTTTATAGTAGGAAGTCTAAAGATAATGCCTAAAAGTGAAGAACCTAGAAGTTGAATATAATCATGTTATTTAGGGATATAAAGAAAAAAAAGAAATAACTAAAAAGCATTGAGCTCTAAGAAATAAAAGGGAGGAGAGCAGAATTGTAGGGGAGTATTATTCTCTATATAAGACTTGTATAGGCCGGGAGTGGTGACTCACGCCTGTAATCCCAGCACTTTGGGAGGCCAAGGGGGCAGATCATTTGAGGTGAGGAGTTCGAGACCAGCCTGGCCAACATGGTGAAACCTCATCTCTACTAAAAATACAAAAATTAGCCGGACATGGTGGTGCATGCTTGTAATCTCAGCTACTTGGGAGGCTGAGGCAGGAGGATTGCTTGAACCCAGGAGGTGGAGGTTGCAGCGAGCTAAATCACGCCACTGCACTCCAGCCTGGGCAACAGAGCGAGACTCCATCTCAAAAAAAAAAAGAGAGAGAGAGACTTGTATAATTATTTGACAACTATATGCATTTCAACTTTGATACTAAAAAAATTAAAAAGAACGTAGTATAAAGAATAATCTTTTCTAGTGCATTGAACCACTTGCACCTTAATATGAACTCTGGGAAACTTTTCATTAACCTGGTCCTTTCAGAATAACAAAAATATAAGAGGCAGAGCTTTAGAGGAGAATATTAGCATGTAAGAGGAACATTGGTGATAGGAAAATGTTTCAGATTCACAAATTTCCTTTGGGTTTTTTTTTTTTTTTCACCTTAAGTTCTGGGATATATGTGCTGAACTGAGGACACTACATGTTTGAATTTATTCATTCAATAGATATTTATTGAGTAAGTATTTATTTATATGTGACAGGCACCATGTTAGGAGCTAGGGACACAGAAGCAAGAAAAAAAATTTTAACACACGTTTCTGTCCTTGCAGTACTTAATGTCGAGACCAGGTGACATTATTGAATCAAATATTCATTCAGTGACTATAAAATATCAACTGTGGCAGGTGCTATAAAGCAAAGTTCTTGGTGCTAAGAGTGTGTAGAAGAGTAAACCTCCCTCAGTGAGAAGAGTGGGGAAATGTTCCCCAGAAATCACCCTCAAGTTAAAATCCCACTGAGTGGGCCTTACCTAGACAAATCTGTGTGGGTGAAAAGAGAGGCATTAGAAGAGTGTTCTGGAGGAGGAAAGAGCATTCCCAATGGCATCCTTGTTGTTTTATTCCTTTTTGTGTGTGTGCGTGCATCTTATTGACAAATGTCCCTACTCTGCTGTGAACCTTCCTAGCTTGTTACATTTTCAAGCCGTAAGAGGTGAGCAGGTGTATATGGTAAAGAGAACTAAAAGAGGTGCAGTGGCTCACGCCTGTAATCCCAGCACTTTGGGAGGCCAACGTGGAAGGCCAGAAGTTTGAGATCAGCCTGGACAACATAACATGACCCCATCTCTACAAAAAATATAAAATTAAAATAAAAGAGCTGAAAGAGGCTAGTCCTGGTAAGTTGCCAAGTGAGATTCCGACCACAGAGATTGGTGAGATGATCACACAGTGATCAAAATTTCTCATTTTTTTCTCTGAGAAGTCATACAGGAAGGCTTTGCAGGGTCTTCACAGTAGGCTGGGTGCTCTGAAAACAGACACTGCATTGGGATTAAACATGCAAGGATTTTATTAGAGGAAACCCCTGTGAGAGGAAATGGGATAGGAGGGAGGCTAGGAAATGGTCAGACCATGATTAAGCTTGATCCTTCATGAAGGAGAGAGGGAAGGAAGGTTGGGTAGAAGTAGGATTGCCTGGGACTGAGGGGCTTCTGTGACAAGATTGAAGGTGGGACAGTTGGGGCACACCGGGAAGGTTGGCCAGCCTGGGCGGAAGCACTAGACTGCCCTGCCGTGCAGTCTAAGACAGGCTTGGCAAGGCCATCAGGGCGTCCTTGAGCCGAAGCCACCCATCGGGAGAGTCTTAGTACCGACTGCCACACTCATCATTGGCAGCAGCAGCTCGTGGGAATTTCAGCCTCAGTGAAAAAGCGGTAAAGGATTTGCGAGCACCGCAGCAGGGGCCCTAAGTCGATTCTGGGCAGCACCCGGTAGCCGGGATTCCATGAGGTGCATTCGCATGGAGGTCTTGGAAGCGGGTATTGGGAAGGGAGAAGGGACCACAGCAGATCATTTTGTAAATATCATCCAGATGGCAACAGCAACAATGCATTGGAGGAGAACAGCAATAGATGCAAGGAGGCTGTGTAGCAGGCCCACCAAAGATAAAAACAGACTGCAGGTATACAAAGAAATGAGTACTTTACATAAGTAATTACTACACTACATAGTATTTTTATTACCCCTGATCAAAACTCTTTCACAGTCAGGAGTTTCAAGTTACCTTAAAGTACAGTATCTTTGAAAGGTATTTAACTCCTAAACCCATGAAGAGATTCTCTTGTTATTTTTATAACAACATTTATTACCCATTGTGTATAACCATATAGGTTCAGTCATCAGTAATGGGTAATGGCATGAATTGCCAGAAAAAAAGGCCAGCCTGGCCTCTAGCCTAGTCCAAACTTCTGTTTTCTTAGACTGTGAGTTGCTGGGCTGATTTACAGAACTTTGATGGCTTGTTTATTTTCACTTCAGGGTTTTGAAACTTCCTGGTAAAGTTCCCAGAGACATAAGATGCCCTGTGACTGAGCTACTTTGATAGTCCGTTAGTTTTGTTCTTTATGTATGACATATCTCAACTAAAAGAGCCACTTCTTGGTGCTTAATAACGCAACCAGCAGGATGATATCAACTTTGTTTTTATTTTCTGCAAATCAGTTATTTCATGGGAAAGAATTTATTTCACCATTTAGGTACTTTTATTGACAGCTGTAAAAAATACTTTAATATCCTGCCCAGGGAATCTTCCTACACTGTCATATTTCCATTTAACTTAAATGTAAGTTTAAACAGGGACTTGACTCACAGAGTTACCTGCTCTGTTCAAAAGAACTCAATATAACCGAGATATTCTGATTCTTTTTTACAAGAGAAATGAATAAGACAAACACACAATAAATGAACATTTCTGACACAAATGCTACTCTGCTCACTGTATTTTTTACCTCTTTTCTATTCTTTTTTTGCTGCCATTAAAGACAGAATCTGTTCTTTTAATTTATGAATTCATTGCATCCGTTTTCATACCAGAGTCAGCCTTCAGACTTAAACTCTGTAGTTATACTTCTCCAGAGTCTCCAATAGTCTCTCAGTGTATGTTTCACTTATTTTTTTATTATCATCCCTAAAAAAGACATCCACTCATGTTTTACTGGAAGTTAGTAACAGTGTTAAGGTCCTTTATACTTTTGGTATTTCAGTAAGAAGACTCTCTATTAATTCCCAATTAACTCGCTGACTGCCTTTTGCCACCCGCCAGATTTTCTTTTTTTTTTTTTTTTTGAGACCGAGTTTCACTCTTGTTGCCCAGGCTGGAGTGCGGTGGCATGATTTTGGCTCACTGCAACCTTCGCCTCCCTGGTTCAAGTGATTCTGCTGCCTCAGCCTCGCACGTAGCAGGGATTATAGGCGCCCGCCACCACGCCTGGCTAATTATTTGTATTTAAAGCAGAGATGGGGTTTCACCATGTTGGCCAGGCTGGTCTTGAACTCCTGACCTCAGGTGATCCACCCACCTTGGCCTCCCAAAGTGCTGGGATTACAGGCGTGAGCCACCTCACCTGGCCACCACCCACCAAAGTTTCTATGCCTTGCCTATTCAGTTTAAAATAAAGAAGTATTTGACCTCTGCTCATGCATGAAAAGATCAGAATTTATAATTTCTGACTGACCTTCAAATTTATTCCAATGTTAACTTTCAGCAAGAGGAACAAAGTAGTTGAAAAATAAATATTTCTTATAACAGCAAATCTGCTATAGGTGCTCAAAAGGCAAAAAAAAAAAAAATCTGTAAAGCACAGAACCACTTGCAAATGGCAAAAACCACAATGTTTGTTCTTTTAAGGAGAATCACATTATCAGTGAAGAATATCAATCACATTTGCTACAAAAGCATTTAAAATATTTTCTCAGTTTGATATCCCAGTTCTCAAATTACGTTCCAAAAACTGAAACAATTCTGATATGTTTACATGCCATTAAATGAACTAATGATTTATTCTCTACTAAAATATTAACCAATATAGCTAATCCTAATGGAATAAACTATAATAAATTTTAAAATTTACAATCTATCTGCCCTAATAATTTTTGGCCCATGCATAATGTAGGCATTTAAACCAGGTATTCTGATTATTTGCTATGTTGCCTGTCTCCTTCTCCAAGCCTTCTCGTGAATAATCACTCTCTCCACCCCCGTGAATATTCTTTGTGCATTTACTAAATCAGAACAGCAGAGCATAGTGCCTAATTGCTTTTTCATTTTCTTGCTATTATTCTTTTTTCCTTAACTCAGATACAGGCTTCTTGAAGACATGGTATATACCTTTAAAGCCTTTTCTGATATCCCAATCATTAACCAAAAAAAAAATTAAAAAATCATCTACAGAAGCCACACTTGCCTTCATTACAGAATTACCCAACCCCTAATGGCTCTCCTCAGGAAGCTCTGCACCTGTGGTTAAAGAGTTCTGTCTCTGTTAGAAATCTTTTTATTGCAAATGGGGGAAGAACATCTCCAACTAGTTTAAACAAAAAAGTATTTTCTACTCATGTAAAAGTCCACACGATGTCGTGACTTCAGATACAGCTTTCTTCAGGACTCAGGTGATATCCCCTCTTTTCTTCACTTTCTTTGAGTTGACTTCATTCTCAGGCTCCCTGCAGTGATTCTTGCAACTTGGGATTCCCAGATCCACCACACACAGTCCAGTGCCGGAAGGAGAGGCCAACAAAAGCTCAAAAAAAGTCTTTGGCTAAGTCC
This sequence comes from Homo sapiens, assembly GCF_000001405.40. Taxonomy (NCBI): domain Eukaryota; kingdom Metazoa; phylum Chordata; class Mammalia; order Primates; family Hominidae; genus Homo; species Homo sapiens. Next base: position 2,409,067 of record NC_000018.10, read on the forward strand.
TCTTGGTTGAGACTGGCCAGGTTGGCAGGTGCTGATAGCTTAGCTTGGGGAAAGCCTCCAGCTCTGGAGCCCAGGGCTCCAGACTCAAAACTTGCAGGCTAAGAGGGAAGACAGAGTGGCTTCCAGGAAAAACTGTGGTCAGAGAACAAGAACAAGGAGGGAAAAGACCAGTCCATAGCCACTTGTAGTATCGCATCCCCTTGTGACTTTTAGATGCCCAATAGCAGTATTCGTCTGAGGCTTCCGTATTATGCTGCCGTGATGTTTCCTAGTGGCAAACACCTATGGGACTATCAAACAGAATCTTTGTTTGTTCTTCCAGAAACAATTTTCAAAGCAATGTAATATAAAATGTATAAATATACCAATAGTGTATCTAGACTTCCACTGACTTTCAGTGTGTTCTTCTCAAGCTCTCAATATAATAAAATTATGTGATTTTTTTCATTATCTGTTTTTTGACATTATGAACAACTATAATGCCATAAATAAAAACCTTTTGTTAATTCATAAATATTAATTTGTTGTATTGTCTTCAATTCTTTTTTTTTCTTTTTTTGATAAGAAGTCTTACTCTGTCACCCAGGCTGGAGTGCAGTGGCATTGTCTTCAATTCTTAATAGGGATTCTAAAATACTTCCTTGAGGTAACGGTTCTTTTTTTTGAGATGGAGTTTCACTCTTGTCACCCAGGCTGGAGTGCAATGGCACGATCTCGGCTCACTGGAACCTCCGCCTCCTGGGTTCAAGCGATTCTCCTGCCTCAGCCTCCCAAGTAGCTGGGATTACAGGTGCACACCGCCACACCTGGCTAATTTTTGTATTTTAGTAGCCATGTTGGCCAGGCTGGTCTCAAACTTCTGACCTCATGTGATCCCCCCACCTCAGCCTCCCAAAGTGCTGGAATTACAGGCATGAGCCACCGCGCCCGGCCCTGAGGTAATACTTCTTGACTCGTAATTTTAGTTATATTTACTTCATTTAACATGGCACTAAAAGCTCCCACACAGAGGGGAACATGTTACAGCCTGCTGTTAATGTCTCCCCTGATCCTAGACACCTTTCTTAAGAGGTCCATTCCTTTCAACACTTTCAAGCCAGGTAAACACGTTCACCAGTGTTACTGCCTTTTTCTCTATTGTAAACACTTGAGAAATATGTTAAATGTCATTCTATCATTTCCTCTTCCTCTTGCTTCCCTTTAAATGTTTTGGTAGAAAATACTTTTCCCAGAAATATAACTGAGTTTATTCATCTTTAAAACCGTATCTTTGCATACTATAGAATATTTTTAGGCAATGCCAAGGATTTTTTGTTTTTTTGCCTCTCATCAATTTCTTCTCACATTTACTCTTTTTCATAAAGTTGACTTCTTTTTCATTCAAACTTCTGTCAGATTTCTACTTGTTCTCTCTTCTTTCCCTTAAGACTTGTTTAGTACCTTCTAAAAGATGCCTTCTCCAAACAATTTTTCAGAAGACTAAGATGCTGCTTAAACCTAAAACCACAGTCTTAAAATTATTTTTATTTTTCATCCACATGCAAATTGAAAGACGTGGAGTCATGAAATAAAATATTCTTAAGCTTATTAATATTTTATGTTTACATATACATATGCGGTGAGTCCCAAAATAGTATTTTAAAGTGCTGGATGTTTTTGCCTATTGATTTTAATTAAGTGTACTTTAGGTTGTCTGGATTGCAAGTAAGACAGAAAGGAAAATAGATGAAAAAAATCACAAGCAAGCTTTTTATTCCAGTTCTTGGGGAAAAAACTAATAAGCCACCTCCACAGTGAATTTCTAGTGAGTCATTAACCAGGGATTTGTTGCCTTGGTTACTGAGCCAGGTAGAGATTCCAGTAAAAAAGCAATGTGACCTATAGCTCAAGAAACTGAAGAAGTGAAATTTCTGCATGATGATATTTGCAGTTACTACAGAAAGAAATGAAAAGAGTAAAAAGTATATGTTAAAAGGGAAAAAAAGATTACTTCGATTTTTGACCCCATGTCAAAGATGTTTACAACCACACAACACACACTTTTAAGAATAACATTTCAGTGTTTGTTTCCTTGTGAAATATTACAAGACATAAACCATTTCCAATATATGAGACCTGTCCCACCCTAGAAAACAAAGCACTTGACTCGTCAGTGGTGAATGGACGACATTCCTTTGGTAGAGAATATTGCAGTAACATACATTTACAAGATAAGCATTCAGAAAGCAGAATAATTGGATAGATTTTCCAGGCAACCTATCTCTGTGGCTTTTCCATCACACCGTATCAAAAATTTAAATTACCTGAAGATTGGTACCAAATCTAGAAGCAAAGCAATAACAAAAGGAAGAATTCGAAAGCAAGACTTCAAGCATCATCCTCATCTTTGGCTGTAACTGGCTTTTTCACTAAACTCAGAATCATACTGAAGATATTGATGGTCTACTAACCAACCTCCAGAGATGGCAGAGATTACAATATCTGTGATGATTCATTTTGTTCTGTTTCTCTGGAGAACCCTGACTAATACATTATCCAAGTCCTACTTCCTGCTCTTTTCTGCCAATACTCCAAGCCACACCAGTTTACACTAAAACCAAAATCCAATGGTAGAAAGTAAAAGACTGGCAAAGTCACCACTATCTTATGGATGAGAATAGGACATTTAATAAGAAACCACAAAAATCATAAATTTTGCCAACAACCAAGGCCATGACATAGGCAATAGGACAGCTTCTGTGAAACTGCATGAGCCTCAATTTCCTCCAGGAAATTGCCCAGGAGTAATCATATCCCCTCCAGAAGATAGATTCTTACCAAACTCAAATGAGGTAATACATATGAAGCTCTGGTTAGATAAAAATTGGTATCTTTTCTTTTCTCTTGTTTCCCATCTGGATCTCTTTTACCTCCATTTTTATTTAAAAGATCTGGTTTCCTAAAAGGTTTAAACTTAGAACTCTAAAATTTAAAACATTTTCCATGTACATTCTGGAAGGGCTATTTTTTTCGCTAAGTGCAGTGTCACTATTGACTATTGGTCTGCAACCCTCCTTCAACACATACAAACAAATACTTTGAAACAAAACTGGAAATAAAGGATAAAAGGGAAACAAAACTGGAAATAAAGGATAAAAGGGTAGACAGTGTTGGATCAAGGTGTAAATTCCTAAAACATTTACGTTGTTTAATCCATGCCCAAACTTGAATGCATCATGTAGGGCTCACAGTAGATCTTACAGCCCAGACATGAAGCATTCATGATCAAAATATATTCTCAACCATAAATTACCCTGGGCTTACAATCGTCCCACCATCCTCCTATGTTTAATTGCAGGATTTCTTTCACCATCATTAATCCAATTTGGGAAAGGCTTAAAGTACTCTATTCGAGCTAAGCACCGACTGAGTTAAATGAGATGAATGTTTGGCATCTGTGGTTTATTGCAAATTCAACAGAGGGTGATGAGATTTGCTTTATTCCCAGTCTGGCTTTATTGAGGCTTCTCTTTTTATGAAAGTAATGGGCTTTCTGCCTTTATTTCCTGTCAAAGTTCTTTAATGCTTATTACTTGATATTTATTTGTCCTTTAGCTTTCAGAGGTGGCCAGCTCCTAAGATGTTTAAATATACTGCACAGAATTTGAATTTTCTGGGATTTTTTTCTTTTTTCTATTTTTCAAAAAGGTTAGTTCTTCGTAAGAATTATTTTACTGTTAGTGATAACAAAATGGTAAAAATACTTCTGGGGCTTTTAACTCTGCTTAGTAAAACTATCTTTTTTGTACTTTCTTCATGATTCAAATACCACATTATATTTACTATATATGGGATGATCTTTAGATATTAGCCAATACAATTAAAGACATATAATAATCATATTTGAAAGTATCCATTTTACAAACAACAATTTCATTCTATGATTTTCTACATTTTCGTATAGAAGTCTGTCATAGGTAATGGACTTTTGGCCTATTTTGTGTCAGGCACTGAGGAAGTAAAACAAAAATATATGACATAGCTTCTGCTTTCAAGGGGTTTACAGTCTCCCAGAAGCGAAAAGCATATAAACAAGTCATTATTATATCATCTTGGCAGAGTTTTCCTGGAAAAACCGCCTGAGGCAGGATGAAGCTCTGAAGATTTATTTGGGACATACAATCCCAGGGAAACAAGGGGAAGGAAAACTGTAAGTAAAGCTGGAGGGATGAGAAGCAATGCAAAGTGATGCACTACTGCGCTAGCAACTGCTTCATAAGGAACTCCAAAGAGACACAGCCGATCACTTTCAGGGCATTTGCTCAGCTACTCAGATGCGTCCAGACACACTCTGCACAGAGACTCTTTGCCTAGGGGAAAAAAAAAGCCCATGGAAAAAGAGGATATTTTTCTATCTGGCCTCCTCCTATTTCCCACTGGTTAACATTGACGCTGTGGAGAGTGAATTCCCCTGACCATCATCTTGCACCAGGTGCAAGCCCTTGGGCAGTCCATGGGCAGGCAGATGTGGCATGCAGCTGGTGGCCCTGTTCAGAGGTGGCCTGTAGGGTAGGGGCTGAAGCAGATCTCATAGCTCAGGAGCTCGGAGGGAGGGTGAGCCCCAAGACTGCACAGGCACCAGATGAATCGACACAAACAGGATGGCAATGAAGAAAGATAAAAATGTTAGGAAAACCCAGACAAGGAGCAACTGAGGAAAGCTGAATCTGTGACTAAAAAAGCAAATTCATGAAATTAAGTTTTTCATTGAAAGATTATATGCATATTATATACACCTCATAAAAGCTAACATGTGGCCTGGTGGTTCTTGGAATGATCCACGTTGTTCAATTTTAAGCCCTAAGTCTGTACTAATGCCATGGCTATATTTCTCTAAGAAGAAATCTCAGCTTACCTGGGGGCAGTGGGCTCAACCAAGGCTATGGTTTAGAGGAGGAACTGATAACCCCATTGACTGCTACCATCAATCATGTCAGAAATGTCAGTCACTTTCCAATGGTGAAAATTAACACTGACCTGTTTCATTTTCTAAGACAGGTGGTGCGCCCTCTTTATCATGTCTTCCCCTTGTTCCTTTGTGATGTTTTTATTCTTTCCTAGGTAAATTCCCTCAGAAGAGAAAATAAGCAAAGTCAAAAATTCCCTCAGAAGAGAAAATAAGCAAAGTCAAATATAGAATGACAGCTAGTCTATCTAGGATTTTTGGTCTCAAGATTCTATGATTTAACATAAGCTGTAGCTTTTAAAATTCAGGTGCCCCATATGGGCTGCTGATGAGAATTCAATTTGTGACTCTACTAAGTCATTCTCTCTTACTAAGTGTGTGAAAGTGTAAGTAGATTAGAAAAAGTTTAAATAGCAAAGTCAGCTTTATTAATTCAGCACAAATGGTTTGTATACATCCTGAGCACCTATGTCTTCACCATGAAAAATACATGTCTTTTTAGATTTTTTAAACTTCTATTTTTTTCTGCAACTCATACTATCCTTATTAGGCACCTATGTGCCTAATAGAACATTGCAATGTTCTACACATTATAAGTGGTTCCAAAAGAAATGAATCTCATCCTTTATAGAGCTCACTGTCTAGTTAAGGAGACAATCTAGCATCAGAATATCAAGGATGGAAGTTACTATGGAGATTTGCTAAGGCCAAAACATTTCCCTGAAACAGTTAATAATATAACTACAGAAAATAAAAATAAGCAAAACAGACAACTGTCATAATAGTTTGAATATTTGAGAATGCCTGTTTGAGAAGTTGAAGGAGATTAATAGAAGTAGTGAGTGAGCTGCAACCTGAAGAATGCCCAGATCTTAAATGTATAAAGCAGGAAGGCAAAGGACAGCCCAGTTACAATAAAAGAGCATGCGCAAAGGAACCCAGAAAAAAATGAACCCAACAAGGTCTCAAGACAATGGGGACACAATCCAAAGCAGTGGGCAGAGCAGAGGGTGCTGGTTGGGGAAGAACAGGGAATAAAACTGGTAGGATGAGAGGGGGAAAGATTTGAAAATCCAACCCACTATGACATAGATTTTTAAACACACATTAAACCCTATAGACTAATTCTCCAGCTAACTTTTTTCAACCTTGATAACCTTCCAGAAGTCCAAACTCAAATCACTAATGGTATAGTGAATGGCAAGACCTGAAGTAGGTGCCTGAAAACAGGAAAAGCCTATATAATTCCAAGCGACAGTATGGATAACACTGCATCATCTAGACTATGCACTCCTGTGTATTTTAAGAATCCCTGGAATAATGATTTATATATTCAGAAAGCACAGATTTTAACCAGAGGTCTCCACTTTTCTTTCCCAACACACACGCATGACTTTTGGGGGGAAAAATGCCTAAGACCATTTACTAAGATGCAAAACATTCTCTCTCTCGTGGCATGGGGAAAATTGCATCTATTGACCCTTCTTCGTGTTTCTAAGGTTTTTATTAACAAAGCATGGAAATAAATTCTTTGTAACCTCAATCTGAACTTTTATTATTGGGATCTCATCTTCACATATGATGTTCTCTTAATTGCTGGAATCTAGGAGGTAATTTTAATTCTAGATTATTGTAACTTGAACATGACCCAGGTAAATTATACATACATGGTAAATCTCATGGATAGTGTTACTGAAAATCTTTAGAAAGTAGACATGTGGTTTGCAGGAGACTCATACCCACAGAAGACTTTAGACGTAATTACTGCTTTTCTGATGTTATTTGGTCTGGAATTTGATGACAAACTGAAGCCACATTCTGCTACCACCTGAAAAGATACGTTGATGGTTGGGCCTTGGCCAGGCCACTTATTGGCCTGATGACACATTGACAAATATAACCCCAAAGTGAGTGTTCATGGCAAAGCAAGAATTGCCATTTGTGGTGGTGCATGGACCCTTGTGCGCTTATGTGGCCTCACCCCCAGCCTCCTGCTATCAAATACAAGGAGCCCATTGGCTCCCCACTCTCCAGGTTGACTGCTGTTTGAACACAAGAGCTGAGGGGAAGCTGAGGACCTGTACCCATTCATTTACCTGATTCCTTATGTCTTGCTTTTTTTTGCAAAGCTTCTTTGCCAATTTTGTAGTAACCCCACATGAATGGAAATGAAGCCACATCCAAGTTATCACTCTCATTAGACTTGAAAATAGGATTTGAATTTGTGTTCTTTCATAATAAATTCTACTGAGCCTTTAAGATTGTTAGCTATTTTTTGAATAATACTATTTAATTAAATAAACAGTTATTTATTTCAGCTGCTACATATCAATCACTGAGCTAGAAAATGGGAAACCCAAAGATTAATAATTAATATAGGAACTTGCGGCCTACTGGAAGGGACAGACAAATAAATGTACTTTTTAGTGATTTGCATTGAGTCCAATGGGAACTCAGAGTCACCTCGCCCAACCAGTGGAGAAGAGAGCAGAAGACCTGAGGGAGGTAGGAAGAAAAGATGATGCTTGAGTCAAGCTTTTGCATCAATAGTTGTGAGTAAATGGGGACAAAAGATATTCCTGAAGGAAAAGCATAAACTGAACAAAGGACTCAATAAACAGCATGGTGTGTGCAAAGAAGCAGAAGCCATGTGCCCACCTAATGCTTGAAATATGAGGTAGGGTAGACAGAAGATGAAGTCTTGTTTGGTCCATGATGGGCTTTGTGTTTTATCCCATCAGTGATGAGGAGTCATGGAAGGTGTTGTGTAATGTAATTAGTGTTACCACTGGACAATGAGTTACCTGGGTAGATGAGCTCAGTGACAGTTCTAGTTAGATTTCTTTTTTTAAACAATTTCGCTTTGTTGCCCAGGCTGGAGTGCACTGGCATGATCTCGGCTCACTGCAACCTCCACCTCCCGAGTTCAAGCAATTCTCGTGTCTCAGCCTCCTGAGTAGCTAGGATTACAGGCACCCACCGCCATGCCCAGCTGATTTTTTGTATTTTAGCAGAGATGGGGTTTCACCACATTGGCCAGGCTGGTCTCAAGCTCCTGAGCTCAGGCGATCTGCCCGTCTCAGCCTCCCAAACTGCTAGGATTACAGGCATGAGCCACTGTGCCCGGCCTCTAGTTAGATCATGGTAAGAAGAAAAGATTTGTGACAATCTCTGACACATTAGTACCGCAGTGTCCTTTCCAAAAGAGTTCATTTTCTTTCGTGTGTGTGTGTGTGTGTGTGTGTGTGTGTGTGTGTGTGTGTGTGTGCTGGACAGATAGACTAATCTGTATCTCATAGCCTCTGGAAAACCATCTTTAAGATTTATAAGAATTTGAATCTGAAAGTCAGCTGATTTAAAAAATAAAAACATAAAACATTTTATGATTTAAACGTTTTACAATCTGAGGCAGGTGGATCACCAGGTCAGGAGATCGAGACCATCCTGGCTAACATGGTGAAACCCCGTCTCTACTAAAAATACAAAAAATTAGCCGGGTCTGGTGGCGGGCGCCTGCAGTCCCAGCTACTCGGGAGGCTGAGGCAGGAGAATGGCGTCACCCAGGTAGGCGGAGCCTGCATTGAGCTGTGATCACGCCACTGCACTCCAGTCTGGGTGGCAGAGCGAGACTCCGTCTCAAAAAAATAAATAAATAAATAAATAAGAATGTTCACGGTTGTGCAGCAAATATTACAATGAAATCTAATAGCATATTATAATTCTGAGAGTATATAATTCCAGATATACTGTACACAAAGAAGGACACAAACCAGCATCTGTTAGGGAATGGTGAGTTATAAATTGCTACTGAAACAGAAACTGGCCCTGATAATACAGCATACATTAAATATCAGAATCTTCACAAGTATTAATAACATTCAGGGTCCACCTAGTCCAGGTATCTAAATATAACAATACCTGGGGGTTCTTTTAGCTGAGTACCATGAGTAGGTCAGAACAGCTCACTGGGAATGATTCAACCCTCACTCATAGACCAAATTAAAAAAATACACACAAATGAAAGTAATAAGCAAGGAGTTTCTGAAATTGACGTTCAAGACCTCTGAATACAACGGCAAGCACATTAGCTAGTGTGACTAATAGCACAGCCTCAGTTGGGGCTCATCTGGGACCATCTTCCTTGGCAGCCCCAGATCTGCTGACTCTCTCTGTGCTATGCCGCCTTAGCACTGATGTTACCACATTTCAGTGTGATTAGCCTTGGTATATGGAATTATTCAAAGTTCCTCTTTACCTGTTGATTTATACTGAAACTGTGTTTCATTCTAATACGCTCTGCAAAATGCTTGCAGTCTGCTTTACTCCTCAACTCTTGGGATAGCTTTTATCTGCCTGCTGGTCTAGATAGCTCTAACGTGAATGTCATGTGCAGAAATCTCTGCTCTGACAGCTGCATTCTCTCTGGGGTATTAAGGCTGAGAGGAAGGTTTAATCTGTTCCCTTGCCAGGAATAGTCTCCATGGTATTGAGGCTTTAGTTATAAAAAGAGACCTACAATGCATATGCCCCCTACCTTATGTAATCCTTCTCCAGGTGTAAAAATTCATAGACAATACTGCATTCACCATACTTACTACACTCTGTTTTCCCAATTTCTCCTCAATGTGACATACTTAATCTTGTTATAAAAATTATGGTCTTTTAAATGTATCACTAAGGAATTCAGCTTTTAGAAACCATTCTCCAGCTTTTCCAGGAAAAGAGATATGGCCCAACCCTGTAGTTTTTACATACTTAACCTTGGAACCCTGTGCAATACGGCTCAGTCTCTAAGCCCCATCTTACCAGAAGCCAAATCTACCCAGGATAGGCTTAATTCTAAATATTAAGTTTCTAAATACTGACCTTGGATATCTAGTTTTAGTATTTGATTCATGCTTTCTATGCTGTGTGGGAAGCTTCCCGGTTATCCAAAGCTGATTTTGGATTCTTATCTTCAAAATTCTGCATTGGTTAATAACTATCGGTATAGTTATATCTGCCATTGCTCACTTTTGCTCTCAGTTGAAGAACAGATTGAGTTGCTTAATAATTAATCAGATTTTGTTCCACATATTCACCTTTTTTGACCAGAAATTCAGAGGCCAGAATTCTATTGCTGCTCTGGTAAAATGCCCAGGCAGGACAACTATCCTCACATGATCTAAATAGAGAGGAGGAAAAAGGTCCTTATCCTACAAAGCCCAAAGTCAAGAAGCTCTGTTCTCTCAACTCCATTGTCATTGAAAATCTTCAAACCTCCAACAAAATTTTGTGACATTTCTGACACTCTATGAGTTGCAGAAACATCTATGTAAGTGTTTCTAAACAACCACCTCTTCAGACTTGGAGACTTTCACAAGAATTCTACCAGTTCTGACTTTAGTGTCTTAAGGATGGAGCTCTATTACTGAAAAAGAACACTTCTTATGGGATCTGGCCTTGACTTCTTACAAGCTTTTTCTGTGACATTGCCAACTAATCTGCTTCTAGCTTCTATAAATGTGGGTGCTAATAAAATCTGACCCGCTTCTGCATGGGGATGTTGTGATGCCAATCGATGCACATAGAAATACTTCAGACAACACATAACTCAATGTTATAGCATCAGCATTACTGCGATAGTAAACATAAGTTGCCGGCTTGGTGAGGGAATATGTTAAGCCGGTGTGATAAATGAGAGGCTAAAGACCCACACAGGAGTTACCTCTTCTCCTTCCCGCTGCCTGGCTTTGATCCTCCCTCAAAGACAGAAACTATTAGAGCTAACCTTTAAAAAGAGAGATGCACAAATGCACCCTCTCTGGCTATCACAAAGAGTTCTAAATTGGTCTGAAATAAAGCACAGATCTTTGTTATTATAAGAATCTTCCTTGTTATATTAGTCATTTCACCCCAGAGATGAAAGTGATTCTAGCAGTCATCTATATATCTCATTTAACCGCCTCATTTTGTACATGAGGAAATCAAGGCTTGTGGAGGTAAAGTCACGGGCCAAAAACTACAAAGCTACTGAGTAGCACAGCTGGAAGTAGAATCCAAGTGCCTGGATTCCTGGTCCTGTGCCTTCTCCACTATAATCATTGCCTGTATCGTCCACAGTTGCTGCATTATTTTTAAATAGATAACAGAAAAGGCAATGAATGCATGTATTCCTTTACTCAACACGTATTTATTGAGTGTTCACTATGGGCCAGGCATATTCAAGACACCAGAGATACAATAGTTAACAAAACACACAAATTTTCTGCCTTCAAAGAGCTTATACTTTTGAGAGAGGGGAGGGAGAGAGAGACAGAGAGAGAGAGAGAGAAGCAATTGCTAAGGAAAAATAAATAAATTAATCACAGAAGGAAAATATGGGGAAAGGAAATAAAATTCCTAAACAGGGCAGCCAGGGAAGGTGACTGTAAGTAAAGACCTGAAGGAAGTGAGAAAAGTAGCCATGCAAATATAGAGGGGACAAGCATTCCAGACAGGAAGTAACAAGAGCATAGGTCCTGAGGTAGCAGCTCCTGGTGGGGTTCAGGGAACAGGAAGGAGGCCAGTGTGGCAGGTGTGAGTCAATGAGGAGAGAGGCAATGAAGCCAGAAAGGTTGGACGGGAGACAAGTTTGCAGAGCCGCTTCATAGGTCAGTAAGGACTGCAACTGAGTCGGATGGGAAGCCTTAGAGCAGTAACATGACCAGACTTTCATTTGAACAGGATCACTGTGGCGAGGTGCTGAGAAAGAGGACAAGCATAGGCACAGGATGGATGAACTGCTGTAAAAATCCAGGGGAGAGACGACGGTGGTTTGGACCGGGATGGTAGAACTGGGGTGATACCTGGTAGAGTAGACAGAATATGCTGATGAGCCACACGCAAGGTATGAGAGAAAAAGAGGTATTAAGCATGACACCACAGGTTTTGCCTTGAACAACAAGGAGGACAGAGTTGCCATTAGCTGAGTCAGGAAGAATAACGGGGAAAGCTGATTTGGGAAGGGGGTACCGAATAGCAAAAGCTCCATTCTGGACATAAATTTGAGGAGCTCATTAGACATCAGTGTAGAGATGTCAACTGGGTGGTCGAATATGTAAGTTTAGAGTCCAGAGGAAAAATGCTAACTGAAAGTATAAATTTAGGAGTGAAGCAAAAAAAGGTAGTTAAAGCCATGAGAAGGCATGAGATCACCGGGGGAGAGTGAGGATAGATAGAGAGAAGAGGCTCGATTACTGAGCCCCAGGGTTCTCCAACATTTAAATGTGGAGAAGATGTGCTAAAATAAAAATATCAGGGAGCTAGAAAAGCAGCAAAATAATTATGGCCTATTCTCTCTGAATGAGTTCCCATCTCCATACTGCACATCCTTTTATGCCTAAATTCTTCTTCCCTTTTATTAACTCATTTTTGTAAATTGTATCACTCCATTTTATTATTTATCTTACTCGTCAGTCTTCACTGCAAAGGACTCCTAATGTTTTTCAAAATCCAAATCCCCTCCCACTTTCTGAAAGAAGACATTTGCTGCCATCAAATACATTCAGAAGACTATGCCACAGGCTCTGAAGTCTCTTCAACATGGGGAGATACAAAGATGAACAAATAAAGTATTTGTTGTCAAAGACATTATTATAAAAGTGTATAGTTTCCCCAGATGATTATTTGAAGGAGGAAATGGCCATTTGTATATATATTTCTATATATTTCTATTTATGTGTGTGTATGTATACACACACAACAAATATTTATTCAATGCTTGCTAGGTGCCAGCTATTCTGTTAAGTGTGTTGTTATGTATATGCATTCTCTCAATGTCCTCCCAATAATCCCAAAAGGTAAGTACTATTATTATCTACATTCTAGAGGTGAGGAAAATGAGGCTTTCAGATGCTAAATAACTTGCCACGTTTATCAGGTTTAAGAGGTACTGAATCTAGACAGTTTGCCTCCTGAGCCCCTACTTCTTAAACTTTTGCCCAGAATTCTAAGCTGGCCACCAGTGCAGAAGACGGATTTGAGCCCATGCAGCTGTCTTGCTTGGTCTGCATGGTGTTTGTTTTGTTTTTAAATGGACTTTGAATGCCTTCAGGGGATGCACACATTCAGTAATCACAGCCCACACCAGTCATTACAGCCTTCATTTTTACCCTTCATCATTTAACTTAGCAGCTGCACCGAGTGCATTGGAGTTGTTGACCCTTGCTCTACCATCCTTCTTCCCTCGATCTTTAACAGGCTCAACATTACTTTCAGTCCAGCACATTTATGCCCTACTTCTTGCATATTCACACATACCCACACATACACCACCCATCCCAACACCAACGCAAATACCTCCAACACTGCCATCAGGAGAAATAAAACAAAATAGGATTATTCTTTCTTTCCATCCTTGATATTTTCCCCTATGAAAGTCATTTGTAATGTTTAAGGTCCTCTCCCAAATTTACCCCTCCCAATCTAATTCAAATCCAACTCCCACAATGTAAAGGCAAACTTGTTTTTTGCCTAGAAACACAGGACTATGCCCCGGTGATGTTTTGTAACAGGAGGGACCCATCCTCCGAGAGCTGCATCATTCATCATTTGTTGGCTGTTGTTATACCTCTCAACTCTGAGCGGCGGATTAGGACACACACGCATGTTCTAGTGAGGCTGAATTCAAGTCATTTTTGTTTTGAAATGGCAATGCCTATGTTAAGAAGAGTTGCCTTATGAAGTCATTCTTTTTTTTTTTTTTTTGAGATGGAGTTTTGCTCTTGTCGCCCAGGCTGGAGCACAAGGGCAGTACATCCGCCCGCTGCAACCTCCGCCTCCTAGGTTCAAGCAATTCTCCTGCCTCAGCCTCCCGATTAGCTGGGATTACAGGCACGTGCCACCATGCCCTAATTTTGTATTTTTAGTATTTTTGTGTGTGTGTATTTTTAGTAGAGACGGGGTTTCACCATGTTGGCCAGGCTGGTCTCAAATTCCTGACCTCAGGTGATCCACCCGCCTCGGCCTCCCAAAGTGCGGGGATTACAGGCGTGCGCCACCGCGCCTGGCCATGAACTCATTCTCAATTGCATGTCCATTACACAGTTAGCACATAAGAAGATTTTCTTAAATCGTCTGTATCAAGAAGTTAACAGAGTTCTTTAGCTATTTCTGACTCGTAAGTGCTAAGGTTCTGTCTCCTTAGAATAGGGGAGAAAAATCTGAGTTCTTTTTGTAACTATTAGTATTTTTTTGTTTCTTTAAAGAAAGCAGGAAGACACTTTAACAAAAGCCCAATAGAAATCATGTTTTCTGTAAAAGGAAATGATGAAAATGAAGAGTTTGTTTGTGGACCTAAACTCTTGGAATATTGTATCATCAAGGTATTAGAACCAGTTTTCCAGAAGCTACTCTTTGTGTTGAGGGTTTCAGCAGAGCAGAGATAAAACCAGGTGCTGAGCACTAAATTAGGTCAGCTGAGCTCCTAGTCTAATGCACTGATGTTTGCAGCAGGGGCAGTTATTAACCTCAACAGGGTTTGGGGGTGGGGGTCATTGGCAGGGAAATGGTTGGATTTCCCTTCCCTTTATACATTGATATGCACAAGATTAATTAGCCTTAAACCTCAAGACTCACTATGTTTCATCATTCAATTCACTAATGAGAACACCAGGATTCATCCTCATTAGAATTTGTCAAATACTTCACAATTTTTTTAAAACCAATACATTTGGCCAAGTTTCCACACCCATTAGCAGATATGATTTGTAAAATAGTTCTGCCAATAAAGAGCCATTTCATTATCCCCATTTCATACATGAGGAAAGTCCAAGAACCCAGTAACACTCCCGAGATCACACAGCTGCGAGGAATAATAGAGCAGGAATTCCAACTCACGTTTTGTAGTCCAACTCCCATGTTCTTTCCATGAGTTATCATTTGTTGGCTGCTCTGATTTTAATGATTGAATAACGAGATGTGTGGCCCACGGTCTCATCACTCACAGTCCACCATCTGTATTAAAAATGGGCTAGGAGAATGGAAAACAGTCTTGCCAGGATATGACAACTTTCCCCTGGTCAGAATATGGATATAGAAAGTTCCAACAGTTTGTTCCTAAGCTGCTAACACAGTTTTTCCCATGAAACACTACCACTGCATGATGTTACACAAAGAGAGGTTTTGTGATCCCATTTCCTAGTACATCATCAATGTCCTACTGTGCTCCATGATCCTCTAGAAAAGGGTATCACAGTGAGTGTATTCCAAGTATTGTACTGAGCACCTGGATAGATTCGTGTACCATGGATGCTCTGCAGGGTCCTTGTGAACCCCTGAAACTCACTAAATTCAGGGAAATTTTCCCTATGGAGCATTTCTCATAGCTTGAGAAACACTGTTTAGGGCAATTGGTAGTAAACTTTTAGAATTCACTCATCTGAAATTTAGTGTAGAACAAAAACTATAAATAGATTCAGAAACACCTCTGAATGAATTTATGAATGGCATATTTATCATCAATTACTCAGGGGAACCAGGAATGGCATGACCCGAATGTCCAAGGCAGATGTCAGAATTCTCAGTCCATTTCCAACCTGCCCCTCCATGCAGCTTGGTGAGATGGTGCTCCAGGTCGTGTGGTCAAAGGCTGACTCAGGATGACAGCTCTTGTGTTCTCAACTCAAATTTCCTTCAGGCTGCCACGCAGCTCTGTATTTATTCTTGTTAGTGATAATGAGATGAACCCAAGGCTTAAAAATAATTGTGTTTAAATTTAGACTTATCTACATGGAGAATGTCTCTCCAAACCTCAATATATTCTTTTGAACTAACAGTTATTATTTTTTCCTCCTTTTCTTTCAGTGATGAACAAAATTAGAAAGTAAAATTTTATAAGAAATATTTTGTAAAGTCCCTTTCTTAATCCAAAATGAAATCCATAGATAATATATCTTATGTATACATACATAATCTTTTGTAAATCAATAACATATTCTAATCATACTACAAATGAGAAATAATAATTTCCAATGAGCTGAACGTCAACATATAAATGCTCAAGCAATGCAACATTTCAAGATGTGAAGAATTTCTGATTTGTGCTCACTACATAACAATAGCCCCACCTTCATTATGACAAGTCAGAATACATCCTCTCAGCTTCAAAATGCCTTCTCGGTATCCCTTTTTTCCTCATTTAAAATCAATGTATTAAAGAATTTTAAGTAGGAAGCAAAAGGTTTTTATTACTTCCTTTAAAATAAATCACTTAGGCTGTTGTGTGGAGAATGAACAGAAGAGGGGCAAGAGAGAAAATGCAGAGACCCACTAGGAGGCCACACAGTGATCCCAACAAAAAGATGCTACTTTCATGCTACTAACAACTGAATCTGCAGTCTTCTCCCTGCATCCAGATGCCTATTAGACATCTCTATTTGAAGATGCTGGTGCTTTGTGAAATATTTCAATCTCCAAATTAAATTTTAGATTTCCCTCATTCTTCTACAACAAACTGCATCTCTTATTTTCTCATCATACCAGTCTTACATTTCTGCAACATCTCTTGAACTTTCACCTTCTTTTGTATCCAATCCCAGCCTCGTTCTTCTAGCCAGAAATAATAACAGACTCTTGGCTGGACGACTGCCTTGTATCTCCAGTTGCAATCCACTCTATAAGCAGCTTCTAGAACAATCTCTCTTAAATACCAACATCTATACATCATTCACTTCTACAACCACTATCTTACCCTGGCATTTGCAAGATTGACTGGAGCTTCACATGGCATAGTGTGACCATGGAACACAAAAAGGGTCAAACCCATTGTTAAGGTGTTCTAACCATCCAAGTTATCCATCCAATGGGATGTCTTCCCCATTCCTCCTCTCCATTGCCTGCTATCTTTTGCAATTTCTTACATCATCTTACCTCTGAGACCTAATGACTCACTGCCACTGCCAGCACTCTGAAAAAGCAAGAATATTTCATTCTTTCCCTCTTAACTTAGACACACACACAAACAGTAGGTTCTCAGTGTGTGTTTGATAAATTTATTTCAAAGTGTAAAATAAAGCTCCAAAATGATGACAAAAGGGAGTGCAAAGCAAAAACCTTAAGCATTTTCTGTGGATTTAAGAGTGTTTTTTTGGCTGCATAAATGTCTTCTTTTGAGAAGTGTCTGTTCACGTCCTTCGCCCACTTTTTGATGGGGTTGTTTGTTTTTTTCTTGTAAATTTGTTTGAGTTCATTGTAGATTCTGGATATTAGCCCTTTGTCAGATGAGTAGGTTGCAAAAATTTTCTCCCATTTTGTAGGTTGCCTGTTCACTCTGATGGTAGTTTCTTTTGCTGTGCAGAAGCTCTTTAGTTTAATTAGATCCCATTTGTCAATTTTGGCTTTTGTTGCCATTGCTTTTGGTGTTTTAGACATGAAGTCCTTGCCCATGCCTGTGTCCTGAATGGTAATGCCTAGGTTTTCTTCTAGGGTTTTTATGGTTTTAGGTCTAACGTTTAAGTCTTTAATCCATCTTGAATTAATTTTTGTATAAGGCGTAAGGAAGGGATCCAGTTTCAGCTTTCTACATATGGCTAGCCAGTTTTCCCAGCACCATTTATTAAATAGGGAATCCTTTCCCCATTGCTTGTTTTTCTCAGGTTTGTCAAAGATCAGATAGTTGTAGATATGTGGTATTATTTCGGAAGGCTCAACCCTTGTGGAAGTCAGTGTGGCAATTCCTCAGGATCTAGAACTAGAAATACCATTTGACCCAACCATCCCATTACTGGGTATATACCCAAAGGACTATAAATCATGCTGCTATAAAGACACATGCACACATATGTTTATTGCTGCACTATTCACAATAGCAAAGACTTGGAACCAACCCAAATGTCCAACAATGATAGACTGGATTAAGAAAATGTGGCACATATACACCATGGAATACTATGCAGCCATAAAAAATGATGAGTTCATGTCCTTTGCAGGGACATGGATGAAACTGGAAATCATCATTCTCAGTAAACTATCACAAGAACAAAAAACCAAACACCGCATATTCTTACTCATAGGTGGGAACTGAACAATGAGAACACATGGACACAGGAAGGGGAACATCACACTCTGGGGACTGTTGTGGGGTAGGGGGTAGGGGGAGGGATAGCATTAGGAGATATACCTAATGCTAAATGACGAGTTAATGGGTGCAGCACACCAACATGGCACATGTATACATATGTAACTAACCTGCACAATGTGCACATGTACCCTAAAACTTAAAGTATAATAATAATAATAATAATAAAAGAGTGTTCATGACCTTCCAAGCCAGCTGCTCAGTCTACTGTGGCACAGCAGGTTAAATTTTCTATGAAGGAACAATATGTACAACCTCAAAGCATTGATTCTAAAGTCAGATTATGGTCCAAATCTCAGAAACATCATGTACTAACTATAAAAATTTAGGCAACTTAAACTGGGCGCAGTGGCTCATGCCTGTAATCCCAGCGCTTTGGGAGGCCGAGGTGGGTGGATCACCTGAGGTCAGGAGTTCGAGACCAGCCTAACCAACATGGTGAAACCCTGTCTCTAATAAAAATACAAAAATTAGCTGGGCGTGGTGGCACGTGCCTGTAGTCCCAGCTACTCAGAAGGCTGAGGCAAGAGAAGCACTTGAACCCGGGAGGCGGAGGTTGCGGTGAGCTGAGATCATGCCATTGCACTCCAGCCTGGGCAACAGAGTGAGACTTCATCTCAAAAAAAAAAAAATAGGCAACTTAATTAAAAATATTTGTGCCTTGGTTTCCTGAACTGTAAAATAGGTAGTAATTGTATCTACTTCATAAGATTGTTTGAGAAGTGAATGAGTTGTTGCATACAAAACACTTAGAATGGTACTTGGCACATAGTAAGCATTTAGCAAGAATTCGCTGTTATTATTGAAACCAAGTTTACCCGTGTGTGTGTGTGTGTGTGTGTGTGTGTGTGTATATACACATATATATATATGAATATAATATTGTTTTGTTAAATTCACAGCCATCTTATTCAATAAAGATATGATGCTAATCAGATACTTGGAAAATTTATAACACCACTGGAAAAAATATATATACAAATGATTAAGTCCTAAGGTCTAGAACAAAGGGAAAGTGCAAAAGCCCATCCCAGTGAAGATTTGTGATTCTTTTAAATGACTATGAAATGCATATAATGGGACCTTTATAAAAAGTCCAATTCTCAATAGTGTGCTTCTTATAAAATCCTAATTTTATTTCACTGATGGCAATCTTTAGGCCACTCTAGGCCCAAAACTTTAATTTTTATTGAAATCATCAAGAAATTACAGTACTAAGATTCATCCCTTTCAGATCAGAAATTAAGATTGAGAGAAATTTAATTTCCACTATTTTCCAAGTAGGTTACTCTCTCCAGAACCAGAAACATTCTTATTTAGATCCCATTGTTAAAAGCATATTTTGGTAAATGGGTATCAATAAAATATGCAGTTATAAAAATAACATTTTGGTTAAACCCTAGAATGTTAACTACACAAAGGATTCCAGAGTAGGAATTGTTTTTCATACAATTAACAAATTCGTGTTTGGATTCATAAACAACACATAACTTTATATGGATTGATGCTTTCCCACACTTTTTTAAGAAAGTATCACAATCAGAGAGACAGGCTAAAGTGAAAAAACATTATCAGAGATGTCACAGATTCCTTTTGCTCAAGTGGGACACAACGAAAAGCCATCTTGTGTCCCTCTTGTACAAGAAGAACATCTTTTCACGGAATTCCAGAGTTGGAGCAGAGGGAAGGCTTGAATTTGCCACATTTGCAACTGCCAGACCACAGGGCAGACTCGGTTCTGTTTTCTGGTGTTCACTAATTTTTCTTAACCTCTCTCTTAGGCATCTGAGGGTCTGCTGGACTATGGGCCTCATCATTTCCTCAGCCTCCACTGAGGGCCTGAATACTCCTCAGAGACTGCAGCCACTTTGAAGGATGCAGGAGAGGCAGGAAACTGGCTTGTGTTCCATCGCAAAAGGATTCCAGCAGAGGTAGGATAGCTACGTCCACCGCTTCTCTACTGTACAGACCTCAGCAGCAAGAGGTCTGAGCTCTACAGGGTCAGGATGGTAAAGTTCTGTCTGAAAACTCACAGGCTTCTAAGAATAGCATGGCCAATTCCCAAAAGCTGTGTCACTCTCAGGGCAGAACTCACTCCTACATCCAATCCAGCTCAATCTTCTGCCCCACAAGGGACTTTCTCCTTCAAAGAATTTCTACAGCAAGTGTTTTCAACTTGCTAATGTTGACCCTCATGTAAAACCTGCCTTGCAGGCCGGGCGCTGTGGCTCATGCCGGTAATCCCAGCACTTTGGGAGGCTGAGGCAAGCGGATCACCTGAGGCCAAGAGTTGGAGACCAGCCTGGCCAGCATGGTGAAACCCCATCTCTAGTAAAAAATACAAAAATTAGCCAGGTGTGGTGGCAGGCACCTGTAATCCCAGCTACTCGGGAGGCTGAGGCAGGAGAATTGCTTGAACCCGGGAGGCGGAGGTTGCAGTGAGTGGAGATCGTACCACTGCACTCCAGCTTGGGCAACAAGAACGAAACTCCGTCTCAAAAAAAAAAAAAGAAAGCCCACCTTGCATTAATGCCTAATTGAGCAACATCTTGTCAGAGAAACTGTAAACTTTCATATCGGGATGCTTCTTATACATCCCTTTGGAGCCCAATATATGCATGTGTTATATTAATACTGAATGAATACTGTTTGAGAAGAAAAAAGAGAAAAGCTTAACTAGCACAAAACCATTCCCTACATCTATGTGCAGCTTAAAAAATATTTTCTGGTTTCATTTCTGGTAGATGAAATTATGCTAAATGTTTTTAATTCATTCATTCAATATTTAGTTCCTGCCTTTATTTTTTATTATTTTTTAAATTATTTTTTAGAGACAGGGTCTTGCTCTGTCACCCAGGCTGGTGTGCAGTGGCGTGATCATGTCTCACTTCAGCCTCAGACTCCTGGGCTCAAGCAATCCTCCCAATTCAGCCTCCCAAGTACCTGAGATTACACGTGCACACCACCATATCTGACTAATTTTTTTATTTTTTTGAAAGATGGGGTCTTGCTATGTTGCCTAGACCGATCTCAAACTCCTGGGCTCAAGCTGTCCTCCCACCTTGGCCTCCCAAATGATTGGGATTATAAGCATGAGACACCATACCCAGCCAGTGCCTGCCTTTGAAGGTGAAGGATACAATGAGAGGTATAGCAGAGTCCAGGTCACACAGCCCCTTGGACACTATGCTAAGGAGCAGGCCCTTAACATTTATTGCTCAGAAGGTCATTGAGGAATGTTTTGCAGGGTATAAAACAGTCAGTTTTGCTTTATGGCTAAAACACTCTGATGACAATGTGAAACATGAATTTGAGGGGCAAGACTGGAAGCAGGGTTAAGTGCAGGACACCAACAGAGAAATGGCTAGGAATTAAACTAGGGCAATAGTCATAAGGATGCAGAAATGGGAACAAGTATAAGATAGAGAAATAGGTACAACTTGATGACTGACTCTTGAGGGAAAGGGGTGGCAGAATTCAGGAGTGACTCACTACACTGGAAATGCCATATGTGTCTTTTCAGCTAACCTATAATCTGCAAGAGTTCCTGGACTATACTGTGGTATTTACCACTGTCTCTATCATCTGGTACACACCCTTGCAGGTGGTAGACACTTAATAAATACTCCTTGAATTAAAATTAAAAATCTGTTGATTAGATCTGACTCTTACACATCTAGGAAAATTATTTGAAAAAAAACTTTATTCTTTTCTAGGTCAGAACCTACTCAAATAAACTTAAAGAGTTTAAAAAGGCATTCTATTTTTACTATCATCCCTTTCAGAAATGAAATTTCAATTTCTCTAATTTGACATTACCATGGTTAAGTGGACCTCACTATCAAAACATCTTCCTAACATACATTGCTAAGCATTATGTTTCCATTGAAATCATAATTGTATTTCATGAAACAAACACATTAGTTTTTTTAAAACTGTTTCTTCATACAAATCAAGAAAAACTGGA
The DNA here is from genome assembly GCF_000001405.40 of Homo sapiens. Classification (NCBI taxonomy): domain Eukaryota; kingdom Metazoa; phylum Chordata; class Mammalia; order Primates; family Hominidae; genus Homo; species Homo sapiens. The sequence goes on from NC_000018.10 coordinate 2,431,075, forward strand.
AAGTGGTTATACCTCCATGAAGAAAGACTGAAACCTAGGACAGTTGTTCCCTCATTACCTGCAGTTTCACTTTTGCAGTTTCAGTTACTTAGTCAATCATGGTCTGAAATATTGTAATATATTTGTAAATATATATTATAATATTTATTATTATTTATATATACAGTATATAAATATTTCTATATAATATATATTATTTATATATATAATATATATTATTTTTATATATATAATATATATTATTTTTATCTATATAATATATAAATATATTACAATATTTTTATATATACAATATATAAATATATTACAATATATTTTATATATAAATAAGACATTTTAATAGAGAGACTATATTCACACACCTTTTATTATAGTCTATTGTTATAACTGATCTATTTTATTATTAGTTATTGTTAATCACTTACCTTGCCTAATTTGTAAGTTAAACTTTATCATAGGTATGTACATATAGGAAAAAACACAGTTTGGTATTATGTGCAATTTCAGGCATCCACTGGGATTCTTGGAACCCATCCCCCATGGATAATAGGAGACTACTATACTCAGTATCAAGCTGTTGGCTGCATACACAAATCATTATTTTTCTTCAGAACAAGTTCATGAAAGCATGACAGTCACCTGGTCTTTGAAATGCTAACTGTTAATATTTTTCTAGGTAATAGAAAATAATATTACTCTTTTTTGTGAGATTCAGAAATAAACACTATACAAATCTAACAATACTGTATGTGGCGTGACATACGGATCCTTAATAACTTTTCTTTCTTGTAGATTAATAGAATTTTTACCAGCCAGGGTCCCCAATAGAAAACAGATGACACACAGACAATAGGCTAATTTTAGCAGAGTTTATTTATGAAAAGCTTAATCATAAAGGCATTGCTCTGGGGGAAACACAATACACAGAAGAGTCACCAAGGCCTGACAGTAGCCTGACTGTCACCATTCCTATGCCACAAAGAAGGAGGGGAGCAGTGGTTACTGGGATCTGGAGAGAGAAAGTCATGTAGAAAAAGATCCCTTGAAAGGACCAGAGATTTCTGCTAAGGGGCACTGAACTCCTTCAACTCCACAGGAAGGAGCCCAGGCAAGCAACTACTATGCCAGTGCTCTCCTCCCTCCCTCTGGTCTTTTAATAGTGCTCTCAATTGGCCAAACCCAACAAAGGCAATGGGATCCCATTAGCAAGTCCATATAGGCAGGCTCCAGGGGCAGAGAACAGGGTGGAGAATGGTGGGAAGGGGACCTGGAGGAGAAAATAGAAGACACCAGCTTGGACTCACTCATTTGAGCTTTTCTGTCTAGGAAAGATGACCTCAGTACACTTGCCAGTGTCCAGGCTGTTTTTCATCATCTCCCTCGTGCAGAGTAAAAATTTTTCCTGAGTTCACATTTAAACTTCTAAGTATACAGCTATCAATAAATATCATGTTCCTCTAGCATATCAGCAGGAAATCTGAAAGAACATGGGATAAGCAAGTACAAGGAAAATACAAAATGAAACACCTAGTAAAATAGTAAGTAAACATTTTAGGAATTGTGCCAAAAAATTTCTTTAGAAATCTTTAGAAACGCTTCAGAATTTAGGGATGTTTTATTATTTGTATCCCTCCTCTCCCCTCCCCATCCTACACACATGCACACACACACACACACACATACACATTGAGCACTTTTGGCTCAAAAAGTGTCTTTTCTTTGATCTTTTGGAGATTTAAAATCTGCTTATCTGTGGAATGGAACTTCAAGAGATCTTTTTATCTAAGTGCTTAGACATTTCTACAAAAGGCACTCTTTAATCTGAAAAGTATCGATTTTTCTTATTAATTGCTACTGTTTGCCAACGGTACAAAAATTTTCCTTGTCTTATGTCTGTTTATCACACTATGTCCAAAACAGTTGGATTTCCAGCACTTTTGTGAGCTACTTAGTATGTTTAGTACTGAGCATGGCACTTAGTAAGTGCACAATTAATATCGGTAATAATGGTAGTTGGTAGCTGTAGTTGTTTATTCTTTTGAAAAAAATAGTATTTTTTCAAGGCAAAGATTCAGAAATGCACTGTAAAGTGTGAGATTCAGCTAAAAGTTCTGTCTTACAATATGCACTGTCATGAATGTAAAACTTTTTAAAAAGCTTCCATTTTCTTGATGAATATTTGGAAGTTTATGATAAAGACATTGAAATCCAGTGGATCGCAGAGATTCTAGCCATATTGGCAAGGACTCTAAAATCAAACCTCAAATATAGCTATTTTATTTATTCGTTTATTTACAGGGGCTTCACATCCTAGCTTCTTCCCAAAAGAAAAAAAATGTTTTATTGTCATTTCTTCCTCATTTTCTGTGTCTTTCCTTAGAGTAGAAACTGACAGGTTAGATCATATTCCGGCAGAGTAATGAAACCACAGCCCAGACATATATTATTTAAAGACCTGGATTTCATTCATCATAGGTGAAGATGACTGAAGTCAAAGAGCCTGGTTTATATCACTGGGCTGCCAGCAGGACAGAACTTGCAGCCTCTGCTTCCCATTATGAACAGATCTATAAAGGAAGCTATGCCTTTGTTTCTCCACCAAAGCACTCATTTTATATAGTGCCAACTTACAGAATTTTCAAGAGCAGAACTTCAGTGGGCAAAACAGGAAGATCCCTCAAACTGGTTTTGAGTATAACTCATCAAAATATGAGAAAAATAGAAAATACAGGTTCATGGCATAGTTTCTCTCAAATACTAGACAAATAATAGGTGCAGGCAAAAATAATTTGTTTCTTTGAACCTGATACTGCTAATGTCATTCAGAATGAGAGCTGTATTGATTAAACTTTAATTTGAGATACAGAGTTTAAAATGCTAATCTCATTCACTAGTTCATGAGACTTTCATAATCAATTTTATATTCGTGTTCTTCATCATGATGGTATTATTTTTTAACAGGCCAGAGTCCTTTTACTAGCAGTATACTGGCCACTATGTAATTGGTCCTCTACTACACTGATTGTTAAACATTTCGAATATTACCTTGGGTCAAAGTTCCTTTAATGAAGGATTTTTATCAATCTCTTTTATTATTAAACTTAACAAATTGAATTCTGTAGTTGCACTTCTAGTTACAGTGCAGAAAAGCATAAAAGAATTTTGCTCCTGTCATAAAAAGAAAACACGCAACAAACTAAAACTTTCTCTATTCTTTAACACCAACAAAGAATAGCCAACACAAATTAGTCGAAATGCTGAATTAACTGAATCTTGACAGGCTGATTGCTCAGAAAATCTTTGCTTCATTCAAATTTTCTCTACAAAATTCTGGTAAGGAATCTATACTGCTGCAGCTTTGTGACTTTCTAACCAGAATGTGTTCTCTCTGCTGGGTCATCATTTTTCATGCTTGCTATGGCCAACTGATGTAGAGTAATAAACTTACTTTCATGGGAAGAAATCCAATGGCAGTTGTTGAATCCAGTGATTCTCAGTCTTCATCTTCTTTGTCCTATTGCATTTGACTCCACTGATCCGTAAAATACTTTCTGCATCTCACTGCTGCATTTCCTCCATCTTTCTGGTCCCTCCTCACTTAGTTGCTGGTTCCTCCTCATTACCCTGTCCTCCAAATTTTGGAGTATCTCAGGCGTAAGTCCTTGGACCTCTCCTTTTTTCTCTCCACCCTCACTCCATAGGTAATTAGTATGGCTTGAGTTTGAATATGTCCCCCAAAATTCATTTATTGGAAACTTAATCCTCAATGGAGAAGTGTTGGGAAGTGGGACCTTGAAGAGTGATTGAATCATGGGGGGCAAAACCTTCATAAACTGATTAATGCCTTTATCATGAGAGTGGGTTTGTTATAAAAGGACAAGTTTATCCTCCTCTTGCTTGCTCTCTCTCACCCTCTCTTTGCCCTTCTGCCATAGGATGATGCAGCAAGAAGGCCCTTGTCAGATGCTAGCCCCTTAATCTTGGACTTCCCAGCCTCCAGAACTGTGAACTAATTAATTTTGTTCATTATAAATTACTTAATCTGTGGTATTCTGCTGCAGCAACACAAAATGGACTAAGGCAATATTATTACCCAGACTCATTGTTTTAAATACCATTTGTGCCTTAAAAATTCCAAAATACCATCTATGCCCTAGTAATTCCAAAAATTTCTCCAGCCTAGACTTCTTCCTGCACTGTCTTCATTTGGATATCTAATAATCATCTCAAACACAACATGTCCAAGAATGAGTTCTTGATTTTTCCATCAAACTTTCTCTCCCCAAAGTTTTCCCCACCTCAATAAACAGCAATTCTATTCTTTCAGTGGCTTACATCAAATTGAGTCATCCTTGATTCCTCTCTTTATCTTACACCGTACATCTCATCCATTAGCAAATCCAGTCTACTCTACCTTCAAATTCTATCTAGAATCCAACCACTTCTTATCTTCTCTGCTACTATCATTTTGGTTGAAGCCATCATCCTCTCTTTCCAAGAGTATTACAAGAGCATCCTAGCTGGTGTCCCTGGTCCTCCTTGCCTCTCTGCACTGTAGTCAACACAATAGCTTGGAGTGCTCCTTTTAAAAGTGAAGGCAGATCATGTCACTCCTCTGCTTAAAAAGTCTTTCATAGCTTCTTTTCCCATTCCAAACAAAAGCCAAAATCCTTACAATGATCCGTAAGGCTCTACACAATCTGTTCCTGTCACTCTCTGATCTCAGCCCCATCTTGCTCCAGCCACAGTGGCCTCCTTGCAGTTCCTTGAACACACCAGCTTTATTGTCACCTAGAGTCTTGTAGGAATTGTTCCCTCAAATATCCTGATGGCTCTTTCCATCATCTCTTTTAGATCTTTGCTCAAATATTACCCTCTTAGTGAAGATTTCCCCAACAATACTATCTAAAATTTCAGTTTTCCGCCAGCATTGTCTATCCCCCTTACTTTAGTTCCTCTTTATCAGTCATCATGATCTAACATAATTTAGATTTTGCTCATGTATCTTCATATCTCTGTCTGTTTGTTCTTTATTTAATGTAAGCATCTTGATAGTACCATTTTCTAATGTGTTGTTCATTATCCTAATTGAGACAACACCTGGCTCAGCACACAGTCAGTAAACATTTGTTAAATGCACATATAGAACATTTACTTTTCTACTTGAAATTAGATGTGAAGATAGATTCTTTGCTTGCACAGAGTCGTGACATTTCCTAAGTAATGCCTCTGCTTGTGAATCACAGTGACTGTCATGTATGAGTATACAGACATGATACTCTGATCTAAGGATATCATACATGTTAATTTAAATCTCAGAACAATCCTATAAATAGGTATCATTATCCAATTTTAGAAATGAAGAAACTAAAGCTTGGAGAGTTTAACTAAATACTCTAAAGTCACAGAGCTAGCATGGATTGAGCTAGATTTCAAACTCAGATCTATACAACTATAAAGGCCTCCTTCTTCATTACTATGACAGGCTACCTTCCTTTGAAAAATTGCTTAGGACATTATTCACTTAATAGTTACTCACTCAAAATCAAGAATTTGTGTATAACTAGACTATGTCACACTGTGTTAGGCATAAAGCAAAATAACCTTCGGTAAGGTGATCAATGAACAAAAAACTGCAAAACCTCTTTGGTGTTAGCACACCTTAAAAAACCCCTAAAAACCTCCTTTTTTTGTTTATTTCTCATCTGTATCCCAAATTTGCTAATACCCCACATCAGCTACATTCTTTTTCATTATTTGTTGTAATAACTTATTGATTACATTATGTGTTATAACAACATTATTTGTTGTTATAACTTATTGATTCCAGAAATGTTAACTTGAGGATTGTAAAGGGAAATATGTTTATTTCCTTATTAGTTAATTTGATTAACTTTGTTATTATTCTTTGTTTTATGTTCTTGCCAGAACTGACAGATCCATTTCACTCTTGGGTTGTGGTGAACTTACCATTATGTTGCTATATTCAAATAGAATAGGATGAAGAATGAAGAAAAAGATGAGGAAGATTTACATACATCAAAAACTTCTCTTCAGTAACATGAATCTCATTTATTTAGTCACTGGTAAACAGACTAATAGGGAGGGCCTATATAACAGAAACATACACATTAAATTATTCTAATTAGAAAGCACATTTATGTGTATATGTTTGCCGTTATACTCTACTTATTCCTATTTTATATCAAATTTATACCTTGGAAGTGCTACTTCGATTATGAACCAACTCGCAAATCATCTGAAACTTACTTGTCTTTTAACTCTAAACAAAAGAACTAATGGCATCTCCTATATGAACTTTGGAGATCATAATTTATGCAATAAGGTACCTATCACCATCAATAAAAAGTAAGCTTCCATTTGGGCCCTGGACAATATTCATCAGAACCAAACAAGAATGGGAAACAAGAATTAGAGGACTCATTCAGTCAAACAAAATCTAAGGATTAAAACAAGAAACAATTGTGAAAACGTATTTCAGTCACTAAGCCTATCCTTAATTTCTAATCTTTCTGGATAGAAGAACCACTTAATATTATAAATGTCTGCTAAAAACATTTAATAAATAATGTACTGAAGATCTGATGCTCTATGTTAGTTCAAGTATGTAGAAAAACATTTCAAGTGATTATGCAAAAGTGAAGCATACACCATTTTCTTCTGTTTCTTTTATTTGCAACTCATGAATAATTTCTGCTTCTGATGATGATAAATCCCCTTCTGATCAGGGTAGCTACAGATTTAAACTTGGATTTACAGTTAATAGCATGAAGTAGTTAAATAAGCTGAAGTTGGAATATGCTGCAAAAGGGAAGTATTGTAAATATATTTCCTTTAACAAATAGAAAGATATAAAAGACATTTTGAGAAAACAAATTTTAATTTTAGAGAACAAGTACAACAAAGGAAGCAAGCAATAATAATAACAAAAAAAGCACTGGAAATCCACAAAATAAAAATGAAACTTCCTTCATTTCTTCTCCATCAGATAATGTGAATGTTGTTTTCTCTTTTATTTATTACACATAATTAAATATGTATAACCTAGGCAGTAGATGGAAGAGTGGATTAGAGCTATAATACTAACATGAAATATGCCCAATACCAGCCATTAAGTATGAAAAGAAAGCTGAAGAACAATATGTATTCATGAACTTTTTATGGAAAAGTGCTTCTACCCAAACTAGTTGTTGTTTATATGTGAAAGCCTGGGGAAAGGTTTGGAAGAATACATACCCAACTGTAAAAATGACTTTCTCACAGAGAATTGTGGCTACTGTGGGAAAAAGGAGCTTTGATACTTATTCTGGATACCTCTGTGGTGTTTGAAATTTTCAATAAGAATGATATTTCTTGCCAAATTACACACAAAGTAAAACTACAGGCCAGGCGTGGTGGCTCATGCCTGTAATCCCAGCACTTTGGGAGGCCGAGGTGGCCAGATCACCTCAGGTCAGGAGTTCGAGACCAGCCTGACCAACATGGAGAACCCCCATTTCTAGTAAAAATACCAAATTCGCCAGGCATGGTGGTGCATGCTTGTAATCCCAGCTCCTTGGGAGGCTGAGGCAGGAGAATCACTTGAACCAGGAGGCAGAGGTTGCAGTGAGCCGAGATCACACCATTGCACTCCAGCCTAGGCAACAAGAGTGAAACTTCATCTCAGAAAAAAAAAAAAAAAAACACAAAGTAAAACTACATAAATGTTTATATGCACAACTTCTCGTTTAGTGTTTTCAGCTAGAAAACATCAAGGCTAGATTACAGACCAGCTTTGGAGCAGTCTGGAATCAAGTTCCACCCTCATCCTGATTAAACATGTAACCTTAGATGAATTATCAAATCTGAATCTATGGACTTCAACGTCCTCATCAGTAAAATTCAGAGACTGAGTTCAGTGATATCATAAGCTCCTTCCTGCCTAAGTGTTTATGATTTTACTATGAAAAAGGAAGACTTTAAGTCAATAAAACATTTCTAGATTCTCTTTTCTTGGTAAGTTCTTTGTGTCTAATCAGAGATTCTAATTACTTACACACATACCTCAGGGATATTGCAGGTTTAGTTCCAGACCACTGCAATAAAGTGAGTCACACACTTTTTTTGGTTTATCAGTACATATAAAAATTATGTTTCCACTATACTGTAATCTACTAAGTGTGCAATACCATTAGGTCTAAAAAGTGTACATACCTTAATTTTAAAATACTTTATTGCTAAAAAATACTAATGATCATCTGAGCCTTAAGCAAGTTGTAGTCTTTGCCAGTGGAGGATCTTGTCTTGATGTTGATGGCTGCTAACTGATCATGTTGGTGGTTATTGAAGGTTGGGGTGGCTATGAATATTCCTTAAAATAAAACAACAGTGAAGTTTACGCATCGATTGACTCTTCCTTTCATGAAAGATTTCTCTGTAGCATGTGATGCTATTTGATGGCATTTTATCCCCAGCGGAACTTCTTTTGAAATTGGGGTCAATCCTCTCAACCCTGCTGCTGCTTTATCAAGTAAGTTGATGTAATATTCTAAATTCTTTTTTGTCATTTCAACAACATTCACAGCATCTTCACCAGTAGATTCCATCTCAAGAAACCAATTTCTTGGCTCATTCATGAGAAGCAACTTGTATTTGTTAAAGTTTGATGATGAAATTGCAGGAATTCAGTCGTATCTTCAGGCTCCACTTCTAATTCTAGTTCTCTTGCTATTTCCACCACATCTGCAGTGACTTCCTCTACTGAAGTATTGAACCCCTCAAGCCTCCCACGAGGGTTGGAATTGCTATTTTAACCTCCTCTCATGAATCACATAGTTGTCCTTTATAGCATTGAGAATGATGAGTCCTTTCCAGAAGGTTTTCAATGGACTTTGCCCAGATCTATCAGAGGACTCGCTCTCTATGGCAGCTACAGCCTTACAAAATGTATTTCTTAAATAATAAGACTTAAAAGTCAAAATATTTTTTCAATAGAGATCTGTTTCATTTACACTGAAAATCTGTGGTTTAGTGTGGCCAACTTCATCAAGGATCTTAGTTAGATCTGGATAACTTGCTGCAGCTTCTACATCAGCACTTGCTGCCTTATCTTGCACTTTTGTTATGAACAAACCTCTGCTAGTTTCCAACTTTTCTTCTGCATCTTGCTCACCTTTCTCAGCTTTCACAGAATTGAAAAGAGCTAGGGCCTTGCTCTGAATTAGACTTTGGATTAAGGAAATGTTATGGCTGGTTTGATCTATCGAGACCACACAAACGTTCTCCATGTCAGCAATAAAGCTGTTTTGTTTTCTTATCGTTGGTGTGTTCATTGGAGGAGTACATTTAATTTCCTTCAAGAACTTTTCCTTTGCATTCACATCTTGGCTGACTATTTGATGCAAGAGGCCTATCTTTCAGCCTATGTTGACTTTCAACATTTCTTCCTCACTAAGCTTAATTATTTCTCTGGCTTTTGATTTAAAGTGAGAGACACGTGACTCTTCCTTTCACTGAGAGACCATCATTGTAAGGTATTATTTGGTTTAATTTCTACACTGTTTGTCTTGGGGAACAGAGAGGCCTAAGGAAAGTGAAAGACATGGAGGAACAGCTGGTTGCTGGAGCAGTCAGAACACACACATTTATTGATTACATTTGCCATCTTATATGGATGCAGTTCATGGCACCCCAAAACAATTATAATAGTAACATCAAAAATCACTGACCACTTGGCGCATGCCTGTAACTCCAGCTACTCAGGGGGCTGAGGCAGGAGAATCACTTGAACCCAGGAGGCGGAGGTTGCAATGAGCTGAGATCACACCATTGCACTCCAGCCTGGGCAACAAGAGCAAAACTCCGTCTCAAAAAAAAAAAAAGAAAAAAGAAAAAAAACAATTCCTGCTGTGGGAAAAGAGCACTGACAGACTTGCTCAACGCAGGGTTGCCACAAACCTTCAATTTTTTTTTAAAAGTACTGCAAAATACAATAAAGTGAAGGGCAATAAAATGAGGGCTGCCTTTATGTAATTCAAGATATTCCAATTTCATATACACATGCATACCATGCACTTACACATACACATACATTCTTCAGGAGGAAGTCAAGACCAAGGTCATCTTCTGCAGCCCTCCACATGTTTGCCTGCAATATTTTAATGACATAAAGTCTTAGCTTTGTTGCCAGGTGTGAGGAAGTCATGATAAATTTTTACCTTTATTCACCCTTATTCTGTTTTGACCTCAACTGGTGTATTGCAATTCAATTATGGCACTAACCACCTGGAGTTAGCAGAGACCCCAAAGTTACAGGGCAGAGTCCACAACAAGACTGCCTTCACTTCATATCAGCTGGCTCCAGTTCTGGGTGATTTCCACAATCCCGCTAACTCACTAGAGTGGCTCACGAAACTTTAGAAGGCATTATATTTATGATCACAATTTTATTATAAAGGATATAACTTGGGAACACTTAAATAAAGACACACATAGAATAAAGTGTAGGGGGGTCTCAAGTACAGAGTTTCTCTGCCCTGTGTTCATGGAATCAGTGCCCATCACCCTCCCAGAACATCTGTGCATTCACCAGCCAGAAAGCACCACTGAGCTTCGGTTTCCAGAGTTTTTGCTGGAGTTACATTACATAGAGATGATTCATTAAATAATTGGCCACATGACTGAAGTTGATCTCCAGCCCTCTGTTCCTCCTCAGGGGTCAGGCTGACTCCACATCTCAACTCTTTAATCACATAGTTGTCCTTTCTGGTGAGCAGCTCCCCTCCTGAAGCTACCTAGGGGCCCACGGTGAACCACCTCATTTGCATAAACTCAGGGGTGACCCAAGAGGCTCAAGAATAACAAAGATGCTTCTACCACTTGAAAAGTTCCCATGGTGTTAGACGCTCCATGCCAGTAACCTAGGACAAAGATTAGACACATTTTTAAATTATACAACTCCAAACCTTCTGGGGATAGTATTTAAATTTGACAACCCCAGCATTTTTGTTATCAATACAGAACTACTAATGACATAGCATCCTTAATTACATATACCTAATTTAGTGACTTTCAGCTAACAGTTTACACAACAAATTTGTGGTTGCTTTATCTCTCTACGGTCCTGAGAGGAGGACAGCATCGTGGTTAAGTGCTGCAAGCTCTAGAGATAAAGTTATTGGGTTTAAATCCAGGGCGCTTTCATGTCTCAGTTGTTAAGCAAATTCTCTTTCTGTGCCTCTTTTCTCCCTCTGTAAAATGGGAAATGAAAATTATACCCATCTCCAATGTTAATTGTTAGGACTAAATGAGCTAATCTATGCCAAGTGTTGAGGACAGTGCATGGCACTTAGTGAATGTTCACTATTATTATTGTCATAATGAAACTTGTAAATACTGTTTATTAAATGTTTCACCTTGACACATACAGCTTTGTTTTTCCTTTGTATAAATTTAAGGGTTACAAGTGCAGTTTTGTTACATGAATATATTGTGTAGTGGTAAACTCTAGGCTTTTAGTGTAACCATCACCCAAATATCATGCATTAAACCCATTAAGTAATTTCTCATGCTTCACCCCCTCCCACCCTCCCACTGTCTGGGTTTCCATTGTCTATAATTCCACACTCTATAACCTTGGTTCCTAGAGCTTTCATACTATCCAAATTATCTTCAAAATTGAAAATCCTACCCCACAGTTGAATATATCATCGAGCTCCAAAAATAAAGGGGCTGGACTAAATAATCTGAATGTCAATTCTGATTCAGAAATGGTATAATTATATAGCTGGCCTCCCGTCATCTAAAAGAATTCTAGTTCTGTAGTCTAACCGGTGTGACTTCCTTATACATTCCTTAGAATCCTAAGATAGTGATTCAGAATTTCTCTGTCAGAATTATACTGAAAGTATGAGGAAAGGAGCTCTGCCAGTACATCCCAGGCAGGCTCTATTTCAGGTCAACAGGGCTAAGGTATCAGACAAAAGTTGAGGACATACCCAGATCTGCAGACTTCTATCAAGGTAGAAAAGATCCATTTTCTCTTTCTACAAAGAAAAGTCTACTTCATCTTCCCCCCGCCTGAGAGCAGCAAATGCAGTCTGCCCTCTGCCAAACCCATCCTTTGTTATTAAACAACATACCTCTGTGTTTGCCTTTTGCTTATCTTTTTTTTCTGTCTGCAATTGATTCACAGCACCTGATGTGACAGATCATCAGATTTTATTAAAACCATTTAGAATTTCTAGCATCCTGCCATCTCTTTGTGCCTGATCTTTTCTTATTATTTCACCTATAGGCTAAAATCCCACAAGTTATAGCTCAACAGGAGAAAATTAAATCAAACAATTTCTTCATTTCTTTTGATTAATATTTTGAAGATGAAAATAATGTTTTGCTATGGTATCTTTGGAAAGCTAATATTTGATTGTTAAGAACGATTCAAGCTTAACGCCGAAGAGGTATGGTTCTTAATTCACATCCAAATAGTCAATAAGTAATCATTTCCTTACTTTTTTTATGTATTAGCACATCTGCAATGATGTAGTCCATTCATAATGACTCAAAGAGATAATAGAGCAGAGAGTAATGACAATAAAGAAGTTTGGATAGAAAACTAAATGACAAAATAGCTTAATAAAACACATAAAAATAATAGAGAAAATGAGAAAAACCACTCTTAAGATTTAAGAATGAAATATTGTACTGGGAGAATGCTGTCTATATCATACATCTTGATTTTAGACACCTTCTCCATTAAGGTGTGAGCTTATTGGCTCATGTAGCTGAAACACTGACATTTTGGCTTCATAAAAGCAGAATTGCATGGATTTGTGGCTGGCCATCTTAATGACGTACCCAGAGGGTCAACTAACTAAATATACCTAAATACCCCAAAGTAAAGGAAGGACTTTTGTGCCACACAGAGTTTTAACCTTGTTCCTATCTCATTCAACATTTTATAATTTTTTATCTACATGAAGACAGATGAAGATATTTTTATTAGCTTCTCATAAAAAGCCAAATGATTTCTTGGTATGTTGATTGATGGGCTCAATATCAAAATTATGCTGATGGTATAGGGAAGTTTAAGCTTTCCCTCTGAAGTTTCCATTAATCAAGTCTGCTGAAATAAACTGACAATAAACAGATTAACAGGAGAAAAGGCGTACAAATTTATCAGTGTGCACAGGGGCCACAGAAAACATAATACTCAAAGAAGGGCAAGAAAGTTAAAGCTTAAATACACTCTTCATAGAGTAGAGTAGAGCAAGGGGTTAAGCAATTTTCGAGGAAGAGGAAATGGTTGTTAGGGGAAATAAATGGGCCCCTTCGAGACAAGTTCCTCTGAGTTCTGTGGGAGGTGGAGACATGCTATGGGAAGATGGTGAAGGCAGAGATGAACTGCAAACAAAGGTTGTCTTTTTATGCAGATAAAGCATCTCAAGTAATATCCCTGAAAAGAATCGTTGAAAGAATAGATGAAAAGTCTGTCAGTTTGGTGGCCTAGGTGTGAAGACTTTTAGTTTCCTCTCCTGCAAGATGATCAATTGTCTCTGGTGAATGTAGATTCCGGGGTGGGGGGTTAATACAATTGCATTCCTTCTGGATGAACTTCCCTCAGTCAGATAAGGGAACTTCAGAAAGAGCCCCTGCCTATGCTTCAGAAGGGAAAGGGGGAGGAGGAGAAGGTCAGAGAGAGATCTTGGCTCTGAGGCATATTTCTGAGGCCTTTCAGTCTTCTTTGTGGAAAGCACTCCACATGCCAAAGCACCACATTTTGGAGTATTGTTTTCTGAGCCCCAATAGTGGTTTCCAACAACGTCATAAAAAAAAATAAAAATTAGATAAGAATAAATGTAAAATTCTGCATTTAAATTGGATTTTTTAATTACACAAATATAACATGGGGAGGTATGCTTTGAGTACATTTGTTATGAAAATTACTTGCTAACTTTGATAAGGATAAAACCAATATGAGCCAAGAGTATAAACCAGCCTAAAGAGGATAATAAAAATTTAAGCTTCATTAGTCAAAAAAGTGGTCCAGATTAAGAATTTGAGAATGTTGTATGCTCATGGTGTTGAAGTTTTGGTTCTGTTTTGGATAATTATCACTAGATGATTAAAAGGACTGACTACCGAGAGTATTTGATTTACATTTCAAATACAGAACTAAGGTTCTTTATCATTTACTCTGCCACAGGCAGGTTTTTCCTTGCACTGCTTAGAAACCAAGGAGTTTATTTCTCTCCCACCTCAATTTATTCTGAAAAACCAAAAGAAGAAAATGAGGAGAGGGAAAGAAAGGGCATTGACTTTTCTTCTTGTTCTTAACATACTTAGCAATATTAAAGGTCAGAGATGTACCCAGAAATTGGAGGCAAAAACCATCTTTGAAACTTCTCCAACCCAGAATGGCTTTTTAGAGAATTTTATCTCCTACATTGGATAGAATGAGCTACCTGGGCTGTCTTCCCCTTATGCAGTGTGAAGGTGTGTAGGGGACCTACATTCCCCATTTGTCTTGGTACTCTGGGCCTCCTGCCTAAATAGTTGGTTTTTATAGACTATCACAGACAGTTTTTGTTTGGGGTATTGTATGTCAGACTATGCCACCCCAAAATATGCCACTGTGGCATAAGAATTATTTTGAGCTGAAGGCAATTGAGTGTCAACAAAGAGAGTCAAACTGTAAAAGATTTAAAAAGGTTTATTATGAACCCAATATGAGTGACTAAAGCCCAAGACCAAGTCTCAAGGGGTCCTGAGGGCATGTGCCCAAGGTGGTTGGGTTAGAGCTTGGTGTTTGTTTTTTTGTTTGTTTTTTGAGATGGAGTCTCACTCTGTCATCTAGGCTGGAGGGCAGTGGCACAATCTCAGCTCACTGCAACCTCTGCCTCCCAGGTTCAAATGATTCTCCTGCCTCAGCCTCCCGAGTAGCTGGGATTACAGGCACCTGCCACTGTGCCCAGCTAATTTTTTGTATTTTTTAATAGAGACGGGGTTTCACCATGTTGGCCAGGCTGGTCTCGAACTCCTGACCTCGTGATTTGCCCGCCTTGGCCTCCCAAAGTGCTGGGATTACAGGCATGAGCCACCACGCCCGGTCAGAGCTTGGTGTTTTAGGGAGATGTAAGCCATCAATCAATACCTGTGAGGTATACACTGGTTTGGTCCAGAAAGATGGGGCAACTTCCAGTGGGGGCTTCCAGGTCATAGGTAGAATCAAAGATTTTCTGATTGGTGATTGCATTGAAAGAATTAAGCTATTCTCTAAAGACTTGGGATCAACAGAAAGGAGTGTCTGAGCTGAAAAAAGGGGTTGTGGAGACCAAGGTTCTTATTATGTAGATGAAGTCTCATAGGTGGCCGCCCTTAGAGGCAATTGATGGCAAATGTTTTATATTCAGAACTTAAAAGGTGCTAGCCTCTTAGTTAATCTCTTCAGGATCAGAAAAAGACCTACAAAAGGAAGGAAAGAGATAGCTTTGCCAGGCCTTTTCAAAATAGGTCAAAGAATTATATTCTAGGGTAAAATACTTTAATTTCTTTCAGGATCTGCTATCTGTCATGTGATGCTATGCTAGAGTCAGGTTGGAATTTGGTATCTTATTACTACAAAGAGTCAGTTGGTAGTCTTAAGATCTCTGTTTTAATGTTGACACATGGTTCAGTTGTGCCTGAATTCCAAAGGGAAGAGGGGGTAATGAAGCATGTCCAAACCCTTCTTCTCATCATGGCCTGAACTAGTTTTTAGGCTTCCTTTGGAATCTTCTTGGCCAAGAGGAAGGGTTCTTTAACTTGGTTGGGGGGCTTAGAATTTTATTTTTGGTTTACATGAGAAAAAGCAGACACAGGATAAGCTGTCTGCTGTCCTCCTCTCTGCCTAAAAACAGGTTATACATTCCTTGTGATGATATCCCCTCCACCACCATGTGCCATACCAGTGTCGTGGCCAAGGACATAGCCCTCTAAAGGTTCAGTAAAAAATCAATTCACAAAAGAAATACTAACTGGAGAAAAAGCATACACATTTTGTTGTTGTTGCTGTTGTTGTTTGGGGGTTTTTTGTTTATTTTTGTTAGTAAATTTTTTATTTTTATTTTCAAGTTTTGGGCACATGTGCAGGATGTGTATGTTTGTTACCTAGGTAAATGTGTACCTGCAAAGGACATGATCTTGTTCCTTTTTATGGCTGTAATGTATTCTATGGTGTATACGTACCACATTTTCCTTAGCCAGTCTGTCATTGATGGGCATTAAGGTTGATTCCACGTCTCTGCTATTGAATATACATTTTCTTTTTAATGAGACAGTGGCTTGCTCTATCACCCAGGCTGGAATGCCGTGGTTATCATAGCTCATTGTAGCCTTGACCTCCTGGGCTCCAGTGATCCTCCCGCCTTAGCCTCCCAAGTACCTGGGACTACAGGTGCATACCACCACACCCGGCTAATTTTTTTTAACTTTTTATATAGACAGGGTCTCACTGTGTTGCCCAGGCTGATGTTGAACTCCTGGCCTCAAGTGATTTTCCCACCTTGGCCTCCCAAAGCACTGGGATTAAAGGCACAAGCCACCATGCCCAGCCAGCATACACATTATTTAACATGTATACATGAGTACCTTCATAATAAAGACACAAATATACATGGAAATTGTCCATTTTTATGCTTAGGTTCAACAAACTATGGACAGCTATGTAGAAATATTATTGGATAAAAAGGGTATGACCTGATGCTAATGGACTGAGTGGGGAAACCAGGCAAGGCCTGTCAGGAGGATGGGACTGAGAGACAGGAGGGCAGGAGAAAGTCAAAGAAAAACTTTTACTTCTGAGGTCTTCATTTTTGGGTATTGTTTTTTGACCCCCAACACCAGGAAGGGAATAACAACCCTATCATCAGAGACAAGATGGCACCAAGAAAGAGTCTATATAACAAACCTCATGAACTAGCTCTTCTCTACTATTAGATTTCCAAATATTGGCCTTCCTACAACTTGCCACCCCTAGGAGTTCAAGGTCCCTTTTCTTTGTCTTGTCACTTCTCTGTAAATTTATCTTCATTTGTCTATATGGTATTAAGGCCTCCAAGCCTAGCCATTGCTTTTGGGGTTTCTCTTCTTTCTATGAAGTCTCTCCTCCTCACTCTGCCATGTGAAAATTTTAACACCAAATAGAGGCATACGGCCTTTTCTTCTGTTCATCTGTCTGTTGTCAGTTTATTTTACAGACTCAGCTGGAGAAACTAAGAAGAGAGAGAAAATTTTTCTCCCCTGCAGCACATAATGTGAGCCCTCAACATTGCCAATAACCATTAATGTCATTCCTTTAGTAGATATGAATCTGTACCATATCGATATCACGTATAGTCTTATTAATTCAAATGACTTTCTACACTACAATTTTACCCACACAGCAATCCACACTCAAATATATTTCCACAGCATTCTCAAAGCATAAGTCATTATAAAAGGTATCAGATTATTTTTTAAAAGAAGAAGATTACAAGTTAAAGAAGTCCTTCAAAACCTTTCTTGAAAATAGAAATGGCAAAGAATGAAAATGTGAATGGAGAAGCATTAAGGGAGACACAACTTTTCAAATTGTTGAAAGATTCTCAAGGAAGAGGAAATAGGCACAGTTTCATTCTGCCAACTAATGAGCAAGAATAACAATGACAGAGCCTTCTGTTCAATGTAAGAAAAGTTTTCAACAATGAAAAGAACTTGAGCCAAAATAGCAAGTTCCTTGTGAGGGGAAGAATTCAAGCAGGAGTTGAGTAATGTTTCAACAATATTCTAAGAAAAGATAAAAGTCATGAGATTTAAGTTTGGGTCTGTGATCTGTGCTTACAATGAAGTACAATAAAAACGTTTAAAATGTGGAAATAATCAAAGGGGAAATTGCAAAATTTTGCTGCGTAGTTTTACAACAGCTTCATCCAAACCATGACTATTGCTGATTAGTTAAATGATAGTAATATTATATAGTCAGGCTGTGGCACACATTCTATAGGTTGTATAAGCCTGGGACTTATGAAAAGATGACAAATTTGTGAAACATTCTGGGTTTTGTTCAAAAGAGATACAACAGAAAAATAAGACAACAGGAGACTAAAAGTGTGTTTAATAATCTCAGGGAAATAAATAGTAGAGCAAATAAAACATTACCTAGGCCGGGTGTGCTGGCTCACGCCTGTAATCCCAGCACTTTGGGAAGCTGAGGCAGGTGGATCACAAGGTCAGGAGTTCAAGCCAGCCTGGCCAACATACTGAAACCTAAAAAAAAATACAAAAAAAATTAGCTAAAAAAAAATCTACTAAAAAAAATACAAAAAAAATTAGCCCGGCATGGTGGTGGGTGCCTGTAATCCTAGCTACTCAGGAGGCTGAGGCAGGAGAATCACTTGAACCTGGGAGGCGGAGGTTGCATGTGAGCAGAGATCGTGCCACTGCACTCCAGCCTGGGTGACAGTGTGAGACTCTGTCTCAAAAAAATAAATAAATAAAAATTACCTAAATGGAAGCACATGAATACACTCTTCCAACAAAGACAAGGTGAATCAAAACTAAGAACTGCAAAATGGAGAAGCTATGGTAAAATAACTGCACCTAAGTAACCTAAATAACAAAATGGAGAAGCTAAGGCTAAAATAACCATCTGACGACAGCAGAACAGAATTTACCTGTTGCAAGCCTGACAACATGAAAATAATATTGCTTTTAACAAATTTGAAAGGTGATGAGGAAGAATGGTGGTAAAACAAGGGCTAATTTCTTTATCTTTCACAATACAGAGTTGGCACAGGAAACCAGAAATTAAAAAGGTCTTTTGTAAAAAGGGCCGGGCACGATGGCTCACTCCTGTAATCCTAGCACTTTGGGAGGCCGAGGTGGGTGGATCTGCTGAGGTCAGGAGTTGGAGACCAGTCTGGTCAACATGGTGAAACCCCGTCTCTACTAAAAATACAAAAATTAGCCAGGCATGGTGGTGCGTGCCTGTAATCCCAGCTACACAAGAGACCAAGGCAGGAGAATTGCTTGAACCTGGGTGGCAGAGGTTTCAGTGAGCCAAGATCATGCCACTGCACTCCAGCCTGGGCAACAGAGCGAGACTCCATCTCAAAAAATAAATGAATAAAAATGTATTTTGTAAAAAGTATATTGATTCTGCACTTGATGTTTTGTATAATTAAAATTTTTCTTAACCCTAGATAATTCCTTCAGGGATGAAATCTCTTATTTTAAAAGAGGCTTATTTGCTTTCTAGAAATTCCTTCAGTTTCACACCCAATTTATAGCTCTATTGAATTTAAATAAAAATTTTACACTTTCGATTCATGCAGCAAGTTCAGGATGATCGTATTGTGTCTTTAAGTGTTTACACTGTTAGCTATATATATTCATGTTAATATTCTTTATTGTAATTATCTAAATAGTAGAATGTATCATAACTTTTTTCAATTTCTTATAATTTTCTGTAATGTTAATACTGCTTATCTAGATGGTAGAACGTATCATAAATTTTTTTACTTTCTTATAATTTTCAAAATAGCTTGAGTTTTTATGAAAGAAACGATATATTTTTACAAAACAAAAAAGTTATTACTGTTTGAAGGGAAAAAAACAATGAAAGCATGAGGCAGATTCAATTAAAGGTAGAATGCCGAAATACTAGAAGTGAAAGTAATCTAAATAGGCCTTGTTTTCTGAACCCATTTTGAGTAGTCATAAATGGGTAGTTCCTAGCTTTCTTAGTTGATTATGTATAGATATGTCTTGCTTTGCACAAGCTTTCCTCAACTCCTCCTTTCTTCGGTGGGGGGTCTTACTTGCAGTTTCCTGCACACATGAATGTCTCTGTCAATGAGCTCTCTGTATTGTAGTTATCTGTTTACTCACCAGTCCTCCCATGTCACTCCTAGTTCCTTGTATTTCTAGCATCTAGTCCAGTGCAGCACCAAATACATGTTTATGTGAACATTATTTTTGTGAGAAAGAGAAGGAAGGGAAGAAGAAAAAGAAGGAAGGGAGGGAGGAAAGAAAACATTCATTTCAAACAAAATTATAAAATCTCAAACAAATAAAAATGCTCAATATCAGGAGGCATTAAGGAAATGCAAGTCAAAACCACAATGAGAAACCACTTTACACTATAGAATGGCTATCGTTAAAAAAGAAAATAAAAACAGAGTTGTCAGATATGGAGAAATTGGGATCCTTGTGCATTGCTGGTGGGAATGTAAAACGGTGTAGCCACTCTGAAAAATAGTATGGCAATTCTTCAAAAATTTAAATGTAGAACTACCATATGATCCAGCAATTCTATTCATGGGTATATGTCCAAAAGAACTGAAAGCAGAGTCTCAAACGGATGTTCGTACACTCATGTTCATAGCAGCATTATTTCCAATAGCCAAAAGGTAGACGCAACCAGAGTGTCCATTGATAGATAAAAGGATTTTTTAACATGTGTATATACATACAATGGAATATTATTCAGCCTGAAAAAGGAGGACTATTTTGATACATGATATAATATGGATGAATCAAAGACATTATGCTAAGTGAAATAAAACAGACTCAAAAAAAACACACAAATGTTATGTGATTCCACTAAGTTCCTAGAGTCATCAAATTCATAGAGATAGAAAGTAAACAGTGGTTGCCAGAGCCTGGGGGCAAAGGAGGATGGGGGAGTTGAAATTTAATGATATAGAGTTTCAGCTGGGGAAGATGAAAAAGTTCTGGAGACAGATGGTAGCGATAGTTGCACAACTATGTGAATGTACTTAATGCCATAGAACTGTATGCTTGAAATGGTTAAAATGGTAAATTTTATGCTTTATGCTTTACCACAGTAAGAAAATTTGAACCACAAAGGAAAATTTTAAAACAAGTTCATTTTGATACTGAATTAATCACATGAGAGAAAATAATTATTTTTTGTAGAAAGAAGAAAAGAAAAAACACCAAATACCAAAATATACTTAATTTATTGTTTCTTTAAGTCTTGCTCTGAATATATATTAATGTCATATGCAATTACTTATTGTACCATATGATACTATTTTTAATAAAAACTTCTATTTCTGGTTTTATCTTTTAGAAAAAAAGGAATAGTTGAGTGAAAAAAAATAGCTAATTTTATTAACTGCATGTGTCTTCGGCTAAAGTCTAGTTGTTTGAATCCCAGAGCTAAAAATCTCACAAAAGTCAAAACTACTACCAATAAAAATAGTGTAAATAGAAATATCACCATACCCTAAAGGCAGCGGGCATTAAGGCTGGAATTGTAAGTAACTCTATGTGAGTATGAATTCATTTCCCTTTTCCCCCTAGGTTGTTAAGTATTGGTATTACAAATAAGTAACGGCTCACAATTTTATGTATTTTTAAAAATTATGAGTTTTCAATATAAAGGTATTAAAAACATGCCAACCTTGATTAGTTGCAAAATAAACAAGTCACTAATGAAAAAAAATCTACTTAGTTATCTTCCTTCACAAACCCTTAGGAACTTCTCAGACAGCGCTCCCACTTATGGTAGAATCTTAAGGTATATATATCTATATCGATATATATCTATACGGACATATGTTTAGATATCTAATGTATATATCTAGATATCCATATAGATATATGTTTAGATATCGAATGTATATATCTATATGTCAATATAGATAGATATATTAAATATAAATACATAGATCAATTTTTTTTTAGATGCAGTCTCATTCTGTCATTTTGTCACCCAGGCTAGAGTGCAGTGGTGCAATCACAGCTCACCACAACTTTGACCTCCTGGACACAAGCAATCCTCCCACCTCAGCTTCCTGAGTAGCTGGAACCACAGATATACACCACCATGCCTGACTAATATTTGTATTTTTTTTTTGTAGAAATGAGGTCTCACTATGTTGCCCAAACTGGTCTCAAACTCCTGGCCTCAAGCAATCCTCCCATCTAGGCCTCCCAAAGTGCTAGAATTGCAGGCATGAGCCACCATGTCCAGCGAAGATATTAACACCAAAACATGATGTTAACAAATGCTATTTGCCGTGCACAAGGCAGTTGCTCATAGTTTAAATGTAATTTTTTTGTCCAAAGGAAAAAAAAACTTTTATCTGGGTTGTTCAAGAACCCTTTCAAAATGTAAGAACATGCTTATGAAAACAAAGGGAAGTGGAAAAGCCGCAGCTGGCCATAAGCTCTAAGTCAAAGCTGTATTTGGGGTCTCAGTAAAGAGGAGATAAACCCAGTAAGTCTGGAACTTACTAACTGGCTACACAATTCAGATTAAAGAGAACTCAGAAATGATCATTACAGATTTACAAACCTAAGAGTATAAAGGATGGCAGTGCTTAAATCAGAGTAATATTTGGGGCAACAGTCTAAGTGGAAAATTTGGTTCAAATCGTGTTTTGTTTTTAGGGGGTCAGTAGATGCCAGGGAACAGCCATTCCATAGACAAGAAGTAGAGGCATCAGAAGAGGATGAGAGTCAGGATTAGAGAAGAATATTTACCTTTTATCATCAGGCCAGACTCCTAACAGTCTCCCAGGCACTATGAACCTATGACTACAGACTACAAAGCCCACAAAATACAAAAATCTCATCTTGCTTAAGGGCAGGAAACGTTGAAAGAAACCCAGGGAAAATAATTTCTTTCCATATTTCTTCTAAAGAATGCCTGCAATACGAGAAAAAAATATTCTCTTTCTCAGTGTAGCAAAATAGCCTATGACCTTATAATGTGATTAAACTCTATTGGTGCTGTTAAGAAAGGGACACTTAATTACATGGTGCTTTTCATCTTCTAAGTGCTTTACAAGAACTGTATTAACTAATTAACGACGGAAAACCTGATGTTTCTTGGAAAAGACCGCTATCTCTTCTCTTCACCTTTTAGATGAACTTTTTTTTAAATCTTGAAACACTACATGCACAAAACAAGTGATATTTAAACTTTTCAAACTAATGATTATGGCAAGCAGTTCATTTTCCTGGTACTTCCAGATTTGAACTGCAATTAAAAAGGATGTAAGTAAGCCATCTAAAAAGAGAAACAGCTCTACTCTGGCTCATAAAAGCCCACCTGGTGAGAAACAGTGAACCTTGTAAATGATGAAGTAGCAATGATGTGAAGATGCTCACTTTTGGCCTGTGGCTCCCACGTCCTCGAGAAGCAGATGGGATAAGGGCACCTATTCCCACCTGCACTGAGCTCTCTAACATGGGCTTCAGCTGAGATTTTCTCTTTCACTTCCAATAGTTTTAAAATTAGTGATCCCAAACATTCATCAAAGGAACATGGGTAATACGGTGTATTTTCTTTGAAGATAAATGGTTTTGGCGCATGCCAAAGTTTCTTAAGAGCACATTTAAAAATCTGGATTGGGGTTATCATTCAGATATCATTCACTCATACAATTAAAGTGTATTAAGAACCTAAAATGAACAAAGTACTCCTTGTTTAGAGTCAGGATGGGCATCTTTCTAACTACACCTCAAGAACTGGGTGGTTTTTATACCTGTATACTATCTCATACCCACTCCATGAAAATTCTGTCTGCCAAGGCCAGGTTGAAATCCCAGTCTAGAGGGAGGTAGCATGAGATATGGAAAAATTTACAGCCTTGGGTTTAAAATGAGCTCTACATATGCACTTCCAGTGGCACAAATGTAATGTAAGAAAAATGCCTAGCCAATGGTATAGCGTATATAATATACAGAAGTTGGACTCTGGATTAGCCTATTCTTGCATTGCTATAAAGAAATGCCTGAGACAGAAGTCACAATCTTTTTTGTAACCTAATCTCAGAAGAGACATCCCATCACATTTGCTGTACTCTACTCACTAGAAGCAAGTCACTAGATCCACCCCATACTCAAAGAGAGATTACAAAAGGACATGAAAACCTGGAGGCCAAGATCATTAGGGCGAGTCTAGAGACTGCCTACCTCAATGACAAACAATTATACAATGCTTTACTCCTGGAAAGATGCAGTTATTTCTTTCATCATTCATTGATCCAGCAGTATTGATTGTGCACCTACTTAGTGCCATGCCCTGGAAATCTTGGGAGCAAAGCAGATGCTCTCCTGGTCTTCAGAAAACCTACAGTCTAGTGTCCTCAAAACTAAACCCTTAAATGGTTTTGATCACAAAGAATAAAGTGTTTCAGATAGCAAGAAAACTTATTTCAGGAACTTTCTGTCTTATTAACTGCTTTTTCTTAACTGCTGCTCTTGTAAATAAAATACTGATGACCTTTCAGTAAAGAAGAAAAATTACCTTAATCTTCCTACATCATAATTCTGTGATAACCCTTTGCTTGGATCTACAGACTTTATAGCTCAGTGAGAGCCCAAGTGATTAACTTCAATTTCTGTACTGACAATATAGTGTAAGGCCTACAGATAAGAAGTTTGAGCTCACCCAGCTGTGGAAAGAGAAGCTGCTTATGAATTTAGCTCTTTGTCCCTCACAAGCCAAAAACTGACAGAAAAATTCATGAGGTCACTGATATGGTTTGGCTGTGTCCCCATCCAAATCTCATCTTGAATTGTAGCTCCTATAATCCTCATATGTCATGGGAGGGATCCAGTGGGAGGTAACTGAATCATGGGGTTGGGTTTTTCCATGCTGTTCTCATGATAGTGAATAAGTCTCATGAGATCTGATGGTTTTATAAAGCACAGTTCCCCTGCACATGCTCTCTCTTGCCTGCCACCATGTAAGATGTGACTTTGCTCTTCCTTCGCCTTCTGCTGTAATTTTAAGGCTTCTCCAGCCACATGGAACTGTGAGCTCATTAAACCTCTTACCTTTATAAATTACCCAGTCTCAGGTATGTCTTTATTAGCAGCATGAGAACAGACTAATTACAGTAGATAACTGACAGAAAAATTTATGAGGTTGGTAAGGCCCCCTTCAGATTCTATGGCCATGCTTTGTCTTCTAAAGAAAAACTTGAGAGGTTTCTGACAAGAATGAAAACCAAGATGATTCTAGTGATTTCAAAATAAACAAACACATGATTTGTGAAAAAAAAAGAAAGGAAGAAATGCCTGAGACTAAGTAATTTATTTTTTAAAAGGAAAAAAGGGGTTTAATTGGCTCATGGTTCCCCAGACTGTACAGGAAGAATGGCAGCATCTGCTTGGCTTTTGGGGGGCCTCAGGAAACTCATAATCATGGCAGAAGGCAAAGGGGGAAGCAAACACGTCTTACCTGGCCAGAGCTGGAGGAAGAGAGAAAGAGGGGAAAGGTACCACACACTTTTAAATAACCAGATCTCATGAGAACTCTATCATGAGAATAGCACCAAAGTAAGAAGCTGCTCCCATGCTCCAATCACCTCCCACTAAGCCCCACCTCCAACACTGAGGATTTCAACAGAACATGAGATTTGGGCAGTGATACAGATCCAAACCATATCAGACTCAGATAGACCTGGTTATAAATCCCGATTGTAGCATTAGTGGGTAGAAGCCATATATTATACCTTCTTTACCTCTCACAGTATTGTTTAATAAAAATAATACAAGGCCATTGTTTTGGACTAAGCTTCTGCTATAGGCCTGAACAGACCAGACGAAAAATCAAAATGGCTGATGCCACTTTGCCTAAACTAAGATTTGATGCCTAAACCAAACCTTAGCTTAGGTTTGGTGATGAGGAACAACTTTGTTTAGGTTTGGTGATATGGAGCTTTAGCATGGGTGATCCTTCCTGGAAATCAGGACGGAACAATAACAGTCAATTTCTCAAATAGGCCAGTTTAACTCTTCAATAAGAATGATAATAGAGTTCCCTCTACTTTAATCCTTAGACAAAAATGGTAGCATAAAGAACTGGATGTTAACTAATCAGTTATTTTTTTACTGTTCTGTCTAAAAGCAACTAATATACTCTTTGTTCTTTTTTTAATAGGTACATAGTAGGTACATATATTTATGGGATACATGAGATATCTTGATACAGACATATAATATGTAATAATCACATTAGGGAAAACGTATTTATAAATTCACCTCAAGCATTTATCATTTCTTTGCATTACAAACATTCCAATTATACCCTTTTAGTTATTTTTAAATGTATAATAAATTATTGTTGACTGTAATCACCCCATTGTGTTACCAAGAACTTGATCTTAATCATTCTATCTAACAATATTTTTGTACCCATTAACCATCCTTACTTCCCTCACAACACCCTCTACCCTTCCCAGCCTGTGGTAACCATCATTCTATTCTGTATCTCCATGGGTTCAATTGTTTTAATTTTTAGCTCCCACAAATGAGCAAGAACATGTGAAGTTTATCTTTTGGTGCCTCTATTATTTCACTTAAAATAATGGCCTGCAGTTCCATCCATGTTGTTGCAAATGACAGGATCTCATTCTTTTTTTATGGCTGAGTAATACTCCATTGTGTATATCTCTACCATATTTTCTTTATCCATTCACCATTTGATGGACACTTGGATTGCTTCCAAATCTTAGCTATTGTAAATACTGCAGCAATAAACAAAGGAGTGCAGATATCTCTTCAATATATGGATTTCCTTTCTTTTGAGTAAATATCTAGCAGTGGGATTGCTGGATCATATGGTAGTTCTATTTTTAGATTTTTTTTGAGGAAACTCTATACTATATTCTCCATAGTAGTTATACTAATTTACATTCCCACCAACAGTGTACAGGGGTTCCCTTTTCTCCACATTCTCACCAGCAGTTGTTATTGCCTGTCATTTGGAAAAAAGCCATCTTAACTTGAGTAAAGTGGCATCTCATTGTAGCTTTGATTTGCATTTCTCTGATGATCAATGATGTTGAGCACTTTTTCATATACTTGTTTTCTATTTGCATGTCTTCATTTGAGAAATGTTTATTAAAATATTTTGCCCATTTTTAAAATCAGATTATTAGATTTTTTTCTATAGAGTTGTTTAGGCTCCTTATATATTCTGGTTATTAATCATTTGTCAGATGGGTAATTTGCAAATATTTCACCCACTCTGTGGGTTGTCTCTTCACTTTGTTGATTGTTTGCAGAAGCTCCTGAACTTGATATAATCTCATTTGTCCATTTCCACTTTGGTTGCCTGTGCTTGTGGGGTATCACTCAAGAAATTTTTGCCCAGACCAATATCTTGGAGATTTTCCCCAATGTTTTATTTTTATAGTCACATAGTTTGAGGTCTTCAGTTTAAGTCTTTAATCCATTTCGATTTGATTTTTGTATATGGCAAGAGATAGGGGTCTAGCTTCATTCTTCTGCATATGAATATCCAGTTTTCCCAGCACCATTTATTGAAGAGATTGTCCTTTGCCCAATGTATGTTCTCGGCACCTTTGTCAAAAATGAGTTCGCTGTAGATGCATGGATTTATTTCTGGATTCTCTATTCTGTTCCTTTGTTCTATGTGTCTGCTTTTATGCCAGTACCATGCTGTTTGGGTTACAATCACTCTGTAGTATAATTTGTCACTCTGAGATTGGTCACTCGTGTCTTATTTAGTTCATTCGGTGAAGTCATGTTTTCCTGGATGATCTTGATGTTTGTGGATATTCATCAATGTCTAGGCATTGAAAAGTTAGGTATTTATTGTAGTTTTCTGGTCTGGGCTCATTTGTATGCATCCTTTTTGGGAAGACTTTCCAAGTATTCAAAGTTGAGTGTTGTGATCTAAGTCTTTGGTCACTGCAACCATATCTTCATTAGCGGGCACCCCAAGCCCAGTAATACTGTGTTCTTGCAGAGTCATAGAGTTACTGCCTTGGTGATCTTGGGTAAAATTTGAGAGAATTCCCTAGATTACAAAGCAGTCTCTTGTTCTCTTCCCTTACTTTCTCCCAAACAAATGGAGTCTTTCTCTATGTGCTGAGCTTCCTGGAGCTGGGGGAGATAAGACACAAGCACCCTTGTGGCCACCATCAGAGGAACTGCAGAATGAGATTCAAAGCCAGCACAGCTCAAGGCCCACAGTGACCATTGCCTAGCTACCACTAATACTCACTTCAGGTCTAAGGGCTCTACAATCAGCAGGTGGCAAATATAGCCAGGCTTATATCCTTCCCTTCAGGGTGGCAAGCTCTCCCCTGGCCCAAGGCAAGTCCAAAAATACCATCCTAGGAGCCAGGATGTGGAGCTGGAAATCTTAGGAATCTACTTTGTGCTCTACTCTACTGCAGCTTAGCTGGCACCCAAACCATCAGAAAAAATTCTTCCCACTCTTCCCTCTCCTTTCCTCAAGCATAAGGAGTATCTCCCAGCTGTAATGCCAGCACTTTGGGAGGCCAAGGCGGACAGATCACCTGAGGTCAGGAGTTCAAGACCAGACTGACCAACATGGAGAAACCCCATCTCTACTAAAAATACAAAATTAGGAGTGATGGCACATGCCTGTAATCCCAGCTACTCGGGAGGCTGATGCAGGAGAATCACTTGAACCCGGGAGGCGGAGGTTGCGGTGAGCCAAGATCACGCCATTGCACACCATGCACTCCAGCCTGGACAACAAGAGCGAAACTCCGTCTCAAAAAGAAAAAAAAAAAAAAAAAAAAATGGAGTATCTCCCAACCACTGCCACAGATCCACAGTGAGTACTGCCTGGTGACCACCAACGTTCATGCAAGGCCCAAGGGCTCTTCAATCAGCTTGTGGTGAATGCCACCAAGACTGGGTCTCTCCCTTCAGGGAACTGGGGTCCTTTCTGGCCCCAAGTGAGTCAAGAAATACCATCCAGAATCCAAGACCAGAAATCAAAGGCCCCAGGAGCCCACTTGGTACTCTACCCCATTGAGGCTGAGCTGGTACCCAAGCTCAAGACACAGTCCCCTTCCCTCTCCTTTCCTCAAGGAGTCCTCTTACCTCTCCTTTCCTCAAGCAGAAAGAGTCTCTCCCCATGACCACAGCTGGGAATACACTGGATCACACCTGAAACCAGCATGGCACTGAGTCTCACCCAAAGCCCACAGTGAGTACTGCCTGGCTACTACTAGTGTTTATTCAAGACCTAAGAGGTCTTGAGTCAGCAGATGATTAATCCTATCAGGACTAGATTCTTCTCTTCAAGGCAGTGAGTTCCTTTCTGTTCTATAGTGTGTCTATAAATGTCATTCGAGAGCGAGGGCCTGGAATGGGGTCTCAGGACTTTGCTTTGTGTGTCATTTTATTATGGCTGAGCTGGTATCCAAGTTGCAAGACAAAGTCCTCTTTACTCTTCCCTCTCTCCCTGTCTTCTTCACTTGTCAAGTGGAAGAAAGGACTCTCTCCCAGAGCTATGAGCTGCACTGTCTATGGTTGGGGGAGAGGTGATGTAAGCACTTCTTTGGCCACCCTAGCTTGTGTCTCACTAGGTCGCATGGACCCTAAGTTCTCTGGCTCTGAACCCAGAATAGCATCAGGACTCGCCCAAGAGTTGCAGTCCTTGTGGCCTAGACTGCCCTTCAATTTTATTTAGGGGCCCACAGCACTTTAGTGTGTAGTGGTAGACCTAGCCAGAACTCAGGTTCTGACCACTGAGATGAACAATTCCCCTCTGGCTAGGACTGGTCTAAATGCTCCCTCCATGGGTGCCAGCTCAACTCTGGCCTTTGTTGCTCTCTGCTGTGACCATCAACACTGAGTTCCAATGCAAAGTCTCACAATCACTGCACTCTCCCTCCCCCAAGCACACAATTTTCTCTCTGCACCATGCAACTGCTGCTGAGGGATGAGGGAGGGATAGTGTTGATGATTCAAGACTGTCTTTCCTACCCTCTTCAGTGCCTCTTTCCTTACTATGATGTTAGAACTAGGTATTGTGGTCACTCACCTGATTTTTGGTTCTAATGGAAGTGCTCTCTTGTGTGAATAGTTGTTCAATTTGGTGTTTCTGCAGGGGACAATCACTGGAGGGTTCTATTTTGCCATTTTTCTCCACCTCCCTCCCGACTCTTTATTCTTTGCTTCTTCTTTCTCTAATCTTTCTCTGTCTATAAAGCCAATCCCTTCTATCCAGCTTATTGGAACATTTATTCTATTTTATGCAGTAAGGTGTTACCCAATTTTAGAATCACAAATAAAGTCAGTTGAGATTTTAAATATTTGTAATTTTGCCTTTTGACAGTATCATTCACAATGCTAAGTATATAGTAGACATACATTAAATTTTTGTTGACTGACATTGACTTATTAGCCATTCAAGTAAAAGACACACGTGCACAGAGGTACACATACCCCCACTATATTTACCTCCTTCCAGCTATATAGTAACAGGCAGGTTCTAGCAGAGCCTTTGAGCTCTTCCTGGTAAGATAAGCCCCAAAGTTACTAGGGTCAGAAAGAAGTTGACACCTTCATTCCTGAAGTTTACATGTTCTCAGCTCAGCAGCTTCAAAATCAATTTCTAGGGGTAGTACCAGGCCTGCTACTTATCTTGTGACCTGAGCTCTACAAATAACAGAAATAGCAAGCTCTAGATTACTAACAATTCTCAGTCTATCTTGGGTTATTTATATATTGTTACAACTCAAATATTTAAAGAATATTCTTTCTGGTCACTGCCCTTCAGTAATTTAGTCTAGAGGTCACAAAGGCATAAATTATAATTCCAGTAAACATTTTCTCAGAATTGTTCTGTTTTTTCCATTCTTCTCCGTCATCTTTTAATAAAAATAAGACCTGAGCAAATATGCACAAATTCTAATTTGTTTTATCCAGACAAACTTTAAATCCCTCTTCCAACTTTGTTATTTATATTTATGATACAATATTAGCTATCTTTTTATACAACTAGAGAAGAGCAATTGCAAAAATTTATCAAGAATTCTTTTCCTAAAATTGTTCTCATAATAACCACAAATTGTTAGCATCTATCACCATATGATGTAACCATATAAAAGCCTTTTCTAGCCTCATCCCCATAAGGTACCTCTCTATTATATTATAATGATAAATGCCAAAATTTTTTGCATGACACTTAATCTGTTATAGAATTCTACAGGGAATGCTAGACTACTACTCAAGGTTTCTTATAAGCAGCTACAGCTAAAAGTCAGCATCATATTCTTAAATCAACTGATCTTTTTCCTTTACAATATTTATTTCTGACAAAACAATTTACAACTATATCATAAAGTCAATACAAACATATACCAGGAGTAAATATGCTATTGTGTGCTTGAAGAGATCATGATTACGTATTCAGCATAGGGATAGATGTGGTATTTTGAAGAGAGTCATGTTATGCTATCCTGTAATGCAGCCAATTCCCAATTATACCTAGTAATTGATTATGAGTAATTATGATTCACAGATAAAGCCCAAGTTTATGTTAGCCAATAGTTAACTCCCAATAATTCATTATTATGTGAAGGGAACATTACTTTCGGGTAAACACAAATGGAAAATTTGTTCCTAAATCTCTCTTCCATTTCCTTCCCCTCTCAGATTAGTTGTTAAATTGCGATTTGCTCTTTTCTATAGGACATTATTACTCAACTTAGTGCAACATAACTCCATTATGTGCCTTGCATTTTTTACATTAATTAGCTCAACTTTTCTGTTGTTAAAAAAACATTTTATATATATTTTTGAGAATATTATTCAGGACTTTAATATGAGTTTTTAAAAATTTTTGTACTTAAGGGTGAAAATCACAAACACTCAGAACATTTTTATCTTTGAGAGACTTTTTTTAACCACTTCACATGTTTTATACCTTTTCTAGAGCACTTATTTATGAAGGGCAGCAGAATATGCCACCCCAAAATATAACACTTTGGCATAGAGATTATTTTGAGCTGAAGCCTATTGAGAAGAAGCAGATATGAGGAAAGCTGTCTGTACTCCTCTTATCTGCCTAAAAGTAGGACATGAGTTTACAAAGGTGTCCTTCCACCCCCGTCACCAGAAAGGACAAATGTTGATCACCAAAGTCAATTTTAGACCCTGGTCAGCCTGAAGATGACATCAGAGGCATCTACATAACCAATCGTACTAACTAGCTTTTATCTACCATTCGTTTCCCATTCATTTGCCTTCCCACAACTTGTTACCTTATGAGACTCAAGGTCCTTTTCCTTTGTCTTGTCACTTCTCTAAAAATGTATAATTCTTTGTTGAAGATACTATATAAGCCAAGTTCTAAGCCACTTCTTTGAGAATTACTCATTCTGTGCCTATTTCCCATCTATGTACGAAATAAACATGTTAACACACTTGTTTGCTTTCTCTTGTTAATACGCAATCTTCTGCTGTAGTATGATGGATCAAAGGAAAATTATTGTTTTCCGCCCCCTACATTTATATTCTCAAGTGTAGTAATTATAATGTCTAACATTTTTGGATATTTACTGTGTGCCCGCCAAGGGGCTCAATACTTTGCCTCCACTCTTCCTTTATATCTAAGCAAGTATTATTATTATTATTCACATTTTACATATTAAGCAACTGATGGCCAGAAAGGCTAAATAATTTTCCCAGATTCCACCAGGAACTAGGGGCTGGAAGAGAGAGTCACAATGAGACAACTGATTCCACAGCCTACATCTTAGCTACCTCACCATATCTCTTCCTCATAGCTAGCTGCCCATATTTCAGCCTATGTTGGCAGTCTTACCTAACATACGTTCAGGATATATTTGAAACAATTATATAAACACAGCATATTCCAGCTTCTCAGATCAAGCTGTACACAAAGGCAGCTTAATCAGTTAGAGGCATGACAAAACAAATGGCAAACAAAACAAAGAGCCCAGCAGTAGGACAATGAGCAGGACACAAGTTATTCCGCCTTTCGTTCTGGCATGTCAGTATTGCCTCCTCTCATAGCCCTGAGATTCCTGTCAGTCTAGGCATCATAGGTGACACATAACATCCAGTGAAGAAGGGACAAATTCCATACTGGCTATCTAGTTTTTGTTTGTTGGGTTTTTGTTTCTCGGTTTTTGGTTTGTTTGTTTGTTTGTTTGTTTGTTTGTTTGTTTTGAGTTACAGAAACCTTTCCCAGAAGCCTCCCAACAGACCAACCCTTGGGTTTCATTGACCAATATTGAGTCATCTGCCCATTCCCAAATCAGTCACTGGCAAGGGTGATAAGATCACCTGACTGGACTAGACCAATCATGATTTACCCTCTGGAGCTGGGAAGGGGATCATATTCCCTGAGCACATGTAGGTGAAACCCGTAAATAAAATCAGGGTACTGCCTATAAAGAAGGATAGAGAGAAATGGCTGATAAATATCTAACCAATGGCATCCATGCATCCATCTCTCTTTATATGTGCATGTTGTGTATATGTATATAGGGGATCTATCTATCTATCTATCTATCTATCTATCTGCATCTATGTAGGCATATACCCACCAATGTGTGAGAAAAAGGTGCCCTCCAGAGGAGTAATTATAGTTTTTTGGGGGGGAGGATTGTTTTTTCTTTTAGATCCAGACCTATGGAGTCACAGAAGAGTTATTGTTGACATCTACCATGAGAAATCAATGTTATTTCCTTATTTTGAGATAAGAAACTGTTCATTATTACAGTGAAAGTTCTAGCCCTGACCTATTAATAACTATTAACAGTTTGAGTATCAAAATACAGACTCTATTCCATTAATACTATGTCTATGAATTTCAATGAATTTCACTAAAATGTCAAGGCTTTTTGTCCTCATTTTTCATTAACAATTTGCTTCTTAGACAGGTGCGGTGACTCATGCCTCTAATCCCAGCACTTTGGGAGGCTGAGGTGGGAGGATCACTGGAAGCTAGGAGATCAAAACCAGCCTGGGCAAATAGTGAGACCCAATCTCTCTACAAAATAAAAATTTAAAAATTAGCCAGGCATTGTTGTGCATGCGTATAGTCCCAGCTACTCAGAAGGCTGAAGTGGGAGGATTGCTTAAGCCCAGGAGTTCAAGGCTGCAGTGAGTCACAATCGTGCCACTGCACTCCAGCCTGGGGGACAGAGCAAGGCCCTGTCTCTAAAAAAAGAACCAAAGAGCCTACTCCACACCTTCCATCCCTGTGGGAACATTGAGATGGAACAGGAAGAAAGGAGTAGACAGAAGAGAGAGGCAAATAAATTTAGAAGGTTTCAAGCAAAGAGACAAGAAGGGAGCAGGAGTTTGGAGGTCAAGGAGAGAGAGGATGCCCCAGGCAGCCTCCAGTCCCAGCCTCTGCAATCTAGAGGTCTTCCTTTAGAAACTACAACCATGTTGCTTTCCACAAGAAACACATTTGCTGCTTTTACAGAATACCCAAGGCCTTCATTTTCTTCCTTTTTCTCAGCATCTTCTTTAGCATGCTCTCCATTTTAGATCCTGTCTGTGATCATCCAGTCTCAGCATTCCTCTTTCCAACTTCTGACAACGCAAAGAGGTTGGTATGTCAAATCTCAGCCAGGAGTCATGGCAGGTGGAAGCATCTAAGCATAAAAACAACTACTGACAACTGCCCCACATGTTGGATTTGCTTTTCATGACCAGAGCAAATACACTTAAGCTGCGTCATCTCTAAAACTAAAGAATATATAATACATATTTTATATCTGTAACAAGTTTTTATAAGCAGATTTCTGATTTCACTTTCCTCAAGCAGCTAGACAGTAGAATAGGGGTTGATCAGTCCAGCTGCAAACTCGTTTCCTAAGCCAGAAAAGAAGGAAAGGAAGAAGGCTGCAGTCAGAGTTCCACGACACTAGTGAGCTGGTGGAGAAATTTTCCCTTCTCCATCTCTGACTGAAAGGATCTTTAAAAGCAGGTGAGCATGCGGAGCAAAACACACACTGCAATTCAAGAGTGAAGACTGGATGGTGGTTTAATGGAGAAGCACAGAGGACGAGCCTACATTTGAAGGCAGAAATCAGAGAGCACTTGGGTGGTTACGCATCCAGGTGCACCGAACTGAATGGGACAAGCACCTGGGGCCACAGGTGAACCAGGCCGTGTGGGAACTGGGAATATCAGGATCCAGGCAAGCTTCTGCCATTGGCTATCCCACATCCTGAGGTGCATTCACTTCCACAAGTGCTCCTTTACTTTTTCCCTCCCAGGAATACACAAGACCCACCTCCCCACCTTTATTTCTTACCATTTTCCCAGAGCCACACAAGACCCACATCCCCACCTTTATTTCTCACCATTTTCCCAGAGCCACACAAGGCCCACTTCCCCACCTTTATCTCTTACCATTTTCCCAGAGCCACACAAGAGCCACCTCCCCACCTTTATTTCTCACCATTTTCACAAGACTTCTTTGAGATTTGCAAATATCTCTACTTACACCCTCTCTGCTATGTCCTACTTGTTCTACTTTTTGTTCTATTTATTGGTTAAATTTTTTGTTCTATTTATTGTTAAGGGAATTATTTCCCCTTCCTCCTCCATAGCTAGATTTCTTTAAGTGGAAAAGGATATATTCCTGTGGCCAAAATGAAAGTATCAATAAGGTTTTCTTCCTTTGCATTTACTACTTTCCTCAAATCAAGTGCAAGAATTCTGACATCAATAGAGCCTCTGCCTCCTTCAACTCTTTTGTTGTCTGTTACTGAAAAGTCAGAGCAAGAGATAAAGTTAATGAAAAGAGATAAAGTTAATTTGTGCTAAGCAATTCAAATTCCCTGTGAACTGTCGAATCAATGGTTGAATCTTAAGCATAGTAATTCACATGGAATATCAAACATTTCACAGTTTGCCAACAGCCTCATGTCTTTCTCAAAGAATTCCCAGAATAGTAATTTCAACATTCCCACCCTTTTCCATTCTGAAAATTTCCTCACTGGTGCTCACTTAGGAGCAAGGAATAAGTCAAATCTTGAGAAAACTCATGAGCTATTCTAGAAGCACAAAGAGTTTTCCCTTTTGGAGACTTATAGGTTGAATTGGGTCCATCCCAAAATACATATGTTGAAGTCCTAACCCGCTGTAATTCAGAATGTGATCTTATTTGGAAACAAGCACTTTACAGAGGTAATCAAGTAAAAATGAGGTCATCAGGCTGGGCCCTAATACAATAGGACAGGGGTACTTGTCAAAGGGGGAAATTTGGATGCAGAGATGATCATACAGAGAAGACAATATAAGGAGACACAGGGAGAAGACAGCCATCTACAGGCCAAGGAGAGAGGCCTGGAACAGATCCTTTCCTTATATCCCTCACAAGGAACCAACCCTGCCAGCACTTTGATTTTGGATATCCAGCCTGGAGAATGGTGAGACAATAAATTTCTGTTTTCTAAGCCACCCAGTCTGTGATACTTTGTTACCACAGCCCTAGAAAACTAACACAGAGACATCCAAAAATCACATCCAGAATAAAAGATAAGATGGTAAGGTTCCAGGGGAGGATGGGCCTCCCTTAAAGGCCATCTGGAACGTTCCATCCACAGTGAAAGATAAAGAAGTGAGATTTTATGTACAAAGCACATAGCATAGTTCCTGACATATAGTCACCACTCAAAACAAATGAGTTCTCACCACACTTCCAGGAGTTAGAGAGCACACACTCCTTTCTTATTGCCTTGTGAGGTAAAAAGGTCATCTAAACAGACAAGAGGATGTGGGACTGACTTCACCAGCTACCACAGGCCTCTCCTATCAGGTGAGAATATGCCTAAGAAAATTCAGTTCACACCATCAGATATAACGAAACGCCATGAAATGGAGACAATGGGATGAGTCTTATAGAATAGACAAAATTAACAAAATTAAGTTCCTTGCCTTGAAGAGTCCAAGTTAACTGAATATTCACTGGCAAATATTGATTCTTATCATATAGCATACACAATAATCAATTCAAAATGGATTAAAGACTTAAACGTAAGACCTGAAATCGTAAAACTCTTAGAAGAAAACATGGGGCAAAGGTTTTTGACACTGATCTTGGCAATGATGTTTTGGATATGATACCAAAAGCACAGGCAATGAAAGCAAAAGGAAATGAGTGGGACTATATCAAATGAAAACGTTTCTGGCTCGGGGAATGAATCTCCAAGTCCATTATTATACATTAAGCAGATGCAAATACATCACCAAACCTCACCTTCAGCTCCCAATGGTCTCCAAAAAGATTATTACTCAAAGAATCCCTGTCTCATAGGATCCCAGCACTTCCTGCAGGAAAGCACCATGTTAATCTCCAAGCATTCATGTTTCTCAAATAACAGTCCCAGAGGGACAAAAAAAGCCAAATGGCTCAGCATAAGGTCACAGCATATGTCTGTTTTGGAAGTTCTAGTACATTAGTTTTTCATTTCTGTATCTTGAGAAACATACATTCTTGAAGAAAATTTTTACTATGAACATATTAAGCCTCCCATCCATCAGCCACCTCCAAGCCATTATCCTGAGATAGTCTCATTTCATCTGTACTCCCCCCATTTCCTCACCCACTGGATTATTAAATCCCCAACATATCACTTCACTCACAAATACTTCAATATACAAGATAGGATTCTTTTTCTATATAATCAAATAGCACACTCAAAAATTAATAACAGTTCCTCACTATCAACAACTCCCCTGACTATTGGGTAATTTTTACTTTGTAACTTTTACATACAGCTAAACCCACTAGATTTGTTGATACCGCTCTTTAACCTTCTTTAATCTATAGGATTCTCGTCTCTCTTTTTTCTCGTACCATTTGGTTGTGGAAGATACTAGATCATTTGTCTTGCCAAATTTCCCACATTCTGGATTACCGATTGCCTCCCCAGGGAATAGTTTAACCTGTTCTTATTAACTATCAGCTTAGAGGCCTGATCAGATTCAAGCTCCATTTTTGAAAAGAATATGTGTGGTGCTGGAGACACAGCATCTGATTGTTTCTCTGCGATGAGGCTTGAGCCAGTGAGGTCATGTGCTACCAGCCTGATCTATCCATTACAGAATTTCTGTCCTAGTTTTTGTCCCCCATGTAGAGTCTGGGACAAGAGCATGGGTGCAGAAGGTTGATTTGGGAGTTGATCCCAGGAAGCAGTAGCGACGGAGCAGGACCAGTGACACAGGAGAGGAAGAAAAAGCAACAAAAGTATGCATTAGCAAGTCCACTGAGACCTCCTGAGAAGCATGAAGACATCCAAGAATAATCCACCTGGAAAATAAGAGGCAGGACCCTTTGTCCATCAGTTCCCATCTCTAGGTTGAAGGTTGCTCCTGGGGACATTAACTCTTCACTCTCTGGGCTGAATCAGAATGCTGGGGCCAGGGGAACTCAAGGGGTGACAGAGAAGGCTCAAGAGCAGGGAGCAAAAAGACTTCAAGTGCACGGAGGAGGAATGTTGGTAGTGGGAGAGGAATCTGAGTGCAACAGATCTGTCCACCAGCACTGAGGCCAAAACCAGAGGTGGTTCAAGGAGACAGAGCACAAGCATCAGAGATACCTGCCCCAGTCCCCATTAGTTCTGTTTCTCTATGTATCATCCTATTAGTTCTGTTTCTCTGGAGAACGCTAATATGTTAGCATTTATTATTATATTTTGTACATTTTATATTACGTGTTTCATAATACATATTATACATAATATCATATATAAATGCATATATCAGTACTTCTCATTTCTCCCTCACTCCTCAAATCAAAGGTGGCCTGCTGTGCACACTGTTCTGTACCTTACTGTGTCCTGGGGATCTTTCCATATCAGTGTATAGAGGCCCCCTCACTTCTATCTACACCTACATAGTAGGGCATTATGTGGCTACCTCAAAATTTATTCACCAGTCTTCTACTCATGAACACTGGGTAGAGGATTTTTCTGTTTCAATTGGTACAGCAGTAAATTACCTTCTGCATCAGTAATTTTATGTTTTTTGCCTACAAATCTTAATAGATACCTCGAAGCAGGATTGTAGGATCAAAATGCAAATGCATATGTTCATTACTTGAGAAAATTAACACACTCCCTAGTATCTGGAATGCAGCTATTAACCTGGCAAATGCCTTTTTCTCCATACCTGTCAATACAGCCCACCAGAAGCAGTTTGCTTTCAGCTGGCAAGACCAGCAATACATCTGCACTGTCTTTCCTCAGAGGTCTATCAACCCTCCAGCCTGAAGTCATCATTTAAGTCACAGGGATCTTGAACACTTTTTATAAGATGTCACACAGGTCCATTACATTGAGGACATGATGCTGATTAGACCTAATGAGCAAGACGTAGCTCTAGACTTACTGATGTCATTGAGATGACATTGAGATGTCACAGGGTGGAAAATAAATCTGACTACAAATCAGGAGCCTTCTACCTGAGTGAAACTTCCAGAGGTCCAGTTGTGTGGGGCATGTTGAGATATCCCTCCTAAGGTGAAAGTTAAGTTGCCTCATCTGGCCCTTCCTACAACCAAAAAAGAAGCAAAATGCCTTGTGGATCTCTTTGCATTTTGGAGGCAACATATTCCTCATTTGGGTGTGTTACCAAGTGACCCAAAAAGCTGCTACTTTTTAGGGTGGCCCGGAACAGGAGGAGGCTCTGTAACAGGTCAAGGCTTCTGTGCAACCTGTGCTGCTACTTGGGCCACACGATCCAGCAGATCCGACGGTGCTTGAGGTGTCAGTGGCAGACACGGATGCTATCTGAAGCTTTTGGCAGGCTTCTAGAGGTGAATGGCAGTGCAGACCCTTAGAATTTTTTAATTAAGCCCTGCCATCCTCCACAAATAATTACTCTCCTTTTGAGACATGGCTCTTGGCCTGCTACTAACCTCCATAGAGAGTGAACACTTGACCATGGGTCTCCAAATTACCATGCGACCAGAGCTGTCCTTCATGAACTGGATATTTTCTGGCCCACAACGCTATAATGTTGGTCATGCGTGGCAGCATTCCATCATTGAATGAAAGTTGGTTATATGTGATCAGGTCCAAGCAGGCCCTGAAGGCACAGTAAATTACATGAAGAAGTGACCCAAACGCCCATGGCCCCCAGTCCTGCTATACTGCCTTCTCTCTCCCAGCCTGCATCTATGGCCTTGCGGGAAGTTCCCTATGATCAGTTGACAGAGGAAGAAAACACTTGGGCCTGCTTTGCAGATGGCTGTGCCTGATATTCAGGAAGCTCTTGAAAGTGGACAGCTGCAGCACTACAGCCCCTTTCTGGGACATCCCTGAGGGACAGCGGTGAAGGAACATAATCCCAGTGGGCAGGACTTCAAGCAGTGTACCTGGTTGTTCACTTTGCTCAGAAGGATAAAAGGCCAGACATGGGCCGATTCATTTAGATCAATGGTCGGGGACTTGAAATGAAGGTGATTAAAAATAAGTGACAAAGAAATGTGGGGAAGAAATATGTGGATAGACCTCTCTGGATGAGCAGAAAATGTGAAGATATTTGTGTCCCATATGAATGCTCACCTCAGCATGCTGAGCAACCTCCGGAGAAGAGGATTTTAATAATCAAGTGGACAGACTGACTCGTTCTGTGGACACCAGGCAGCCTCTTTCCCCAGCCACCCCTGCCATCGCCCAAAGGACTCATGAACAAAGGGACCATGGTGGTAGGGATGGAGGTTATGCATGGGCTCAGCAACATGGACTTCCACTCTCCAAGACCAACCTAGCTAGGGCCACTGCTGAGTGCCCAATCTGCCAGCAGCAGAAAGCAACATGGTCCCCGGTATGACACCATTCCCTGAGGTGATCAGCCAGCCACCTAGTGGCAGGTTGAATGCATTAGAAGGCTTCCATTTTGGAAAGAGCAATATTTTGTTCTTATTTTGAAGTAGACCTTACTGTGGATAGAGATTTGCCTTCCCTGCCTGCAATACTTCTACCAAACCTACCATCCATGTACTTATAGAATTCCTAATCAAAAATCATGGTACTCATACAGCATTGCTTCTGATCAAGGAATTCACTTCACAACAAAAGAAGCATGGCGGTGGGCCCATGTTCATGGAATTCACTTGCCTTACCATGTTCCCCGCCATCCTGAAGCATTTGAATTAGGACACTGAGTAAAGCAAACTGCCCTCCCCAATGTGGGTAGATCTCATCCAATTTTTTGGAGGCCTGTATACAACTAAAAGCTAGAGTAAGGGTGAATTTGCTATTTCTACCTGCTTTCAAGCTGGGACATCAGCCTTCTCCCGCCTTCTCCATTTTTAAAAGCTCTAATATTTGCAGAATATTAATCCTCTGTTAAGTTTAGCCTAAAGCTGCCTCCTTCCATATTTTAAGTTCAACATAAAGGTTTCTCCATAGATAGTAAACTGTAACCTAACTGGATGTGTAAACAAACTGTAAGCTACTCTTATGCCAATCACCGAGTTTCAGCCAATCAAAGTAGACCAACTGTTCAAACCATGTTCAAATAAGGCAAACATGGAGCCATAACCAATCCAGCTGTTTCTGTACCTCACTTCCAGTTTCTGTATGTCACTTTCCTTTTTCTGTCCTTAAATCTTCAACCACATGGCTGTGCTGGAGGCTCTCTGAACCTATTTTGTTTCAGAAACTGCCCAAATCAAGAATAATTCTTTGTTCAATTAAACTCTGTTAAATTTAATTTGTCTAAGGTTTTTCTTTTTACACCTGATATAGATTTATTATATTTTTTCCCAGTTGGGTTTTTTTTTTTTTTTGCCATACAATTTGTTTTTATTTCATCACCTCCAGTAAGACATCACATAAATATCATTGTTTGGTACCAGTCTCTTGCGTTTTTGGCTGTGAAAAGTGGAAGGGCCACATCTCTCTTTCTGGAAAAGGTTTAAAAAATGTGCTACAAAGGAATTATTTATTTGGGATTTTGGTCTTGTATGATATAGTCAGGAAATCAACACCAGGAAGAAGCTGGCTCCTGAGAGGAGGGCAATACAGCAGCTGGAAACGCTAGCAAGGGCTCTTTCGGATGCATAGAAAGGAACCTCTGAATGTGTGGAAGGAAGTAAAGGTGAAGGAGGAAGCCACACACCTGCCTTGGCTCCTGAGGGTCAGTGCACGACTGTAACATGTCACTTCCAAGGACTTTCACCCTGTCATGGGGCATCAGTTGAATGGGAAATCTCTAGTACATTCCTCTACCATGACCCAGGAAGTAGAAAGTTAAAATCAGTAGGGAAAACAGTGGGAGAAGTTTATGAGCAAGACCCCTTAATTCGCCAACTAAGTGGTATCTTCTCCAATTGACCGATGTTTTTGAAATTTGTTTGTAGTGAGA
Source organism: Homo sapiens (assembly GCF_000001405.40). Taxonomy (NCBI): domain Eukaryota; kingdom Metazoa; phylum Chordata; class Mammalia; order Primates; family Hominidae; genus Homo; species Homo sapiens. The sequence continues at coordinate 2,473,234 of NC_000018.10, forward strand.
ACAAAACCTTCAACTCCTCCACCAGGAAAAGAAGAAACCTCTAAAAGTAAATACTCTCAGAGAGGTGATTCTGTGTACTATTGACAGATAATCTTTAAGGATATCATTCTTTCCTAACAGCAAGTCTTGATTGGTGGGAGTTGGGGCAGGGATGGGAGGTGGGAGGGCAGCTTGTGACTGAAGGTGAAAAGGAAGCTGTGAGAGGGAAAGAAACGGAAAGAGAACCTGGAGGCACTAGGGATCAACGTCTCAGCTTCAACACTTTGCCTAGAGCAAGCCCTGGGTGTATGATTTCTTAACCTGTTGGAAAAAATGAAAAAGAACTTCCCTTGAAAGCTTCATTAATTCTGTAAGCCAGTGATTACAGCAGCCTTTAACAGAAGGGGAATAACCCCTTTTCCCTGAAATCTTAAAGGAAGACACCTCGAATCAACTTTAGAGGTGGTAGGAGGAAAAGAAATAAAAGGAGCAGAAGAGAGGTGGAAAGGGAGAGGGGAGGAGGAAGGAGAAAAGGGCAGAGACAAGTCACTGAGGAGGAGAGACGGGCACTATAGTAATGTGAGGGTTAATGGGGAGAGCTAACTCAGAGACACCCCCTGACAAAGGAGACTAAGTTCCACTGGTTAATCCTCACAAGGCAGAAAGTCCAGCTGTGACATTCCAAGAACAGCAGCTGTACTGGACATTTGTCTTTCTTTTTGGCTGCTGAACTACTAAACCACCTTCATATTTCTTGGGACTTCTCCACTTTGCCAATCTTGGAAGAAGAGCCACTTCTGGCTATAAAGCTGAAAATGCCTGTTACTTTGTTTGCCAGCCTCTTTTGCAAGCATGACTATCTTAACCTAAACAATTGCTTTGCAAGCTTTAGTGTGCATAGTATAGTGCATTTGAGGGCTTCTCAAACCTTCCCAAACCTACATATTGACTGAGTAGAATAGAGTGGAGCCAATTGCATGATTTGCAATTGAACCTTCAACTCATTCTGATGCTGCCACCACTATTTGTGCTACACTTCTGAGTACACTGACAGACAGCTCCTTCACCAACCCAATGAACCCACCTCGGGCTTTGAAACGGTCACTAATGATGCAAAGAAGAGATTGGAAAGGAGAGAGGTGGGGTTTGCAGCAAGTCCAAGTTCCTGGAGCTGCAAGAGCAGAGGAGGTAATGCTGTATCCACCTTCTTGGGTCATGGATGTTGGAAGTGCAAGTGCATGGCTGGAGGGGCTTGGTAGGCAGAGGTGTCTGGTGTCTTTGCTGAACCAGTTCTGTGGCATAGAACCCAAGTCAACTTCTCCAGTCCTCCTGGTGATTTCACTAGTCACTGAATCACTTTTCTGCTAAAATCTGTTAGTTTGATCATGTTGTTTGGAAATAAGGGCTTCCACAAAAATAAAAACTAAAATAAAGACATGACCTTCAGCCAGGTGCAGTGGCTCACGCCTGTAATCCCAGTATTTTGAGAGGCCAAGGTTGGCAGATCACAATGTCAGGAGATCGAGACCATCCTGGCTAACATGGTGAAACCCCATCTCTACTAAAAATACAAAAAATTAGCCAGGTGTGGTGGCAGGCGCCTGTAGTCCCAGCTACTCAGGAGGCTGAAGCAGGAGAATCGCTTGAACCAGGGAGACAGAGGTTGCAGTGAGCCAAGATTGCACCACTGCACTCCAGCCTGGGCGACAGAGCAAGACTCTGTCTCAACAAAAAGAAAAAAGACATGACCTTTGATATCTGTTTCTCACAGTACCCGGCACATCACCATGCACTCAACAAATGTGTCTCGTGTTGCTATTGTCATTTACTATTATTATTACCTACAAAACAAACAGATCTTCACAATCACCCATCTCATGTTTTTCTTTAGCTATATAATTCCCTTCAAAGACATAAACACATGTATAAGAAAAACGTGAATCTAATTTTGCAACTCCATCTTCAGTAATACTCATCAACTCTCCTACCTGTCAGAACTTTGGGCCTTGAAAACATAGCAAGAAGAAGAGAAAGGAAATTGGAAAAAAGCAGGGTATCAGAGGCAACACCAATGACTGGTATCTAACTTAAAAGCTATGAAAAGTTATATATTAGAAGAAAATGTTGCCTATGCCCTAAATAGATATTCTTGAATGAATATCCTAATCAATATTTTAAGGAATATATACAGAGGATGGTGTTCAGCTGGTTTGCCCATATTTTATAAAAATATGTCCTGACAAGATTATGTGGTAGATAGTATGTTGGATTTAAGAGTTCAAATATAGACTGACTTTCTAGCCTGGTTCTATAGGTAGTGAGATATTTAATATTTTTAAAATAGTAAATATCTACTAAACACAGATTTACTGTAAATTCATCTTTAAAGACTCCTGCTAAATTACATCCAATATAATTATATTTACTTCAGTTTATTTCAGTCATATATACCCAATCTTTATATTAGAATCACAGATTATTCGGGATAGAATATTAGATATTAGAATCATAGATCGTTAGGGATAGAAGGAACTTTCGAAATTTTCTCATAACTCACCTGATACTTAGTGACAAAGCCCAGATTAAAACCCAAATTTTCTGATTGGGTGTGGTGGCTCACCTGTAATCCCAGCACTTTGGGAGGTCGAGGCGAGTGGATCACCTGAGGCCAGGAGTTCAAGACCAGCCTGGCCAACATGGAGAAATCCCATCTCTACTAAAAAAAAAATACAAAAATTAGCTGGGCATAATGGCATGCTCCTGTAATCCCAGCTATGTGGGAGGCTGAGGCAGGAGAAATGTTTGAACCCAGGAAGCGGAGGTTGCAGTGAGCCAAGATCATACCACTGCACTCCAGCCTTGGCCACAGAGTGAGACTCTATCTCAAAAAAAAAGAAAAAAATTTCTGATTCCAAGTCCCATGCTAATGGCACTACATTGATCAGCCTTTAACAAAATATAAAATATATTCAAAAATATCTGAACATAAACATTAAGAAATGTTACCTTCTTTTAGAGAATTAAACCCTTTATCACTGTGTAGTGCCCCGCTTTATCCTTATAATTTTTTTGTCCTGAAGTTTGCTTTGTCCAAAACTAATATAGCTACTCCAGCTTTCAACTGATCAGCATTAGCATGGTATACCTTTCCTCATACATTAAATTTTAATCCATCTGTGTCTTTATATTTAAAATTAGTTTTCTGTCAATAATAAATAATTGGATCATGTTTTTTGATACACTTTGATAGTCTTTGCCTTTTAATTGGTGTATTTTAACATTTAATGTGATTGTTGACATAGTTAGAGTGATATCTGCTATATTTGTAACTATTTTCTATTCATTGCCCTTGCTCTTGTTTCTTTTTTATCTTTCACTCTTTTTCTACCTTCTCTGGTTTTAATTGAGCATTTTATATGATTCATTTTTCTTTCCTCCCTTAGCATATCAATTATACTTTTTATAATTTGTTGGGTGGTTACACTAGATTTTGCAGTGTACATTTACAACTAATCCAAGTCAAATAACACTATACCATTTCACAGGTAGTACAAGTACCTCCTAACAGAATATTCCCAGTTCCTCTGTGCTGTCCTCTATAACATTCCTTCATTCCACTCATTTATAAGTTATAATTTCCCAACATATGGTTGCCATTATTGTTTTAAACAAACTTCTCTATTATATAAGTTAAGAATAAGAAAAACAAAATATATTATTTTACCTTCATTTATTCCTTCTCTAACACTCTTTCTTTCTGTATGTAGATCTGTTTCTGACCTAAATCGCCTTTTTCTTTCTGAAGAATTTTTTACATTGCTTTCAGGGTGGGTCTTCTGGAAACAAATTCCCTCACCTTTTGTTTGTTTTAGAAAATCTTTATTCCTCTTTCAGTTTTGAAGGATAATTTTACTAGATACAAGAATTCTAGGTTGGTGCATTTTTTCTTTCAATGCTTTGAATATTTCACGCCACTATCTTCTTGCTTGCATGATTTATAAAGAAAAGTCTGATGTAATTCTTATCCTTGCTCCTCTAGAGGTAAGGTGTTTATTTCTCCTGGCTTATTTTAAGATGTTCTCTTTGTCTTTGAGTTTCTTTAGTTTAAATATGATATCCTAGATATAAATCTTTTGTTCTTTATCCTGCTTGGTGTTTGTTTCAGTTCATTTTCTGCTGCTAATAATAGAATAACTAAAACTGCATAATTTATAAAGAAAAGGAAATTATTTCTTATAATTATGGAAGCTGGGAAGTTCAAGGTTAAGGGGCTTACCTGATGAGTGCCTTCTTGCTGGTGGGGACTCTGCAAAGATGGCATAGAGAATGACATAGTTAGAGGCTGAGCACGCTAGCTCAGCTCTCTTCCTCTTCTTATACAGTCACTAGTCCTGCTCCCGTGATAACCCATTAATTTACTAACCCACTAATCCATGAATGGATTAATCCATTCAATCACCTCATAAAGATCCCACCTCTCAATACTGCCACATTTGGGATTAAATTTCAACACAAGTTTTGGAGGGCACAACTATTCAAACCATAGCAGTGTTCTTTGAGCCTCCTGAATCTGTGGTTTGGTGTCTGTCATTAATCTCGGAAAATTCTTAGTCATTATTACTTCAAATATTTTCTCTCTCTCGCTTGCTCTCTCTCTCTCTCTCTCTGTGTCTGTCTGTCTGTCTCTCTCTCTCCCCAACTCCTTCTTTCCCCCCACCCCACCCGAGATGGAGTCTCACTCCCATCAGCCAGGCTGGAGTGCAGTGGCACAATCAAGCTCACTGCAGCCTCAATTTCCTGGCTCAGGTGATTCTCCCACCTCAGCTTTCCGAGTAGCTGGGGCTACAGGTATATGCCACCCAGCCCCGCTAATGTTTTTTTTGTTTTTTTAGTAGTAGATATGGGGTTTTGCCATGCTACCCAGGTTGGTCTCTGACTCCTGGAATGAAACGATTTGCCCACCTTGGCTTCCCAAAGTGCTGAGATTATAGGCATGAGCCACTGTGTCCTGACTCCTTCTCTCCTTCTTCTCCTGGTGTTCCCTTACACATATACCACACATCTTATAATTCTCCCAGAGTTCCTGATAATTTTGTTCCATTTGTTTTATTCTTTGCCCTTTGCATCTTAGTTTTGAAAGGTTCTCTTGACATATGTTCAAACTCACTGAGTATTTCCTTGGCCATGCCCAGTCCACTGATGAGCCTATAAAAGGCATTCTTTATTTTTGTTACAGTTCTTTTTTATTTATATTTTTTATTTCTAGCATTTCCTTTTGATTCTTAGAGTTTCTACCTCTCTGCTTACATTATGCACCTATTCTTGTATGTTGTCCACTTTTTCCATTAGGGCTCTTTGCTTAGTAATCATAATTATTTTAAAATGCCAGTCTGATAATTCCTAATCTCTGCCATAACTGAATCTAGTTTTGATGCTTGCTTTTTCTCTTTAGACAAACTGGCTACTAACAAGCTGGTTCTAAAGTTTACATGGAAAGGCAAGACCCAAAATAGCCAGCACAATACTGAGAAAGAAAATACTTGGAGGAAGGAGGAGGAGAAAGAAGGACTAGGAGGAGGAGGAAGAAGGAGAAAGAGGAGGAGGAAGAAGGAGAAGGAGGAGGAGGAAGATGGAGGAGGAAGAGGAAGAAGATGGAGGAGGAGGAGGAAGAAGATAGAGGAGGAGGAGGAAGAAGAGGGAGGAGGAGGAAGAAGGAGGAGGAGGAGGGCAGAAGAAGGGCAGTAGGGGGAGGAGGAAGAAGAATCTAGACACGGGCCTTGTACCTTTTACAAAAATTAACTAAAACTGGATCATAGATCTAAATGAAAGACACAAAACTTTAAAACTTCTAGAAGAAAACAAGAGAGAAGCAAGGTGACCTAAAGTGAGTTTTTTAATACACCAACAAAAGCACAATCAAGGAAAAATAAATTGATAAGTTGGACTTCATTGAAATTAAAAACTCCTGCACTCTTAAGAGAGTAAAAAGGCAACTAACTTACTCACTGGGAGAAAATCTTTGCAAAATACAGAACTAATAAAGGTCTTGTGTTCAAAATATGCAAACAACTGTTAAAACTCCAAAATAGTGGGTCTATTTTACTTCTTTTTTTCTCCCTCAGAGATCCTTGTTCTGAACTTAGCTCAGTTTTAAAATGGGCAAAATCACTGAACAGATGCCTTACCAGAGATATACAGATGTCAAATAAGAAAATTAAAAGACGCTCAACATTTTATTGCAGGGAATTGCAAATTAAAACAACAGTAAGGTGGCACTACACAGCTATAGAATGGCTAAAATCCAAAACTGACGCCACCAAATGCCGATGAGGATGTGGAGCGATAGGAACTTCCACTGTTGGTAGGAATGAAAAATGCTGGAGTCACTTTGAAAGATGGTTTGGCAGTTTCTTACAAAACTAAACAAATTTTTACCACATATCCAGTAATCACACATCTTAATATTTACCCAAATGATTTGAAAACTTACATCCACACAAACCGCTACACAGATGTTTATAGCACCTAATTGCCAAAACTTGGAAACAACCAAGATGTCCTTCAGTAGGTGAATGAATAGACAGTGGTGCATACAGACAATGGAATATTACTCAACACTAACAAGAGAAGAGTTATCAGGTCATGAAAGATGTGGAGGAATCTTAAATGCATATTACTAAGTAAAAGAGGCCTATCTGAAAAGGTTGTGTACTATATGATTCCAACTGTATGGCATATTAGACAAAACTAGGAAGAGAGAGAGCAAAAAGATCCGTGGTTGCCACAGGTTGAGGAAAAGGAAGAGAGGGGTAAGCAGGATTTTGAGGACAGTGAAAGTATTCTGTATGATACTGTAATGGTGGAGACATGCATTTGTCAAAATTCGTAGAACTATACAACGAAAGAGTGAGCCCTAAAATAAATTGTGTACTTTAGTTAATAATAATGCATTTGTATTGGTTCACTAATTTTAACAAATGTACCACACTAATGCAAGATTTTTTTTTTTTTTTTGAGACAAAGTCTCACTCCATTGCCCAGGCTGGAGTACAGTGGCGCAATCTTGGCTCACTGCAACCTTCACCCCCCGGGTTCAAGCCATTCTCCTGTCTCAGCCTCCCAAATAGCTGGGATTGTAGGTGTGCCCCACCACGCCTGGCTAATTTTTTGTGTTTTTAATAGAGATTGGGTTTCACCATGTTGGCCAGGCTGGTCTCGAACTCCTGACCTCAAGTGATCCACCCACCTCGGCCTCCCAAAGTGCTGGGATTACAGGCATGAGCCACTGCACCCGGCCCAAGATTTTAATAATAGGGGCAAGTGCTTGTGTGAGAAGGGGGATTATTTGGGAACTCTCTGTCATTTCTGTGCAATTTTTCTGTAAACCTAGAATTGCTCTAAAGCATTGTCTCTTAAAATATTTTTAAATCTCTAAGCAAACATTTCTGCTCTAATGTTGAAAGTCTCGGAGCAAAAGCAGAGTATGGTTTATCAAATGAAGTGGTATCTACATGTAATTTTCCAAGAGTGCTTCTCACTAAATAGCCCTAAGCTGTTTTCTCAGACTCCAAGTAAATAAACCGAGTTTAGTCTATGGCTTGTGATTCATCCTGGGCTATTTTCTACAAAAAAGAAAAATCTTTCCCATCAGTTACTTCATTGCATTAATTCTTTATATCTCCTTGTTCCCCACAGCCTTCTGTATCAGATATTTTAAAGCTCTTTCCTACCTGCCATGTATCCTTTCATTATGATTATGATTATTTTAGATAATCCCCACTGCTTTCTTTCAATGGAGAAATGTTCTCTTAGGCCCTGGATTTCCTTGCACTTCTCTAACTCTCATGGATTCCCTGAGTTTCATACCTCCTTATCTTCCTTGCTATCTTGCTATCTTATTTTCCAGAAAGTCTATGTTTTAAATCCTCTCCTGAAGGTTTTCTCTATTTCGAGATCTCTCTAAAAAGTCTGTTTATCGAGCAGTTTCAGAGATTCAACTTGGTATAACATATGACCAACAAATAAAGAATATAGGAAAAAACTATAGTGAAATTAAGCAGTTCTTGGCTTAAGGTGTATATTAGTTAGAGTTCTTCAGAGAAACAGAACCAATAAGATTTATAGAGATAGAGAAAAGGAGATTTATTATGGGAATTGGTTTATGTAACTATGGAGGTTGAGAAGTCTCACAATATGCCATCTGCAAGCTGAAGAATCAGGAAAGCCCATGATATAATTCAGTCCAAGTCAGAAGATCCAAGAACCAGGGCCGGGAGTGGGAAGCTGGGACTGGTGTAAGTCCCAGAGTCTGAAGGCTCAAGAACCAAGAGGTCTGCTGCCCAAGGGCAGGAGAAGATGGATGTCTCCGCTAAAGAAGAGAAGGAGTGAATTCACTCTTCCTCACCTTTTTATTCTATTTGAGCCCTCAATGGATTGGACGATGCCCTCCCATACTGGTGAGGAAAGATCTTTACTCAGTCTATCACTTCAAATATAATCTCTTCTGGAAGCAACCTCACAGACATACTCAGAAACAATGTTTTACCGGCTATCTGGACATCCCTTGCCCAGTCAAGTTAACACATAAAGTTAACCGTCACCGATCACAGAGTGAGTAAACTTTGAGGCTGAAATTGAACCATGTCTTCTGCATCCCAATCTAATCCCCTTTCACTAAACAACATCATCATCTTAAATAAGGTGACGAATAAGCATGCAGCTTCCCTCCCACCGCTCGGCAGAGGAGAGAAAGATAAATCTCAGGAAATGCTTAAATAACACTTTTACATAATCACCACTAGTATTCAAGAACTAAGCTACATATCTGGAACTATATATCTTAAATATAAATTAAACTGGTAGATGCTTTTAAAAGATAACTAAGAATGGCCCGGGCGCGGTGGCTCACGCCTGTAATCCCAGCACTTTGGGAGGCCGAGGTGGGCGGATCACGAGGGCAGGAGATCGAGACCATCCTGGCTAACACGGTGAAACCCCGTCTCTACTAAAAATACAAAAAATTACCCCAGGCATGGGCGACAGAGCCAGACTCCCGTCTCAAAAAAAATAAAAAATAAAAATAAAAATAAAATAACCAAGAACGTGGGTATAGGGGTAAGTTAATTTGGGAGTTGGTTTTTTATCTCTATTACTGCTATTTTTTATCTACTACTACAACTGGGAAGTGGGAGAGCGTCACAATTCAGAAACAATACAATGATAGTCCTGAAAAAAGTGATCCTTCTAAAAACTACTGGCACTTGAGAAATGTGAGGGATAAATACACCCATGTTGTAATTCGTGATTATATTAGGTAGGTGCAAAAATAATTGCAGCTTTTGCCATTAAAAGTAATGGTTTTGCCATTAAAAGTAATGGTTTTGCCATTAAAAGGAACGGCAAAAACCGCAATCACATTTGCACCAATTTAATAGCAAGCTCAGGAATAATACCTGGGCCAAGCAAAGACAACCAGAGTGTTCTTAGACCATTAGATAACCTTCTTATTATAAAGATCACCACAGAACTTCACCAAGACACTGAAGTGAAGCACACATAGAGAACCCGCACTTTGCTCAATTTTAATTTAGAGTTAAGATTTGATATAGATGCAGCCACACTCTTCCAACATATAAACAGCTTTTATAAATAGCAGATGCCATTGCAAACTGCTTCATGGAGCTGGCAGCCACAAAGCAAAATTTTTGGTCTGCCAACTGAATTTACAAGGAGACTGTGGTTTTGGCCACATTAATACCATTATATGCCCAACCAATGCATCTCTGATATCAGATATCCTCTGTGGGATAATCACTGCAAAGCAGCACCTTGATAGAACCTTTAGTTTTTTTTTAAAGCTCTACCATATTGACTATTGTTACAATAAAAAGATCTAAATAATGATTGAATGGCTGATTCTTGAATCATTATTTCTGCTGCTGCAGGCAAAGATGATTCCTTCACATATTCATTATCTGATCAAATCTGATTTACTTGTATGGCTCAGTGACTTTCATAACCCCTTTTTGCTCACAGACATGGTCCAGACATCTGACAAACAAACAGCTTGCAACAGCTGGCCTTTCTCCAGCTTTCTGGCCAAATTAAAAGGCCTGTTCTCAAAACAGTACACCCCTTTTATGTCCCCATGCTTAACACACCTTCTTCCCTTTATTGGGGCAAATCATTTCATTTTCGCTCACCTCATGACCTCCTACCCATCATTCAAGACTTGAGTCAAATATCATGCCATCCCTCTATTTCCTCAGGAATCCCTCATCACTCTTTTCTTCATGTTGCCACATGACAAAGTACAAATGAGCTGTGTCATTAACATTATTAAATGCCTATCTTTCTGAGTAGAACATAAACTGTGGGTGTCAGCAACAATATCTTGTCCGTGTGTGTTTCCTCAGCATCTGGCCCAACCTTACATAGATTTTATTGTATTGTATTGTATTGTATTGTATTGTATTTTTATTTTTATTTGTAATAGAAATATTCCCTAGGCTGGTCTCAAACTCCTGGACTCAAGCCTTTCACCTGCCTCACCCTTCCAAAGGGCTGGGATTACAGGCATGATCCCCTGCGCCCAGATACACAGATATTTTTAAAATGAAAAAAAAAGGTCAAATTTTATTGCATTTTAGTGAGCTGGGTTTTGTTCCCCCAAAAAGATGTCTTTCTAATTTCTACCATTGTTTAGGACAACAGATTTATGTGACATCAGAACAACTGAGATAACATGAAAAATACGTTCAGCAAACTTTTTTACATAACTGTTATTTCACTTCTGATAATACAAAAATTCTCTATAGAAACCTGAGAACATATACAAAAGTACAAAAAGGAAAAAAATAATAATTAAGAATCCCCTGACCCTGGAGATAACCATTATTAACATTTTAGTATATTTCCTTCAAGTATTTTTTAATGAGGTTATCTAATTAGAATAATAATCTACAAGCATTTTAGAAGTCTGGGTAGTCTTAAATATAATCTTATATCATAAGAGGTTTCCATATCATTAACAAAATGATCAAGACAATTTATTGGATTCACAGAAATGCAGTATTTTATTTAACCTTTTCCCTATGTTGGACATCTGTGTTTTTCCACATTTTTTACTATTTTACATAACACTAAAAGAAATACTTCTACAGACAAATCTTAATGAACACTTCTGATTATTGCCTTAGAATGAAAGAGTTTCCTTGGAATTTGAATTACTGGTTATGAACTTTTTGTTTTTTGTTTGTTTGTTTTTGAGACAGAGCCTTGGAGTCTCACTCTGTCACCCAGGCTGGAGTGCAGTGGTGTGATCTCAGCTCACTGCAACCTCTGCCTTCTGGGTTCAAACGATTATCTTGCCTCAGCTTCTTGAGTAGCTGGGATGACAGGCATGCACCACCATGCCTGGCTAATTTTTGTATTTTTAGTAGAGACGAGGTTTCACCATATTGGTCAGGCTGGTCTCGAACTCCTGACCTTGTGATCCGCCTGCCTTGGCCTCCCAAAGTGCTAGGATTACAGGCGTCAGCCACCATACCCAGCCAGTTATGAACACTTTTAAGGCTCTTAGTCCAAATTATTAATTTAGTTCCCAAAAACTTCACCCCAACCTGTGCTCCCAGTAACAGTTAACAGTATAGAAATCTGGTTATCTCACCGCCTCTTCACCACATAGAATACCATCATGGTTGTCTTCAATCTGTGCTATTTCAATAGGTGAAAATGGTAAATTTTTATTGTTTTAATTTTCTTTTCTCTAATAACTAATGAGGAAGAATAATTTTCATTTCTATTAACCATTTTTACCTCCTGTTAGGTATATTTTTCATTTATTTCCTTTACTCTAATTTCAACTGGGTCTCAATATTTTTCTGGATGTGTATATGTTCTTTATAAATTAAGGATATTAACCTTTTATCATATCATAAATGTTTTTCTCAATATACCATTTACTTTTCCTTTTTATGATATTTTGACATTATAAATGGGGCAAGAGCCATAATTTATCACTTATTTGGAAAGAGGTCACAAATTCCTTAAGAACTGGTAAAGCCCCTCATTAGAAAAATATATGCATGTACACACTTGTGAACAATTTTTAAAGGTCTTGAAATCCATCTATAGACTCTATCAATTACATTACTCATTCATCCCTATTTCAACTGGGTCCTAATCACCTCGCAACCCCACAGGGTGATATAAACTCATTACAACTTCTTTTTTTTCTTTTCTTTTGAGACAGACTCTTGCCCTGTCGCCCAGGCTGGAGTGCAATGGCGCGATCTCAGCTCACTGCAACCTCTGCCTCCCAGGTTCAAGCGATTCTTCTGCCTCAGCTTCCCGAGTGGCTGGGATTACAGGCACCCGCCACCACGCCAAGCTAATTTTTTGTATCTTTAGCAGAGATGGGATTTCACCATGTTGGCCAGGCTGGTCTGTAACTCCTGACCTTGTGATCTGCCTGCCTCAGCCTCCCAAAGTGCTGGGATTATAGGCGTGAGCCACCGTGCCCAGCTTGCAACTTCTTACTAATTGTGATGTATGAAAAGAACGTAGAGTGGCTTGTGTGCCATATCGTGTGGGGAAGAAGCAGTACGCAATGGTAGACGGAAACTGCTTTCGAGGTGGGAAAACCTGAGATCTTAGCCTAATTCTGTCACTAGCTAAATAAACTGGAAAAACTACTTAATCTTTGTCGCCACATCTTCGTCTATAAAGTGTGCACACATATGTGTTTAACTCATGTTCGTGTGTGCGTGCATGCAGTGAAATGAGAATTCACATTCTCTAAGGTCTTTTCTATTTGTAAAATGTACGTACATTATATACCAAAGTGATGTTCTGTTATACAACACTTTTATTTTTGAAGTCATTTAAAACCATCCTGGAAAATAGACACATAAACTCCAAACAGCACAGCTGTGACTATTCAGCACTCCTTAGTTACAACCAGTCATACTACCATTTAATGGTGTCATTAAAAATACACTGTCACCATAGAAACTTCAACTTTATAGGATACCAAATCTTTCTTTGAAATGCTCATGCTGAGCAACTTACATTGTCTTATGTAATCATGGTGGGTTCTCCTTGTTTTTTAGCAGACATAGCTTTCCCTTCCCCAATTTATCTGTAACCAAGAAAAACTATCAAGGATCTGCTTTAAATTGCTTGATACTTTATTATGCAAAAAAGAGAGAGAATCAGCTTAAAAAACAAAAACTTTCTCATACTTGGAAACATACATTACCAGTTGTCAACTGTACCACTGTCTTGTAGACTGGGAAACAAAAATGTTCCCACTCTAGACAAAATGCTGGTAAAATTCTCTCCTCCCACCACTTTTTCACTTTGTCCCTTTCCTGACATTTTTCTTCCTAGTTGCCCGTTTGCCCTTTGGCTCTGTTTGTTTACTTCCCCACTCATCACTTGGCCACTTACACATCCGGTATCCGATTTCTTCCTAGGTGGTCACTAGGAACCAAAACGTTAGTTGGTATAAACTTTATAAATAAACTCACAGGGTTATTTGCATTTTAAGCAGGGAATCTTGAAGGCTACAGATTTTTCAAGATGTAAGAAGTAAAACTTTAATAGTATGGGAAAGATAATATGGTCAGTATTGTGGAAAGCAGTATGGTGATTCCTCAGAGAGCTAAAAGCAGAACTACCATCCGTCCCAGCAATCCCATTACTGGGTATATACCCAAAGGAATATAAATCATTCTACCACAAAGACACATGCACACGAATGTTCATTGCAGCACTATTCACAATAGCAAAGACATGGAATCAACCTAAAATGCCCATCGATGACAGATTGGATAAAGAAAATGTGGTACATATACACCGTGGAATACCGTGCAGCCATAGAAAAACTGAGGTCATGTCTTTTGCAGGAATATGGATGGAGCTGGAGGCTATTATCCTCAGAAAACTATTGCAGGAACAGAAAACCAAATATCACATGTTCTCACTTATAGGTGGGAGCTAAATGCTGAGAACTTACGAACACAAAGAAGGAAACAGCACACTGGGGTTTACTTGAAGGTGGAGGGTGGGAGGAGGGAGAGGAGCAGAAAGATAACTATTGGGTACTTGGCTTAATTCCTGAGCGATTAAATAATCTGTACAACAAACCCCCATGACATGAGTTTACCTATGTAACAAACCTTCACATGTACCCCCAAACTAAAATAAAAGATTTTTAGAAATGGCCAGTATTTTAGAATTGAATAGCCCAGGCTCAAGCTCCCTCAACTGACCCTAGACAAACTACCTTCCACTCCACCTACTTATGTGCTCCCTCTCTTTGCCATTAAAAATTGTGCTGTGTACCTACTAGATGCTCTCCTAGGCACAAGGGCTACACCAGCCAGTGGAGTAGACAAGGGCATATCACATATTTCTGTCTAGTTCAAAGAGAGACAGAAAACGAAAAGGCAAACAGAAAAAGACAAGTGTTTATAGTGATCGGTGAGCCCTGCAGGGATCTGAAAGAGCTTTCCAAGTAGAGAGACCCACTGGTACCAAGTCCTGAGATAAGGAAGAATTCTCCATGTTTTGGGGAGAGTAGATCAGTGTGTCTGGAACATGGTGAATGAAGTGGAAATTGGTTCAGGATGGGCCATTTCCTTCAAGAGTTTGAAGACAAAAATGAGGAGTCTGGATTTTATACTCAACCTAACAGGAAGTCAATGGAAGCCTTCAAGAAAGGAAGTAAAACAACATGACTTACTTTATAAAAGGTCACCTCTAGCTGCTAGGTGCCAAATAAACTGAAGCAAGAACCAAGGAACACAGAGAGACAAGTTTGAAGAAATTGCAATAGTCAGGTATAGTGGTGGCTGCAATTGCCAGCAAAAGCAATGGCATGAGTATTAGAAGCTTCTTTTCAATTAAAATGAAAACCCTTTGACTAGGATGCTAAAAAGTCTTATTTGCTTTCACATCTTTCCCAAAATGCCATCATGGCTGCTATTATCTAGTCTAGATTCTGATGAATAAGTGAAATAATATGATCATACCCCTTCTATTCCAGGGCTTCTGTATCCAGCTCTGATTTAGCCAAATATTCAAGTGAAGTAAAAATTGCAAAGTCTCTCAGAACTTTTAATAAATCATAGTAAAAGCAGTAAACATGACTTATACAGCAAAACAGAACAGAGTCAGAGGCAAGGCAGAAACCCAGCATTCCTTCCTCCCCCTGTGTTGTTCTGTCCTTTAACCCATCTTTACAGCGATTCCAGATACATCTCATTAAATCTCTAAATACTTATTCCAAATGTACTTATTTGTGCAGCAGGCATCCAAAAAGAATGCAGCAAACAAGTGAGAGAAATAATTAGTGGCTAACTAAACTTAACCTTTTATGAGAGACCTTAGCAGAGGTTTGCCAGTTTTTTTTATTTTTATTTTTTTATTTTTGCAAAACTGAATCATTCCTCATTAGTGTCTATGTCATAGGCTACTTTTACATGGACTCATAGAATGACAAATCATTACAGCTGCAAAGAAATCTTAGAGTTTATTCTAGTACAACTCCCTGATTGTACAAATCAATAAATGTAAGTAATTTTCCTATGATCACAATGTGTACTAGCATCAGATGCTAAACAATAACACCACTGAGACCTTTTCTCACAAGGTTGTATTCAATCCATTTATGTTGCCCCTTTTCTTAAATCCTTACCCTCCTCATGTCTTCTTCACTTGCTCCCTTAATGGGCTTATATTCCTTCCATGAGCCATCATTGTAACCACTCCCTTCCATACATGATCAGTTATCTTGACTCTCCCGAACTCTGTCACACTCTAAGCCCCAATCATAATTGAATTCAACTTTATACTACTTCACATCTGTACCCAAACATCTGAATATGGCTAGGGAAAAGCATACCGTTGATAGGTCTCAGTTAAGTATAAAAACACTAACCTCTTCCACACAGCCAATCTGGCAGGACTGCTCAATTTGTAGTATGGTGGAGAAACATTCCAAATGGAAAGGAGCAACAACTGCAAGACCTCTTAAGAACTTGCTGAGAAGTCATACATCACTTCCACTACATTTTACTGGTCAAAGCAATTTACAAAGCCAGCCCAGATTTGAAGGGAGGAGAAAGGCACACCAGCTTTTCATGGGAGAGGCTGAAAAAAATTTATGGCCATTTTTGATCTAGCACAGTCAGGGTAATTGAGAAAATATCAATGTCTCGTTTGCTGCAAGCACAAAAAAAAAAAAGCCTTCTTAAGCCCTATCCCTACATTGTCAAGTGTTCTTATTTAGATTTCAGAGGGAGAATTGCACCCCAGGATGGAGCTATAATAGTCATCTTCCTCCAGAATTCCCCTTCTCGGTAACATTAGAAATAATTTAAGAAAATTGTCATTTCTTCCTTTCCAATCTTCTGCCCTCTCAGACACACCTCTATTTCAACAGCAAGAACAGTTGGGGGAAGTGGGAAAGGTGGGAGTGAGGGAGGAATTCCTAAATATGGCATGTGCATTTATTTTGAGCAAAATCACAAGTCATTTCAAACATTTCATTCAATTAAATCATAAAATATGTGGGCTGGGCATGGTGGCTCACGCTTGTAATCCCAGCACTTTGGGAGGCCGAGGCAGGTGGATCACGAGGTCAGGAGATCGAGACCATCTTGGTTAACATGGTGAAACCCCGTCTCTACTAAAAAAATACAAAAAATGAGCCGGGCGTGGTGGAGGGCACCTGTAGTCCCAGCTACTCTGGAGACTGAGGCAGGAGAGTGGCGTGAACCCAGGAGGCGGAGCTTGCAGTGAGCCGAGATTGTGCCACTGCAGTCCAGCCTGGGCGACAGAGCGAGACTCCATCTCAAAAAAAAAAAAAAAAAAAAGAAAGAAAGAAAGAAAAACATAAAATATGTGGAAGTGGTAGAATTTGAAGATCTTCAGTGAAAAGAAAGAAGATTTAGATTATATTAGTCAGCGTGGGATGTAATGGTAGAATCAATGAGAGGTGTGTCTAGGTTTTGCGTGGAAAATTGGGTGGAAAAAGAAAGAGAAAAATTGGCTATTCAGAATAACATGTGTTGTTAAAGTGCCCTGAAAATGACATTAGCCTGCTTAATGAGGACAATGATCAAAAAAATCACAGGTGAGGTGTTATAATACGGAATAATTTGCATCCTCTTAGCGGTCAATACAAAAATGCCTTTGTAGGAAGAACATCTTAATAAAGCCACCTTTGCAATAGCAACACATTGGCTGGGCTTTGGCTTCTTAAGAGAGAAAATACTCTGGGGACTGTGGTGGCGTGGGGGGAGGGGGAGGGATAGCTTTAAGAGATATACCTAATGCTAGACGACGAGTTAGTGGGTGCAGCGCACCAGCATGGCACATGTATACATATGTAACTAACCTGCACATTGTGCACATGTACCCTAAAACTTAAAGTATAATAATAACAATAAAATAAAATAAAATAAAAAATAAAAATAAAAAGAAAGAAAAGTTTTGCTTCAATCAGTGGAAGAGAAGAAATGCAGATTGCCCAATTCTAATGGCGGAGGGTTATGGAGTGCCTCTGGAAGAAGACACCGGGCTCATAAGGAAGGAGAAACTTGGCTGAGACGAAAGCCTGGAGGGAGGTATTTTAAGCGGAATGCTGAAGGTAATCTCCCCCTCCAAAAAAACAAAGTCTACCAAAACTCATGAAATGTTGCATGTGAGTTTGCATGTGAAAAAAAAAGAAAAACAAAAAACCCTGATTCTAACTAGTTCAGAAAAAAGAGTGGGGGTGTGGAAAGAAGGGAGATGTTCACTTAAGCCAGTCTCTGAAAGGCTAGAAATGCGTGTGGAACCAGGAGCAGGAACCCACTCACTCTCCATTTCTCGTCTTTGCTTGTCTCTGGTTGCTGATCCCAATACCTCACTGTGGCAGGGAACACAGTCCCCCGCAGCTCTAGGTCTTACAGCTCCACCACCCACTGAGGCCAGAGGGGATCCTGTGGCAGACCCAGCATGGGTTAAGTGTCCACCCCTAGACCAATCACTGTGGCCAAAATGATGACAGCTTCCATTGCCTGACAGTGGAGGTGGTGCTCTACTTAAAAAGGGAAGAGTTTTGACACACAGAACAGTAAGGGTCTGCTATGGTTTGTGTCCTCTCCAAAATTCATGTTGAAACTTAATTTCTAATACAATTAGAGGTGGAGACTTTAAGAGATGATTAGGCATGAAGACTCCACCCTCATGAATGGGATTCATGCCTTATAAAAGGGCTTGAGGGAGCCTGTTTGTCTCCTTTTTCCTCTTCTGATGTGTGAGCACACAGCAACAAGGTGCCATCAATGAGGAATGGACCCTCACCAGACACTGAACTTCCTGGATCCTTGGTCTTGAACTACCCAGCCTCCAGAACCGTAAGCAGTGGATTCCTGTTGTTTATAAATTACCCACTCTAAGGTATTTTGTTATAGCATCAGGAACCAACTAAGACAATGTTCATTCCAGATTTTATGTGGAAAATACTGAAGAATCTAGGTCTGCCAGCCAGCTGGTGTGGGAATGAGAACTTGTCAACCAATATGCAATATTACAAGGCCAAAGATTTAGTTGCTTTTAATTTAAGAAACCATTTAAACCGTATAATAATCATATTCTCTTTAGTCATCAAATAGACGATTATGTCATTTCCACTTTCTGTTTTTTCAAGAAGAGATCCTCAATAACTGGCAACAGGCGTTAAATGGTAAATTAAAAAACACTTAATTTTCATATAAATTTTTGGGTTTCATCAGGCTTCAATTATAGGAATGCATACATATATATAAATGCTCAAAGGACACATTAAGGAAAGTTTTAATTACAGATATGTGAAACACAAAAGGGCGGGAATCTTGTCCTTTTATGCCATTGAAGCAAATGTGGATTGAAATATGTTTTGCCTATCAGCAAATGTCTCTCTTCTATGTTATGAAATCAAATCCTTTAGGATTTACCTAGTTTATTATTTACTGACCACAAGTTTTTCTTGCTTATTTTGATCTTAAAATGGAAAGTAGTTATAGTTGAGGCAGCTAAATATTAAAAAGGAGTAAAACCAATCAGTATCCATCTTTAAATGATGAAAATTGCATGTAATAACTGTCATACTGCTAAAGGCAATCCTCTAACTTCTATCAATGCGTGCTTCACATCCTAGAGTATTAACTTCTTCCACCAGGAAGCAACTTCACCATAACCATTCCTTTCAAGGGAGGGAAGAAAGCGTCACCTGTGACTTCTGGCAGTTTGTGATCAGGAATATCTCATTGCTTAGAAAGGAGGCATCATAGCCACTGCTGGGGTTTTCATTGCTAGTAAATTACCAGGAAAAACAGACTGTGAAGCTGCCATTTTTTTTTTTAGCCCTTCCTTCCTATTAAAAAAAAGTCCTCTTTTCCATACTTTGCTCGATGTTTGTCCAGGAGGATAACAAAGGAGACCAAATAGAAAATAAAAACTTACTGCAGAGAAAATGAGAGAGACTGTTTCGATAGATTTCAGGCTGGGATAATCACAACCAGGGTCATATCTTCTTATCTGTGTCAAGGGTGTGATTGCTTCCGACAAGCCTGCCATTCTCTTCCCACCAGGTGTTCAAGTGGTGGCTCTCCAGAGATTTTAGACAGAACTGTGTGCTGCCTGAAACAGAGTCCTATCAGCAGTTAAAGGGGCTTTGCGTCCCATTCCAGTGTATTGTACTTGTTACAGAAATACTCTTACGTTGCCGATCCAAGCAAAAATACCACGGCGTACCTGGCTAGAAAGGGACCTAATGCAGAATCCACCCTGAAGGGGGCTGTGTACCCACACTGCCAACCTTAGATGAATTGATCCAATTCAGGTTTCTCTCCTGAATAATATCAGGAGGCTTGAGCATACTCATTTGACCCTTTGTTGGTTGGCTAATTGGTTGGTTGGCTTCAATCCTTAAGAATACAACCAAAAACAATGTAGAGAGTGACTGAACACACACCTAATGAAGTGTATAACTAAGAATCTAGGAATAGAGAGAAGGTCATTCACGCAACATACACAGACCCCACGGCACAAATATAACTACAGAGACATCCTGGTGTTGCCATCAACTTGTCCCTTTGAAGGCACTGATGAGACCCTTAGCAAGGAAGCAGCTGAGGGAAACATGCCTATTCTGGTTCTGTACAGATTCTTTTTTCTTTTGTTGTCCAATGTATATTATTTACTAATCCTCTTTTATAACTACACATAACTATGTTTTAGCCATACTAGTCACTTCCTCTCTCAAAGCAGATGAATTTTCTCTTGTCTAAAATTGCCCAAAGTTCAGATTTATAAACTTTTCCACTGTCATAGCTTTTTTCAACTGCCTGTAACAACACGACTGTTTATTTATTCCTTGGCTCTCATTGCAGTTTATCTTAAGGACCACCACACCTTCCACCCACAGCAAGGAGGAAACAATGTCTTGGCTAAATGCTACCTCAAAGACCTTTCCATTATTCCAAATAAAAATCGCTTTAGGATTTCCTCCTCTGTCAACTCCCCCTCTCACCCTTCATGTTTGTTGTTGAACAATTTCAGGCCCACTAATGTATGTCAACATTAAAAATATAGAGATATATATCCTACAAAAATCTACAAATTAGGAAAATCTTATTTATTTTACAAAAGTGTTCATGTGAGATTCACTTAAAGAACATGTTCTAGCTTCTAGTGAATTTTGAAATTATTTACATGCCACATTTTAGGATCACACTTAATAAGCAATATTGGCTTGCTATTTTTTCTAACATACAGTTTCATTAATTTATAAGCATACTTTCTATATAGAATCCTTTACAAATATGCATTGCCTATAGAGTTCTAGTGCATTAAAAGCTAGAACAAAGCAGTGGTGCTCACTACTACAACCAACTCCTCCCACAACAAGGTAATGTTTTCCTCCAAAGCCCTGACAGGGCAGTGAAGTGACTTGTCGGGGAAGAAAAAGAAAAGACTATCTCTAAGACAAACTCAAAAGTTCTAGATAGAGACTCCAAATCTAACAATGTGGCAGACCAGACAACCTGAAAGTCTCTGACAAATACTAACTTCAATATAATCACATCCACTTAAATGCATTCCTAGAAAGTAAGAAGGTAAGGAAAATAATCTTCCAAGGCTAAGAAAAGAAATAAAATCGGCTCAAGGGCACTCAAGTTTTAGCTACCATGAAGTAGAGTTGTGAGTCTCTGTTTCAATAAGGGTCATGAGGTTGTTTTTGTTTTTGCTTTTGTGAGATGGAGTTTCACTCTTGTTGCCCAGGCTGGAGTACAATGGTGCGATCTTGGCTTATTGCAACCTCTGCCTCCCAGGTTCAACCGATTCTCTTGCCTCAGCCTCCCAAGTAGCTGGGGTTACAGGCACACGCCACCATGGCCAGCTAATTTTTTTATATTTTTAGTAGAAACTGGGTTTCACCATGTTGGTCAGGCTGGTCTCGAACTCCTGACCTCAGGTGATCCACCCACCTTGGCCTCCAAAGTGCTGAGATTACAGGTGTGAGTCACCAGGCCTGGCCCAAGGTCATAAGTTTAATGATCATAATGAGGCAGAAAATAAGGCCTTGGGCTCAGACAAGGCAAGATGTTGAAACTGAGGCCTTCACATCAAGCCAGAAATCTCAAAAAGGCAACACCATTATCTTCGTATGCATAACAACCCCCTAAAACTATGTGGCCGAAGGCAACCATGATTGATTGAAACTCTCAGAATTTCTTGGTGGGTTGCCTGGGTGGTTCTCTGCTTCTCTAACCTAGGTCACTCCTGCAGTTGCAGTCAGACGGCAGTGGCAATGGCTGGAAGATCCAGGATGACTTCATCCCCTGGTCTGGGGCCTTCGTGCTGGACCTCTTCCATGCAACCTTTATTCTCAAGAAGATTAGTCTAGGTTTTCTGACAACAAAGTGGCTCGGGTCAGACTTGCATCCTGTGTGGCCTGGCAGCTCTTCCAGCCTTCCCCCACTCCCTCTCAACTTTCTCTCACACAGGCACTCTCCTATGAATTCCCTGCACAATCAATCTCATCTTGGTGTCTTCTTCTTGAAGAACCTGGATTACACACCAATTCATAAACAGCATAAATTAGGGAGTGATTATCTGCTTAATGAAATAATTCTATTAAATAATAAATTGCCTTGCAGCATTTTTTTCCTCTTTTAGTCTGAAATTTTTTAAACTTCAAAAAAGTACTGAGAATAATATAATAAACACTTATGTGTGCAACACCTGTGATGGACTATATTTAGAATATTTTGTGGGATTTGACTTAGACACTATTTTTCAAGAAGATGCCTAGTGACTAAGGCAAGGTATGATTGGATTGCTATTCTTTCTCCAAGCAATACACCATTCTGTTCCTCTCGCCAAACTCATAGACTCTAGGACAACTCAGCAAAACTAGTTGTCCAATTCCTGTGTTTCAAGTAATTAAAATGCTAGAAGATGACAATAAACAATCTATAATTTGTCCTGTTCATTCATTGTTTTTATTTCAGGGCCATTTGTTTAAGAGCTTCCTTTAAAGATCCATTACATGTCTCCGTAAAGTTAGCATAGTGGTTCAAGAGCATATTTACTCATCAATCACTCATTAGAAAGGAAATGGTAAGCCTCAGTATTCCCATTAATTGTGTCTTGTACTGATTCACCTAGTGGGCTACCAAGATGTCACTTACACCCATTATTTCTAAGAAGAGTTCAACCAGAGAAGCTTTAAAGATCTGATTTCAAAATAAAAAGAACATCTTTAAAAGAAAACTTGTTCAGAACCAATGCTTTGATTATAAATCCTGTTTAATGACTGACGAAAATATAAGAACTTCTACTTTTTTTCTCTAAATAAAAATTACACTCTCAAGAGGTTTTGTGGTTCTTTTCCTCAAAAAGATACGCATTGCACTATATGTACACATGAGGTATCATTTTCATTTCTAGCTTTGTACCATTCATGAAAAGATTTGTTTACCTCCTCCTCTTAGACTTTCTTGATTTTTTCCCCTTACTCACTCCCTCATATACATAACTTGTTTCTGAAAACACCAGGACATCCAGATGTAATTCATGATCCCGTTACATTAACCATGTGACATTAAAAATCCAGAAATCAAAATATAATTCACATCTATTTGGAATAACAATATAGGTAAATGTCACTTTGTAATTTCACTCCACTCAATTTTTAAAAAATTTTTTTAAATTCATTGAAGGTGCAGCTTGAGGCAACTTTCTTTGAATATAATTTCCTGCTTGTTTCTTCATTAGGATACTCCTGTTATTCAAAACAATGTTCGTAGGTTGAAGAACATGGATTTTGATTCATGAACATATTCATCATATGCCTGGAGGGTTCTAGACACAATTCTGCTTCTTCTTCCAGTTCTGTGCTGCTTTCTTCTACACTGCTAGGCTTTCTGTTTTCTTTTTTCTTTTACGTCTTCTTTTTTGTTTTGTTTTTTTGTTTGTTTGTTTGTTTTGTTTTCTTTTAGAGATAGGGTCTCTTTCATCCAGGCTGGAGTGCAATGAATGGCATGATCACAGATCACTGCAGCCTCAAACTCCTGGGCTCAGGTGATCCTCCCGCCTCAGCCTCTTGAGTAGCTGGAACTACAGGCATACACCACATGTCTGGCTATTTTTTTTTTTTTTTTTTGTAGCGACAGAGTCTCACTATGTTGCCCAGGCTGATCTCAAACTCCTGGCCTCAAGCAATCTTCCCACCTCAGCTCCCACCTCAGCATCCCAAAGTGCTGGGATCACAGGCGTGAGCCACGGTGCCTGGCCAACTTCCTGCCTGATGGGAAATCTTACTTAACCCTTCACCCTATTGAGTGCCCTTCAGCTATTACTTTAGGATTGGATCTTTGTGAGAAGCACCAAGGAGATGAACAAAACTCAGAGACACCGGCAGGAATCTCTGATGTCGCAGCTTCTCCTGCCATCTCTTCTCCAGAGAATGCTGAAGAATTGTGTTCAGTCATTTCAAGAGCAATGCCCTCAAAAGCTATCAAACATCCCCAGAGGACCATTCTTCAGTTCCACTGCTACTGTGCTTAGCACAGTATTTTTGAGGTGCTAACAGAAGGAAAAAAGGTAATTTACATTCTTTAAGGCTATTGACCAGAATCCGCCTCTTCTACCATTGCTTCCTGTTGCTCAATTTAAAGGGGGAAATGGCAACAAAAAGTAAACTGAATATGTAAAAGGCCTAGCACTTTGGGAGGCTGAGGCAGGCCGATCACTTGAGATCAGGAGTTCCAGACCAGCCTGGCCAACATGGTGAAACCCCATCTCTACTAAAAATATAAAAATTAGCCGGGAGTGGTGGTGTATGCCTATAATCCCAGCTACTCAGGAGGTTGAGACAGGAGAATCACTTGAACCCAGGAGGCGGAGGTTGCAGTGAGCCAAGTTCGCACCACTGCGCTCCAGCCTGGGTGACAGAGCGAGACTCTGTCTCAAATAAAACAAAACTGAATATGTAAAAATTGTATACTAGTGAAAGGATTACTAAGGGTCAAACCATGCCCCTTAGAAGAGGGTAAAGTTAACAGATATTGTGACAACTAGCAGATTTCCCAAAGCACAGAAGGAAAAGCTGAAGGTCTTCCTTAAGAAAATCTTCCAAGGGCTTCCAATGAAAGCAGAACTCCACTTCAGCACCATGGGCTGAGGGGCCTTCGGCATTCTCCATCTGGTCTGTCCCTCACACAGAGCCAGTCCTTGCTAGTTCCTGGCTGGCCATCAGAGCAGGCTCCACACGCATAAGGCACCACTACTATGCTAAGAAGTGTGCCCTACCCACGTGGGAATAGGTGCCCTCAGCTGGGCCAACCACACTACCTGGCCTCAGTGACTGGTCTGAGGGCCTGTGGCCTAAGCAAAAATCTTATTCTCATCTGGAATTTTGTTTTTTTTTTTCCAGACAGAGTCTCACTCTGGAGTACAGTGGTGCAATCTAGGCTCACTGCAATCTCCACCTCCCGGGTTCAAGCAATTCTCCTGCCTCCACCTCCTGAGTAGCTGGGACTACAGGCACGCACCACCGTGTCTGGCTAATTTTTTTGTATTTTTAGTAGAGGCAGGGTTTCACCATGTTGGCCAAGCTGGTCTCAAACTCCTGACCTCAGGTGATCTGCCCGCCTCAGCCTCCCAAAGTGTTGAGATTACAGGCGTGAGCCACAGTGCCTGGCTTTTTTTTTTTTTTCTTTTTTTAGACAGAGTCTCACTCTGTTGCCTAGGCTGGAGTGCAGTGGCACAATCTCAGTTCATTGCAACATCTGCCTCCCAGGTTCAAGCGATTATCCTGCCTCAGCCTCCCAGGTAGTTGGGATTACAGGCACCTGCCACCATGCCCAGCTAATAGAGATGGGGTTTCACCTGGAATTTTCTAGCTGAATCCAGGATACCCTTTCCTCCTGTGAGCTGTGATGCTAGAGGATTCAAGCCCAGTGTTGCCTAAGGCTAAGTGCCCTGATAGTGGAATGAGCCCACATGAAGGAGGAGAAAGTGAAGCAAACAGGGAGAGAGAATCGAAACTCATGGATGGAAAGAGCACTTTGAAAACTTTGATTATCTTTGTCCAGTTGTCCTCGAGAAAGCTCTCCCCTACTCATCTCATTGGTTATGGTTGGTTCCATAAACCAATTCGCTCCCCATTTTTATTCAAGTTTGTTCAAGTTAACTTTCTGAAACTCAGAACAAAAGAGTCTAGACTAATGTTTTCTACTTTTTATGCAAAAAAGCCACAATCTTAAGTTTTTGTGTGTAAGATCATGGGCTGATTTAATGCTGTTTTATTGAACTTTGCATTTGAAATGAAAATCTCACTATTTCCTTTTATCATTCTTAGTTGACGGTATATTATTCTTTGCCTATCTTTTTCTCATCATGAATATATAGTATCACACTTTACTACTGTAATAGAGAGAAAACGCGATTTTTGAAAGTAAAAATGCTCTATCTCTGTGATCCGAGTGGGGCTGAGGTGTGGGGACAAATCTCCATTTTGCCCTGTTCCTCCTGAAGGGGGAGGTGGGGACTGGGTCCTGAAGTTGGCAGCCCATTGTTTTTATTTTTTATTTTTTAATTTTTTGAGACAGAGTTTCGCTCTTGTTGCCCAGGCTGGAGTGCAATGGCTCAATCTCGGCTCACTGCAACCTCTGCCTCCCAGATTCAAGAGATTCTCCTGCCTCAGTCTCCCAAGTAGCTGGGTTACAGGCATGTGCCAACACACCCGTGGCAGCCCATGGTTTAGCATTGCCCTGTAAGGGTCTTCAGATGCACAAACGACTTGCAGTGCCTAAGTTTGGATGTCGGGCTGGAGAAAGCTGAACTGATCTGTATGCAAAGGGGACAGGAATTGGGGGCAAAGAGGCAAGAGAACAAAGGAAAAGATGGGAGGAGAAAGGAAGTCACAGGCATGCTCTGGGAGATGAGCCACATTGTCCTGTAACTGGAGCCACTTTTTCCTACCAGGGCACTTAACCTCAGGCAACACTGGGCTTGGATCCTTATAACATCTCAGCTCACAAGAGGAAAGAGTAACTTCTATCCAGGATTCAGTTAGACAATCCCAGATGATAATGGGATCCTGGCTTAGGCCACATGCCCACTCCCGCAGACCAGTCACTGAGGCCAGGTAGTGTGGTTGGCCCAGCTTAAGTCACCTGTTCCACAGGGCTGAGAAGAGCACACTTGTTAACATTGTCATGGTGCCACCGGCAGTGTGGAGCCTGCTCTGACAACCTTAAAGCTTTTTGAAAACAGGAAAGCCAAATAAATATTCCAGTTGATAAGTTATGTGCTGTCTGAAGAGGCAATATAACTAGAGCTACCATATAATTTATGACCCAAACCTGGACCCTTTGAGAGTAAAAGGTGATGCGATTAATAATAACATCATATATAAACCAGGGTTGTCCTAGGCAAGTTAGGCCTACAGTTGAATCAAGCGTTACCTTCTTATTACCTTCATATCCAGAGAAGTTGGCCACACACAGATGCCTTGTACAAGGTTTTCAGAGGGAAATTTTTTAAAAAAGAAAAGAAAAAAGAAGTCTGCTTCAGGTTTTCAATGGTGTGTGCTGAGCAGGAACAACTTTCACATGATTGCTACTCTCCAGCCACTGTGTAGCCCCAGCAGGGAGAGGACGGGGTGCAGGTCACGGTGCTGAGGAGAGAGGCTGGGTGGGGACATGCAGCTCTTGCTGTGCTGGGTTTGGAATCAGCCAATCACCCAAACCTCAGCCAACAAATCGGCTCCACCATGTTCTACTCTTGTTCTACTCTTGCTGCACTTAATTTCTCTCCATTCATTAGATAGATGTAGTCTCACCCAGAAAACATTAATTTTTTTTTTGAGATGGAGTTTCACTCTTGTTGCCTAGGCTGGAGCGCAGTGGCACGATCTCGGCTCACTGCAACCTCCGCCTCTTGGGTTCAAGCAATTCTCCTGCCTCAGCCTCCTGAGTAGCTGGGATTACAGGCTCACACCATCAAGCCCAGCTAATTTTGGTATTTTTTTTTTAGTAGACATGAGTTTCACCATGTTGGCCAGGCTGGTCTCTAACTCCTGACCTGAGGTGATCTGCCTGCCTCAGCCTCCCAAAATGGTAGGATTACAGGCATGAGCCACTGTGCCAGGCCCCTTTAATTTTGTTTTTTAAATGTACCCTGCCTGTATCCCAGCACTTTGGGATGCCAAGGTGGGAGAATTGCTGGAGCTCAGGAGTTTGAGACCAGCCTGGGCAATGCAGTGAGACACTATCCCTAAAAAAAAAAAAAAATTAAAATGTACCCAGATGCCTTTTTCCTTGTGGCATATCTGGCTAACTTCTATGGCTTCTCTCTTCACTTATCCAAGAAGGAAGAAGAAAATTTGATGATGTTGCCAAATGCAGGTCTACCCAGGTGTCCACACAGGGTCCAGTGTGTTAAAATGTGGCAAGAGCATCACTTACGGCTGATGGAGAACATACCTCTAAACTTTAGTCTGTCCAGAAGATACAAGGCAGAAAAAAGAAATTGGCTCATCCTCACTTTCAAGCATGTGTGACAGAGAGAATCAGGAGTTTCAATTCAGACAGACCCTAATTTGAATCCTAGCTTTGTCATTGACCACCAGCCTTGTAAATTAACCATCACAGTAATCACCCTACCTGAATCTGTTTCTTCATCTTTTTTCATTTTGATTGTTTTTAGCCACAGAGTCTTGCTCTGTCACCCAGGCTTGAGTGAAGTAGTACCATCATAGCTCACTGCAGCCTTGAACTCCAGGGCTCAAAGGATCCTCCCACCTCAGCCTCCAGTGTAGCTAGGTCTACAGGTTTACACCACCATGCCCAGCTAATTTTTTAAAATTTGTGGACAAATGGAGTTTCACTATGTTGTCCAGGCTGGTCTCAAACTCCTGGCCTCAAGATATTCTTCCTCCACTCTGTCACCCAGGCTGGAGCGCAGTGGCATGATCTCCACTCACCGCAACCTCCGCCTCCCGGGGCTCAAGCAATTCTCATGCCTCAGCTTCCCAAGTAGCTGGGACTACAGACGCCCACCACACCCAGATAATTTTTGTATTTTTAGTAGAGATGGGTTTCATCATGTTGGCCAGGCTGGTCTCAAACTCCTGTCCTCAAATGATCCACCCACCTTGCCCTCCCAAAATTCTGGGATTATAGGTGTAAGCCACTGTACTCAGCCTCATTTCTTCATTTTTTTTTTTTTTTTAAATTGAGATGGAGTCTTGCTGTGTCGCTCAGGCTGGAGTGCAGTAGCGCAGTCTCCGCTCACTCCAACCTCCGCCTCCCAGGTTCAAGCATTCCTCCTGCCTCAACCTCTTGAGTAGCTGGGATTACTGGCATGCACCACCACACCTGGCTAATTTTTGTTATTTTTGTAGAGACGGGGTTTTATCATGTTGCTCAGGCTGGTCTCAAACTCCTGGCCTCAAGTAATCCACCCACCTTGGCCTCCCAAAGTGCTGGGATTACCCAGACCAGTTTCTTCATCTTTAAAATGGGGTAATAGCACTTAACTCATAGGAATGTTATAAATGTTATATCAGTATATCAAACACCCACTGTGCCTTACCTCACATTCTCTTGGAACAACTTTTTTACTCCAACTACTGTGTAATAACCAACTTCATGAAATGTAATCTGACAGCCAGACAGCCAAATAATTTGGAAGGACCAGTGAAAAATAAAAATGCAAAGCCACTTGTTCCAAAAATTATTAAGAATATCAAGTCAATAATATGAGTGCATTAAACCAAACCCAGGCCTTGTGCAGCTGCACAGGTTACATGCCCTTGGCACAGGTACTGTTGACGGCTCCTCCCCTTTGCCCCAGCACTTCTCTGACACCATGGCTGTTATATATGTGCAATCTGGAAGCCTGGGCAAATTACGATCCATGGGGCAACGCTGGAGCAATAGAGGATGGGGGCCAGAAGATAAATGCCACCCTTCTGTGATACTCAGGTGGACAATTCTGAGATGCATTCTACATCCTGATGAGGAACCTGTGAATCAGCTCCCTCTCTTTCCCTTACCTGCCCACAAGTTCTTGTCTCAGACTCTGCTCTCAGGCTTAGACAAAGGCATACATTTGATAAAATACTTTGCATAGACCTGTCTTATCAAAGTTCTCCCTTTTTCTATCTGAGGTGCAAGAAACAGTGATCAATAAAAGAGATGTGAGAATTAAATTCTAACCATTATGAAGAAGAGGAAGAGGAAGAAGGAGAAGAAGAAGAAGAAGAAGAAGCAGCGGTGGCAGAGGAGGAGAATAAAAAGGAGGAAGAAGGAAGAAAGAAGAGGAAGAAGAAGGAAGAAGAAGAGGAGGAGGAGGAGGAGCAGAGAAAAAAAGGAAAGAAAAGAAAAAAGGAGAGAAGTTTGTACACATTTCACTCTTCCATGTCAGTTCACCCTTCTCCTCACCCACCCATCCTTCTCTGCCTCAACATCATATACTTATATTTTCTTTAAACCCTATCTGATCACCCCTTGCTACAAGATTCTACAAATTCCATTTATTGAAGTCTTATTTTTTTCTGACATTCATTTGACCTTGATCCTGTAACAATCTCACTAGAAAACAAAACATGATTGTGATTCAGGCTCTGAATGGGGAAGGAGAGCAAAATTCATGATTTTACCGATAAGGCAATACACTAATTTAAAGGAAGTAAAGTAAAGACCACTTTTAAAGTGGTCTCAAGGCCAGGCATGGTGGCTCACACCTGTAATCCTGTACTTTGGGAGGCTGAGGCGGGCAGATCACAAGGTCAGGAGATCGAGACCAACCTGGCCAACATGGTGAAACCCCGTCTCTACTAAAAAAAAAAAAAAAAAAAATACAAAAAATTAGCCAGACATGGTAGCACGCACCTGTAGGCCCAGCTACTCAGGAGGCTGAGGCAGGAGAATTGCTTGAACCCAGGAGGTGGAGGCTGCAGTTAGCTGAGATCGTGCCACTGCACTCCAACCTTGACAGCAGAGCAAGACTCTGTCTCCAAAAAAAGAAATTAATTAAATAAAATAAAATAATTAAGTGGTCTCAAGACACCAGTTTAAAAGAAAAAATGACAATTCTATTCTTGGCTAGCTAAAAATCACATTATGATAACTATTAAAAATGTATATATTTCACTTGCTTTATATGTTACAGTATTGTACTTTACTCTCTCAAAATAGTATCCTTTCTCTTGTCTCTTTTATTCATCAGCACAGCTATTCAATAACCTCTCTAAGGAACCATATAAGAACAGGAAAACAGTACCGAACAGTACAGTGACCTTGCCTGACCAGCTTGACTCACCCACCATGAGGGCTCTGCCACCTACTACCTGCCCACCATTCAGCAAATTTCATTAAAAGTTCAATAACCCAACAAGATCCAGACTGATTCTCTATCAGATTATTGGATTTTCCTATACTATTGGGTATTATACTATTAATACCACAAATACCAAAATATTTCTCAATTTTCATCATCGATTCTGGACGATAATATTTTGATATTTTATTATAAAAACATAATACACTGTAAATAGCCAGCACTGCAAAAGAGTATACTCTAGAAACCACTGACTACAATAGACTATCAATACATTAGTAAATCATACCTACAAATATTACAAACAGTATTCATATTAGTTTGATTTTTTCCAATGTACCTGCTAATACATTAGCAAATAATTCATTGCAAGAGATTAGAGTGCATAACATCCTCATTAAAAATATATTGATATAAACTTTTAAAAAACTATTGTATCTATAACTTAAGCCATGGTTTCTTTTTTCCACCAAAATTATATCAGAGTATTTAGACTAACTATAACTTAAATAAGTGTATTGGCACATTTTTTTATTCAACAAATATTTCTTGAAGTCTAGTTTGTACCTGGGGAAAAAATAATACATAAAAGAGAAATGGAGTCTAGCCCCTGGGAATTTATAGTCCAGAAAGGAAAAGAGACAAGTAAGCAGACAGTTAGAATACAATACAGAGCAATGCGTGTCATGATGGGGAAGTCTGTTCTGGCAGTGCTTAAGGAAGCCCTTAACCCATTCTTGAGAGGTCATGGAAGCTTCCAGAAGGAAGGGACAATTAATCTTGTAAAATTAACAATCTTGTAAAATTGAAGGGACAATTAACCTGTAAAATGAGGAGCAAGGGTTGACAAAACAAAAGGAGAATGGCACAGATGGTGAAGATTTATGGCAGGGAAACTGTACATTCCAAAGCCTAGAAGTAAGAAACAAGGTACATTCTTTGAGGTCCTGAAAGAGGTTTCCTATGGCCATATTATCCAAAGATTTAAAATGCTTTGTAGACTTCCATGTGAATAAAATTTACTTTATATAAATTAGCTTAAAACTTCCCTTCATGCTGTGGCTTCTTTACTGATGGGGTGGTTGCACCTTGGATGCACTGATGCCATTGCTGCACTGATGCATTGATGGCATTGGTGCATGGATACTATTGATGCCTTGAGACACTGATGCATAGAACCCATTTGTGCATTGATGCATTGCTGCCATTGATGCAGTCCCTCAGGGATCTTCAGCCATTTGTCAATAAGAGCAACTCTTTCCTTCCCTCTTTGACATCATAATCAGAATTGGTTAACTGATGTTATTTAGAGAAGTTCTGTGCTTTGGCCTATATAGACTATTTTTTTGTTGTTGTTTTGAAGCGGAGTCTCACACTGTGGCCAGGCTGTAGTGCAGTGGCATGATCTCGGCTCACTGCAACCTCTGCCTTCCCGGTTCAAGTGATTCTCCTGCCTCAGCCTCCTGAGTAGCTGGGATTACAGGCGCACGCCACACGCCCAGCTAATTTTTGTATTTTTAGTACAGACAGGGTTTCACCCTGTTGGCCAGGATGGTCTCGATCTCCTGATCTCATAATCTGCCCGACTTGGCCTCCCAAGGTGCTGGAATTACAGGTGTGAGCCACCACACCCGGTCGCCTATATAGACTGTTAACTATAGTTAATATGCCCTATTAACTAGAGCCAAATATACTACTTCAGGAACATAAGTCATCTAAATTTTAGAATTAGTCCATCCTGGGAAACATGGCAAAACCCAGTCCCTACAAAAAGTACAAAAATTACCCAAGCATGGCGGCATGTGCCTATAGTCCCAGCTACTCAGGAGGCTGAGGTGGGAGGATTGGTTGAGCCTAGGAGGTCGAGGTTGCAGGGAGCCATGACTGTGCCACTGCACTCCAGCCTGGATGACAGAGCAAGACCTGTCTTTTAAAAATGTAAATAAATAAATCAAGTTTTTGAGTTATTTATTTAGTGCCAAATTTATTTACTCCTGGGCATTTTCCCCTTCTTCTTCACTCATATGTTGTGGTATTTGTAGATAAGAGTTAGAATAATTTTTTTATCAATACCTCTTGGACAATAATGATAATTGATCTTTTGTCTCAATGTTGTATATTACAGATAACACTGTAATACCAAATTTAATTTCTTCCTCGTATATGCTTTTATTATTTTCCATTTCTGTGGTATGATCAGAAAATCTTGTTGCTCTCATTCTGTCAGTTTACCATGGAAATCCATGACCACAGAGGACTTGAAGAGGTAAACAGCTGAACATTAGGACTCTCTAGATTATTTTCAAATAAGGAAGTATTTTTGCTGAAACCTAAACCACTCAGATCTATACACTACAAAAGGATGCATTTTCAATTTTTATTTTATTTAACCTCTTTAGTTCTAGTCCTGTGGGGAGAGTAATGCCTACCTCACATGCCTAACAAATGAAGATTGCCTAGTGTTAGTAAGTGGGAGGTCCCTTTTTGAGTTAGATGGTAAGGATATAACACAGAACAAAGCCAAAACCAAATATGCTCATTTTTATTGAAACAATATAAATTCCCAAAACTAAATGCAAATGTGGATATTTAAGAAATTAGCAGTTTCCAAGGGGGAAGGAGTTTATTTTTCCAGGTAGCTGCAGATTTCTCAGCCCTACTGTGTTTTCATTTATTAAAACACAACTGAAGGTTTCTCCTGACATGGATTCACAGCAGCTTGGATCAGAAACGCATCATACTGTAGTGTGTTGTTAGAAGGACTTACTTCTGAGGATTCCACAACTCCTCAGATGTAGTCAAGGAAGATCCTTCACCTCAACATATATAAATATTCAAAACTGAGTTGCTGCGATCACTCACAATAGTGAGCAGCATGTCCTAGCCCAGTACCGAGCACTTAGTGGGAGTAGCTGGAAAAAAAAAAAAGTGTTAAGTTCATTCATTTATGAAGAATTTCCCAAACACTGATAAAGAAAAGACCAATAAACTAGTAGAAAAATGGTGAAATATATTGACATACAGTTCACAGAAAAGGAAAGACAAAATTGCTCTGGAGCATGTGAAATGATATTTAAAATTACTCAACATAAGAGAAGTGCAATTTAAGGCCAGGCACGGTGGCTCACACCTGTAATCCCAGCACTTTGGGAGGCGAGGCGAGCGGATCACCTGAGGTCAGTAGTTCAAGACCAGCCTGGCCAACATGGTGAAACCCCATCTCTACTAAAAATACAAAATTAGCTGGGCATGGTAGTAGGGCCTGTAGTCGCAGCTACTCGGGAGGCTGAGGCAGGAGAATTGCTTGAACCCAGGAGGCAGAGGTTGCAGTGAGTTGAGACTGTGCCACTGCACTCCAGCCTAGGCAACAAGAGCAAAACTCAGTCTCAAAAAAAAAAAAAAAGAGCAATTTAAAACAACACTCAGTCATCATTTTTCAATTTTTGAAAAACGTTGCTAGGTAACGTTTAATAACACTCTGTTGGTAAGAATATGGGAAAATAAGCAATATCATATATTATTGGCAGGAATGTAAGTTGATTCAACCTTTCTGAAGTACAGTTCTGCAATATATATCAGATAATCTACTCATAAACACAGAAAATTCCTTTTCTAGGAATTTATATAGATATATTCAAACAAGTACAAAACAATACACGTACAAGATATGCACTGCAGCATTACTTGCTATAGCAAAAGACTGGAAACAACCTACAAGTCTATCAATAGGTGACTGGCTAAATAAATTATGATATATCCACTCAATGAAATATCCTACAGCTGGCAGGGTGCTGTGGCTCATGCCTGTAGTCCCAGCACTTTGGGAGGCCGAGCTGTGCAGGAGTTTGAGACCAGCCCGGCCAACATGGCAAAACCCCATCTCTACTAAAAAAATACAAAGAATTAACTGGGCATGGTGGCAGGTACCTGTAATCCCACCTACTCGGGAGGCTGAGGCAGGAGAATTGCTTGAACCCAGGAGGCGGAGGTTGCAGTGAGCCGAGATCGTGCCATTGCACTCCGGCCTAGGCACCAAAAGCAAAACTGTCAAAAAAGAAAAGAAGGAAATATCCTACAGCCATTAAAATTAATGAGGATTTTTTTTGTAACAATATAAAATAATTTCAAATATTAAGTTAAAAAAACACAAAGTACAAAACCATGTGAAGAGTATGTTACCATTTGTATGAAAAAACTGTCTGCTTACGTATTTGTTGGCATATGCATAAAGCAGTTCTGCAAGCGTTTTTACAAAACTCATAGCATTGTTTCCTTACAAAGAGAGAAGACTGCTTGGCTGATGAATGGGATGGAAGGGAAATTTATAAGCCTTATGGTAATTTTGAATCATGTGAATATATTTCATATGCAAGAAATAAATTTAAAAATTGAAAATAAAATAACACTTGGCTGAGCATCAAGAACTCTGATTACTGATTCTGTCTCAGCCTCTGTGATCTTAAATCACTACATTTCTCTGTGGCTCATTTTTTCCCTTCAAAAAATAAGAAAGTTAGACTGGCAAATCTCTCTGTTTCCCTCTAATTTTAAAGTTTGAGTTAGGCATATGTAAGAAATCATGGCTTCAGGGAAAAAAATAGAATAATACTTTTACAATTTGTACATATAAAGCTTAATGGTGGCTCTGGCCCGTGCAATTGTGATTCTATTTCTTCATAGTTGTGTAGCAAAAGCCTGGATTCAATGCAAGCAGGTCTACCACTCCTTCTTACAAACACATGACATCAACATGGTCTTTATGAAAACTGGAGGTGTCTATGCAGAGCCTCTGTAACCACTGTAACCACGTGCCAAGCAAGCAGGTACTTGTAATTCTCCACCTCAGGACTCCTGAAGACAAGTAGTTCTCACTCTTTAACACAGTCCACTTAAGGAAAGCCAAAGACCCCAAGACCTTCTCATCCCACCCATTCTCGCTGTGGTAAGAATCTGCTTCACTCAATACAGAAACATGCTAGTTTATATCTGCGCATACACACAACTTAGTGGTTTAGAAGTTGCCACACACAGCTAAAAATCTACTTTGGATGAAAAGCAGGGCCAAGAATACGGTTGTTGCAAATATGCAATGCTCTACGCTGTAGTTAACCAAACAACTCATAACACTAACTTAAAATTACAAAGCAAAAGAGCAGCAACTTCAAATAATACCATACTCAAAAAACCAGGGATGATTTAGGGATAAGAATTTCTCTTTGATATTGTGGGAATTGCATTTGTCTACATGTGAACAAGGGCAATGAGAGTTTTGCAAACTTGCCAACAACTACATGATAGCCAGATGCTTTAGCCAAAAGATACTGAATTAGAGTCCCTAGTTACCTGCTAATTTTCATTTATGAAACCAAATTTTAGTCAACTTTAATAACTCATTCAAAAGATTATTGGAACTAGTTCTTACTTACAATCTAAAAATGAGAGTCTGTGGAACGTGTAATTTGCCTCCATATCCCTCATTTGTAAGAGAATATTTATTCCTACATTTTAAGGATCAAATGATCAAACAGGTTGTAATAATATTTTTAAAACTGCAATGGGATTGATATATTTTGTAAATGTAAATCATTATCAGTATTTATTATCATTATTAAATCCTGAGGTGACTCTGGCTATAATAGTCATGCAGCATTGAGCTGCTATGGATAATAACTGTTGAGTTGTTAAAGATTTTGAAGGATTCTGGTA
Organism: Homo sapiens; assembly: GCF_000001405.40. Taxonomy (NCBI): domain Eukaryota; kingdom Metazoa; phylum Chordata; class Mammalia; order Primates; family Hominidae; genus Homo; species Homo sapiens. The sequence goes on from NC_000018.10 coordinate 2,509,810, forward strand.
AGATTGAGCAATTTTGACAAATGTTAATTTTTTTTTTTTTTCACATAATGAGACTGGGTTTCACCATGTTGGCCAGGCTGGTCTCAAACGCCTGACCTCAGGTGATCCGCCAGCCTCCATCTCCCAAAGTGCTGGGATTATGGACATAAGCCACCGCACCTGGCTGACAAATGCTAATATTTAATTGAGTT